>NC_000003.12:1260000-2510000 GCF_000001405.40 Homo sapiens
AGGCATAAAGAGTTCTTAAGGGTCATGTAGGCCATGCCTCTGTCTTCAGGAAGAGATATCCTTAAGCCAATGCAGATGAGATCCTGTCTATTTCTTTTAGAGAAACAATTTAGTGAAAGTGCCTATAAACCATTTGCTGATAGAAAGACAACCTCTTGAATACAAATTGACTCCCTGATTGCAAGTGACTTTGTGATGACAAGCAAGAGAACTTTTCACAAACACAGAATATCAAAAACATTTTTTGTTTGTTTGTTTTCGGGAGTCAATTGCCTGTGTGCCTGTGGCTTCCGGATGGGGGTTCCGATTCAAAACATCCAGAGGCTCCATCAGTACTTACTATGCAACATAACACCTCTTAGTGTCTAGAGGTGAGTCTTAATATTTTATACCATTAACTGTGTAGTCCCAAAGATAGATTCAGGGCAGATGTTTGATGTTTGGTTTGCTGAGTACCATAGCGAGTTTCTCTGCCTATCTTTGACATTTTTGTAGCAGTAACCACATCACCCTTCTTAATCACTGGTGCTTTAGATAATAATTCCCTCAAATAAAACAAAAACTGAGGTGATTTTATAACACATTATGATATGGTTTGGCTGTGTCCCTGCCCAAATCTCATCTTGAATTGCAGTTCTCATAATCTCCACCTGTTGGGGGAGGGATCCTGTGGGAGGTAATTGAATCATGGGGGCGGTTACCCTCATGCTGTTCTCTTGATAATGAGTTCTCACGAGATCTGATAATTTAAAGGGGCTTTTCTCCTTTTGCTTGGTACCTCTACCTGATGCCGCCGTGTAAAGAAGGACGTGTATGCTTCCCCTTCTGCCATGACTGTAAGTTTCCTGAGGCCTCCCCAGACATGCTGAACTGTGAGCCAATTAAACCTCTTTCCTTTATAAATTACCCAGTGTCAGGTATGTCTGTATTAGCAGTGTGTGAACAAAGTAATACACATTATATTCTCTCCTTTTTGAAGAAAAAATTAAGAAACTGGCTGTTCAAACTTAATGTGAAGTATCAGAGAACTCTATGTGCGATGGGGAAAAAAAAATTAGAGAAACATTGGTTTGCCACCAGTGGAAACTAACCAGTCTTGTCTGTTTAGTTCATTGTTGCATTTTCAGCTGCTAGAGCAGTACGGGGCACATTTTAGTTACTTAATAAATTTGGCAGATGAGACTTCCTTTAAATGTCTACAGCACAATCTCTTTGGCTTTCTGTGAAAGCAGATCTCATGGCGAAGACATGGACTATGTAGTGTATTTAGGTGGTATTCTCAGAAGTATGGTGAAGGAGTAGGTAAATAGATAGCAAAAGGAGAAAACCCAAAAACTGATGAAGAATAAGGTAATTAATTGGTTGTCATTGTGGGCAATTGTGGCTCAGTACAGCTGAGTGCCCCCTACAGCTATCAAGCACATCTCATTATTAGCCCAGCATAGGCCAAGGAAACTGGGACATTTACTCATTACCTTCTGTACCTCATTGGTTAAGGATCAGTCCTCAGGACTTCAATTTCTGGTAACCTGGCCTGCTTTCTATGTAGACAAGTATGTGTCTGTGGAATAAAAAATAATTTCTCAGAGCATTCTCAGGCAGAGCAACCCAAATGGAGGCAGCAAACCCTCTAACGTAACTGTCCCCCAATGTGACAGGTAACTTCCTAAATGGGTTGAACAGATATATGGGATATGGGGCACCTACAGTGGCTGCTACAATCATACTTTAAAAGAACTATAACACTTTTGGTTTCCCATGTGACAGTCATAATGTGAGAAAATTCAAGAAATTAGCTTGATATTTACATTTTATCACATAATTTTAATTTAAAAGGTCACATGTAATAAGACAAGAGGAGGTGTAAAAGTTCAGAGATAGCAGTTCCGGAATTTCACATTTTTTCCCGTATACTTGGCCCTAGTATTTCTATGAGTAAATAGGTTAGTTTTTAGTTGTTCTTGGTAAATTACTGGATATGCGACTGGACTGCACTTATGCTATCCTTCAAATAAATGAAAAACCCAATTGAGACAACTGGACAGTGATCTCCTGGATTAATTATTATACTGAAGATGATAATTACAGTTTCTGCCTGTCTTATAAATAAGCAGTCCTCAGTTGCCAAATGGGCAACCTCTTTTCTGCAGTTACAGATGTGCGGCATTAAACATCTCAAAAATCCGAAGTAAGAGTCACAAGAGGACTTCATGGTAGGCTCAGGGGCAGAGAAGCTTATGCAGTGTTGTGGCTAGGATAAGCCAAAGCAATATGCAGTCTGAGATGTTATGGGGGCATGAACTATAAGTAAAAACAAGGAGACTGATCAGCTGGGAAGACAGTGGAGCAGATATTCATGCAAAGCAGAGTTAACAGAGACTGGGACACCTGTAGATAAAGGAACCTAGAGAGGGAGGAAGAGAATAATTGGCAGGTGTGGCAAGTGTCCTTCCTGTTCCCAGATATGCCTCCTGCACTTTGTTGGTCTAAGATTTCTCTTGATCCTTTTTAACTCCACCCCCGCTTTAGTTTATACTACTTTAAGTGAATTTCATTTCCTGGCATGTAAAGAGACCTGGCGCAAACAATGAACACACAATAATCATTGTAGCAGAAATTGAAATGAACTAGAAAATCAACCAGTTGGTCGTTTAGGCCTTATGGCATTGTGCTAAAGACTATAGGTCATACTTTTTGGGATTTGAATCTTTGTTCTATTAATTAGTAACCAGTTCAGTGACCTTTTGGCAAGTTTTTTGAACATTTCTGGGATTTAGCATTTCATGTGTAAAATATATGTAATAATAATAAATATTTACTGTACAATATGCTTGTATAGTACCCACATATATAGTATAAATTTTATGAAGATTAAATGTAAATATAAATAAATCCAAGAAGATAATTGGTATAATAAAAAGAAAAATAACTAAAAAATAAATAAATGTAATAATTAAATCTACATATCGTTTAAATCAACTCCAAGTCTTTGTAAGAGTTATAAGTTATTTAGGGCCATTTGACATGTAGTTTTTAAACAAGTTACTTATTTCATTTAAGTCTCACAACAGTCAAATAATATACCTATTTTCAGAACATTTTATAGATCCATTCACCCATTCCTCTTTTCAGCAAATGTTCTTGAGTGCCCTTTGTGTATTAGACACTGAGCATATTCAGAGAAATTGAAAAAAAATGAAAAGTACCATTTTAAATGTCTCACAGCTTATAAATCCAAGCACTTCATTCAAGCACAGATTTATCTGACTCCAAAGCCCAAACATTTTCCTTCAACTATGTGAACACTCTTTTTATGTGAAATAAGCAAGCTTTCCATCTGTTTGAGGGTTTTTCTGTCTCCCCTGGGCCCCAGTCTCTTATAACCTAATTTTGGAAGTGACAAGCCATAATTTGACCAGACTCAGTTGGTTGTGCAGACTAATGCTGACACAATGCGGCAATACACAAAGTGGTGGATATTGGAAGCGAGTTCATTCGGGGCCGTTTTGCAGCCTAGCTACCACATGTTTCCAGGTCGATCCTAGCCTCTTCTCTAAGAAACCTTTAATCAGACAAATTTGGTCTTTTGCTCTCTTCAATTCCTAAAGGAAATATTGTAGACTATGTTTGTAGTATTTTGTATGCATTCACTCGCTTTAGAGGTATAATTATTTCTTAATTTATTAAACATGTTCTTGTTGAATACCTGCTTTTTGCAAACACTGAACTCGCGGGAAAACAAGGTCCCTGTTTTCGTGAAGCTTATGGTCTATTTAGAGCACACTGAAATAAAGTAAATCAATAATCATTGCTGACAGTGACTGGGCCTTTGGGGAAAAATACAGAGTGATAGGGAACTGCTACGTTAGATTGGTTAGCCAAGGGAGGGTTCACTATGTGGTAGTAGCAAGTAGGCTGAGATCTAAATGTCAAAAAGAATCTAGAATGCAAAGATCTGGGGGTAAGTTTTCAAGCAGAAGAAACAAGAAGACCAAGGGCCATCGGGGGAAGAAACTCATTATGTTCCGAAAAACAGGAAAATAAAATGGCAGCTGTATTTGGAATGTTCTGAACACAGGTGAAAGGATGGGGTAAACAGGGCCATATCATATGGGGCTTTAAGTAATTTAGTAAACTATTTAAAGTCATCTTTATTTCTCTGGGTTGACTGATCATTAATCAAATATTTTTTGAGTACCTACTGTGGGCCAGCACTTACTGGTACTGCAAAGGTAAACCTGTACACATTTTGTGGAAAGGCGCTGATACAAACAAACGGTGGCAGCCAAGTAGGGTTATTTTTTGAAAAGATTTTATAAATACATGAGTTAGTGAACAAACTCTACATTTAAATTACTGTTATAGCAAATTATAATGCAATGCAAGCAGTTCACCTCTTTGTAAACTTATTGAATCAGCCAACATGTCCTGAACCACCTGTCTTTGAGGAGCAGCCACATAGAGAGAGGTTGAGTGGTTGATGTCATTTGGGACTAAAAGTTCCAGTTTCAGCTTTGACTGTAACCTATAACTTAAACCAGCTTCATCTGTATTTTTAAAATTATTTTTAAATTTTATTTTTAATTAACTAATAATAATTGTATAGATTTATAGGGTAAAATGTGGTATTTTGATGTATCTTTAGATTATGGAATGGTTAAATCAAGCTAATTAAATTTGTCACCCCACATACTTGTCATTTTTTGTGGTAAAAACATTTAAAATCTACTCTTCTAGAAATTTTGGAGTATACAATACATTATTATTTATTATTTTTACCACTCTGTGCAATAGATCACTAAAGCTTTTTCTTCCTGTTTCACTGAAACTTCGCACTGTTTGACTAACATTTCCCCATTTCCTATGCACCCCTCTCCCCCAGCCTCTGGTAACCACCATTCTACTCTCTACTTACATGAATTTAACTTTTTTGATTCCTTGTATGAGTGAGATCATTTGGTATTTGTCATTCTGTTGCTGGCTTATTTTACTTAGCATAATGTCCTCCAGGTTCATCCATGTTGCCACAAATGACCGAATTTCCTTTTTTTTTTTTTTTTTTTGGCTGGATAGGGATAGTATTTTATTGTGTATATATGCCACATTTTTGTTATCTATTCACCTGATGATGGACACTTAACTTGCTTCCATGTCATTGCATTCACCAGAATGCAGATATCTCTTTGGCATACTGATTTCAATTTCTTTGGATATATACAAGAAGTGGGATTGCTAGATCATGTGGTAATTCTATCATTAGTTGTCTCAGCTAGCACTCTCTGCCTCTTCACCTCTAAATGAAACCTAGTCACTGTTCTCTGGAAAAATCAGTGTCCAGGTAATTCCAGTGTAACCCAATGAACAGACATTTCCATGACTACTTCTGGCTCCAACTTTTGCTGAAGTCCCATTCTCTGCTCTGGGTCTTACAGTTTTCCCTCCTTCTCCATCCTGGTTCTTACTCAAGAGTAGAAATGTTTTCTTAATTCTGTCCCTCACACAACACACTTGATAAACACATGTCTATAGATTTTTGTTTGTAACAAAATGTTTGTAGACATTTAGGGGAGGAGTATTGGCAAAAGAAAACACAAATTACTATAAGCAGAAAAGACTATTTCTAAGAGTCCTTCAGCATTCTATATCTTGATTTTCTTTTTGTTTCTGTTCTCTCCCCTCCACCAAATCCTTCATCATGGCAAATGCAGTCAGACCACTTTGGTTGTCTCAAAGATGTCTTGTCTCCTGATATGCCATGTCCTCTGGAGCTCAGATGGCCCGTTTTCCTCAACAAGGTTTTTCAGCTTTAGCCTGAAACACAAAAAACCTTTGTGTTTTTTGAAATATCAATGTACTGTCTGTACTATGTTTTATTTTTCCCAAATTGCTTTGATTTTTTAATGAGTAAATTTGTTTGAAAAAACATATTTATTACCACTGTATCTAGAAAGCCAGTGTCATTCATCACAAATAGAACAAAACTTTAAAAGGCAATACATAGTTATATAAAGTTAAAGGTGTTTTTTTTTTTGCATAACACCTAAGTGCGTCACCCATACAACCAGTGATATCTCTCCCACACATTGGTAATGTCTCTTCTGCTTATCTCTCAGGGTTACTATCAACATTAAAAATGATGACAGAAATGAAAATGCTTTGGAAAAAAGTGAGATTTTATTTAATAGTCTCTCTTTCCCTCCCTCCCTTTATCTAAACCATAATGCATGCAAGGGTCCTTATCACTGAACCTAATTCTCCTTAGTGCTGAGCTGGAGAAAGCTACAAAGAAAATGCCGATTGCAGCTGTGATTCCAAAGACCTTGCTTGGACTAAGAAAATTCAACGGAAAAATGTCAGTATTTACCATCAACCCTGCAGTCACTCTCCCGAATTCCAGTTGTGGAAGTTCTTGCAAACCGAAACCAGTAGGATAAAAATCTCTGGTAAACTCAGAGCTTATGTCCATGGGAAGTCTTTAAAAAAATGTTCTTGCTTCACGCTTCTTGTATAAACAGGAGCATTAAGACCTTTACCCAGGAGCTCTGTCCCATTACCTCCAAAACTCGGCCTTTTGTATTTTACATAGGTTGCAAATTTTGCAATCTAACTTTCTGATTAAACCATCACAATGAATAAAAGGGCTTATTAAGGGCTCTGTCTATGAAGGACCATAGCAGGTATAATGGTTCGCATAAACCACTCTTTCCAAGTGACCTCGGGCCTCACTCCATTGAAATCACTCTCCTTTACTCTAATGAGAGTCACACATGTGAATCAAGAGGGAGCTATAAATGCAGTTGTTCTTGGAAGGGCACAGGTGCACCTAATTTGCCACCAAAACCAACACCTTCAGCCCCCTTTGCTGATGACCTGGCCCAGGAGTGAATTACAAGTGAGCTTCTGGCCAGACTCCCTCAGACCTCTGGGAAGCCAGTGGTCAGCCTGGCCCTTTTTTTTTTTTTTTTTTTTTTTTGGAGACAGAGTCTCTCTCTGTAACCTGCGACCCCCAGGTTCAAGCAATTCTTCTGCCTCAGCCTCCCAGGTAGCTGGGACTACAGGCACACACTGCCACGCCCCACTAATTTTTTGGATAGCCTGAACTTTCTTGTTACCTACCACCTGCTAAGACTTAAGTACAAGGTCAGGATGTACTTCCCCCAGTGACAGGGCAGACTCTGTTTGCTTGCTCTTGGATAAAAAGAAACTGTTTGCAGCCCTCTTTTTCCTCTCCTTCCTCACTTTTTTTCCCTCTCCCACCATTGAGCAGGGAAAGTGGTATCCTGAATAGCTGAAAATGAATCAGAGCTGGGTAGTAGTCCCTATTCAATAAAAGGCCTCCTTTTATTTTTTTAGTTATGTGGTCTTGAGCACATTGCTTAACCTTTCTGAGCACTGGTGTGTATATTTATGAAATGGGAGTCATATGGGGTACCTACAACTCATTTTGTTTATAAAGTTCAGGAATTGGGAAGGTCTCAGTAATTAAGAGGTCCCCGGCTCCTGTACCAGGAAGCCCCTCTCACGGTACACCTCTATAGCTCTTAGCTGTTGCCATCAAATATTTAACCAAAATCTAATAAACACTTGATATTGGAGAAAAATTGGAATGCTGATATCCAAGTAGGAAGTAAGAAGGTCTTTTAAGAGTTTATAGTGTCGAATCCATTTACGGTCCAAGTTAAAATTTCTCTTTGGGAAAGATAAAATAATATTTATAAAAATTAACAAGTGGAGAGAAAGTGAGTTGTTTTTTGGCGTCCTGGGAATAATGAATTCAACAAGCTGATCTTTGGATGAGTCACTTTAGTGTCTGCAATGGCAATGGAATATACACGTTTCTTTTGCCATTCAGGGCTTCCTCAGCAGAAACCTCACATTTCTTTCTGAAAAAAAAAACACGTCCCTTGATGACACCACTGATGACACCTTGATGACTTTCCCACATGAGGATGATTTACCTGAAGATTTGGCCTTTTCTGGATACTCCCCTTTTTGCCTTTGAACAATATTTATATCACATATTAATCCCAAGAAGCACAAATTGCCCCAAAGAAATCTCTTTAGAGATTATTGACTACAAAGGTTTTGGCACTGTCCTCCCTGCAGAACAAAAGGTGAGAAAATGAACATTTGCCAAAAGGCAAAGCCCAAGACTATGAGAAGCAGGGCAGCCTAGGATTTTTCTGGCTATTGTATGTCCACCCAAGAGGTCACTGCTGCCTCCAGCTGGGCTGTGTAGCTTCCTAGGCAGTGAGGGTCACTAACCATCAGTCTAACAACTTGTGTCAAGTTGGAGAAACATTCTCTGGCATAAAATAGAGAGTGGGCTGGGCGCGGTGGCTCACGCTTGTAATCCCAGCACTTTGGGAGGCCGAGGCGGGCGGATCACGAGGTCAGGAGATCGAGACCATCCTGGTTAATGTGGTGAAACCCCGTCTCTACTAAAAATATAAAAAATTAGCCAGGCGCGGTGGCAGGTGCCTGTAGTCCCAGCTACTTGGGAGGCTGAGGCAGGAGAATGGCGTGAACCCGGGAGGAGGAGCTTGCAGTGAGCCGAGATTGAGCCACTGCACTCCAGCCTGGGCGACAGAGCGAGACTCCGTCTCAAAAAAAAAAAAAAAAAATACAGTGTGATGTGGCAGTTCTTGGAATAAAATTCACATATTTTTGACTTTAGGTCTCCTTTTTGTTTTTTTCCATTCATTCATGAGCATTTAAGCTGCCACCGAATAGGCACAGAAGTAAGTCCTGACTCAGTCTTCAAGAAAATATGTCTCGTTACATCATCCGACACTGAGATGAAAGCTGAAAAAAAAGCCAGTTTAAAAGTTCAAGCTGGGATTGGTGGCACACACCTGTAATCCTAGCTACTCAGAAGGCTAAGGCAGGAGGATTGCATGAGCCCAGAGATTTGAGGTTACAGTGAGCTATGATCAAGCCACTGCACTCCAGCCGAGGCAAGAGAGTGAGACCCTGTCTCAAAAGTTATAAAATAAATAAAATAAAAATAAAAATTCAAAACATCCTAATTTTGTTGATGTGCCCTCGTATCATCAGTAATGTGATTAAAGTCCCTCACATCATATATTTTGTACTTAACATCTTCTACACACTTTAATTGTATTATGTCATTTTTTTTCCTCTGAGGCAGGTACTATTGTTAGCTAGCTTATTTTAAAAGTGAAGAAAACTGAGGTAGAAAGATACTAAATAATCTGCCCTAAATCAATAGCTAGTGCATGCACGGCCAAGCTAGCATTTGAATATAGATAGTCTGACCCTAAACTTGCATTTTTGATCATTTTGTTCCATCACTAAGCCTTTTAAGGAATTCGTTAGTGGGTTATTTAATCTATTTTGCATGCTACCTACATCACCTTCCTTTCAGGAACACCAAAGGCCAGTTGCCTTTTACTAGTTAAGTAATCTGGCATCTCAATGTATCCTATGCAGTTCCATAATTGTGTTCTGTTTCTCTCATCTACTTTTAAATGTAGGGAATATGCCAGCTTAGTAAGAAGCGAGTTTGAGTCTAGCCCACATCTAGCACTTGTATATTTATTTTTGTCATAAGTGTCACTGTTCTTACCACCATTTGTCAGGCAAATGTGTCTATTATAGAAAATCAAATCCAGTCTGACATGTATATTATCATAGACCAATTACCTAATTGATATTTCATATTGGTTTACTTGTTTAATTTATGAAATGTTTACCTCCCTGAAAACTTAAGTGCTGGGCTGTTAGGGAAAAACATGCATTATGTGCTCCTTACTATTATCCTATCTATTTTTTCATAAAAAAAAATGCTTCTCAGTGAATTCATTATATTCCCAGAAAAACAAGAAACAACGCATTTTTTTCTCTACTTATATATAAATTTTTACGAAAATTCTTTTACACCCCCAAAAGTGAGGAATTTTAACTTGGACTGTAAATGGATTTGACACCAGGAGCTCTTAAAATAACTTCTTACTTCCTACTTGGATATTAGCATTCCAAATGTATGACCAGTTCTAAGATTTAGCTATTGCCTCTTTTACAGCGTTTGACAATAACATTGTGCTTGATTAGGTTATGTCGTGTTGTGTTACTGAGTTATGCTAGGAAACATAATAATATCATGAACACCATGACTGAGTATATAGCATCCAGAAAACGATGGTGGAAAATGAAACTGGTTTCAGTAGAGATATTTCTCTGTGCCAATTAATAAAGGCATGGGAAAATTAGTTACTATAGAACTAAAACAAAATCACTCAAGAAATAGGAAATAGCAACATGAACAATTTTGGTATTATTCATAACTGGTCCTCTTCAAAGAAGAGAAGCATGGAGAGATACAAATTTAGAATAACCTCACTATAATGTTTTGAGATTCTTAAGAGTATTTTAATACTGAAAGTTGCATATATCATATCTGGGAGTTCTGTGAGACTTATGCAGATTTGGGGATTTGTTTTCTTGGTGTCTTTCACCATTTCTCTTTTGCTGGGCAGAGTACTGGCATTTCTTTGCCCCGCAAAATGTTTTTGCCGTAGGCCAAAACAAAATACATACCTTCAACATGGGAACCGCATCGTGAAGGTGAACAAGTGCTCCAACATCTTGTTTACTCCAGAACCAGCTTTCAGTGCTAAAACTTCTTCAGAAGGATTCTCAAAGGGGGGAAATAGTATTTGGTTGACGGAAACCAGAAAGCAGGGTAAAATAAATCATAGAGTTTAAAATTAGACCTAACGTCTTTGAAGTGACCAATAATTGAAATTGCTTCTGAGGTGTGAAAAGAGAGAAAAGGTCTGTCTGGGTGACTTTCTAGATAGAGAGGCAGTATGGTCTGGTGGTTAAGCGAATGCACTCTCGAGCCACAATATTTGTTTCTTTACTTTGTCTTTGTTTGTTTGTTTGTTCTTGCTTTTTGAGACAAAGTCTGACTCTGTCACCCAGGCTAGAGTGTGGAGTGCAGTTGTGCGATCTTGGCTCACTGCAACCTCTGCTTCCTGAATAGCTGGGACCACAGGTACATGCCACCACATTAGACTATTTTTTATATTTTTAGTAGAGACAGGGTTTCACCATGTTGCCCGGGCTGGTGTCCAACTCCTGGTCTCATGTGATCCGCCCACCTTGGTGTCCCAAATTGCTGGGATTACAGGCTGGAGCCATGGCGCCTTGTCTAGAAACACAGCATCTGGAATTAAATTTTATTTCCTTTACTTATTACCTGTTTGAACCCATACAGATCAATCAATTTCTGGTGTGACAGCAGGAGCAGAGAGAGCTGAACATCTTGGCAGATGAAAGCAGCGGGACATTTTCCTCCTGCTCCTGAAAGAGAGGATTGTAGTAGGGAAGTTATAGAAGAGAGAAGGCAGACGCAAGTAAGAGGAGTAACTAAAGGGCCTTTAGGAGCCATATACCCAATATTTCATTCTAAGGTGTTCGAGCTGCATATGAATATATCAGTAAGGCTGACACAGGCTCAAAATCTGGTAGTGGTGATGCACCACACCTCTGTTGTATGTGCTGGTGGGCGGTGCATAGCTCTCTATGTTGGTCAAAATAAGGGGCTACATTCTATGTTCACATGCAGATACAGGGAGAGATGTAAGGGTGGAGATAAATCGAGAAATATAAAGAGAGGTACAAATAAGGATTCAGAGGATTCAGGACATCAGAAACAGAGCCACTTCTAGAAACTACAAATTCTTGGGGGAGAGAAAGCACCTTTACCCCTCCGCTAGCAATTTGTACAACTTTTTGGAAAAGCATTAGGCTTTTGATGGTTTGACCATGGAGTATTAGTTTATGTTAATTTTGTAAATTATAAGTGGCAAGGAGACCCCAGGTAACATCTGGAGAGCAGTGTTTTAGTGTGAACCGTGGAACCAGAGGGATATGGTTTTAATGTATCCCCACCCAAATCCCACATTAAATTGTAGTTGCCATAATCCCCACATGTCATGGGAGGGACCCAGTGGGAGGTAATTGAATCATGGGGGCAGGTTTTACCCATGCTGTTCTCCTGTTAGTGAATAAGTCTCACAAGATCTAATGGTTTTATAAAGGGCAGTTCCCCTGCATACACTGTCTTGCCTGCCGCCATGTAAGACATGCCTTTGCTCCTCCTTCACCTTCCACCATGATTATAGGGCCTCCTGAGCCATGTGGAGCTGTGAGTCCATTAAAACTCTTTTTCTTTATGAATTATCCAGTCTCAGGTATTTCTTCATAGCAGTATGAAAATTGACTAATACTCAAACTCTCTTTTTCAACCTTATCTGGACACATAGAAATTGGGTCAACTTTGGTCAGTGGCCAGTCATCTGTGAACCTCAATTTCCTCCTTCGCTAAATGAAAGTGACAATGGTACAGGTGATTGTGAGGATTACAGGTGGTTCTGAGGATTCAATGAGTGTACTTATCAGAGCATCTGACATATAATGGCTATTCTCCATATATTAAAAAATGAAAGAACAAAGAAAAAATTTAAAACATTGCAATGAAATAATTCATACATAGTAAATGGGAAAAAATATATATCATTATTCAGATTTTTAACAACTCAGCTGAGTGTACTATGTCCTACTGTAAGCATGCCCATTTTTCTGGTGAATATTTTCCCTATCTCCAGCTTTTCAGGTGCTGTCTTCTTGGTCCTGATCAATGGACCCTGGGTACCCATAGCCTTCCTTCAAGCTTATGAGACTTGGCAAACCACTGGCCTCCTTCTGTGTCAGGGGCTGGCACTGTCAAGTGCATCGTCTGATTGTGATCCTCAGGCCTTGGCAGCAAATGTACAGTTTTCTTGCTTTAATTAGGCTGAGATTCATTCCTACACGTGGCAGCTGCAAAGATATATTCTCTTACAATTAGATGTTACAATACTTGTATTGCCTGAACCTTAATTTTAAGTACATTTTGGTGGCCCTTGTCCCTCCCTTGCACCTTGGTTGCTCCAAGAGAGAGCATATGGCCCAGTAATTCTTTAAAGCTCATTTTATGGGCCATTCTCAGGCACTTCCTGCTGGCCTTTGGAACAGAGCCTTATTCGTGACTGCATTTTTGCTTATACTCCTGCCAAATGCTTCCTCCAAAACCAGCAATCAAACCACAGGACATGATAAGCCATGGCCATCAGAATGGCTTAATGAGAGCAACCTCAACAATCAAGGTCATTAACAGCAACCAGCACTGCAGGATTTGTATCCCGTGCACAAGGGCAGCCTGGGCAGGTCACCTTTGTGGTCTATGAGAATATCTCCAAATATTATAGAATTTGAGACCATCTCAGAGAACGATCTCATTCTAAGCAATTTTCTTTTAAGCAAAAATGGATAGGACAAAAATAGAAACTGGTGGTTCTCTCTGGCCTCTCCTTGTAGAAGAATAAATCTAGAGTTTTTAAAGGTCTTACAGAGCAAAGAAAATATTCGCTGGATGC
This sequence comes from Homo sapiens, assembly GCF_000001405.40. NCBI lineage: Eukaryota > Metazoa > Chordata > Mammalia > Primates > Hominidae > Homo > Homo sapiens. The sequence goes on from NC_000003.12 coordinate 1,273,446, forward strand.
TTGTATGGCTACCTAATTCAGTCACCCTTGCCTCAGAAAATGATCTGAATTAAATCTTGTTTCCAGCTAGCAGAAGGGTATTTGAAATACAGATTGGATCTGTACAATAGACCTTGTTCAAAGCATATCCACATGAGATGGTACATAGTTTAAATAAGGCAGACTTATATCTTGTCTATGATCTGTGTGCTATTAAACAGTTTTAAAACGTGAATTATTAATTAAAACCTGTGAACTACTAACATTTTGGAATGACTGTTTTGATAGCTAACAGGACTTGTGTGACTTTTGAGAGGCGTTGATTTCCTTTCATGTCAGCTAATAGAAATCCCATTGTAATCATAAAAGGCACAGAGAAATTATGTCACAAGCGGATGCTATTTAAGTGGAAGTGAACACAGAATATATTAAAGTATCAGTGTTCTTATCAGCAGTGTCTTATAATGACTTCTGATTAACACTGAAAAGATGATTGATGTTCCTAGGATTGTGGAGCACTGACAATGTGACACTGAGAGAATTCAATCCAAAGCTTGTTAATTTCATAGAATCATTCAATTTCTCATTACTCCTTTTTGACAGTGTTTGTTTTTGTGACCATTACAATATAGTCACAATTTAATGGGGCCTTTCAAAAACAATAGTAAGAAAAAAACCTTAAAATTGTCACCTATGATGATTATTACTAGAAACAGAAACAATGATTTCAATATATTAATTTTTTTTGTTTTAAAATAAAGCTTATTAGGCTGATTTTTATTCAGGAGTCATATTTAAACTGATACAAGCCAAAGTCATAGAGGACTCCCAAGTCAAGGCAATAGTTCACATCAACAGCGCCAACATATGTAGGCTGATTTAGTTTTTTCATGGCCAAAGAAGAAAGGAAGCATATTTGATGTAAATTCCTGTATGAGAAACATGGTAGGCATGCCAGGTCCTAAATTAGTATAAAGCTAATGACTGCTGATTGAGAGCAGGTGGAGAACGGGAAGGGGGTGTAGTTGAGGATCAGTAGAGTTTATCTTAATACTTTTGTTATTAAATACTTTTGTTATTAAAAGTATAGAAAATATAAGACTTTCTCAATTTACATATCAGATCTGGTGAATCTATCTTATTGAACTCATACTTTACATGGATTGAAAAGCAATGTTTACAAAAAGAACACTGATATGGGAAGTAATGTAGTTAGCAGAGATAAACTGCGGATGTTTCAAATAAAATCATCTACCTCCAAAAATTTTACTGGAACTAGCATGTGATATTTAACTTGTATTTTTAGATTAGTGTATCTGAACTTTGTATCAGTCAGAGGAAAATGTATGGTTGGCCCTAACCACTCAGAATGTCATAATCATAGTAATTACCACTACCCAGTAGTAGTAATTACCAATATTCTAGGCTTCAGTCAAGACACTTTAAATTCATCATTTTATTTAATCCCCATAACAACCCTGCTAAACATAGGTGTGTTTATTGGATCTTTTATCTTCCCAAATGACCACCCAACGCCCCCACCCAAATCAGTTTGATTGAAAAATTTGAAACCAGCACCAAAAACTTTCTCATCTAACCCAGCAAAAACTCTGCAGTCCATCTTTTACAAGCACATATAAGTTTTGTTTTAATTTCTCTTTCCTTACAAAGGCCGATCCTTCCATGTGGGTTCTCATTATCACCCTTCAGGCTTTACAAGGACCTTATTTTATCTGTGTCCTGAATCGTCAGTCTCTTTCCTTACTTGATCATTGATTTCAGCATAGTGGCCTCACCCTCCAAACCTTTTGGTATTCTTCCTAAATCTCATCTCTTACTCATAGCCAACTCTAAAGAGTTCTCATGACTGTGATCTCCATGTCCTTATCTGCTATCTACTATCCACTTCTCGATTCATATTGGCTTTTTCCCCAAACTCTACTGAAACTTTTCTTGGCAAGATCACATATGACCAACATTGTTTTGTCTTTTATGTTCACGTATTATTCACCTCTAGCTTTTTACACACACCCTCTCTCTCATATCTGTGGTTCTCTACCTCTAAATATGGAGATTTTCAAGGTTAACTCCTAGACAACTGTCCACCAATTTGCTCGTGCCAAAAGTTTAAGAGTCACCCCATCAGGTTTACATTCATACCTATGACTTCAAATATGGTGTATATGCTTATAAATCCCATTCTTAGCCCTAAGCTTGTTTTCCTGCCACTAGATGGTGCCATTTGGGGGTGATGGGAGACAGTGACAGATCATCAGGCATTAGGTTATCACAAGGAGTGTGCAACTTGGATCCCTCACATGCGCGGTTCACAATAGGGTTTGTGTTCCTATGAGAATCTAATGCCACTGCTGATCTAACAGGGGGCAGAGCTCAGGAGGTAATGTGATTGACAGGGAGTGGCTGTAAATAAAATGAAGCTTTGTTCGCTTGCCTGCCACTCATCTCCTGCTGCGTGGTTTTGGGATTGGAGATCCCTGTTTTATAGTATTTGTAATATTGTCGCTTAGATAGCTCATGGATAATACAAATTTAATAGATCCAAAATGAAATTCTTGAATTCCTCTAAACAATACCAATAATTTGTTCCAATTAGACCATAGTAAGGTTGTTAAAAAATAAGCAAAACTAAAAAAACTACAATGTGTAATCTTTAGAAGACTTTAAAAGATAAAGACAGATGTAAGTAAAGATGGGTAATCTCTACTTTCACATCTCCCATCCATTCCTCTAAGATAACCAATGTGTATTTTTTTAAAAATTCATTCTGTAACTTTATGCCAATCTAACAGGATGCTTATATTAGTTTTTTACTGTTGTTTTCTTCCACAGTAGGATAATGGTGTATCAATATTTAGTGACTTTTTAAAGAACATGACACTAAGAATGTTCCGAGTCAAACCATTTAGATTTGACGTATTCTTTCTAATTTTCAATGACATGACTTTCTATGCATGTTCCAGGTATGATTCAACGATGTGCGCTGCTGTATTATTAGATTATTTCCAATCCATTTTATTTGTATTTTAAATTTAAACCAAATGTATTGTACGTACATAGCTCACGATATGCTGCTTGCTACTGTGCTTGCTCTGAAACCTTGCCCATTATGCACTAACAACACTGGCTTCTATTCAGTACAACAAAACGTCCCTACATTTTTTATATCCAGAAATTTAGTACGGTTTTTTCATTCTGGAAGCAGTTCTTTCCCTCTGCCTTACCATCATTGCATGGCTGTCTCTTTCTCATCTGTCAGATCAGTGCTCTCTTCTTATCTTTTACAGGGTATCTTAGGGTAAAAAGTTAAACTGATGCGACAGAGACCCCAAAACAAATGCCTCAAACAAGATAGAAATTTACTTATATGTAATATAATGATCTAAAGTTGACGTTCCAGATTAGCTATGTTTCTGCTCCAGCTAGTCACTCAAATACCCGGGTGAATGGTGGCTCTTTTGCATTCAGCAAGTGGCTTTCAAGACCTCCCATATCATTGGCAATTTGGCAATTTAGGTGGGTGTGGTGGTAGGTGGATCAGGAACATCAAAATTTGTGGAGATTTCCTCTCAAACATAGTAAGTGAAAGTTTCATTCATCATTTTTGCTTGCCATATTTAGCTGCAAAGAAATCTGGGAAATGTGATCTCTGGTTAGACAAGCATGTTTGATAACAAGTCTATTATTATGGGAGAAGGAAGAATAGATCTTGGTAGACAATTTCAGTCTACACTCAAGGACACTTACCACAATTTGTAAATGATGTATTCATTTTAAAAACAATCTTCTGGTCTTCCCATTAGATAGTAAGCACAATAAAGGTAAAATACCTGCCTGTTTTATTGTTTTATTCACAAATAAACCTTCTCCCCTGAATACTACTTCTGTCTTTTAGTAGGTTTTCTTTTTTTTTTTTTTTTTTTTTTTTTTTTTTTGAGACCGATTCTGGCTCTGTCTCTCAGGCTGGAGTACAGTGGCGCAATCTCGGCTCATTGCAACCTCTGCCTCCTGGGTTCAAGCAATTCTCATGCCTCAGCCTCCTGACATAGCTGGAATTACAGGCGTGTGCCACCATGCCTGGCTAATTTTTGTAATTTTAGTAGAGATGGGGTTTTGCCATATTGGCCAAGCTGGTCTCAAACTCCTGGCCACAAGCAACTTGCCTGACTCAGCCTCCCAAAGTGCTGGGATTACAGGAGTGAGCCACCACACCCAGATTAGTAGGTTAATTCATTAAATAACTAATTGAATGAATGAAAGGATTTTACAGGTAAAGAAACTGAGGCTCAAAGAAGTTAAACAATTTAGGAGAATGGGTGACCATTCTTCAGGAAGGTGGAAAGATTTATACCTCAGATGGCTTAACAAGATAGCTAGTAAGCACTCTTTCAACTCTGAATTTCTGTGATTCTGTTATGCAGGAAATCACCACATTCCAAATAAGATCATGAGCCTGCTTTGTAAAGGAATAAATCAAGAGAAAATTGAAAATACACTTTTTGTCTCATTGGTTCTGTCACACAGAACTCTTTCCCTCACACCATTACATCCTAAATTCTCATAGATGCCAGTCACACTTTAAAATGGCAACCATTAATCTAAGATGTTGGAAGACTGCAGCAAACTTGTGACATACCTTTCTAAAATCACACCTTCCTTGGACAGACAAAGTAAATATGTGTTGGGCTTCACAGATTTCCTGCTAGGCTACACTGTCTGGAAGAATAAAAGCAAACAGATAGTGAGTATTGTCTTTATCACATACTGTGTTTAATTAAAAAGAAAGAAAGAAACACAAGATTTTGCAAGATAATAATAAGTGCAGTTAAATTGATTGTCAACTAAGTCTTCTGGTCAGCAAAGTATGAGATTAATTCCCCTTAATAATAAAAACATTCTTGAGATTCTTCTTTAAAATATTTATTCTGCAAAGTAACTAATTATAAATCTGCTTTTCTTTGTTTTCCAAGATATTGAAGACTTTGAAACTAAAACAAGAAGCACAGTATCTGTCCGAGAAGGTCAAGGTGTGGTGCTTCTCTGTGGCCCACCGCCACATTTTGGAGGTATGATGGGGTGATTTGGGTCATATCATCAATGCGGTCACTTGGAGAGTGATGTGAGCACATCAGGTCTTAGGCTCAGTGATCACCTTTTATCAAATCAAAGAAATTGTGACTCTCGTCAAGTGCATCTACTGCATACAAATAGTTCTATATCTAAACATTTTCTTTTAAAAATATTCGTTCAAGCAGCCACACAGCAAATATGTTTTTAAGGAGATACATCATGGCATTGTACGTAGTGTGAGTGCCAGGGCTTTTTAGAGAAACTGACCGCAGCTGTAATTCGGTGCTGTGACAGGCAAACTTCATGACAAGGGGACAATTTATTTACCCCACTTTGAGGCTTGGTTTTCTCATCTATAAAATAGAGACATTAACTGTTTGTTTGTTTGTTTGTTCAGTTTTGTTGTAAATGTTAAATGAGCTAATAAATGTAAATTGAGTAGTGTAATAACTAATACTTTAGTAAGTAAAGAAAGTTAAGATTGTTACTACGTTTTTATTTTTGGGCTCTATGGAGAAGCAAATTCCAACTAACACTCCTCTTGGCAATGTCACATTAATTACCGGAAGGGATAGATCACCATTAACTGGAAGCAAATTCTGTATAGCACCAAATCAGAATGTCTCCTGGCAATGGTAAAAATCAAGCAATAAATGCCAGCCTCTACTTTGGAAGACTCTGGCTTGGTCAGTGGACTGGCCCGTTGTCAGGGATCCAAACTACTTACTGATTCTCATCCTCTTGGGAATGGATTTTCTCAAATTTCACATGATGTGGTAAATTTAGTCGTGATTCTCAACTCACAGTGAACCTGAAGGAGGCAGTGTGAAAACATCCATGGAGTCATTTGGTACAAACCAATATCACACTATATTATAGAAAGCTTAATAACAGCAAGGACTTACACAGCACAGACCCAAGGACTTTAACATGTATTAGATTCTTAAATTTTCACAAAAACTTATAAGAGATATATGAGTATAATTATTGTTTTACAGGCTCAGTACACTATAGAGAAATAGAAAGATGTTAATTAACTGGTCCAAGGTCACGCAGCTGGCAGGCAATGAAGCCAATATTCAAATCCAGGAAGTCTGGTTCCCAGACCCTCAGCTCTTAACTATCACTGCAGTTGTTATAATTGATTTCCACTCTGGAATGGGAGAACTTTTAAAATACAAAGGACAGATGTTTAAAAATAAAATTTAAGCAATTTACTTTTAATGTTAAACCAAATCTTATTTATGAGCCTTGAGAAACTTGAAAGCGTTTTTCCATTATTATTTTTACACAACCTCATGAATTGCCATGACCAAAAGAAAAGAAAGCTAATTCAAAGTTAACAATATCTTATTCGGTATTATTAGAGAGTATTATGGCATTATATTCACCTGATATGATAGGGAAGAGTTGCAATGCTTTTAATGCTATATTGAGATAAAATAATATTGTTTCAGAACACACAATAATTGCTGAGGCTCTTTTGGTGCTTATTTTTTAACGGTATAGAAGATTATTTTCCGGCACCATAATCTAAGATGACAAAATATGCAAAATGGTATCAGTTTGTCCTGTCAGTCTATGTCATTTTATGCTCTTACGATGTTATTCAAATATTCTTGACACTACTGAAAATTGTTTTCAACTTTGTTTAATCGGGAATAAAAGAAATGTAAAATATTTGTAAATGAATCAGTTCCATATGTAAAAAAATTTAAAAAATTAAAAGGCAGCCAGACAGGAGACGCTTGTCCTTGTTACCTTGTCACCTATCACCATTAAAGGATATGTGGATCTTTTAGTGTGTGAGGCCCTCATTGTAACAGCGCCCGTGGGGTCGATGCCATAAAATTAAGTCACACATTTACAAAAACTGCCTTAAATTAAGACCTTTGTAACTGAATAATCTTGCTGCATGGGAGTAATGGCAAACTTGTGTAATACCAATTTTTTTTTTTTTTTTTTTTTTTGTGATAGCATCTCGCTCTGTCTCCCAGGCTGGAGTGCAGTGGCTCGATCTTGGCTCACTGCAACCTCTGCCTCCTGGGTTCAAGCGATTCTCCTACCTCAGCCTACTGAGTAGCTGGGATTACATTTGCACACAACCACACCCAGCTAATTTCTGTATTTTTAGTAGAGACGGGTTTTCGCCATGTTGGCCAGGCTGGTCTCAAACTCCTAACCTCAGGTGATCTGCCCACCTCGGCCTCCCAAAGTGCTGGGATTACAGGCATGAGTCACCGCACCTGGTCCGAGATTTAATTTATGTTACAAGTAGCATCTCATCATGATTCCAAGCATATTTGTCGGCTGAATCATGTTTCTTGCTGTTAAGGTCCCTGTTTCCTTGATAACTGGCTGTTAAGGGACACTCTCAACTTGTAGAGGCTGCTGAATTTCTTGCCATGAGCATTTGTCCAATGTCAAAGCCAGGAACAGAGAATCTGTCTCACATTTAGTCCCTCGAACATTTCAAATTTCTTTAGTCAGGAAGAGCCCCATCTCTTGTGAGGGCTCACCTGATACAGATCATGCCCACAAAAGCTGAAGTCAGTTTCTTTAAATCAACCTGTGCCATCTAATCTTATCTAATCATGGATATGATCTCTCATCCTGCTACAAGTCGCACTCACACTCAGATGAAGAGAATTATACAAGGGCACGGGTCGTTGAAGGTCATCTTGGGATTTTGCCCTACAATATGTTTCTCAAATATTATTTCTTCTATTTCCAATCTCCCTAAAGGCTCCATATTTCCTACCACACATGGCTCTCACAGAGAAACGTCCTAGAAATATATTCATGGGGGCAGACGGAGTTAACAGAGCACTGTAAAGTAAATGTCGGCGTGGCCAAATTATTTTTTAAATCTCGTGTGTAAGTATTAAACAAAGCTTCTCATAAAGAAAAGTAGCACAGACTCCACAGAGATAGAAGGCCATAAAAGTTGACTTTTTTTTTTTTTTTTTTGAGACGGAGTCTCCTTCTGTTGCCTAAGCTGGAGTGCAGTGGCCCCATCTCTGCTCACCACTACCTCCGCCTCCCAGATTCAAGGGATTCTCCTGCCTCAGCTTCCCGAGTAGCTGGAACCACAGGCACGTGCCACCATGAACACCTAATTTTTGTATTTTTAGTAGAGGCGGGGTTTCACTTCTGACCTCGTGATCTGCCCGCCTCGGCCTCCCAAAGTGCTGGGATTACAGGCGTGAGCCATCGGGCGCAGCAAAGGCTGAAATTTTACATCAAATTTTTGATAACTTAGTTCTGTTGTCTTTTTCAACATAAACAGTCAGCAAGAATGAGTCTCACAGGGAGTTCGGCAGCAAGGGAGAAATCATGTTAAACTTGATATTATCAGAATATCCTGAATTCTTTATGCTTTCTTTTTAGTGTATTCACATAAATTATACAAAACTTTTTTTTAATAAGGCAGGCCTATCAAATATATTTTAGTGTGATATATATAGGTATACACACACACACACACACACACACACATAACTTTATAGGAGAGTAAGAAAAAGTATCGACATGGCTAAATTTTATAAATTTACCCAGCAAAGAATGGCTCCATGTTTTAAAAACAAAACAGAAAAGTGTCTAGATGGTTTTTCCATGTAAATGATTGGTCACAACCCCATGAAACAGAGTAATCAACAGAAACCAAATAAACAGGTACTTTTATAGAGCTGTCCTTTCTTCTGCGTAAACGAAAGGAGGGCTGACTCCAGCATAGGCCTTCTGTGGATGCTTTCCACCCAGTTTTGAAGCACAGATGCAAATGTCCTGCTCCTCTAGAAAGGAAGGGTTTTACACGGAAAGGTTATTCTAGCAGAGAAGGCATCACAGTGCAAAAGAAAAATAACCTAAGCAATAATGCCAGGACACAGTTCAAGACGCTCTATTTTATCATTTCAAAATGTGGAAGCAGAATAGGCACCATTCTCTGTAATCTGAGTGGAGGAGTATATTTCTCTTTTAATCCTATTCCCCAATCAGAGATGGGTTTTGTGATTGTAACTGAATCTCTGTCCTTAGGACTAGACTCAGTCCTTGTTCCCATATTTCCAAAAAATCTTATCTGTAAAATATTTCCGAGAAATGTAGGTTTCACGAAGTTTTGTAAGGACAGCACAGAGAGGACTGCAATGCACATCTGATTACAAAACTTCACTAAGATTCCTGTTAAACGTCTCCTTCATTCCTCCTAAACGCTCTCTCACTGGTAGGCTGTGACTTCCCACATCTTTCCAACAATCTCCAACAATTCCCTCGAGTATCTATTATAATTCTTCCCTATTTGGACACCTATCTCAGAAGAATTCAGTACTCCTTTAGCTTCTCAGTGCTTGGCAGAACGAAATTTACTAGTTGGCCAAACAAAAATATTTTATTTCTTTCACTATGTCCCTGCAGGGTTCTAAGGTCATCCCTCAGTTCATGCAACAGAAAGAGACAACACAAAACTCTTTTTTTTTGAGAGGGAGTCTCGCCCTGTTGCCCAGGCTGGAGTGCAGAGGTGCCATATTGGCTCACTGCAATCTCCACCTCCCTGGTTCAAGCGATTCTCCTGCCTCAGCCTCCTGTGTAGCTGGGACTACAGGTGCATGCCACCACACCCAGCTAATTTTTTATATTTTTAGTAGAGACAGGGTGGGTCTCCAACTCCTGGCCTCATGTGATCCGCCTGCCTCGGCTTCCCAAAGTCCTGGGATCACCGGTGTGAGCCACTGCTCCCAGCCCACAAAACTTATTTAGTATTTATTTTATTTATTTTTGGGGAGCAGGATGTTACCGTGCCTTTGGCTGAACTTTGAGCTGTATGCAGAGAGGTCTTTCCACCATGGATTCTCACTCACCTCCAAAGTGAGCTTTTGTTAAATTTCAGTCACTCGTCACAAAAAATGTCGGCACAAACTATCTGCAACAGAGCTGAAGGCAGAATTTCCTTTAAATTTTGGAACAGATATAACGCCCTTGAAACCAAAACTGAAGAAGGAATATGAAAACAAGCAATCAATAAACTTCCATGGACCCAGTGAGTTAGTCCAGCCTCATAGGAAATCTTATTTAAAAATGACAGAATGAAGCAACGATACATGTTATCTACAATAATTAAACCCCCCCTTCACTATGTAGTAATAGTTTCACTTTATCCAAAGTAAAGAACACTCTTTCCCTTCATTGGTTGGATATGAAACTCTCGGCGGGGCTCAGTGGCTCACACCTGTAATCCCAGCACTTTGGGAGGCCAAGGTGGGCAGATCACCTGAGGTCAGGAGTTCGAGACCAGCCTGGCCAACATGGTGAAACCCCGTCTGTCCTAAAAATACAAAAATTAGCCGGGTGTGGTGGCAGGCGCCTGTAATCCCAGCTACTCTGGGGCTGAGGCAGGAGAATCACTTGACTCTGGGAGGCGGAGGTTGCAGTGAGCCAAGATCATGCCTTTGCACTCCAGCCTGGGGGACAAGAGTGAGATTTCATCTCAAAAAGCAAACAAACAAACAAACAAAAAAGAAACTAAGTCCCGAGCTCATAAAAATTATAGGTTTAAAATTTGATTTAGAGGAAATGTTCCATTCTCTCCTCAGATGCAACTTTCAGGTTGGTAGAACAGTTGAATTGATGCCAAAAGTTTGGATCATCTGTGTCTGTAGCAGGAAGATAGCACGACTGTCTGAGCCCACTGTTTGTATTTGCATCAGTAAAGATGTTGACAATTCCACTTAAATTAAAAGTCATTCCAAGCAAAGGCTCACAATTGTGTTATCAAATAAAGAGGAAAATTATGTAGAGAAAAAAGTGCTAAAACTTAACATCCCCTTCCTCCAGTTGGTGTGCTTGCTGTTTCTGGCGTAAATGAAAGTGCTTTTGTCTTAGTGGGTAGGTCAAATTGGCAGTGGATATGTTACTCTGAGGCTCTCTGAAAGTGTAAAAGGCAGACAGGCCCAATAGTTGCCTCTTGGTATAATAATAATAGTAACGATAATAACCGTATTATTGAACTTGTACACTGGGTATTCACTCAACAAATATTTATTATGTAGTTACTAAGTGCCACTCGTTTTTCTGCATTTTAGTGATAAAGTGGAAAAGAGAGACAAAGTTTTTAGCTCCATGAATCTTATAATAAAGAAATATAAAGCATGACAGGTGGTAATAAAAGCCAGAAGAAAAATAAAAGGAGATAGGAAATAGTAGATGTTGCTATTGTATATTCTAAGGTAAAAGAAGGTTTCACTGCTATTTGAGCAGAGAACTAAAGAAGTGAGGGAGTGAGACACATTAAGTAAAGGCAGTTCAGGTGGAGGAAATAGCATGTCAAAGAACCTGTGGGGAAACCACGTCTAGCATGTTGGGAGAACGGCACTGAGGTCAGCATAGGTGAATTAAAATGAACAGACAGGAGAGTAAATGAGGACACACAGCCTTACTTTCAGACATTTTAGGGACTTTGCCTTCTCCTGGGAGTAAGATGAAAATTCACTGGTTTATATTCAGAAGAGTGACATGCTTTCTCTGACTTTCATTTGTAAAAATTTACTCTGGATAGTAGACCACAGAGGGGCAAGAACATAAGCAGTTAAAAAGTGATTGTGTTAATTCAGGTGAGAGAGAATGGTGACTTGGACCAGGTGGATTGCTGTAGACAGATAGATAATTACCAGTCTTCAGTATGTATTTATAAGGTATAAGTAAAATAATTTCCTGAAAGATTGAATGTGGGTTATAAGAGAAGGAGAAAAGTAAAAGATAACTCCAAGGATTTGGGACCGAGCAACTGGAAAATGGAGTATCATTTATTGGGGTGGAGTTGATGAAGGGATAGCAGGTTTAAGGATGGAGTAAATCAGGAATTTGTTTTAGGAGATGTTAATGTTCAGATGCCAGTTAGATACAAGGGTGAAAGTTTCTAGCAGGCAGCTGGATTATATGTTTAGGGCAAAAGCTCTGGTTTGAAGAGCTAAATTTGGAACTCACCTTATATAAGTAATATTTAATACTACATAATTGGATAAGATAATGAATACTTACTATGTACTAGGCACTAAACTTAGCATTTGCAATACTTCAACGCATTTAACATTTTCCGGGAAGATATCTCAATTTTACAAATTGAGTATTGTGTTAAAATTGTTAGTGTTAGCTAACAACTATAGTTAACTAAACTCAACTAACTATAACATAGCTTGGCCAAGATCTTGTCTCTGGAATTCGAAAGATCCTGTCTAAACATCAGTGCATTTATTCCACTCCCTAATTTTCTCTGGCATAATCTGGTCCAGAAGAGACACTTAAAAGTTTTTAAATAATACAAGGAGATAACAAGAGTTCTTTACTCTACTGGAGACTATGTAAACAACACACAGAGAGGTCTACTGATTTGCCTAAAATTAGTGTACAGTGTTAGAACCAGGAAGCTCATGGCTCTTCCCACTCTTCATAGCTGGCCAAAGTCAGCTCTCTAGAAAGTTTATTTCTTTAAGTCCCATGCTGCACATTCCTTCCCTCCACTTTCAGACTCCATTCACTCTTAGAAAGACTATTTTCCTTGCTTTCCAGCACATCAAACAGAACTCTCCTGTTGCAGCCTGTTACCATGTGTAGAAGTCAGGATTTTCCAACACTGGTACACTTTGTGGCAGTAGGGCCAGATGTTGGGGAGATAGGAAGTAATTCTTTTTTTCTCTTTTTATTATCATACTTTAAGTTCTGGGCCACATGTGAAGAAAGTGCAGGTTTGTTACATAGGTGTACACGTGCCATGGTGGTTTGCTGCACCCATCAACCGGCCATCTACATTAGGTTTTTCTCCTAATGCTATCCCTCCCTTAGCCCCCCAACCCCCAGTAGGCCCCAGTGTGTGATGGGCCCCTCCCTGTGTCCATGTGTTCTCATTGTTCAACTCTCACTTATGAGTGAAAACCTGCGGTGTTTGGTTTTCTGTTCTTGTGTTAGTTTGCTGAAAATGATGGTTTCGAGCTTCATCCATGTCCCTGCAAAGGACATGAACTCATCCTTTTTTATGGCTGCATAGTATTCCATGGTGTATATGTGCCACATTTTAAAGAAAATGTGACAGTCTATCATTGATAGATAGATAGACATAATATCCAGTCTATCATTGATGGGCATTTGTGGTGGTTCCAAGTCTTTGCTATTTCAATATTAACCTTAAATGTAAACAGGCTAAATGTCCCAATTAAAAGACACAGACTGGCAAATTGGATAAAGAGTCAAGGCTCCTCCGTGTGCTGTATTCAGTATCTCACATGGAGACCCATCTCACATGCAAAGACACATAGGAGACCCACCTCATGTGCAAAGACACACATAGGCTCAAAATAAAGGGAAGGAGGAATATTTACCAAGCAAAAGGAAAGCAGAAAAAAGCAGGGGTTGCAATCCTAGTCACTGATAAAACAGACTTTAAACCAACAAAGATCAAAAGAGACAAAGAAGGTCATTACATAATGGTAAAGGGATCAATGCAACAGGAAGAGCTAACTATCCTAAATATATATGCACCCAATACAGGAGCACCCAGATTCATAAAGCACGTTCTTAGAGTCTTACAAAGAAACTTAGACTCCCACACAATAATAGTGGGAGACTTTAACACCCCACTGTCAATATTAGATCAACAAGACAGAAAATTAACAACGATATTCAGGACTTGAACTCAGCTCTGCACCAAGCAGATCTAATAGACATCTACGGGAGTAATTCTTTATTGGAAGAACTGCTCTGCACGTTGTTAAGATGTTTAGTAATATCCCTGGCTTTTACTTACTAGATGCCAATCGCACTGCCTCCTCCAATTGTGGGAAAATTTGTCTCCAGATATTGCCAGATAACTTCTAGAGGGCAAAACTATCCTTAGTTGAAAACCACTGGTACAGCCCATCTCTTACATTCACTGTATTAAGTTCACCCATAAAAGATGGAAATTGGGAAGAAAAAGAGAAGTCTAGTCCTCATATATTTGTATCCTATGACTTGCTTGGTCTCCCTAAGAATTGGAGGTTTCCTAGCAATTCACTCAGAAGCTGGCTATGAGATAAGAGTCGGTAGGACTGGCTTTGCAAAGTACAAGTCAAAAAGAGCCCACTGACAAAATAAGATGTGGTAAAGAAGCCAGCCAAAACCCACCAAAACCAAGATGGTGAAAAAAGCTATCTCTAATCATCCACACTGCTCATTATATGCTAATTATAATGCATTAAGGTGCTAAAAGACACTCCCACCAGCGCCATGACAGTTTACAAATGCCATGGCAACTTCTAGAAGCTACCCAATATGGTCTAAAAGTGTGAGGAACCTTCAGTCCTGGGAATTCTCCTCCTCTTTCCCAGAAAACTAATGAATGTTCCTCCCCATGTTTAGCATATGAGCAAGGAATAACCACGAAAATAGCCAGCTCTGAAGTAGCCACTGTTACTTATTCCTCTACTTTCCTCATAAACTTGCTTTCACTTTACAGTGTTGGCTCGGTCTTGAATCCCTTCCTGTGAGAAGCCAGTAACTCATGTGGCCTCCCAGGCTGAACCCCAGTTTTGGGGTTTGCCTTGAGACAGCTGTGTTTTCGTTCCTTCTCCAAGTAGGTTTGGCCAATGTACAACCAGTTCTATAGTTATTTGGAACTTAGCAATATTAGGAACCCATGAGACCTTTATTTAACTGTCATTCATAGGCCGTAAAGAACCACCATCTCCTTGATTCCAAACAGTAGATGTGTAAATCAGAAGGGATCCAATAAAATCCAGGTGATCAAGCAGTAATTGTGGAACGAATGGGAATTCAAATAGGAGTGGATTTTAAAGTGTTAGGCACGTTTCTGGATTACATCGTAAACTTCCTCAGCCTAATATCAATGACTTCAGTCCAGAAAAGGAATTATTCTTCTTGGATTAGGTTTTTGCCACTGAGCTAGCATAACCATGATTGACCACCCAAGAGTCAGTCACATTTAACCCTGGAGCACTACACAAGGTTTGCAGTAAAGTACACACATTCTGGAATATTCCAAAGGGGGGATTTACCCAGTAAATCTGAACACTATACTTCAAGTTCTTTATTCTACTCATTTATTTTCTGCCTCAGGAAACATGCTATCAATTTTGAGATCTGTTCTAAAGTGCCAATAGAAGTTGTCAGTATCAATGTTTATCATGATGCTTCTCTTTCACATGAGATATTTTTCCTCTAATAAAAATTACATGCTATATAATGGGTATAATTGCATATATCTTTCTTGTTTGTATTTTAAATATTACAGTACAAGATATAGGGCTGTAAAAGATGTCAAAACATAATCACACTCTGGGGAAAAGAGGATTTGTTGTATGCTTGAGAGAGCAGCAGATAGAGTCTTCAATTGCTTACTGCAGATCTGCCATTTCTAATAATAATAAAATTGTAGAGGACGAAGTCATTGTGAAACTACAAAAAAATGCTTCAGGAAGGACCAATTATCATTCAGCTCTAATGCTACTGCTGACTCATCACAGGGAAAATGCATCACAACCGTTAATAACCGATAAATGTCATAGATGGTGGAGAAAATATTTAAAAATTCAATGGTTTCAACCTAAATGGCTCATGAATTATACATTTAATTAAGAAAAGCCAAATGGGAAGGTTTTTAAACTTCCAGTTTGGAAGGTTTTTTTTTTCTTTCCCCATTGAAAGATACACAGATTAAGCACAGCAGTGGCTGATGCTGGAACAAAATAGATAAAAGCCCCCAGTGCAGGCTGGCTCTTCAGATGACTGGGAGGAGCCAGCCCATGGGGAGAAGGGAGCAGGGCAGGGTGAGAAATACTATGACAGCAAAGACTTGCAGCTTTACATCTTCACCAATTCAGAGGGCACAAAAGGGCACCTGGATTGTACTCCCAGAGCTGCTGCTAGCTCTATTCCCCTCTGCTTCTTCACTTGTAAAAATGAAGTGGTTGGGCTGGCAAGTCTCGCAAATCCTTGCCATCCCAGACGTTTTATGAATGTATAAACTAAGAGACAGCCTTTTCTCCAGACTCCAACACACCACTCAAACGCAAATATACAAGGTGGTCCACCATTCAAAATCCAGGCGTTTCCCTTCCCAGTGTGATGATGCAGAGGAGACTGAGTTTTATCTTTTGTTTTGTTTTGTTTTTTTGGGTTTTTTTTTTTTTTTTGAGACAGAGTCTCGCTCTGTGGCCCAGGCTGGAGGGCAGGGGCGCGATCTCAGCTCACTGCAAACTCCAACTCCCGGGTTCCCGCCATTCTCCTGCCTCAGTCTCCCCAGCAGCTGGGACTACAGGTGCCCAACACCACGCCCAGCTAATGTTTTGTGTTTTTGGTAGAGACGGGGTTTCACCGTGTTAGCCAGGATGGTCTCGATCTCCTGACCTCGTGATCCGCCCGCCTCGGCCTCCCAAAGTGCTGGGATTGCAGGCGTGAGCCAATGCGCCCGGCGAGTTTTATCATTTTTATCAATGATTTCCAAAGGGTAGCTCCAGACCCCCCAGTGTCATTGTCACCTAGGAGCTTGTTAGCAATGCAGATTTCCTGGCTCCTCCCCAGACTTACTGAATCACAGAGTCTGAGGGTGGAGCCCAGCGGCTTGTGGTTTAGCAAGTCTACCAAGGGGTTCTGATGCATGGTGAAGTTTTAGAACCTCTGCTTCAGAGAGGCCCATTTAAGAGGGAAAATTCAAGTTTTTATATCTGTTCTACTCCCTGCTAATATTAGCAATAAGTACTTTACAGTAATTTCACATGGCAGTTTAACTTATTTATCTATGAAGTTCTTAAGAAATTGGACGCAGGACAGGAAATGTTAATGGGGGAGGGAATGGACAGTGAGGAACATTTGTCTTAGAATGTGAGTAAGGTTGGTTACTTGTGGAGCTTGGGAGTTTTGAAGGAAGGCTAAAGGTGAGGAGGACGAGCTAAGGAGAGGACATGAACATAGAAAAAGAGGATCAATTGTAAAGACATTGAAAAGTAGAAAGCTATTGTTATGGGAAAGGGGTTCAGATCCGGACTCCATGAGAGGGTTCTTGGATCTTGTACAAGAAAGAATTCAGGGCGTGCCCATAGATTAAAATGAAAGCAAGTTTATTAGGAAAGTAAAGGAATAACAGAATGGCTACTCCATAGACATAGCAGCCCTGAGGGCTGCTGGTTTTCCATTTTTATGGTTATTTCTTAATTATGTGCAAAATAATCATTATATACCTCCTGGTTTTAGACCATATAGGGTAACTTTCTGATGCTACCATGGCATTTATAAATTGTCGTGGCGCTAATGGGAGTGTAGCAGTGAGGACAGCCAGAGGTCACTCTCATTGTTATCTTGGTGTTGGTGGGTTTTAGCTGGCTTCTTTACTGAATCTGTTTTATCAGTAAGGTCTTTACGATCTGTATCTTGTGCTGACCTCCTATCTCATCCTGTGACTTAAAATGCCTTAACTTTCTGCAAATACAGCCCAGTAGGTTTCAGCCTCATTTTACACAGCCCGTATTCAAGATGGAGTTGCTCTGGTTCAAAGGCCTCTGACAGTATTATTAGGGAAAGAGCAAAGATCTGGCATCTGAAGGATCTAGGTTCAAGCCCTGCTCCTCCCACATGTTATGAATACAATTTTGGGAAATTACCTTTATACTGTTAGTTCTTGCACCCTTAGCCTCATAAAGCAGTTGCTGGCATGATGAAATAAGTTTTTTTCTGAATTTATTATTAATCTTTATGTAATCTTCCCTATTTCTGGATTAGATTCTTCCAGCAGCTTCTAAATATCTCACTATTAAAGAAGGACACACCACATGTAGGAATAGATTGGCAAGTTCTAGCAGCTAAGGTAAAAATGAATTCACCAGGGGAGAGAGGAAAATTACAGTCTCAGGTCCCAAGATTACAGGTTGAAGAATACAAAGATTTCTTGGGCACTAGTGGCAAACTGTAATTTTTGTTAAGTGAAAGGGGTGACATTGGATTTCAGAGAGCTAAAGCGTATTTCTCTCCACAAATAGGCATTGAATAAGGATCCGTAAGCTGAGACATGGCCCTGGGAATTTGCTCAAGATTGTCTTTGTTTCACAAAAAGGTTCAAAAGATGAGGAGTCAATGACAACAGGGGAATCTGAACTACATTCTTTCCTTCCTCTTTATATTGAAGAAAAATTTACTCTCTAGATGACTCTGATTTCAAACAAAAACCTTTGAGCATCTCTTTGGTGGAGACAGCAACAGGCTTAGAAGTGAGGCAGCAAAGGACGTCAGTAAAGAAACTGAAGCAAGAGACCACATGGTATGATGAAAGACTCCAATAGAGACTTGCAAAAGAAAATAAAGACTCAATACATGAGAACAGCACGAGCATCTCAAAGCATTTTTCAAAAATTAAAAGCAAATTGCATTTATGCATACTTGATCCAAAAGTATAGACTCTTAGGGAGATCAAAGGAATGTTGAGGCTGAAGGAAACCATTCGTAGAAGCTTAGGTTTAACCCCCATCCATCGTCAAAACAATTTTTTTTTGCTACATCCCGAGTAGTGTTCATCCATACTCTGCTTGATCATGTCTAATGATAAAGAACTCACTACCTAGTAGATCATCCACTGCTATCCTTCTCAAATTTAGACTGTTCTTCATTATATTAAATCTAACAGCATTCTGTCACCTCCAGCAGCCACGAGTCCTACTTTTGCCTTCTGGACATTGATAGAGAGGGTTTTATTTAACTTTTTATGCGTGTGGCAGCTCTTCAATGTAAACAGACAGCTGTAATATGCTTCCAGAATCTTTTTTTCCAGAGGCAAAATCAAAGTTTTATCACTATGTTTTGTGACTGGCTTTTGCTACATTTTATTTTTTATCTCTTGATAAACTTGATATTTTTAATTCCTCTTTCAATAATGGGTGCTCCGAACAAAATATTTCAGTCAATTGCATGCGTCATTTGGAGGGTGTCGAAAACACAGATCCCATGATACCTGGCTCAGATAGAATAAATAAAACTAAATTGCTAAGAATTGAGTTAGCTATTTGTATTTTAACAAGCTTCTTTAGTGATTCTAATGTACATCAGGTGTGGGAATCAGTGCCTGCATAAAACATAAAACATCCATTTGAACGGTTCAGAGTAAGAATAAGAAATGTTATCCACCCTGTTTTTACAAGTTGCAGCTCATTCTAGTGTTTAGCCTTTCTGACACTCTTCTTATCCTGTTGATTCTTTCTTCCATTTACACAAAAAATGCATAGCAATTTAAAATTATAATACGACAGAAACACATTACAAAGAGAGTAAAAGCCTTTTGTATTTCCCTCCACTCACTCTGAGAAAACCACTGTATACATCTCCAGGTTTTTAAATGTAAGAATTTGCATAAACATATCACACACACACACACACAAAGTTCCCACACTCATAACATGCTTTTTACCTAACAATGCTGCTTAGGTTTTTTTTCCCACATGACACTACTTTTATGGTTTAATGACACTTTTTGCATTTTCTCACTTCATGCGCAAGTAGCATTTACTGTGCTCCTGCTGTTCCTGGTCTCATCTTTACTTTATTTCTTCTCCATTCCTGGGAACGATATCAGGGTTCTGTCTGCAGAGACAAATTTCTTTTTACTGACATCATTTATAAATTGTTGTGAGAAATTAATTATTTTGCTCCTCCCCACTATTAATAGATTAACTTTTTCCTTCTTTCTCTTTCCTTCCTTCCACATTTTCTTTCTCCTTTTTTCCTTTATTTCTTCCTTCCTAAAATCTCATTCCTTTAAGTATGGTTCATGCTTCATGCATTTTTTTTTTCTCGATGGAAGGGATGACAAAATGACAATATTCCCTCATTCCCATTTTCAAGAGTTTGTCTCTATAGATCAGATTTAAGTCCAAAATAGCTGTCAGTTTGTTTTGCCACCTTTTACTTTTGGGAATTTAAATTTAGTAAGGTTAGTGAAGAATGTTTCAGGTGGTCTCTTCCCAGCTGAGGAAGCCTACCGGAACATATCAGAAATAATTAGCTTCTTTTGTCTCTGCCATGTCTTGCTTCCGTGCCAGTTTTTAATGTAAGTACAGTTGGCAAATAGCAACTCAGCTCTCTGTTTGGACAAGAGGCTCCAAGATGCATAAACTACTCCCCTGTGAACTATAATTCAAAAGTGTATGAGGGTCCATCCAACTGAAGACTTTTTTTGAGTTAGTTGCAGTATATTCCCCTTCTCCACCCTGAGTACCTATATACTCCACCTATTTTGGGGATCTCCTTTGGACCAGCTATATTCTTCTACTTCCCTAGACATAGTTCTACTCTACCTAGTTTCCGCAGTACACCTAATGTCTTAGCTTCAGGAAGAATTATATTCACCAAGCTTTAATACATATGAATATTTGCTTTTGCTCAAAGATTTCTGGCTAAAACGAAAGAAATTGACAGCACATGATTTTTGTGAGGTTATGGGACAACTGGAACTCTCAAATATTGCTGGTGGAAGTATAAACTGATACAACCACTTTAAAAAATTCTTTTGTCATTTCTTATAAAGTTACACTTACATCTACATTATGGCTTACTCCTAGGAATCTAACCAAGAAAAATAAAAATGTATACAGACAGTCTTAGACAAGGATGCTTATTTCCACCTAATACATAATGACCTCAATCTGGAAATAATCCAAATGCTCATCAACAGGAAGGTGTCCAATCAAATTATGGTATATTCATAAAATGAAATACTATCCACAATATAATGGAAGAAAGGGCTTATAGTCATGAAAACAATAGGTGAACCTTAAAATTATGTTAAATGAAAGAATTCAGACATAAAATAGTACATTCTGTTTGTTTTATGATGACATACAAATGACAGCAGAAATAATCTATGATGATAGAAATCCAGTAGTGGTTGCAGCAGTAGAAAAAAACAGGGGAGGATTTCTGAAGACCTGGAAATCTTCCTCATTTTACTTGGGGAAGGATGGTTACAGGGGGTATATAATGGTCACAAGTGATTAAACGGAACACAAGTTCTGTGCATTTTAACATATGCTCATTATGTCATTTATACAGTTACCCACAAGATTTCCAGAGATGGACTGATTGATGTTCAGTAAAAACAATGTGTGCCCTGTTTCATGTTTATGCTCTTGATAGTTACTCGGAGAAATGCTTGTCGACTCCTCCGTCACTTGGATAGCTCTAGTTTATCGTGCCGGTTTCAAAATGGAATTCCTTCTTAGAAGTCTTTTCTGATGACACATCATTCTAGGCTCCTTCTCTGGGCTCCCTATAATGCCTTTGTCAAAGCATATGTTATCCTTCATTGAGATTACTCACATTATTGGCAATTAGCAGTAACTGGTGTGACCTTTATAGGGCACAGGTTTTGTTTGGTTTTACACTAAGACCTAAAACTGTCACAGAATAGCTGCTTAAAATTATGTAATAATCAGGCCAGTGCAGTGGCTCATGCCTGTAATCCTAGCACTTTGGGAGGCTAAGGCAGGAGAATGACTTGAGCTCAGGAGTTGGAGACCAGCTGGGGCAACATAGTGAGACCCCATCTCTTTAAAAATAAAAAAGAAATTATGTAATGATCAAATGAGTGAACTTCAAGGTCTGTGGTAGACTTCTTGAACTGAAATTTTTAAGTTAAATTTTTAACAAGTACCTGTAAGTATGTTTAATTCTTCTGATAATGCACTGAGAAACACTGCTTTGAAGCAGCATAAGTTTTTCCTAAGGAATTCAGTGTACATTTGGAACAGTTATTATTTTATACGTCTTATGGTATTTCTTAATAAACTCATCCACTTATTTCCATAACATCCTATTGTTATATCCTTAATCCCAAAAAGTCAATGATGGGGAAAGTGCCCACATAATTTATCGTCCAATCTGAGCTATATTTCAATATAAGGGAATATTACAATTACACCAGATGACAGCTATCAACTGAGCAAATAGAGGCACAATTTTCTCCTAATTATGGGGAAGTAAGACAAAGAATTTTCAGATATGAATGAATGCAGTAAGGACAGTATGGTTTTGTTTTGTTTTGTTTTGTTTCTTGTTTTTCAGATTTATCTTATGCATGGACCTTCAATGATAACCCCTTATACGTCCAAGAGGACAATAGGCGATTTGTATCTCAAGAGACGGGAAACTTGTACATTGCCAAAGTGGAACCATCAGATGTGGGCAACTACACTTGCTTTATAACTAACAAAGAGGCCCAGAGAAGTGTTCAAGGTCCACCCACTCCATTAGTGCAGCGCACTGATGGTAAGATAATGAGTTATCTTGGGAATGTACTTTATCTTTGGCCCTTAAAGCCTGGGAAGATTCGTAAAGCTTTCTGCTTCCTTCTTGTTTGGTGGAGCCAAATTACGAGTTTAGGTTCAATTCACAAATATGTAAACCAGAAATATAACAGAAAATTATCTAATTCACCCACATGGTGCAGTAGACATGGTTCTGGGTATACCAAGCCATCTCCTTTCTGGCATTGAAACAGCTTGTCTTTTTTTTGCTTAAAGACTGTTTTGTAAAAACAAAAACGATGTTCCGGGGAGTTGGCGTGTGTGTATGTGTGCACGTGTGGGTGCTGCCAAACATATAACTGAATCAATATATTTTTAATGAACATATGTTGCAGCTACTTTTTAATGGCCCCTTTTTTCCATATTTGCCCTTTTTTTGTTGTTCACCCTTTATTTACGTGGCTGGCAAAATGGAGGGAAAAGTTCATATCCAAGGAAAGCAAAGCAAACCAACATTAATTATGAGCATTCCAGAGAAGAATGAAACACAAGATTTATACTAATTATATTCCTCCAAGGAACATAATTCACACTAGTCTCTGACGAGCTTTGTAGCTTAGTCAAGTCATGGCTGGTACAAGATTTAGAGAGCCAGAAAGTTTAAGGAAGTCATTGAAGTGGAGAAATTCTCTAGTTGTTTTTTTAATTAAATGTTCACAGTGGGATTCATACAGGTAGAAAATTTGTTGGTGCATTTTATGATTGTATTCAGGACTTGAAATGCAATACCTCGTGGAGTTTTTCTCCCCTCTGAAGAGTTGAAGAAAAGCAAGAATATAATGCTAATGAAGCATAACAGAATTGTGGAACAAGTCCCATAGAAGGAGTTCTTATAATAGAGCTTTTATAATCACTAACCACCCAAATGTATTTGCAAGGTCTTCACTAAGATTTCAGCAACCATTAGACTTATTCCTAAGTCCAATTTATCTCCTTCAATGAATACTACTATTTATGACCAGAAGAATTCATGAGCCAACAATATACTTGGAGATTCTACCATGTTTTTCCTTTTTTTGTTTCCTGTCTACTCTGAGTTTCTGCTTCTTGCCTTCTTAATTCCTTCCTTCTTCTATCCCCTCTATTCCCTTGAATACATTTACAGGAAAAATAGAGCAGAAGTATTATATATAATATAAAAATCAAACCTATTTTAAAAGTGAGCAGGTAGGAAATATCAGATGTCAAGAAAGTGAAAAAGAATAAAACCTACCAACTTAGTTGAATGAAGTAGTACTCACTACCTTCTCACCATAACCTCTTTGAATGTTTATAATGATCAAGTCTTAAAAATTAAGTATTTTTATTTCATATATATTTTGTAATTTTTACTTTTTCTGCAATTATATTGACCACCAACAATGTATTTATTTTAGAAATGTATTACTCTGTCGTTTGGTACATAGATTAAAAATGATCAAAGTATTTAAATAATCTTGAGATGTCACTGATTAAATTAATTAAGTTAATGAGAATAGCCTACAGATATATTTCTGTTACAACTCCTCTGGTAGGCAGTGTATTTACAATAGGTTATACCATCATCTTATCTTGGCACATATCCCCAATTCCTTGGATTGAAAGTTTTAAAACTTAAAACAAATTCGTATAGGTATACAGCAAACTTAGCGGCAAAACCTTATTGTACTAATATGTGAATATTTACATTTTTATCTCAATTAATGTGATGCCTTTATATGTTCTGCTGCAGAACTACTGTTATTTTGGACTAAGACCTACTGCAGTGGACTTCTACCAGTGTTAGCTGAAAACATCCCGTTGTTGTTGTTTTTTTCTTTTTTTTTTTTTTTATTAATCAGATCTGGCTCTCTGAGTTCCCTGAAAGGTAGATAAATGTGGATGTCACTAGAAAAGTGTCTTTTTTGAAAACACAGAAGCATTTTAGAATCTATATGTATCCAATTCTTAACTGAAAACCCTAACTCTTATTAAGAAGAAATAATCAGGTTTTGGTTAATGAAGCATTTACTTCATAGAAAACTTCTATTCTCCAGAAATGCTGCTAGCTCTTTTGATATTTAACAGGTGTGATGGGGGAATATGAACCAAAGATTGAAGTGCGTTTTCCTGAAACTATACAAGCTGCAAAGGATTCATCTGTAAAACTGGAATGTTTTGCCCTTGGAAAGTAAGGTTTTTGTTTTTGTTTTTGTTTTCCTGGTTGCATTAATTTTTTTTTATTAAAAACCTTTTTGTTATTCATATATTGCTCTAAGGTAAATTACCAAGTAGATTTCAAATGCTGGGCAACAGTGGAACTTTCTGATTTGAATTTAAACAAACATGTCTAATACTGAGACAATGACCAGGCCTGTAACTGAAAATGATCAGGGCTGCAATTCTTCCCTACAGGTGCTGATATTTCCTTAGTTTAAGCATAATGAGACCCATTTAGGCAGCACATTGCAAGGGAATAAGTGCACTCGTATAAGATGATGGGCAAGTCACTAAACCTTCCACATATCCTTCACTCCATCTTGTCCTACATCCAGAAATACATTGCCTGGAGTATTTCCTTGCTTAATTAACCAACAATTCTGATAAATAAAAAACCACTGCTTGTTTCCAAAATAAGACTAATTAAAGTCCATTGTTCATAGTGGGTAATTAGAATTGAGCCCAACCTTCCCTGATAGTGGAGGCATTTTGTTTTACTCAGATAAGTATTTATTAGGAACAGGTTTGGAATACTTTTAAGCCAGGAAAATACCTACATTTTTGCATGGGATATCTAGAACCCCTCTTTGCTTTTTGGAGGTATACAAATTTCATTTTTGTGCCTATAAACACCAGAAAAAAAGAAGGAGACAGATAGACTAGACTGTCATTTTCAAATGTTAATATGCATGTGAGTTACCTGGGGACATGGTTAAATTCATATTCTGACTCTAGAGGTCTAGGGTGATGTTTGATTCCTCCATTTCTAAAAAGCTCCCATATATTAGTCATGCTTCTTGTAAACAGAACATACTTTGAATAGTAAAAGACTTGACTGACTCAGAGGTAAGCTCGGAGGGCTTACCTCTAAATCCAAAGTCTATTCCTAATGTGGCCCTCACATTTAGAAATAGTGACTTAGTCTCCAAATTCTAGAAAACATCCTTAAATGTCTCAGTCATATTATTAAGTTAAACATACTCAGCAATCCAAATAATGGTGGTTACTAAATCTTAGTTTGTTTTCTATAGATGGAGTTTTGCATATCTTTGAATGAAATTTCTCAGAATAGTCATTTCTCATGGATTTAAGAGACCGTATTTTATTTTCATAGAGTATGGGTCTCATAGCATTTATCAAATAAATAATTATTGATTGATTAAATGATTCTTAAGAAAGTGACAAATAGGGGCTTTACATCAGTTTTTAATTGTCTGCCTTTTAAGACATAATGAACTTTCACCATTTTCAGGCTTTTTCAGAAGTTAAGGTTTATAAAAATATTAAATGTCATCAAATTCTTTGATAATTAGATAATTAATTTTAAAAGAAAACCAATGAAAGAGAGTATCTGAAAAGAATATTAATAGCTTATTTAATCATATTTGGCATCAGGAAATATAGATTCCTGAAATTAAAAAATGGTCTTCCACAATAAAATAATTGAAAATGTTGAGGCTATTTCTCAAGAATCTAATGAAAATAATTTCATTTGCTAAGCACCTATAACTAAGCATTTATGATACAATATATATAATTGTCATAATCTTGCAGGGCAAGTTACGTTTTCATTACATATGAGAAACTGAAGCTCAGATTGGAGAAGTAACCTGTTCAATCTTATGTTTCTATTCAGAGGAAGCAAGCAATTCAAACCCAGGCCCACCTGATTTTAAATTCTGAATTTAGGAACTTCTAAGTAAATAGTAAGAGAACTGCTTTTGAAATCCTGGGAGACAGATTCAATTCCCAATTTTCTGAAGAGTTATTTGATTGTTAGCAAACGTGCTTATAATCTCTATGAATTACCATATTTTCATCTGAAAGGAGTTATGATGATTCCACCTTGTATGTTTGTTGTGAAGATTAGAATGGATAATACATGTTAAAACATTAAGACTTGGCATTTATGTAATAAATGCTCACTGAATTATTCTAAAACCAAAATCCAAATTTCATTCTACTTTTTTTTTTGAGACGGAGTCTTGCTCTGTTGCTCAGGCTGGAGTGCAGTGGCTTGATCTCAGCTCACTGCAAGCTCTGCCACCCGGGTTCCCGCCATTCTCCTGCCTCAGCCTCCCAAGTAGCTGGGACTACAGGTGCCCGCCACCACGCTAAGCTAATTGTAATTTTTTTTTGGTATTTTTAGTAGAGATGGGGTTTCAGCACGTTAGCCAGGATGGTCTCGATCTGCTGACCTCGTGATCCGCCCGACTCAGCCTTCCTAAGTGCTGGGATGACAGGCGTGAGCCACTGCGCCGACCGCATTCTGCTTTTATATAAGCAATGTTTGAATTAGTGAGGATGCCCAAGGGAGAGTAGGTGTCTCAGAGGGGGTATGAATTCTCATCTTTCCCAGCCCAGTCCTGTTCTCTCTGTCTCAGGATTGATGACAGTATAAGAGAGAAAGGAGCAATTAGGGTCAGTTCAGGAAGGAAGGAAGGAAGGAAGGAAGGAAGGAAGGAAGGAAGGAAAAAGAAAAGAAAGAGAAAGAAAGAAAGAAAGATAAAGAAAGAGAGAGAAAGAAAGAGAAAGAAAAAGAAAGAAAGAAAGAAAGAAAGAAAGAAAGAAAGAAAGAAAGAAAGAGAGAAAGAAAGGAAGAAAAGGAGAGATAACATGATCAATATAGTCTTTGAACTGCTCACATACCAGTTTCTTAAATTTATTTATTTTTATATTATTCAAACCTATAGAAAAGTTGAAAGAGTAACACACGGACATCATATACTCTATCTGAATTGACCAAGTGTAAACCTGTGCTACATTCCCTTTCTCTCTCTCTCTCCCCCTCTCTCTCTTTCTTTCTCCACACACAAATATATTTAACCAGATACATGGTAAGATCTAATCAGGAAAAATGAAGCTTGGGATATATGAGGTATGTGGAATAATTTAAAAATAAATAAAGCAGTGTCTTATTTTCTATTAACTCCATGGTGATGGAAATAATCAACGTATTATTAAATTGCAAAAGGTAAAATTTATAATACAGGAGTCCCTAAACTTTTTTTTTTTTTTTTTTTTTTTTTTTTTTGAGACGGAGTCTAACTCTGTCGCCCAGGCTGGAGTGCAATGGCACGATCTCGGCTCACTGCAACCTCCGCGTCCCCGGTTCAAGTGATTCTCCTGCCTCAGCCTCCAGAGTAGCTGGAATTACAGGCACCTGCCACCACACCCAGCTAATTTTTGTATTTATAGTAGAGGCGGAGTTTCACTGTGTTGGCCAGGCTTGTCTCTAACTCCTGACCTCCTGCTCCACCCATCTTGGCCTCCCAAAGTGCTGGTATTACAAGCGTGAGCCACTGTGCCCGGCTCCTAAACTTTTGACAAAAATTAAACTAGCAATATTTGACCCAGAAAAATTTGAGTTGGAAAATTAATAGTTTAAAAAACTCTCAAAATGTAAAATCTGATGTGTATGTACAAAAGAAACCCCCTGATAAATAAATCATGTTGGTTAAGTTTATGCAGGAAATAACCGTTGAACATGAAATAATGTTAAATGGGAATAGGAAAATAATATAAATTACCAAACCATACCTCATAGAAAATTGTCAAGGAAATTCTTGATTTAATAGAGTACACTCCCTAAATTGTTATCTAACAAAATTAATCAATGTTGAGATTATGTTTATTAAATGAAGGCATTAATATAGAATTGAAATACCTTGTGGTAAAAATGGAAAGTCTGAAGCATCTGCTCGGTCAAAGCGGTAGCGTTAAGATGCCCTGTATAACAATCTTACATTTTGTGTAGTTGGAGTGCAGATACATTTCTCATTTCTTCAAAACAACGAAATGTATGTGAAAATACTTTGACTACTTTGGAAAACTTACAAATGTGAGTTACTACCAAAAAGAATTTTATATATGCTTGCCAATAGTTTTCAGAAAACAAATTAAATTATCTTTGACACATTGCAAACATACTGAAAATGCCTTTGAGTCCATTATAAATTAAGGTATTTAGCAAATGCCATATTGTCTTCTAAATATATAAAATTAACAAGCATAAAAGGCGACACACTCACTAGAAGATTAATTATGTTATAGGTATATAATTAACAATCTGAAAATAAAAAGTCAAACGTCTTATCTTCAAAATTATAAATCTGTATTTGTAAGTTTGTTGCCAAGTGTTTTTATAAAGTCTATTGTTTATTATAAATCATATTCTCTAACATCTCTTCATAAAAATATTGCTGTGCAGCATTTGGTTTTAGTCATTTTTTTCCCCAAATGTGGGGACTCCCTTTTACTAATCCTTCTAAATCTTCCTGTCTACTTTGTGATGTACTTTACTCTTTTGTAAGATGTTGCATAACCTCAAAACTGAGAAAAGCTAGTTGACTTGAGGAATAAAATCAAATATTTTTTTCTTATTACATTACTATTCATTGACTGCTATTTAAGCTATAGACTACACATTTATTAGACTAAGATGTATATATTTTAATAGATGGGGGAAAGAGAGAGAGAAGAGGGAGGAAGGAAATCAATAGGTGGGTAGAAGGAAAAAGAAATGAAAATATAGAAAGACCAGCTCCAGTGCCAGATCTTATTACATTTTTTATTTTTAGGTCATAAGAGAGCTTCTGATATAAAAATTGGCTTTTGTTAAATGTTTGTTTAATGTACCCCATACATGTGCTCACATAACTAGGAAATATCACCCCCTATCACTGGGAATATTTTTTCTCTTGAGGTTGTAGATTATTTTTGTTATTTATTTATCTTGCTTTGTTTTCTCTGAAATTCCTGAGTCTATGGTTTGGTGTTTGTCATTATTTTTGAAAACTATTCAGGCATGATTACTTCAAACATTTATTTGTTTGTTTTTTTCTCCTTTTAGTATTTGTTTTACATTATCTTTTATGCCATTTGTAATCTCCCTTCTGTCCAAGTTCTTAATCTTTTTAAAATTTTTATTTTTATCTTTGCATCTCAGTTTGGGAGGTTCTATTGATACTGCTTGTCATTCATTTACTTCCCCCCTTAGCTATGTTCAGTCTACTGGTGAGCCCATCAAAGCCATCCCTCATTTGTGTTATAACTTATTTTATTTCCAGCATTTCCTTTTGATCCTTTCTTAGAGTTTTCTTCTCTGTGCTTACATTATCCATTTGTTCTTGTATGCTGTTCACTTTTTTATTATAGCACTTAATATATTAATTATAGTAATTCAAAATTACAGTCTGATAACTGTTCAATTTTAAATCCTCAGCCTGATAGTCCTAAAAGTTTCATTGTATTTGAGTCTAGTTATCATGGTTGTTTTGTCTCTTCAGACTGTTTTTTAGCAGGCTTTGCACTTTTTTTTGAATCCTGGTCATTATTATATCAGATTAAAGGAACTTCAATAACTAAACTTTTAGCGTGAGGTTTTATGTTTTTCTAGCTAGGGTTAGACTGTAATTACTGTTGGCTCTAGCTGTGGTATCAGAGGTTAAATTTTAGCTAGTACCTTTGCTTTTATCTCCACTCTTGCCCTTGGGTTTCCCTAGAGACTCTTTCCTAAATAGCATCTAAAGCTTGCCGTTATTTCAGCTGTAATTCTCTGCACTGTAATTATATAGGAGCCCTAAATAAGTCCTCGCTTGCTAATTCTATCATCTCAGTTATTTGTGGGTCTGTTTCTATTGGCTGCTTTTTCTCCTAGTCACAGTTCTCATTTTTTTGCTTGTTTGGATATCTAGTAATTTAAGATTGAATAGTAGACACCATAAATGTCTTGTTGTTGAATGCTAAATTGTGGTGTATTTATTAAAAAGCTTTTTGAACTTTATTTTGATAGGCAGTTGTTATACTACTGTGAATCCTCGAGTTTTCTGTGGTTATTAAGGCTGGTTTACTACTAAAATGAAATCCCCAACTGAATGCTTCAAATGTTCACCAAGTTTTTCTTCTCTGGCATAGTGGAGCTCTCATGTCTTCCAGGCCTATTTGAGCTCTGAAAATTATTCTTTGCCCAGCCTCATGTGACACTCCTATGCAGATCTTCAGAGCACATTATTTGAGTAATGCCATTCTTTCTAACACTGTGCTCTGCAATTCCAGCCACTTCAGCCTCTCCAAATCTTATCTTTGTCTTCTCAGCTTAGTGACACAGTACTTTACTACTTATGTCTCCCCTACCTACTCCCTGATCTGGATGGAAAGCATCTCTACACAGAAAATAAGGGCTACCAAAACCTTACTTCATTTATTTCCCCTCTTTCAGGATCATACTTTTGTGTTGCCAATTGTTCAAGTTCCAGAAAGAGGTTTTTTTTTTCCATATATTTGTCTAGTTTTTCACTGTTTTTGAAATACTAATTACGGAGGTAAATACAGTGAGGCTTAGATAAATTAAGTGACTTAACCAATGTAAGTTGCATAAGTTGCATATCTGGGATTCAAATCTACATCTCATAGATTCTGACTTCAAAACTCATGCTTATAACACTTTCATATTTATATTGAATTAACTTCTAAGTATCTGACTTACTTAATCCTCCATGTGCAGATGTAGTATGACCCTCAATTATGTAAATATTTTACAAGAAAAAGGCTTGAAAGAATTCAGCAAAATGTTAAAAAATGCTTTATCTAGGGAATGGAATTATAGATATATTTCCCATTTATATTATCTATAATAACTAATATTCCAGCAACAAGTAAGTTTTAATTTTATATATTAAAAATAACCCTTGGCCGGGCGCAGTGGCTCACGCCTGTAATCCCAGCACTTTGGGAGGCCGAGGTGGGTGGATCACGAGGTCAGGAGTTCAAGACCAGCCTGGCCAAGAAGGTGAAACCCCCTTATCTACAAAAAATACAAAAAATTAGCCGGGTGCAGTGGCAGACACCTGTAATCCCAGCTCGGGAGGCTGAGGCAGGAGAATTGCTTGAACTCAGAGGGTGGAAGTTGCAGTGAGCTGAGATCGTGCTGCTGCACTCCAGCCTAAAGACAGAATGAGACTCTGTCAAAAAAAAAAAAAAAAACAAAATTCAAAAGATAAACTTGTAAAAATTCAAGCTGTGTTTTAATGAGAAGAAAAAAGTGTTTTCAAAAACATCAAAAATCAGGTTTATACACCTTATTATTTTATAGATGATGATGGCAATGTACACCATTTCTAAAAGTCTGGTATACCTGATTAGGTAGCACTCAGAAAACATAGCTTCTGTCACGGATACCATCATGCAGACAGAATGTATAAAAAGTGAGGTCTAGAGAAGAACAGGTGAAGTGTTTACTCATATAATCTAACAATCTTAAACCACTATAAGCTAGTGTGAGTATAGAATAATTAAGACAAAGCTTCAAGTAATTGTCTTAACTTTAATTGCTATGACTTTGGGGATATGTAACTGACTTCCTTTGTTGGAGTTTCAGAGCTGACATGATCACAGCTTTCAACTCTCAGCTTTGTCTCATTTGTTTAACATGGTGGACTCTTAATTATGAAAGCTGCAAATTAATTGTATTGTGAAATACCCTGAGAAGCTCCTTGTATAGGTGCTATGCAAATGTAGTATGATTGACTGATAGATATGTACGTCTCCTTTGAAAAAAATATGGGCTCTTGCTGAGTGAAGAAATTAAACTGATATCCCCCATAACTCTATTCTACTGCTTTTATAAACAACCAAACATATTTTCCTTTTTTTAAAAAAATCTTAATTTAGTACCTTTTCTGTCAGTGTTCTGGAATGTAAATAACATTAGTAGCAGCACTGAACGTTCCTGTGTGTTCTGAAGCCTTCACACAGAGGACTATATTTATGTGTACATGTATAACTTATTTTTTTTTCTAATTTATGAAGCTAAAGATACCCAGCTTGGCTATTAATGTCAAGCAACAAATCTGAAGTCTCACCATGATGTTGTTAGGTGTTCCAGAATTTTCAGGTGACAGAGGAGCTATTTCTTATAGTGTTTGCTTTTCGTCTTACTAATGTGGACATCATTGCAGATTATACTGCAGAAAGATTTTTCAAGTCACTTAAGATGAAAATAACATTTTTAAATCAAGCTAGGCACACTGAAATTTTTCAGTTCCTTAGCGATTATTTTTGGTTTATTGAATTAATCACTCAGGTATCTTAATGATTTTGAAACTGGATGTCTAAAAAATTGTTTACCTTTTGTTTCCCCTCATTGAGTTGAGCAGATAGAGAACAGAATCTCTTCCTAGGCATAGTTTACCCCATTCACTCCAGAAATGTATACTGAAACCTAATCTTTAGATTCTTGCTAATGGCTTTTTCTATAACACGATATTATCAATAACTTTTTTTTAACATGACGTGGTATTGCTTGGCATAAAATAATCAAGTAAACTCTATAGAACACTCACCTCTGTTGACCATGCTCACAAATCTGAGAACTAAAAAATCTTCAAGCCAATTATTCAGAAATTGAAAGATAACATTAAACCCACTACACTCTCACATAAACAAGCGCTCAACCTAGCAATAAATAATTTATCAGTGAATTTACTAGCATTTGAAGGCAAATGGTATGCTGAAAAGTGTGGACTTTAAGTTCAAATAGAGCAGGATTGGAGTCTTAACTTCACTTGTCAATAGCTGGATGACTTTGGTCAGTTTTCTTATCTGTATAAGGAAGGCAAAAATGATAGAGAGAGAATAAATAGATACAGCAGAATGTTTGTAAGGACTGGAAATACTATTAAGCTCACTTACTAAATTTCCTGACCCATAATAGGCATTAAATAGTAACTACTTTATTAATCCTGGGAATTGTCAAAGCTGCTTTGACTGAGGAGGTAAAAAGGAACATGTAAGAAGGAGCGAAGTGGTTTCTGTATTATATTTTTGTGTTAAGGGACTTCCCCAGAAGAATAGATTTATCATTTTAAATTCTGTTCAATCTTTCTAAGAGTTACTGACGTTTCCTCACTCACTCATTTGACAAATTGAGCACAAATTATTCATTCACTTAGCAAATATGTATTGAATACCTCATTCCATCATTAATTCCTTCATTTCTTCATTTAGGTAGTCAGTCAGGAGGGATTCTCCAAAGGACAGACACTTGGCCCTGGGAGATAAAGAAGATTACATAAAGGCCCCGGGGAGGTTGCAGGCTAATGAAAATAAGATTGATGTAACAATGTGCAATCACACATTCTCTTGGGATCAGCTCTTTCCTTCCAGACTTTCAGTGAAGGAAGAGTCAAGGATCCTCACTTTGGGAGCTTTACTGATTATCTTTTTCCCACGCTGCCCTTTATCAAATAGAGACTGGAGAGGGTCACTGTCATTTCTTTAGCAGAGCTAATTTTAGGCTATTATTTAAGGGTTTCTTGTATTTCTGAGAAATGGAAAATTATTTCTTCCTTTTTTCCCCTCTGTTCATAAATACATTTTTTAACTAATGGATTTTAAAGAATAGTTTTAGAACAGAAATATTGAACGGATAGTACAGAGAGGTCCAATATAACCCCCCCACACACAATTTCCCTTGTTACTAACATCTTACGTTATTATGATGCATTTGTTACAATTAACCAGCCAATACTGATGTCTGATTATTATAAAGTCCATATTTTATTCAAATTTATTTGGTATTTATGCCCTTCTATTCCAAGATTCCATCCAGAATACCATATTACATCGAGTTTTCTTGTCTCATTAGTCTTCTCTTGTCTGTAGCAGAATCTCAGACATTTCTTGTGTTTGATGTCCCTGACAGTTTTGAGGGGTGGTGGTCAGTTTATTGTAGGCTGCCCCTCTGTTAGAATGTGTCTGTATTTGTCATAATTAGACTGGGGTTACAAGTTTTGGAGAGGAAGAACATAAAGGTAAGGAACAATTTTCATTACATATCAAGGTTAACTTTATCATAATGATTTATGACAGATGATGCTGGCCTTGATTACCTGGCTGAAATACTTTTTATCAGGGTTCTCCACTGTAAAATTACTCTTTTCTCCCACTCCATACTGACTCTTTGGAAATGGGTGACTATGTGTAGTCCACATTTGATGAATAGAGTGTTGTGCTTCACCTTCTGCAGAATAATGAGACTATAGAATTCTTCTACCTGTGAAATGTGTCACTTCTTCCTCATTTATTAATATTTAATAATTTACTTCTGTCAGTACTGACTCACAT
Organism: Homo sapiens; assembly: GCF_000001405.40. NCBI lineage: Eukaryota > Metazoa > Chordata > Mammalia > Primates > Hominidae > Homo > Homo sapiens. The sequence continues at coordinate 1,308,146 of NC_000003.12, forward strand.
ATAATTATTTTAGACTTTGGGTTGTAATTCTGTGCTACTTTGTTTATTTTGCTGCTCAAATTGTTTTAGCTTTTGCCATTGGGAGACTTTTAAGTTGGATCTTGTGCCCTTTGTTATGCACTCATCAATGTATGGGGTGTTTTGTGTGTGTGTGTGTGTGTGTGTGTGTGTGTGTGTGCACCTGTTAGCACTTTCTTATTTACTGGCATTAAAGATGTTCCAGGTTCATCTTGTATGTTTCATGCCCTAGTCATAGAAGCAGTCATGTCTCCAAGGATAGGGTCTTGTTATTGAAGAATGACATCAGAAACCAATATCTGGGTACTAGGTGTGCTTGTTGCTGCTGGAGTGTCATTTATTTAGGCGCTCTCAGATGACAGAGAAAAGAAGTATGTGTGTCTATACTAATTATTATGTACATATATCTATAAGTATTTCTACATACAGCTATTTGTATTATGTTAAATTAAACATATGATCTTGTTGTTGTCTCCGACTCTAATCCATTACCACATGGATCACTCTGCTCTCCTCCACTTACTGATCAGTACCTTTCCACTCCACACAGTGCTGTCCCATTTTGCAATACCACCAGTAATAAATTAGAATTTTGATTTCTCTTAATCTACACCAGCATTTGATATTGTGTGTGTTTTTGTTTTGTTTTGTTTTTTAGCCATTCTTACAGGTGTATAGTGGTATTTCCTTGTTGTTTTAATTGGTAATTCTCTAACGGCAAAGGATGTGAACATCTTTTAATGTGATTATTTGCTATCTATTTATCTTCTTTAGTAAGACGTCTGCTTATATCTTTTCTACATTTTTAATTGGTATGTTTATTTTCTTATTGATGAGCTTTAAGAATTCTTTGCATATTTTGAACATAAGCCTTTTATCAGATATGCGTTTTGCCAATATTTTCTCCCAGTCTGTGACTTGTCTTTGCATTTCCTTAACAATGTCCTTAACAAAGCACAAGGTTTTTATTTTAATGATGTGCAGGTTATCAATTTTTTTTCCAATAAACGGTGTTTTTGGCATTAAATACAAAAACTCATCACTATATCCAAGGTTACCTAGATATTCTCCTCTGTCATCTTCTAGAGCTATTATAGCTTTATGTTTTGCATTTTCATTGATGGTCCATTTTGCATTAATTTTTGTGAAAGATATGACTTCTGGGTCTATTCATTTTATAACATATGGACTTCCAATCGTTCCAGTATCTGTTAAAAAGACAAATTTTTCTCCACTGTATTGCGTTTGCTCCTTTGTCAAAGATATGCTGACTGTATTTGTATAGGTCTATTACCGGGATCTCTTTTGTTCCATTGCTCTGTCTATTCTTTTGCCATTACCACATTGCCTCAATTACTGTAGCTTTACGGTAAATCCTGAAGTCAGGTAATGTCAGTACTCCAACTTTATTCTTCTTCTTCAGCATTGTGTTGGCTATTTTGTTTTGTTTTGCTTTCCTTGTCTTTCCATACAAACTTAGAATCATTTTGTCTATATCCATGAAATAGCAATTGGGGTTTTGATTGGGATTGACTTAAATCTATTGATCAAGTTGGGAAGACTTGACACACTGACAGTGTTGAGTCTTTTCATCCATGAACACAGACTATTTCTCCGCTTATTTCGATCTCTTTTAATTGATTTTATGAGATTGTATAGTTTTCTGCATGTAAATTCTGAAATACTATTTTATATAAACCCTAGAATTTCATGTTTTAGTGCTAATATAAATGGCATTGTATGTTAATTGTGGAATTCAAATTCCATTTGTTAACTACTGGTATAAACAAAAGTTAACTGACTTTGATATATTAACATTGTATCTTGTTGCCTTGCTATAAGCACTTATTAGTGCTGGAGTTATTTTTTGTTAATTCTTGGGGATTTTTCATTGCTGCCTGGGAACAAGTATTATTTCCTTCTTTTCAATCTATATACATTTTTTTTGCCTTTTCTTGTATTATTGCACCAGCTAGGATTTCCAATACAATGATGACAGTGAGTGATAAGAGTAAACATGCTTGCCTTTTTCCGCTATCCAAAATGAAAGCATCCAATTTCTCACCATTAAGTAGGATGCTAGTGCTACATTTTTTGGCAGACATTTTTATCAAGTTGGGGAGCTTCCTCTCCATTCCTAGTTCATTGAGAATTTTTATTTTGGATAGGTGTTGCATTTTTCCAAATGCTTTTTTTGGCACCAGTTGATATGATCATGTGATTTTTCTTCTATTCATTAGTGGATTTCATGAATTAATTTTCTAATATTGAACCATCAGTCCTGCATACCCAAGACAAGTCCTATTTTGTTGTGGTGCATAAGTCTTTTTAATTGTTGCTGGACACAATTTGCTAATATTTGTTGAGGATTTTTCCATTTGTATTAATGAAAGATACTGGTCTGCAGTTTTACTTTCTTGAAATGTCTTTATCTTATTTTGGCATTATGGTAATTTGGCCTCATAGAGTGAATTTAAAAATATTCTCTCTGCTTCCATTTTCTAGAAGAGATTATGTACATAAAGAAGAAATGTATGTACATCAAGAAAAAATAGAGGCCAGGCGCAGTGGCTCATGCCTGTAATCCCAGGACTTTGGGAGGCTGAGGCGGGCAGATCGCCTGAGGTCAGGAGTTTGAGACTAGCCTGCCCAATATGGAGAAACCCCATCTCTACTAAAAATACAAAATCAGCTGGGTGTGGTGGTGCACACCTGTAATCCCAGCTACTCAGGTGGCTGAAGCAGGAGAATCGCTTGAACCCGGGAGGCAGAAGTTGCTGTGAGCTGAGATTGTGCCATTGCAGTTCCCAAAGGACAAAAACGAGCAGGAGAACCAGAGTTCTAGAAGTGAATTTGAAATGAGAGCTGAGGGCAGGCAAGGAAACAAGCAAGGAGATTAGGAAGAGTTACTTCCTTTGCTTAAAGCAAAACAAATACATACTTAGGTTTTTATATATACATAGGTGTATGTATATATAAAATGTCTTTATATATACATAGGTGTATATATAAAATGTCTTTATATATATAGGTGTTGTATATATAAAATGTCTTTATATGTACATATATGTGTATATATACACATATATATTTGTATATGTGTATATATACATACATATTTATATATACATATACGTATATGTACATATAAAATGTATATATACATATATGTACATATAAAATGTCTTTATATGTACATATATGTACATATAAAATGTCTTTATATGTACATATATGTACATATAAAATGTCTTTATATGTACATATATGTACATATAAAATGTCTTTATATGTACATATATGTACATATAAAATGTCTTTATATGTACATATATGTACATATAAAATGTCTTTATATGTACATATATGTACATATAAATGTCTATGTGTATATAAAATATCTTTATATACACATATATGTATATATAAAGTTTGAAAAAGTCAGATATACTCATTTAAGAAAATTCTGAAAATATAGGCAAGAAAAAAGGAGACAATAAAATCCTTTTTATACTTAATTTCTCCCCCAAAGGATAACTACTCTTATTTCAGTATACATATATCCTTCCTGTCTTTATTCTACTTTTAACATAATTAGTATAATACACTGCATATTTGTTTGTAAATTTTTTTAATTCTTAAAAATATACCATGAACATATATGCAAGTCATTAAACAGTCCTCTGCACCCTCATTTGTAATGACAATGAGATATTTCAATATATATTTATAGCCAATCTCCTATTGGTGGACATTTAGTTTCCATCAATTTTGTTTCCAATTTTTTGTAATCATGAATAATAATGTAATGAATATTCTTGTGGCTGTATTTTGCTTACGTTCATGTAAACTTCCTAAGTATATTTTTAGAAAATTAGGATTATTGGTAAATGGAACACTATGTAAAATACTACGATTTCTAAATATCTTGCCAGTTTCTCAAGAAAGATTATAGAGGGGCCACTGTCAAAGACCAGGGACCTGCCCTAAAAGTTGGCCTCTTTTAATCTTAAAGACACACTCCGAATCTAATGTCAAACATTCCTTTCCATATAGTTTTTGAAAATTTTTTTTTCAAGGAGCATAGAGTGGATTGTTACAGTGCTGTTTCTAAAATTAAACTAATTTAAAGGTTCTTAAAAATCATCCAAGAAGAATATATATATATGTATATGTATATTTCTGGAAGCAACTCATCATCCTTTCCATCCCAGTCTATCACCACCTCTCTCAGGAGACCCACAGTTCTTACTTTTAAGTAATTGGCAGTTTACAGTAGAGAAGGATTTCAAATCTAAGTTGGAACTGGGCTCAGGAAAAATAATAAGTTGTTTGTTTCCTATTTTCCAGCTGACCTTGGAGCCCATCTCTAAGCTTCTACTCAAATTTGGAGGCATCTCAATATGTTTTAAAAAGATAGTCTCCGTGATTTCACCTTTTGCCTCTTATACAAAAAAAAAAAAAAAAGCATCTATTGACTGGTTGCAAGACACATTAGTTCCTTAGGTGAAGAATGTATTGCTAAGCACATGTTATACACCCTAATAAGGTTTGCTCTCATTTTGTACCTGGTTAATTCATGCAGGGGGAGCAAAGCATGGTGATTTAGAGCTCCATGTCTGTGGAAAGACAGACTTTGGTTCAAATCCTTTTTTTTTTTTTTTTAATTTACTGTATGATGTTGGGCATATTACCCAAACTATCCTAATCCCAATTTGTTCATCTACAAAATGTGAACAACTGTAATCGTATGTTTGATAGTGCTATAGCATGATTTAAAGAAAATACTTAGCATGGAGCTAACATATAATATGTGCTCAATTCATGTTAAATAATGATAAAATGATAAACTGTTAATATGCCATTTCAGTCTCTTTACTTCTTTATATGAAAATTTATGATTCCAAACTGAGACAAGATCAAACGGAATAAATTTGAGGTAACACAAGGCCCACCTACCTATACCAAATTATCATTTTCTCTCCTAAGAGCAGCAGAGGTATTTATCGAGGCTTAGTATTATTTATTAATAAAAAATTATAGACAAGCTGTTAGTGAACTGCTAAGTGCAGTATCATATTCAGCTCTACCACATCTTGAAATAGTGGGCTTCAATTCATGTTTCATGTGCAGATTAGTATTCATATTATTTACATTAAAAGGAGTAGAAATTGGTAGTAAAATTCTTAGAGAATCTTTGGACAATGGTCCTTTCATGTCTCTGTTCATAATCTTGGTATTAAGGCAATTTACTAAGCCTTATTTATGCTTCAAACATTGTATTTTAGAATGTACTCTCATGGATATTTCCTCATTTGCTCTTCCTGTGTACTCATTCTTATTTCTAGTTAATGTAAAGAGAACACTGAGTCTCAGAGAGGTTAGGTAACTTGTATTCAGCTCTATAAAATTTGCCTGCGTCCTTTTTTTTCCCCCAACTGCAGGTGCCATTCTGTTACCACTGCTATTATAAACAAACCATTTGTGGCTTTTCAAAGATGTCCTCCCCAAGGGAAAGCTGATATAGGCATCATCTTATTCCCATTGGGCTGCCATCACAAAATACTGTAGACTTGTAAACAACAGGAATTGGCTTGTGAACAACAGAAATTTGTTGTTCACAAGTTCTGGAGGCTGGGAAGTCCATGATCAAGGCAACAGCAGACTTAGTGTTTGGTGAGATGTCTGGTGAGGGCTGATCTCTGGTTCATCTAGCTGTGTCCTCGCATGGTGGAAGAGAAAAACAAGCTCCCTCCGATCTATTTTATAAGAACACTAATCCCACTATGAAGGCTCTATCTTCATGTCATAGTCCCACCTCCTAATACTATCACCTTAGGGGTTAGGTTTCCAACCTATAAATTTGGGGAGGACACAAACATTCATTTCCTAGTAGGGACTGACTGCAAGGACAGAATCATGACTCCATTTACACCACTCAGAGTAAAATAAAAATGTTTTCTCTTTTTCCGTAACAGTGAGATTGCTTTTCTACAGAACTCATGAATTTATCCATATTGTATTGCCATAGGACAATCTTACATTCCAAGCTCTTTGTATGAATATTTCAAATTGGGGAAATGAAAGCAGCTAGCTGAACAGTCTGAAAATGTAGCAAAGGCATTCTTTGCTGGTTTTGTTATTCTGCTTCACTCTCTTTGATTAAAACTGGCCCACTGACAGGATTTCCTGAAATGAGGTTCAAGTTAATAATCCCAAATACAAGCATCTTAAGAAACTCATTCTCTGTACCAGTCTTTAGTTAAAAACTTAGTATGGCTTGGATTTAAGCTGTAGATAATGAGGTTTAAGAAATCCAGGGGAGAAATACAAGCTTTCTCAAATAGCACTAGTAATAAAAATTCTATTTATGGGCTAAAGGTATAGAATTGAGGCACAGTGTGCTTCTACTAGTGTATGTAGAGCTTTAATTTAACTCGAAATCAGGATGAACTAGGTCAGATGGTTAAGAAGTGTATTCTCTGTCTTCAGATAAAATTAATAGGATGCTCCCTTTGTAAAAGCATAAAGACATGACAGGATGAAGTAAAAGTCCATATTTATGGCAATGCGTATTCCAGAAGCACGAAACCACAGCAGAGGAAAAGAAAAAAGAAAAACTTTGCTTTTATCATCTAGTAGTATTTCACAATTGTGAAGAATCACATTTCAGGCAACCTTCATTTAGAAAATAGGAACAAAATAAGAAAAGGCTTTTGCAATGCTCCTTTTGAAATACAAGGTTCAAGAATCCCTCATCTATGGTCTGAGGAATCTTTGAATAAGAGAATTGCTTCATATTGGTTTTCTTTATTGAGATTTGCATCCAAGCTCAATTTTTGTAAAAAGAGAGAGGGGAGAAGTGTAAAATTGGAGTTTAAAGGGAAATGTTGCCAGAAACGACTGATATCTGTAGTTAAAATGATAATGGCACCATTTGTTTTGACTCTGTAACATCAGTTTCAAGAGATTTAACGATAATCTCCATTCTGAAGACCCCTTCAAAGATCCACCTTCCTCCATGGTGTTCTTTATCTGATTAATATATTAACTTTTCATTTTAAAGAGATCATTTATCTTGAAGCAAAACGAACTCCTAGTAAATACTGCATTGCTAGTATCAACATGGACAAACTACACAGAGTCTAAAAAGAATGCTGAAGCCACAGTAGGAGAAACAGTCTATTAGTGCTTTTAATTTAGTGGGTGGCAACTCAAAGGAATTAGAAGGTAGATCACAATAAATTAGCGTGCTCTGGAACTCTAAGTGGAGGAGAACTGGCAGGTAATAATTTAGTTGAAATTACCCATCTAAAGGTGAGTATCATTCCAAAAAGTTAATTAGCATTGTTAGCAGCTGCAAGCTGGGTATTTAGCTCAGATGGCATATGGAAGCCATCTGTCACAATGCCTGGTACATAGTAAGCACTCAGTTAATGATTATTAATATTATTTTAAAATATCTAATTTTCCTATACCATTTCCTTCAGTTTGGAGAGCACTGTCTGATTGCTTTCTTCCCTACTGAAATGGTACTAGATGATTAACCACGTTAAAGAAAAAGGTCCTCCACACCCACACATCCATGTCTCACCTGAAAGATTCCTGCCCTTGTCATGATGAAGTGAACATGACTACTATGATCAAGGTTGTATCTCCATAGCAGCTAGGACATTAAATGGTGAGATGCAGGAAATTTACACACACTCATGCTTGTGTAGCCGTTTCATTCATAGTGTGGAGATCTGATTTCAGTGTATAAATGATTCGTAAATCAGTTTGTATCAAATGCGTAGTCATATGGATCCCTTAACAGAGAGTAAAAGACAAATACATGTGAATTAGGATTCCTGGTTTTGAAATGATAGTAATCACATTATAATAATCTTAAAATATTTTTATTAATTGAACACTCAAACATATTGTTTAATAGGTGCTAGGCAGTATGGTAAGCATGTGACATGAATTATCTTAATCCTCAAAATAAGCCTATGAATTGTGTACTATTACTAATTACCATGCTATAAATGAGAGGCGTATTAATCTATTCTTGCACTGCTATAAAGAAATAACAGGGACTGGGCAATTTATAAAGAAAAGAGGTTTAATTGGCTCACAGTTCTGCAGGCTGTACAGGAAGCATAACAGCTTCTGCTTCTGGGGAGGCCTCAGGAAACTTACAATCATGGTAGAAAGTGAAGGGGAAGCAGGCATGTCCTACATGGCTGGAGCAGAAGGAAGAGAGAGAGAGGGAAGGTGCTACACACCTTTAAACAACCATATCTCACAATAACTCACTCACTATCATGAGAACAGCACCACGGAGATAGTGCTAAACCATTAATGAATGATCCACCCCCATAATCCAGTCACCTCCCACCAGATCCCCACCTTCAATACTGGGGATTACATTTTTACATGAGATTTGGGCAGGGACACAGATCCAAACTATGTAAAGAAGATTCTTGCTTATAAATGTGCAACAAAATTTAGCTAAGGATGAGAGCCACATTTCTCTCTTTACTACATACATAGTATTATACTAGTAAACCTTATTGTAATTGTTATTATTATTATTAACACAGAATGGTATCTCTTGGAAAAATACGCTTACATTAAAACATTAAAGCTCGCTACTAAAATAATTTTGTTTTTCATTGATTCCAGTTTTTCCCACCCACTGTCCATTTAGGATGGCTTCAGAAAAGAGAAATGGTGTCAAATCTGAAGCAGTTTATTTAGTGTCTTCATAAAAAATTCTGGGATGAAGTGGGAATTGCTCATTAAAATGCATACATATTTTTAAATAACCTGTGTTTTGCATTTATTCTTTCTGCCTCTGTACCTTACATTACCAATGATAAGCAAGAGGAACATGGCATTCAGATTTAGCAGTTATATAACTGAGCTGAAAAAAATCTCAACATTTAATTAGGAACTGTGAAATTGTATAAACCTGCTTCACTTTTCTCCCATTAAAAACTTTGTTAACACAGACTATTGCCGCAAAATGCATTTGATTAGACTTTTCTTATTTAAAAGGTTTTTATCATTATTTTTTGATAATTTGTTGTTTTTTCTTGCTGTGAGGATTCTAAAATATCTAGAGCACACACTATAATAGCCAGGAGGAATCCACCATATCATGTAATTCAATCACACAGATAGAAACTAACCTAGCTAGCATTTGAACTGAGGCATTCAGAATCTATTTGTCAGGTCTGTTCTGGATGAATACAGCAGGAAAATGACTCAAAATGGGCTTAAGAAAAAAATAATATATTGGCTAACTGAAACGTTCAAAAAGGTTGATGCTTGTTTGTTTTTCGGGGGGTGGGCATCAAGCATGCCTTGAGTTAGGTGTGTGAACAATTCCAAGTTTCTTTCCTCTGTGTTAGTTTCGGATTTCAGAGATGCTTTCTCTATTTGGTGGAAAATTATTGACTAGAATCTTGGCGTTTATACCTCACTGTCTCAAAAAACCTCAGTGGAAAGAGATCTCCTCTTCAAGAGCCATTCTGCAAGCAGTCCTGGAACTGAATCTAATTGTCTCTGGTTGGTTTGTCTTCATCCCCGTGTTTGTCTAGTCAAGGTGGCTATGCCCTACAAGCCTCTTATGGCAAGACCTGAATTATGTGCTCTCACCTAATGCCAGAGGTGTGGTCAGCCCAACTGAAATGAGATGGGGAGGATTGGGCTTTGTAAGGAAAATAAAAATGCAGGTTAAAAAAAAAAAAAAAAGCAAACACATGTCCTCTGCAGATTTAGAATCCAGGACATTAATTCTTGTAACCATCTTCAAAATGGAACAATATAACTTTTAAAGCCCAGTACTGTACCCTGAATCTTATAACCTTCTCCTTAATTGAATGTTTTATCAGACTTACAACTCCAAACACAATTGAGAAAGAAGAAAAAAAGGAAAGAAAGAGAGAAGGAAAGAAAGAAAGAAAGAAGAGAGAGAAAGAAAGAAAAAGAAAGAAAATTCTAGAGGAGTTTCTTTCTTAGTGAGATTTTCTTGTCTCTTTTAAGTCTCATGTCTCTTGCGTTTCTTGCCTTTTGCTATCATTCTGGTGTGATTGTAGCTCTGCAGAGCAATAAGTTCTCAACATATGTTCACAATTCATGGTTTTTCACAATGGTTCTACTACTAATTTTTTTTTTTGTCTTATATGCCATTCATGTTCAATTCTCTAGACTTCCATTTGGATGTGTGTCTAAAGCCTATATAAAAATACTATAATAAGAAATACTTAAGGTTTCCTACAGTTGGTATTTTAACTAAAGTAGCACATGATTAGAGCCCGCTGGGAATTCTAATTAATTGAATTTTTAAGAGGCAGAACCTGAAAGTATAATTTTTTGCAAGTGATTTATTAGATGAGTTTTTAGAAAGAACCCAAAGGAAAAGAGGGAAGTGGGGCAGGGAAGAGATAGTAGCCAAGCTCGGTATACTGTCAAGCAAAGTTCCACAGAAGGTAAATTTGATTCAATCCTATAGCTCTGGAGAGAATACAGGTCATACCTAGAGTTGTCTCACAACTAGGAGCACGGGAGCTGGAGAAGTTATACCCTAGAAGCCAGTCATTTATTGGTTAATGGCTGCTCCTGGGGGTATGTAAATTCCTAGGTACTTTCAGTTCTCTCTTTGTGAAGATAAATTAGCTATAACAGCTTGAGGACAGTGTCCAAAAAGAGATAACATGTACTGGCTCTTAAGGGTACAAAGTACATAGGAATCTGGGGCGGAAGAGGGATTAGAAGGGACGTGAGTCCAGCACTGACATTTTCTGCTACATTACTCGTCTAAGAAAGGTGTATCTAAATAGGAGACTCCATTTCTTGTATCAAAGGGAAAAAATGCTTGTCCAGTAAGACTTTAATGTTGTCACTGAGTTATTTTTCTTTGGACAAGGTGGAATTCTCTTTACACCCACACAATTGGGCCACTTAAAATGGAGATCCACTTTTGTAAAGTAACAAATACCTAGGCTTCAAGGGAATGATCTAATTAGGTTTGTGCAAAAGTAATCCTACTTTTGCCATGACTTTTAATGGCAAAAGCCGCGATTACTTTTGCACCAACCTAACACAACAGCTGTGAAGTCAGTATTCCTTTGAATTATACTCATAGCTTCTACTTCAAGAAAACCTGAAAATGAATCCCAGCTCCGCCTCTTTAGCTTTAGAAAAGTAAGTGAAATTATATGTACGTATTGTACAGATACATAGTACTTGGTACTCTGTATTGTACAGGTACTGTGAGTCTGCATAATATATGCATATAAGGTAGCTATTTGTTGTAATATTATTACAATTATCATAATTGTCAAAATGTTCAGTTACTTAGGTATTTAGTTATGTTAAAAAATGACTTCTGTCTTCACAATCAATATAAATAACTAAGAGCAGAGGGAAAAATACACAATTTTTACTTATATTTTGTCTGAATGTTTTAGATTAAAAGCCTTTTCAATTGGATACTTTGCATGTATTTGTTATAAATCTCAGAGATTTGCTGTCATAAAAAGATAAAGGATCATGAATTCAGACAAATATTAGAGCTCTATTTTTCCTTTGTAAAACAATTTTCTCAGAAAATTTTTATTACACTGGTAATGCATGCTCATTGCAGGAAAATAATGAAAACCAGAAATAAACAGAGAGCAGAAAATAAAATAAAATAAAATAAAATAAAATAAAATAAAATAAAAGACATTTATATCACAACTACCCATAGATAAAAACTTCACATGCAATACATACAACATATGCATTTTTAATTGAATAATACCTCATATCCTATAAAATTCACTAGACATTGTGAATATCTATGTGAATAAAGTTCCTTCTAGAATTTCGTTCTTATTGGTTAGTATGCCATAAAATGAATGAAAAAGAACATCAGTTATCTGAGGTTAATTGTTGCCATGAATATACCAATTTACTGAAATGTCAACTTAAATTTGTGGCAAGTGGCAAGGCTTTTTAAAAGGACAAAAACTTAGTATATGATAATAATTATTTTTTACTTAAGGCAATTCAAAATTCAAGTTTTCACTGTAATTGTATGTTAATTCTGAGAATAATTGAATCAAACATTGATTTAGGGCACATTTTCTGACAAATATGTTTGAGTGCATATGATTTTTATCCTTGTGCTTTATCCTTGATGTACATAGGAGGATAATAATTTTTTCCAATAAAAATGTCTAAGGCTTCATAAGTGTTCTTGCTTGAAGCTTCTACTGAGACATCCCAACTTTCTGCAGTTGTTTACTGCTCAAACTCTCCAAATCTTTATTTGCCAAGCACTTTGCATGTAGTTGGATGAGCCTCCCACATTCCTTCTGCTGACTTGAAGAAATTCTGCCTCTTCTTCAAGGTTTACCAATTGACTTTGCAAAATGACTTACTACCATTATTATTAATTTGAAATATAATTAGAATAGAATTATTCAAATCATCTAAAAATCTATAAGGGAATGAAGAATGACTTGACAAGAGGAAAGGAGAGATATTAATGTGAACAGACTGGGGATTCATTTTACAATTCATTAGTTTAGTAGTGAATATTTTCCTTCTGGAACTTTGCTTGCAGCCTGCCCGTTCTTATTTTATGCCTTCTAAACCATTAATTTCTAAATTCATCCCTTATTGTTAAACACTTAGTTTCATTTATTATAACATGTATTTTTGCTCCTTTGAAAGATACCCATATTAGACTAAAAATAATAGATATGAGAAAGTAGACGAAATTAATATTAATAAAGTAACTTTATTTACAAGTTCTTTATAACAGGGGACAGGCTGCGGTGTAAATCCATCTTTGTTTTACTTTTTTTTAAATCGTATATAAATGAGTACTTTTTTTGAGGATCATAGAGCCTATTTACCAGTTCATATGGGTCTGTTTTATAGTGCTGTTTTCCCTGGATAATTTACCTCACCCATCCCATGTCTTCAGTTACCTATTAGTACCAGTTTAGATCTGGAATACTTTATATTTTTGCCTTAGAAACTATAAATATATATATAAAGCCTGCCTAGTCTTAAATGTCATGTTCTCACAAAGAATTTCCTTGACCACTATAATAAATTGACATAATCTTGTTACTATCTCTGCACTCTATTTCTTTTGTTTCGGTTATTGCAGTTTGCAAGTGTACTTGTTTTTATTATTTGTTTATGGTATGTTTTCCCACTAGTCTGTAAGCAACATAAGGGCAGAGGACATGTCTATTTTATTCACCACTATTTTCCCTGAACATAGCACAGTGACTTGCATACGGCAGGCACTTAATAAAGTGTTAAATAAATGACTGATTGAGTGAATGGCGAATGATTGCATGATCTGAAAACTAGTCATAATACAACAGATTGATAGAATATTTTTCTTGAGAGTTATTTGTATGGATGCTCTTCTTTTATTTTGCTGTCATAAAGATTAAACCGTCTTCTATTCTAATGAGGTGTAACTGTTTAGTCCAGTCCCCGATATTAGTTGGAGAAGGTTGGACGGGAGCCCGTTGCCAGGGAAAGTCAAGTACAGCAAATCCCAAGCTATCCTTGAAATCCCGAACTTCCAACAAGAAGATGAAGGCTTTTATGAGTGCATTGCAAGCAACCTTCGAGGAAGAAACCTTGCAAAGGGTCAACTCATTTTTTATGGTGAGCTAATTGGATTTCAAATATATATAAAATATTTGGTAATGCCCTTCATAATAAATTGTGGAAGTCATTAGCATGTTGTGAAAAAGTGTCACGGGAGAAATAAGGAAGGCATATTTCCGGGTTTAGATGCTTAACACAATGATTAGCAGATGGGAATGACCACCTTTAAAATATGGTTTTAATTTTAGCATGGTCTATGAATGCTATTGTTTATTATATTTGCCTTCAAAATATCAGCAGTGTCATGTTAAAGCCATAAAAGTTTATAATAAAAGGAAGCATGAACTCCATATATTTCCCATTAAACGTTCTGCAGCAGATTATAGCAATCTTGATTCTAATTCTAAGTAGAATTAATAAATGAAAAAAATTGATAGGAAAAATATAATACTGCATGGTGGTTTATAATATTTGTTCCTAGTTTTCATATTTTGTCTACTCATAAGTAGGTAATATAAAAAGAAGGCAATTACATTATTTAAAATTATGTTTGTCTCAGTTACAAAAATCTCTCGTAAACTTAAGAGAGACGATGAATGCATATATTATCTAAAAGCTGTCTTTGTGTCTTCTTTAATCCAGGATTGAAATTTTCTCTTACTTAACATTAAGTAAACAATACAATATATCTCAGAATTTGCAAAATGCTGTATACTATTAAAAGATCCTTAACTTCTTTGATAAACTTAATGTATCTGTATTAGATAATTTTTAAAAAGTATTGATATATGGCCAAAATACTTTCCTATGTGACATGTTTATAATCAATGATAAAGTAATTAGAGAAAATATGTGTGTATGTGTGTGTGTATGTGTGTGTGTGTGTAATAACTAGAAAAATCCAGGATACTGTAATTATCCCATAGGAATGTTGATTGAGTGCCCGTGGGGAGAACATATTGTGTGTCTGTAATATTATTTTCCATTTTCTTTAGAATTTCCAACTTTAACCTGCAATGAATACTACTATTTTATATATAGAATATAATTTTCTACTCATTATTCTCCTACAGTTTTAGCAAACCTAGCCAAGAAAAACAATATTTTTTTTCAGTAGTACCTACACTTTAAAGGAAAGTCTTTGGAATTTAGTATCCTTTGTAAATAAAATAGGATACAAATGGGAGTTTTAGTAGAATGAAGATATTGAATGCTTTGGCTAGTTTTAAAGAAATATTTTCCATTTTATATATAATAGACAAAGATATAATCAAGGGATGAACCAGAACACAAAGGTATCTGTAAACTGGAAATCAATAATAAAGTACCTTTCTGTATACTGATAAAGCAAATGTTAGCTTACATAGCAATTTTACAAACATTCACTTATAGAATTCTTAATCTTAAGAAGTAGAAATCTTAAGATTAATATTAAGAGGTAGAAACAATGTTCAGTGATACTATAGGCAAAAATATCTTAAGTTAATTGTGCAGGATCTCACAGATAGTGATTGTCAGATTCAAGATCAGAACCTTGAAATGTCTTCTGAAACTGCCATAGCATTTCAACATGGTGGTCTAAGCTCATTGTACTATATCTCACCACAACCAAATTAGCCATTTAATTAGCCTGAAATGGTCCTTGTAGGGGAATAATGGATACTTAGTCAATAACATAATCATTATGTTTCTTAGTCACATATTAATTCACTTTCTGAAGTGCTTTCAAAAGAAAAGAGGATTACTGACTCAGTTACCTCAGAGTTGAATAATAACTGAGAAATTCAAGAAAAGAATCTCTCAGTCTGTTATATTGCTGTGTTTAAGTTATAATTCAGAACCAAGTAATATTGTATATCCATCTATATCGTAATTTTATAATCTCTAAAAGAAATCTCTAAAGTATTATTCATCATAGAAAATAGAACATGTTCAGAGGAGTTAAGTGGCTTTTCATAACCAGTCAATATGGCAGAAAAAAATCTAAAACTCAAACCTGTATGGTAGACCCAAAATCCTAAGCCTCTTCTCCCATGAATTTCCTACCTAGTTTTAAATTTAAAACTTTGCTCTCCAGAATTTTAATCATCCAAAGAATGTTCACGTTGAATAAATAAATGTGTTCTGTAGCCGCAATTATTGCATTAAGCATAAAATCAGATATATCTGAAACCTTTGTAAGTTATGTGAAATTACATATGAGCATGCATTTATTTTCCCAGGTCAGACATATATTAGGACAATTTCTAAACAAATACTTATGAATTATATAATTTTGTTAATAATACCCAGAAACATGATTCAATTTCACCAATAGATCTAGTTCTTCTAAGTTTTGCCTTGATTTGTCCCTCAAGGCTGCAGGAAGCACATTCTGTAACTGGAAGTTGTCCTGATTCCTGCAAGAGGTAATCCTAGGCTTAGTTCCCACCACCCAGAGACATCATGATTTCTTTTACTCGTTTGTAGTCTCATTGAAGGGTCTTCTGTCTTGGTGAAGGCAGGTTGTGCAGTAGAAAAACTCTAGAAGTCAGACAGACTTGCGTTTTATATTGTGCACAATTTCGAATCCTCTCGGCCCTGCTTCTTACTTCAGCCACTGCTACGGTGGCCAGTTCAGCACTGTGCGTTGTAGATGTAACCTGAAGGAGTGTTGTCTCAGGTGCAAAACTACCAAGCACATCTTGTTTTCTGTTCTGGGTTTTCTTTGGCTCCTTCGTGAGCCTACTCAGCATTTAAGCATGCCCAGTTTGGATGTGCCAGTAGTTTACACCTGCACTACCCTTAGATGACCATGGATGGGAACTAAATGATCCCCCTTCATTTCCCTGGGTAGACAGCTCTAAAGACTGCTTAGAAGTTGACATAAGATGGAGAACAATGGATCGTGTTGGTGGTCAACTCAATAACTCAGCCTTGCATTGACTTTTTTTTCCTTCCCGGTGACTACCTTTTTTTCCTGATGCTTTTCCCTTGGGCTAACATTCTCAAATGAACATGTGGAACTCAAGCCCTTTACTTAGGTTCTGCTTTTAGGGTTCAAATTTTGGCTTCCCTGTTTTCTACCATGTCATCTTGAACAGGTTACCTAACATCGCTGCGAGAATCCACTGAAAGATTGTAGAGGGAATTAAGTGCAATTACAAATATAAAGCATCTGGCTTGCCACAGCCTGAGAGTCCAAGGGAAGCGTCATATACTTCTGTATATCCAAGGACAGAACTAAATAAAGGAGAGGGATTAATTGGCACCTCCAGGCAGTTTCCAGTCAGTTTATGAAAGAGATATTCATGTGAAAACATTTAATTTCCAACCCGCCTGTTTCCATGAATGATGGTAAAAATAATACAATCTTACTTTCACGTCAATTATGCCAGTTTCTTGTTGTCTCACTACTATGAAGAACTTTCTCAAATTAAAGAAAATTTGGAAAACTCACACCCAGAATTAAAGTAAGATACTGAACCTGTATAAAACTCCAAATGTTCACCATTCCTTGTCAAGAATTTTATCTAGGAAAAAAGAATACTGGATTATCTTTCTACCAAAATGCCAGGAAGCTCATGTTTGATTTATGCTTCAAGGTATTGAGTTGTAATTGTGTCTGAAACAGATACAGATTTATTACTTTTAGTTTAGAGCAAATATAATCAGTGAACTTTCAGATTTATTCCACAGGTTCAGATTTGATATACATTTTCTAACTTGACCTATGTTCTAATATTTAGCATGGATTTATTCCCTGGCCCTGTTCTACATTTTGCCCTTTTCCCACAGCTCCCAAGTTGTTATACAGGTGGAGCAAAATGACAGATGACAAACATTTAACTTGAGCCAAATGCCCAATGATATTTGCAACAGGATTTCTGTCAACCCGCATTGAAGCTCCTGCATGTCCCCTCCCTCAAATCGTGTGTGTGCAATCCAACTGGACCCAGTTAGCCTTGTCCTTCTGATCTCTACAGCCCTTGTAATGTAGCATAATGTCTTGGATAACTGCCTTTTACCAAACAGTGGCACTTGCCTTTTTGAAACAGCTCCTCCAGAATGGGAACAGAAAATCCAAAATACACACCTCTCTATCTATGACAACTTGCTCTGGGAATGTAAAGCTAGTGGAAAGCCAAACCCTTGGTATACATGGTTAAAAAATGGTGAACGACTCAACCCAGAGGTAAGCAACTATGTTGATATTAAAAGTTTACCTACTCTACTAGGTAAATTTTGTTACTAACAGTACTAGTAACTAACAGAAACAGCTAATGTTAATGGAGTCTTTGGTATGTTCCAGGAAAGGATGCATACACTGATTTATTTAATCCTTAAATAAACTTACAAAGTAACCCATCTTTCAAAAGAGAAAAATAAGTGTAGACAAGACAAATAACTTTCACAAAATCACTGTTAGCCAGTAATAGATTCACATTTAAATATCATCATCATCATCACCGTCATCATCGACACGGATAACACTTACTGAACTCTCATATGAGCCAAGCCCTGTGTTAAATATTTTTCCGTGCATTATCTTATTGCACCCTCATGAAAACATTATAAGAGAGATACAAGTATTATTCCTTTATGTAAATGAAGAAAATGAGTTTCAAAGAGGTTAGGCTACTTGTTTAAGGTCACACAGCAGCTAGTAAATGTTAGAATTAGCATTTTAAACTTTTATTTTGGTCTGATATCAGGACCCAATCTCTTAGTCACTACCCAGTATTTTGCTTTTATGAACACTGACGACTGTCTTTAAACCCCTAGGAAAGTAAATAACTAAGGCAGTTATCCACATTTCTCCATTTAAAGCATACTTTCTTCTACAATACCTAGAAAATGAAAGATTTGTTTTTTACCTATTAAATTATCCAGATAATTGTGTCAATTCTCCATTTTACTTTGCACATGTAGGCATAGCCAGAGACACAAAGAACATCTGTTGTTTGGAAGCTGAATATAATGCTGTTCTTTGTTTCAGCATCAGTGAAATTTTCTTCCTGCATGCCTTTTGCATATAGCATTCTGTTTCCTCCAGCCTATTTTCCTTTTCCCTAGAGGATGGTAATACATGCCTTGAAATATTTAGTCTTAAGTTATATTTGTACTATTAATTATGTCACTATGTGCACTCAAAATTGTATTTCTATACCCCACATGGGGTTCTGTAACAGATTTTGGCTGTTTAGGCACACTTTATAGTAGTTTGTAGAAAGGAAGGATTTAGCTACTCCAACTCAAGACTCAATTAGAAAATTATCACATCATCACATTTCAAATGTTTTTGAAACTTTTGGAAAATGGAAAGCCAAGGCAGTGTTCTAGTCATGATATACATGTCTAACATTATTGTTAACCGTGTTTTCCTGGAATAATTAGGACGGTGGAGTATTCCAAATTACTATGTATACCAAATAACAGAAAGTTAACATACATTTTGTGCAAAGTATGTCAATTGTCAAAGAAATGAGATAACATAAAACACACTAGTAACCACTAAAATTATCCTAAACATATTTTCGTTTTTTAAACTTAAAAATGCTGCTCAGAATCTAGTAGTGTATTAATACACCAAATTATCAGATCTCATAGATATACACAAATGTTGTTTAATAACATATCCTGGTTAAGAGAATGCTATATTAACGTACAAGCATCTTTATATGCCTTTTCCTTTATTAGGAGAGAATTCAAATAGAAAATGGGACACTCATCATAACGATGCTGAATGTGTCAGATTCTGGTGTGTACCAATGTGCTGCAGAAAACAAATATCAGATAATTTATGCAAATGCTGAATTGAGAGTTTTAGGTAAGTCGTTTATTTACAACCAACAAATTCAAAATGACGTTTTAACAAGCTATAATTATGCATAATCCCAACCCAATTTTTTTTGTAAATTAGAAATTGCTGTCCCATCAAATAATGGGAAATGTCTAAATTAACTTTTTACAAAATTCAAGGTGGTAATTATTATTCTGCTTGGGCAATGCACTGGGGCTTCAGAAAAAAACCCACCATTGGGTGCATCCAAACCGGAGGAAGCTCTTCCAAAGCTGATTCTAGCATGAATTTTTGAGTATAACTCAAAGAATATCTTTAGGAATATTTTCAGCTGCAAATTAAAAAGTAATAAAAAAATCACAATTCACAGTAACTAAAAGAAACAGTAATTTATTTTATCTCTTAGCAAGAGGGGCATTGGCTGCCGGGCATGGCACCTCAACTTGACAAAATCCTTTACACCTTCCCTTCAGCATCAAAGCCTCATGGTTACAAGATGGCTGCTCTAGTTATAGAAATCAAGTCTATGCTCAAGGCAGAAGAGCGAGGTTACAGAAATAATCACATTTATCTCTTTTATTAGAAAAGCAGAATTTCCCTTAGCTTCCATAGTAAACTTTTTATGTCATTAACTAGAGTTCTGTCACATGACCATCCAGACATCAAGAGGAGGTAGAAAAATAAGTCCCTATAGTGAAAAGTGCTGAGATTAAAGCAATTTGAGAATGATATTTTGGGAAGTCCAACCAGTGGTGTCTGCCACAATAAATGACGCGTTGATAGTTTTCAACCCAAGGGTTTCTTAGTGGTAGGAAGAACAGAGGAGATAAAAGAGAGGAAGGATCAAACAACAAGACACAAAGTTTTATGAGCTTATGGGTGATGAGCACTCATTCATTTGCTCATTCTTTCTATCGCTACTGTTTGATTGAACATTTATTATGTACTGAGCTGTATCAAGATGAAGTGATCTTTATCTTCACTCAACCTATAATTTCAAGGAGAAAAAAGTGTCAGATTTAAAATATGGCAATTCTTATGGCTAAGAATTGAGGAGTTGCTATCGTTGCACATGACAAGTTGAACATAACCTACATTGAGGACATTCCCTTTAATCTAAGATCAGAAGTAAAAACATGCATCAGTAAGGTGAAGGGTAGAGAAGCAACATCTGAAAAGCCCAGAAGCAAGAGAGCATGGCATACCCGAAAGAACTTCAGTTCACTTGAGCTTTAGATTAGAAATGGAGACTGGACACATGGATTCCAACATTCATGAAGTTGGAAAGATTCAGAGGCACCCTGATAGCCTAATAATTTCTTGTCCTTCTGAACTGGCATTTGTTCAACATATATTTAGTGGGGAAAAAACCGACATAGTGATACAGCATTTCTGATTTATTTCAATAGTATTTTATTGCTAATAGCAATAAAATATTTCTGATTTATTTCAGTTGCTAACCACAATACAATACCACTGAAATAAATCAGATTGGTATATATACATATATAAATCACATATATATGTATATATGTGTATATACGTATATATGTATATGTGTGTGTGTTTCTTCAACATCATATGTTCCATTGCTTATATACATATATAATAAATCAGAAACACACATACATATATACATGTATGCATATACATGTATATATATGGATACACATGTATGTGCATACATGTATATGTGTGTGTGTGTTTCTGATTTATCATATGTATGTATATGACATGTATGATCATTGTTTTGGCTGGAATAGACTTTCCTGGTCAGAATTAAAATTCCTTCTTCGGCCTCTTTTGAAACCATCTTCATCCTCTTTGTTGTAAATGCTATTAGAAAAGTGACTTTGTCTAACTTGCCTCCTCTCTACCACTTGCTTTTATTATTGCAATGACCACCAACAAAACAAAAATAAGTTGCATTTATTGAGCCTATACTTTGCGCCAGGCACTATACTATAATTCCCTGCAACTGTTACATCATTTAATCTCCACACTAACTCTCTAAGGTAATATCTTTTGTCATCTTCATTTTACAAACAAAACATAAACTCTAAAATGTTAAGTCAGTATTTGGTCCAAGAACACCTTGAGCAAAGTAACCTGAAAAGAGGATACAGCTATAAATATTAGATTCTGTCTAGCATAGCAAGTCACCCCTGGAGTCACTACATGTTAACTGAGTAATTAAACAATTTTGTCTTTGATTTTGTTTTTAGCCTCAGCTCCAGATTTCTCCAAAAGTCCAGTTAAAAAAAAGTCTTTTGTTCAAGTTGGTGGGGATATTGTTATCGGATGCAAACCAAATGCTTTTCCCAGGGCAGCTATCTCTTGGAAAAGAGGAACGGAGACCCTTAGACAAAGCAAAAGGTAAACAAATCTTTATTTTTAAAAATATTTTTGTTTGTAATATAACATCTTCCAAATTTTTAGGTTTTAGTAGGCCTTTCAAAATTTCCTCTTTTATGATAAAGTCTCATTGGCATACCTAGAGACGCCAGCATTCTTCTCATCATAGTAAAATTGTAAAAAACAAAAGGATCTTATAAAATAAAGACCTGTTTGTATAAGTTAGCTGCAATATTTTCAGTGCATGCACTTGTAATAGATTTTTAAAAATCTTTTAAGACCTTTTTCTACATTCAGTTTGAAGGCTTCCTCCTGAACCAGCCTGCTGAGAAATCAGTGCGAATAACATTTCACAAAGGAGAGAGACACTCATTGGCACACACCTGGTGTTGTGGTTTTTAAATAGTCACACAGGTGTTCACCCCATGACAAAATGAATTCACCACATGAAGAAATGTAGAGAGGTTCCTGTAGAGAAAGAAGAGAGGTTTCCTACCATAATGGATACAGTTGAGAAACCCTAGGTCAGCACTGGCATGTTTTCTAGGAGACTTTGACAAAAGAAAACAAACAAACAAAAAAAAAGACGGGTGTTTTTCTCTACTTGTAATATCTTTTATTCTATTGTACCGTAGAGCCTTGTATACATGAGGTGACTAGACCACAGATGCTGCTCTCTTTTAATGACTCACATGTGTTACTCTATAATCAGATATGCAATTAAATCCTAATGTGAACGAGCCATTGTGCTGAAGATATGAAAATAGTCCCTTTCGTTCAATGAGCTCTTCTTCAGCATCATATGTTCCATGACTTATATGCATACCAGGATGGGCAGGTAAAAGGCCAGGTGAAAGAAAGGACAACTAAAGTGTGTTAAAAAATGACAGTTGTTACTCTTGGAAGAAATGACTGTGACGGACTAGAAAGTGAGTTCCCTACCTAAAAAGGATAGTCACAACTCCAAATTCTGTCAACTGGTTGCCTTGCGGGAAATGAGAACTAGGTTTGTAGAACTTCCAATGTTTCAGAGAAAGCTAGAAGTCTGCATTCTGGTATTGAATCTCCCATGCCAGAAAAAAGTAGCCATAGGATGAATGAAGGGACATCATTTTATCACTTCTAATCCCAAGATTTCATTTGTGGCCGAGGAAAAAAGAGGTGAAAACAAACAAAAGCAGGGGTCTCTGTGGTTTGTGTAGAGTCCCTTTGTGGTTATAACTGCTGCCTTGAAGATCCATTCCATTTACACAATGAAGTGTACATCAGAGAGCCCCTTTCTAGGGCATTCTTTCTTTCCTTATTCTCTGCATTTCTTTACATCCCTGGACTAAAGCTTTTCCCAGGACAGGAATTATGTCACATTTATCTTTGTATGTCCTGTGCCTTGGCACAGAACCAAAACTTAATAAATATCTGTGGAATAAATGAATGAATCAAAAAGGGTGAACATGTAAAGCGTTACCAGCTTTACAGAAAGGCTGTTCTTGGGGAAATCCCTCAAGACATAGGAACAGGTGCTTCAGAACTAAGGTGAAAGAAAAGGTGAAAGGAAACCTGTTGTCCTGACTCAGGTTGGGTCTCTTCTTCTGTGTGCATTGCCTAGGAGATTTGCTCCCAACAGATTTAGATGTGAATTCTTTTTAAATGTTTCCTCATGCATTCCTAAAATCTAATCAAGGTTTGAATACACTGCTGTGGAACAGAAAAACATAAGAGATCCTGCAGTATCAAACACAGCACCTTGTACTGAGGGTCTGGACAAATTGATTAACTGTGCCTCATTTAATAAAGTAACTCACCCAAGGAGCAGAATGATGGCATTTACCTTCCACAAGCTTTAAAGGTCCAAACACGAAGTATGTGGGAACAAGAAAGAAAATTAGGAGGAGAATTTGAGTAAAGCTAAGATAATGAGAGAGAGAAAAAAAAAAGCTAAGATAATAAGAAAAAAAAGCAGGAGGGAAACTGCTTTTTAAAACAGCTCTTCAGGTTTTTGTTTTATTTTGTTTTGTCCCATACAGAATAAATTTGGGGTCATTTTCACCTCACCACAGTTACTAATAATCATATCAGCTCAGCATTGTCTCTCTGTGATTAAGGGAATGAACCCTGTGAGTTCTATTTATACATTATTCTTTCATTCTATCTTTTCATTGCTTCAGGGTTTCACTGCAGGTCTTAACAAAAGAAAACATACATACAAACAAGCAAATTATCTCCTTACTGTGCATTCTTAAAAGTTGAAAATAATTGAGCTCTAGCAGAATGTAGTAATTACAGTCACTACATCTCCACCCGGTAGAGATTACACTGAGCAGTAATTTTCAAAAGGTCACACAGTTAACTCCATGAGTCTATGTCCCTGCACACTTTCTAGCTTGTCCTTTCTTCTGTTGCCATCTGATCGACTGGCTTTATTAAGTGCATGGCTTCAAGCTGTTTGTTGAGAAATACAGCATCTATGCTTCTGTTTGTGTCAGACTATTGCCTTTTTTATAGTCTTATCGTGGGACTTCCAAACAGATTGAGGTAAAAAATTAGAGTAGTGATAAGAAAGAGAGAAAGAAAGGAAGGAAAAAAGGAAGGAAGGAAGGAAGGAAGGAAGGAAGGAAGGAGGGAGGGAAGGAAGGAAGAGAAAGAGGGGGAAAGAAAGAAAGAGAGAGAGGAAGCAGGAAGGGCAAGAAGGGTCACTGCTGTTTACTATAGACGTGGTGTGATATAGTAAAAAGATTTCAGCCCCCACCCTGTTGAGAGCCTGACTTTGGCAAAGTCATTTGTCTTCTATAGAACTTCATATGTAAAATGAATTAGAGGTACTTCATTTTCCTAAAAAAGGAGAGAAAGTCAAATGGTTTCTTCAAGCCTGTTCAGGCCCAAGGTTGATTATTTCTTCTACATCTTTGGTCTGAACCATTACGTGGTAGCCAAATTCTTTTTTCCCTGATCAGAACCCCCTCTTCTTTTTCAAAAGAGTATTGACAGAACAGATCCTAAATCCTAGCAAAGTAGCTACATTTAGCTTTCAAATTGTCATGGCTTTAAGAAGACAATATTAACGAAAGCTTTGGAGAAGACAACATCAAAATAGCAGTTAATTTCACAAAATATGTTTTCTTACATTTGAATACATAAAAAAGTTTATTTGATTGAGTATGTATGTGTGTATTTGTGTGGGTGGGGTGTGGGTAGATGGGTACCTAGGAATTGGCATCAGATTTCCAAAGCAAACAAAATTAAATATATTAGGAGCCAGGGACAGAGTATTGCACATAAAGGTTGACTGGGCAATTTATTTTTAGATTTGATTACAAATGCAAGGGTTATTGCATGTGTACATACACTGTTCAATGCTATATTTGAAAGGAGCACTAGAGATAATGTATCCCATTTTCCGAATTTACAGTGCCAGATCCTAAACTCAAACACAGAACGCTGAGCCCAGTACACATTTTTTAATGCCACACCAGACTGATTATTTCACTCAAATAGCAATATATACATAACTTCTACCATCTCATACCTCTGTTAAAACATGACACAGTTGTATATATATGAAGAATAAAAAAGTCAGATATAGGAAAAAAGTTCAAAATTTTACAATGATTCCAAGTAGAAATGGTTTCTAGTTCTTGACCTTGGAAATACCTATGTGAGGAAATGTACATTTTTAGTTTCTGTTGTAAAACTTCTATATGGTACTGTCTACTTTGAAATTTCATTGTCACTAACTCTTGCAGCCAATAAAGTATAACTACCTAGAGATGGTTGAGAGGGCTCTAAAGAAACCTATTCAAAGTAATCAGACTGAAGTGCTGACTTATAAAAAAATGGTGGCAGTATATATATTTTGACAATTTCTTCTAGTCTTACATGAATTGAAACAGCTTCCATCACACAGCTAATAAGTGAAGAAGCTTAGACTTGGTGCCAAGTCTTCCATCTCTGTATTCACGTCTTTTCCTCTCTATGGATAATGGAGTACACGCTCAGCTCTTCAGTTTTTGAAAGGCTGTTGTCACATGATTCAACGTAATTTGATGTGTTGATAATTCAGATTAAGTTACATTTCTCAATACAGTGAACATGTTTCTTATTAGCCTATGTGCCATAATTGAAGTCTTGGCTGTTTTAAGAGTTCTGTTCCTAAAGCAAGGATCTGTATTTATAGCAGCCTGTCAGAGGAGAAAAGTGTTTCTCGAACCAAAAATAGGTAGATGGCATTACAGAGTCCGAAGACTGCCTGGTTTCCTGCTGGGAATGAATGGTCATGCAACATCTGTCTCATTCTTTTTAGACCCACCAGTGGTTTAGAAATAGCACTTATATTGAAGAGAAGCAAAAGGCATATTCCTGCAGGAGAACCAGGAAGCACTGGGAATTAGAAAACACGGGTTGTGGTCTCAGATCTATCACTGATAAGTGGCGTGACTTGAGTAGAAATGCTAGACTCCTCTTTTTATTTTTTTTTTTTTTTTGAGGCCACTATTTCCTGGATTTATCTTAAGATGAAATAATATGAAAACAACTTTAGGAAATATTAAACACTATATTCATGCAGTGTCTGCTTGCACAGAGATTACATTTTAGAAATCAATAGAGAACCTTAGCCCAAGGGGTTGAAATTGAAAGTTCTATCTTAGTTATAACTTTATATATGTTTTAATGATTTGCTTGGGTGACCAGGTGACTGAGCCAAACACGGCAATTGCTGTGAACTGTCAAAACAGCTAAAATGATTTGGTTGGATGGATTCAGAGTTTACAGAGAGCCCTATCAGCTAGGCTGTAAGCTCCATGAAGGCACCGAGCACCATTCTTTAATTCACCATTATAGGCCTAGCATCCACCACAAACCTGGAATATAGCACACATTCAGTAAATATTTTCTGTGTTGCTAAATTAATAAAAGTTAAAATTTAATTTGTTTAACTAATTTTAGAGATTTTGCAGCTAAGCCAAAAATTTTAATAATTAATAGACCGATGGTATGATTATTCATTTATTAATTTCTTCATTCATTCTGCAAATATTTGCTGAACACCTATTATAACCTAACTGGGTGCTGGGGATAAAGTGTTAAGCCAGATAGCCACATAACATATAACATTCTTCTTGCCCTTTCTTATGATAATGTTTTTCTTTAAAGTGATTTGAAGTCAAAGATCTGGGTTAAAGTCCCAACTCTATTTCTTAGCTGATAACTTCTAGCAAGTCCTTTAACTTCACAGGTTCTCAGCTGGTTCATTTCAGAGAAAATGGTACTTGTCTCTCTGATGAGGTTATAAGAGACTCAGATTTTATGTCCGGAATGACAGGTGAGCTGTACACACACTGCTACATTGGATGTATTTGTTGCTGTCATCGTAACTTGTATGCATATCCCAGTTGTGCATGCTTTTACCTCTGGCAGCCAAGGAACAACCACGGAAAATCAGGATGAATTACAGATTAAGTTTATCTCTGCAAGGCATTCTCAGGCAACTGAGGGAATCAATTCCACATCTGCTAAGTTTGATTAATCACTTCTTTTTTTCCTTGTGGATCTACTTAGCAAGTGAACTGACAGAAATCAAAGTCCTAGATTTGTCCCCTTATGCCCAGTGACTGCTGTCTACCTATTCAGGAATCACCTCCTGAATTTAATAGGAAGTGTTAACCCACTGGAGAGACAGTTCAATGTTGTTCTCTGACAGGCAGCATTAAATACAATTCCTGAATTACCTGGGGTTTGGTCATAGCGGACATACAAGCTATCAACAATAAAAACAAAGAGATGGAGAAAAGAAATGTTGTCCTATTATTGGAAGAATACCATTATACAATTGAATCTGGTTGGGTGCAGTGGCTCATGCCTGTAATCCCAGCACTTTGGGAGGCCAAGGTAGAAGGACTGCTTGAGTTCAGGAGTTCGAGACCAGCCTGGGCAACATAGTGAGACCCTGTCTCTGCAAAAAAATTTTAAAAAGGAATGGGGTGGAACATGGTGGCACACCCCTGTGGTGCCAGCTAATGGATGGGGGTGGGAACGGGTGTTGAGGTGGGAGAATAACTTGAGCCCAGGATGTTGAGGCTGCAGTGAGCCATGATTGTGCCACTGCACTCCAGCCTGGGTAACAGAGGGAGACCCTGTTTCAAACAAACAAACAAACAACAACAACAAAAAAATCCCTGAATCTTTGGTAATTGACAGCATTTTCTCTCATTTTCCTTAAAAAAAAAGCCTACTGCACTTTGCCCAGATTTCTTAAAATCAAATAAATAAAATAAAATAAAATACAGCTAAATGTCAGAAAAAGTCTCATTAATAATGATGATAACCACTTTAAGCACCTTCTACATGCTAGATGGTGTACCAGGCACTTTACATATCTCAAAACATTAAAGCACATTTTTTTTTCATATTCAGATATATTTCTGAGGATCACAATTGTCACCGATTATATGATTAAATTTGTATCATTTTTACCCTAGTAATCTCAAAAAGTTAAACACAAAGGCATTTTTAAATTTACAGAGAATCAAACTGACTCAATTACAGAGATTCTACCCCTTAGCAATTGGTTTCAGAAAGTGATTATATTCCCCAGAATTGAAATGAGCGGACAGCTGGACTCTCTGGAAACCAATTCCGTTACCTTTATCTACTTACTCCAAGTATATATATTTGCAGACAGGTGTTATCAAATCATGGATTCTGTGTGATTTATCCTACAATAATGCTACTGTTAAAACCTGTGTGGCCCTGGACACTTGGCAAATGCATGTACCTTGTGGGAAAGAGTGAACCCATTAGGTGAATTGGAGTCTTATTCAATTATTGAACAAGCGGTGCTTCTTCAATATTTTTGCCTTCAAACCTCAAATTTAGAGCAGACCCACTGCACTTCCACCTGCCTGGCTCCGCAATGCCCAGACACCTTCCTCTTGGACACTATATTCCATTGTGGGAAAACTACACAAGGAAGGTATAAAGATCGTAGGGAAAGTGGAAAGTGGAAGAAGGAAGCCAAAGTAAGAGAGAAGGAAATGGTAGAGAAAGAAAGATGAGAGAAAGGACCAGGGAATTCCCTGTGACAAGATAGAAGTGCTACTTATTGAGCAAGTCACTGGATCTTTCTTTTCTTCATGGGTAAAATGGTCCCCTTGGGAAGACCTGTTTGAAAGCCGTTAGCATAATGCCTGACACAGACAAGGAACAGAAAAAAATTAGTTTGTCTTTATTCTTCTCATTGCTAAGTTATGTGGACAAAGCAGTTCTTCTAGTTACACAGCCATTGCCCAATACTTAGCTATCATTACATTTTCTTCTTGGAGGTTTTTCCAATCATCTGATCTTGTGGAGGCACCAGCTAATGGGAGTCTGGCTGCCTGAATGCAAGACAGCCAATTATATGATTCTTCCTCCCTGTCTGACACTTCTCTACATATTTTACAATATCTACCTTCTAAATTATTACTGTTCCTTTTGCTTTTGCCTTTACCCCCAAGTGCTCAGTCTTAATAAAATATCTCCGTCGCACATGCCTTTTCAAGACAACATTAACCATTATATAGCAACTGCAAAGCAGGCTTCTCTACCCCTTCCTCCTCTTTGCAGAGCTTCCTAATGGAACAAGCAAATAAACTTAATTTTATTTTGTATCTCCAACTACTTAATATAATAGTGCTTAGTACGTCAGGTAGCATGAGTATCAAACAGGCAAATGAACCATATGTTCCCCTGTTTAAGGAAGAATGACAGTCTGCATAATGCCAGGCTTATTACAATCTCCCTTCTGTGCTGCCTCTTTGTAATAAAATTTTAAATTGTTCATACTCAACTCCTGAGAGCCTTGTTAAGGTGAGCCTTTCCAAGGGAATACATGTTGGAGATGTCAAGAGCCATCTGATAGTCTTGCCTGTTTCACATGAAGATGTAACAAGCTAAAATCCTGTGTGTGCCCCTGTCAGTCTTGTTTTCATTTTCCCCTCTTGCCATCCAATTCCCCTTTCTTTATCCCCACTGACCTCCACTGATCTGGGGCACTCACCTTTCACACAGTGCCTGCAGAACCACCCAGATGCCATGGTCTGAAAAAGCTCCGGTTCATTAAAGTTATAAAGCCTGCCTTTAAATCCAGCCTGCCTAACTCAATGTACGCTGTTTTACCCTGCTGCCTTGTGTTGGCCTATTACTGCTGTAGTCCCTCTCCCATGTTTTCGTGACAGGTAAAGCCACCCTTGGTGGCTTTCAACCAAGGGTAAATAGGAGAAAACAAAGAAGTTTCACAAAATAAATAGCATCTTATAAATTATTAAACTGTGTCTTACAACAGAAAATGGGTAGGCTTCCTTGTAGAGTGGCTGTGAATTCATGGGCTGCGATATCAGTCAGTTTCAAATTTGATCATGCACCATAAGAATCTTGTGAAAAATGCAGATCCCAGAGCCATGCCCATGATTTTGATTTAGTAGGTGTGGAATAGGTTAAGGAACCTGAATTTGTGTAAGTTCACTCCCTCTGCCTTCAAGAGAGGCTGAAGTTGTTGAATACCACCTAGAGGAGCACTGGTTTGGTGCACACATATCTACTTAGATAGAAATGTGCTTCATTTTATCTCTGTTCCACCCCAGAACTTTGATTCCTATCCTAGCAGTTCAGCCATTCATTCTATCTCACTGTTGAAGAGATATAAATCCTTAGTTCTCCCCTTTTTGAAAATGTGAATATAATTGGCTCTAGAATGGTGTCCACTTATTTTACCTCTTGCTTCTAATTTCTGAGTGACACTTGTATCTTCAAAATTTTACATAAATATTCAACAGCAATAATTTTATAGACAGAAAAGGTCAATTATTCATGTAATTTATACAAATGACCTTTTGTTCTTGGTTTGATTTTTGAGAAAAGAAGTGGTTACTTGATAAATTTTAAAGTATAATGTCCTTTTTTGTTTACTTAAAAAGAAAATGGTTGATGACAGATCTTTGTCACACCCACACCTTCTAATGCCAGTGAGTGTATTTAAAAAAATAAATAAAAATAAATAATTAGAAAAAGCATTGCTGTCTATGACAATCCAGTAGAAGAAATAAAAGCTGGAGTAATAGTATAGAAATCAGTCTCATTAAAACCTTCCAAACAAGCAGTGAAGCTGTCAGAGCACTCTTTTTTTTTTAAGCCACTGACTAGAATTTTTCAATTTTTTCTTTTTTTCATAGTAGAACTTTTTAAATTTTTTTTCAAATGAAATGTATGCAAGAAAACCTTTCATTCCACAGATAAAATTGAACTAATCTGGCTAATGTCCCGGAGGGAGAACCAGAACCCCACTCAATGCCCTCCTCAATCCCTCTCACCCTAAATCTCCATGGTGTGCCCTAGAAATCCCCTAGCTCTCCAAGGAGCATAGTTTGAGGACTACTAATTTGTAGTGACAAATCTGATTCTCAAGTGTGACTTGCCAAACGATTCATTTATTTATAAGTATAGTGGCAAACCAATTTGACGGGCGTTGTGAAAGATTCTGGGTTTATAACTTGAATGAGCTCAGAGTCTCCTGGGGAAGGCAGACAAGCCCACAGCTCCGGTGCAGTGGGGCATGTGTCACCACTAACATGTGAAGAGAGTGAGGGCAATTCACTAACTTGGCTTACAGGAGTCTAGAAAGGTTTCAACAGGTTGCAGGTAACTGAACTGGCAGTTGAAGAGTGAGTGGGAATTTTTCCTGGAAGAGAAAAGTGGGAGGTACAGGCTTATTACGAGACTGTCTTACTGTATATTTGGTATCCAGACTTGGTGTCATTTCAGAATTTTGGGTACAGATTTCCCTTCCTCAATACAAGACACACTTCTCCCGTGAGTCCTCTAAATGCAAGTAAAGGGTACTCAAATCATTTTGCAAGGCATCCAAGAATTGACTCTTTGACTACTCAAGGAATGCTTGGATATACCTAATAACATATATTTTAATTCTATCTCCAATTAAATTAACCAAATACACCCATAAATCTATCCTCCCCATATTTAACCATGAGTTTCATTATATAAGAATAATAATGATGATGATATATCCATTTATATGCTATCCATCAAGGGCAGATAGTGTGTTAAGATGTTTGATACATCATTTCGTTAAATTTTTACAACATACCTATGAGAGGCATTTATTCATATTTTTAGATGAGTAAAACTAAGGCTTAGAGAAGTTCAGCATCATACCGCGATCAGTAAGTGATAGAAAAACATTCAGTTCTGAGAAGCTCTGACTCAAAGCCTTGTATAATCTTAAACACAACACTGCAGGATTTTAATGAGATTTCTGGTGTCTATATGTGGAATTCAAGGCAGTCCTTCATAATATACACATTTTTTTGTTTCTTCAGAGTTATACTAAAAAAATCTTCTGAAAATAGTGATATGCAAGGTAAAACTCTATCTTTATGTCACTAAAAGGTATAGAATAAGTCAACATGTTGTCCAAATACTGATAGATGGAGTCTTATTTATTCACATCAATACAAAAATATCAGTTCTTTCAGTGGCACAGCATCGTGAATACACAATGTTCGGAAGACTGATTGGATTTTTAACGTAACATACAATGTAATTTTTGATGGCATGGAGAGGTAGATATGTAAATTCAGTAAGCAGGTTAAAGTCGCTAAGCCCCACAAAGGAATTAAAATAGGTATAAGACTGTGTATTATAACTAAGAAGAAAGAGTTAAAGTTAGCAGACAAAGAGTCACACCCAGGTTGGTCCCCTATTCTCAGCCACTTTTGTAAACCTAATTTTGTAGACTCTGAGGAATGCTATAATTCAGTAGCCAAAGGGAATCCAGGATTGGAAATTCCACTAGCATCCATCACTTTCAAAACCATGTTCTATCTTGATACTCAAGTTTTCAGATACTCATGTCCTGAAATCATCAGATTACAGGGAGCTGGAGTGAAAGGGTTAATAATCATTAGCGTTCCAGCCCTGTTCTCTCACCTTTTTATATGTGAGGGAAGCCGAGAACCTTAAGTTTCAAGTTGGTGGTTTAAGGTCATCTGACTTGAATCTCATCTGTCTATCCCAAAGCTTTCAGCAGAAACAACTTTACATTTATAAAACTTCAAAGCCCTGAGGAAATCACACAATAGGTTCATAGTCATAAATGTAATAATAGCATAGGCAGAATGTCCTCACAATGTTCAGACTTCTCCATTCTGTTCTGCATAACTCTCTCCTCTATTGTATTTTCAATGTGTTCTCCTCTAGTAACTTTGGGAGCATAGTTTGTTGGTTTTTTTTTTTTAATTTATTTCTTTAAAGTCCTGCATTCACACATTTTTGTGTCCTTTGCCAACTTCATACTTTCTAGTCTTTTCTTTTGATTTACTTGGGCTATAAGGCATGTTAGCATATGAATCTATGTTAATTCTCTTTTGTGTTTTCTCAGGCATCCCAAAATGCTGCAGCGAATGGAGACACTTTATCTTTCCCTTCTTCTACTGAAGAGCTAAATATTTCTCTTTGGCCTATTTCACTGGATTAATTTAGTTAGGCTTTCCATCTGATGCTGTTTTGTTAATGTTAAATTGTATTTCCTTAACATTTTATGGGAGTCAGCATAGCAGCACACTCTGGCATGCCATCAGAATAAAGACACATCATGGCACCAAATAATTACGCTATTTAGCAACTGCTCTTACCTACCATCTCCTAATTTGTGCCATAATTCAGTCACCGTGAATCTGTGTTTGTGTTGCGTCAGCCACTACAAAGATCACACTTAAATTTTTTGTGTATATTAAACAAGGTGACACATTATGATAAATTTAGAGGTCTGAATATTTGATGCTTCCTTTCTGCTTTGGAGTTTAAGACAGTTGAACCAAAGACTTAAGATGGAATCATTTGTTCACTCCAGTAATTACGCACTAGTTGTAAATACAATTACAGACACTAAGAATTCTGAAAAAGTAGAAACGGGCACCAGTAACGTTCTCATTTAAATTAAAATGTATTTGAGTCTATTTCTAATATCTAGGTAACCCCTCTGAACAACTATTTGCTAATAAAACCCTTTCAGTTAACTACCTAAAGACCCTGAATCATCCTTGAAAAATCAGTTAATGGGAAGTATATCCTTAGCTATTTAATAGTTAAAAATATGTATTTCTCGATTTTGTTGAAGAGTTGCCAAAAAAAAGTAACATAAAAGTACTCAGGTCTATTTCTTTTGTTTGTTTGTTTGTTTGTTTGTGGTGGAGTCTCCCTCTTTCACCCAGGCTTGAGTGTAGTGGCACGATCTCGGCTCACTGCAACCTCCGCCTTCCGGGTTCAAGCAATTCTTATTCATCAGCCTCTGGAATAGCTGGGATTACAGGCGAGCGCCACCACACCCGGCTAATTTTTGTATTTTTAGTAGGGAAGGGGTTTCACCATGTTGTTCAGGCTGGTCTCGAACTCCTGACCTAGTTATCTGCCCACCTCAGCCTCCCAAAGCGTTGGGATTAAAGGTGTGAGCCACCCTGCCTGGCCTGTCTGTTTCTTTTATAAGCACTTGCTTTCCAGCAAAACATAGCAAATTGGATTTATTTGTTACCTGTTTATGATGTCACTTCATGTAGGTTTTCATTTTTGTTTCCTTTCCTTTCCCTCTTCCTACGGCCCATAAATATTTAATTACACTCTGCCTAATATAACTCAATACAGCTGCCCAAAGGAACACTATTATTTGCCTGGAGCTAGGACAGAGGCTAAAAAAAATACTAGAGATCTTATTGCGACAATTCTGTGAATCAGATGAATATTTAGGAACCACCAAACGGGGTCTATATTGTTATAATAATTAAAAACATTTTACTCTGGCTTGTATTATACCCTTTAGTTTCATGATCAGAACTGAAAAAAAATAATGATTAAGATTTGTTTTATACACCAAGTCTTATCCTAGTGATTTGAATGTAGAGTTGACCGTTGGACAACGGGGATTGAACTGTGCAGGTCTATTTATACTTGAGTTTTTTTCATTAAAAGTTATACTGACTGTGCCTGCCTCTCCTGCCTCTCCTTTCACCTCCTCCACCTCTTTCACCTTTGCCACTCCTAAGAGAGTGAGACCGGACACCTCCTCTTCCTCCTTCTCCTCAGCCTACTCAGTGTCAAGATGATGAAGAACTTTATTATGATCCTCTTCCACATAATAAATAGTAAATATGTTTTCTCTTCCTTATGATTTTCTTAGTAACATGATATCTTCTCTAGCTGACTTTATTGTAAAAATACATTGTATAATGCATATAACATACAAAACTTGTTCATGGACTGTTTATGTTATCAGTAAGGCTGCTGGTCAGTTGGAGACTATTAGTAGTTAATTTTAGGAAGTCAAAAGTTACAGGTGGAATTTCAACTCTGTGAGAATGTTGGCACCCCAACCCCTGCATTGTTCAAAGGCCAACTCCATTTCTTTGCATCAACTTTTGTACTGCTTTAAGGGGCATCAGCAAACTAACAGAAAGTCACTTCAATGATCAAATAACCACATTGTTTATAAGTATAAAGTTTATACTCCTTATTTATACTTATAAATAATGTGGTTGTTTGACTAAATCGCTTTCTGTTAGGGGACTGAATTGATTGATAATATTGACAAATATACATCTGGCTCTAGAAACAAAAGGCTGAATATTTAACAGCAAATGCAATCAGAAAAATGCATATTTATTAAGTACCTGCTAACTGTTGGGCTTCTTGGAGAATATAAACAAATAAAGAATATTAGCTACTACCTTGGGACACCCATTATGCTCTAGGCTCTCTCTCTCTATATATATATAGCATAATGTATTTAATTCTCAAAACAAGATGATGATGTTATTACTACTCATATCCCCATTCTATATAAAGTTGGCATAGAAATCAAGCAACTGCTCCTAAATTAACATGGCCAAAAACAGAAACTCAGGCACATATTCAAAGTGATCTGACTTTAGAGTCCATGGTCTTATAATCCCTGTATCACCTGCCTCAAACAAACCTTAGCTTTTACAGCATATTTGGAGAGCAAAAACTTATCTAAAAAGAAAATTAAAAGTACAAGACAGTAAAATGATTTAGATAATGACTCAGTAGAAAAAACACTGACTCCGTATCAGAAGACCTGTATCGGGGCTGCGGTTAAGTTAGTTATTGAATCTCCCTGCATCTCAGTTTTTTGATGTGGGGAGAAAGCATATCGTGAACTCTAGTGACTGGAGAAGGATGTGATAGAGAAAGCTGTATATCTTGGTGGGGTTCCGCAGGAAACAGTGCTCAGTTCTGCTTCTCAGGGAGGTCCACCTGCAGGGCAGCAATGGATGATTGTATCTTACTGCACACCTGCTGCCTCACTTCAAGCCATAGTCACATCATTGGTAGCTTGACATCGTAGGTTGTCAGCTACATAGGTTGCTTCCAGACAGGCTGTATAGAGAAACCACTTGGGAACAGTCTGTGGAAGGAAAGAAAAAGGGATTAATTTACCTGACTGCCCCTTTGCTGGTGGAGCTGCTTTACCTGAACCTTTGACAGTCAGTGGAACTGAGAGAACCTAAAAGATTTCATAAGGTGTGTCTGAAACACTGGGAATCAAAGAAGGTTTTGGAGGGTGAATGGGATTCAGATAAGCAGATTGGAGAGTGAAACCTCTGCTAGATACGAGGAGAAGAGAGTTTAGGCTTTTGTCTGGCAGGTTCTGTGAAGGAGGGTACTCAAAGAAAGATTTGCAAATTATAAACATTTGTTTCCTCTTTGGGACTCACACAACTCTTCCCTGAAAATAAATATTTGTGTTCTTTCCCCAAAGTCAGACAAAATAAAAGAGATGAATATAATATTTAACAGTCCTTTCTATAAATTTTCCTGAATTTTTTGATATGTGTTTCCTCTTGTTCAGAACTGATTAACAATTGTCTGTGCCTGTGCTTTGCTGAAAGTGTGATCTACGTTACTTGGTACAGTGGCCAGATTTAGGTTTGTTTCCTCTGGTCCCTCGATCATGTCTCTCTTGAGACAGTACTTCATTTTCACTTCATCTCTGTCTCTTTTGCTTTTTTTCATTTTTACTACATTGATGATCTTATAAGGACTGATAAATTAGGTTTTCATCAATCCACTGATTAAATCTTTGAATTTTGCCTGGACAGGGGTATCAGATGTTCTCTGTGTTTAACTACTTATGTACAATTACTTTTTTTTTTT
Organism: Homo sapiens; assembly: GCF_000001405.40. Lineage (NCBI taxonomy): Eukaryota > Metazoa > Chordata > Mammalia > Primates > Hominidae > Homo > Homo sapiens. Next base: position 1,345,131 of record NC_000003.12, read on the forward strand.
TTTTGAGACAGGGTCTCACTTAGTCCACCAGGCTGTAGTGCGGTGGCACGATCTTGGCCTACTGCAACCTCCACCTCCCGGGCTCAAGTGATTCTCCCGCCTCAGCCTCCTGAGTAGCTGAAATTACAGGCACGAACCACCATACCCGCTAATTTTTGTATTTTCAGTACAGACGGGGTTTCACCATATTGGCCAGTCTGGTCTCGAACTCCTGACCTCAAGTGATTCACCCACCCTGGCCTCCCAGTGTGCTGGGATTACAGGCATGAACCACCATGCCCAGCCATACAATTACTTATAATTAAAGTTACTGACATAAAATGATGGAAAGGACAACCTTTATTTTGATTTAAATGAGCAAACTTTGTAATTTACTTGTTTGTAGATTGACTTTTTATGTGGTTTGTTAAAATAAGAAATTTTTAAAAGATAGCTTATTAAATGACAGTGACATTAGCATAGATATTACACATTAACTATAATAATTGGGTGCAAAAATCATTAAAATGCAATATTAATATTTAATCTAAAACAGATTCCGGTGGGACATTTTACCACAATATCAGTATTTGATCTAAAATAGATTCCAGTGGGAGATTTTACCTAAAACTTAAATTGTGAACAGGAAGAATTTATACCCACATTTCTATTTCTTATCTAACTCATTTTAATAAAATCAATTTTACATTTTCCAAATATCAGTAAAATTAGAGAATCAATTAAAATTTCATGGTCTACAGCATTATCTTTAGACAGAACTGGAAGCAATACTCCAGTTAATAATCTAACTATAAAAATAGCAGTATTGCTCTAGTTTCAGCAATAAGAAATTATAATTGCCCGATGACCTGATTTTTTTTTTTTTTAGTTTAAGAAATTTAGCTATTTCTAATCCTCTTTGTCCTCAAACTTTGTACAAAGTTATGGTTGATACCAAACAAAAAATCTGGAGCATTTCTTATTTTCCATTCACACCTTGGAATCTACATGTACAGATCTGTTTTCTGTATGTAAATAAATTAAGGATTGGGTAGATATTAGATTTGTTATAGTGACAAAAAAGGATGTGAATGTTAATCTCTATTGTATTGAAATAGTTTAGTTAATTATGAACAGGTATTAGTTCATACAATGCAGGTGCTATCGTTTGGATATGGATTGTCCCCACTAAAACTCATATTGAAATTTTATCTTCCATGTGGCAGTTTTGGGAGGTGGAGCCTGTTTGGGCCTTGGGGACAGATCCCTCCTTAATGCATTAATGCCCTCCCTCTGGGTTGAGTGAGTTCTTGCTCTCTTGAGAATAGATTTGTTCCTGCTCTCTTGGGAATAGATTTGTTCCTGCTAGACAGCGTTTTAAAAGAGTCTGGCTTCCTCAGTCTCTCTCTCTTACTTCCCCTCTTGCCATGTGACCTCTTTGTACACACCAGTTTCTTTCTGCTTTTTGCCATGAGTTGAAGCAGCCTGAGAACCTCACCAGCTGCAGCTGCCCAACCGTGAGCCTTCCAGCCACCAGAATCATGAGCCAAATAAACCATTTTTCTTTATAAATTACTGAGTCTCAGGGAGTCTGATAGAGCAACACTAAATGGACTAAGACACCGGAAAAACGAGGGTAAAATATTCCGCATTAGTCTCGATGTAGTTCCTTAAAGTAACACAAAATCTGATGCACATGCTGCGGGTAAAGAAGCCCTCCAAGTGGATGTGATGTGATCCTTCTCCTTCCTGGTGTTCTGTTCATAATGACCCATCAAATAGAAGGTAATAGGTACAAAGTCAGGCAAATGGGTAGGACATCTGTTACTTTTGTTTTCTGTGTAGGACTACCTACCTTCCCTGACAGTGGGAAGATTAAAATGTCGCATGTTCAGCTGCTCTTTAAAAATCTGCCTTCAACTTATCAGTTAAACTTGAAATATTTATACGTTATTGGCTTAGTTTTGTACATGCTCTATATTCTAAAGCCACTATAAAATCTACCCAGTGTCACTTAACTGTCAGACACAGCTTGTTCTTCTGAATTTTGACTCATAATGCATTAGAGGAATTGCATGGTACAATACAAACGCTATTAATTTTTCTATTAGTTGAATAGTCATACTATATCTACACATATAAATGCCTTTAAATTCTAATTTTACAGAACATTTTAAATGCAAATGCTATAATCAGTGATTTAATTATCTAAACAGAATATTGAGGTTTGGTAATTTGGGGAAAATTTTTCTATTTAATTGTGTGAACAGTTAAAATATTCTAATTAAGTGGATATTAGAGAATAAAGACATGAGAGAAATGGCGTTATCACTAAACTTATTGAGGAAATAAGGAGGAAACATACCAACACCGTAAGTCAAATGTCAGAATTTGGTGATGCCAAAACCAAGGAGAGTCTGGGGACTGATAACCAGAGCTTAGTTAAAGCCACATAACATGCTTCTGAGTCCAGCCATAGGCAAGAATTTTAAGAAGACATTAGGCATGAGCAACAAACAGAGTGAGAATCAGAAATAGTAACTGGAGTCTTGGAAGAGAGAAAATGTCAAATATTAGTATCAGCTAAGAATAAGAATTAGATTAATATCTAGCATTTAATTAACTTTTACAGCAATCACATTATTATTCCTAAAATAAAAATTAGAGCATTGTAGATCAAAAAGATTAAGTAGCTAAGAACACAGACAAGAGGTTGCATGAATTCACGGAAGGGTTTTAAGCAGTGAAACTTAATGCTGAGGACAGTTTTGCTGGCATTAGACTCCTTTCGAAAAGCCCAGATATAGTTCTCAGGCCTCTTTGTTCAAAATGCAGTGTGATAAAACAATTTCTTCTTTCCTTGTTTATTCCTCATGGAGTTATAGATATGCCTACATTCTTAGGCAGGATGAGAAATCAGTTCATTGAAAGCCTACCTATTGACTGCTAATGGAGTCCGGTACAGTGCTAAGCATTTTGAACGATTTATATCAATTAATCCTCATGACTCTGTGACACAGGTAATATTAGTATTTCTATGCTATAGACAAAAAAAAAAAAAAAAAAAGGACTTGGGCCATTAGTTAACTTGGCCCAGTAACACAAAAATCAAATGTTGGGATTCAGATTCGATCATAAGTAGTTTGTCCTCAAAGCCCAAGTTTTTATCCACTCTGCTAATTACACCATAATTGCACAGGATGGCACAAGAAAAGAGGAAAAACAATCCTTAGTATTAGCATGACCATTATTAGTACCTCACGTGTTAAGATATCTATGGTTAAAACTCTCTTCCAGAGCAGGGGAACGGATATTAAGCCTGTCTTTAAGATGCCACATAAACTAAGAATCTTGAGAAAATGCACATACATGTACATAAATGTTGCATCACATTTTAGAGAGTTATTAGACTCTGAAGGTCAGATTTTAAATCTTCAATATTAAAGGTCATTCTATGCAAATAAAATTATACATACATATATACACACATATGTACATGCACATATAGCTTAAATTTATGCTGCTTTTAGTAACTCTGCTATTAGTAAACTATATTTTGGAAGTGAACTAAAACGGAACTTGCTAAAATAAGTGTTTTCTGGTCTGAAGAAAGATATGGTTAGAATCTGAGCCCTCCGCCATCTAGTGGGTACCTTGAGTCACTTATTGCTTCTCTTTATGCCTGTTTCCTGATTTATAAAATAGGGGTGCAAACAATACCTAGCCCAGAAGTTTGTCTTAAGCATTCGATGAGTTGACATTTATTACACACTTACTAGAGGGCCTGTGCAGAACCAGCTCCCTATAATATGTCATAGCCTCCATAAATTTATAACAATGAGTTTTAATATGGAAAAGAGCACCTTTAACATCTAACACTTTTTATTTTCGCATCCCCATTGTAACACCTAACATACCGTTTCAAACACAGTAGACATTTAGAAAGTATTTGCTGATTAAGAAGGAAAAAATATCTTAACATTGCTCCAGTTTCAATCATGTATTTAAACTGCTGTTGAATTTTTGGAAGTCTCCCATCATTTCATGGTGCTCACAAATTTCCACACATATTTTTATGACTCATTATATATTAGTAGTATAACTTCAACCTTAAATCCTCATATAATAATATACATATAATATGTAATCATGGTATTACCTTCTGCTTTTTTCCCTGTAACTATATGCTTTGTACTAATCATTCATGCAAATCTCTACTTTTATTATCAGAATATTTTTCCTGCTTTTTACAGATAGCCAAGCTTATCTATTCTTCTGGCTGTGTGTGTTTTTTTTTAAATGCCAGAGAAGCATATATGCAAATGAAGGTAGAATATTTTAATGTCGTTCATTGATATGTTATTACCAATCCTTGAGATAAAGTATCTTTTTTGCATATTGTAAAAGAAGAATAGAAAAAAATCAGTCTCTCTCTATGAATGTTACCAAAACCATCAATTAAAATGTTCCAGTTAATTCTTACATGTGCATTTTGCCTTATCTGAAAATGCCAATTGCTCAGTGCCATTTGATCTTCACTGAGTGTTCCTTCTTTTGGCTTTTTTAAAATCATTTCTGCTAAGACGTGTTTAGATATGTTAAAAAACTGGAAATTCTTTTATAGTTTTTGTTTAATTTTTTCTTAATAAAATTAAGACAATGATCAGGTTGTTTAATTCTGTTTATATTGTCATGAGATTAATTTTTTTACCATATTTTAATATCTCATTAATTAAAGGAGAAATCTAAGTGATACATTCAAATATCTGTACTGTTTGTTATGCCATAAAATCTTTAGTTATGATTAAATCTTTGAATGTCTATATCCTAGATCAACAGAGAGAACTTTTAAAGTTTATTTTAATAAATCATAAATCAATTTGGTTACTAGTTTGGCTATTTTTATAAAACATTTAAAATGTATGTTATTATTCTTTTATAAATTATTTTCATAAGATCATAAGTAAGATGTAGTCTTACTTTGAAGTAAAGAAAAAATTTTCAGATTAAAGTTTAATAGTAAATAGATCAGTACTTCTCAAACTTAATTGTACATGCTAGTCACTGTATGTACTACAGTGCATAGGGTGTCTTGTGAAAATGCAGTTTGATTCATTAGGTCTGGGATAAGACCACATTTTGAGGAGTAAACACATGGAATATCTTTAGGGCATCTAGTGATGACTCTGCTGAAACTTCTTGGACCATATAATTAACATGCAGAATTATTTTACTAAACGTAAGGCAAAGTAATGGTTCTGGAAAAAGCCTGAGTACTAGGATAATTAGATATAACTTCATTCTCTCCTACTTAGCTAGTTAGTCTAGGGCAGATTTTAACTTTTCTTAGTTTGCTCTCTCAGTACCTTAAACAGTAGTAAGTACTTAAGAAATATTGATGTGTTGATTAGGATTTCATAGAAATAATCAGCCTCAATGATGGCAATTTCAACTCGATTTAGCAAACATTGAAGACCTACTGAGCCTGAAAGGGGTAGTATACTCAGGGTACCACTGCACACTTGAATTATTCCTTTCTGGAAGTTATGTGAAAAATTATATGAAATATAGACATTGGCATTGACTTAGTGGCTGGAAAACTTTCTTGGTGGCCTTTAGATATCAGCAGACCTATCATTTCTGTCATGTGTTTTTTATTGGCCAATAGTTCAGGTTTCTGTGTTGCTCAATATTCCTAGTTATTCCTAAATGTTAGGGGTAGATGCACCCAAAAGCTTCTCACATTTACCTCTTATAATTCAAATCAGATAAAGAATTATATTTGGCCTGAGTTTGGTGCATAATAGAATAGTTTTGTTACTCTGTCAATAATGGCATAATTCAATTGTTAATGTAAATTGGGATCTAGTACACTAGACATCTCAGAAATTAAATAAGACATTAAATGTCTGCTATGGGAGAATACTCTAAGATAATGACTTTAAAAAATCTGATTATATGCCATGGAACATTCTAAATTCAGATGTGGCTCCTTCCACTCACTGATAACAGAATTTGGAATCTGTTATTAATAATAAATCCAACGTCAGAAGCTGGCTTCCTGCAAATTGTCGTTGGCTGGTATTCTCTGTGTTTCAAATTGAGTAATTAATTATATTAGCTACATTTTGTGTTATACATATATTAGAAACAACGATATGTTTGCAATGCAGCAAATACTATTTTGTTATTGTTAATGGATATGGCATGCATGCCAATTGTCTAGCCTTTCTTGCCTTTAAAACTGTTGTTAAAAATTAGTATGTTGTCACACATTTTGATACAATCTTGACTACCTACTAATGTTTTTAAAAGGTTGGTAACTACATTTGTAAGATATAAAATATGGTAGCCTAAAATTGGACGAATATTTTTGTTTTTACATTTTTTCAGTCTCCTCTTATTACATTTGATGGTGAATTTTTCAGGGAACAAATCTCAGGGTTTTTTTTTTTTTTCTGATTTCAGTGGCATTGTGCTTTAGACTATGCTAGAGTTTCAGAGAAAATTTAATATGGATTATTTTATGAAAGATGGGAACTTCTTTGGCAGATGAACCTCCTTTTTGTACTCTCTCTTTTAGGAATATTAATATTAATTCATAATTAACCCATGAAGCCTTATTCTTTCTACTTCTTCCTTCCTCTTTTTGATGGGATAGCCACATAATAAGCATGGCCCTCTGGCCATGGAACCATATAGATAGTTTCTTCAACTCATCAGCACTGGCAAATACTGTCGTGGTTCAACACCCCATTCTGTGGCCACAGAAAATGCTGACAGACCACGTTTAAAAAGACACAGACTAATTGTGAAAATTAGCTTGCATTTCTCCTAAGCCAAGTTCAATTTTTGCCAGTGAGTTGACTTTGGAAAATACAGAGTAAATAGTTGCATTTCTTATTCATCAAGCAACTTGACATTATACTACCAAGCACTGCTTTTATTTTTAATATGCTTTGAAATCGACAATGATAATTCAAGTTATAGAATGATAATTATCAATATCGTGTCAGAATAAAAGCAAATGCCATTTACTGTAATATGTAGACTCAGAGATAGCTCACAATGAAGAACAGAATAATAGGAAAGGAAAAAATTCATATTATCACATACACCCATGATTTTAGTAAAGTTTTAAAATAAAAATAAGCACTTATGATTTACCAGTGTTGAAGAGCCTTACTTCTATTAATGATGTATTTTCTTTTTAGAATATTTCTCTTGGAGGATGGCAGCCTCAAGATATATAATATTACCAGGTCAGATGCTGGATCATATACATGCATAGCCACAAATCAGTTTGGCACTGCAAAGAACACTGGCAGCCTCATTGTAAAAGGTATCATATTATCTTCATTTGTGCTTGATGAACATTGTAAATATGCAGGCATATTATGACTTGTGTTATGGTGTCAAACCTGTACCATATTGTGTATGTAAAATTGTTGATTTCACAAGTTATCTAAGAGATCCATTCCCGTACTCATTAATAACATGCACACTTTGCCAGTGGGATACCATGGTAGATGTGAATACTTTGGCAATTGAAAATGCTGTCAGAGTGTCATTCGAGTTAAAACCTACACCTAAATTATTTGGCTTTTTACATAAGCCTTAATGTTAGGGGCCATGGACGTTTTGATAAAGTCACTGGATAACATTTTTTTGGTCAAATATCTTTCAGAATCTTTATTTTTATTTGAAATATTTACATGTATATAAGGCTACCAAATACATAACTGGCTAATTTGTTTATATAACTCCAGGTACAAAACTAATGAAATGCAGGGTCACAACCTTTAGTAAGCAGTTCTTTTCAAAGAGAAAAAATTAAAATCTGTGTGAATCATTATTATATTTTCATCACAGTAAGCAGATAAACTCATACAATTTATAGAGATAAATTCTATACTTTACTTTTAAGATTTCTAAATCAGTATCAATCCAAATGTTCCTACATTTATCACCAAGGACATAATTAATATTAGAAGTATCTATTCCCTTTCCTTGCTGCTTTATTTTGTTGAATCTCAGCTCATAAAACTAGTGTGTTTACTGGAAGCTGTATCACTTCTATCATTTCATTGCCTCCTGGATGATAAAAATGGCTCTCTTGATAAAGCAGTTTAAGCAGCTAATTAAGCCCAAATGATTAAAATCAGCATTTGGTGCTTTCTCATCTTTTCCATTAAAATAAATATATTCAATAAAAAGTAGTTAGCTGCTACACTTCAACCATCCTTTAAAATATCTCAAGGAAAATAAACACCCACCTTTGAGCCTGGAAGATATTTCTGCCAACTTGTCTCAAGCGTATTACATTATGACGACAATTGTCTGAAGTATTCTGGGGAAATGTGACTGATAAAACTTGGTGTGTCAAAATCCAACCAGTATGGCATATTTTGAAAAACTTCTCTTCCTTAAGATTGTATTGTCATCAATTTTTAAGACAGAGATGGACTTAAGTGTTTCAAGATAGATGTTATGGCTATATTTAGGAACAGACTATTTCTCCAGCAAATTTTTGGCAATACTCAGACACTGAAAAATGTGAATGCTTTATATTTGGAAAAGTAACAAGTTCATTAACGGGAAAAAAAGATATTTATTATATCATTTCAAATTAAGAAGGTGTAGGTAGTATGCAAATTTTATTACAGCAGAAGATTAAAATGTGGTGAAGGATAAAAAGGCATTTTGCAGTTAAATCTTCTAGGTATGGAAAAATCCAGAGGGCATTAAAACGTGAAATAGAAGGGATAGAAAACATCAGCAGTAGCAATGTAGTTTTTAAAAGAAAGTTTCTTTAGAATACTGGTGATCTGGGAGGAGGGCCAATGGTTTTGCTGTTAAAATACAATGATGGGGATTCCTTCACTCTGGAGGATAAGAAAAACACAAGTTAATGGTAGATTGAACTGAATGAATAGGCACTCTTCCTCCAGTGTTTCTTAAACTTTGACATCATAATATTCACAGTCCACTAATAACTGATGAAAGAAAAATAAAAGGTGACGGCTAACAAAAATACTAACTGAGAAACTCGGAAGCCACTGGACTGCATTCTGGATGTAACATTTGCATATTTCAGATGTGTAATATAGCCATGTTTTCTGCAAGTTAGGTTCCTAGTACTTATGATAGAAATAAGTTTATCTACACTTTCAAGTATTCCATAAATCTAACCATAATCCCCAGCTACTCTGCTCTTTCCATAGGTAAAACAATAATTAATCAAGATAGCTCAGTTAACAAAAAAAAAAAAAAAAGCCTGACTTACATTTTTGTTTGTTCATTTCTAGTGCTCTTTGCTGAGGTTGTTGAAACAAAATTATCCCACTAGGCATTCCTTGTTACCTTAATCAGTTCCACTCTTTCTTCTTCTGTACCACTTTTTATCTTCTTACGAACTGTATAACTGACTTACTTATTATGGTTTTTTTTCTTGTCTTTTCTTCCCTTCTAGAACAGAAGCATAAAGAGGGCAGGGATTTTTGTTTTAATCAATGATGAATCATAAATCCTAGAACATTGCTGGGAACTGTATGTGCCCAGTAAATATTTATTGATTTAATAAAATGTTATTATCTTATGCAGCTTAGTTCATAGGGATATTTTTCATACTGGCTTCCTTGCTCTAAAATCGGACAGTTTTCAATTTTTCAGGGTCTGAGCTTCTTAGGACACTTTGCAAAAAAAGAACATCAAAGAAAAAAACCAACCTTTTTACATGCATTCACTTTCTAATTGTAGGGTTTGTAATCTTTTATTTCTGACAGACATCGATCACCTCACTCTCCTAAGGGGGTACAAGCCTGAACCTACATCGAAATCCAAAAATTCGTGAAGAGAATTCATTGTTTTGGTATTTCTAGCACAGTACAGGAGAATAACTCACATATACAAAAAGGGTACATGATAACATAACTGATGTCACTATGCCTGATTATCAAGTTACTTTCATGCATTTACACCTAATAATGGGAAGGAAATTTTGCTATATTTTAACCTTCATGACACATCCACATCCCATTTTAAGTGGACTTTGGGGTCTTTTGCTTCTTTGTCATTAACAAGAACTATCCTATGCAATATAAACATGTACATACTTAACCACACAAATACATATAAATAAAATAAACACAAAATGTGTGTACAGTATGAAGAAAAACAGCCTTAGAAAGTTGCTTTATTATTTATCTGTAATGTTTAATCTTTATGAAATTGTGTGACTGTCATACAAGCACAGTTCTAAGTCTATTATTACCATGTCCTCTTAACTAGACTGTTATCTCTAATTCCCTTTCATATAAAAATGTTGAAGACATCACTGCCAAGGAATTATTATTTTACAACCTACAAATTTGAAGCCTAGCATAGGAAAAAATTATAATAGTGTACATCAATTCAACCATTTTCTTGACTATTGGGTGTATAGTCATCTGGTTGTTTCTTAAGATGGCTTAATAGTTGTGTATATATGTATGTGTATTTTCTCATCAGTAATATTCATATGATTGCTGTTACAGAATCAAATATAATTTTGTTTCTCAAGCCAAAATCAGTGTATAGTGACCTTAAGAGTAATAGAGTGTTAAGGAGCAAATGAGAAATCTCAGTAAAGCTGATAAAACAATCATCTCCCTTTGAATTTACTTATCAGCCTCTGTCATGCAAGAAATGTTGTTGTTAGATAACATGGAAAAGATAATAGTTACAAGAGTGAGATATTTTCCAGCTTAGTTTTTAGCTGATATGGCTTATCTCTGTTAAGAGGATTCTGAAGTTATCTGCACTGTATGTTGGAAATTTCTATTTCACTAATACAGCAGGATAAGGCGATTTTCCATTCAAACATTGTGAGTGCAATTAGCAGCAGCTTTTCCAGCGCCTCAGAAGATGCCCAGTATAATTTAAGGACATGTTTCAGAGGCACAAACAAGGAATCAAGAGGAAAGAGAGTTTACGTGTTTTCATTTTGGAGGACTGAGATTAAAATTACAATGTGTACATACACTAAGAGGTATATGAAAATCACATAAAAGGAGAAATTATTTGATCTGGCATTTGGAAAATTATTAAAAAGCAGAGTAACAGCAGGCTATAAAAATGATCTTGTTTGCAGGCAACATTTGTTTTTGTTTCCCCACTGGAGAAGTTTTGGATGTTCAATTATAGGCCTCATTGCTTCAGTGTTATTTTCAACTGAAATGTCGGAACTTGGAAAAGCATATCTAATGTGCAAATTAAGTTTATTGCTGCTCATTTAGTTGTTTATTCTTCGTGATAGAAGTCTTTATTATACCAGCATTACAGAGTGGCCTATCCATTTTCTCCAGCAGAATGATACGGGTCTAAGTTTACTAAGAGAAATGCCCAAGATATGTAGATAATTGGAGGCTTCGTGGCTCTAGAAGGCAGTTTGAAGGATTTGAGGTATCAAGCTCAGCTTTATTGACAAGCCCAGTTTGATTGAGCAGACCAAAAGTACACTTTCAGAGAAATGACAAGATGTATTGGAATACATTTGTCATATCGTAGTACTTGAAAACACCAGAGAAGTCTCCAGCAGCACTAAAATCTCCCCAAAAATGTTCAGTTCCACACGCCACTTTCCTACACAGAATGACTGAAAGCATTTCAACAGAATGAACATTTGATTTAAAAATTAGTGATGGTAAAAATTACTTTCAAGGTGAGAAAATATATAAGGAGTTATTATACTGGTCAGATGAAAAAATTTCCTGTTCCAATATTGAAAGTGATGCTGCGTGAATTATTGAAACGTGAATACTACAATCTCTTCAAGTAAAAATGTAAAAACAAGCAAAAACACGCATCAATTTAAGCAAGCCCACTAAGATCAATGTTGTCTTGGTCTTCATGAAAATTTAGTTCACAATCTTTTTTAAAATGCAGCATATGTCACTCAGATTAAATTACCACATATGACATATAGCTGTGTTTTTTCTTAATGTATATTTTACAAAATATAATGTAAAGGATAGATGTTAATACAGCATAGGTTTTACCACTTTTTTCAAGATATTTTTACTGCATAGTTTAAACCTATTATTGGTCAAAGTTTTGTTTAATTTTGATAAAAATAGGGGGTGTATAGCTAGTGGTTTATGCCAGTTGAAGGAGACCAGACACAGAAGAGTATAGAACTCTTACTAAAGTGGTCAATACACAGCCTCTGGAATTATATTAACCTGCCATTACTAACTAACGTGGAACTTGACGACTTAGTTTTTATGGTTATTCATCTTGTTTTCTTTATTATTATTATTCATTACTATTTGTTAAATACATTCTCTGTCCTAGGCACCATGATAGGTTCTTTGTGTATATCATCTCATTTCAACTTTCAGAGTAATGCTTTGAAGCAGATATTATTATCTCAATTTTATACAAGGGAGATTGAGGAATAGGTTGCTAAAACCACTTGCCCAAGGTCCCTGCATTAGTAAGTGGCAGAACTTTAGCTTTCCTTCTTTTCCATCTTCCAACAAATGTACATATTAAAAAATGCATGAGACAATTTTACATCGCATTGTTCAAAGTCTAGCAGGAATAAAAGTATAGTAACATGCAGATATTAGTACTTCCTCCTAAATACCGCAGCCTTCATTCATTAGAGTGCAATTTTATATGTACATTTTTATATGTAAAAATTCATTTGAGTGCAATATTTATGTGCATTTACATTTTATTATATGTAAATTTTACATAAATGCACATTTATGTAAATGCACATTTATGTAAAATTTACATATAATAAAATACATAAATTTTAATGTATATTCACTAAATTTTGAAAATGGCATTTGTAACCCAAAACACACAAGATATAGAACATCATTATCATCCAACATCTAGAACTTTTTTTATGTCACTTAATCCTTGTTCCTACTACACTCCTAGAAGCAGCTACTGTAATAATTTTCTCACCATAGATTTCATTCAAATGCTACCTTATATTGTGTATTCTTTTGTGTTTGGTGTCATTCATACAGTATAAACCACTAGCTATCCATCTCCTATTTTTATTAAAATAAAAAAACACTTCAACCGATACGTTTATTCTGCAGGTAACTAAATGCATATATACATGTATGTATATATAAATCTCAAACTATTAAGTCTTTTTGATCTTTAGTTTCCTGCCCAAACCTGCAAACACTTGTGCTCACTTGTTTCTTGAGTTTTTAGTTAAGAATTGGAAATTTAGTAAATTTACCTTGACTCTATTCTGACCGTAAAAGAAGCAATTAGGCTACTCTTCTTCTTAGGCATTCTCTCTCTAAATTAGCTCAGTGGTCACTTATGCTCTAGGGCCATTTTTTTTTTTTTTAGGAATAAACTATGTCATTAAGATGGAAAAGACTTCCCCAGAAGCAAGCTATGTTTTCAGTCTCTGGATCCTGAATACTCAAGCAAGTAGTTACCAAATGCTTTCAAGTCCAAAAGAGGAATGGGGTTGAAGGGCGTGGAAGGGGAAAAAATAATCACATGAATCAAACTTAGCCTTATCCTCTTTTTTTGGGTTTTATTTTCTCATTTTGACTCCCTCATCCCAACATGAAACGTTCAGAAGAAAATATCATTTGTATTAACACCTATTGACAGGCACAATAAAAATTTCTACTTTCATCTTCTACAAAACTACAGGCTGGGTGTGGTGGCTCATGCCTGTAATCCCAGCACTTTGAAAGGCTGAGGTGGGAGGATTGCTTGAGACCAGGAGTTCAAGACCATGGCAAGACCTTATCTCTACTAAAAATAAGAAAAATTAGTAAGGCATGGTGGCATATGCCTGTTGTCCCAGCTACTTGGGAAGCTGAGATGGAAGGATCACTTGAGCTCAGAAATTCAAGATTGCAGTGAGCTATGATCATGCCACTGTACTCCAGCCTAGGCAATACAGCAAGATCCTGTCCCCCAAAACAAAAAAGGTACAGAAGTCTTCTATTGTATAATTCGCTACAGCCAGCATGAAGTTACTATTGGAGAATAGTCTGAATGAACACTATCTATTTATAAGAAATATAAATATGATGCCATAAATATGTAGTCACTGCCTATTATGTACTAATAGCTTTGAAACAGAGTAGTTGTCATATCTAATTTATTACACAGAATCTACAGAGCATGTTCTGTTTAAATAGATGTCAGGCCCTGCTTTGACTATTTGTTAATATAAAAGATCTGTGTTTACATTTTACAATATTATTTGCTAGGGAAATAGGGTAACATTGCATGTTTTCTCATTTAGACATCTCAACTTTTAGACAATGCTTTCTCTAGACTGGTTTTTCACTTGTTTCTTTTAATCTGGGGTTCTCAGTAGTCTTTTAATATTTATTCCAAACCATTTAAATGTTGAAGTAGTAAATAAATGAGTAATGGTACCTGAAGGTAAATTGGAATATATTGACCATGATTACTTTATGCATTGAAATTAAATTTTACTCTGTGGTGAAATATGATAAATGCTGCATGTAGATTTTAATCTGTAGATACACGTGTGAGCAGATAATCATGCACTTGTCTAAGAGGATATAAAACATTTTAGACTTACGGATTGTATTTGCAAAAAGGAAAAGCTTATTAACTAAAGACTAAAAACAACTCCTTTATTTCTGGCTTGCTACACCTGGAGAAATGAAGACCCCATCACACCGATTTCCTTGTTCGTTTGCCTGCTTTTCTCTGTCCAAGGTTTATTTCAGAGTATTAGCTTTGATTTTCCTGTGTTTGCTTTCCCTTCTTTTGTTCGTTTGCTTAGTTTTCTACGGACTTGCCAACAATTCATTTCCCAAATCTATCTCAATAGTCTCCCTTCAATATCAGCCTGCCCTGTGTGTTGACGCTCCATTGCCTAACTCCATGCCTTTCTGTTTCTTAACATACTCCTTCACTTTGGTTGATTAAACCTTCCAGTGGATTTTTGAGAAATAATCCAAGAGATATACAATTTTTTTAATCTTTCATGTTTGAAAGTGTCTTTATTCTGTGTTTACATTTTATTAGTGGTTTAGTTTGAAGTAGAATTCTAGACTGGAAGCCATTATTTCTCAGAAATTTTGAGCCGTTACTGTGCTCTGAAAGCCTAAACTTTGTTGATTTCTAATCTGTTGTTTGTGACACCTTTTCCCTCTTGTTCTCTAGAATTCTGTTTTCTCCAATGTTTGACAATTTCAAGATAATGTGTCATGTTTTAAATCTGTTATCAACTATTACACTGGGCATTTGGCAGGCTTTGTCGCTGTAGAAACTCATACTTCTTGGTCCTAAAATATCTTTCTGAATAATTTAATATTTTATTCCATTCCTTCTCCTAAAAGCCCTGTTATTTAAATGTTATATTTTCTAAACTGGTAGTCTAGTTTATGGTTATATTCATCTATATGTATGTATATAAACATACATGTATATTCTATACACATTCTATATATTCTATATACATGTATGTATACACGTATTTTTTTTCTTTTTTTCTCTCTTAGTCTTCATTTTATAGCTGTACCTACCCTTTGTATCTCATCCAGTTTTATGTTTCTAAATATTATCTATAAGTTAATTCCCAAACTCAAATCAAGCTAATTCCAGCTCAGATATTTCTCTTCAATCCCCAAATTCAACAGCCTATTTTATCATCTTCACTTACAAATTTACTATATCCTAACCTTGAACTCCTGATTCTTACTCCCCAAACTTGTTTCTACTGTCTTCTTTCTCCACTATATTAATGACAGTCTGCACTGACAGTTGTTTAGACCAAATCCTTGAGATTATTTTTAATTTTTTTCTTTCATTTAAACCCCATATTCAATTGCCCCAAAATGGTTTCAGCTTCAAGGTACATACAGAATCTAACCACTTCTCTCCGCTTCAATGACCAAACTTTAAGCCATGCCATCTCTTTCCCAGAGTATTGCTATAGCACAGAATGGCTCAACCAGGATGATTTTGTCTCCCAGGGGACATTGGCAAAATATGCAAATATTTTTGGTTTTCACAACTGAAGGGTCTCACCCGACCCCATCCGCTGCCTTGCACCACACACACGCTAAACCCACACCTTGACACACACAAGAAAAAATTATTTGGACCAACTGTTGATAAATGTTAAGCTTGGAAACCCAGTAATAGCTTCAAAAGCATTTGTCCTAATTCTTTGTTTCCCTTCTAGAAGCTACAATGTTGCTATTAAAATATAGGCAAGATTTTGTCACTCTTAGGACTGAAATCTTCTAATGGTTCTTCAGTTTGGTTTTGTTCCTTTTGTTCAGCATTCCTACTGATGTATAATTTGGAATAAGGTAAGGGTGCAATACTAATTAAATGGTTTTCAATAGATGATTGAATAAACAATTAGTACATTTCTATGTTAGGAATCTCTACTTCTGTCCAAAATTATACTTATTTCTTTCTCTAACTGACAGCAATTATCATACTCTTCAAGCTATTATCTAAAAACCTACTGATAAATGGCCTAAATATTTTTACCAATACACTTAATCTATTATGAAACATTAATAATAAAGGAGAATAATCTGTCTTAACTAGTTGAAGTAAGCTTATCACACCAACCTCCCACTGATGTTCACCACAAATATTGTTAAAATATTTAAAAATGAACAAAAACAGTTTTTTCAAGGAATTGTGACAACAGCCAAGGTGTTTGCAACATGAGGTGCAGAAGCCTGGAGAAAACAAAAGCACAGAGAGGTTAGCCCCACATTCCCTGCTGTTTTTCTTCTCAGAAATTTGTCAATTCCTAAGCAGTATAAATCAGGAATGAAGAAACCAATCAGAAAGTAGAAAACATCTCAGCAGAAATTTTGGTAGACTTACAGTGAAAGGGAGACACAAATAGAGGTTCAGAATAAACCAAATAGAATGAAGTCTGCTAAGCAGCTCAACCTTGAGTCAGGACATCTGAAGGACTATGTCCTAGTAAGAAACAAAACAAAATAAAATAAAATTGACCAGGACTTAAAATGACTAAGATCCAGACTCAATTCATATCAGTTTCGGACCAGCTTCTGGCTCTTTTTATAATTGCATGCTTGAAAAAGTAAATCTTCCCGGTACAAATATAACACTATAAAATCACTTACATTTTTGATCCACAACGTCTAGCATTCAATAAAACGTTACTAGGAATAACTGGAGCTATGACCAAATGACCAAAACTCAGAGAAAAAAACAGATAATAGTAACAGGTCACAGCGATAGAAATATTGAAGTTCTCAGACAAGGGCTTTAAAATAATTTTGATTAATATATTAAAAGATAGATGACAAGATGGAGAATTTCAGAAAGGAAATGGCATCTGTTAAAACTCCAATGGAAGTTCTAGAACTGACAATTGCAAGTGCTAACATTAAGAACAGAATACATTGATTTAACACAAGGATAGCTATAACAGAAAGAGGATTAGTAAAGGGGAGGATGCGTGAATAGAAAATGTCTAAACTGCAGCATGGAGAGAGAATAAAATGGGAAAGACAGAAAGTATCATAAGGAAAATATGGAATATAGTGAATAACTTTTAACATATATAAAATTGTTCCAAAAGGAGCAGAGAGGACAGAAAGAAAATTAGGCATGAGCAATATTTGAAGAAATATTTGCCAGATACTTTTTAAAAACTGAAAATGATAAGTATCCAATTCAAGAAATTATGTGAGTCCCAATTCAGACAAATGCAAAGGAAAGCCTAGCTAAGCACACAGTAGCAAAACTAAAGGGAAAAAAATCAGATAAAAAAGATACATTAAGTCAAAAAAACAAGACTAGCAGTTGATATAACAAAGAAAAAAGGAACCCAGAAGAAAATGAAATGACATTTTTAATGCGCTAAAGACAATACCAATAAGAATTCTATCCCTATTTAAAAATCCCCCCAAATAAAGACAAAATAAAGATGCTTTCAAACAAACAAAACCTGAGAGAATCCCCATCACTTAAAAAAATAAAAATTTCATATATTTAAGGGGTACAACACCTTAAATGTTTGACCTACTTATGTGCAATAAAGTGGTTACTATACTAAGCAACTTAACTTATGCATTTCCTCACATAGCTGCCTCTTTTGTGTGTGTCTCTGCGATGAGAACACCTGAAATCTAAACTCTTGGAAAGTTCTCAGTATACAATACAGTATTTATGATACAGTATACAGATATATATATACACAGATAACTGTATCATTGTGCTGTGCATTCTATCTCTAGACTTATTTGTTCTACATAACAATAACTTTGTACCTTTGACCAGAATCTTCCCATTTTCCTCACTTTTGTGCTCTCAGTGACCACCATTCTAGTATCTATTTGTATGTATTTGACTTTTTTTGATGCCACCTATAATTTAGATCATACAGGATTTTTCTTTCTGTGCCTGGCTTACTTCACCTAGCATAGTTCTTCCAGATTCTTCTATATTGTTGCAAATGGTAGTATCTCCTTCTTTTATAGAGCTGAATAATATCCCATTGTGTACACATGTCACAATTTATTTATCCATTCATCCACTGATGGACACTAGGTGATCTCCATATCTTAACTATCATGAATACTGCTGCAATGAACATGTGAGTGCAGATATTCCTTTGACTATTGATTTTATTTTCTTTGGATATATATCCACAAGAGGGATTGCTGGGTTGTATGGTATCTCTATTTTTAATTTTAGGGAACCCTCCATACTGTTTTCCATAATAGCTGTACCAATAAATATTCCCACCAACAGTATGTAAGAGCTCCCTTTTTCCACACCCTAGATAACAGTCATCTCTTGTCTTTTTGACAGTAGCCATCCTAACAGGTGTGATGTGACATCTCATCATGGTTTAGATTTGCATTTGCCTGATGATTTATGATGTTGAGCACATTTTCACATACCTATTGGCTATTTGTATGTCTTCTTTGGAAAACTGTCTATTTAATTCAGTTTCTACAGTTGGAAGGAAAACCATGTATATAGAGGAAGTAATAAAGAGCAACGGAAAGGACTAATATCTTAATATGTAGCGTAATTTGAGATTCTGAGGAATTCATTAGAAAAAAGACCAATTTTTAAAGGTATTTATTTCTAGACATTGCAAGTTAACTAGCAAGAGAAAATATGAGAGAATTTTGTCACCTATTTGAAGTGCTATTTATATACTAGTTTACTTAATATTGATTTCTTAGCAACATTTTCTATAATGTCATAGATAAATAAAGGAAGAGCCCCATGTTTGTACAGGAGGAAGAGTTTGATAATTTTTCTTACACTTTTGTCTATCCTTTGAGAGGAGTTTATAACTTCAGCAACACCTTAGCAGTTATTATTCTGAAAAGTGACATTGATAAGGGTTTCAACTGAGTTGAAGGAAAAAAAAAACAAAACAAACAAACAATATTTTCTGTATGGTCAGGAAAGATGAATTATACATTTAACTGCCATCCCCTTGCTTCTAAAAATGTAGTTAGAGATCATGAAAGGTAAGAGTGTATTTATTTGGCCATTGATATAGAGAAGCAGTCCCATTTTTAAGTGTTTAAAGAAATCACAATAAATGGTCCTGACATAAGTTTTGATGTAATTAGTCTTCATGTCTGCTGGGGTCCCCGTAACTAAAATGCATTCTGGAAACATCATTGGCTATTATGAAATGTGAATTTCAGTAAGGCTATTCATCAAAAGCGTCACATCATATATTCTATTACTCTTCTTAAGAATAGGACTGCTAGATGAAGCTGTTTTTATATAATAACTTTTAGCTCACTGACAGAGATTGAAAATGGTAAATATTAAAATTCTGTGGTTTTACAAACTCTTCATGAATGATTGTCATTTATATTTAGGGCAATCTTCAAAAAGTGGCTAGTTCTTATGATTTCAGAAAGTGAATGAGAAATGTTCCTCCCTATTCTGTATGTAAATATTCACTCTCCCCCAACATGTTCTTCCTTTTATTATTGAAAATTGCAAGCACACACAGAAGTAGAGGTGATAGTATAAGAAACTCTCATGTATACATCACTCAGAGTCAATAGAAGGCAACTCTTATCAATCTTGTTTAATCTATACACTAACCTACTTCCACAACTCCAATTATCTGGAGGCAAATCCCAAACCTCAATAATTTCACCCACAAATATATCAGAATGTATCTTTAAAAGATTAAGGAATCTTCTTTTTAATATAACATAAAACCAGTTTTCTTATGGTAACAAATTATTATTTCTAAATTATTTAGAATTCAAATTTCCATAATAGTCTCATAAATATGTAAGCTTATATGTGTATGCATGTTAAATAAAAACACATATATTTTATATGTGAATATATGACATATTTATGTTGTGTTTAATCCTCTTCAATCATGAAAGCAACATTTCCGGACATTGTTTCTCAGAAGTCCTTATATACCAAGATATACTTCCATTTCTATGTACGAACACTGTATGTATCAAGAAATGTTACATGGATTAAAAATATTCCATACTCTACCAAATGTAGGAAACCTTGAATTAAATAAAATTTTAAAAATAAATAAACTTACTTTTAATGACAAAAACCGCAATTACTTTTGCACCAATCCAATAAATAAGAATTCCTTTCATTTAGGAATTCTCAGAGCTTTTAATATGTTAAAATGTTTAAGAAATGATAAAAGTGGAGATAATATACAGAATTAATTACAGTTAACCTTGGGACTCCATCTTTCTTTCTTGAAGTATTACTAACCAGGAACACTTACTGGATATAAATTTTTCCTAAATCCACAGTATTAGAGAATTTCAGACAATATATTTTATATTTGAATGTTTCTTAAATAGAAATTTCAGGTTCAAGTTTTAAAAACTAAGGGAACATTTGTCAAAGCATGGTCTCTGGAATAACTATATCAAAATCAAGTGGAGAAGCCTGATGAAAGGACGTATTCAAGGTCTAGACACACTGAATCAGTATTTCTGGTGCAATATGAGGAGCTCACGTTTTGAATGCATGCTCAGGAAACTCTTACACATGTTAAAATTTTAAAACCACTAGATCAGACTTCCTACAAATGGCTAAGGAATATGCAAGAAGAATAGCATGACATGAAATGAAAGCGAATAAGTAACCCTTTGTTTTGTTTGAAAAGACTTAAAGAATCTCAAATTTTTACAAACGATAGAGTCTAGCGTAGTCAACAACTTTCCTCCTTTTTAATTTGTTATAATTCAGGCCCTAAAGATCTCACCGATCCATAAATACCGAGAAGTGTTTCAGTGTCGATGAGCCTCGAGTAACTGCAGCTACTCTACTGGCACATATGCACTCTTAGGAAGTGAGTAGAATATAGGATCTGAGTGGTTTGAAGAAATCTCTCAGATGCTTGAGTTTCTTAAGAATTTAAGGTGTATTTGATGAGGAATTAATGGACTGAAGCCCCTCTTCTTTCCACAAAGTAGCATGAACAGTTTTGCATATTTCAACTGTGCAAGCACCAATCTTCCAGTCCCTGCAAGTGTGATTTTTGTCTCTGTGGGGTACTCATGTTAGTGCTGGGGCTGAGGCTGCACATGGCTGTAGAATGAACTCTTTGAGAGAGCAATCAATGGCCTCATGGCTATTAGACAGCCATCTGCACAGGATGAGGACAGGTCTGCCTGTGGTGGGTGGAGAGGATACAGCAGTTAAAATGTTCTTGTCCAAGCACCTCTTCACCCACACAGGAGGCTACTCCCAGGAGGAACTATGCATCCCCTTTTTCTGGATAATAAGCATGCTTATGTAGAGCTACTTCTTTTCAAATACAGTCTATTTTTCACACTGCAGATAATGGTATGTCATCATATCACTCCTCTGCTTCATACTTCCAAAGTTTTTAACTTTTTCAGCAAAAAATGCATTTCTAAAATTTTTAATTGATGAATAGTAATTTTGTTTTATGTATTTGTGGGATATAATGTGATATTTTGATACATGTTTACATTGTGTAATGATTAAATCAAGCTAGTTAACACAGCCATCACTTCACATCCTATCATTTTTTTGTGATGAGAATTAAAATCCTCATTGGGTAATTTTGAAATATGTATTACATTAACTGTAGTCACCATGCTGTGCCGTAGGTCTCTAAAACTTATTCCTCCCATCTGAAACTTAGTACGCTGTGAACAACATCTCCTCATTCCCCATCCCTCCCTCCCACCAGCCTCTGATAACCACCATGCTACTCTTTACTATGCTACTCTCTACTATGTAAGAATATATTTCTTAGCGTGACATCCAGAGCTGGTTTCATGGACATACAATCCAGTCACACAGAGCCCTGTGCTGAGGAAGTCCCCATGTTTGAAATATTCTGCTGTGACTGTCTTGAAATTCTTAATCATTTTACCTCTCAATTTGTGTTTTGTACATACTAAACACAAATTGAGAGGTAAAATGATTAAGAATTTATTTGTAACCTGTGTGTGCATGAGCTGCTGCTGCTGCTGCTTCACCATACCCACATGCATATGTGGCAGCTCCTGCACACACAAGTTCAGGCTTAAAGACCCAGCAGTCGGCATGCGTGCACAGCAGTTGGTGTGGTGTGCAGGTGTGCACATGCTTGCCTGGGTAGTCATAGTCCTGGAGTCCTGAGGGCATGGGCACATCAGAACCTGGGCCTCTTAAAGGGATGGAGATAATGGTGGTAGCAGCCATAGAAACGGCAGTGGATGGCAGCAAAGGCTGCAGGAAGCGACTTCAAAAGTAGTCAACAGGAGGATCCAAGGTGGGAGGCCAGCTTGCCCATACCTCGCCGGAGGCTGTCTCTGTGGGATTTGCAAAAATATTAACTCTCCATCCTGAGCACCAGAACAGAAATTGTTAGTGCTCAGGCAATAAACTTTGTCAATAAATTATTGCAAAAGGAAGGCATACACATGGACATTGCAATAAAATCCACAGGCTTAGAAATAGAAATTAAACTTAAAGATTATTCCAGTCAATGATAAGAACATTATTTTTATATGATGCTTTGGGGAAACCAATAATTGATGAGTTTTGCTTTGTAATTGAAGATACAAAAATGGAATGGTAAAACAGGCATTTTGAACTATACGAAAATCATGAAGTCCCTTTCAATTTCTTGTACAACCTCCACAAGTTACAGTGTATGTCAGAGGAAACATTAAGATTCCATTGCATACATTTATATTTAAAATTAAATTCAGGCTTTCATAAAACAGATTTGTATAAAGAGTTAAATCTTTTTAGAAAAATATTGGTGAAGAGAATCATCAGCTCTAGATATTTCAACATTTATATTTCAGTGTATAATTCATCAGAAACTTCTGAATGTTACTACAGTCTATAAAACAGTCTTAATGGTTTCATAAAAGTTGCATCAGAGAAAGATACTTTGCAAAATAAAAACTTATCAAAAAGTATTTGTGATCTTGCATTTGCCAGGAGTGACTGATGTCACTGAAGTTATATCAATTGAAAATGAAGTTGCTAAAAATATAAATTCTGTTGATCTAGTAAACAATTGACCAGAAAAGTAATGGAGAAAATTATATAATCAATCAAGATATAACCTCAATAAAGTATTATTTATTATATCGTATAAAATTATGACACCAAAATCATGTATTTTGTAATTTGTAAGTGTATGTCATCACTCATCTATGAATCATACCCTAATTTTATTTTATAAGTTATAAATTATTTTAAAGCGAAAAGCTTTGTATTTAATACCTTTAATGACACTTTTTCCTCTTTTTCAAAAAAGACACCCCACGCTTTCATTTTGCACTTGGACCCACAAATTATGTAGCTGACCTTAATGACGTTTGTGGCTTATATCCTGACCAAGGCTATCCTCCAGCTTCATCTTCTTCGCTTTCACTCCTCTATTACTCTGTGTTTAATCCTTTCATTTTCAGCACATGGTTGCACGGAGTCTGCCGATCACAGTTCTTTTTCACACAGTTTCTCTGTGAACGCTCTTGCCTGCGCAGGAAATCTAGTTTCCTCTCTCTACCTGCTACCTTTACCCAGCTCACTACTACTTGCCTTTTACTTCTCAGCGAAAACAGTTCTTTCTCCATAAACTGATCCCCTCAGGATTTGCCAAACATTTCAAACAAGTCACTTCTAGTATATGGTGCTTATCACACATTACTGTATAGTAACTAATATGATTGGATTCATGCTAGCTTCCTTTTGTAGACGTTCATCTCTGTGAAGCAACACTCCTTATCTTTTTGACTTGCTGCGGGTTTTTTTTTTTTTTTTTCCTCATTTTCTTCCCTATCTTGACTCCAGTACTTAGCATAGGATTGGACATACATTACATGCTCAATAAATATTAGTTACAAATGAGTTAACTAGTGAAAAATGTAACCATTATAAGTGATGAAATAAACATTTCTTATTCATAAAGCTTTCATCATTATTACTGTACAACAATGAGCTATGTAGATAGGGAATAATTTGTCCAACTTTGCCACTATGTGGTGTCATAAATGGAAGGACTTGCTGTCATTTTTAATGTCTGAAAATTACTTTAATTGCATGATCTAAAACTTTAAATCTGGGCAGTTTTGCTCTGTCAACACATCCAGTTAGCCAACTTATCCTCCTATAAATGTAAATAAGACATTTGTGATTTTTTTTTTCAGAGTAACTACAAAAGGAAAATATTTTCTCTAGTTCTAAAAAATTTTCTTGGATCCCTGGATATCTTTTTTTTTTTTAAGGTTCAATCACACTTTATTCATTTATGTTTTTAAGTTTTTTAGGTCATACATTTCCTCAATTCTTCATACATTTTATTTCAGTCAATTAAATTACAAAACAATACAAGCTTTTTAAATTCAAAGTCTAAAGTATATAAAGTAATAATGATTCCCTCTCTTTCTCTTACCCTTCAACTTCACCTTGCTAATGTAACAAACTTAATAATTTAATGTGTATCTTTTTTTATTTTCTACTAGTTTATTCTTTGATTAGAATCCAATAAGATCCAAAAAAAAGAAAGAACCCAATAAGATCCATACATGGCAGTTGGCCAAGTTTTTTTTTAATCTATTGGTTTCTCCTCCATCTCTCTTCTTTTTCTTTCTTTTTTTTTAATTTTATTATTAGTATACTTTAAGTTTTAGGGTACATGTGCACAACGTGGGAATTGAACAATGAGAACACATGGACACAGGAAGGGGAACATCACACACCGGGGACTATTGTGGAGTGTGGGGAGCGGGGAGGGATAGCATTAAGAGATATACCTAATGCTAAATGACGAGTTAATGGGTGCAGCACACCAACATGGATCCCTGGATATCTTTTACCCTTATTTTGGTTGCAAATCTGTGAAGAAGCCTTGGAATTAAGAATGGGCATAGTCCACAAAATCATTCTTTAAATTTCTCCTTAGACAAAATTAGAATATAAAGTGCATGCATCTGGTTAGGTGCAGTGATTAACGCCTGTAATCTCAGCACTTGGGAGGCCAAGTCAGGTGGATCACTTGATGTCAGGAGTTTGAGACCACCTGGCCAACATGGTGAAACTCTGTCTCTGCAAAAATACAAAAATTTACCTGGCATGGTGGTGCGTGCCTGTAATGCCAGCTACTCAGGAGGCTGAGGCAGGAGAATCTCTTGAATCTGGGAGGCGGAGGTTGCAATGAGCTAAGATGGCATCACTGCACTCTAGCCTGGGTGACGGAGCGAGACTCCATCTCAAAAATAATAATAACAAAAGTAAAAAAAAGTACATGCATCTAATATAAATATGGAAAGTATTTTAAATAATAAAAAATGAAGACATATTTGATACAGAATGAGTTTGATTTTCTCTATTATATTCATATTCAGAACTATAGCGTGTGTTTTTATTTTTTCATGGCTCTTTTGTCAGTATGTACCTTAAAACCCCAAATTATTACTTCCTACTTTCTACTTCTAAATATTTATGAATGAAGAAAACAATTAAAAATGTTTAAATGGTCAAATAATAACTAAACATTCTATTGGTAAAATGCAGTTACACATTAATCATTGTGAACATATAAATGCAATCTCAATGTTAGTTTGGTTTCTTGAGCAGAATGAAGAAGGTAGAAGAAAGTGAAGATTTTAGTCCATTTCTTAGAGAGCTAAACTTTATCTTATAAATTACCCATGGAGAAATAGATTCTCCATGGGTCATTTCACTATTTTTAAACTTCTTCATGTATAATTTTTTTTTTACAATAACTTGCCTAAAACCTTTATTCTTAAATGTAAATCTTTCAAAACAATTTATTCTTGGTAAGATGGTACATATCTAAATCCAAATATTTGTCCAGGGCCCCTTCATAGATATTGAGTTGCTCTTTGATGAATTCTCAACTCTCTGGAATCAGAACTTTATTATAAACGAAGTAGTCATAACGATCTACATTGTGAGTCTCTTTTAATCTGAACAAATATAGGACTCTCAAGTACAACTGGCACACCCTGGGATTGTCCTTTGAAATTTTGGTCAATGAAATGCTAGGTCTTGTAAAAGAAAGATTGACATAGAGAACATTTCTAGAGGGAAGGTTTTTATGATGGATGCATAATTTTAACACTGGAAAATCTGAATTATTAAAGGGAAAACTTCCATCTTCCCTATTCATGTTGCATCTTTAACAAAAAGAAAATTAGAGCTACGTCAAAGACAGAATAATTATGTTGCATTCACCCTCTTAAATATAAACGTATGTCTAAATCTCTATAGAAACTATGGTGGTCATAATCTTAGAAACATGGTTTGTCTCATGGTATATGAAGTTAACAGAGAGCATTTAGAGCTGTTACCAGTGTGTCAATTGTAATGTTATGACTAAAATGTTAGAATAAAATATAACAAAAACAATGCAGTGCATCCTGTATATATGGAATGCCATTTTTTGAGGTCTACAGTTTTCTGTAAACTATTTTCATATAAGGTGTGAATATATTTTTAATTTTAGTATAAGTAATAAGCTACAATAATAAATACAAGACATTTAAAAACAGGCAAAGGAATATTTCATACTGGACATTGTAGAACTCCAGGTTGCATTTATATAATTTCAAATGAATGATAAAGTATTCAGAAATATGTATTTTATAACCATAGGCTAGCATTTCATAAGCTTTAAAAAATAATTTTTTTTCTCAACAGAGAGAACTGTCATTACCGTCCCACCTTCCAAAATGGATGTTACAGTTGGCGAGAGTATAGTGCTACCATGCCAGGTGTCCCATGACCCCTCCATTGAAGTGGTATTTGTATGGTTTTTCAATGGAGATGTCATAGACTTAAAAAAAGGAGTGGCTCATTTTGAAAGGATTGGAGGAGTAAGTTACTGAAATTGTTAAGTGCTTAATAAAATGAATCAAGTCTTTTACATGAATCACCATTTTTCATAGTTACTCTCTCCATCTTTATTTGCATGGATAATCACTGACTGTTTTTGAAGCTACATTTGTTTTTGTTTTGGTTTATTTTGTTTCGTGTCTTCCGTAGAAATACTTGTTTTCTAGATGTAATTATAATAAGGGGGATAATAAAAGGGTTTAGATACAAGAAATGACAATGATACTAGTATATCTTTTAATTTCAGAGTTGTTTTATGTTTCGTATTTATCCAGCTGTAACAATAAAGTAGGACTTGTTATATGGGCTTACGTTTTTATCCATTTCTCCCTTTCTGTCTGCAGGAATCTGTTGGGGATTTGATGATAAGGAATATTCAGTTACATCATTCAGGAAAATATCTCTGCACAGTACAAACAACCCTAGAAAGTTTATCTGCAGTAGCCGATATCATTGTTAGAGGTAAGCATAAATGGTGAAAAAGTGATCACATTGTTTCTTCACAGTTACAGTGTTCATATCTAAATTGTAGACCTCTGAGAAACCACACCATGTTATGGAAGTGAGATGTAATCAGATAGAGTTTTATTTTTTAAACCCCAGGACTCCATGGTATGGGTAGTGTGAATACAGACATGGAACTGTGTGAATACAGACATGGAACTGTGTAGGATTTGACTATCATGAACGGTCACGCTTGGCAAGCGGTGTCAGTAACTAAAACTTAGACATACCTTCTGTTTATAATAAATCATTCTTGTCAATCCAGAGTCAAATCCACATGCTCCTGTAGTTCTTCATATTAGCTGCAATTACTTGAGTTAGATTTTAAGAGGAATTAAAGATGATGGTTCTCAATCTTTGAGTATAGGTTGATATGCAATCATCCTATGCCTGATATTTTCTAATCTCCAGAGGAAGCACTACTACATTAATGTCATTTACCATGTAAAGGGAATTAATAGAACTTTATCGCTAATAATGTGCTATAAATACATTATGGTCAATATTTTACTTCCTAAGCACAACAGGTAAAAATAAACCATCCTAGTACCAAATTAATGAATGTAAGTATCTCCAATGGAGTCATGATAAAACATTTTTTTCAAGGTCCACCAGGTCCTCCTGAGGATGTGCAAGTGGAAGACATTTCCAGTACTACTTCTCAACTAAGTTGGAGAGCAGGCCCAGATAATAACAGTCCCATTCAAATATTTACTATTCAGACTCGGACACCATTTTCTGTGGGTTGGCAGGCTGTTGCTACAGGTGAGTGACAAAAGTGTTTTGGGTCACTTTAAAAATAATATTTTAGTCCAATAATTTTAATAAATGCAATTACATTTTAAATTAATAATTATATAATTTTGTACAATTATTTGTTTTTGAGTAGTCCCAACCTAGGTGCCTTAGTGTCTCATTCTTTTTAGTTCCAGAAATTCTCAATGGTAAGACATACAATGCAACAGTGGTTGGTTTGAGTCCTTGGGTGGAATATGAATTTCGTGTTGTTGCCGGCAACAGCATTGGGATTGGAGAACCAAGTGAACCATCAGAATTGTTAAGAACTAAAGCATCAGGTAAAGAATCAATGTGTTCTAAAAGTGTGGAAGATTTCGTATGATACAGTTCTTAAAACAAAACAAGTATTTTTATGTGTCTTCTAATACTTTTGGCTCAAAATTGTTTGGCAGTAAACGAGTGGCTCTCATTTTCTTTTATTTTTACATACACAAGGCAAGGTGTATTTTCTCCAAATAGTAGGTTCAATAAGAAATGATTACCTTTAAGCCAACATGTCAAAATCAGAGTTCTTAGGAAACTGTGTTTGCATCGCATCTATTTTCTAGTCAAAATTCATTAGAGAATCTGTAGATTTGTATATGCAAATGAGTTACTGCTTGTTTCATTAAAATGTTGTAGCCAGGAATTAACTGAGACTCTGTTGGTGCAGTCAGCCATATATTTTCATCTATTTCTCAACTCTGAACTAGTTGTAGCTTCACTGAGCAGTAGTATAAATTTTTTTCCATGCAAATGAGGTAAATCCTAAGCTCATTTAACAGGGGCACTAATTGAGCATTAATTGGTTCACTGAACAGCAGAACGCAAGAACCTGGATCAGATACCATGCCTTCTTAAGCTCTTTTCAATGGATCCTCTTTGTTCCACTCAAACTTTTACATCCAGGGTGACATTTAATCTGCTAGCTGTATATAGCCCACAAAGTTCACATTCTTATTCGATCACATAAACAAAGGATCACTTGTCATGGCTAGCTTAATTTAACAAACACAAATTACCTTATTAAAGTGTGCACAATTGTCAGAAGTCAATAAATCAATCCTTAAACTAAAGATAATGTTATATGTTTATCATAGAATTGGGGCTAGAAAAAGGACATACTTGACAGTGATATCATCCAATTAAATCACGCTAGAAGCTTACAGCTGAGAGGAAATCCCTTTGTTTTACAGAAGAGGAAAATGAACACCAGGATATTAGCTGGTTGTTTGTGACAGAGCTAGGTTTTGAATCCAAACCTCCTGATTTTTACACCCAGCATTCTCCATAAAAGAGGATCTTAATGTAGATGAGCAATAGATTAGCCAAAGAAAGTGTGTAAATATAGAAATTCCCCGGCCCTCCTATATACCCCCTGGATCAGAATCTTCAGGTGTTGTCCATGACTCTGGATATGAGCTTTAGTTTCAGGTTGTTTGTTTACAGTTGATTTATATTTTGGTAGCTTTGGACAGGGTTGACAGAAACTCTTACATTTTCATAGCAAAGTTTGTGTGCCACCTTCTAACCATTAATACTCTCTTGTTTCAGTAGCAGAATGAGACTGGTGATATTCATACCCACTGAGTCAAACTCTACTAACTGAAAACCTACTGAGTCTCTCGTCTCTCCCTCTCTGTCTCTGACATCATCAAAGACTAACAACTTGTTCTCAATATGGTTTTAGGCTTAAGTACAATTAATTTAAAATTGAATAGGGAAAGGAATTTTCTATTTCTCAGAACATTGGAAACTTTGTAGAAAGTAAATCAAAATATAATTCAAAATACTTTTCCTTACACAGCTAAACTATGCAAAGATCCTGAGATAGTGTGCAGTTAGTCACTCTAAGCTGTCAAGCACTATAAATTCAGCAACTCTGTAAAATCCACTCTGATTCACATCGCTTTTGATCAAAGGCATTGGAAGTCTTAGAAAATAAGGTTTAGGTTCACATAACTTCTTTCTAAAAAATTATGAAGCTTAAAGCTGACAAAGTTAAGGGTAAATTTAAATACGAAAAGGTATATCTGAAAGGTGCAATTTTGAAAAAGAACAATCAGATTATCATATGACTATTTTCTGGTCATGTTTATAGAGCTAAACATCAGTATGAAATGGAAATAAATAAAATAAGCAATCTAGATTTATTTAGGTGGTCTATATGGTGGGGAAAAATTTGAAATGAGGAATTAAAACTTACATATTTTAATCCCTGCCTACCAATCCCCAGACATATCCAAGTGCCTCCTCAACCAACCACCTCTCCTATTGTTCAGACATGGTCCAGTATAGACAATTTCATGTAATTCCACATTTAAAAAGTATACCCTGCTGATTTAGCGATTATCACAGATTTAGGATACTTTTGTCATTACGTCAAGAAAAATAATGCTTTTAAACACTTACGCATGTGTAAAGTAAAACCTCATTCTCGTGAGGCACTACAATACCATATACACACTCAGCATTTCCTCAGTTTTACAGTTTCTATGATCTATTATTCATTGTGTTAGTCCTTACAAGGATACAGAGTTGAAGGGCATAGTTTTTTAAAACTCATCAAAATTACTGGTTTCTGAATCCTCTACCACAGAGCCTTAGATCCCAAGAAATAAATAGAAAGAACCTCTCCCAGTCGCATTCTTGACAGGAGAAAAACCTGACTTTGCAAGTGAAAAGTTAGAAGAAAATCCCTCTTCTTCTCTCCCGAGAGATTTGAGATTGTAACGAGGAGTTTTAAAACAAGAATATTTATTTACATATTTTTCAGTATTTAATTTTAACTGGTAAAATATCCTGATGACTAATAAAAGGAAAAATTAGTTTAGTTTGTTTATTGAAAAAAAATAATTAATATACTGCCTCAGTAACTTGTTTACAGCTCAACTGTATAATTAGGCACTAAATCAGCAGTGTCACTGTCACCATCTGAATGGAACATCATTTTGCCAATTAGTAGATGATGCATAATGATGTCAAATACCCGATGTTACTCAATTTTTAATTAATTTTGGAGCCAGGGTGCTCATGTATCAAACACAACTGTGTCCTCTCTCTTAGAAATTTGGATATGTGTAAACATAATTTACGTTCATTAAAAATGCAAGACTCTCTCACAGTATGCCTGTGTGAGATTTTGAAAAGTGAAATTCAAAAACAAAATTCTTCCTGATGAAGACGTACTTTAATAATTGCCATCCCACATTTCTCTTGGTTATTTTTAGTCCCTGTTGTGGCACCAGTAAACATCCATGGAGGTGGAGGAAGTCGGTCTGAACTCGTCATTACGTGGGAGGTAATTTTCTGTCCAACTGAGTTATTTTGAAGAAAAGAGATTTAACTGGCCAGAAAGAAACTGAAAAACAAAAAGATTTATTTGATCACTATTGAGAGCGTAAAAAAATATGGTATAAAAATACATCATCCTGATGATGAATTATTTAGAGGAGGTATTAGGAACTTTTCTCATGGTGAGACAGTATGACGAACTCAGCACAATTTTCTCCCAAATACACGAAAAACAACTTCAGTATCTATTGAGCGTGTGTCAGTAGCATTTTCGTTATCGCTTGATGAATTAGGCATTGTTTGATTTGTTACCTGTGGCACTGTTGTATTGTGAATAAGTTGAGCCCAGTAGACTGTAGGCAAAAAATAGTTCTTGTCCTAACCCTGCTGTTCACCTCTGATCAACTCATTCTTCCCTGCATCTAGATGAAAGCTTAGGCACATGGAGTAGATTTTGTGGTCATTCTTATTACCCATTAACATACAGGCTCATTTTTTTACCTTATTAAAAATTTCAGTCTGGTGTGTACACTTCAAACTGGAGTATAAACGTTAGAATTTAGACTTTCAACCAATTTAAAGTTTCTCATTTTCAGTATCTCAGTGCCTCAGCCTAAGAATTCTATAGCGTGAAAGGGAATACGTGGTCAGTTCAACTTCTCTCCATTCTGCTCTTTAATTTATCTTTCCCCATTCACAGTGTTACCTCTGGATTCTCCAGAGCTGTAGAAGGTTGGTGTTGGTAGGGGAGGAGAAAGGAAAAGGTCTGGATTGCTGGTACATTTCTCGTTTGACTTTGGTGTGCTCTAGTTATGGCAAATTATCAGACGCTGCCATTTCATAGGGTAGGGTTTCTGCGTTTTTTAATTTATTTTTTATCTGGGAGATGGCCACTGGATGATCCCCCACCAAGGACTCCCAACTGCAATTCCTTGGTGCAGACCCAACTGGCTGCTGAAGGGTATCAGTTCCTGGATTTTGGTGGTCCATTTCCAGACTCTTCCAGTGAATATTCTCTCTCTTGTAGGTGGTCTTTGTGGATAGAGTCCCCTTGAAGGCTGTCCATGGATGACCCACTTGCATGGGTTTCACATTTGTCCTCAGCAGACACATACCCTGCTCCATGTTTAGCGGAAGTGCAATGCATACCCACTTAGCATCTCTCTTCACTCTGCCACCGTGGGCTGTCTGGATCTCTTCCCCACTTTAAATTTCTCAGACATTTGTCAGTTAAATGAACCTGCGTCCCTTATGTTCCAGGAAATGCAAACCAGGTGTTTCTTGCTGTAGCCTACTTCACATAGCTAGGCTATGAGAGATAACTGGGAACCAGAGACGTTATTCTTTATGGTTATAAATGACAGTGTCAGAAACTAGATGCAATTGCCCTGAAAGTCACCCTTTCCTCTGGATATCTTGTTTCATGTGGACATTATAGGCCTAGCACAGTGCTTGGAAAGTGGTCCACCCTCCATGAACACTTGTTGAATGGAAGGTAGTGTTTTCAGAGAGTTGGAACTCTCAGAGGCCAGACAGAGGGGGAAACCCTATTTTTTCAAGCATTTACAGGATTTCAGGTGCCACACAGAGCATTTCATATCATTCAGTCCCCACAATAATGCTATAAGGTGGTTATACCACTTTCAAGTAAGAAAACTGAGACTTAGAAAAGTGACATCATTGGGCAGAGAAGCATTTGAACACAGGGTTCTCTCTTTCTGTTCTTTTACTGTATCCTGTATTACAATCCCAATTGTCTTCATGCACTGTGATGGCTGAGGGTGGGCCTGAGTCCTTGAGTATATCTACCTTAAGTAGTAAGTTAACCATATTATACCTACTACTCCAAACATATTTCCCATAAAACACTGACTTTCAAATGAGTCTACAAGAGAATTGTTTGTGAGTAGTTTATTTAGGTTTCTATATTCATCAAAGGCCAAATAAGCATTATCATCATAGTGTACAGGAAGTTTTGCCTGACTTAATAACTTATTTTGTTCTCCTCCTTGGTAAGAAATTCCTACAGGCTGTTGTTGCAATTGCTTGTACACAGTCTATAATGAGGGCCCAAATGCTATGCATTCATTCTTAAATAGAGATGAGCATGAATTACCAAAGAATACTGTCTTTCCACGATTTATAATGTTCTTTTTTCTTTAAGGCAAAGGTACACAAACCATGACCTATGAGACAAATTTGTCTAGTTTCCTGTTTTGATAAATAAATCCACCCATAGCTACATCCATTAATGTATTGATGCTTTCTTGCTGTTGCATGAGACCATATATCCCACAATGCTTAAAATATTTACTATCTGGTAGCAACAATAGACGCTAGCGTCTGCTAGAGTGACGAGAGGAAGGGCGAGGGTTGAAAAACTAGCTATATTAATGGGTACTGTGCTCACTACCTGGGTGACGGGATCCATCATACCCCAAACCTCAGCATCACACAGTATATCCATGCAACAAACTTGCACATGTACCCCCGAATCTAAAATAAAAGTTGAATTTTTTTTTTAAGTTTACTCTCTGGCCCTCTACAGAAAAAGCATACTAACCCCTATTTTTAAAAATTAAACTAAATTAAAGCCACTTCCTCTGTGTTTATTTTTTCTTCCTGAGGAGGAGGTGGGGGGTGGATATCTGATATGCAGATACTTGCAGAAAGTAAATTAGTGAAATCGGTTTCCCATTTATCACTCATATTTGACATTATGTACAAGCAGATACTGAGCCAACTTCTTCTGGTGCCCAGCTTCTTTATGGAATAAGTTATGTATATTTAGGAGAAGATTCATACATTAGGATGAATCTGAGCCACCAGAATGCAGGTAGTAATTCCTTCAATTTAATGAACTCTATTAGGTAGCTTCTCTGTTCCTATCAGTGGAATACAAAAATGGATGAGAAAAGGTCTGAATGCTCAGAAGCGTAGAGGACAGAATGGTCTTAACCCAGCCTGGAAGGAGGTCAGGAAAGACACCATCAGAACTGAGTATATCTGAACTACGTTTTGAAAAGTGACTTGGAAGTAGAGAGGCCACCCCAGGTCAATGTCACTCCTGTTGTAGTTGAAATAGTACCTGTTGGACTTTGAAAGGCACTGCGCGACACAAGACTGTTCTAAGTTCAGTCACAATCTGCCATTACGTTTCATAAGTGACAACTTTAATGATTATCCTTCATTTAGGCTCCCTGTGGTATAATCTGCCTGAACTGAACTAAATATCTTTCCCGTGTTTTCCCCAGAGCCACACAATAAATGTAGATTTTTTGTTTATTTGTTTTGATTTGGTTTGTTTCCAAAAACCTAGACATAATATCAAATTTTTAGAATATAGCAATGGGTAATTCCTTTTTAAGGGCATGTTTATACATTATTTTATCATAATGTGTATACTCCCAAATACTTCCAGGTTTGAGGTGCTTGTGGTGAATGTCTCATAAATATTACTATAAAATTAGGTACACAGGATAAAGCACTATAGAGTAAGAGATACATACCTACACTGAGGGTTGGCACGCTTTTTATTTAAAGGGCCAGACAGTAAAAATATTCAGTCTCGTGGGCCACATGACCTCTTTTCTAATGTCTCAGTCTGCTTTTGTAGCTCAAAAGAGCCACATACCACTTACAAACATATAGGTGTGGGTGTGTCTCAAAACCTTTATTTTCAAAACCAGGCTGCATGCCAGATGTGGCTAGAAGTACATAGTTTTGCTGATTCTTAGTCTGTACTAAAGATTTGGTTCTTACAGACACTGTGGTTGAGAATTACATTATTAGTTTATCAATTTTCATAGATTTTACTCCCAGGAGAATTTCACAATTTCTTTATTTTACTGAACACTGTCTCCACTTAAAGAAAACTCTTTTTCTGGCCTTGTTAAATAACTATATATATTTTTTAATCATTTGACTCTCTGTTGATGTAAGAATAAAGGGAAGTATCTAAATAAGTCTCTTTTTTCCCCTCTAATCTGCATATGTTGGACTCAGGTCTTTCTTGAGAGAGCACCATGAGAAACACTAATTGTACTTGACTAACAAAAACAAAACTCCCCTATTTATGTAGATGAACTGACTAAGCATCGTGATTAAATCCGAGATGAAAGAAACTTCAGAAATGAATCAAATGCTCTAGCAAGTAGCATCGATTCTTATAAATCTCTTCCATGCCATTCAAAATTAACTGGTTTACTTCTAGTCTCCCTATGAAAAAGAAGAGAAGTGTTAATATGAGGAAATACTTTGTTGTTTCCCCAGATGTCCGGAGCAGCACTTTTCTTCCTCTTTTCACTTTCTGTATTTGTTAGACTGTTCCACATGGCAAGAAATAGAGACCAGCTCAGGTCATCTCGGGTAATGGGGGTTTATTTTAAAGCTACATGGGAAGTAATGAGGACAGGAAAAAAGTCTCAGCAAGCAGGCAGGAAGGTCAGATGAAGAACCGGAACATGGTTCATCACTGCTCTGGGCACTCGGGCACAGGAGCTCTAGGCAACCATCAACAACCCCTCTGCTGATCCAGCCCCGGCTTGAATAGTCTCTCATGCTTATGCCTCAGTTCCTCCCATTTCCTTTACTTCCAGTTTTCTACCTGGCTGCCAGCTAATTTGGATGCCCTCTCTCTAATTTACAGCATCTGTTTTCTCTTAGCTTCTATTGCCTCACTGTTCCTGCTACTCCATGTTCTCTACTTTTTGCCTGCTCTGTGTATATCTATCATTGTTTTGCCACCCACCATGTTTCATATGCAAACTCTGTGAGAGGAATTGACCAGGTCTGTTAGTCACCGTAGAGTACAGAGATTCTGCCCTCATAGATACTCACCAAGACGGTGCCTGTGGTTCTGGCGCTCGTGAATTGGTGCTCGCATGGGTTCCAAGTGGCAAGTAGATAGTGTGATTGATAGAATAAATGGACTCCCATGAATAAAGAGAACCTCTGAAATGGAGTTGTGGACATGAGGGACTAGAAGCACTGTGTCCTGTCAGGTGTTGCCTTTATTAGTCTGTCAGAATATTTATTAAAAAAAAAAAAGCAAAGCATTTTCCTTGGGAAAAACCAAATAAATTCCATTGATTTTTCAATACAAGTTTCTTGCCATCAGGAGATATGTTGGTCTAAATTCAAGTACAGATTCATTTTAATTTGCTAAGTTTATGTGATTGTTTACAATTTTTAGTATCTGCAGAGTACAGGGGGAATATTACCAATTTCTATTTTGCTATTTTAGTAATTTTAGATTTGAAATGTATTTTATAGAATCTGATCTTTGTGAGAGTTAACAGTTTATTCTTTCATGTGAGGAAAAATGCACACATGTCACTACCAATGAAGATGTATGCCTAAAAAAATGATGGGAGGTCTTTTATACTTTTTTAAAGAAATATTCTGTGTCTTAAAGCATATGTTATTTCACAGTAATTCCATTACACATGTCTTACAAAAACTTGTTTAAAATGTTGTGAAAGGAAAACATATCTAGTCTTGAAATAAATAGTTAAGAAGTTAATTTGTGCTGAGTTTAAAAATTCATATCAAACCACATTTGAGTGTGTATCATAAAATCTTTTAAACTGTTTTATTATTATAATTTATGAATGATCAAAGAAAAATATATAAATATGTAAAGCTTGTTTTATATTTCTATCTGAAAACTTAAACTATTTATCTGAGTATCTTTAACTGGGATCATTTTTCTAATTGGCATTCCAAATAAAAGTGTTTTTTAATACATCATTAAACAGAATAAATATCCATATTTGTCTCTATGGAAGAAATGTGAAATAATCAATAAACATTATAGTAGCTTAATAAAATATTTTTGCAAATACTCAGTGATTGATCACATTCTGCCCAAGTCAATTCCAGAAGAACTGCAGAATGGGGAGGGATTTGGATATATCATCATGTTCCGGCCAGTGGGCTCGACAACCTGGTCCAAGGAGAAAGTGTCATCTGTGGAATCATCAAGGTTTGTCTACAGAAATGAAAGCATCATCCCACTGTCTCCCTTTGAAGTCAAAGTGGGTGTGTATAATAATGAAGGAGAAGGATCCCTGAGTACTGTGACCATTGTCTACTCTGGGGAAGATGGTAAGTTGTCCTCAACTCTGGTTTTCTTTGAGACTCTATGCATAGTTTGTGTTCCCTTGTTCCATTTTCAATGAACCACTCTGCTAAAGATGGTTATGTCTTTCTCTGGATGGTAGAACCTCAACTGGCCCCAAGGGGAACTTCTCTCCAGAGTTTTTCTGCTTCTGAAATGGAGGTTTCATGGAATGCTATTGCCTGGAATAGAAACACTGGAAGAGTGCTGGGCTATGAGGTAATCCACATTAATTTCACTTTTGCTTATGAATGTGCCAATGGACTTCGCAATAGCTCCTATTCAACAGTCCTATCCTACTAGCCTGTTGTTAGCATATGATAATGTGTGTCTAAAGCTAAAGCAGAGAATGAAGTTGAGACAGGGTAGGTGAGCCCCCACATTGAGAGGCTTAGCCTGGGATGTTTCTTGTCCTCGCTCAAGACAGAATTCGAGAGTGAGCCAGTGGTAAAAAAACAAAAACAAAAACAAAAACAAAAAAAAACAGCTTTATTGAGGCAGCAGTGTTACAGTTTTGAAATTGCTTCTGCAGAGCAGGGCTACCCCATAGGCAGTGTGCTAAGAGCAGCAGCTTGGAAGCAGTTCTACACTCATATTTATACCCACTTCTAATTACATGCAAATTAATGGGTGAGTTAGTTATTCAGAAATTTCTAGAAAAAGGGTGGTAACCTCCAGGCCATTGCCATAGAAAGGGATGGTAACTTCCAGGTGTTGCCATGGCAGTGGTAAACTGATACGGAACTGGTGGTTGTGTCTTATGGAGAGGTGCTTTAGCCTCTTCCCTGTTTCAGTCAGTCTTCAATCTGGTCCACAGTAAAGTCCTGCCTCCTCCCTCAAAGTAAGGGAAATCTTTCTAGGTAATTCAAAGCAAACAAATTAACACATAGTAGCCATTTTTAAAGGCATACAGATTCAGTAAGTAAGATGAGTAAGCTCTAAAGATCTGCTGTACAACTGTGCACACAGAGTCAACAATTATGCATTGTACCCTTAAAATTTTTCAAGAGGACAGATCTCATATTAAGTGTTCTTACCACAACATCATTTTTCAAAAGTGATCAGGTGATTATATGATTAATTATTCAAATTGCAGTCATTTTTTTTTCCCTTGGTAAGAGGTGAAGTCTGCTCCTCAATCATCTTACACCATGGAAGAATTTCATTGAGAAACCTGCTTTGTGAATTGCAGTATAACTTGGAAAGATGTAATCATCTCAGAAAAGGCAGTTAAGTAATGAAAAAAAATACCTAGATTGTCTTGAATCTGCTATTTTTAGTCTATGAAGAATAAGGCAAATTACATTTGTAGGCCTTCATCTCACAAAGTAAAGAGACAAGAACATTTTAAGGGAAAGTTGTTCATCACTCAATCTTTTTCAACTTGCAAATTCAGTGATTCACAAAATGGGTAACATAATTTATTTAACTTTGGATTTAGAATAAATGTATAATCCTAAACATTCTTAATTTTGCCTATATATATATATATAT
Source organism: Homo sapiens (assembly GCF_000001405.40). Taxonomy (NCBI): domain Eukaryota; kingdom Metazoa; phylum Chordata; class Mammalia; order Primates; family Hominidae; genus Homo; species Homo sapiens. Next base: position 1,384,684 of record NC_000003.12, read on the forward strand.
ATATACACACACACACACGTATACATATACATACTATATATACACACATATATATACATATATACACATATATATACATATATATACACATATATATATATATATATATATATACACACACACACACACATATATATATATATATATAACCATAATCCTCTGATTCCAACAGAAAGTTCTACTCTCAGGACAGGTGTCTTTTCCACTCCATGCCAAGAATGCCTTACCTCTTATCTGAACCCTAGTTACTTCTCAAATTTCATCCCTAGTCGCCTCTTCTCTCTGAGCTCTACTCCCATCAATTCCTGATGTATTTTGTCAAATTCTTGTAGCATATTTTTTCTATACCACTTCTTTGCAATGCATTCTGTGACTTATTTTCACATACACTGTGGATTCTAACCTCTTAGCTAGATGATAAGGGGCTTGAAAATAGGTACTTAATTTATTCTCTTTTTTTTTCAATGTACCTAAAACAATGCTAATGCAAAGGTAGGGTTCAGTATAAATTGAATTATTAATTAACCTGTGATTCAAATAACTCTGAAAAGAAATGCCAATAGCAAGACATTATAATGAAAGTCTTTGACTGATTATATACAAATGTGTTTTTGTCTGACTTGTTATACATCATTTGCTAAAGCTGGTAACCTTTAGATAGCTCATAAAATACTTTATTTTGGTAATCTAAAAAATCACGTTCTCTAATTTCCATTGTGAATTTGCATTCATGACTTTTTTCCTCATAAATATTAGAGAATAACAATTTTGTTGTTGTATAACCATTTTAATTAGAAAACGTTTTTGTCATCTATACTTCTGTCTTCTTCCCATATTCCTTGTGGTTGTGGTTGATAGTTGTTGGTAAAAAATGATTGATAGTTATTGGGGAACAATAAATTGCTTGTTTTGGTTTTTAATTATCAGGTCTTATACTGGACAGATGACTCCAAAGAATCCATGATAGGTAAAATTAGAGTCAGTGGAAATGTCACAACCAAAAACATCACGGGGCTGAAAGCTAATACCATCTACTTTGCTTCCGTAAGAGCTTACAACACTGCTGGGACAGGGCCCTCAAGCCCCCCAGTCAATGTTACCACCAAAAAGTCTCGTAAGTATGCATACACTCCAGGAAACAAGATTCATCTGTGAAGAGCAACCTATTCCTTTGCTTGATGTTCATTTCATTCCCACACCTCATTTCTTTACTAATTGGTTACTTTGGTTAGTTGGTTTGTCCCTTAAATATGGATACTTGTTGAAACCTTTTGGTAACAATCAAGGTAATTGTTTTCATATTTCTGGAATTCCAAAAGAGGAATATTCCAAGTATATCGATGAAAGACAGAAGAGCATAATGTTTAAGACTGGCCCTGACGCCCTCCTTCTAAATGCATTCAAAAACTGACCTCCTATCCTTGGAACGTTAGGTGGTATTTATCTTTGAGTCTCAGTTGCCTACCTATAAAATGAGGAAAAAGTCATATTTATGTTTTCATAGGTTTTGTTCAAGATTGAAAGAGATTATTAATAATAAGTGTCCAGTACACACCTTAATATATGCTCAGTAAATGGTTTTTTTGTTTTGTCATTTGAGTCCGAGTATATTCACATGTGATCCTACAACTGTCAGACACCTAGATCTTTCCTTTTAGGATACCTTATTACTACAGCTTACTTGGAAGTCCCTGAAATCTAAGAATGAACTCTTCTGTTTTGTCTTATATCCCCTGATAATCAGCCAGGTGATTTCACAGAATCAGAATCTGCTACATAAAAGATGAATGTTTTTCATCTTTTGGTGATTGTTGCTGCCTTTATTTTCTGACTGAGTCTGGTAATGCACAAATATTCCATAATACGAGGCACAGCAATAAATTGGGAAAGGTCTGATCATCCGACTTAGTTGTTCCTGTAAGATGATTTTTTTGTGGTTGAATAATATTTACATATTCCTTATATATTATTAATGAACACAAATTATTCATAAAATCAGACTTTTTAAAACACATTTTTTTGCTCTCTGAATCCTGATGAATGAAAGATAACAAATATAGTTGCTGAATTTTGAGAAAGACTAAGACAAATTCAGTGCCACTTACAAAAATCTAGTTTACCTATACATGCCGTAGTCTAATTACACCACCATATTTGGAAAGAAGAGATGGTTAAGAAGAGTTTGAAAATAAAGTTATATTAAAGTTATTCCCCTTATGCGTATATATGCGTATATTTGTCATGTCCAAAAGAAGTTAGTTAGGAACCATCTCAGAGAATAGGCCCTTGATTAAATAGATTATCCAGTTATTTCCACACAACCAGATCAACTGTCAGATATTCATGTTCCAATTCTGGGTACATCATTGACTCACAACTTGAAATAGGACAAGGCATTCCATTTTTTTGCTTTCATGTTCTTATCTATTTATTAAATAGAAATTATCTCTGTCCTCACTCCTTCCCAAATTACCCATGAAGCACAAACAAGGTACTGATTCTGGAAGCATCTTAGAAAATACAAAGTGCTGTGGAACTGCAAAAGCCTGTGGAGCAAAAATTTTTGAACCAAATTTCCTCCAGTCCACCCAGTTTTAGACAGGCTGGGCTGTGAGTTATTTTCAAGAATGGATTAGTTAACAATGAAGTTCTATTCCTTTTCCTGTTTTACTCAATGTTGACTAAATCAATGAAGTTGTTGCCAGATAACTTGGATGTATGATTTGCTTCTTTGGTCTTCCTGGAGTGGTTTAGCTTCTTTCAGCTAATCTGCAAATCCGAATGAAAATCTCCAATCAATCAGCAGTTTTCAGATTACCTAGACATTTAGTTCTAGTTGACTGAGAGATGCCAAACTCACAGAAACTCTTGTGTGTAGGGGGAGGAGCCAAGATGGCCGAATAGGAACAGCTCCGGTCTACAGCTCCCAGTGAAGACGCGTGATTTCTGCATTTCCATCTGAGGTACCCGGTTCATCTCACTAGGGGGTGCCAGACAGTGGGCGCAGGTCAGTGGGTGAGCGCACCGTGCGCAAGCCGAAGCAGGGCGAGGCATTGCCTCACTTGGGAAGCGCAAGGGGTCAGGGAGTTCCCTTTCCAAGTCAAAGAAAGGGGTGACGGACGCACCTGGAAAATTGGGTCACTCCCACCCGAATATTGCGCTTTTCGGACCAGCTTAAAAAACGGCGCACCACGAGATTATATCCTGCACCCGGCTCGGAGGGTCCTACGCCCACGGAATCTCGCTGATTGCTAGCACAGCAGTCTGAGATCAAACTGCAAGGCGGCAGCGAGGCTGGGGGAGGGGCGCCCGCCATTGGCCAGGCTTGATTAGGTAAACAAAGCAGCCAGGAAGCTCCAACTGGGTGGAGCCCACCACAGCTCAAGGAGGCCTGCCTGCAACTGTAGGCTCCACCTCTCGGGGCAGGGCACAGACAAACAAAAAGACAGCAGTAACGTCTGCAGAGTTAAATGTCCCTGTCTGACAGCTTTGAAGAGAGCACTGGTTCTCCCAGCATGCAGCTGGAGATCTGAGAACTGGCACACTGCCTCCTCAAGTGGGTCCCTGACCCCTGACCCCCGAGCAGCCTAACTGGGAGGCACCCCCCAGCAGGGGCACACTGACACCTCACACGGCAGGGTATGCCAACAGACCTGAAGCTGAGGGTCCTGTCTGTTAGAAGGAAAACTAACAAACAGAAAGGACATCCACACCAAAAACCCATCTGTACATCACCATCATCAAAGACCAAAAGTAGATAAAAACCACAAAGATGGGGAAAAAACAGAACAGAAAAACTGGAAACTCTAAAACGCAGAGCGCCTCTCCTCCTCCAAGGGAACGCAGTTCCTCACCAGCAACGGAACAAAGCTGGACGGAGAATGACTTTGACGAGCTGAGAGAAGAAGGCTTCAGACGATCAAATTACTCTGAGCTACGGGAGGACATTCAAACCAAAGGCAAAGAAGTTGAAAACTTTGAAAAAAATTTAGAAGAATGTATAACTAGAATAACCAATATAGAGAAGTGCTTAAAGGAGCTGATGGAGCTGAAAACCAAGGCTCGAGAACTACGTGAAGAATGCAGAAGCCTCAGGAGCCGATGTGATCAACTGGAAGAAAGGGTATCAGCAATGGAAGATGAAATGAATGAAATGAAGCAAGAAGGGAAGTTTAGAGAAAAAAGAATAAAAAGAAACGAGCAAAGCCTCCAAGAAATATGGGACTATGTGAAAAGACCAAATCTACGTCTGATTGGTGTACCTGAAAGTGATGGGGAGAATGGAACCAAGTTGGAAAACACTCTGCAGGATATTATCCAGGAGAACTTCCCCAATCTAGCAAGGCAGGCCAACATTCAGATTCAGGAAATACAGAGAACGCCACAAAGATACTCCTCGAGAAGAGCAACTCCAAGACACATAATTGTCAGATTCACCAAAGTTGAAATGAAGGAAAAAATGTTAACGGCAGCCAGAGAGAAAGGTCGGGTTACCCTCAAAGGGAAGCCCATCAGACTAACAGCAGATCTCTCGGCAGAATCTCTACAAGCCAGAAGAGAGTGGGGGCCAATATTCAACATTCTTAAAGAAAACAATTTCAACCCAGAATTTCATATCCAGCCAAACTAAGCTTCATAAGTGAAGGAGAAATAAAATACTTTACAGACAAGCAAATGCTGAGAGATTTTGTCACCACCAGGCCTGCCCTAAAAGTGCTCCTGAAGGAAGCACTAAACATGGAAAGGAACAACCGGTACCAGCCGCTGCAAAATCATGCCAAAATGTAAAGACCATCAAGACTAGGAAGAAACTGCATCAACTAACGAGCAAAATCACCAGCTAACATCATAATATGACAGGATCAAATTCACACATAACAATATTAACTTTAAATGTAAATGGACTAAATGCTCTAATTAAAAGACACAGACTGGCAAATTGGATAAACAGTCAAGACCCATCAGTGTGCTGTATTCAGGAAACCCATCTCACGTGCAGAGACACACATAGGCTCAAAAGGATGGAGGAAGATCTACTGAGCCAATGGAAAACAAAAAAAGGCAGGGGTTGCAATCCTAGTCTCTGATAAAACAGACTTTAAACCAACAAAGATCAAAAGAGACAAAGAAGGCCATTACATAATGGTAAAGGGATCAATTCAACAAGAAGAGCTAACTATCCTAAATATCTATGCACCCAATACAGGAGCACCCAGATTCATAAAGCAAGTCCTGAGTGACCTACAAAGAGACTTAGACTCCCACACATTAATAATGGGAGACTTTAACAACCCACTGTCAACATTAGACAGATCAATGAGACAGAAAGTCAACAAGGATACCCAGGAATTGAACTCAGCTCTGCACCAAGTGGACCTAATAGACATCTACAGAACTCTCCACCACAAATCAACAGAATATAGATTTTTTTCAGCACCACACCACACCTATTCCAAAATTGACCACATACTTGGAAGTAAAGCTCTCCTCAGCAAATGTAAAAGGACAGAGATTATAACAAACTATCTCTCAGGCCACAGTGCAATCAAACTAGAACTCAAGATTAAGAATCTCACTCAAAACCGCTCAACTACATGGAAACTGAACAACCTGCTCCTGAATGACTACTGGATACATAACGAAATGAAGGCAGAAATAAAGATGTTCTTTGAAACCAATGAGAACAAAGACACAACATACCAGAATCTCTGGGATGCATTCAAAGCAGTGTGTAGAGGGAAATTTATAGCACTAAATGCCCACAAGAGAAAGCAGGAAAGATCCAAAATTGACACCCTAACATCACAATTAAAAGAACTAGAAAAGCAAGAGCAAACACATTCAAAAGCTGGCAGAAAGAAAGAAATAACTAAAATCAGAGCACAACTGAAGGAAATAGAGACACAAAAAACCCTTAAAAAATTAATGAATCCAGGAGCTGGTTTTTTGAAAGGATCAACAAAATTGATAGACCGCTAGCAAGACTAATAAAGAAAAAGAGAAGAATCAAATAGACACAATAAAAAATGATAAAGGGGATATCACCACCAATCCCACAGAAATACAAACTACCATCAGAGAATACTACAAACACCTCTATGCAAAGAAACTAGAAAATCTAGAAGAAATGGATAAATTCCTCGACACATACACTCTCCCAAGACTAAACCAGGAAGAAGTTGAATCTCTGAATAGACCAATAACAGGAGCTGAAATTGTGGCAATAATCAATAGTTTACCAACCAAAAAGTCCAGGACCAGATGGATTCACAGCCGAATTCTACCAGAGGTACAAGGAGGAACTGGTACCATTCCTTCTGAAACTATTCCAATCAATAGAAAAAGAGGGAATCCTCCCTAACTCATTTTAGGAGGCCAGCATCATTCTGATACCAAAGCCGGGCAGAGACACAACCAAAAAAGAGAATTTTAGACCAATATCCTTGATGAACATTGATGCAAAAATCCTCAATAAAATACTGGCAAAACGAATCCAGCAGCACATCAAAAAGCTTATCCACCATGATCAAGTGGGCTTCATCCCTGGGATGCAAGGCTGGTTCAATATACACAAATCAATAAATGTAATCCAGCATATAAACAGAGCCAAAGACAAAAACCACATAATTATCTCAATAGATGCAGAAAAAGCCTTTGACAAAATTCAACAACCCTTCATGCTAAAAACTCTCAATAAATTAGGTATTGATGGGACATATTTCAAAATAATAAGAGCTATCTATGACAAACCCACAGCCAATATCATACTGAATGGGCAAAAACTGGAAGCATTCCCTTTGAAAACTGGCACAAGACAGGGATGCCCTCTCTCACCACTCCTATTCAACATAGTGTTGGAAGTTCTGGCCAGGGCAATTAGGCAGGAGAAGGAAATAAAGGGTATTCAATTAGGAAAAGAGGAAGTCCAATTGTCCCTGTTTGCAGATGAGATGATTGTATATCTAGAAAACCCCATTGTCTCAGCCCAAAATCTCCTTAAGCTGATAAGCAACTTCAGCAAAGTCTCAGGATACAAAATCAATGTACAAAAATCACAAGCATTCTTATACACCAACAACAGACAAACAGAGAGCCAAATCATGAGTGAACTCCCATTCACAATTGCTTCAAAGAGAATAAAATACCTAGGAATCCAACTTACAAGGGATGTGAAGGACCTCTTCAAGGAGAACTGCAAACCACTGCTCAATGAGATAAAAGAGGATACAAACAAATGGAAGAACATTCCATGCTCATGGGTAGGAAGAATCAATATCATGAAAATGGCCATACTGCCCAAGGTAATTTATAGATTTAATGCCATCCCCACCAAGCCACCAATGACTTTCTTCACAGAATTGGAAAAAACTACTTTAAAGTTCATATGGAACCAAAAAAGAGCCCGCATCGCCAAGTCAATTCTAAGCCAAAAGAACAAAGCTGGAGGCATCACACTACCTGACTTCAAACTATACTACAAGGCTACAGTAACCAAAACAGCATGGTACTGGTACCAAAACAGAGATCTAGATCAATGGAACAGAACAGAGCCCTCAGAAATAACGCCGCATATCTACAGCTATCTGATCTTTGACAAACCTGAGAAAAACAAGCAATGGGGAAAGGATTCCCTATTTAATAAATGGTGCTGGGAAAACTGGCTACCCATATGTAGAAAGCTGAAACTGGATCCCTTCCTTACACCTTATACAAAAATCAATTCAAGATGGATTAAAGACTTAAATGTTAGACCTAAAACCATAAAAACCCTAAAAGAAAACCTAGGCATTACCATTCAGGACATAGGCATGGGCAAGGACTTCATGTCTAAAACACCAAAAGCAATGGCAACAAAAGACAAAATTGACAAATGGGATCTAATTAAACTAAAGAGCTTCTGCACAGCAAAAGAAACTACCATCAGAGTGAACAGGCAACCTACAAAATGGGAGAAAATTTTCGCAACCTACTCATCTGACAAAGGGCTAATATCAAGAATCTACAATGAACTCAAACAAATTTACAAGAAAAAAACAAACAACCCCATCAACAAGTGGGTGAAGGACATGAACAGACACTTCTCAAAAGAAGACATTTATGCAGCCAAAAAACACATGAAAAAATGCTCATCATCACTGGCCATCAGAGAAATGCAAATCAAAACCACAATGAGATACCATCTCACACCACTTAGAATGGCGATCATTAAAAAGTCAGGAAACAACAGGTGCTGGAGAGGATGTGGAGAAATAGGAACACTTTTACACTGTTGGTGGGACTGTAAACTAGTTCAACCATTGTGGAAGTCAGTGTGGCGATTCCTCAGGGATCTAGAACTAGAAATACCATTTGACCCAGCCATCCCATTACTGGGTATATACCCAAAGGACTATAAATCATGCTGCTATAAAGACACATGCACACGTATGTTTATTGCGGCACTATTCACAATAGCAAAGACTTGGAACCAACCCAAATGTCCAACAATGATAGACTGGATTAAGAAAATATGGCACATATACACCATGGAATACTATGCAGCCATAAAAAATGATGAGTTCATGTCCTTTGTAGGGACATGGATGAAATTGGAAATCATCATTCTCAGTAAACTATCGCAAGAACAAAAAACCAAACACTGCATATTCTCACTCATAGGTGGGAATTGAACAATGAGATCACATGGACACAGGAAGGGGAATATCACACTCTGGGGACTGTGGTGAGGTGGGGGGAGGGGGGAGGGATAGCATTGGGAGATATACCTAATGCTAGATGACGAGTTAGTGGGTGCAGCGCACCAGCATGGCACATGTATACATATGTAACTAACCTGCACGTTGTGCACATGTACCCTAAAACTTAAAGAAGTAAAAAAAAAAAAAAAAAAAGAAACTCTTGTGTGTAATTCAGTTTCTATCTCAAGCAAAATCAAGAGTGATTAGAAATGTGTAAGAAACAAACATTAAAAAAAAAAACACATTGTATCATGGTAGACTGACAGACATTTTAGTGCAGTTATTGAGCCAAGACTCAGGTCAACTTTTATTATACATAATCCCATCAACCAGTTTAAGGTGGATTGAAACTTGAACACTGAACTAATCATTTACCTCAGGAAGAGAGAGATATATCCATATGACATATATAATACCTATACATGTTTTAAAATTCTTATTGAGATTTTCTGTATGATATATACATATATATATTCACATCTCACTACTAATTTTATATAAATATATAAAAGTGAGTAGCCCCACACTCCCTTGACCTCAAGGGCAGTCTTTGAAGCACCTTCTTCCCTGCTATTCTTAAGCACTGGGTGGATCTGATTGCCCAGATAGGGCACTGCCTTTCCCCAAGGTCACACAGCAATGAAGGGGGACAGATGGAGGAGAGGGGGCCTAGATGTGCAGGCAGCCCCACACGGTCTCATTGGAGTACTGAGAGGCCCAGGCCTCAGCTACATAGGAGAACTGCTCCTTGCTGCTGGGCCAGTAGGTGCCCTCCGTCTGCCTCATCTCCGGAAGCTTCCGCACCAATAGTGCCAGCCCCACTGCCAGGAACAAGACAGCCAGGAATCAGAGGACCAAGATGATAGCAGTGACGGCCCCCCGAAACAGGGCTCCACTGGAGCTGGAGCTGGTGGGTGTAGGCCAAACAATGCTACTCTCATTTGCAGAAGGGGTTGATATTTGCGCCCAGGGTCGTTCCCAGGGACGACAGCAGCGGCAGGCCCAGCGCCAGGAGTAGCCCCAGGCCGAGCTGGGTGACGGGTTGACAGTGCCGAGGAAGGGGCTTCTGGCGCGCGCCCCTCCTACAGCATACAGGGCGGGCCATGGGCACCTGCAACGGGGCACCTGACCCAGGTGTCTTTGAAGTCGCTCTGTATATATTCTATATATATATATCAGAACATCTCAGTAATAATTTTTTCTGTCATCTGAATTTGCTAGTTTCATTGTCCATGAAACCTAAATTAAAAGTGTTAGTTTGTGCTAAATTATTCTATGTTTTTAAGCAGAAACAAATCCTTGTTTTTGACACTAAATTTTTTCAGTTGACCCAATTGATCCTACAAATGGGTTGGACAGAAATTCACATCAAATGCTAAAGATTATTGGTTTGTCTGATGGTTAACGTATGATCAATTTGTCAAAGAGTAGGAGATAAAAATTTTCGAAAACAGTTAAATTAACCATGAGTAATTTCACCCAAGACACAACGTTAGAATACCTCTGCTAAGGAAAAAGTGAAATAATAATCAGAAATTCTAAACTGAAGATTAGCGTTCCTTTAAGTATTCAGCTTTCTTAACTAAATCAAACAAGAAAAACCTCTGTAATTCCTAGATATCTAGTTTCAATAGCTCTTAAATTTGACTCTTACCAGCCTGTATGCTTCAGTGACCCTATAAAAATAGCCAACAAGCACCTGAGAATAAGAAGAATATACAAGTCTCCATCCCTTTGCATTTAAATACCTATCCAACCTCTCATTTTATTACTTTGACATTCTACATCACAGACATTGTGAAAGCAGAAGAGTAACTTTTCTATTATTCTATTAATGGCCTTAAACTCAGTGTTTTAAAACAATATAAGTTGCTTATCACACATTTTTGGAGGTCAGGAGTTAGACAGGGGTTTCACTGGGTAGAAATCCAGATGTGCTCAAGGGCTGCACTAGCTTTGGAAGCTCCAAAGGATAATTTGTTTCCTGTTTTCTGGCTTTTGGAGACCACCCATATCCCTGGCTTGTGACCCTCCTTAGGTTTGTGACCCCTTCCTCCATGTTCAATGCCAGCAACAGTAGGGTACCTTCACATCTCTGCCTCTGACCCTCTGCTTCTGTCATCACAACTCCTCTAACTCTCACTTTCTTGCTTCCCTCTTTCCCTTGTACGGACCCTCCTGATGACATTGGAGCCACCTGAATCATCCAAGATTATTTCCTCATCTCCAGACTCTTAATCACATTTGCAAACTCCTTTTCCATATAAAGTAATGTGTCCACAGGTACTGGAGATTAGGATGTGATCATGTTTTGGGGGATCCTTATTTTGCTTACCACAGTTTCAAATTATTGAGCACTTCTATGTCCCCAGCCCTGTATTAACTTTATCATACTAAATCTCACTTAATTATTACAATAAGTCAAGGAGTTTGGTATTTTAATTTCTAGATAGGAGGACACAAATGCTTAGAAAGGTTTTGTCATGGCCTCTGTTAGACTGATGAGCATGAAATCTCTTCATCCCACTACCACTGTGCTCCTTTATCACCTTCCTCCCTAACCATCCCAATAATTTCTCTCCCTGACTGTCAAATCCTCCATCTAAACCTCAAACTGCTTTGAAATTTTTCCTCCTAAAATGCCGTCATACTTCTCTTCTCTTCATCAAATGTCATTGTCTCCTCTATTCCAGAGAATGTAGACTAAGAAAAAGGCAAGCAAGATCTTTCACAATGTGTCTCAAAGCTCCTTTCTATAACATTCCTCTTCTAGCCCTGACATCTCAAACTTACTGATCTTCTAAAGTTTAACATTCACTTACCTGGCTTCATGAAATCTCTCAGCTTGTAGTACCCCTGCCAGGCCTATATATGGTCAAATGGTCTTTTTTCTGCTCTATAGCTTCCCCCAAAATTTCCCCTTTAATGTATTTGCGTTTTTCTAAGAATTCCAATAACTTTGGCCCATTGTGAAACAGTGTTGGAAAAAGTTGGAATGGGACTTCAGAGAGAATTGTGGATATGGATCCCTGCTCAGCCATGTACTATCTGTGTGCCAGATCTAATTATTTGATAACTCTGAATGCATTTTCTCATCTGAAAAATAGAGATGAAGATACTTACCTCTAGCGATTTCTCTGAGAACCAAAGGATATAATGTACACCAAGGTGACCCAGAGGCTGTCATACATCAAGGCTCAGTGCCTGGTAACATGTGTTATTATACTCCTCCTTTAGAGGCAATTTACTTTCTTTGCATTTTTTAAAGTAAGAAACCACAGCTACTTTCTTTCACTTTATAAGTTTGTTGCAGAATTTTCTTTTCTTTAAGGGTCGTAGAAGGACATCCAAAGCATGCATGAAAAACAGCTTTACTGAAACATTGATGATAACCATGATTCCAGGTGCTATTCCTGTATGTAACTTTGACTCTCCATGTCCTTGAGATGACATCAAGATTACCTCTCAATAGTGGTGACTGAAAAAATTCTGCATTCAGCACTGTCACTGTCTAGATTTGTAATCTGATATTTGATCTTCCATTGGAAAGTCTGAAAAAGCAGAGCTCACATTTACCAAAATCTCTGCCTGTTCTAATTGGCTAAGCTAAAGAGAAGACAGAGGTATTTTCTTTGTTTGTTTGTTTTCTCACATGATCATCCAGTCATCTACTCAAGAGATAGTGCCTCCCATGAGCCATGCCTAGAGTTAGATGCTGAGGGCCTAAGAGCAATTAAACCAAGCAAGATCTTTGCCAACCGGCAATTTCTCTTTTAGAGAAGAGGCAACCTAAAACAAGAAAAAAAGACAAATGAATAAAATAATCATAAATTATGAAAAGAACAGTGAAGAAAATAAATGAGAAACTAAGATGTACATAAGGAGCATCTATATGGGATAGGCTATGTATTTTGATACAAAATTAAAGATAAAGAGGAGTTAAAGGACAAAAGAACTTCCAGACAGAAGGAACAGCATATGCCAAACTTCTTAAGTATTATTGTTGCTGTTGATGATGATGATACTAGTATTATTAAACAAATATCAGTGATTCATCTGCAAGTACCAAAGCCTAGTGGAAATGATGGATTTCCAAAAGAAACAGAGGTACTGCAAATATACTGTGATCCACACAGACATTACTTAAATGGAATTTAGATTTACAAGGAAAGAAAGAAAAATATTTATGTCAATTCCAAGCAGAAAAGAAAAGTGAAACAAACAAAACACTACTTATGTGGAAAGAAGTATTCAGACGCAATAACTAAAAGTGTTTGCAAATGTTGGCTCAATTTGGCCCTTGACGTTGACTGACTAGCACTTTGTACTCGATTCTTTCTTGCTGCAAATATGCAATCAATCCATATTTAAACATAAAGGAAGCATTAAGCTTTTATTTTATCTTGCACTTATGTTCTTTCTCTTCTGCCCAAATGTCAACCCCATGCTGTTACTTAGAGGTGTAACATAAGAAGTTGTTTTTGAATTGAGTTCACAGTGTGAACTACAGTTGAAAAGAAATGCCATCTACAGAAAAATTGATTACAGGGAAACCATTAGAATTCTGAGGGGCTAGTTTAATGTTGCTCTGTCATTTGATTAATAGAAAATGATTTAGTCTTTGGAAATTGCCTGGAAAGATTTTAAAAGTTAGAAAAGTGCTTGTTTGCTGAGTTTACCATTGACAGACTTGGTACAAATATCATGACATGTGTTTTGTGCTATCCATGTGGCAGTGTTTTGGTTTCTCAAGATGATAGAAATTTTAATTTTATCATAGATATTTGCAATCCAGTTTAATCAACTATATCAAACCAGAACTGTTAACAGTACTCACATTAAGGTGATGGCCTTCTAAAGCAGCTTTCAGAAGTTTTATTTGTCAATATCAGACATAAAGGATTGACACTGGAGAAACATCCATTGATAAAAATAAGAAAGGATGTAGACTAAGAGATATTCTAAGATAATTAGCTGAGACTCTCCCATTTTATCTCCCTTTCTAAAAACATATCAAGCATCCAAGTAAGAGCAATATTATTAAGGGGAAAACTTGAATGTACACTAATTGTATCTAAGAAGTGAATCATTTGCAAACTTCAGAGTTGGATTATTAGCAACAAACCACTTCGAACACAACTGAAAAATTGATTATGTCATAACACCACAGTGGAGAACTGCTACTCTTGGAAGAGAATTAACAGTTACAGGGCTTTTTAATATATACCACTAACCAAATGAGGAATATTTCATATTTTATTTCATATCTCATAAATTAGGAGTTATTCGTTTCATTTTATAATGGGAAAATCCGGCTCTTGGAAGAGATTGGATACAAATTCAAGTCTCTCTGACATCAAAGCCCAACTCTTCTCATCTCCCAGAGAGCAAGAGAAGTAAAACATTCTAAATAATCTGTATAATTGGCTATTCATACCAAGGTACTCACTCCGAATGCAACTCTTCTCGTTTTATGCCCACAGAAAGTTGTGCTTCTGCTTTGGTAGATGAGGACACAAATGCAAACATGTCAATGACAAAGTCATTGCCAACATTGCAAACTGCTCCTTTACATAGCTGGAAGAAATCAATTCTGTCTCCTAGCCAGTTGATTTTTTCAATGGATTTATAGTGTTGAAAACAATACTTTTTCCTAAAACAAACAAAACATCCGGAAATACATAAAACATTCAGAATCCACACTGCCAATGACACTGAAGTGGTGAATTTGTATTTTCTCTGTATTGATTATATAATGGTAATGTTAGTGCTGAATTTTAAAGAACAGAGATAAAAAGAAAGGTATCAAGAGTAGACTAGATATTAAAATTGCAATATCCTGTGAGAATTTTGATATTATATCTTTTATAGCTGAGAAAAAGATTTTAAAAGGCACTGGAGGATAAGTTGAGGAAGGATAGTTACAAAATAATTCTTGCTGCCATTCAGACCTTTAGAAATAAATATGTTGATAAGCATTATAAATGACAAGTACGTTGTACATTGACAAGCAAAGTAATGGATGCTTAGTAAGCTAAAAGCTTTCAGGCCTTTAATTATGGGTTTATATTGTCAAGAAATGTACCAGGACATGGTCAATCCAATTGGCCTGTCCATCTTATAAATAGGTATGGATTGCTATGAGTCTGACCACGGCAATTGGTCTTGATCATAGGACAACATAATGAATGGATTGGCTGTATTGTGTCACCTATGGATCTGCCCAGAGCCCAGTGCATAATCAATACAGCCTGAGAAGATCACCACAGGGCCCTGAACAGTTTTCCTTAGCCACCTTATTGTACAGTCATTTATTCAACGTGTATGAATTGGATGTCTCCTATGTGCCAGGCACTGTGCTAGGGGTTAGTAATACAGAGTTGAGTAAGGCACTTGCCCTCAAGAAATTTAAACAAACACATAACCAAGAATAAATGTAAACCAATGTGATAAACCTATAATAAAATATGAACTAAGCCTCATGTAAGCATACAGGGAAACATTTCTCTATCACATCCCAACTGGACTGTAAGTGATTGAGTGAACAATAGTGATATCCCAGTGGAAGTGGGGTGGAAAGAGAATGTATGGTAATATATTTGAGACACCTGGATTCAGCAATATGTGAATCTTCCAGTGACACACAGGAGATTAAACAGCAGTTGACTCAAAACTATGAAAGAAATAGTTTCCACTTCTACCAGTGTTATAATGAATTAAATATTATGCTCACTCAGCCTCACAAATTCAAAAGAGATGCCAAAAACATCTTGTTGGGCAGTTTTATCTTTACTTCCACTTTCCAGATGAATTATTTTATATCTCTCCAGTTTCAATCTCAAAAATAGTCATGTGGACTCAGATAAGCAGCAAGTTGTTCTGCAGAAACACTAGACTGAAAGCGCTAGACCAAGATTCGTCAGCTGCATGCTTTTGGATAAGTGACTTCCCAACCTGGATTCTCGTTTTCTTGTATGTAAAATTCTCTAGTTGGACTATATCCATTACTTTAGAAGCCAGATTCTAAATCTTTCATCTCTTATCTCCCACCATCTCTCACGCAGACAACATTAATTTCAGAAAACTAAAAGTCGCAGTTTGGATTTAAAGTTGATGTCCTTTGGGATGATCAATCAGTTTGTGATGATTTTCCCCTTTTCTGGCTTCCCAAAAGCTCCATTTATTTTAAACGGCATGCATCTTTCACATTGTCCAGACACAGTTGATTAAGCTAAGATAGACATACGACCAAATGAAGTCAATCATCAGCTTTCTCAGGGGAACTCAAACTTGGACTATCTCTGAACAGAGGAGGTTTTAAGTTTCAGGTGTGGTGAACAGTCATGATTTCTGCCGTGTGCAGTGAGAATGACAAAGAGGTACTCTCTGGCAAGATGAGTATACAGCAGACCCTGCTTCAATAAGCAGAGTGAAGACTGTGGCTTTGTGACATTTTTTTCTCTCCTCAGACTCTGCTGCAATCTGCCATGACTTATAAGAAATATCCTTGATAATTTACTACAAATATTTTGCTTAAAATATCTTGAGTTAGTTGTGTTACAGTTAGAAAGCTAACTAATACAATGTTAAAAAGTAAAGAATTTTAGGAATGAACATCTATGTGTTGATATATATAAAATGTTTGCAACTTGAATTTGCCAAACATGCTCATTGATTGATGGCCAAATGGAATCCTAGATAAAGAGACCCTCTGTCTGTTTATATATGATAAAGTAAACAAACTCAACAGCAATGATTAATAAATTAATACTGGACATGCAGCAAGCCATTATTAATTCATAAGTCTGTCACAAAGGCATTCCCAAATGACCAGATTTGAATAAATTTGCTTACTGTGATTAGAATTAATATATTTCAAATGACACTGAAGACATTTTAGCTCCTTCTATGCAAATCATCGAAGACTTATTTTTTCTTTTCATGTTGATGCATCATACTTTGACCATGAGCTAATTAACATTCATTTGGATCTTTGATTATCTCTTTAAAGCTCCAAGCCAACCACCAGCAAACATTGCCTGGAAGCTGACAAACTCTAAATTATGCTTGAACTGGGAGCATGTAAAAACCATGGAAAATGAGTCTGAAGTTTTGGGGTACAAGGTGAGTTTTTAGTTTTTCCTTTAATCATATCAATTAAGTTACTAAGGAATGAAACATGTGACACCCAAATGGAAAACAAATTGGATGCATATGGAAACACTGGAATCTTTTTCAAAATTATTTTGAAAATACCATTGCTGCTTTCTAATTTTCCATTGAAAATGTTTTACATTCCAAGGTCCAGTAATGTATTAGGGAACATCAATAAATCAAATTCCATAGGATGTAACATTTTTTCTTCAAGTGGCATCCCTTGCTATCATAAGATGATGGCTTATGTGCATAGTAGATGTGATGACAATGAGATCAAAAAATATATCTAAATAGAGATTTTAGAACTTAGGCTGCAGTATGATGTGATCTTTTAACAACATAAAAGGCATCTAACAAGAGTACAATCAAGTACCCAGAGCAACTCATTTCCATCAGTGACAATGGACATCATCTCTTGGCAGACATATATTCAACATTTGAAATGGGTCCAAACTCAACAGTGACTTTCCACAGCAAGCTCCAATGATAATAGCCTCAAGCTATTTAACTAATAGGGATAAATCTACTCTCCTTCCAGAGGCATTGGCCAAAAAAAAAAACACCTCTTTTTCTTAACAGGAGCAATGGAATATAAGGAAAAGACATCACTTGGATATTTCCATCTGAGGAGTACAACATTTATGATGATGTATCTTATGTCTTACAGTGTTCCAGAACAGTTGTGTGAACCTTAGAAAAGCAACATGTCCATGTTAACTTGATACCTCATTTTATTCAGATTCTGTACCGGCAAAACAGACAGAGTAAAACTCATATTTTGGAAACAAACAATACATCAGCTGAGCTTCTGGTTCCATTTGAAGAAGACTACTTAATTGAAATAAGAACAGTCAGTGATGGTGGAGATGGAAGCAGCAGTGAGGAAATTAGGATTCCAAAAATGTCAAGTAAGTTGAGTCACCATTGCTGTAGTAGATTCTGAACCTAGACAGCTGCAGCATGAAATTCAGCTCCATGAAACCTTCCAGTTATGGCTTAAATGTTGGGTGATAAGATAAATTTTCAATTGTGAGCAAAAGGTGATGAGCCATTTTTTTAAGTTATTCTCCAAAATTATAACATACACTATAAATGGTTTTATGCTTCCTCATTTGAAAACCAAAAAGAGAACAGGAAAAAAAATCTTTGTGTCATTAGAGCATAATTGTATCACTCATTCTATTATCACAAAAATCAGAAAGATTTTTCATAGATTCTTTCGGGTCTTTTACAACAGGAATGGCAAATATGAAGCACAGGTAAATATACACCCTTTCCCATGTTCATGGCAGACATCACTAATCAAGTGTGGCTTTCATAAGGAGCTGAGTCACAACTTTCAAGTCCTCCTCAAAACAATTTTCTAAGCCAACCAACACCAGTCAGTCAGAGTTAGCAGGCAATAATAATGTATCATTTTTGCATTAGAAAAATCACTTACTCATCTGCCTGAAGCTGTGATTGAGTGCAAGTCATTAGCATCCAATGTTGGCCAATCCTTTAGGCAGACTTTGCCAATTTAGGGATTTTCCTTTTGCATTTTTATACTTAAATCAGATGTCCTTGGACAAAGACACGGTAAGGCACTTTCTAAAATTAAATATAATGTGAATGAGACAAGTATAATAAAATATGTTACTAGAAGAGAAATGATAGTATGAAATTGGGGTTTTGAAAAATTAATCTAACAGGCAATACTTTATCTCAAAATATTTTTGTCTTATTTTTATATTTTGCAGGTTTGAGTTCCAGAGGAATTCAATTCTTAGAACCTAGCACCCATTTTCTTTCCATTGTCATTGTGATTTTTCACTGTTTTGCTATTCAGCCACTTATCTGATGAATAAAACCATAAATCTTTGAGAGTTTTTTGAAAGCAAATCATTCTGTATATATGCTCTCCAGCCTCTGACACAAGATGCGTTCTTAATACAGACTTGTTTGCAAAGAAAAAAAAAAGTATATTATTAAAATCCTGTAAATATCTATGGTATATTAATAAAACAATTTTAAACACTTTTGAATTTTAAAATCCGCACATGATTACATGAATTCCTAGGTGCCACATTAACCTGGGGAGTTGTAACTGCTGTGTCTTTTAAGTTACTTATATGGAGAAAATAAATAACTCCCCTCAATGATGCTGATGATGAATACAAACTTGGCTCCTAGTTACCATAACTCACATGTACATTTTTATGTATTCCAGACAATCACTTCAGTATTTAAAATTTCCACCCTACTTCAAAATAAAATACAATTATTTGTTTATAGTTGGGATTCTTTAAAAATACAAACTATTCCAAAGCATGGGGTGCTTTTATCTCTGAATCAAGTTGGAATAAGAAATCTTTTTACTCAAGAATATTTCAATATACATGATGTTCTTCTCAGCCCACTTTTCAGAAGATTCAGTCACAATAAAGGCAGAAAAAGTATTTTATGGCAAAGAAAAATAAATGATGGGAAATGAGCACCCACCTAAAATAATCTTCTAACAACTCTGGTATATATTAAGCAATTGCTCATGGCAAAGTTGAACATTTGAACTGCTGCATGAACAAATCTCAGGTAATTATGACAAGTTGATTGCAATGTATGTGGCCTTATTTTTATAATAAAACAATGTGGAAACAGAATTATTTGATCAAGTTTTCTACACTTTGGTCAAAATATTATTTTTTGCCAATCTTCTCTGCAGCTATGAAAACAATTCTACATGAACCAGGGTTTAGAAAGATTGTGTGGGTTGACTTTTCTCTAGGGTGAGCCTGTTTCAGTCAGTGACCTCACTTCTTAGGATTGTGTAGTCTGGAGAAAGCAGTCTGGGAGAAGGTGAGATTAGTGACCTGGCCCATAGAATGCTATGTAACCACCCCCCTTCCTCCACAAACAGCCTTGAGAGGTCAGTTCCTGCTGTCAGCCTTCTCTGGCTCCCAGCCAGTCAGGTTTGTTGTCCTTTAGAGCTAAATGTGAGAAATGCTCACGTGACTTTTATCTTCTTAACATGGTGCAACCTCTTAATTATGTTGAGAATATTTGAGCTATTCTCACAACCCTCAAATCATACAATCCTCAATATGGGATTTTGTCATTTGCATGTCTGAGGTATTTTAGAACTCTTTAAAATACCCCATGTAGTCAGCAGCAGATGAACAATGGCTTTCATAGTTCAGAACTTGCTCCTTGCCTGAACAGTGTGTCAAGCACACAATGCAAATTAATGAGCCTTATTCTCCCCATTGCCATATGATCTGACTGTGCTTTTGTAGAGCAAAACAAATAAGCAACAACAAATACTATTTGGCACACCCGTGTTAACAGCTGCCTGGCCAAGATACATCTGAATTGACCAGAGATACCAGTGCTGGCACATGGTCTTAATGGTTTCCTTAATTTGGTAAGAGACAAGATTTGTGTCCTCCTCCCCAAAGAAGACATTGAGGGTTAAAAATACTGTGAGGTTTTTGTTTCTACTAATTAAGTGAATCAGATATACAGTCATTTGTGTGTGAGTTCAAAAGCTAAGTTAGTTTTTATCAATAATTCTTATATGTTTGCAGAGTACTATTTAGTTCATGATTTCTGGAATATTAAATGTCTGTATTCACTGTCTAACATATCTAACATATTATTTATCTTTTCATCAGTTCACTAAATTTTTCAGAATATACTTTGGCATTAATAATAAGCAGCATGGGCTTTGGTGCGATAGGAATCTCTCCTCTTAGTGAAAACTTGGACATATTTCTTTTAACATCTCCATTTCACTAATATCAGAACAATAGAGTGTTATGTACATAAGGTATTTGGCATGGTGCAAGGAACATTGTAAGTTGTCAATAAATGGAGCTGCTGTTATCTGCTGCTATGAATTAAATCCCAAATGACATAAGTTATTACGTTTACATATCCAATATATTATGAAAATAGTTTCAACCTGTGTTTATGTCAAAATCCAAACCAGCTTCAAGAAAAATGAATTGATCACCTACTCTCCATACTACATGGCACTCAAGGATGAAAACAGTGGTGATTCTAATAACCTGTTTCAGGGAAATGTTCTACATGATGTGTATACTCCTCTGACATTCAAGAAGGATTTCCAGTGCATCCCTGTATTGACTGAGTAGACTGCTGTTATAAACATGATATGTCATTTCCATACTTCCTACAAAAAAGGGAGATAATGTGATTGTACCTGGAAATGGCTGGAGAAGGAACCAGAAATAAGGTTTAGGAGACTCAACACAGTGGAAATACCACTTTAAAGCTATGGACTGCCTAGATCGTGTAGAGTTCAAACACAGCTTCATTTTTTTCTCTTTTGTTCACACTCTAATCCTCCATGCTCAGTGTCTCTTTTCTATCTATACAGCAGGGGGTGAGGAGGGCATGGCTGCTGTCTTTAAAAACAAATGCAGATGGTGAGGGATGACCTGGAACCTATATGGATTCTAAATGTAATAACATAATTATTACTTCTCATAAGTAAATCTAGTATTTTTATACTTCTATGTATGTCAGTCTTGAGATGCAACATGGAGTACACACTCCTGTATTAGTCCATTTTCATACTGCTATGAAGAAATACCTGAGATTGGGTAATTTATAAAGAAAAAGAGGTTTAATGGACTCACAGCACCACATGACTGGGAAGGCCTCATAATCATGGTGAAAGGTGAAGGAGGAGCAAAGACACATCATACATGGCAGCAGGCAAGAGAGTGTGTATAGGGAAACTACCCTTTATAATACCATCAGATCTCATGAGACTTATTCACTATCATGAGAACAGAAAAAAAAAAAACCACCCCCATGATTCAATTACCTCCCACCAGGTCCCTCCCATGACATGTGGGGATTAGGATTATGAGAGCTACAAGTCAAAATGAGATTTTGGTGGGAACACAGCCAAACCACATCAACTCCCTGTGTACAATTATTACTTAATGTGCTATAGAACTACATATTGAATTCAGGAGATATTTTGTTCTAGACAATCACATCTTTGTTGAGGTCAATACTTGCATTAGGATTCTCCAGAGAAACAGAGCCAATAGGGTGTGTGTGTGTGTGTGTGTGTGTGTGTGTGTTTGTGGAGAGAGAAAGAAATATATTACAAGGAACTGACTCATGTGATTATGGAGACTGAGAAGTCCAAATGCAAGAGAGCCTTTGATACAGTTCCAGACTGAGCTGAAGGCTAAGAACCAGGAGGGCCAATAGTGTAAATTCCAGTCGGAGTCCAAATCCAAAGGCAGGATGAAACTTACTTATAATCTAGCTCAAAGACAATCAGGCAAAGAAGAATAATTGTTTCTTACTCAGGCTTCTTGTCTATTCAGGCCTTCACCAGATTGGATGATGCCCACCTGCAATGAGGAGTACAATCTGCCCTACTCCATCTACCAATTAAATGTATTAATCTCATCCGCAAAATCCATCACAGACACAGCTAGAATGTGTAATCAAATATCTGGGCACCAAATGGCCCAGTGGAGCTGACACATAAAATTAACTATCACAGTATTCTTTGGGCTGATATTAAATAATTCAATTCTGCTTTCATCAGCTTTTGGAATGAAATTATTTAAATGCTCCTCTCAATTTATTCATTTGTAAAATCATATGTTGGGATGACAAGATCTCAGAGTTCTTTTAAAACTCTATAATTTTGTACTAATGTGCATAATGTGTGACTTCTTTGGGTATAAGACAGTATTTCAGAAACCTTCACAACCCACACATACTCTACAGTCCTTTCCCTTTTTTTCCCCTGTGTTTTTACCAGTCGTTCCGTGCCTTTTAAACTGGAGTTTACATTACTAAAATTGAGCATGCTTTTTCAAACTACAAAAGACCCTCAGAGTTTCTAACCCGTCTCTGCACTCCATTGAGAATCACTGGTGTATTGCAGTGGTTCCCAAGGGCAGGACTATAATGAAGTTTTCACTGTTCAGTGAAAAAAATAAGAAAAACATGTAGAGTTTGGTGAGCTATTCATAATGAATAATTTGTGAAATATGGCTTTCCTGCACTGTGAAATGCTCATTCTTTGGGGAAACAAAGTTGAGAATGGATCACAGTTTGTTTTACCTGCTCTGTTTTAAAATAATTTACTTGGGAAAAGAGTAGATTACTTTATATCAAGTTCAATTATTTTTATTATTAAAAATGTTTATCTTCTAAGGAAAATGAAAAGTTGAAAACCACTGGTGTTGTCATCTTTTTAATATTTCTTTAATCTCATAACCATTAAATTAGCAATTTGACTTTGTGTGTTGAACTGTAGTTTATATGCCAAAACACCAAGGTTCTGAGTTCTATAGAATTATTGTTTACTTATATAAATATTTATATTTACTTATAAATTTACTTATATGAATATTAATTTACTTATATAATTATATTAATTTACTTATTAATTTACTTATATAAATTACTTATATACATTTACTTATATAAATCTAGGAAATATGGCCTACCACTTATAACAAAACATGAATATAATTAGATTGCAAGAAAAATAGAATGTCAAAATCCTGACTTTTTTAATATCTTAAAATATGGAAATTATTTGCTTTCCACTTTTCTATGTTAAAAATTATTTCATGAAATTAAATATAGTTAGCTGTTAGGCTTTCTTTAATGTATTTACAAATGATTTTAGCAAAATAATTTTATTTTAGCAAAATAATTTTTATTGAAAGATACATTTATTTCTTCAGTTTTTTTCAAATATTATTGTTCTTAACAGTGCTTGGTGTGGTCCTGGGCAGAGAATGATGCTTAAAACATGTATTTGCTTTCTGGACTGATTTATACAGCCAACTGTTGGCAATTTGTTTTCCCTTGGTTTCCTTAATAAAATAAGGGCCAGGCAAGGTGGCTTATGCTTGTAAACTCCCAGTAGTTTGGGAGGCCAAGGCTGGTGGATCACCTGAGGTCAAGAGTTTGGGACCAGCCTGACCAACATGGTGAAACTCCATCTCTACTAAAAATACAAATTATTAGCCAGGCGTGGTGCACATGCCTGTAATCCCAACTACTCTGGAGGCTGAGGCAGGAGAATCGCTTGAACCCGGGAGGAGGAGGTTGCAGTGAGCTGAGATCGTGCCTAAACTCCGGATTTTGGTGGGTAAATAATATATCTCTGAAATAAATAAAATAAATAAAAATAAAATCCTTCGAATATTGTCATTTGAAAAAACATCAGAAATGCTGGTATGTTGCTATTTTAAAACACATACTTTAAAATCTAGTTAGATGTGCCTTAGAAGATCCTTATTTTGTTTGGAGTAAAGCTCTGGAGGAAAGCTCACGCGATGACTCTTTAAATAAAGATAGCAAGTTGCAGCTCAATGAGAGTGAAAAGAAATCTTGATGTAAAGTGTTTTGTTCCCTACACCCATTAAAGAGAAGGAGTAAGCTAGGCTAAAATGTTTGTGGGTATATCATGTTATTCCTGGAACTGAATGCTCTGTTGGATAGAATCCTATTCTTAAGCAGTGATTAATTAATGTTTATAAATCACTTCAAAGATGGAAAGCATTGTATAAAGTCTAATCATTTCTATTATAGTGATTTTTTTCCAAGAAGTATATTGACTTTTTGCAATAGCAGTTTGAAAAAGCATGCATTTGTGACTGAGGCCAGGTATCATGCCTGGAGGAAAATAGTAATTGGAAAGTTTGAAAGGTAATAATTCTGAGATACTGAAAATTTAGGTGAATTTATAATAGCAGACTATTATAAATTAGTCCAGTCTGCATGGACTAAATAATTTTAATTCAAACGTGAAGTAATCTACATCTATTCATGACAGTTTTCAGCCTGTGAAATAAATGTCATAGCAACAGACTGTGTTCCTGAAATGATATATACCTGTAACAAACCTCAGGTAATCTCAGGGGCTTTCATAGTAACAATAATGAGTTTAGGGAACTTTTATTACCTGTAACTGCAGTAGTTATAAAACCCCCCAAAACTAAAACTAACTTGGAACAGATTCATTTTAGCCTATTTTTGTTGACAGAAAGCGTAATTAGATATATTACTGGCCTTTTTTCCTTATCTGTGTAAAAGTGAAAATGTTGTAATTTAGGCATCAAAATTACTGTTGTATTTAGACTTGCAAACATACTGAGATATTTTCATCTTCTAAATTCTTAAAAGAATAGAGTCTATATATATATATATATATATATATATATATATATATATATATATATTTTTTTTTTTTTTTTTTTTTTTTTTTTTTTGAGACAGAGTCTTCCTCTGTCACCCAGGCTGGAGTTCAGTGGCATGGTCTCGGCTCACTGCAACCTGTGCCTCCCAGGATCAAGGAATTCTCCTGCCTCAGCCTCCCCAGTAGCTGAGATTACAGGCACGCACCACCACGCCCAGCTAATTTTTGTATTTTTTTAGTAGAGATGGGGTTTCACTATGCTAGCTAGGCTGGTCTCAAACTTCTGACCTCAGGTAATCTACTCATCTCAGCCTTCCAAGTGCTGGGATTACAGATGTGAGCCACCGCCCCTGGCCGAGTCTACAATTTTCTAAAAGAGATTCCTAAGTCCGAGGACATGGCTCAGGTTATTTTGAGTAATGTTTGGACTCACATAATATTTCAAACTAGATGACAGTTGAAAAAAGACTGTAACTAGTTAAGGAAAATCTGAAAACCCACAACTTGTTGGTGTCAATAGGTAGACAGTACTCGAGAGGCTGAGGCTGGAAGATGACTGGATCTCAGGAGTTCAAGGCTGCAGTGAGCTATGATCACGCCACTGCACGCCAGCCTGGGCAACAGAGCAAGACTATGTCTCAAAGAAAAAATTGACAGAATGGAAATTAATATTCATTTAATATCTGTTGATAACAACTAAGATACCAGATTTTTCTACCTGAAATTGATATTCTTCATCAGAAAACTTCATGCCTTGTATTATATCATGTTACATTAGGTTGCCTTACACCATATTTTATTATTTAATTATCATATGTCTCATTTTGTTTTAGAAAATGAATAATGAGTTCCAGAGGCGATGGACCTTATCTTTGCATTTCCCCTTGCATCCATCACACCCAGAAGAGTACCTGACATCCAGTAGTTGCTCAACACATATGTTTTCAATGAATATACAAACAAAAGAAAGTGTTGAGTGTGCATTACTTAATAAAATCTCATTGCCACTCCTGGAAAAGTGGCAAAGCTAACCTAAAGAATTTTGTCTTTTGTAAAGCTTTCATATTAAAATATTATATTGTTTTTGCCTTATTATTTTTAATAATTTATCATGGGGGATTTAACACACTTTTAAACATTTTTATCATCTTGTTATTATTGCTCTTTTTTGGGGTGTCTTTACTTGGGGGCTTTTATTAATTTTATTTTATTTTATTTTATTTTACTTTAAGTTCTGGGATACATGTGCTGAACGTGCAGGTTTGTTACATAGGTATACATGTGCCATGGTGGTTTGCTGCACCCATCAACCCATCATCTAGGTTTCAAGCCCCGCATGCATTAGGTATTTGTCCTAAGGCTCTCCCTCCCCTTGTCCCCCACCCCCAACAGGCCCTGGTGTGTGATGTTCCCCTCCCTGTGTCCATGTGTTCTCATTGTTCAGCTCCCACTTATGAGTGAGAACATGCGGTATTTGGTTTTCTGTCCCTGTGTTACTTTGCTAAGGCTGATTGTAAAACAGTATAATTGAATATGACATACAGTTGATGCAGCACTCTCTGCATATAAAATATTTTAATTTTTTAAAGCTTTCTAAGATTAAAATAAATTTTAAGGGTAATGCTTTTTTAACAGAAAATACCATGTAATTTTATGAGAGTTTCTTTTCCTTCCCCTCAAAGATTTTTAAAAGACAATTCTCAAAATTTGTATAAACATGGCTATTAGAATTGCATAACCAAGCCAGAGAGCAACATCCATGGTGTCACAGAAGCCATGAGGATCATTCCAAGGTCTAAGTTGCAATTATTTTCCCTGCAGCCGAATTAACTAAAGTCTATACCCTTGATCATACACATAACAAAATGTAATAATCTTGTCATGCTACAATATTAAATCCATATATTCAGCCAGGAAGATATTTTTAGTTGGCAGATATAACACAAACTTATGACTTCCCCTTTTTAGGTGCTACTTCTTTAGGTCATACTGTAAGATTCACTCAGTTTTATTTCCAAAAGCTCAAAATAACTGATGGATTTGCTGAAAATTTCAGAGAAAAAATAGTTCTTTGGCATTAAGGAAGTGGCAAACTTTCAGTACAAGGTCAAACAGGTTAGATGTCATCAGTGCCTCTTTACTTAAAGATGAAAACAGCTGTCAATGTTTAGATGTCAGATTTCATGTAAATCTCACTGTCCTTGAACCACTCTCAGTCTGCCTTCCTTCATGGCACTAAGCTGGTGAACTAGTGAGTAAGTCTTCTCTTCGAGAGGGAGCATTCTTCTCTTTACCATGCTCCTTTCCCAGCTTTCATAATCCATTTATGAACCTATCTGGCCCTTTTAGACATTTGAGTTTTGACCCTTGTTATATATGATGCAATGTACCTAGAAGACAATATTTTATGGAGTCATTGTTTTTTACACCATATTACCTTATGCTCATTTATATGAACACCTCATTTCAGCTGTCATGAACTATGAGCATTTAATGTAAGAAAGTTGAACATTTACATAACAAGAAAAATAAAATTATAATGATAAGGAATTCATCTTGTAAAAATATGTATTTCTTTTTACATTGGGGTCAGAAACATGGCAACTACTCATGGAATAGATACATTCACATTTATAATTGATCAAATCTGTCAAGAAAACATTACTTGTTTACCATGTTCTATGCATTGCACTTGACTCTACGAAAAAAAAAAAAAAAAAAAGCAGTGAAGAAGAGAAACATGCCACCGAGGTGAGGAGCAGGTAATAATTAAGCCAACTCTTCTCACTTCAAAACAACAATCACCTGTTATGATAAGTGCTGAGGAAAAACAAGGAAGATGCTCTGATAGAGGATAAAACATGGGGCCAGATGGGTACCCCAAACTGGATTGGCAGATGGCTATTCTTAGAGAAATATCATTTACAGAGAGACTTGAATGATGCAAAAGGTAGGCATGTTAAAAACGGAGAAAAAAGTATTCCAGACAGAAAAAGAAAAAAAGTCTGCAAATGCCTTGAGGAGAGGAAGAGCTTGGTATGTTCTAGTTACTCAAGGAAGTCTGGTGTGGATGGAAGATGGAGCTGAAAGGAGACTGAGGCATGAGTTCACAGAGCCAACTGGAACCTGGTGATCCTGAAAGTTCCAGGTCTTCAGAAGTAACTTGGATTTAGGTTTTAAACATTACTTATGTTTTAAGAAGATCACTCTGGTTACTGTGTGGTAAGTGGATTGCCATGTGTCAAGGAGAGAAACGAAGATTCTAATAGTAGTCCTTGTAATAGATCAGTGGTGGGTAGACTAGTTTGGTGGCAGGTAATAGACCTGTAGACTTGTCAAGAATTGCCCATTGATGAGATATAAGGAGAGTGAGGGATCCCTCTGAATATTTTAAAGCTACCTTTATTTTATCACATGGAGAATACCAGGGAATGATCATTCCTAGGAATACAGAAGATAGGGTGGTAGTCAAGATTCAGTTTGGGACATAAGTTAGAGATCTCTATGAGAGATCTGGGTGGAGTTGTTAAAGAGACAGATCTGGCAATTAGGGTCAAGGAGATCTGGGTTTCCCCAGAAGTTCTAGCTCTTTTATTAATGAGCAACACTGACCCTTGACTTGGAAGGTGACATTTGAGGTGACCTACTTCACTTTATGAGTCTCAAATTTTTCTTCCATATAATGCACTGCTTTGTTAGAGGAACACTTACATTATTATTAGTACTCAAGCAGTATAAATGTTGGACATTACTATTTTATGACAAGAACTCTCAAACTGCAAGATACTGAGTCAGTCATTGAAAGAGTTAAATTCAGATTACCATGCTGGCTTTATTAGGCTTAAGAGTGTTTTTGCCTTTAAGATGTTCAGAAAAAAGTTAACTATAATATACACAATGGAATACTACTCAGCCATAAAAAAGAAGGAACCCTTGTAATCTGTGACAACATGGATGAACCTGTAGGACGTCTTGTTAAATAAGCCAGGCACCAAAAGACAAATATTTCATGATCTCACTAATATGTGGAATCTTAAAAAGTTGATCTCATAGAAGCATAGAGCTGAATGGTGGTTATCAGAGGCTGGGGTGATTGTAGGGGAATGCACGTGAAGAGTTGGGAAGATGATGGTCCAAGGATACAAGCTTTCCATTAAATAGGATGAATAAGTTCAAGAGATCTGTTGTACCACAAGGTAACTACAATTAGCAGCATATTGTATTCTTAAAAATGCTAAGTGGGTATAAAGTGTTCTCTCCACAAAAATGATAGTTACGTGATGTAATGAATACGCTAATTAACTAGATTTAGTTGTTCCACAATGTATATATCATTTAAAACATCATGTTGTGCATGATAAATGAATCTAATTTTATATGTCAACTTACAAATTTTTTAAAGATCATAAAAAGGAATTAACTGGAAAACTCCATTCCAAAATTAAATTGGTCATTAAGATTGAATACTGATAATTAATTCAGAACAAAAAGATTGTTCAGGTGTGACCAAATTCTAAAATGAGAAATTAACAAGTTTTGTTTTTTATCCTTGACTTGATTCTAAAAACAGAGTTCTCAAACTGTAAACTCATAAGCTTAAAGTAAACTTACGATTTGCTGGTCCTTGGCATTTTTCTTTTGCACCTTTAGAATTTTGCTTATGCTCCTTTTTCTGCATGGAATGTTCTCTTTCCTTTTTCTGCCTGGAATATTCTCTTTCCCTTTTCTGTGTGAAATATTCTCTTTCCTTTGCCTGGGGAGCAGCATCTTCAGCTACCAGCTCCAGTGCCAGCCACTGCACTGCTGAGACTTTTGCTGCAGCCCACTCTCCTCAGACCACTCTCGCATTTTACTCAGTCCCTGGAGCTCCCTGTGTCCGTCTCAGTCATAGCATTTGGCATTTGGTTTCTCAACCGTTGGTTTCCTTTCCTGCTTCTCTCACTTGATGGTGAATTAATTGGGGATTGTAAATTCTTCAGCACTGATTATTATGCTGGGAACGTAGTAGGTTCCTGAGATGTATATAAGGTGATTATTATGCTGGGAACGTAGTAGGTTCTTGAGATGTATATAAGGTGATTATTATGCTGGGAACGTAGTAGGTTCTTGAGATGTATATAAGGTGATTATTATGCTGGGAACATAGTAGGTTCTTGAGATGTATATAAGGAAGACAAATAGGCAGAGAGGAAAAAAAAGAAATTCAATTTTTGTTTGTTTTTCAGCAAGTCTGACTGTATTTTGCCAATCACATATTTTAGAATAAAATGAATCAAAATACAAAAACATAGAATTGTAATACTAAATACTCTAGTTTGCCTGAAATTTTTTTCTAATATTTATAAAAAGCACACCTTGAAATATCTTGAAATAAGAAGAAAAAAACATATTATCAACACAAATCTTTTATTAGAACATTTCAGGCAAACTGATGAACAAACATTTTAAGATATTACGATAAGTGGCTCCATATGAATTATTTTCTGGGATTTGTAGTACATAAGACAACTCTGTTGGCTTTGTGACAGTTAAAGAAGCAAGTTTTTTTCTGTAAACTGATATTTCCAGGCAAACAAAATTCCAGCACTACTGCCTCCTTTGTCCAGAAGACAGGTTAATACCCAAAGGCAAATGATTTAGGCATTTTCATCACCAAGATCAATGTTTAATTTCTTCACCTAAATAGATTCCTCTTTACCCTTTTGACCTACCTACAGAGTCTTGTCATTCAGCACCCCTAGAATCACAGAGTTGGGAGGGTTCTTGATGGGGGGGTAATTCTAGCTCTTCCCAAGCTGCAGTCTCCAGACAGGATGAAATATGTGTCCTTCAAGGTACAGACATTCACCAGTTTATGAATAAATTGTATTGTCTTAAGAAATCTGTCATTTAGTTGTTGGGACACACGTTCACTTTGTTAATAGAAATACTGCTGAAAACAGTTTTTTCTGCAGCCTGTAAAAGCCTATTTATCTTATAATGGATTGACAGTGTAGCACTTCATGGTACTCAAGAACCCAATCTTAAAATGAAACCGCGATTCACCAACAAAGCATTTTCAGAGTTCTGGCTTTGCTTATGGGAAAAACATCTTCTTCCAACATACCAGCAACTTGACAGTAGCAACAAGGACTCCACGAGCAACAAGGACTCCATGACAGCATATATGGCGTCTCTCATGGTGTAGGACAGGAACCCCAGTAAGACAAGAGTGGAGAAGCAGAAACATAAGATCCAGGTTGTAGGAATTAAAGAACTGTAAGGAAAGAACCTTCCATCGTGAAACTCACTTTATCAGGTGATCAGCTTTCATCCACACGCCATGTTCCCACTCTTCTCAGGAACTTTCCAGTCTTATCTTCTTCTGTTACTTTCTCTTTTAATAACCTTTTAAAACCCATCTAGTATCACTTTACTATTAGCTTTTTGTGTTCTAGCCCAAGAAAATTTTATTCTCTCCTACTGATAAGCTGGGCCTCCATCTCACCACAGGGCCTTTGCACATGCTAGTACCTTTTCCTGCAATTTCTTTTTGCCCTCAACAATGTATTCTTGCTCCTTTCATCTGGTTAATTGCTATTCATTCTGATTAGGTAAAACTCTATATTTCTCCACTGCACCAACATTATTCTTCCCTAACACTTATCACAGCTATAGTTTATTTATTTCTGTTATTCTCCAATTAATTCCTATAATTTCCAAACAATCTACAAGATCCATGAGGATAGGAATCCTATTGTATTGGGTTGATCATTGATTGTATCCCCAGTACTTAACATAGTGCTGGCACCTGGGAATCTCTCAGTAAATGGGATTTATTTAGAAACAAGTGAGTCACAATTACAATAAATATCTAATTAAATAAACATAAAATTTTACATTATAAAATAAAAAGTTAATAACTTAATGACAATTACTTGTATCTTCTCTTAAAGACTCCTGTCCATAGGACTCAATTTAAAGCTTTAATTATGCTACTTTTTCCTCAAAACCAATAGACAGTTTTTCTCATGTTTTCTCATCATTCTTACAGCACTGAAAATAATAGGAAATCAGAAAAATTTCCATTAAATTCTACTTTGAATGCCTCCTTCACCTTACCTCCAATCTATACTTTTTTCATTAACCCAGTTGTATTAGTCTGTTCTCACACTGTTAATAAAGACATAACTGAGACTAGGTAATTTATACAGGGAAGAGATTTAATTGACTCACCGTTCAGTATGATTGGGGAGGCCTCAGGAAATTTACAGTCATGGTGGAAAGGGTAGCAAACATGTCCTTCTTCATATGGTGGCAGGAAGGAGAAGTGCTGGGCAAAGAAGGGGAAAGACCCTTATAAAACCATCAGATCTTGTGAGAACTCACTCACAATCACGAGAACACATGAGGGTAACCACCTTCATGATTCAATTACCTCCCACCAGGTCCCTCCCATGACAAGTGGGGATTACGGGAAATACAAGTTAAGATGAGATTTGGGTGGGGACACAGCGAACCCATATCACCAGTGGAATGAAGGTGGCAATATCTGGCATGCATAACTCTGCCTCCTGGTGATCCTTAGAATCCTTCTTCACACAATCATGCAGGCAACTACTACTAATTAATTTTACTGGCACCATGAAATGAAATTGATTTACAATTCCTTAAAGAGGTAAAATAAAAAGTCTCCTTTCTGTTTACAGCAATATAAACTTTTGGGGAATTGTGATGAGAACTTACTTTCTAATTATTGGCATTTCTCCAGCTCCACCCATACATTAAGAACAGCTTTAAATTGTTCCATAGTTTTGTTGTAAAAAGGTAATCTTGGAATATCCAGGTGGACCCAATGTAGTCACAAGGGTCTTAAACGTGAGAGACAGAAGATGAGTCAGAATGAGATGATGTGAGAAAGTCCACAGGGGCCACTGCTGGCCTTGAAGATGGAGGAAGGGGACACAGCCCAAGGAATGTGTACAGCCTCTAGCAGCTGGAAAAGGCTAGAAAATGCATTTTCTTCTAAAGCCTCCACAAGAGATGCAACCCTGCCAAAACCTATATTTTGGCCCCCTGAGATCCCTTTTATGTTTTTGTAAGCTGTTAAGTTTGTGACACAGCAGTAATAGGAAGCAAATACAGTGAGTTTAAGAAACTTGCCAAGTTCACACAGTGAATGGATGGTTAGAAATAAAACCGGGCAGTGTGTTTTACTTAGCTATCATTTTATTTAACTGTCAATGTAAAAACAAATACGTGCATGCACACACACACACAGATGTATATATAAACATAGCATAAATATACATATATATGTATATGCATACATAAATGTAATATGTGCATATATCCATGTATACACATATATATGCATGTGTCATTTCCAATGTTGTACTGCCTCACTAATTTTGGTAATTTGAAAATAATACATTTCTATGGTAATACAAGAGCAGAGATATACTCGGTATCAAAGTGGTACTAAATACTGTTTATACAGCCTGTTTCATGAGATGCTGAAGATGTACTGTAAACAGTAATACTTACACGAAATTAAAGTCTACCAGTGTTATCCTTGGGCTGCCAATTGATTGTGGTTCATGGATTTCATTTACTTTGTGTGAGTGCATCAATGTTCTTTTAAAGCGCAGGGAGAGTTTACAACTATAATTTTTACTAATGATTGCTGATAGGTTTTTCATGATTTAGATATCAGGAATCTTGAAATCAAAACTAATAGCAATAGACAAGAAGTGATAAACAGATACTTAGAAAGGTATAAGGAAACAAGAGAAGGGCGCTTCATTACAAGAATGAGCTTGGGGAGCAGGTGTGACCAGAGAGTGTAGAAGCTGTGCTAAAAGCCAGGCTTTGATGTAACTTGGAGGAAGTATTTAGAACAGTTAGAGAATAGCCACTTCCTAGAGCCAGAAAGAAGACAGATCAACTTGTAATTCCATTATTTTCCAGGTGGATGATACTGAAATGTATAGTTAACCTCTCTGAGCTTGATTCTTATCTCTTTAAAAAGCACATTAATATCTACCGCAGGAGGCTGTTGTGATGATTAAGTGAGCCAATGCATGTAAATCACCTAGGATTGGTAGATGTTCAGCAAATATTATTTCCTTTCTTCCTCCCTGCTGTCTCCATTGATTCTTTGCTACCATGCTTTAAGGTCATACATCCTGAAATTTGCTGCCATCAAAGGATATAATATAGTTGTTTGCCCACTTTTTAAATAAAGTAGGTTAAATGAATTTATTTTCTTTTATTATACCACCTCTTTGGGCCTTTCTTATTGAACTATGCATTATGATTCTTTGAGGAACATAACATTATATAATAGAAATCACTTCTCAATTTTATTTTTCAACAATTTTTTTCACAGGAAATTACATGAGAGAATTGACATGAGACTAGTTCAACAAAACTTATCACAAGAAGCTCAAACTTAAAGTAAAATCTTGGAATCAAGCATCAGAATACATGAGTCTATAGTTCTATCTTCACTGTTTTGTGGTTGAGTTGAGTTCAAAACAAATATGTAATGTTTTAAGAACTTTGTTCTACCTCCGTTGTCTCTTCTATGAAGAGTTTTGAGGATGAAACTGCAAGCAGTATGCAAAAGTACTATCCAGAGTTAAAAGCTCCATGCAAGCATGAGATTATTATTACGTTCTTTTATCATTTGACCCACTATTTGTTCCACAATGTGAAAGGAATATAGCTGATTGCTCCCAAAGACCTTGGTAGGTCAAAGTAAAGAAAAGTGCATATTATCAGGCCAGAGGCCACAAGGTGTGAGACTGGATGAAATGAACACAATACAATGATCTCTGTGAGAAAATAATTTATTTCAAAATAAATGCCCTAACTCTAGAGAGCTGGTAGAGTTTGGGACATGAGGTACACAGGCTCTTTTAACATTTTCATTGAATTTTCAAGCATTGTTATGTAGACCATAATAATGCACAAAATTCTTCAGAAGAATACCTGGTCTCATAACACCCTCCATCTTGTTGAGAAGCTACATATAGGTCTCTTCTTTTCTCTGAGATTCAGTATTGGAAATGTTTAGAGAGATGGTGGGAGGATTATAAATTAACAGATTTTTATAGTTAAAAACATTTCCAAAAATGTGGTCTGTGGAATATTTAAACCTAGAGAACTCTTCCCCCCAAAAAAATTATTCCACGATCAATGACATTTAGGATGCATGGCTCTATCCCCCCTCTAGGAGCTTCACAAGGCACTTGACCAATCTAAAAACTCCTGGAAGTCCTGAAGTAATGAAAAAGATTACCTTGTTCTAATGCAATATGTCCACAATTATTTAATCATGTTAAACATTATTTGCAAGAAACTTACAAAAATTTCACCAGATAATATTCCACCAAACCTGTGGGGGAAGTGCCCCATGAGATAATATCCCAGGTCCCCAAGTCCTCTACCATTCCTGGAGTGTATATGGTTCCCCAGGAGGGTGCAGGAAGGACTTGGTGCCTCTACTTCTACAGCCTTGAGACCTTCTTTTATAATAGTATTGGTCCGCCCCCATGGAGTCAGTTTGTGGCTGGAAGTACAGTTTGCACGATTAGTGTGCGGAACACAGTGTGGGCTGAACAGGCTGGAGGGAAAAGGCTGCTTCTTGGGGACCAATTTTTAGAAGAAAGTGCCTCCTCTGTCTCAGCCCTTACCAATTCTTCTTGCCAGCTGTGGTGTCTGTGTTTGCCCACTCCAGGGGGATTACACATTCATTTTATGTGGCACAAGAGGCTGAGAAGAAAAATTGCTGGCATATGAGACACCTGTGACATTTGGGGTAAACACAATTACATAAAGCCCTGGTTTATGGGCTTGTGTCATCACTATGGGAGGATCACCTTCTCCCTCCTCCAATGGATGGGAGACCTGGCTATAAGCAGCAGAAGGGGACTTTATAGGCTGTTAGACAGGCTTGACATGGGCTCTGGGGGTCTTCCAGTCAGGATTTGCCTACCCACGCAAAGTGCAAAAGAGAAATAAAGCATTTAACCAGAAAATTAAGACCCAACCAAGTCACAAGAAGTTGATTGTAGCAAAAGCAATGTACATTGGTTTTTTCTAATAACTGTTGACACATAAATCTTTAATTGCTAATAATGTATTGCTTATGCACTCTGCTATACCATATATATATATACATATATACATACATAATCTCATTTATGCCTCACAATAATGCTCCAAGGAAGGCATTTCTTATACTGGTTTTACAAATGAGAAGCTGAAGCTGAGAGTGAAGATACGGTTTGCCCAAGTTATTACATACAGGAAGATAGCAGACCAGAAATTCAGATCAGGTCGAGTCAACTACAAAACCCATGTTCTGGAACCACTAAGGTATGGACTCTTCCTGTTCTGCATATCTTCCTTGTGTTCCTCCAGATCGATTCTCCACCCTTCTCTGCCCCTCTTTTTGTCCTAGGAGGATGATCTGCATGGATTATTTTTATAAGTTCCATTTTCTCTGGCTTCTTGTTAAATGTGACCAATAGAGGTCACTGGCAGGGTTGGAGGGGGTTCCTTTAACTGACTCTATTCTACCATCATTGCTTTTCTCAATGCAGCTAATTCTATGTAATTTTCTCGCTCATAGTTCTGGTAACCACTTTCTTCTCTTTTCCCTTTGAACCAAGGGTTGTGTGTTAGATTGCTCACAGAGATAGCTGCAATTATTATTTTCATTGTTGTATAAATATTCTTTTGTAATGAGACTTTGTTTCTTCTCCAATATAGGAGTGGAGTCTATTTCCCCATCCCATTAATTAGTGGTGTTCTTATCCCTTGCTTTAACCAAGAGAATGTGACAAAAGTGACATTTTCCATACGTAAGTTCCAGAACCATGGCCTCAGGAGGCCTTACAATTTCTGCCTTTTCCTTTTTGAAACTTTAAGATCATCGTATAAGGAATCCCAGTTACACTCGAGTATGAATGACCACAAGATGGGACTGCCCCAGCTAACAGTAAAAACAAAACTTCAGTGATGTGAATGAGGCTACCTGGGACCTTTCAACCCATTCAATCTGCCAGATCACTGCACTTACATGTACAATCTCAGGCCAGGCTAGCAGGAGGGCTGCCCAGATGATCCTAGCCTAAATAACTAAATCACAGAATTGTGAGCAAATAAATGTTTTAAAACACTAAGATTGGGAGGTGAGGTTGTTATGCAATAGATGACTGATACAGTTGTTCAACTGTCTTATGCTTCCATAAGTTCATTTTGTTCATAAATCCCCCTCAAATTATCTGATTTCATGTCTACCACCTGGACCCTGGCTGATACCTCCACCATGACAGTCTGATAATTAATCGAAGACTTATTTGAAAAAGGATTACCATAGGATCCATCTCCCCATGCTCCTGAATCCATAGACGTGTTTCTCTAGGAAATCTTAATTAATAGTTATATATAATAGTTACTTGGTGTCTGGTGTGTTGCTTACATTATCACTGCAAAACTGGAATTAAGTATTATTATCATCCTATTTTACTTACAAAAAAGCAGAAATTTGGAGATAAAATACTTAATTAGGTGCAGTGCTAGTAAGTACCAGGCTCTGAGTTCAAACCTAGATCTTCACTTTACTCCAACACTTATGTTCTTTCCACTTCGTCAAACTGCCTCAGAAATTGAAATTTTAGTTCTAACAGCTAACCAACCATAGACCTCGAGCACAAACTCTGTCAACTTAGGAATCTCTGGATGTCCATTCCATAAAAGGTGTTTTGAAGCTGTAATTTCTTCTCTCAGGGAATAAAGGTCAGATTAGTAAAAGCATATTTTGACACCATCAAATGAATGTAACTTATTTGGCCTTCAAATGTAGAGATGTCAAATCATTGGTGTAGTTTCCTAATAGGTCATTGCCTAATGTTTGTGCAGTTTCATAGTAAATCTACTCTAGAAATCCATCTTGTAGACCCCCAGGAGTAAAAGTAGATGTTCACAAATAGAGGGGGAAGTAGCCTGTGATTCTTTTTCACTATACTTTCTATATTTAACATTTACGTTTCCTGTAAGAGGCTCCAGAGATAAAGAATTTATGTTAACATAGGTCTCTGAGGGAATATATCATCCGAAGTGACTCTAGCAGATTCCTGAGTATGACAGGAGCAATACTAACTTAAGGATTTGTGCTGAAGTAACAGGCAGCACAGAGCAGATGAAAATATATTCTTGTGACAGAGCACGGACCACATTGTTAAAGGCCAGTTATAGAGGCTATGATGATAATAGAAACTTTTTTTTCTTCCTTTGGAGAGATAGCATAGATATGGCACAGTACATCTTAGGTTTGGACGCTAGTTATGATGTCTTCTCATTGTGTGGCATGAGGCAAGTAACTTGTAACCTACAAATCTTGTTTTCTTTCACTATGAAAAGAAAGAATAACAATGACATCAACTTCATATGCTATTGTGAAGATTAAATGAGACAATGAGTGTAAAAACTTACTTGAATACCTAGTATATAAAATAAATTAAATTGTTCTTTATCATTGGTGTGCCTAACACAACAGGGGCTTTACACTTATTGCCCCATTTGGTACTTCCCCATTCCTCTATGGTGAATATATTGTCCATTTCTGTAACTGAGGCAAGTTACCTACCCAAGGCCTTGCTGCCAGTATAGGTCAAAATTAGAACTTGCTTTGTCCTCTGACTAAATAAAAATCGATCTTTTTCCTCCACATATTGTTTCCCTGCATCAGTCTGCCTCTCCCTGGATGGTGCATGCATGTGTGTATGTGTGTTTATGTGTGCGTGTTTAAGTTTGTGTGTGTGTCTGTGTCTGTGTGTGTGTGTGTGTGCCCAATCCCTTTCATAGAAAAAGCACAGCCATCATACCACGCACTTGGCTGGGGGTGGGGGGTGGGAAGGGGGCTTGTCCAACAGAGGGGATGCATTTGTCAAAATCCATCCTCTCCTATGTGCAGTGACCCCCCACACATTAAAATAAGAGAGCCACTGCAGGAAGCTGGTTCCATTCATAGCTTCAGAACAGAGGGAAGATAATTGGGCTATGTAGGGAGTGAGCCTATGGCCTTGGCCTCATTAGCAACATAGTTTAATCATCAGAGCCAAGCCACCACAGGTGGCTGTGCCCCATGCAAGTGTTGTGCATTTC
The DNA here is from genome assembly GCF_000001405.40 of Homo sapiens. NCBI lineage: Eukaryota > Metazoa > Chordata > Mammalia > Primates > Hominidae > Homo > Homo sapiens. The sequence goes on from NC_000003.12 coordinate 1,423,927, forward strand.
ATTTCCTGAAAACGTCAGTGTCTGAGAATATAAATATTACTTATAATCCTGGGATGATTGTGCAGGTACTAATGGAATGGTTTCATGGTATTGATTTTCAATAGCTCATTTGCTATAATCAGCTTAACTTCATCTGCTAGAAAACGAACTTCTAATTCCAGTCTGAAACATAGTACAAGCAAATGATTTTAGCCTAGTCTGCCACCACCTTGAATCCCTTATGGAAGTAGGCTGGGTATAAATCTTAAATAAATAAATCAACTTTAGCTTTTCCCAGATTTTCATGATCTTGCAAGATTGATTTTCTTCCCTTTAATCTGTTTTTAATAAAAGAGATATTTTCCTTTGAGACATGGTCCATAATCTTTTCCATGTGTATTATCATTCTCATAGACATCCTCTTTTCAATTTCAAGAGAAGCAAGGCCTCTTAGAGGAAGGTAGCTTTTGTGACTAGCCAAATCTGCACAAAGTTGGAGGAATTCTAGGAAGACGGATGGGCCTTTGGTGTAGGTTGGAAAGAACAATGTTTAAAAATACCCTGTCTCCTCCCTGAGAGGTATGATACCATGATTCTCTCTCTTTATCTAAAGGTATTAGTCTAAGGAATTAAAAGCCATTTTTCTATGAGAAGAAAAATGAACAAGATATGGGAAGGTGAACTAGCAGAGCAACATATAGAAATAATAATAAAAGGCCTTATTCAGAATGTAAAATACACTATACTAAAAGGTTTACCTTGATTATAGCACTCAATCATTCCAAGACTCTGAGATTGTAGCTATTATCATATCCATATCTTATAGAAGTTTATAGAGTTACATGAACTTCCTCAATGTCTTGCAGCTAGTGTGAAGGAGTCAGGACTCACACCATAGCACCCATATTCCAGAACCCACAGCTAACCACTGGATTCTATGCCTATGAGGATACATAATACTTACTGTTTCAAATAACTTTATAATAGTTTTCAGTTAAAATCTTGTCTCTAGGCTTTTGGGCAAAGAACTTTAAAAACTCTGAGCCTCCATTCCTCCAGCTTAAAAATGGAGACAGTAGGTAACTCTTACCACTGAGACAACGTATGTAAAACACATACACACGCATGCACATATATATACCCCCAAAATACTGGTGTTCTGATTCCCATTTTACAGATGTAGAAACAGGGACTCAAAGTTGTCAATGTGTTCAACGTTTTATAAAAGCAGATGAAAGAGTCAAGACTCAAACCTAAATCTATCTGACTGCAAAAGGTGTGGCATTACCTGGGCAGCCCATTGAGGAAGTGCTCGGAGCTCATTGAGTGGGTGAGGATCTTGGCAACCTGGCCAGGGAGGCAATGGGAGAATGACTGGATGCCTACATGTGACTGTGATAACCTGTGTATGGAATCATTTGAGAGAAGTATCAATTGTCCCAAAATGTCTACCGGAGCAGTGAGGGTGAGGTAAATAATTGAAATGTTTGTTCCTGAAGATGGGTACAGTATTAAGAGTTTCTAATGATTTCTTATAAGCTCCTGTAACTTTAGGATTTTTTGTTTGATGATGTACTTGAGGGGAATGTGACATCATCTGTGTGACGTGATCAATGCAGTAGATGAAATGAGTATTTAAATACCTGACTTAACCTGAAGCAGGATAATTGTTAAACCAGAGGTGAGAACACAGATTGAGAAGGTGACCATCTCAACCTTGGAAATTTGAACAAGTATTCCCAGAGGAAGAAACATTTGACTCAGGACTTAAAACGTGTAAGAGTTTTACAAAGAAGGTATTAAATAAGAGAAAGGGAAAAAAGAAAAATGATGTAGTACATTCTGGTCAGTCAACAAAACATACTTATCTAAAAGCTATGAAGATCCTTATAAATTAAAGGCACAGAAAGAAATGCTTTATATTGGTAAAACTCTATATTTTGGAGGGAATAACACTTTAATTTTCAAAGTGCTTTCATTTATATTAACTCATCTGATTCATACAACCCTGTATATAGAAGGAAATAATGTTTGGTAAGGGAATTGGGAAATTATTTAAATGAGTTGATCATCAAACAAATAAGTTCCAAAGCTGAACTAGGACCCAAAACCTTTACATCTTGATCTACTGCTCCAACTAGATGCAGTATAAACAGGGTGTTTACATGTTTAATACTAGGAGCAAGGGCAGTGCCATACTTTTGGAAATAGTAAGAAAGAAATAATGCGCTTGTAGATCTTTAATGCTAAGAAAAAGAATCTCCTATGGCATGAGATTGAGGACTTTTAGAAGCAAAGAGGTGAAAAGTGAGAAGTCTTTATTTCAGAAGCATCATATAACGAATGTTCATAGTCAAGAGATAAATAAATTATTCATTATTCTCTCTGAGAGAAAATCAAAGGACTGATTTTGAAATATTAGACATTTGTAGCAGTAGACATTTGTATCTAGTGTCCACTATGATAATCTTTCTAATTTATTTTCAACACTACACTCAGAAATATAGATTCCTGATTATCAGCAAGTAGCAAAATTTCTTCAGGTCCTGGCTGTTTCTTGTGTTGTATTGTTGGTTTCCAGATTTCTAAGTCAATCTGAAGGTTTTTTCTAAGTAACACGACTTGCATCGTAAGTACTTTTTTAGTAAAAAGTTGTAGTAAAGAGTTACTGGTCTTGCATTAGATATAACCACTTTATATTAGTTTTGGTTATCCCAAGCAAACTGCTTGACTTCTGCCTCTCTCTCTCTGTCTCTCTCTCTTTTATTTTTTTCTTTTTGAGACAGTCTCACTCTGTTACCCAGGCTGGAGAGCAGTGGTGTTATCTCAGTTCACGGTAGCCTAAACCTCACAGCCTCAAGCAATCCTCCCTCCTCAGTCTCCCGAGTAACTGGGATTACAGAAGCACACCACCGTGCTAGGCTAATTTTCAAAAAAATCTTTTGTAAAGACGGAGTTTCACTATGTTGCCCAGGCTGGTCTCAAACTCCTGGGCTCAAGCAATTCTCCTGCCTCAGCTTCCCAAAGCACTGGGATTACAGGCATGAGCCATTGCACCCAGGCTGTTTTCTCTATTTTATAGCTAACCCCAATACTAATAACAGCTAAAATTAATTGAGCACTTACTTTGTAGCATGTATTGTTTTAAACATTAATTCAAACATTACCTAATATAATCATCATGGTACTTTGATACTTTGTGATATTTTTTACCTCTGTGAATACCAAGAAAGAAGCAATTGTTTAAAAGCAGGAAAATCCCTGAAATTGAGGAGGCATATGTTCCAACCCCAGGTCAGCTACTTACCAGCTATATGACCTCTGGAAAAACATATACAGCAAGTCCTCACTTAACATTGTTGACATATTCTTGGAAACTGAAACTTTAAGTGAAATGACCTATAATGAAACCAGTTTTATCATAGGTTAATTGATATAAAAAAGGTAAGTTCTTATGGCATATTTCTGATCACAAACATATCACCAAACATCAAAATGAATACCCAAAACACTTCTAACATTAAACATTGAAATAAATGTGAGCTACACATATATTTAAGAAAGATTAAAGGCCAGGCATGATGGCCTATGCCTGTAATCCCAGCACTTTGGGAGGCCAAGGCAGGAGGATCACTTGAGGCCAGGAGTTCGAAATCAGCCTGGACAACCTAATAGTCCACTTCTCTGCAAAAATAAAAATAAAAAACAAATTACCCAGGCATGGTGGTGTGCACCTATAGTCCCAGCTACTCAGGAATCCAAGGCAGAAGAATTGCTTAAGCCCAGGAGGTCAAGACAGCAGTGAGCTATGATCATGCCACTGCACTCTAGCCTGGGCAACAGAGCAAGACTCTGTCTCAGTTAATAATTAATTAATCAGTAAGGTCATTATTTACCCACTTATTCATAACAGTTCATGGTCTCGGGTGGTCATAGCCTATCACAGCAGCTCAGGGAACCAGATGGGAACCAACCCTGAACAGGACCCTGGACAGCATGCCATCCCATTGGAGGGTACACTCACACACACCCGCACTCACTCAGACTGGGACCATTTGGACACAGCAATGAACTGAACATATGCATTTTGGGGTTGTAGGGGGAGACATGAGGGTCCTGATAAAACCCACATAGACATGAGGAGAGCATGCAAATTCCATAAACACAGTGGCCCTGGCGGGAATCAATTTTTTCATCATCAACGTTATAAGGAAATAACATTGAAAGAAACAAAGTTATTTGAGGACCTGCTTATCATAAATAGAATAAAATCAATTTCCTGAACTGGAAAATGCAGATAATAGTCTCTGATAAGTAGCTTAGGCAGGTAAAAATACCTAAAATAATAAAGCAGAACATACAGCTGTGTGTCTGGTATGTTTCGGAGGCCCAATGTTTTCCGTTGGGTTTATTTACCAGTACTTTAGTCCACTTGAATACTTAGTTTACATAATCCTGAAAATACAATTGAGAATTTTATTCTCTGCTTAATTACCAGGGTTGATGTTGTGGATCTAATGAAATAATGCATATGAAATGACTTGAATATTGCAAAGTACCATACACATGTAACTGTTGTTATGATTTTCCTTGCAACTTAGGTGGAAGCTATTTCCTATTTCAAAACTTTATGATCGGGGAAAAGTAATCCCAAAGGACCTAGAAATAAGTCGTATGCAGTCAAAACATGAGAAAATGGTTGTAATTTTACTCAGACACTATCAAGATGCAACAACCTGCATATGTGAGCAATGTTTCTTAGAAAGGCTCAGAACACTTTACCATTTTCTGTTGTGTTCACCACCTAGAAAAAAAAAAACGGTTACAGAAGAGATTTCTGCAATTTAAGGAAGAATTTCTAAGATTGTCAAGGTGATAAAACCCCAGCAAGGATTATTGAATTAAGTTCTTGAGACTCCTTCCCAGGAGAACTTCAAGATGAGAACAGGCATCTATCTGTCCTACATGGCTCAGACATTTAACTGCTGGAGGGCAAGTTAAAGGCTTCCTGCCGGACTAGATGAGTCGTCAAGGTCCCTTCTAGCTCATTCATTTCTTATTCACCAATTATATTCCAACTGACAACCTTCCAGTTTTTTAAAGGGACTCACCATATTTCTTAAATTACAACTCATTGCTAAACTTTAAAATCATTGCCATTGATTACACTTTATATAGGATACACAGAAAATAGATGTAATGATCTGTAGCTAGATTTGACCTACAGCTTGCGGGTTAATGTGTAGGGAGAGTGGGAAAGGTGACTCTATCTGATGATTCACTACATGTAGAAATTCCATGATATAAAACCTGAAGTGACAGAAACCATTGCCATCCCATGATAATAATTTTCTTGGGGTTTACTTTGTGGTTCAATGTCCAGGTCAGACATGATGACATTTTAGCAGGGATTTTTTTGTGTTTGGAATATTTTCTTTGTTGTTTTTTTTTTCTTACTTTCATAACTAATTTCCCTTGAAAGGGTATGACTTGGATCTGACTTGTTCTGAATTTTACGCTACAATAAAACATGTTAGGGAGAAACTTCTGTGTCTCTGACAGCCTGTCCTCTAAAACACATCTCAACATGTGAACTGATGAACCAAAATGCCACAACCTTGAGAAGAAATTAACTCAGAGTTATTCATCTTCGAAATCCATGTTTTAGGTGGTTTCCATGGTGACTCCCTGGCTAGCAGCATCTTTGTCTACCAGATGTCTTATTGTTCAACAGCTCATCTGTCTTCAGAGTTTAAGGTTTGAAAACTGAAGTCCAAGCAGAACACTTTCTCTAAATATCACAGAGAAGGGGGAAAAAGACAATAAAATCATTAGAATGTTTAACGGACATAAGATGGGAATGGCGAGCAGAGACATTGTTCTGCCATGGTCCAAATCAGTGCATGACAAATGATTTAGGTTTTCATTGGGTTCTGAGGGCATAAATATGTTATAATAATGAAAGAAGGCTTAATTATACTTAAAACAGAACTCCTACTCACTTGGCAAATTTTATCTCCCTATTGGCTCCACGATATATTAGTTCACATGGTAAGCCACTTACTTCTATCAAGTCCTGATTGTTGCAAGACAATCTGCAAGTTGATATATGAAAGTAACTTCAATTCAGAGGCTTTTTTTTTTTCTTGAAGAAATGAGAGTAAGTGGCTGCTAAAAAGATTGTACTTATATATTGGCTTCCACGTCTAAAGTTCTGAAAACATCCTGGAACAAAGTCACTCACTCTGTTATGTTTTAATTCGGTACCAATTATGACTGGCCATGCTTCAACATTGTATTCCAAAATGAGAAAACAAGCAACAGTAATGATAACCAAAAAGGTTGGAAGCAGTGTAGGGCCAGGTGTGAAGCTGAAGAAAAAGGCTGAAAACCAAAGCTCTGATCCTAGGGTTCCTGTTCAGTGAAGTGCCTGGTTTGTGTGAAGGCAAGCTGGAAAGAGCCATGCTAGGCTGGGCTCACTTGTCCACATTCCTCATGGAACAGCCAAGGAAACTAAGATCTAGTGAGATAAGTAAATTATTCAAGGTGACAAAAATTGGTTGTGTGACTGAAATCAGACTTAGGATCAGTGATTTCCCAGTTCACGTAGGTGGAAATAGGTGATAGAGGTTAAGTGATTCGTACAATATTACCCAGATCTCTAGAATGTAGTTTTCAAAACCATGCCCATAAACTGTAGTTCTGTTTTGCTTTTTAATGATCACCAGCATTGACTAGTAAACCTCTCTCCCAACCTACTCCACCCCAAATTGTCTTTTCCTTGTTCTTGGAGCCGACTTTGAGACTCAACCCCTTTCATGCTGAGCTAAATATCAAATATGTGAAAGATGATAACATCCACTAACTATGTTTAAAAGACAAGTTTCAATTTCATTGACTTTCTAGCCAATGCTACCTGTTAAGTCAATTGCACAAGAGGGATTTGCCAATCGTCTACCATGTATGTGTAGGGAGGGCATGGTGCAGAGCAAAACCATGTACAAAACAGTCATCGCCCCCTCAGAAAGTTGACACTGTAGCTGATAGAAAAATGAACTGTCCCATAACAAGATGGAATGGTATGCTGTCCCCATATTACAACCTCATGTGAAAAGATAACACAGTTTGCTAAGAGTTTTTCATGGACGATCAAACTAAGAAGAGATAAATTTCAGCTAGAGTAAGAAAGATAAGACGGTGGGAAACAATGAACGACATTAGATCCTGGAAGAGGAACTGCATTTGGAGGAAGAAAGGAGAGTGAGGAATATTTTTATCTATAAACTTGAGATTCTTACCTCATAGGGTTATGATGAGAATTAATTCGGAAAATTATATAAACCATTTAGCACCTTGCTTATCATGTTAAAAAATCATGTAAAAATAAATGTCATTTTTATTATTTAATGATCCATACAGAGTTGGGGTGGAAAGAATATTATAGAAAGAATCTAAAGTTCTTGGTTCTTAATCCAGTAGCAAACAGAGTAAAATAGGAATATCATCTAATATTGCAGGATTTATTTTATCATTGATGAAATGAAAGATTTAGCTAAAATGATCTCTGGGATCCATTTTCACTCATAAATTCTATGATTCTGGGACACCAAATAAATGTTTTATTCGTCTATATTTGCCCACAATATGCATTTTTTAGACCCACAGGGAATTTTTTCTGAATCGTGGACTCAGAACCAGTTAAGTGCATGACTGACACAACACATGAACTTTGAACAATTACATTCAAACATCAGGACAGTCTTTGTTAACATCGCCAACTCTCTTCCTTATTACCAGTAAGTTTTTTTTTTTATTCGCTGTGTAAGGGCGATTAATTCACATTTCTTATAAAGTTGTACAATACAAATTGCATAAGAAAATAAATGACTCTTTTCTATTACTTGGTGGAAAAAGTTGATTTATAGTCCCTGAGAGAAAGAACTAAGGAAGAGAGTTAAAATTCCACTTACTATATGAGATTTTTAAAGATCTAGCACTCATGCATGTTGTGAAAATACTAAGTATCTCAAATAATGTGTGAGATTCTCCTTAGAGGTAAGGTTTTATATTGTCAAGACATTTTTTCTTTTATTTTTTCTATTGAGTTACTGTCTTTATGCTTTACTTGTACCTCATACTATAAATTAAAAGATTAGTGTTCGGTGTCATTGCATTAATGAAGATTATTATTTACAACAATAGCTAGAAAGTGATTGGAGGTTTAAGTCCAGTAACTTGAGCAATTAAAACCCTTGTAGATTCCTATGAGGTTTAAAAAATACATGTTGTTAAGGGAAACCTATGTACTCAAGAAAGATAGTTATTGCTAGTGTACCTTCTTCAGGAAACCAAAAATGTCTCTCATCAAAAACGGCTTCTGGAAAAGACTGGAGTTTTATTAACATCTTAGTATAGATTTAAAGAAATGAATCTCTTCTCCTAACAACTAGATTTCAATCCTCTTTTCAGATTCTCTAATCATAAAAGCTAAACATCATAAAATAATTGAAGACTAAGTGATAATTATAATGAACACCCACCATTTTACCCACCTACTCTTTCTCTTTTTCTCATGCATTTCTCTTCTCTCTGTAAAAGTAAAAGCACTTTATTTTATTTATTTTATTTTATTTTTTTAAATTTTAATTTTATTTTATTTTAATTTTATTTTATTTATTTTATTTTGGAGACAAGAGTCTCGCTGTCGCCCAGGCTGGAGGGCGGTGGCGCCATCTCGGCTCACTGCAAGCTCCGCCCCCCGGGTTCCCGCCATTCTCCTGCCTCAGCCTCCCGAGTAGCTGGGACTACAGGCGCCGCCACCACGCCCGGCTGATTTTTTGTATTTTTAGTAGAGACGGGGTTTCACCGTGTTAGCCAGGATGGTCTCGATCTCCTGACCTCGTGATCCACCCGCCTCGGCCTCCCAAAGTGCTGGGATTACAGGCGTGAGCCACCGCGCCCGGCCTGGCACTTACTTTTCTCTGGGGAACTGCCCCTCTATGTTTCAGTGTATCCCTTTTGGAAATGTCAACTGCAGTGACTTGCCTCTTCATCCTAACTTCTGGCCAATCAGTGTGGGCTATTGACCTAGACATGAATGATGACACTTGTTTTCCCTGAAAGTTGGGTCTTGAGCAAAGTGACACACAATTAAAAATCTGGATGGAGAGTTATTTTGGGTTTTGAGACTGCCAAAGACTTCCTGCAATGAAGATCTGCACTCTGAACTTCTGAGCTGCTTTGGTTCCCATCTTTCCTGTGGCTGGGTCCCTCCCTCTCTCTGTTTTTCCTGTGAGCACAGATGACTACATTGGTGAATTCAATCAAACATTTAAAGAAGACATAATACCAGTTGTAACTGTATTCGGACAACAGAGTTTATGTGAACATTTCCCACCTCATTTGATAAGGTCATTATATCAGATATTAAAGGGGAGAGAAATACATATACTTTCTGCTATATATAAAAATAAATCTTTTTTTATATATAGTGTTGATAAACAGATATAAATATATGTACTATAATATAGATATAAAAGAAAAAACTACATACCAATATCACTCATGAACATAGATACAAATTTTTTTAATTATAAGCACGTAGTATCTACAGACATATATATCATAAATATATCTATGGAATATATGGAATAATGCACTATAACCAAACAAAAAATGCAAGATTGAATATTTTAAATTCAGTCAATGTAATCACCCCATTAACAAAAAAAAGAGAGAAAAACCATATTATTTGAATAGATGCTAAAAAAACATTTGATAAAATTCAACACATATTTATATTTGTGAGGCTAAGGAATGTCCTTGGATGCTAATCCACCATGTTGATTTCTGATTAACCTCTGTTCTGGGAATGCTTTTCAGCTTTCTACTTTATGTACTATTACCGTAAATCCTATGCTTCTGTCAAAGCAACCTTGACCATAAGACCACAAGTCCTTCCCTCAGGCAGATTCACATAACTTTCTTGCCTTTTCTTGGGGAGTTGACTTCAGTTGCCCTGCACGTTTCTTGTCTATGATATATAAGCCCTGGATCTTGGTGGTAAGCACATGGATCCATGAACTGGTCTCTCGGCTGCCCTAGACTATTGCTTCTGCTTGTAAATCTGTATTCAAGGTTTCTGAGAAACTGGGAATGTCGGGCTCTTTCTTTGTCCCCAAAGCTTCCTTGGCCTTTTGGGGGAAGGTTTGCATATGCTTGCTCACCATAGAACAATACTAAGTAAAAATGTTCAGCAAACAAAAAAATAGAACATCTTTAAGATATAGTGCATCTACCAATATCTTAAAGCCAACATCATACTTGATTCCGAGAATTCAAATGCTTTTCTAAAAGGATCGGGAACAACACAAAGGCGTTTTCTCAAACAATTTCTATTCAACGCTGTACTGGAGATCTTGCTGAATACAATATAAAAGAAAATAAATAAAAGGCATAAATAATGGATAGATCACAGCACTGTGTACCTTAATAAATGTAAAGGAATTCACAAAGACAATAACAGACCTAATAAGTGAATTTGACATGGGTACAGAACACAAGGTCAATGTAATACATACATACACACATGAACAATCAACAAATGGTTGGGAAATAAAATTGTTTAAACACCATTTACAGTGAAATCTAAAAAGAAACAAAAATTATAGGAATAAATCTAATGAAATGTGCAGAAGGCATTTTTAGTGAAAGACATTTATACTGAAAGCTACAAAACAGTACTGATAGAAGAACAAAACAAATACAGAATTGACCTGGCCATGAGTTAGAAGGTGCAATATTAAGATACCAATTCTCCTCAAATTGATTTACAGAATCAATAAGACCCAATAAAAATTCCAAAAGACTTTTTAAAAATAGAAATGAACAAGTTCATTGTAACAAGCATATGAAAAGAACAAGAAGACCTAGAATATCTAAGGCAATCTTGAAGAAGTACTGCAAACTCAAAGGACTTACTATAACTGATGTTACAACTCATTTTGGATCTATAAAAATTAGACATTATGCTGTTCATGAAAGGGTACACAAATAAATGAAGGCACATAATCAACAGTACTGAAACAGACACCTATATAAGGTAACTTGAATTTTGATGTAAGAATCAATGCATTTCTATGTCTAAATGAAAAGTTCTTTCAACAGTTGATGCCACAGCAACTTCTTTTGAGGGGAAAGAACTTGAATTTTACTTTACATCAGACATAAAAAATTAATTTTAGGTTAATCATAGTCCCAAACATGAAAGCTAAGTCTATAAAGCTTTTAGAAACAAACATGGAAGAATGCCTTTATAATTATAGTATAGGCATATATTATTTAAATATTTCTTTAAACAATAGCCAGCCAAGAGAATTTGACAAACTACACTTCAAAAAAATGAAATATTTGCTCATCAAAAGTTATAGTTAGTAATGCGAAAGGGTAAATCTCAAACTAGGAGAAAATGTTTGCAATATGTATCTTACAAAGGACTATTATCCAGGATACGAATGAATTACAAGAAGACAATAACTCAAGTTAAAAAGTTAAAAACACTTGTGAATACATACTTCACAGGAGATGATGAAAACCCAATAAACACTTCATATTATTCGTTTCAATGCTAATACATTTTAAAACCAAAATGTGACATCAATTTACATCCACTAGAATAGTTAATAGTAAAAAGTCTAACAATTGCAAGTGTTGAGGAAGATATGAGAAACTGCATGTCTTGGGTAAGAAAAGTGAAATGTAAAATGATACAATCATGTTACAAAACTGTTTGACAGTTTCTAACATAGTTAAATACCCAACACCTTATGATTCAACAATTCTACTTCTATTAATGGTTAGGTACCCAAGAAAATTGGAAGCATACATTCATAAAAGATTTACATTGTAGGCCGGGCATGGTGGCTCACGCTTGTAATCCCAGTACTTTGGGAGGCCAAGGTGGGTGGATCACTTGAGGCTAGGGGTTCAAGACCAGCCTGGGCAACATGGTAGAGACAACAGCTGTCTCTACTAAAAAATGCAAAAATGAGCCAGGTGTGGTGGTACGCGTCTGTAGTCCCAGATGCTTGGGAAGCTGAGGCAGGAGAATCACCTGAATCCAGGAGGCAGAGATTGCATTGAGCTGAGATCGCACCAGTGGACTCCAGCCTGAGCAACAGACTGAGACACCATCTCAAAAATAAATTATATAACATTGTCGATGAGAGTCTTATTCATAATAGCTCAACACTTGAAATATCCCAAATTTCCATCAATATAATAGATAAATTGTATATTCATTAAATGGAATACTCAGGAATAAAAAGAATACATTTCTCAACCACACAACATGAATCACTTTTTAAAATACTATTTTAAACAAAAGTAGCCAGACACAAACCGGTACATACACTAAGATTCCATATATATATATAACTTCAAAAACAGGCAAAATTAATCTACAGTAAAAGAATTAAAGCTACAGGTTACCTCTGTAGGTGGTTAAGATTGGCCAATAAGGAACATGAGAAAACATTGTGGGACGATGAGAATTTCTATATCTTAATTTTAACGATGGTAACAGGTGCATATATAAATACACACACACATATATAACTGAAGTGTATACTTAGTATCTGTATGTTTTACTATAGATCAACTAACCACATTAAACAAAAAAAGACAGAGAGACACAAAAGTATCTTTATTTCTAGATTTCATTTTCATCAATACAGTAAACCATAGAAAGACACTTTCTTGATAAATATCTTTATTAAAGAAGTGTAGCAAAACAAAGGGTAGGAAGTTGAAGTTAGGAGGATTTAATAATCAACTGGTATTTCTAGGTATGGCTTTTAAAGGGCTGACTTTTCTGGATATGACAAGCTGGCAAATGTTCTCAGAGTAGGCTTTCAAAAAAATAATGTTTTCCATTTTCGTAGAAATCAAGATTTAGTCCTTTGAGTAACTAAGATAATATAGTAGACTTGAAATGATTAATTTATAGAAGTCACTACCAGTTGTCATTATAATTATGATTTTTTATTATTAAAATAATTATTCTTTGAAAAGAATAATTTGCATATGCCACACAGAAAAATAATGTATTTTAGTAAATGGAGGACTTAAATATTTAGTCAATGCAACATTAGGTCTACTCACCAGATAATCAAGATATAGCAGTATGATTCTGACAAAAATATCTTTCTCTCAATATCTGGAATATTAATAAATAGCAGTAAGATCCAGTTTGATTTTTTTCACTCTCTCAATATCCTCGTAACTCAAGCAAAGCAAATTGTAGATAATTTGTTTTTGAAATCCAGATTTATTCACTGAGTGTAAAGATGGCAATTTCTGTTTTTTGTTAAAATGAAATATATTTTCCCTTCAACTTGTCATATAATTTACCCACTGTCCTCACTGCTTAGAATGAAAAGAGCTAGTATTTTACAATTTGAGAAATTGTTGTACTCAGAATATACACACACATACACACATGCAAATATACATATCCAGATTGCTTTGTGCTAGCACCAAAATCATCATGAAAATACCATTTTGAAACTTGAAACCCCAAAATCCTTTTGGACTTATGTTTTAGTTACTAGTCTGTTTACACAGTCATATGATGACTTTTCTCTTTTTTACAAGTCTGAAAAAGTTTCTTTGCAATCTAAGGGTCCAATATTACCTTATGTATCATTATAGTATGTATGCCTAAATATTTTTGCATTAAATAAGTAGAGCTCTCTTAAAGTTAATATATCTTTATGAATATTATAAGCAGAGTAGAAATCCATACAAGTATAGTATAATTGGTTTCCTGTATATGCGTTGGGCCTTTTTACCCAGTGACTCCAGGAGAAAGATCTGAGAAAATACAGAATGTAGCAGGACTTCTACGAAAGTTGAGTTACCAAAGTCAAAGTCAGATCAAAAGGAAATAAAGGACAGAACACTTCAGGGAGTAGAAAATATTCCCTGTTGGGTAAAATGTAAAGATTCCATATGGTGCTGGAAATGTGCCATGTCCTCGGCACCCCTTGTAAATGTTTTGTTAGTTCACTGGTGAGTCTGCCTGTTTCTCTCTGACTTGATTTCACAGCTTTGGTCACTGCTGTCCACAGTCAGGCAAACACAAAAGGAATCATTTAGCTGTTCTTCGGCACTGGAAATTTTCTTCATACTGAAAAAGGCAGCAGGGAATACCATTTGTCTTTCGCTTTATTCTGAGCTATGGTAACTAAGGCTCTGGGTCCCCTGGTTCCCATTGATCTGTGCAATACAGAATAGCAAAATTGGCTACTGACAGCCAGCTGGGGCAATCAGCACCAAGACATTCAGAGGGCTATATTTTTCTTCCATTTTAACTAGGTCCAGTAGCTACCTGCGTTGCAACAGCACCAGGGTATAAGGAAGGACTCCTTTTGAACACCATTGCAATCACGATATTGAGCATAGCCTCTATCCCAGAGAAGGCATTCAATGCAACTTTGTGAATGATTGAATACAATAGCCCACTATATTACTTTATAGCCATTACTCTTTATAATTATTACTCTAAGCCCAGAGTTGGGAGCTGCAGAGTTGAGAATATTGTTAATTCCTGACTTAAAATGAAATGTGTTTGGTATTGTCCCCATTGCCCTCAAATAAGGCCAAGCCCCCTTAGATTGACACACAAGATTGCAACCCTGATTTTTTTCTAACCTCACAATCAACATCCAAAGCCCACATGTGATGAGTAATTCAGGGGTCATAGTCTCTCTTAGGTCTGAGTCTTGTGCATCTTTTCACTCACCTGCGACAGCCCCACCCCCTTCCATGTGGAATGCCTACTCAGCTTTCAGATCTCAGACTCAACACCTCTGGCTCTGGGAAGACATGAGGCTTTGGGAAGTCCGGGCTGGCTTTCCCTTCTAAGTGCTCCCACAAAGCCCTGAGAGCCCCTTATTCTTCACGCAGTGCATGGCGATTGCATGTCTCAACCACCAGGCCACGTGTTTAGAGACGCCAGCCACACCCTTCCTTGTCTTCGTTACTGCTGCTGACAGCATGCTCTCAGTACACAACCTTTGCGAGAAAGAATAAATGAGTGAGTGGAGAAGCACTAGCCATTTTCAGGGTGAATTGGTGGTAATCAGATGCTGGAATTTGCTGGTGGAGTCACTCAGATGAGGAGAATGGCCAAAAATTTCCTTGAGGTACTCAATAGAAGTTTAAAAATGAAGAAATAACCCCAACATCGAGTCACAATAACTAAGTTGTATTTTAAGTGGTTGTATTTAACATATTAGCACACACAGAATATATAAGATATTTGGAAAAAAATATGAAAAGTCTCACTATAGATGCATGAAGACGTTGTGACCCAGGTCCCCCTGGTCCTCAGCTCCTTAATGCTTTGTTCCATGGGAGTGGTTTCCAGGGGATTCAGGAAAACACACCCTGTCCAGACAGAAATGAGAATACAGCCTCTGGGAGAAATAAGGCCCCAGCAACCACTCAACATTTTTCTTTCCATATCCCAGGCGCAAATAGGCACTGAGGGAAGAGTGAGCCTTTCTTCCTGCCCTTCTCCTCTTGCAACATTTTCTGGAGAGGGCAGGAAGACCTAGGTAGCCAGCCTGCGTCCAGGAAGGGAGCCTGGGGCACCTTGGTGTGATAGATGCTGAGGGGACAGGGCCACCAGAGGGAGCCTGAGAGTCCAGAGAAGACTAAGAGAATCATGTGACCCTTTGAGGGACTTGAAGGTAGGCTGTGGGGAGTGGAGGGTCTACAAAGAAGGATAAAGGGGCCCAGCTTTCCTAGGTGAGCCTTGAGGACCCTGGAGAGAAGCTGATGAGGTCTGAGATTACTGAAAATACTACAGGAGCATTGGGATCACTGGGGGAGGGTTCTGGGGAGTCTGGAGGATCTGGGGGACCTTGGGGGAAAGCGTATGGGGTTTGGGAGCATGGAATGAACTAGGGGAGCTAGGGGTGGTCATTGGTGGAGCTTGGACGTGCCTGGAGGAGCCTGGAGGGATGATCTGCCCCTCAATCAATAGAACCAGTTAAGAAGAGACCATCTCCCAACCCTGAATAGGCTCAGTGTCCGAAGGTAGGTTGTGTAGAAATGCATCCCCACAATCACAAGAATCAATGTGAAAGTAATATCAGGAGTTTTATTTCAGCTATTGGTGGGTCAATCTTTTTTCTCTGTGGAATTTTTTTTCTTCCAAAGTTTCCTGTTTTCTTCATAATTTAATTTCCTTCTTAGCTTTTTTTCCTCCTATATATATGATATTATGAAGTATATATTTGGTCTTCATCCTGTTTTGTGACATACAGCTGCTAAAACCTTTGAAATCTCTGGAATGAAGAGTGTCTTCTGCTTGCTAATGAGATGACTTGTGTCTGGAGGCCCCAGTATAGCTTCAGGAAGGGGGCTGGTCTCCAGAAATAAAAAGGCATGATTAGAGTATTGGACCAGTCGGCCCCACCCTCAAACCTCCCGGGAGGAGAGAGGGGCTGAAGGTTAAGTTCATCCCAAATGAATAATGATTTAATCAATCGTGTCTACATAATGAAGCCTCCATTAAAAAAAAAAAAAGAGGGACATATTTCGGAGGAACTTCCTGATAGCTGAACCTGTGGAGGTTCCTGGAGGACAGTGTGCCCAGAGAAGGCATGAAAGCCCTGCACCCCTTCCCCATACCTTGCCCATGCATTTCTTCCATTGGGGACGTTCATTTGTATCCCTTAAAATATCATTTATAATAAACAGGTAAACATAAATAAAGTGTTTCCTTCAGTTTTGTGATCTGCTCTAGCAAACTCATAGAACTCATAGAGAAAGGGTAGTAGAAACTTTGATCTGTAACCAGTCCATAACCCATCCATTAGAAGACCTGCACAGCTTGCAATGCCTGTCTCAAGTAGGAGGCACTCTTGTGGGACTGAGCTCTTGACCAACCTGTGGAATCTAACCCTACCTCCAGGTAGACATTGTAGAATTGAATTGAGTTAGAGGACACTCAGCTGGTGTTCATTGCAAAATAGATTGCTTGCTTGGAATTTTCCCCACCCGTGTAATGTCAGAAGCATTGTGTTGTGTTTGAGAGTATATCAGGAGAAACAGGATTTGTTTTTTTCTATATCCTCAGAGTATAAATATTGTTTATTCATTGGTTATTTTAAACTTATTCATGTTTTTTTATTCTTGGCCTCTCTTTTTTCCCCTAAAAGAATATTTTTCATTTTTTAATTTCTTCTCACCTCTCATTCCTTCTTCATAGATTCTTATTTCCTTGTGTTTTTCTTTATATTTTTCTTTCTGCACAATTATTTTCTTTATGTTCTTTTCAGTTTTTTAGCATTAACTTTTCAGTTTTTAATAATTTCTTATTTTCTTCTGTTTATTTTTTTATTTCTTCACAATTTCCTTCTTCTTTATGATTATTTGCTAAGTTTCCTTTAGCTTCTACCTCATCATAACTTCTATCTGGTCTTCTTTTCATATATTATTTTCTTCTTTATAATAATTCCCTTCTTGGGGGCTTCTGTTTATTATTTCTTTATTTATATTTCATATTTTGTTTCTTTCTTTATAATTTCTCTCTCTCCTCTATCTTCTTCATGGTTTGGAGTGTGATTCTTCTCTCTCCCCTTGATGGTGATGGACACTTGCTTTGGGACCAGGCAGTCCTACATCCATTCCCAGTTACGGCCCTGGTTAGCTGGATGTCCATGAACTAAATTTTGCTTTCTGAACCTTATTTTTGTGACTTAAAGGTACTTATGTAGTAACTGCAATATTGTTTTTATTTATAGAACAGTTTGCCAGGAAAGAAAATATTTCAAAGACAAATTTTCCACTAAAAAATAATACAGATAAAAAACACAAAATATGGGCAGACTTAGACTTGGAGAGGAGGTGCCTACACAGACTAAAAAGCTGATGCCTCTTCAATGTGATTTTCTTTAAATTTTATTTGTTTCACTTTGTGGCTGAGGGTAGAGTCTTGTTTCTCTTGCTCTTTGTTTCTTTTAGAAAACATCTATCTTTAAGCAAGACATTAGTTCCCAAAACCTGACTTTTCTCAGCAAATAATACATTGATATTATTCAGCTTCAAAATTTTGACTGTGACTTCAAGATTGACACATTTTTAATGTTGCCCCCAACAATATCGCCAACTAATTAAGCAAAAGTCCACTCTAAACGTAAGCATCGAATAGGTCAACCATTACAAGGAGAGCGTTTGCTTCTCTTAAAAGTTTCTTTCCACCTCTAGGTGCATTCTGTTTCACCAGCTATATAAGGATCAACAGTGTGGAAACCTGCATCAACTGGCATTGTATTTGTAATTTATTCTGATGATTGTTTAGTGTCCTTTATATTTACACAATTTGTGGAACCCAGTGTAAAATGAAAATGTGAGGCTCCTTGTTCAGAATTATTAATAATTTCAAGAAGGCAATTCTAGGGCATTAGGCAAGTGCAGGACTCTGCTGAGTCTAGGTCCTGTACAGTGGCAAAGGTCACACGTTTGTATCACCGGCCCTGTTGATGTTGAAGTTCTTAGCACGAAGCTGGCTGACCTGGTTCCAGGTACAGGAAGTGACACCCATGAGGAACTTTCAGATCCCCTTTATACTCTCAAAATTTTAGTTTTTCTTTTAACTTTAGAAAACTTGCCTGGATTTCAGTTATTCATCCATAGCTTGAATATGTCATTTTTCTTACTGCCCTTCTCTCCTCTCAACAACCACTAGTCATTCCCTGTAAAAAGTTTGGGAACATTCAACAGACTTTTACAGCAGAAAGTATATAATGTGGTGGCAGAGAAGCCCTCTTCTCAAAGTCAGTATATTTCAACCAGTGGCATACTTAGGATTTTGTTGTAAGTAGCTTAAAAATAACTTGCTTCATGTCTCAGCCATTACTTCCCACAGTTGAGCCCTCTGGCCAAATCTAAATCATGCAAAGGGCCAATTGTTAAAGTGAATGCCTGCTAAGTAGGATGGCTTGGAATCCAGGTTGAGGATGAAAGCAGCAACAGCAGGAAGGAAGAACAGTGGAGTAAGCCAAAAGAAAAAATTACTGCTGGCACACTTCTGTTCACCATACAATTCATCCCCCCGCACATGGCAATGGAGTTGGTGAACAAACAGGTGCATAAATTAAAATCATGCAATTAGCGGCCATGCTGCCCACCGCTGCTGCCCCAGAGCTGCAGTAATGCTGACACTAGTTAAACAACCAAAGCAACTGTCATTAGCTAAGTGTGTTCACTTCTAGAATATCCTTTTTATTAACGTGTTTAAATAGCTGGATGGCAGAGATTTGCTGTGAGTTCTATAACAGAAGCCAGTTAACAACCTTAAAGACCAAATTAATTGGAAAGACATATTTTAAAACCAACACAGAACATAAGCTAGGGTGCATAACCAGAAGCTACAATTGCTCAAGTTTTTTAGAAGAGGCCATTTACATTGTAACATCCCGCCAAAATAGTATGATTTTTTAAAATCACAGAAATTGCACAGAAACTAGATGTTTCAAGGTATTTATGTTAACATTTCAGGATAAGGAATGAGAGTCTTCTCTGGTGCTCATCATTTTCAGGATGAACAATTAGCATTGAATATGCAATGTGGTATTTCACTTCAATCTCCAGAATTCCTCTCAATGCTTCATTAGGCTAAAGAAATTCTTTTGATACTGCGCAATAAGAGTTTATATTTTATTCCCTATTTTTAAGCAAAGACAAAGAGATGTATTTAATATGTAAGATTTGGGAGAAGAAAAGTGAAAAATCATCAGTGATGTGAACTAACTTTAAGATCACACAAACTTGAAACTACTAGAGTATTGAAATAACACTTGAGCAGACTTAACTCTTCATCCAGAATCCCTGGGTATTGATAACTTTTATAGTGACATTTGAAGGCTTTTTGTAAGACACAATGAATTACAGGGAAAATGGAGATTTTATGAAATTATGTTCTACATGAATAGTCATAGTAGTTGAAATGTGAAGATGAAGGAATGAGGCTTAATTAGAGAAGTACCAAAGAAGATCAAGATGATTATCTCACAACATCCCTCAGGTTGTTGTCTGAAAGTAATGGTCTCCATGAACTATAAAGACAGGGTGTGTCGTGTTGAGAGACAAGACCCAGACCCAGGTTTTTTCCCCAGCTCACTAAATGTGTAAAATTAGATAAATTCTTTAACTTTTTTCAGCCTCTGTTTTGTAACCTCTCAAATGGGGATAATAATACATGTTTACCTCATAGTCTTATTTTAAGTGATTAAATAAAATAATTCAAATAGTGCTTAGCAGTGCCTAACACTACCTTTATGTATGTAACTTAATAGGTGATACAAATTTATCTCCCTTTACCAGTAGTTTTCCTTGACTACAAATTGAAATCTTCGGGGAAGTTGTAAAAAGCACTGATGCTTGAAGTCACACTTGGAGCTTCTAATTGAACATTCTTGGGTGTGGCCTGAGCATCAGGAATTTTGAAAGTTCCCCAGGTAGTTCTACTCTGCGGCCAAGGTTGGGAACCACGTTGCTTTAGACAGTAAATACATCATTAGTAACCACATTAATTTCCATTACTCAAGAAATTCACTGAACACCCTGGCATATTCTAAACATGACAACTTGACCATTTCTCCCTGAGGCTCATTTTCTCTTTGTTGCCCTTCTGGGGTTAAAAACAACAACAACAACCAAAGTCAATGAGACAATAATTTTAGCTTAGAACTTAAGGATCCTTTTCATGCTCTACTTAATAATAAATAGCAGAGGACTTCTTTGAACAACATCTTTAATGTAGTTGCTAAAACAATAAAATACACAACAGAGTACCCATCCTTTAAGGAGGCCAAATATATGATGCCCTCTCTTTTTTTTTTTTTTTTATCATACATGAGTATTTCTGAAACAAGTTGAGCTAAACTTTGTATCCTTTGATATCATGGGAAATAAGGAAGCAGTGCACATTCTCTAAAGAAAATGACAATGATTTCTCATTCATTCTCTCATTCTTCTGTTTCTGTTTTCATTTGCTTTAAAAACTTCTTTTTCTTTTAAGATCTGACTTTCCTTCCAGGTGAGGAAAAAAGAATTTCCAAGTGAGGCCAATTAGAGTTGCCCAGATGAAGCAAAGTCCCCAGGGATCAATCAGAATGCCTACACAGATGAGAAAGTAGGAATATGTCCTTTCTTTCTCCTTGTTAGAGTTTAGTTTCTGCCCTGAGGAATTCTAGTTATTTATTTTCTATCAGAAAAAAGAATGAGCTCTCCACAGCACTTAACTCTTTCCTACTTGATAGAAATATCCACCTTCACATTGTAACCTTGTGCTGTACCTCATTGACTTGTCCTTAGTTAATTATACAGAACATCTCATTCATTCAGATTATGCTAACTGGGAAATAAAATATGTTTACAAGAATTAGGCCAAAACATACAATTGCACTGGAAATGGTGTAAAAGAGATTTATCAGACGCCAGCTTTAACTAGGAGATTAGATTTATGAATACTTCCCAGATTGTGTACTAGGGAACATTACTGTTCATCAGGATATTAACAAGGAGTTTCGTGGTCAGATTAAATTGAGAAATGATAATTAACCATTTTCATTATAATGATGATAACCATTTTCATCATGCTCTTCTGAGCCTTGCAGCTCTGAATGTAGTCCGAGATTGGCTGCATTGGCATTACATAGTTACTTGTTATAAATGCACAATCTGTATTAATTCTGTAGTCCCACCCCCATACTACAGAATTAAAATGTTCATTTGAACAAAATCCTCAAGCGATTCCTATGCACATTATAGTTTAATAGACACTACCTTGGATGATCTCAATTCATATTAGTATGGCAGCAAAAAAAAGTTTTTTTAAGTTGAATTCATAAATTTTTAAAGTCTTTTTCACTTTGTTTATCCTATGATATAATGAAATTATTTGACCACAGAAATATAGCTATTCTGTTTTTGAAACAGTTACTAATATTTCATGGCCCAAAACTTTTTCACATAAGATAGGAAAAAGCTAAGTCAAATTATATTTCAAAGGTCCTGGTAATTCTCATATTCTGATATCCTAAAAAGATGGTAAAGAATATACTTACCTTCTCAGAAAAGAAATATTATTTAAAAACGCTGAGCATCCTCTATTGGTGATATTGTCAATTACCAGGTAGACTATAGTACTATACTGGTAAAGAGGCTTTTTCATGTGTAGTCTGTTTCCATCTAAAATGATGACCTCTGAAGATATGGTGTGTGTGTGTGTGTGTGTGTGTGTGTGTGTGTGTGTGTGTGTGTGTTGGCAGTCAGTGTTCAGCTTCTCTTGGCTGCATCCACTACAGAGGATGTCCTGAAATGGTCAGCCATGTCTCCCTCCAGCCTCACATTACTACTGTCTCCCTGCCCTTCTGTATTGACTGGAATTTGGCCAGAGTTCTACCAGAGTAGTGCCTGGATCTTCATCTAACTTTTAAGGAATCACCAGACTTAAATTTATCCTTGAATTAAAATTACTTAAATAACTGAAATATCCCCTCCATATCTTCCAAAGTCTACCCAAATTTAGGACATGGTGGGTGTTATTCCTTTCCTATACCCAGGCACACAGGTCTTTTCATATCCTGCTGGTATTAATTATTCCAATGCTCTTCTTGCTTTCAGAAATCCCTAGATGAAAGTAGACACCAACTCTGTTCCCATGTGTTGCACCCAAATTCAGGGTCCAAACACAAGCTGCACTGAGAACTCTTTTCTCAACCATTTGCTCCAACAAAGTGAGAATGGGTCTATTGTTTCTTGTCCTAGTGTATATCCCCCATGAAGAAACAAGATGTCATTGTCCCTTTTTGAAAGACAGAGAATAAAGTGTTCCTTCTTGAAAGAATGATTTCTTAGATCCATATGTTATCTTATAAAACCAATGCAAAGTGTGCTTTTCAACCAACCATTTTCTGAGACATCAATAAAAATAATTTTATGCTTTGTATGAATAAATCCAACAGGTTTTCAGTCTTATTTTAGTCTCTTGCCTTAAAAAGGAATAAAAAATGTATGTATTTCAGAAAGAAAATGTAGAATTTAGGCTGTTTTCTTCCATTTTCTTCCTTGAAAATAATCTACTTTGGATTTCTTTTGAAGACAAGTGGACATTTGGCATTTACAGCTTCATAGAATTGTAAAGTTATGTCTCTCTAGCAACAAAGCACAGTGCCATATTTCTGAATAAATACGTTCTTCCTTGAGTTAAAATTGCTTACAAAGAATCTGTAATAAATCAATCTTAGTCTTTAGATTTACTGTTTAAGGTCAAACTATGTCAATTGTGTTTTTAAATTCAGATTTCATTTTGAAGCAACATTTTATAATTATGTCTAATTTCTATTTGTGCTTATCTGTTTTGAAAAAATTTAGATTAGGTCAATCACAAGTCAAAAAAATGACTACCTTCTGGCTCCCTCTCAAAAATGTCCACTGTTCAAATAAAAAAAAATAACATTTTGCTCAGAAATTCTAATTTTTTAAGGGGTGAAAGTAAGATGTGTTTATTTATGGTATATTCATTCCAGAGTATTCTTAAGAATGCCCTTACTGGAAAGATGTTAGGTCTGAGAAATAAAGAGGAGCTTGAAAACTCACAAGAAAGCATTTTTTAAGCCAGCAGTGAAAGAACTTTTGATGTTTCAAGGTCATTTCACTGTGGGAGGAAATTGATAGCGTCTAATTAGAGTAGAAATGCTATAAAGTCTGTTCAGTAGAGATGTACTTGGCTAGCAGGATGAAGTCAGAGGAAGTATATAAAATTTTCTCTTATTGACTTACATTTTCCATGGTCCCCAAAACTTAAATGTATGTTAATATCACCTACAGTGTTTTTATCCTTGTTGAGATTAAAATATGAAACCTGGGAGTTTTCTCCTGCTTAGTTCCTTATTATGGGTATTCAAACAAATGCTGAGTTGTAGATTTAATTCCTTATGAATTGCCTCCACTTAACAAAATCCCAAAACATTTACTCAGAGGTTGCTATGCAAAAGCCACCGCAGATGCAAAAGATCCTAGAGATGCCTACAATTTGGACCTTGGATTTAGGTGATTATAATTATAGTTGCAAATAATTATGTGTCAATATTCCGTATTTTACCTGGAAAAAAAAATTCTGTTCAAAAGTTTTAAATGTATTTACACTCACTTTCCAAGGTAGGGGGTGATAGTATTCATGTTAGTCATATATTTATATTTCACACTATTTCTCTCTTCTGCTTTCATCGATTGATGAGAATGGGGAAAAATTATTATAAACTTAATGCCTCTGCAGTTTTTCTGTGTCACTAAATAATGAGAGTCTGAGAAAATATGTATTGTTTAGCAGGACATCTTCATGTGTTTTCCAACTTAAAAAATACAACATGCATGTTTTCAATTGTAAGTGGGAGCTAAATGATGAGAACACA
The DNA here is from genome assembly GCF_000001405.40 of Homo sapiens. Classification (NCBI taxonomy): domain Eukaryota; kingdom Metazoa; phylum Chordata; class Mammalia; order Primates; family Hominidae; genus Homo; species Homo sapiens. The sequence continues at coordinate 1,448,397 of NC_000003.12, forward strand.
CAGACACATAGAGGGGAATTGGGGCCTATCAGATGGTGTAGGGTGGGAGGAAGGAGAGGATCAGGAAAAATAACTAATGAGTACTGACTAGGTTTAATTCTTAGGTGATGAAATATTCTGTACAACAAGCCCCCATGACACAAGTTTACCTATGTAACAAACCTGCACATGTACCTCTGAAATAAGTTAAATAACAAATAAATAAATAATAAAATAATTGTGATTAAAAAGAGACAATATGCTGTAAAATATTTATTTAATAAAATAGCTTTTTAATCTGTACAGAATTGAATAAAAAATAAATAAAAATATAACATACTTAATAACCTATTTCCAAATCTATTCTTATTAAACTATTAATAAGCTAGGGATTTTTCTGAAAAACAATACTTTTTTCTTAGAAGAATATAATGTTGGATTCCTTGCTTTAACTTTGTGATGCTTCATGGATCACCTATCTCAAATCTCTCATTCTACTTAATGACCCAGGTTTCTTGAATTGAGTGACTAGAGAAAGGAATTTATAGAAGATCTTTAAGATGCTTCATTTTTACCCCTAAAAGAAAAACAGTGAAACCAAGAGGACGGCGCTAGCTGTAGATAATTTAGGGTAATTCAACCCAGAGATGGAGCAAGTAATTATTTCTGTTCTTGTCTCATCCTGGTTGCCTTCTATTTATCCTAACAAAAAAGCCACAACAAGTTCCCTATAAAGAGTTCCTGTTGTCCATTTTATAAAGAGGAGGAGGATCAACTTTATTTATGAACATTACAATTTATCAGAGGGACTCTGGTTCTATGTAGGCAAATTCCAAATAACATTAAATTCAAATTCTTTTTATTCAAGTTCTATCAGATTTGCTGCCCATCTGTTAATCCCACTTGACTTCACAGTGCTGTTTATCTCCTAATAATGTTTTTATAGGATTGCCATTGCATACTATTTTTTTTGTGTGTGATAGGTACACATAGAAGTCACATTCATTGTCCTTCCTAGTAATATCTGCATAGATTCTGATTCCATGATCCTTTAAAATGAGCAAAGTGAGAGGTACCATTCCAGAAAGAAGAAACAAGTCACCTTGTAAAATGATCTGCATTTTTGTCATGTCAGGAGCCTGCACGTGTTGGGTTACTTCATGAAGCAATTGTTGCCTACAGTAGCATTTCAGTTCAAAAGCCTGTTCCGTTAAATGCCATTTCCCAGTTCAAATGGACTTGAACTGATTCAGCATACAAATGGTAACATACTCTTTAAAAATATAGTGCAGTGGTTAAACGTGAAGATTCTGGAGACAGGTCATCTGGGTTCAGAACCTGTACTTGCTGTGTGATCTTAGGCAAGCTACTTGATCACTGTTTCCTATATTTAAAATAGGGGGACAATAACACCAAGCTCATAAATCACTGTGAGAATTATGCAAGTTTATTATACATGCTTCTCATGTGCCTGATACACACTGAGCAGTCAATAAACGCTTGCTGCTTCTATTTGAAATCTTAAAGAGACCATATAACAAAACCTCACCTTTGGGCAAATGAGCAAACTGAGGCTCAAATGTTAAATAATTGACCTATGTGTTCTGTCCATTAGAGTCCACCTTTACTTTCTCCTTATTTAAAGAAAGTTGAATGCAAAGGCATTACTTGGAAAACCTGAGTTCAAGTTCCAGTTCCACCCTACATTTGTTCCATAACCTTGAGCAAGTTCCTTAATATTTCTATATGGCTCAGAATGGTTAAGTAATTTTTCCAAGGTCACACAGCTAGTGAGTAGTGGGACTTGGATTCAACTTGAGCAAGTCTAATTCTAAAATCAGATTTTTGTCCCTACTATAATGTCAAAGGTTGCTTTAGGTAATATGTACATATCACTTTTGGTCAACGAAGAAACTGAAGTTAAATGTCTAATGCACAGTTACAGCAAATTTAGACAGAGCTTGGACTACAACGGAAGTCACTAAGCTATCAATTAAATATTCTTCCCACTAGATCAGTGATTCTTAATCCTAGCTGCATATTAGTCTTACCTGGGTAACCCACTTCAAAAAGACACCTTTACCTGGGGCCCTATCTCAGACAAATTATTTTTTCAAAGTCTCACTGAATTAATTGTAAGGTGCTAATGTGAAGAACTGCTGACCTTGACTGAAAGAGTGCAAAGAGGATTATTTTGCCAAAACAGACTCACTACCAGGTTGCTTCCAAATTAACTAAACTCAGAACTGTCCTAACACAAACACAGGTGGGAGTGGCTCTAAGCCCTGTTATTTACCCTTCACTTTCTAACATTTTATCAAAGTCAGTCTCCAGTATAGATGAGTAGCTATGGGAAAATACTAGGAATAATCCTCCCAGGCCCTCTTATTTTTTTCCTGGTTTCTTATTTCTTAACTGGATTGTCTCCTCCTCTATGCTATTATATTCCACTGCTGGATTAGTCTTACTGACAGCTCTTACCTTGCTATTCTGCTTTCCAAGAGTTTCAGTGATTCCTCAGCACCCGCAGAGGAGGTGTAAATACACTTTATCTGGAGCTACCAAGACCTCTAGCATCTTTCCAAAGTGACGTTTCCAAACTTTTCCATGACTAATTCACCTTCATTTTACATGCCTTAAAGAGCATTGTAACTCCATAGGGCTTTCTGAAACTGCACTGTGCTGTCACCCTTTGTGCTTTTGCTATGTTATTCCTTTGTCTCTAATGTTTTGCCCTGTAACCCTACTTGTGAGTATCCTACTTATTGCATCATTAAGCCCAAGCAATTTTCTGCTTTCCCATCTTGACTATGACTGTTTATCCTTGAATGCACAAATCCTATCCAGACCATTGAAATGCCATTCCCCGCTTTGAGCTCAATGGTTCAAGACTAGCCTGTCCAAAATGACAAAACCCCGTCTCTACCAAAAAAAAAAAAAAAAAAAAGCAAAAATAGTCAGGCATTGGTGGCTCACTCCTGTAGTCCCAGCTACTCAGAAGCTGAGGCTGGAGACTCACTTGAGCCCAGGAGGCCTGTGTTGCAGTGAGCCAAGATCATACCACTGCACTCCAGCCTGGGTGACAAAGTGAGACCCTGAAAAAAAAAAAAGAGAGAGAAAGAAGAAAGAAAGAAAGAAAAAGAAAAAGAAAGAAAGGTAATTTTCTTGACTATTTCATCCATCCCTTTCTCTTCTCAACTCCTCACCAAAACTTTTTTTAATTTATTGAACTTCCATAGAAATTTTTTTAATTTTTAATTTACTTCATTACTTTGTCACTTATATTTAAAGGCAGAGATTATTTTGGATTTATCCTTATATTCCACACATCCCAAAGCCTAGTAAATAATACTATAGACACTTCTAGTTTGCCTTCTCCTATGAAAGAACAACAACAAAATACTAGATATAATCCTCTCAGGCCCTCATTATTTCTTTCTTGGTTTCTTATTTCTTATCTGGATTGTCTCCCCTTCTGTCTTATTATATCCCATTTCTAGATGAGTCTTACTAACAGCTCTCACGTAATTCTGCTCTTCTAGAGCTTCAGTGATTCCTCTATGCCTACAGATTAAAGGTCAGTGCCCTTTATCCAGAACTCCCTAGACTTGTATAATCTAGTCTTAAGTGACCGTCCCAAACTTATCTCTATCTTGTTTACCTCTACCTTCTAACATTTTATCAAATATTTAATCAAAATTTTATCTCTTCTAGTCTCAAGCCACACCCAACCTTCAGATGGAACATGTGGATCTGGCCTAAGCCCACCTGTGCACACCATTCTCTGGTCCATGGTGACTGCTTCCAGGCACATGACCTAAGCTGGTCATAGAATAAATTTTAGGAGTCTGCTTTAGGGTTTGAACCATTAAATGTGTAGATAGCAAGGTTCTGGTAATTATTCTGCAACTAAGAGAAAAAAAAAAAAAACTGTTTCAAATAAGACTAAGAGATAGAGAAAGAAAGGTTGAATCCCAGAGACACATCTAGGACCTCTCTGTCCAGGATAGCCTAAAACTAGACCTCTCTCTGAACCATCCAGTTATATAAATCCCACACATTTACTTTTATGTTTACATTAGGACTTCTGTACCTTGAAATCTATGAAATCACAAACACAAGACATTCACTCAATAACTGTTAGGTAACCAATCAGCCTTTCAACCGCATTAAAATATGCCAGGAGGAGGCTATATAGGATACCGCAACAACTCTCTGGTTTAATTTGACTAAGTTTTTATTTTTCAATTTTTGTTTTTTATCTCAGCGTAAGAGATGTAATATACTAAAGCTTATCTGATATGAGGCTACAAAATAAACACAAGGATAGAAAAAACCCTCATGTCCCTCTCTCTATTAACCTCATGCAGCAAGGGTCTGTGTTCATCATTAGTTTGACTTTGCAATGCAGAAAATAGACAGTCTCCTCCAATCCACTTAATTGTAAATCAGGATCTTCAGCTAAGGCTCAGAACAAAGATCAAAGATAAAAAAGGAAAAAGAGAAACCTTCATGTCCGGATCATGCTCTTATCTTCAGGACAACTTGAGTTTCTTTCAGGTATTTGTAAAAGCAAGAGAAAATCAATGAGAATTAAGGTCGGAGGAGACGACCAATAGGACTGTTACAGGTTTATCATGTTTTGGATGCAAAGTGGCTGGTGCTCATCCTGAGTCCATCATCTGTCTCAGGAAGACAGCAAACTATTGTGCTTGTGTTTTCAGAATTGCAGTGGAGATAATGCTGTTAACACAATGGGGCATTGCAAGAAACTCATAGGCACAAGGATTGATCACAGATATTGCTTATGGGATCTCAGAGGGTAAAGAATACCCTTGGATGAAGAGCTGCTTAAAAGATCATGGACAGTTACAGCAAATTTAGACAAAGCTTGGACTACAATGGAAATCCAAGAAGGTTGAAGAGTTCTATAGAACCATCCAGGAGGCACTAAACTCGAGATATATTTATTACACAGCAGAAAAAGTTGAAAAAGGAAAGGAGGAAGGTGGTAAAAGTGAAGTAGATGAAGAAATCTGGGTAGCCTAAAATAGTATATTTATATACTAAAATAATACATTAAGGCTGTTCTTTCCTTGTGTTGCTGGTGGAGATACAGACTTGGAATACATAAAGGAGCAAGTTACTATTATTATGTGGAACGATTAAGGTGGAGAACTTCAAATGCCACATCAATTATTATGTAAATCCTAATGATGCCAAGAAACTCACATTCAACTAAAGGGTCCTATGTGTGTGGCTGAGGTAAAATGTGGCCTTTTGAAGTTGTCAATAAAGGAACAAATAGATTGTTGTGACTATATAGGGTCTGATGAGCCACTTACCAGCAGCTTCCAAGAGGAAAATGTACAGGCCCAAAAAAATGTCACAGAACTGCCAAAAGGATAGGAAATCGATGACATAAATGATGAAATAACTCATTCTTCTACTTGCTCTTTATTGGTGTTAAATAATTGCTAAATTTTTATTTGAATGGAAAAACAGAAGGAAATTGGTGAGTGACAGCTCCTTCAAAGATGATCCTCTAAACCAGTGGTCCCCAACCTTTTTGGCACCAGGGACCAGTCTCATGGAAGACAGTTTTTCCATGGATGAGGGGTGGGGAGGATGGTTTGGGGATGATTCAAGCACATTACATTTATTGTGCACTTTATTTCTAGTATTATTACATTGTCATATATAATTAAATAATTATACAACTCATCATAATGTACAATCAGTGGGAGCCCTGAGCTTGTTTTCCTGCCACTAGAGGGTCCCATCTGGGATGACAGGAGACAGTGACAGGTCATTAGATTCTCATAAGGAGCATGCAACCTAGATCCCTCACCATGTGCAGTTCACAATAGGACACACACTCCTGTGAGAATCTATTGTCACTGCTGATCCGACATGAGGCAGATCTTGGGCCATAATGTGAACAACGGGAAGCAGCATCTGTATTGAACAGATGAAGCTTCACTTGCTCGCCCACTGCTCACCTCCTGGTGTGTGGCCTGGTTCCTAACAGGCCACAGACTGCCACCGGTCCATGGCCCTGGGGTTGGGAAGCTTTGCTTTAATTATGTCCAAAAAAGTGTATGTCCCTTAAACAATTTAGATCATCACCAATGGGAAAACAGTGGATACTTCTCATGGTAAACAGAGGAAACAGAAAAGGAAGTAAGCTAAGCAAGTCATGAGTGAAATTTACTAGGCTTTTGACCTGGGAGAGTAGTTATCTGAGGAAACTTAGTGTAGAATTGACTATAGTTTACCCTGGCATTTGGATAGCTATTGTTGGTGAAATATTCACACTCGTTCATGCAACTACTTTATGACATATGAACTCTTTGCCTGCTTTATTTTCCTTAGCATTTAACTTTAAAACAAAATTTTAAAAAAACCTAACATTGTGTGTGTGTCTAGATAGATAAGAGAGAGACATAGAGACATCAACACATAGATACAAATATACAGATATAGATGATATAGATACAGACACATCAAAATATCAGCCTATCTCAGAAAATAGGAAGGGGAAGAGGTTACTTATAATTTGACCAGAATTTAGAAGGCTAAGTAGTATGTGCCCTTGGAGTTAATAGTAGCAGTACCCAGGTTGAGAACCACAAGGAAAAGACAGCCCCATAAAAAAACAAGGACTCACTACTCTGCTCTCTCCCACTTTTCAAAGTGATTGCCATTTGCCCTTTATTGACACTCCTTTGTTATTTTCCCCAGAGAAAAATAACTATGCATTATTCTAGCAGGTGTACTAGTAACCCTCACTTCTCTCCATTCCCACACACCTGAAAGTTCCCCTTCCAGGGATGGGGAATCCCAGAGACATATCTAGGGCCTCTCTGTCCAGGTCCTAGACAGGGATCTGGGTCTGGATTAACATAGAAAGCCCTTCACATTTTACAATGTGGATGTGCATGGTTCTGAGAGGTGAAGCCAGCTGAGCTTCTGGGTCAGATGGGGAGCCTCAGAACTTTTGTGTCTAGCTAAAGGACTGTAAATATACCTATCAGCGCTCTGTGTCTAGCTAAAGGATTGTAAATGCACCAATCAGCATTCTGTAAAATCTGTGAAGGTCTGCGGCTCACTCCTGAAGTCAGCGAGACCACAAACCCACTGGGAGGAACAGACAACTCCGGACGCACCACCTTTAAGACCTGTAACACTCACTGCCAAGGTCTGTGGCTTCACTCCTGAAGTCAGCGAGACCATGAACCCACCGGAAGGAAGAAACTCTGGACACATCTGAACATCTGAAGGAACAAACTCTGGACACACCATCTTTAAGAACTGTAACACTCACCACGAGGGTCCACGGCTTCATTCTTGAAGTCAGTGAGACCAAGAACTTACTGGAAGGAACTAATTCCAGACACAGTTCTGCCATGACACTCTTCAGCCTGGTAGCCCAGGCAATTTTGCCATTGACTTTTCTAGGTTGTAAGACTTAGCTCTTCCTTGAAATAGAATGAATCTTCAAATTGTACCACATGTTAATATACTTAAAAATTAACAAGACAGAGAGGTGGTTAGTGGCTATAAGGTGTTCACTGTAAAATTCAACTTTGCTGAATTTCGAAACTTATCTATTAATAATAAAAACTGGGAAGTATTAGCAAGTGAGTATTTTGGTTTTTGTGGGGTTTTGTTCTTTTGCTTTGTTTCGTTTTGTTTTTACCAATTCTGTGTCATTCTTTATTTGAAATGCAACAAGAAAAACAGCAAGCTGTCAGTCATGCCATTAACAAATGGATGTTATAAAACCCATGCCTGTCTGGGTGCGTTTGCTCATGCCTATAATCCCAGCACTTTGGAAGGCTGAGGTGGGTGGATCACCAGAATTCAGGAGTTTGAGACCAGTCTGGCCGACATGCTGAAACCCCATCTTTACTAAAAATACAAAAAAATTAGCCAGGTGTGGTGGCAGGCGCCTGTAGTCCCAGCTCCTCTGGAGGCTGAGGCAGGAGGATGGATTGAACCCAGGTGGTGGAGGTTGCAGTAAGCAGAGATCGCGCCACTGCACACCAGCCTGGGCAACAGAGCTAGATTCTGTCTCAAAACAAAACAAATCAGAACAAAAAACAAAAACAAAAATAAAAATATTATTAAACAAATTAAAATATTTAATAATTATTGTACAAAGTTACATTTATGATTTATTCCTAGGATTATAATTATTATTACATTCCAAATACTGAGTCCTTTCTATGTGTCAGTTACCCTGTATGCATTATCTAATTTTATTCTACAGCCATTCTATGAAGTAGGTATTATAATTATGAACTGATTTACAAGTGAGTTAGCCAAGACTCTGGGCCATTAAATATCCTGCCCATTGTCCTCAGACAGAGGAGCCATGTGTCAAGCTCATGTCTTGAGCACAATTCCTTAGATACAGCGTTATAATAAACTCCTTTCAAGAGATGCAATGAGTGGACATTTTCTCTACATAACATGTGAATAAGACACATTGAGGAATGCCATTAGGACTTGCCCAAGTAAGGACAGAGAGGATACACTAGCAACATTTTAATCCCTGATTGTATTTGAAATCTGCCAAGTACAAAATAAACATCAAAGGCAGCTGTGGCAGCCAGATGTCTTCTTTGTTTCTTCTCATGTGAGCCTTCTCCCTGCTCAAGAAGCATGAAGCTAAGTGTGATCTAAAAGGCTATCTCTGCTGCCCATTCATTCTTTGGCCTTTGTACAAACACTGCCAGCAGTACATCACTTAGAACAGCACAGCACAGCAATGATTTCTATAACAGAAACATTAATCAATTAAAACCGGAAGTAAGCCAGCAAACACATTTTACTGAGCTCACCAGCAAGTCATCATCGCATAGATCATCAGATAGAAATGTTTCTTGACTAAAAAACAAAAAGAAAACTAAACTGTGAGTTGGTGACCAGGTACCAGGCCTTGTTTTGTCTACTTGTGTACTAGAATATTCTCTCCCTTTCTATTTCACTAGTCACATGATGACCACAAGTCATAGAGTAATATTTTTTAACTTACTGCATAAATGGTGGGGTTTATCACTTTAGTTTCTGTCACCTTAAAAAAAATATGGTTTCTTCAAAGAATTTAGATAATCACCAATGGGAAAAAAATGAATACTTCTCATGGTAAATGGAGGAAACAAAGAAGGAAGTAAGCCAAGCAAGGTGTCAGTGAAATTTATAGGCTTTTGACCTGGGAGAGTAGTTATCTTAGGAAATTTACTGTGAAATTGACTATAGTTTAACCTGGTATTTTGATAGCTCAAAGAAACCATATTGGATTATTTAAACTGGAATGATTTGCTCTATCCCTATTTTCTCAAAGGAAGTCAAATAAAAAGCATCCATATGGTTCTCATTTGCACTGCTATAAAAACTCATATTTAGGTGGCATGACACTGCAATATACCTGGTATAAAAAGCAGCATTTTTGAGCACTTTCTATTTGTCAGGCACTTTTCAGAACAGTTTTTTTTATATTAACTAACTTAACACATAGGTCACAGTGTGGTTAAGTAACTTGACCAAAGTCAGTAAGAGGTGGACCTACCTTCTCAGCCATTACGTTCTACTTCTTAAATATCACAATATGTTAAATGTTTATTCAGCAATTTAATAATTTTAAAAAATTATTACCAATTTCAAAAGCATGAGTATAATCCATTTGATATTAAGATAATATCAATAAGGACGTTTAAAAATATACTTGTGTAAGTCTAGCCTTTATATTAGAAAGACCACCCCCCCCCGCCCATGACCCTAGGAGTCTTTTTAGAAGTAAAGTAAGGGAGGAGAGATTTAATTTTAGTCACTCTCCTTTTTAGTGTGACAGAGAAACCTGAACGTTGTTACAATGGAGAATTGCCCTGTTGCCAATTGCGAATGTCTCCATTACTGAGTACTTAGGAGAAGACTATGGACTTGTTGATGAGATAAACATGCTCAAAATTTGACATGGGCATCCAGTTCTGATCAACAATAATACTTTCTCTTATTGCTCCCAGAATGCCTTACTCCAAATAGAAATAGGAACAATATCAGTAAACACTCGTTGCTGTCCTAAGCATCACTTTCTGCCTTGATGGCAGTGGGGCCAGCCAAAGAGTCACTGTCAGCTGATTGTGGGTGAGTGTTTAGACAGGATTCTTTAAGTGATGACCGTCACAAACACAACCCAAAATATCTATCAAAAAAAAAGGAAATTTATTGAATCACATAGCTGAAAATTCCAGAAGCCTCTTGTTTTAGACAATGCTAGATCCAGATACCAATAAAAATCAGTTATCATTAGAAATCTCCCTCAGCTCTACTTCCCTCTGTGTTTTATTTTCAGAACATTCTCCATGATATCAGAGAATGGTATCACACCCACATAAAATAATATTTTGACCAAAAGAAGACAGAGATGCCCGGCAGTAGGAAATAGCAGACTACAGTGTGCCATGATTTCTTGAACGATAACAGGCTTATTTTCGATGGGGTGGCTATCAGTGTTGGAGCCTTTACTCTTCCTGGAAAAAACTGCAGTTGCAAATGCCTTTTTCTCATCCTTCTGCTCTCACCTTATTCTTCTCTCATATCATTGGCACCAGTATATATACCTGGTCATCAAACCCAGAATTCCAATATCATCCTTCTTTCTCACTAAGACCTTTATTTCTTTTTCATTATTATTATACTTTAAGTTCTAGGGTACATGTACACAACGTGCAGGTTTGTTATGTATGTAGGCATGTGCCATGTTGGTGTGCTGCACCCATTAACTCGTCATTTACATTAGGTATAAATCCTAATGCTATCCCTCCCCCCTCCCCCTACCCCACAAGAGGCCCCAGTGTATGATGTTTCCCCCAAGAGTCCAAGTGTTCTCATTGTTCAATTCCCACCTATGAGTGAGAACATGCAGGGTTTGGTTTTCTGTCCTTGCAATGGTTTGCTGAGAATTATGGTTTCCAGCTTCATCCATGTCCCTACAAAGGACATGAACTCATTCTTTTTTATGGCTGCATAGTATTCCACGGTGTTTATGTGCCACATTTTCTTAATCCAGTCTATCATTGATGGACATTTGGGTTGGTTCCAAGTCTTTGCTATTGTGAATAGTGCCACAATAAACATATGTGTGCATGTGTCTTTATAGCAGCATGATTTATAATCCTTTGGGTATATACCCAGTAAAGGGATGGCTGGGTCAAATGATATTTCTAGTTCTAGATCCTTGAGGAGTCGCCACACTGTCTTCCACAATGGCTGAACTAGTTTACAGTCCCACCAACAGTGTAAAAGTGTTCCTATTTCTCCACATCCTCTCCAGCACCTGTTGTTTCCTGACTTTTTAATGATTGCCATTCTAACTGGTGTGAGATGGTATCTCATTGTGGTTTTGATTTGCATTTCTCTGATGGCCAGTGATGATGAGCATTTTTTCATGTGTCTGTTGGCTGCATAAATGTCTTGTTTTGAAAAGTGTCTGTTCATATCCTTCGCCCACTTTTTGATGGGGTCGTTTGATTTTTTCTTGTAAATTTGTTTAAGGTGTTTGTAGATTCTGGATATTAGCCCTTGGTCAGAGGGTAGATTACAAATATCTTCTCCCATTCTGTAGGTTGCCTGTTCACTCTGATGGTGGTTTCTTTTTCTGTGCAGAAGCTCTTTAGCTTAATTAGATCCCATTTGTCAGTTTTGGCTTTTGTTGTCATTGCTTTTGGTGTTTTAGACATGAAGTCCTTGCCCATGCCTATGTCCTGAATGGTATTGCCTAGGTTTTCTTCTAGGGTTTTTATGGTTTTAGGTCTAACATGTAAGTCTTTAATCTATCTTGAATTAATTTTTGTATAAGGTGTAAGGAAGGGATCCAGTTTCAGCTTTCTACATATGGCTAGCCAGTTTTCTCAGCACCATTTATTAACTAGGAAATCCTTTCCCCATTTCTTGTTTTTGTCAGGTTTGTCAAAGATCAGATGGTTGTAGATGTGTGGTATTATTTCTGAGGGCTCTGTTCTGTTCCATTGATCTATATCTCTGTTTTGGTACCAGTACCATGCTGTTTTGGTTACTATTGCCTTGTAGTATAGTTGGAAGTCAGGTAGCGTGATGCCTCCAGCTTTGTCCTTTTGGCTTAGAATTGACTTGGCAATGCAGGCTCTTTTTTGGTTCCATATGAACTTTAAAGTAGTTTTTTCCAATTCTGTGAAGAAAGTCACTGGTAGCTTGATGGTGATGGCATTGTATCTATACATTACCTTGGGCAGTATGGCCATTTTCACGATATTGATTCTTCCTATCCATGAGCATGGAATGTTCTTCCATTTGTTTGTGGCCTCTTTTATTTCATTGAGCAGTGGTATGTAGTTCTCCTTGAAGAGTTCCTTCACATCCTTTGTAAGTTGGATTCCGAGGTATTTTATTCTCTTTGAAGCAATTGTGAATGGGAGTTCACTCATGATTTGGCTCTCTGTTTATCTGTTATTGATGTATAGGAATGCTTGTGATTTTTGCACATTGATTTTGTATCCTGAGACTTTGCTGAAGTTGCTTATCAGCCTAAGGAGATTTTGGGCTGAGACGATGGGTTTTTCTGAATATATAATCACGTCATCTGCAAACAGGGACATTTTGACTTTCTCTTTTCCTAACTGAATACCCTTTATTTGTTTCTCTTGCCTGATTGCCCTGGCAAGAACTTCTAACACTATGTTGAATAGGAGTGGTGAGAGAGGGCATCCCTGTCTTGTGCCAGTTTTCAAAGGGAATGCTTCCAGTTTTTGCGCATTCAGTATGATATTGGCTGTGGGTTTGTCATGAATAGCTCTTATTTTTTTGAGATACGTCCCATCAATACCTAATTTATCGAGAGTTTTTAGCATGAAGGGCTGTTGAATTTTGTTGAAGGCCTTTTCTGCATCTATTGAGATAATCATGTGTTTTTGTCTTTGGTTCTGTTTATATGATGGATTACTTTACTTCTTAAATAGTTTTTTCAAATCAATCCAACTTATCCCTATTACTGTTTCTCTCCCTTGGATAATAACAGTGGTATTATAATTAGTCTTTCTGACTCCTATCTTGTCCCTTCAAATCCATTCTCCGTGTTGTTGCCACTATAATCAGTCTGAAACACAAATTCTGCCATGCCACTTCCCTGCTTTAAAATTATCAAGGGCTTACAATTGTTGTCAGAATAATATCCAAGCGATTTTACCTGCTGCGTGTGAATAGTATACACTTCTAGAATTTTGCTGCATCAAATGTTGCCATTAGCTATATGTAGCAATGTAGTTTTAACTTCAATTGAAATTAATTAAATAAAATTTAAACTTCATGTCTTCAGCTTCACTAGTCACATTTCAAATGCCCAATAGCCACAGGTGGCCAGAGGCTATGTATCACACAGTGCAAACATAGATCATTTCCATCTTCATAGAAAGTCTTAATAGTGCTGAGGTTCCATGGCCTCATATCTGTCCACTACCCAACTATTTTCTTAAAATAGTGCTGAACAACTGGTAGTTTTTGAGTGAGTCATACATATTCATGTCTCTGTAGCTTTGCTCCTTCTAGTACTGTTTGGATTGCTCTTCATGTATTGCTAGATAATAGCCACTGAACATTCTTTAAGAGTCAGCAAAAGTGTCACCTTCTCTAGAAGCCAACTCTGAAAAGTGGGCTTCAGCCAAGCGTTTTCAAGGTATTCTGTGCATTTGCTCACCTAACCATATCACAGAAATATTATCTGGTTTGTGCCTGACTTCCTAAGTGACAACAATGGAACAAACAAACAAAAATGTCTTGTTCTGTGTTGTTTTATCAGCACCAGGCAAAATCTGTGGCATGTAGCAAGTGCTCTGATATATGTTTTCTGAAATGTAATAAATCATGTAAAGAGGCAAATTAAGCATTTTAACCTCATTAAACAAACAAAATACCTACTTTAATTTTTGCAATTAATGTAAGCAGTAGCTATCCTTGATTTTGTACTTGTCTCTAGTCCTGGCCTAACCTCAATTCAACTCCAACATCATATGTCAGCCTCAGACCATATTCACCCTAGAGCTGTTTTCCTAATTTCTTTACTTACTTAACACAGGGCAAACCTAAGGAATGAGTTGAAGTAAGAGGATCTAGGTTGAACACCTTTTCCAAGAATAACAATACAGAAGGAAAGTTTACATTGTTGTAGGTTGCCTCAGTGTCATACATTCCTCAGAATATTTTTACCCACGAGAGATCATATTTCTTCTTTATATGAAGCACTGATGGATACAGTATCCATGAAAATAAGAGGGCCCACTTTTCTAGAGATATAACATGGTTCACTTAAAACATGTTTAGGGACGGGAAGCCCAGCATTTTCACTTGAAACTGTTCTCTTCTTTTTATGTTTAGATTTCCCACATACCTTAGCGTAGATGGAGGTTCCCCCACAAAAAGTATATATGGCTACTTCTCCTTCTTCTTCCTTTCCAGGAGAAACTGGGAGAGAAGTGGCATTCCAAAGGGACTCTGCAAGACTGTCCCATGAGCTTTGGTAGGTTTTGCATAATTTAGAACCTAATATCCCAGCAATTCAGTTAAACATTTTGCATGTCAGTCTAAATAGCATCTAAATCTTTTGTTCTTTGACATTTAACATCATTCTGTTCATTCCAGTAAAGGTTGTTGCCTTTTTTTTTCAATGACTTTCTGACCTGTCTTTAAAGTCAGCATTCCAATCAGTCTCCACTGACGTACAGAGAATAGTGACATATTGACTTTTACAAGAAATGAATCAAAAGGTGACAGAATATGAATCGATGGAACCTTAGCACTAAATTTTCCATATAAATGCAAGTGTCAACTAAACAAAGGGCTTGCCTCTTTGCATAGTCAATGCTAGGTGGTTTATCCACATAATACACACTTGAGTCAAAACTCTGCATAACCTTGGCCTGGTGCTCCAGTGGAATTGTGGGTCATAATTTTTTTAAATATAAAGTTGACTTTTACTTGAACACTTGATCGTTTAAATTAGTCCTACCCAGTTCTAATTTTAGCTATGAAATGATGAATGGAATGAAACCTCAGAAATTTCCAATACATTGCAAAATACAGATTACTTAAGTTACTTCATCTTTAAACTTCCTTGGAGCTTGCTTTCGTCTGCATTTACATGGGTATTCTGATGTTCCCATTATACTGCTAGTACTCCAGCCCATTAGACACTCATTCTTCCATTGTCAAATTCTATTTCGTGTTTCATTCTGCAGAGTCCCTTGACTGTTTCCGGTTTTCTCTAGGTCTTCTTTCCATAATCCAAGAGACCCACACCAATTAATAAGTCATTAATATTAATTATAATAATGCTAATGTTAGCAAGAGTTTATTGTACGTTTAGTTTATGTCAGTCACTATGCTTAGAAGTGTATCCAAATTATCTCAGGCAATCCTCAAAACAATTCCATACAGATAGTATTTTACTGCTATTTATCCACATTTTAGAGATAACAAAATTGAGACAAAGAGAGGCTATTTAAGTATCACATCCATGGTCACACATCTAGTAAATGTCAACGCTTTCTCATTCAAGCCCAGGACTGCCAAATTTCAAAATCCAAGCTCCTAAACAGATACTCCTATTCCCCATTCTGATGTATTCAAGTTTAATTTTTGAACTATAAAAAAATCTATTTCCATGTCACAGTGTTTAAGAATATATCAACAATGTACATTATGTCAATCTTATCATTTGAAAATTATTTTAAAATAAGACACAAATATTAGCTAATGCACATTTACTTTTCCCTTTCTGACCTTAATATATTTAGTTATAAATTCTAATCTCTATAAAACCATTACCATAACTAAGAAATATCAGCCAAACATTATATGAAAATAGTTTTTTTTTAAGACTGTCAGTTGATAACGGAAAAGAAAGGAGCAAGAGTGTTATTGAGAAGTTATATTACTGCACAAAGTAGAGGATTGCTTTGTGATAGATTCTCTTTGAATCTGAGAAGTCATTATTTCTAACAGTACATTTCAGATAACACATGCAATTAAAATGTCTTCTTTAATTATCACTAAAGAAAATTATTTCAAAGGACAGCAGCCTATAGAGGTACTTTGCCATGACAGACAAACTTAACAAAAAGGATGAAGAAAGAAGAACGCAATGGATAAGGAATGTAAACAAATTTATGAAAGAAATAAAATAAAGGGTGGCAAGTGAATTAGCAAGGTGGAATAAGTAACAACTAAAAGCCTACAGGATATTGACGTAGGAGTGGGAACTAAAAACGAAGGAAAACAGAATTAGTTTTGAGTGTTACATGGCGGATGAACCACATAATCCTCACCCACTCTGAGCAACACGGAAATGATGGTCTATCTTATCTCCATCTGGCAGGAGAGAGGAGGGATAGTTTCTAGAGATACAAAAAAAAAAAAAAAGATTTTTGACCTCAGGCCCGCAAGTACAGTGAACGTCTGGGGTAAAGTATGAGTTTAAAAAAGGGCGGAGATACAGAAGAGTCTCAATGCCAAATTGTAGAACCCTGCTCATAGGACTCTAGAAAAGGTTGACAAAACCATGCCCCCAAGCCCTCCTTTTTTTCTTTCTTTCTTTTCTTTTTTTTTTTTTGAGACAGGGTCTCACTCTGTTGCATAGACTGGAGTGTAGTGGCACAATTTTGGGTGACGGCAACCTCCGCCTCCCAGGCTCAAGCAATTCTCCTGCCTCAGCCTCCTGAGTAGCTGGGATTACAGGTGCACACCACCACACCCCGCTAATTTTTGCATTTTTAGTAGAGACGGGGTTCTACCATGTTGGTCAGGCTGGTCTCGAACTCCTGACCTCAAAAGATCCACCCGCCTCGGCCTCCCAAAATGCTGGGATTACAGGCGTGAGCCACCGCGCCCAGCCGCCGTCCTCTTACCATAAGCATTAAGGCAACAGAAAACTAGAAAAATGTTCTCTGGAAGAACTGAATAATTACAGGGAAACAATCTTTGCATACTCTCATTGAGAGTCCAGCTGATTGTGCAATGACTCAGCAGTGAAGTCCACAGAACCACAAATACCCCCTTTGCCCATCAGTCTTCAACCTTTTAACCAGGTTTTTATTCTTTCATTCTTACATATGTACAGACACGTAGACAGCTGATGAAAGCCTTCAATGTCGGGGAAAAACAACTACCAGAAAATGGAGGGCAAAAAAGATACAAAATAAGGTAAGGCTAACATTTTCAAAAACCTCAAATTTATGTCCTCAAACAAGTAAGAAAATGTATTGGGTTAAGAGGACAGTAAGAGAGAAAGAGAAAGAAAGAATAAGTCAAAGAAAAAAGATAGCTCTTATAACTTAAAATTGGATAATCAAAATAAAATTTGGGCAGCAAAGTGGAATAATAGTATAACAGTTGAGGAATATCCCAGAGTAGAATAAAAAGATAAATAAATGAAAGATACTGGAACAGTATGAGAAAATCAAAAGGTAATTACAAAAGATTTGATATTTAGATAACAGAAATTTTAGTAAAGGAAATAAAAGCAAAAGAATTATATATTTTTCTAAAAAGTGGAAATGTTCCAGATTGAAGGACTGATGGGATTAGCTGAAGATAAACCTGCATTATGAAATTTCAGAATTCTAGAGATTAAGAAAACTTCTAAATATTTTCTGCATGGACTGAATTGTGTCCCCCAAAATTCATATGTTGAAACCTTAACCCCCAATGTGACAATCTTTGGAATAAGGAAGTAATTAAAGTAAAACGAGGTCATAAGGGTGGGGCCTCAATCGGATAATATTGGTGTCTTTATAAGAATAGACATCAGAAAGCTTGCTCTTTCTCTTCTCCATGTGAAGAAACAGCAAGAAGGTGATGGTCTGCAAGACAGACAGCCCTCACTAGAAACCAAATCAGCTGGAACCTTAGTCTTGGACTTCCCAGCCTCCAGAACTGTAAGAAATCAAGAGCTATTGTTTAGGTCACTCAGTCTTTAGTATTTTGTAATTTTAGTCCCAGCACACTAATACACTTTCATAGAGGAAAAATAATCACATGCAAAGGATAGGGATCAAAATAACATCAGACTTTCCAACAGTAACTTTGGATGCCAGAATACAATACAGCAACATCTTTAAACATTGAGAGATAAGTGACTCTGAACCTATAATCATAACCAGATATGGGGTTATCGACTAGAATCCAGACTGGGGTTTTCCAGAGTAAGTGGACATGCAGCAAGCAATTAATCTCCATCAGTTTAAGTTTAGGGTATTTTGCCATAGCAAAGCTAATGTATTGAAAATTTATGTCAGATAATTGTATGTTCTAGTCACTTTAATATTTCTAGTCACTGTAATATTTCCATTTCTGACATAAGGTGTACCACCCAGTACCATCTCTCCCTATTTCTAACAAATATGTAGCACTCTCACATAAAGTATCTTAAAAGGCAACTTTAAATCAAATCATGTACTTTCATTCTACACTTTATTGGAGATCTAATATCTGGACATGCCCAACAATCCCTCAAAGTTCCTCAGATTTTCAGTTAATGCTTAATTTTTTATTGTATCCAAGGTATTCCCTTTTGGATAGGGATACAGTGATCCCAATCCGCCTTTGAATAGTTTATTTGTTTATGTATTTATTCATTTATTTTTGAGACAGAGTCTTGTTCTCCACCCAGGCTGGAGTGCAGAGGTGCAATCTCAGCGTCCTGGCTCAAGTGACCCTCCCACCGCAGCCTCCTACGTATCTGGCACTAGAGGTGCATACCACCATGCCTAGCTAAATTTTGTATTTTTTATTGAGATGAGGGTCTCACCATGTCACCTAGACTGGTCTCGAACTCCTGAGCTCAAGCAATCCCCCTGCCTAGGCCTCCCAAAGTGCTGGGAGTACAGACATGAGCCATCATGCCCAGCACCTCCCTCTCACATATTTGATACTTGATTAAGAAACTTGAACTCACTGTGCAGCTTAGCAGCTTATAATTTAGCTATTGCTTAGTTAACTGTAGTCTTGTTTGAATGATATACTATTTCGTCAGTACTCTCAACTATTTTAAGTTTGCTCAAGGAAGAGACAATAGGTTTTAATTTCTTTTCAGACATTAACACAATTTTAAACACAATAGGTAGGCACAAAATAGGCACTTACTAAAGGTTTGCTCAATAAATTATGTCTTCCGCAGGGTGCTGTGGCTCACGCTTGTAATCCTAACACTTTGGGAGGCCAAGGCAGGTAGATCACTTGAGGTCTGGAGTTGGAGACCAGCATGGCCAACATAGGGAAACCCTGTCTCTACTAAAAATACAAAAATCAGCCGGGTGTAGTGGAAGGCACCTGTAATCCCAGCTACTTGGGAGGCTTTGGCACGGGAATCGCTTGAACCTGGGAGGCGGAGGTTGCAGTGAGCCAATATCGTGCCACTGCACTCCAGCCTGGGCAGTAGAGAGAGACTCGGTCTCAAAAAAAAAAAAAAATAGATTATGTCATGTTCTCCACTAAGGACATGGGAGATCATGTTCATTTACCCAGAAAATACCATCAATGACTTCTGTGTTATAGATTATTAAATATTGTCAATATTTTGAGGAGGCTTCACCCTTTGTCCATGCATGAATCTGAATCATCTGACTTCACTGTCATCTGGTGTGACCTAGGAATGGAAACTAGTTTTAACACCAGCTCAGGCAGAATATAAATATGAAAGTAATTTCCTGAAAGAAAACTATTGCATCCTAAGGCTAAATGTTAATGACTTCATATTTTCCAGGTTTATGCATTATCTCAGCCACATTTCCCTGTTAATTTATATATTATATAATGGTAGAGTGAGAGTAAACACTGGAGAGCACTTAGTCCAGCAAAGTATTTTTTGCATGAGATGGAGTGACGTGCCCAGAGTCACATGACTTGATAATGATAACAGAAGCAGTGGGGCCAGTGTAATCAGATTCCAGTGCATGTACCTCCCAGTGACCTAAGAGTTGGATGATGTCATTTCTCTTGTTGAGGTTTTTTTTTTTTTTTTTGTATGTAGAGATCGAGCGCCATGTCTATCACAAAGCATATGAGCTGATGTTTCCTGGACTTAACGTATATAACACTAAATTTCAGGAAAATAATTTAGCAAGGTAGCTAAATGCTTCTGTATATAGGAAATGCTGGGTACTGCACAGCGTAATCAAGACATTTTGTTTCTAAATCTAATTCTGCAAAATTTCCCTTCCATTTCCCCTTCTAATTTTCTATTAGAATAAAGCAATAAGGTAAAATATATTAATCAAAGTCATCAGTTCAGGAGAACAGGAACCCCTAGAATTATTCAAACCATCGACTTGGATGAGGTAGTTCACATTATTAAATTAATTTGAAGAGTCATTAATTAACTTCCTTGCATTTTTAAATTTCATAGTAACATGTTCAAGGATGATAGAGCATTGAACTTCATTAGCTGATTGTTTGACTCAGTATTTATAGAAGACTGCTACTTATTCAGAAATTCAGTTATTTGTAACACTGTTTTTCTTACTGTTACATTTTAATGAATCTCATGTCTTATTGTCAGACTCACTCACATTCGATAAAGGGTAGTGGTAGGAGCTATCTTTTATTTCTATTAATCTCTTTCCCGAGGTTCATTAGCAGGGAATTCTTTCCTGTTAGATCAATGGCAAAATCACCGTCTGAAGTCATTTTGCCTTGAGCAATAATCTGAACATCTTTCTTGGAAATGATCCGCGTGCCCACTGGAAACTTTGAGAAGTAGTTTTTAATTGCATTTTTGTTAGATTCTGGTGCTGCCAAGCCCTGTTTTGATGCCTGAGACAGTATAGAAACAATTTGAAATCCACAACATGGGAAGATTGTGGTGCCAGTCAAGCTGACTGCACATTAGCACCAATGTTCTTTACATACAGGTTTAATAATCAGAAGAAGAATCCTAAGTGTTTAATAATTGAACATGTGTTTAATATTTAAGCAGCCAGATCTTTCCAGTTGTTAAACTAATATTGAAGTAGGGTGAAAGCATTCTACTTACTGGCAACTCTCCATCTTACAAATATCTTTTGAAGTTCAGTACAGTATAGGGTCTATCACTATACCGTCTGGCGGACAGTGTTACTTATCATAACCAGGACCAAAGACAATGCAGAAGCTTTCTTCTTGTCATTACAGCCATGTGTAAAACTTATATGTGCAAAAACTATAGTCATAATTAATGATTTTTTTTAATCTCACATTTTATGTTTTTTTCTTTCTTTGTGGCTATTGAATGCAGGAATAGCTATCCTGAAAATGAAAAAGAAAATAAGGCAATGTTTACATCAGGTTATGTGCTGGGAATTATTTCACTTCTAACTAATCTTCAAATTGCAAAGGAGATAATTATTTACTTAAATACTTGTTAGCCCAGAGTTTTCCTGTACTGTCCACAGTGACTTAACAATTTTCCTTAAGGATTGTTACATATTGACAACACTTGTAGCCTTAGACTTCACAGCAGTGGCTCCACCCCACCTTCCAATTGACCTTGTACATTCTTGTTGCAAAAGATATGTTCAGTTTACTGATCACAAGGTATTTTGTATTGGAGCAGTTAATTTCACCTACGTGAATATGAGCCAGAGGGTTTTAAAAATCTTATATTTCTTCCAACAATACCTGTTCTTGATATTTCTGCTCGAAATTCTGATTTTAAAATGATAATCGTGACTTTGAAATTCACTTTATTTGATTGCAGCCTTATCTTTTCCACCAAGGATTTTAGGTGACTGCCATGCAACTTAGTTCCAGATGGCCTTGAATTTTCCTAGTATAGCTTCTTTTAAAATTTGCATGAGGAAATTAAAATGACTGTTTTGTTCTTGATGGATACTTCAAGGCAATCTTTTAGCAAAATCTCATACTTTTGCACAAACTTTTAAAAACTTTTAAGTTCAGAGGTGTAAGTGCTGGTTTGTTACATAGGTAAACTTGTGTCGGGGGGGTATGTTGTACAAGGCTTAATATTTGGGTGATAAATTTAAACTTTAAAAACAATTAAAGGTATCCCTTATAGACTAGCAGTTAAGTGTGGCTGCTCATTAGAAATACTTAGTGAACTTTGGGAGGCCAAGGTGGATGGATCACCTGAGGTCAGGAGTTCAAGACCAGCCTAGGCAACATGGTGAAACCCCATCTCTACTAAATTCAAAAAGTAGCTGGGCACAGTGGCGCATGCCTGTAATCCCAGCTACTCCGGAGGCTGAGGGAGGAGAATCACTTGAGCCCAGGTGGCGGAGGTTGCAGTGAGCTGAGATTGCACCATTGCACTCCAACCTAGGCGACAGTGTAAGACTCCGTCTCAAAAAAAAATAATAATAATAATAAATACTTAGTGAATTAAAGATGCCTGGGCTCCACACCCAGAAAAGCTGATTCAGTGTCTGGGGTAAGGTCCCATCACATCCGTATTTTTCTCTTTCCCACTGATTCTACTGCCTAGCACTGTGAACTGTTACACAATAACTGATGGAGAAGAATTTCATCTTTAATTTTTCTGTTTTCTTAATCATGTGAAAAGGCAAATATAAAATAATGAAACAAACAGTTCATGAAAAGAATTGGACAGCAGAGATCTTGAGAAATCTTAGCCAATCAATACGGTCGGATAAGATTTATGAGGTACGAGGCCATGTTAGCCGTGACTATTCTCCTTCTCCTTGCATCATCTTACTAACTCTAAACACTGTGTGATATTTGACTTTGATTCTTTAATCCTTTTTAATGTTGTAATATTTCAGGACTCTTATATCAGGAAATGCTTACTTAAATTTTCTCCAAATCCCTCACGTCATATAATATTTGCTTCTTACATCTCTTGTGTTGTAGGATTTGGGAAAATTCTATTTTTCGCCACTGGACTTTAATTCTATGAAGTTGCACCTCATCTTTCCCTCCTAGAGATAACGTGCAGCTTACATGATGACTTATGAATCCATAAATGATGTTCATTTGTTTCTGCAAACTGAAAATATATTTACACTTTGGTACTTCTCTTAGGTAATCAGAATGAAAATTTCCTAGGGAAGAATTTTCATTTAAGTGGCTGGAGAAAATATTTTGCATCAGTGAAGATGTAGTGAAGAGCACTTGATAAAATACATTGTCACATTTATGTCTAAGGTTTTTCCTGTCTAATTAAAACAGCAGAGCAGGGGTGTTCACTTACTGTTTCAACTTGCCAAATGATTCTGAAAGTCTGTGACCTGTGAGTATATTCTTTCTTCTTTCTGCTGCGTGAATTGAAACCCTGTGTGCAGGGTAAGGAGTGAATCCCACTTAGATAGTGACTAGCGAGCAGCAGCAATAAACCTACACTAAGGCGTACCTTCAAACATACTTATTCTACTTCTTCTTTGCACTGTTAATACTGGCCTTTCCTGACTTCAGCCTGGATTATCCATTGCCTGACTGGGAAAGGCAGATTGTTAGAACATAAATGAAAGAAAGAGTCAGTGCTCAGTTTCTGAGCTCCAGAATAGGCCCTTGAAGCTCCTTTTGAGGGCAATCTTTGTGAAACAAAGCTTTTAATTTGCCAGACCCTGGCTCTCTAAAAAGAATGAACACATTTATATCTTTATAGATATAAACTGGAGTTTCTTCCACAATGTAGGAAAGCCTCCTGTTCTACAGAATCACCCCCTAAAATAATAAGATTTTTTGAAAGAATAAGATGGAACAGTAAAAACCTACGTAACTTTGTAATCAAAGAACTAATAAAAATAAAAATAATCCTAACGTAAGTAAATATTAATGTAGTGAAATTTCCACTGACCTTGGCACCTAACATGATAGTTGATCAAATTTTTATAATATAAAGTTCATACCTCTTTCTCCAAGATAAATTTCTTTGGAGACATTTACTTCCAATTGAGACCAGTTTTATCGAAATAAACAACATAGACCTCTGCATAAATCAATTTTTTTCTAAACAGAGAGAAATGTCTTTGCAGATTCATTTGCATGTGCAGTTTTAGCAGAGAAATTGTGGAAAGTTTAGTGGTTCTCGAAGCCACTAAACAGCCACAGTTGGCACAAATGGAAATCACTTATGCAGTATTTTCTCTTTCCTGAAGGTTTTCTTTTTTAATTCTGGAAAAGCCTGTCTCAGATTACTTCAAAATATTAACATACTGAGAAAGTCAAATACCAATTAATGCAATTTCCACATTTTGCTGATATTCTTTTCTTCTGTTTGTTAATTCTATGTATATGTATATAGCTATGTATATGTATTTATATTTATATATGTATGTATGTGTGTATATATGTATGTATATTTCCATATGTATGTGTATCTGTATGTATATATATTTACATGTGTGTATATGTATGTATGGTATATATACACACACACACACACACACACACACACACACCCACCCATGCAGTATACACGTATGTCAGCTCAGTTCTTGCAAGAAGCAGACACTTCATTCAAGAAATTTACTGGAGGGAATAGACCTGTGAAGGAGAAACGGAGAAAGAGAAGGAGTAAGCAGGGAGAGTCTTTATACCACAAGTTAGGTTTGACACCTGGGAAGGGGAAAGAAAAGAAGAATTGGGCAGAAAGAGTCTCAGACCACAGCTCAGGTTTGAAAACTTCTCTCCCAAGCCAATGACGAGATCCCCGAACAAGCTACCTATGCAGAATCCTTCACTGGGCAGGAATGGGCTGGCACTGGTGCCCTCACTCTCCTCAGTCACTGGCTGGCTGAAGTGCGTGGGAGTTGAGGCCTCCACATTCTCTGGAGTAGCAGCTTGAGCTCTTAGTCAACTGGGCTCTCCATAGCAAGCTGTCTTGAAATGTCTGAGTGGCTCATCCTGATGGCTCCATTAACAAATATCCACCCAACTCACCTCCAGCACACATACATGCTTGCACACATTTTTTTCTCCAAATTGGAAGGCCCTGATTTAGAAGGACATAAAGAGTATCCATAAATACCTTGGAAAGCAGACAGAAGGGACATTTCTTGCTGGACAAACTAAGAAAAGGAGGTATGTGAAGAGGGTGCTTATAAAGCATCTTGAATCTGGAGAAATCTTGGAGGAGTCTAGTCCAGACCATTCAACTGGTGCTTGAGCAAGTGACTGATTCCACAACCGGGGTCTGGGATGACAGTGGGAGCTGAACCTACTGCAAAATGTCAGTCAATCACAATGTTACTGAATTCTACACATTGTGCCAACCAAAAAGCTATATTAGCCACACTTTACTGTGTTTCTGGGGAGAGAATATCTGTAAAAGTTGCTTGTATGTTGATCTTTTAGCAGAAATGTTGCCCCCTTGCACCATCTTTACAAATAATACCAACACCAAAATATTAGATAACTTTCCTACCCAGTGCCCTAGGGCATTTGAAACAGACTGCTTAAGACGCTTAGGCTGGGTGGGGGTTGGGGAGGGTGGGAGCGGTGGGGGAGTGGTGGGAGGAGCATTGGTATGGAAGGAAAATCACACAATGCCCACTCCCCAAATACACCCTTAACCTTGATGAAATTAAACAGGAACACCTGTGATTCCTCTCTGTACTATTCCCCTGGAAAATGCTGAGTTAAACCCCCTATTTCCAGATATCTGTCGTACATGATGTTAGTGACTACTTGCTGTCACATAAGGAGAGAAGCAGCATTATTAGGAAGTAATAAAAGTACCTATGTTGATAATACATAAACTCCAAGAGAACACTGTGCTGTAGTAGTATTTATAAAACAATAGTTTCGTAAAGGCTCTGAGCATATTTTTTTACTAAATTCAAGCATCTGCCATATGATTAGCCCTCACTATATCTGACAGAAGTAATAAACGAATAACGTCTGGCCACGTACCATCTGCAGATAGCTTTGGTTTGGCCGGCATGGTCAGTCTTTAAGAAAATGAGTCACTATAAGGAGCACTAACAGTACTGGCCTAGCACTCTTACTAGTCGACCATGAATTGAAGTGGGTAGGGGTAAAGGTTCTGCCAGCCCCATTGAATCAGACATGCACATCTGAGCTGGTCTCTTGCACTCACAGATAACACAGATAAAAGGAAACATATCCCATGCTCATGGATGGGTAGAATCAATATAGTGAAAATGACCATACTGCCAAAAATAATCTACAAATTCAATTCCCTTCAAAATACCATCATCATTCTTCACAGAACTAGAAGAAACAATCCTAAAATTTATACGGAACAAAAAAAAAAAAAAAAAGAGCCTGCATAGCAAAAGCAAGACTAAGCAAAAAGAACAAATCTGGAGGTATCACATTATCCAACTTCATGCTAATATTATAAGGCTATAGACACCAAAACAGCATGGTACTGGTATAAAAATAGGCACATAGAACAATAGAAGCAGAATAGAGAATCCAGAAATAAAGCCAAATACTTACAGCCAACTGATCTTCGACAAAGTAAACAAAAACGTAGAGTGAGGAAAGGACACCCTAATCAACAAATGATGCTGGGATAATTGGCAAGCCACATGTAGGAGAATGAAACTGGATCCTCATCTCTCACCTTATACAAAAATCTACTCAAGATAGATCAAAGACTTAAATCCAAGACCTGAAACAAAACAAAACAAAACAAAAAAATCTAAAAGACAATGTCAGAAAAACTCTTCTAAACATTGGCTTAGGCAAAGAATTTATGACCAAGAACATAAAAACAAATGCAACAGAAACAAAAATAAATAGATGGGGCCTAATTAAACTAAAAAGCTTCTGCACAGTAAAAGAAATAATCGTCATGGTAAACAGATAACCCACAGAGTGGGAGAAAATATTTGCACTCAGTTTTGTTACCTGCCTTGTCCTTCTAGACATCTGTGTCTAAGAAATAATCAAAAAGTGTGTAATCCAAAAGAGGGTGTGTTCTTTTTCCCTTTTCCCAGCAGTCTGTCCTTGCTAATTATATTTAGAATGAGTTAAATATTAAAGATTGCATTCCCAGAGCACACAGCCTTGCAGAAATTGACCATAGACATTATGCATAGTGGGACTAGACGAAGATTTAAATTCTTCTGTACACTGAAAGGTAATTTTCTGCATACTGAAAATAATTTAGACATAGTAATTGAGACTGTATGGCATTCATCATTCTAAAAATCCTAAATTTAGTAGATAACTAAAAGTCAAATACTTTATGATCAAATACCTTTAAAATAATTTTGTTTTATTATAGAATTACATAGAAAGAAAAAATCTACAATCTATTTCATTTTTAAAAGAGAAGTTTAGTGTTTGTTATATATGTTGTCGTCTTTGTCATCAAAAACCAGTTGAAAAACAGGCTGGACGTTTGCAGACACTGAGATACCCAAAACCCAGTTAATACACAGCTGCCTTCCCAATCCTCAATTTAATTTTACCTTCATCCCCATTTTAGTATCAAATCCTGGGAATCTTCAGTTCAGACACCTCTGCAGGTGCCACACATAACTAACCTTTCAATAAGATTAACTGCCAGACTGTGACATTTGATGTGTGATAATGCAAGGCTTTGTGAATTTTAAATGATTCTGCAGATGAATTTGAGATACAGTAAAGCCTTCATTAGATATAATTTAAGGACCAACCACTAAACAATCTTAATTGCAGAAACTCTTAAAGATATAAGCATAAAAAAGTTAATTTGTGGAGGAGAGTCAAACATTTGGACATTTTTCACGGGGTATCCTAAATGACAAGACTTATACAGACAGAGGAACTTTAGTTGTCATCATCACTATGGAGCACTTTGTACAGAACACCTACTGAGAGAAGAAAAATGGTGCAATACTCTTCCTTTACCCACTGAAAAAGTAATAATAACAACAATGAAAGTAGCAAAGACTGATTGAAAATAGTTTATGCTAGGTACTATCCTAAGTGCTTTATGTATATTAATTCCATCCTCATAATTATCCAGTCACCTAGCTTCTTTTGAGTTTTCATATTAGAAAGGAAGCAACTGATGCTCAGAGAATGTAAATGTCTGAAATAAAGTGGAAGCCAGGCATGATGGCTCATATCTGTAATCCCAGTACTTTGGGAGACCAAGGCAGGAGGATCTGGATTGAGGCCAAGAGTTCAAGACCAGCCTGGGCAACATGGTGAAACCCTATCTCTACAAAAAATACAGAAATTAGCCAGGCATGGTGGTGTGCCCCTATAGTCCCTGCTACTCTGGAGGCTGAAGTGGGAGGATCAATTGAGCCTGGGACACGGAGGTTGCAATGAGCAAAGATCATGCCACTGCACTGCAGCCTGCGTGACAGGGTGAGACCCTGACTCAAAAAAATAACAAAACCTCAAAAACAAAAAACCAAGAAGTGGAACAGAAAGTCTCATTTAATCTGTTCCTTTGACTCCAGGGCCAATCTTTTAAAACCCTGAACAAATGTTCCCGAAATTTTCCTGATGTAAACTAAGAATCCCCCTGACATATTAATTCTGTAACTGTGAAGTAGGCCTGGGGATCTAAAGTATTTTAGGCAATGTTGAACGCATTGGCCAATGTTGCTATCTAGCTAATGAGTCTACTGCCAGGAAGATAATCCTAACACCCACTAGCACACCCAATCCACAAGGCTTTATGACCATCAATATAAGCAAGGCAAAATATAATAATTTCAAGATATGAACACATAAGTCATTTCTGGCTGACATTTGAGGGATGTTTACTTCATTAGGAACTAGTAAAGTTTATAACGGAACAAAGTATTTAAGAATACCTTTTCATATTTACAGAATTTTTATTTTGGATGTCCATTAGATATGCTAAAATTTATAATGTTTTTATATATACTTCACTTGATAACATCCTCACATCAATCCTATGTTTATGTCATTTAGTTCTCATTTTGCAGATGGGTGTAAAATACATTTGATTACTTTCAAATAGGAAGAAGAAATAATTCACTGACTGTCCCCTTGTTTTCACTTGCCCAACAGAATTCAGAAAACCAGACCAAATAAGAACAAATCATATGTATTATTTATTGCAAATAAAACTGGAAGGGAAAGTCAAGCAGCACACTTTGGTGTGGCAATTATGAAAATGCATCCTTGGGTTCCAAGATGGCCGAATAGGAACAGCTCCAGTCTAAAGCTCCCAGCGTGAGTGACACAGAAGACGGGTGATTTCTGCATTTCCAACTGAGGTACCGGGTTCATCTCACTGGGGCTTGTGGGACAGTGGGTGCAGGACAGTGGGTGCAGTGCACTGAGAGTGAGCCGAAGCAGGGTGAGGCATCGCCTCACACAGGAAGCACAAGGGGTCAGGGAATTCCGTTTCCTAGCCAAGCGAAGCTGTGACAGACAGCACCTGGAAGATCAGGGCACTCCCACCCTAATACCGCACTTTTCCAATCATCTTAGCAAACGGCACACCAGGAGATTATGTCGCATGCCTGGCTTGGAGGGTTCCCCACCCACGGAGCCTCGCTCGTTGCTAGCACAGCAGTCTCAGATTGAACTGCAAGGCGGCAGCAAGGCTGGGGGAGGGATGCCCGCCATTGCTGAGGCTTGAGTAGGTGAACAAAGCGGCTGGGAAGCTTGAACTGGGTGGACCTCACCACAGCTGAAGGAGGCCTGCCTGCCTCTGTAGACTGCACCTCTGGAGGCAGGGCATAGCCGAACAAAAGGCAGCAGAAACCTCTGCAGACTTAAATGTCCCTGTCTGACAGCTTTGAAGAGAGTAGTGGTTCTCCCAGCACCGAGTTTGAGATCTGAGAATGGACAGACTGCCTCCTCAAGTGGGTCCGTGACCCCCGAGTAGCCTAACTGGGAGGAACCCCCCAGTAGGGGCAGACTGACACCTTACACGGCTGGGTACCCCTCTGAGATGAAACTTCCAGAGGAATGATCAGGCAGCAACATTTGCTGTTCAGCAATATTCACTGTTCTGCAGCCTCCGCTGCTGATACCCAGGCAAACACGGTCTGGAATGGACCTCCAGCAAACTCCAACAGACCTGCAGCTGAGGGTCCTGACTGTTAGAAGGAAAACTAACAAACAGAAAGGACATCCACAACAAAACTCCATCTGTACGTCACCATCATCAAAGACCAACGGTAGATAAAACCACAAAGATGGG
The DNA here is from genome assembly GCF_000001405.40 of Homo sapiens. NCBI lineage: Eukaryota > Metazoa > Chordata > Mammalia > Primates > Hominidae > Homo > Homo sapiens. Next base: position 1,478,515 of record NC_000003.12, read on the forward strand.
GAAAAAACAGAGCAGAAAAACTGAAAATTCTAAAAATCAGAGCGCCTCTCCTCCTCCAAAGGAATGCAGCTCCTCATCAGCAATGGAACAAAGCTGGATGGAGAATGACTTTGATGAGTTGAGAGAAGAAGGCTTCAGACTATCAAACTTCTCTGAGCTAAAGGAGAAAGTCTGAACTCATTGCAAAGAAGCTAAAAACCTTGAAAAAAAAATTAGATGAATGGCTCACTAGAATAACCAGTGTAGAGAAGTCCTTAAATGACCTGATGGAGCTGAAAACCATGGCATGAGAACTATGCGGCAAATGCACAAGCTTCAGTAGCTGATTTCATCAACTAGAATAGAGGGTATCAGTGATTGAAGATCAAATGAATGAAATGAAGTGAGAAGAGAAGTTCAGAGAAAAAAGAGTAAAAACAATCAAAGCCTCCAAGAAATATGGGACTAGGTGAAAAGACCAAATGTACGTCTGATTGGTGTACCTGAAAGTGACGGGGAGAGGAACCAAGTTGAAAAACACTCTGCAGGATATTATCCAGGAGAACTTCCCCAACCCAGAAAGGCAGGCCAAAATTCAAATTCAGGAAATACAGAGAACACCACAAAGATACTCCTCGGGAAGAACAACTCCAAGACACATAATTGTAAGATTCACCAAAGTTGAAATGAGGGAAAAAATGCTAAGGGCAGACAGAGAGAAAGGTCAGGTTACCCACAAAGGGAAGCCCATCAGACTAACAGCGGATCTCTCGGCAGAAACTCTACAAGCCAGAAGAGAGTGGGGGCCAATATTCAACATTCTTAAAGAAAAGAATTTTCAACCCAGAATTTCATATCCAGCCAAACTAAGCTTCATAAGTGAAGGAGAAATAAAATCCTTTACAGACAAGCAAATGCTGAGAGATTTTGTCACCACCAGGCCTACCCTAAAAGAGCTCCTGAAGGAAGCACTAAACATGGGAAGGAATGACTGGTACCAGCCACTGCAAAAACATGCCAAATTGTAAAGACCATTGAGGCTAGGAAGAAACTGCATCAACTAACGAGCAAAATAACCAGCTAACATCATAATGACAGGATCAAATTCACACATAACAATATTAAACTTAAATTTAAATGACCTAGATGCTCCAATTAAAAGACACAGACTGGCAAATTGGATAAAGAGTCAAGACCCATCAGTGTGCTGTATTCAGGAGACCCACCTCACATGCAGAGACACATATAGGCTCAAAATAAAGGGATGGAAGAAGATCTACTAAGCAAATGGAAAACAAAAGTAGGCAGGGGTTTCAATCCTAGTCTCTGATAAAACAGACTTTAAACTAACAAAGATCAAAAGAGACAAAGAAGGCCATTACATAATGGTAAAGGGATCAATTCAACAAGAAGAGCTAACTATCCTAACTATATATGCACCCAATACAGGAGCACCCAGATTCATAAAGCAAGTCCTTACAGACCTACAAAGAGACGTAGACTCCCACACAATAATAATGGGAGACTTTAACACCCCACTGTCAACATTAGACAGATCAACGAGACAGAAAGTTAACAAGGATATCCAGGAATTGAACTCAGCTCTGCACCAAGTGGACCTAATAGATAGTTACAGAAGTCTCCACCCCAAATCAACAGAATATACATTCTTCTCAGCACAACATCACACTTATTCCAAAATTGACCACATAGTTGGAAGTAAAGCACTCCTCAGTAATGTAAAAGAACAGAAATTATAACAAACTGTCTCTCAGACCACAGTGCAATCAAATTAGAACTCAGGATTAAGAAACCCACTCAAAACTGCTCAACTACATGGAAACTGAACAACCTGCTCCTGAATGACTACTGGGTACATACAGAAATGAAGGCAGAAATAAAGATGTTCTTGGAAACCAAGGAGAACAAAGACACAACATACCAGAATCTCTGAGACACATTTAAAGCAGTGTATAGAGGGAAATTTATAGCACTAAATGCCCACAAGGCAAAGCAAGAAAGATCTAAAATTGACACCCTAACATCACAATTAAAAGAACTAGAGAAGCAAGAGCAAACACATTCAAAAGCTAGCAGAAGGCAAGAAATAACTAAGATCAGAGCAGAACTGAAGGAGATAGAGACACAAAAAACCCTTCAAAAAAATCAATGAATCCAGGAGCCGGTTTTTTGAAAAGATGAACAAAACTGATAGACTGCTAGCAAAACTAATAAAGAATAAAAGAGAGAAGAATCAAATAGATGCAATAAAAAATGATCAAGGGGATATCACCACCGATCCCACAGAAACACAAACTACCATCAGAGAATACTATAAACACCTCTACACAAATAAACTAGAAAATCTAGAAGAAAGAGATAAATTCTTGGACACATGCACCTTCTCAAGACTAAACCACGAAGAAGTTGAATTTCTGAATAGACCAATAACAGGCTCTGAAATTGAGGCAATAATTAATAGCTTACCAACCAAAAAGAGTCCAGGACCAGATGGATTCACAGCCGAATTCTACCAGAGGTACAAGGAGGAGCTGGTACCATTCCTTCTGAAACTATTCCAATCAATAGAAAAAGAGGGAATCCTCCCTAACTCATTTTATGAGGCCAGCATCATCCTGATACCAAGGCCTGGCAGAGACACAACAAAAAAACAGAATTTTAAACCAATATCACTGATGAACATTGATGCAAAAATCCTCAATAAAATACTGGCACACCGAATCCAGCAACACATCAAAAAGCTTATCCACCATGATCAAGTGGGCTTCATCCCTGGGATGCAAGGCTGGTTCAGACTACACAAATCAATAAACATAATCCAGCATATAAACAGAACCAAAGGAAAAAAACACATGATTATCTCAATAGATGCAGAAAAGGCCTTCAACAAAATTCTACAGCCCTTCACACTAAAAACTCTCAATAAATTAGGTATTGATGGGATGTATCTCAAAATAATAGGAGCTATCTATGACAAACCCACAGCCAGTATCATACTGAATGGGTGAAAACTGGAAGCATTCCCTTTGAAAACTGGCACAAGACAGGGATGCCCTCTCTCACCACTCCTATTCAACATAGTGTTGGAAGTTCTGGCCAGGGCAATTAGGCAAGAGAAAGAAATACAGGGTATTCAATCAGGAAAAGAGGAAGTCAAATTGTCCCTCTTTGCAGATGACATGATTATATATCTAGAAAACCCCGTCGTCTCAGTCCAAAATCTCCTTAGGCTGATAAGCAACTTCAGCAAAATCTCAGGATACAAAATCAATGCGAAAAAATCACAAGCATTCTTATAAACCAATGACAGACAAACAGAGAGCCAAATCATGAGTGAACCCCCATTCACAATTGCTTCAAAGAGAATAAAATACCTAGGAATCCAACTTACAAGGGATGTGAAGGAACTCTTCAAGGAGAACTACAAACCACTGCTCAACGAAATAAAAGAGGACATAAACAAATGGAAGAACATTCCATGCTCATGGACAGGAAGAATCAATATTGTGAAAATGGCCATACTGCCCAAGGTAATGTATAGATACAATGCCATCACCATCAAGCTACCAGTGACTTTCTTCACAGAATTGGAAAAAACTACTTTAAAGTTCATACGGAACCAAAAAAGAGCCCGCATTGCCAAGTCAATCCTAAGCCTAAAGAATAAAGCTGGAGGCATCACGCTACCTGACTTCAAACTATACTACAAGGCTACAGTAACCAAAACAGCATGGTACTGGTACCAAAACAGAGATATAGACCAATGGAACAGAATAGAGCCCTCAGAAATAATACCACACATCTACAACCATCTGATCTTTGACAAACCTGACAAAAACAAGAAATGGGAAAAGGATTCCCTATTTAATAAATGGTGCTGGGAAAACTGGCTACCCATATGTAGAAAGCTGAAACTGGATCCCTTCCTTACACCTTATACAAAAATTAATTCAAGATGGATTAAAGACTTAAATGTCAGACCTAAAACCATAAAAACCCTAGAAGAAAACCTAGGCAATACCATTCAGAACATAGGCATGGGCAAGGACTTCATGTCTAAAACACCAAAAGCAATGGCAACAAAAGCCAAAATTGACAAATGGGATCTAATTAAACTAAAGAGCTTCTGCACAGCAAAAGTAACTACCATCAGAGTGAACAGGCAACCTACAGAATGGGAGAAAATTTTTGCAATCTACTCTTCTGACAAAGGGCTAATATCCAGAATCTACAAAGAACTCAAACAAATTTACAAGAAAAAAAAAACAACCACATCAACAAGTGGGCGAAGGATATGAACAGACACTTCTCAAAAGAAGACATTTATGCAGCCAACAGACACATGAAAAAATGCTCATCATCACTGGCCATCAGAGAAATGCAAATCAAAACCACAATGAGATACCGTCTCACACCAGTTAGAATGGCAATCATTAAAAAGTCAGGAAACAACAGGTGCTGGAGAGGATGTGGAGAAATAGGAACACTTTTACACTGTTGGTGGGACTGTAAACTAGTTCAACCATTATGGAAGTCAGTGTGGCGATTCCTCAGGGATCTAGAACTAGAAATACCATTTGACCCAGCCATCCCTTTACTGGGTATATACCCAAAGGAATATAAATCATGCTGCTATAAAGACACATGCACACGTATGTTCATTGCGGCACTATTCACAATAGCAAAAACTTGGAACCAACCCAAATGTCCATCAATGACTGACTGGATTAAGAAAATGTGGCACATATACACCATGGAATACTCTGCAGCCATAAAAAGATGAGTTCATGTCCTTTGTAGGGACATGGATGAAGCTGGAAACCATCATTCTCAGCAAACTATCGCAAGGACGGAAAACCAAACACCACATGTTCTCACTCATAGGTGGGAATTGAACAATGAGAACCCTTGGACACAGGATGGGGAACATCACATACCGGGGCCTGTTGTGGGGTTGGGGGAGGGGGGAGGGATAGCATTAGGAGATATATCTAATGTAAATGACGAGTTAATTGGTGCAGCATACCAACATGGCACATGTATAAATATGTAACAAACCTGCACGTTGTGCACATGTACCCTAGAACTTAAAGTATAATAAAAAGAAAAAAGAAAAAAAAGAAAATGCATCCTTGCTGATTATGGTAATCCACATTTGGTCCCTCCCACATTCACAGCCCACATCCTCTCACCATGCTTAGCAAAGCCTGGACCAAACAGCACATTAAGGGCCCACTAATACAAATAGTCAGGTATTGCCAGATTATTTTATGCAAAGCTTTAGAAATCTGTGTTTAAAAATTAACAAATAACAAAAACCTCCTTAGTTGAGAACCCCTGCTTTCAACAGTGTTAGCATCTCTGTTGAGAAGAATTAGCCATTACAAGGTATAAATATATATATATATTAAAATTAGATATATATATGTGATGTATATAATATACATATATATATTTGAGACAGTTTCAATCTATCCCCGAGGCTGTAGTGCACTGGCACAATCACAGCTCACTGCAGCCTCAACCTCTGGGCTCAAGTGATCCTCACAACTCAGCTTCCAGAATAGCTGGGACTATGGGTGCATGTCACCAGCCTGGCTAATTGTTTTCAAATTTTTTGTAGAGAAGAAGGTCTCACAATGTTGCCCAGGCTGGTCTCGAACTCCTGACCTCAAGCAATCATCCCACCTTGGCCTCCCAAAGTGCTGGGATTGCAGGTGTGAGCCACAGTGTCTGGCTTATATTTCTTATTTCATGAGAAAGAAACACTTAACATTGAAAAATTGGAAGGTAAATTTAAGTGTAAATATAAAATATGAGACTCATTCATGATCCCTCTACAAATAGGTAGCCCATGTTTATATTTTGGTGTATTTTGTTATTTTAGGCATAGAACATGATCTGTGCACAAAACTAAAAGAATAAAACATGGGAATTTGGGTTGATGTTGGTTTAATCCTTTTCAGTAGTGGAGAGAAGGATGTGTTTGATTGTTTACAGGTAGGAAAAGAAATATGTCAACCAAGTGTCCCTTTCTTTTAATTTGTGCCACAGAACAATGCATAGTTGTAATTAAAAATAAAAATTTTTATTGACATGTAATTCACATGCCATAAAAGTCACCATTTTTAAGTTTACAATTCAGGAAAAAAAATTTTTTAAACAGAAACAATAACTTGATTGTTTATTAACACCTTTTCATGTTGCTGTGTTCTACAATATCAGTTTTAATGATTTTATAGTTTTCCATTGACAGTATTAAAATAATTTAATTTGTCTTCTATAGATATTTAAGTTGTGTCATGTTTTCACTACTACATACAATATTTAAATCAATATCAGTGTAATGTTATCTTTCATGTCCATTTTTATTTCTATGTTATACATTCTACCACAGGGAATCTGTTTCAACAGGCATATACATTTTTAACCTAAAGAAAAAATAAGTTAAATTCTTAGGTTTTATTTTCAAAATTGCCAAAGGCTTTTGAGAAAAAGGAGAGTACTAAATAAATGATACACACACACATACACACACACACACATTGATAGATGATAGATAGATAGATAGATAGATAGATAGATAGATAGATAGACAGATAGACAGACAGACATAACTGAAACTGAACAGATCCTAAAACTGTGAACTGATGTCGCCCAAGCTGGTCTGGAACTCCTGTGCTCTATATACTATAGAGGGTAGGATCTTATAATATCCAGTACTACCTTGGGGCCAAGTATTTGATAAGACAGAGTATGAAGTCAGGAATATCTGAACGAATCTAAATTTTGGCTCTTCCACTAACTAGTTGCCTGATTTGGAACACATTCCAATTTTCTCATGTATAATATGTGCTATGGTTTGGATGTGGTTTGTGTCTGCCAAAACTTATGTTGAAATTTAATTGGCAGTATGCTGGTCTTGGGAGGTGGTGCCTTTCAGAAGTGATTAGGTCGTTAAAATAGATCAATGTATTTTCCACAAGACTGGTTAGTTCTTGCAGGAATGGAATAGTTCCAGAAAAAGTGGCTTGTTACTAAGCAGGTTGTTACACACTCCCCTTCTCCTGTAGCTCCTCCACCACATTGTGTGACAGCACAAGGTCCCTGCCAGAAGCTGAACACATGTTGTTCCATGCTTCTTAGCCTTCCCAGACTTCAGAATTGTGACCCACGTAAATATCTTTTCTTTAGAAATTACATGAACTCATGTATTCTCATGTATTCTGTTAGGGCAACACAAAGACAACATCAATATCAAACAAAGCCATTTCTGAAACACATTAAGTACTCTAAAAGTGATGCTTGGTTTTTTTACATTTTAGTAATAATAATCATTAGCACATTATTATTAATGTTATTTAACTATATGCTTTCCAAATATAAAGTTATATTCTGTAAGGATATATATACATATATATACACACATATATATATACACACACACACACACACACACACACATATATATATATATATATATATTTTTTTTTTTTTTTTTTTTTTTGTCAGTGTCTAGCTCTGTCGCCCAGGCTGGAGGGCAGTGGTGCGATCTCAGCTTCCTGTAACCTCCGCCTCCCAGGCTCAAGCAATCCTCCCACATCAGCCTCCCAGGTAGCTGGGACTACAGGTGTGCACCACGATGCCCAGCTAATTTTGTATTTTTTTGTAGAGACAGTTTTGCCATGTTGCCTAAGCTTGTCTGGAACTCCTGAGCTCAAGCAATCCCCCCGCCTCGGCCTCACAAAGTGCTGGGATTACAGGCCTGAGTCACTAAACCTGGCCTATAAGGATATTCTTATATGGTGTTTAGCATGAAGAAATTCTTGGAACAAATCCATCTACTTTGTTACATTATTTTCTATGGGCCAGTCTTTCAAGTTACTAATGTAATTTTTGTGAGTGAACTATTAGGGGGTGATTATTAGGAAATGAAAAAAAATTTAAATATGGCTTGATACCTTTAATATGATTCAAAAGACATAATTTCTAAAGCAGAAGCAGAAAGCCAAATGAGATAATAGATTATGATATGAAAATGCAACTTCATAAGATGAAAAGGAAGGTCCTTGTAAGAAGAAATACTTGCAAGAAAACTAAAAACATATAAACGGACTTAAGACACCATTGGAGTCAGGTTTGAACAGAGTTATTAATGCTGCAAACTAAGTCAATGATATAGAGACATATGGCAGCCAATAATATATTTAATTTTTTAATTGATGTTTATAATGAAATTGACCTTTAATTCAATTATCTTAGACTGTTCTTATCTCAGTTTGGTACTAGAGCTATAGTGACCTCATCAAATAAATTAATAAACATTCCATCTTCTTCTATATTCAGAAACAACTCATTAAGACAGGGTCCTGGAATTTTGGCAGTGATCGTTTGTGAAGCCATCTGAGCTTAATGATTTTTCAATAAAGGAATTTTAGAATATCACTGCAGTGTCTTCAACAGCTTGGGATCTGTTCAAGATTTTATTTATTTTGGATCTTAAAGTGGAATTTAATACTTTTTTTAGAAAGTTGTATATTTATCTTAGATGTTAAAATTTGTGGCTGTACAATTATTCATAATATTTTAAATTTTAAATCTATATATGTTTTATTTTCTTTCTGTTCTTTGTGTTCTTTTCTTTCTTTTTCCTTGTTTAGTCATGTCAGAGATTTGTCTATTATATAGTATGCATAACCATTTATTCTTTTTGTGTTATTATAAGCTATGACATTAGGTTTTGACTTTATTGTTTTAAAATGTTTTATTTAACCTTATTTTTTGCTTTCTTTTATATTGTTTTTCGATTGTTTCCCTATTGTTTTTCTTTTGATATTAGAAACTGACAATTTAATGCATTTTACGACTGAAAATTAAGTCTCAGACTTTCTTCTTTACTGTAAAATGTAGTCAGAACGACTATTACCACTCACAGGTGCTACTAATTTAGCCATATTCCTTACTTATCTAGTCTGTGTCTTCATTCAGCCTTAAATAAGTTGTGATTTCTCTCTTCAAGGATCATTTTATAATATCATTTTTTTCTATTTTCATATCTAATTTTAGCTATCCTTTTGTTGTTTTTTAATCTCACTGCAATTTGGTAAAAGAACATAATCAATGGTGGTGGTTTATTTGTAGCTGTTTTGTGCCACGTTGGAGTCTTTCAAATTTACTCAGGCTTTCCTTGTGGCCCAGTACACGCCTGACATTTTGTGAATGGGCCATGAATATTAAAAACATAATGCGTTGACTGGGCGAGCTGGCTCACGCCTGTAATCGCAGCGCTTTGGGAGGCCCAGGCAGGCAGATCACTTGCGGTCAGGAGCTAGACACCAGCCTGGCCTACCAAATGGTGAAACCCCGTCTCTATTAAAAATACAGAAATTAGCTGGACAGGGTGGTGGGCACCTGTAATCCCAGCTACTCAGGAGGCTGAGGCAGGAGAATCGCTTGAACCCGGGAGAAGGAGGTTGCATGAATCGAGATGGCACCACTGCACTGCAGCCTGGGTGGCAGAGTGAGACTCCTCCATTAAAAAAAAAAAAATACCCATAATGTGTTTTGTCTGTTGTATCTATCTATCTATCTGATTTACCTACCAACCAATAGCGCTAGCTCCATATTAGATAATATAATTTGTCATGTTATTCATATTTTCTGTCTTTGCATATTTCTGTCTAGTCAGGTTCCAAGTGGGGTGTACTGAAATATAGAACTGTAATTATGAATGCATGTTGTTCTCAATGTATTTATATAACTTGATGTTTTATATATTTGAGACTATGTTGAATGATCATAGTGACGTGCTGGATCAAGTTTATACTATTAATAGCTCACAAGAGCCAATTGTTTATTTTCAGGAATTTTATGAGCCAGTTGTTACACATAATAATTTTTAAAAATTAAATTATATTAATTTATGATTAAGTACAGTATAGTAAAAACAAAGGTAATACCAAAATCCATACTTCCTATTTTACTACATTTACAAAGAAAAAAAGATATTTTTACAATTCACAGGTCTGCCAGACACCAGCTTATTCAAATGATCAAGCACAGCATCACCAACAGTAGAACAAACTAACCTTAGGTGTCTCTCTAGTGGTGCAATGAGACTAACTGACAACGCCTTGGTAGAAGCATCTGTGTGTCTAAAATCAATCTTATCTAGAGAAAAGAGATAGATATGAACTGTTACACTATAGACTACCAGACAAACCTATCCTAAAAAATATGAGGTAGTAACTTCCTGTGGTTTTATTTTCCACCACCCTATTGACTAATGATGCTGAGCTCCCTTGTTTTGTGAGGTTACTGGCCATTCATATATCTTCTTTTTTGAACCATTTGTTTACATTATTTTCTCATTTTTAATGGGTTGTTCCTTTTCCTATTGCTGATTTGAAGGAGTTCCTTAGTCAGAGGTATGCGTACTTCTTTGTCAGATGAACCAGAGTGGAGTGCTTTGTTGGTTATATGTATTAGAAATATTTTTCCCCAGTCTGTGGCTTGCCTATCCATTTTTGTCATATGTCTTTCGATGAGAAGATCTTATGCTCCTAGAACATGCTCCCGCTGGTCCTTGATTCAGACTCAGTGTATAATTTCTGTGTCCCAGGCTCCAAACCAGCCCTTTCTCTACAAGGTTTGACTCCTTCCCACCCCCAAAGATAATGCTATTAGAACCCATGTTCTGGAAACTAGATGTTCTTGTTACAATTTCATTTAATCCTTTCAGTGTAAAGAAGTAGAAAATGTTTAAAGTTTAGAAATCGTGAATTTATGTTATCACTGCTAATTCTATTGCAATAACACAGAGATTTTCCTCCCCTTCCTTAATTCTATATTGGCATCTCTTTTCTCTCATTGAGAACATTGGCTCCAAAATACAACAGTATATTTATTCATTTATTCTATCATTTAATTCATACAAAATACTTTCAGAATTAATATATTCATTCTCTCTACCAACAAAAAACCTGCTGTATAAAGTTTAAACTTTCTTTCTAATTAATTTTGAGACTGAATTCTGATCAAGTATAACCTGAAACCTTCTTTTATTCTGGTGTTTGTATTATACATATATATTAATTTGTTTTTCATCGTATTCAATTTCAGGAGTTTCTTTTTTGCATTTGCCTTAAATTTATTTTGTTTTTGAATATGTGAAACATCTATGTGGTTCCCAAGTCAATACAATATAAAAAGGTAAACTGAGAGCCTCATTTGCCTTCTACATTCCTCCCACTGACCCATCTACAAGTACCTATTTAAATTAGTTTTTGTGTTGTTATTTGTGTTTCTTAATAAATTTTTTTAAGTGTGCATAGGTACATGCATAACACACATAAAATAAATCTGATTATGCATATGATAATCTGAAGCTCCTCTCTTTTTTCTATGGAAGGTTTACTCTATATACCTTTTTACACTGTAATCTTGCTTTGTTATTTGATATTATATAGTGGAAATCACTCTTTATCAGTTCATAAAGATCATATATACTCTTTATTTTTTAATGCCTACACAGTACTGTACTGTGTGGGTATACCATAGTTTACTCACCTTGAACGACATGTAGATTTTTCCAGTGTTTTATTACCAAAAATAGTGCTGCAATGAATAACCCTGTAGGAATGTTGCTTTGTTTCTGTGCATTTTTTAATACTGATAAATCTTTACTTTAAAAAATGGCCTTATCACTACTCTCAAGAGCCCACAATATTTCAAAAATTACCTCATTGATATACATACATTCAACATTGCCTATTAGAACAAATTAATTGGCATACTCCTTTGAAATCTGTCTAAAGTAAATAAAGATATATGATGTGAATAAAACTAGTCATCATACTAGAACGTGATTTGCTATTTACTTTGTTACATATGCAGACAAATTTTCATGTGAGAATATTATTCCAGCCACACCTAACTCTTGTTTTTATGATTTTTCTGGGAAAAATATGGTCCAAATTCTAACAGTATCTTTTTAAAAATATCTTTTAGACATGTTTAATGCTAATTTGCAGTTTCTTGTGTATAATTAATTACCAGGGGATCCATAAACATGGCTGTATACAGAAATCAAACAAAACCTTAAAAAAAAATACAAATTCCTGAGTCTCATTAAAGTATGCAGAATCGGACCACCTAGGTCTGTGGATTGAGCAGTTCATTTATACCACATTTGGTAACTCCTATGTGGTAAATATAGGGAAAGGGACTAGAAAATTAGATAAATTGTCACAGGCAGAGGTGGTCATAGAATCTTCCTAGACATGGTGACCTTTGGTTGGGTTTTGAAAGCAGAGAAATGAAGCAGGGGAATATGCTTCTTTTTAAATATGTCCACAAATTTTTCTACCTCTTCCCCATTCAAAAGTGGAGTCTAATTCACACTCCACTTACGTGGAGTTTTATTTAGCCACTTGCTTCTAGTGAGTAGAGTATGGAAGAATTAATGGAATTAGTCTTCCAACAGTAGATCGTAAAATGCCCTGCAGCCTTTCAGCCTTTTAGATTATTCACTAAAGGGAAAGTAGGCTGTCTTGTGGGATCCTGTGGAGAAACCAATATGATAGGAGCTGAAGACTTGTCAAGAGCCGGAGGAACTAAGGCTTCCTTTCTACAACTATGTTGGTGAGCCAGTGAGGAGGTGGAACCTTCAGCCCAGGCGAGCCTTTAAATAACTGAAGATGCAGATGACATCTGGACTGCAACATCATGAGAGACCTTGAGCCAGCTGTTCTCATGACTGGCCCACAAGAAAATAAGATTAAGACAATGTGATGTTTTAAGGTGCTAAGTATTTGGGTAATTTGTTATGCAGCAATAGAAAACTAATGCAGACAGTCAACAGGGTTTTCAGTATGTGGGGAGTTTGAGAGAATGGATGTCATGTAAGACAAAGGAAGAATATATTATATATAACTCCTATAATTATTCACAACATTTCTGACATCAAATGTATGGGTTTTCTACACCAAGTAATTCTCCAATTCCCTGCTGTCACCAAGTGGGTATCCTACAATTTAATTAAATTCTGACACTATCCAGAGTCAGTGCTGACACCAAAGGTAAAGAGATCAGTCCCACAAGACTGCCCTCCACTTCAGATGCCAGTCACAAATAGTGGGTCACCAGGTTACCCACACTTCTGTCTACCTTGCCTACAAATCAGAGGTTCCCATTACCTCCTCCTCGGGTTCAATAATTTGCTATAGTAGTAGCTCCCAGGAAGGTGGTTACTGGTTTATCATAAAGGATAGAAATTAACAGCCAGATGAAGAGCTCCATAGGGCAAGGTCTGGAAGGGTCCTGAGTTCAGGAGCTTCTGTCCAGTATGATTTGAGATGTGCTACCCTCTAGGCATGTGGATGTGTTCGTGAACTAGAAAACTCTCTGAACATTTTTATTTAGGAGTTTTATGGAGGTTTCATTACATAGGCACAATTGACTAAATCATCGGCCATTGGTGATTGAATTCAATCTCCAGCCTCTCTCTCATTCCCAAAGGTTAAGGATTAGGGCTGAAAATTCCAAGCTTCTCATCACTTGGTTGGTTCCTCTGGCAAACATTCCTCATCCTGAAGCAATCTAGGAGCCCCATCAAGAGTCATCTCATTAGCATGAACTCAAATATCACAATGTCGTAATATACAAACATAACACTTTAGTAAATGAGAATAGAGCATTAAAGTTAAATGACAACAAATATTGAACTAGTGACATAATATATGAAGTCTAACAGAGTCTAAAATTTTTTGACATTTGTGCTCTTTGATTATATAAGTACCTACATAATGTCTTCAATTTTGTCTCTTTAAATTTTTTTTTTATTTTATTAGCTTTTGGGTTACAAGTGTTTTTTTTTTTTTTTTTCTCCACAGATGAATTGTATAGTGGTGAAGTCTGAGAATTTAGTGCACCCTTCACCTGAGTAGTGTACGTTGTACCCAATACATAGTTTTGTATCCTTTGCCTCCCTCCCATCCTCTGTTTTCTGAGTCTCCATAGTCCATTATATCACTCTTTATGCCTTTGAATACCAATAGCTTAGCTCCCACTTATAAGTGAGAGCATATCATATTTGGCTTTTCATTCCTGAGTTACTTCATTTAGAATAATGGCCTCCAGATCTGCCCAAGTTGCTCCAAAAGACATTATTTCATTTTTTTATGGCTGAGTATTTCATGGTGTATATATACAAAATTTTCTTTATCTACTCATTAGTCAATGGGCACATAGGTTGGTTCCATATCTTTGCAATTGTGACTTGTGTTGCAATAAGCATACGCATGCAGGGGTCTTTTTGATATAATGATTTATTTTCCTTTGGGTAGATACCCAGTAGTGGGATTGCTGGAGCAAGTGGTAGATCTACTTTTAGTTCTTTAAGAAGTCTCCATACTGCTTTCCACTGAGGTTGTACTAATTTACATTCTCACCAGCCGTGTATAAGCATTCCCTTTTCACCACATCCAAGCCAACATATATTATTTTTTGACTTTTTAATAATGTCCGTTCTTGTAGGGGCAAGGTGGTATCTCATTGTGCTCATCAGCCTGACAGCTTGTGATATTGAGCATTGTCTCGTATGTTTTTGGCCATTTTTATATCTTATTTTGAGAAGTATCTGTTCATGTCATTTGCCTACTGTTTGATGGGAATATTTGTTTTTCTGTTGCTAATATATCTGAGTTCATTGCAGATTCTGGATATTAGTCCTTCGTCAGATGCATAGTTTGCAAATATTTTCTCTCATTCAGTGGGTTGTCTGTTTACTCTGATGATTATTTCTTTTGCTGTACAAAAGCTTTTTAGTTTAATTAGGTCCCACTTATTTATTTCTGTTTTTGTTGCATTTGCTTTCAGGGTTTAAGTCATTAATTCTTTGCCCAGGACAATATCCAGAAGAGTTTTTCTAGGTTATTTTCAATAATTTTTATGGCGTTAGGGCTTAGATTTAAGTGTTTTATCCTCCTAGAGTTGATTTTCTTATGAGGTGAGAGATAGGGATCCAGTTTCATTCTTCAGTTGGCTAGCCAAGTTTCCCAGTATCATTTATTAAATAGGGTGTCCTTTCCCGTTTGTAAAAGCTAATTGAAGGAGGATTTTTACTATGACTACAATCAAGAAAATCATTATGCAATTCTAATGATGATACGTTCAAGAAAGGTACCCATAGAAACAGAAACAACACTATTTTAAGGTATGAAAACAAACTAGGGTCAATATGGTTAAAGAGAAGCCAAAATTGAATGGAAGTTGATTTGGAATTTCTCATTTTGGAGGAAAGTATATGGTGTATTAAATATTTATTGTTTTATTAATTTAATATTTTCTTCCAAATGAAAATCTCAATATTTCATAGACTAATGTGCAGAAATGGTTATAGAACAAGTTTAAAACTCTATTTGATATTTTACTGAGATTAGGTACTATTCGTTTTGCAACTAAGTAAGATTAAATCATTTTTATTACTTTTTTAAGTAGAAGTCCAACTAAGCCACAAATATGCAACAACAAACATCTTAACTGCTTTTTCTTTAAATGAGATTGTGAAAACATTTCCCAATATACTTAAGGTTTTTTGGTTCCATTTTTGAAAGAGGGTTGTTTTTCTGACTAAAAAGGCTTTCAAAGATAATTATAAGCACTTATGCTCCCTTTTTCTTATTAGAGATCTTAGACGGGAGATTTAGGAGAAATTATCAGTAACAGCACTTGAAGTATCCTGAATTGAAACTCAGTTAGCTGAGAATTTTGACTAATTTATTCCCTGGTCCCACTTGCATGATGGATGGTTTTTTACAATATGTTGATATTTTTAAGGCAATGCCAGATAGTGGAATAATTATTATCAGATGAAAACCCACAATTGTGTTGTGATAAGATATTTGTCATGAAAATCATACAAATGCATGTTGAATATAAAATTGTCTTAAATGAGTTGAGTGATCATTTTATAAGAAAGATAGATTCATTTAATTGAGCCCTGCTTGGGGAAAGTCAATACAGAGATTGCCAATATAAGCAATTACATGTTAAATGGAATTTGTACAGAACATCGGAGCGTAGATTTTGCCTTTCAATGTTTTTGCATAATTGCAAATGATTACCTTCCAAAGAGACAACTTGAGCTGCAAGTCATGGAAAACGTCAGTGCTTCTTATTGCTAACAGGCTCAAGTGAGAGCTTTAAGTATTGGATGGTAACAATAGAATCAAAGGATAAAGAGAACAGTGAGAGACAATGTTCAGGTTTCTTGCCTGACATGGAATTACATTTAATGATTGAATGAATATGCTTGTTAAAGAAAAAGCTTCTTACCTCAATAACTTATTGCAATTTTTAAATTTCCTATCATGATATTCTTCTATGCCTTGAGTCACTTATATTACATCTTCTTCTACCTCTGTGCTTCATGAAAAAAGGGAGATAATTTAGTTCCTATGTTAGATGGCTACCAGAAAGTCAATGCATCTTGTAAAATCTAGAATAAATAAATTCCATATTTTTTAATTCATTGAGGGGCACAGATTAATATTCAAGAATTGTTTACATGGCTTCTTGTTTCATTCATTTAGTAAGTGTTGAGTATTTTGTAGTTGCTATGTACTAATTCCCATACTAGGTGCTAAGATGGAATTTATCCAAAAATGTTTGAAAAGCAAAATCTACAGTAAAATGTATTGAACTCTAAAAGTATGAATACAGCACACTCTCCATTTCCAGGGTGCCTTACAGAGCAAGAGAGGAGAACAACCCCCCCCCCCACAAAAAAAATCGATACTTTTTATCTTGTATAACAAGTCCTCTGATAGAAATGTTAACCACTCTACATCTACAGTACTAATTATACTTCTAATTTGTACTTGCAGATAAGAAGATAGAGTCTGAGTTTAAAAAAAAGGGAATATTCACTCTCTCCTGTAGTACTGAACATTTTACTCAAATGATTAAAGGAGGCTTTTTCTTTAAAAATTTCAAAATATCATTGTATTTCATTCCAATATGCAAATGCAGATTAAAACCTTTTCCAAGAGTATATTGTTCTTAAATTTCTGGAAAAGTTTTTGAGGGTCATGAGAGCTCAAGGGAACAACTAAAATGTAGAATCCTTTAAATAACAACAGATGTCTAAGTATTTTATCTCCTTTTACCACATGAACTATTTGCTGACTTCTGTCTGTGTATCTTCAACTAGTATTTGTAAAGCATGTAGCTGATTAGGTCAAAGGAACTTGAAGTTTTATTATTTATGCTGAACATAAATTGCAACATAAGTCTGGATAGGATGTGATTTACAACATTACCATAGTAACTACAGTTGATATTTTTATATTTAGGTTTGTTGTTGTATTGCCTATAATAGATTTAAAATCCCAATATGTTTTAATAGAAAACAGAAGTAAAGTATCTACATATCAAATCACAAGAGTTAATTGCCTGGTCTGAAGTCTATGGAATAGGGCTAGAAATGATTAGAAATATTTATGTGATCTTCCTTATAACTAGAGAGAAAATAGGCAGAAATAGGGATTCTAAATCAATAATTCTGAAAATGATACAAATAGACAGTTGTTCCCAAAGAAATATGTAGGTGACGTGAAATCTGGATGAGCATCATTCTGCTAAGTTTGGCCCTTTTCTAGTTGTCATAACCGCTGATGCAATTGGCATCCACACATCAAAGCATTCTCATATCTGTTCACCTCCAGTCTAAATGAAGCTCCAGTTTATTCTCATTGGCCTATGCAGCAGAAAAGGAGTGGATATGTGGCAATATTCCGATGTATTATGTCAGCATAAGCAGGTAATTTGGATGTAATCCCGAAAACTCACCCCTTAACTAAGAAGTTGTGGAGTAGATTTGTGTCTATTTGTTCAAATATGTTACTCACTGTCCAATCAGCCTCTTAATTTGGAGCATAAAGCCTATGATCTGTGGAGAATTAGAAATTGTTTGATTGTAGATACTGTACAGCAACAGCTCTATACTCTAGTTCTAAATACTATACTAAGGAAATTAGAGGTCCCGGAAAAACAAGTACAAGGCTATTCCTGGATTGTTATTTACTCCAATACATTATTGCAACTACCTAAGATTCTGGTACTAGAAAACTGGTAGGAAAAATTGTGATATATTCATATGATGGAATACTTATGCAAACATCACACTATGTATTTTTAAAATAGTTCATTACTTGGGAATATGTTCATTACATAATATTAAATGAAAGTGGAAAACACAATCTGATTTAAATTTGTAAAAATAAAACTGAATATGGAAATATGAGTATACATTTAAATTCAACACTTTTCTGAACAAACAATATATACCAGATTGTTATCTTTAGTTGATGTCATGACAGCTGATTTGTATTTTATTTTTGTAAATTGTGAGTGCTAGGTACTCTTTCTAAAGTGATCACATAATGTTTTAAACAAATTAATTATTAACAAAGTGGAGGTATATAGGGATGTTCGAGTAATTTATTCTACAGAAACATTCAAAAGTCCTGTATAATACCAAATAAGAAAGCATATCTGATATACATTGTCTAATGCTATAGAGACCACACAAGAGTAAACCATAATTATCCCAGGCAACATTTCTTTCCCTAGAAATTCAACAGCTGCTGGTTTTCCAGAGTCATATAAAAATGTATTCTTCGGTGATAAACAACAAATTAAAATTTAAATCACATCAGAAAAGCCAAAGTCAATTTGGCTGAACCCTTCCCTCATTAATTTGGTCACAGTTTGGGGGAAATAGCTCCTAAGAACATTTGAGAAGAAACTCCCAAATGCCCAACTCCTAAAGTGTTAAATCAGGATTGCAGTTGAATTAGAGGCACCATCCTTGATCTGCATTTCCTGACAAGTTTTATGGTGTGCTTAGATCATAAAATATTTAAATCTCCCCAGTGCCTGATAGGTTGCTAAGAGCAAAATAGTTGCTTTAAAGAAATATACACTGATGCATAGTGATTGCAATTTTCACTAAATGAAATCTATCTCAGCAGGTTGATTTTGTCACTACGTCTTATTCTCCTAGACTCTCTTATC
The DNA here is from genome assembly GCF_000001405.40 of Homo sapiens. Lineage (NCBI taxonomy): Eukaryota > Metazoa > Chordata > Mammalia > Primates > Hominidae > Homo > Homo sapiens. The sequence continues at coordinate 1,497,592 of NC_000003.12, forward strand.
TAATCAAAGTAAAGATCTGACCTTTCACACAGTACTAGATCCAATTAATGCTTTGTAGTTGCTACATCTCTATGGAGACCCTCGATTTCTACTTGTTTGTACTGATTCACTATAAGAGCTATAACTTACATTTTATAATTAAGAAATAAATAACAGGATCCTTGGTATTTATCCAAATGAGTTGAAAATATGTCTACACAGAAATCTGCACCTGAATGTTTATAGCAGCTTTATTCATAATTACCAAAACACAGAAGCAACTGAGATGTTATCCAATAGAGGAATGCATTTTTAAAAACTGTGGTACATCCACAAAATGAAATATTATTTAGCAATATGAAGAAATAAGCAATATGAAGAAAAAAGAAAAATAAGAATTTTTTTTCTTTTGCTAAGAAAGAGAAAACAATCTAAAAGGCCACATACTGTGTCATTCCTACTATTCTGGGAAACACACAACTATAGAGGCAGTAAAAAGATGACTACTTCTCAGGGGTTAGGGGCAGGTAGGAATGAATAGGTATAGAGCTCAGGATGTATTTAGAATAGTGAAACTATTCTATATGCTGTTATAATGGTAAATACATGTCATTGTACATTTGTATAAAACCATAGAATATAGAATACCAAGAGTGAACCCTAATGTAAACTATGGGTTTTAGTTAATAAATATTTATTAATATTGGCCCTTTAATTGGAACATGCACCATACTAATGCCAGATGTTAATAATAGGAGAAACTATGACAAATATGTGGGAGAATTATATGAAAAATCTTGTAATTTATGCTTGATTTTTCTGTAAACCTAAGACTACCCTAAAAAAGGACAATCTATGAAATAAATAAATAAAAGGAAAGGAAAGAAAAAGAATTGAGAAAAGACCCTTTTATGTCTATTGTGTTGTACAACAAGTAATTTAGGGCTGAAATAAACTATTGGTGTTTGTATATTTATCTTATTTTAATAATTTTTAACTCATATTCTGCTATTTTATTAAATAGTTATAGCATTTTTATATAACGACAATTGAATGTCTTTTTACACTTCAAATTTATTTTATCTTTCCCCTCTTTCATTCCATTCTTCCTCCTTCTCCCTCCTCCCTTCCTTTGTTCCTTCCTTCATTCTCTCTCTCTCTGTCTGCAATATTTTGTTTTGTTTTTCTATAATGATTTTGAAATGTCAATGACAGAAGTAATTTTCTTTGTCCAGTGCATTTTAGGAACATGAGGATGGGAAATATCTTGAGTTAAGGGATTGAGCTTTAGGTTCATCATGAGTATTACAATAATCTATATATTATTCCTAAATATTAGATGTATAAAGTACTGCATCAAAAACTGATAGTAAGGAGAATATCAGAAATATTATAAAGATTGATTTATACTGGTACATTAAAACACAAAGTACATTTTTATGTGGATGTTAAAGAAAATATTTTTATAGGAAAAAGGTGAACAATTATGGACTAGAAAAGTTGATATATAAGAAGATAGAATGTACTATCATAGGTTTCATAGTGACATTTTGTTAAGTAATATATAACTTAGTGATGAGTGCAAGAAAGGGAAACCAGTGGCTTGTAAGACCGAGGGTTGGATTTGAAAGTTCACACGTCGTCAAAAATACCTGATATATTAAATCCATCTGTGCTCTGAAAAATCAAACAAATAATAAAAGAGGGGAAAAGGAAGAATCTGACATCAAATTCAACATTTTAGGGAGTTCTGCAAATGGGTCTACATGAGAAACACGCTTCTGGAGAAAAAGAAAAAATTTTGAGAAGAAACCAAACAAACAAAAACCTTTAAATGGCTACCTTCTAAGGTGAAGAAATTCCAGATCCTATCTCAGGGAGAAATGGGTCAAAAAAAGGGGGAAAAAAGAGAGAGAGAGAGAGAGAGAGAAAGAGAGAGGGCCTCTAATGTGGTGCTGTTAAGAAAGTCCACTGTTGTTTATGTTCACTCACACTATTATTTTAGGGAAGCATCCTTCCATTCCTAATTGGATAAAAGATGTCTTTCAATAGAAATATCTTGTCTTCATCTGTTTTGTGTTGCTATAACAGAATACTGCAGACTGGGTAATTTATAAAGAAAATAAGTCTATTTCTAATAGCTATGAATGTTTTGAAGTTTAATTTCAAGGTGCTGGCATCTGGCGAGGGTCTTCTTGCCAAGTCATCCCATGGCAGAAGGAGGAAGGGCAATTGCCCACAAGACAGCAAGAGAGAGTCAAACTTGTATTTATAACACGCCCAATCTCTCCATAACTAACTCTCTCCAACAATGATGACATTAATCCCTTCATGAAGGCGGAGGCCTTATGATCTAACCACCACTTATTAGAGCCCTACCTCCCAAAACTGTTGCACTGGGGATTAAGTTTCCAACACATGAACTTTGAGATACACAATTCAAACCTTAGATATTTCCGTAATCACCAATCAAAGTCATAATAAAATGTTCCTTCATTATAAATCAAGATAATCTTTTTAAAAAATTTAATCTATGAGCATAATAAATTGTTATTAATACAATTTTGCTGAAGTTGAATCATCTTTGCACATCTGGAATTAATTAATTCCTGGTACATTTTTTAAAACATGCTGCCTATTTAAATTTTGTTTACTTTCTTTATATCTCTTATAAGTGAGGTATATCAGTGGCTTTCCTTTTTCTGCTACCTTATCAAATTTGAGATGTGGCTATGCTAATCTTATTAGATGAAAACAAGAGCTTACTCTCTTTTCTATGCCATTGATCAATTTAAATAACACGAGAATAACTCATTCCTCATAGATTTGATATATCTTGCCTGTCAAAACATTAAGTGACAAAATTCTCCACTCCTTGTGGTTAAGGAAGATATTTTCACATACTTACCATGATCATCCCTTCAAAAATCTCTTCTAGAATATTTTCGGAGAATTAAGATCCTGCTTACCAGCATCTTTCCTTCTTACACATCCTAACCACATCAGCCCTTTTAATGTCCATTATTTCCCAAAGTTGGATGACGGAAGGATCAAATTATTTTTGTCTCATAAATCATTTCCTAAGAACCGATAGTATAAAACTAATTTAAACTTGTACATTGAAGACTGGCAAGAAGGGTGACTGGTTATGTCATCAAAATACCAGTTACATTTTTAACAAAAGAATTCAATGCCTTCACTTCAAGAAATAAATGACTATAAAGTGATATTTGAGAATTTATAACATGTTTTAGGTGAAACGTAAAGGTAGAGAAAAAATGTTTGGTCGGGAGATGGCTAATCAGACATAGGTAGAGGGAAAGGCAGCCTTGCTTTCTAATATATTAAGAGTATTTCAGAAACAGGATTATTGAAGATTTCTTTATTTTATTTTTAAAACATACCACCAATATTTTTCATTTTGCTCAGCTAGCCTAATGCTGACTGTTTCTCCAGGATCTCTTCTGTTAGGTGAAAAATGGAATACATATGGGGTGAGGTTGGCGGGAAGGAATAATAGAAACCAAAGCAGAATGAAATGCAACAAAACCACAGAAACTGTCAATAAAAAATTGCACCAGATAAGTTAAAGCAGACAAAGAAGACTTCATTCAGGACTATTACAATGGGAAACAGAGATGGAATGCAACTCAGTTGAACCAAAAAGTGGGAAAGTGTTTAAGCACTGGAAGAGTTGTGTGTTTGCTAATTGATGCTTATTAAAGTTAGAGTCCTACTTTCCTACATACTAGGAGAAAGGGCTGAACAGAATAGGTAACCCAGAAATAAACCCAAATACTTAACAGCCAAGTGATTTTTGACAAAGGAAACAGAAACATAAACTGGGGGAAAGGACACCCTATTCAACAAACGGTGCTGGAATAATTTGCAAGCCATATGTAGGAGAATGAAACTGGATCCTCATCTCTGAACCTATATAAAAATCAACTCAAGATGGATCAAGCACTTAAGTGTAGGACCTGAAATTATAAAAATGTTAGAAGATAACATCAGAAAAACCCTTCTAGACATCGCCTCAGGCAAGGATTTCATGACCAATAACCCAAAAGCAAATGCAATAATAACAAAGATAAATAGCTGGGTCTTAATTAAACTAAAGAGATTTGCATGGCAAAAGGAACAGTCAGCAGAGTAAACAGACAACCCACAGAGTGGGAGAAAATCTTCACAATCTGTACATCTGACAAAAGACTAGCATCCAGAATCTACAGCAAATTCAAACAAATTAGCAAGAAGAAAAAGAAACAATCCCATCAAAAACTGGGCTAAGGACATGAACAGACAACTCTCAAAAGAAGATAAACAAATGATGAAGAAACATATGAAAAACTGCTCAACATCACTAATGGTCTGGGAATGCAAATCAAAACAACAATACGATACGACCTTACTCCTACAAGAAGGGCCATAATCAAAAAATCAAAAAATAATAGATGTTGACGTGGATGTGGTAAACAGGAAACACTTCTACACCGCTGGTGGGAATGTAAACTAGTACAACCACTATGGAAACAGTGTGGAGATTGCTTAAAGAACTACAAGTAGAACTACCATTTGATGCAGCAATCCCACTACTGGGTATCCACCCAGAGGAAAAGAGATAATTATATATATATATATTATATATATCACAGTTTCTTTATGCACACATTGATTGATGGGCATTTGTGTTGGTTCCAGAATTTTGTAATTGTGAATTGTGGTGCTATAAACATGCATGTGCAAGTATGTTTTTGACACTTCACAATTGTGAATTGTGCTGCTATAAACGTGTGTGCAAGTATATATATATATATATATAATTGAATACTACTCAGCTATAAAAAGAAATGAATTAATGGCATTCGCAGCAACCTAGATGAGATTGGAGACTATTATTCTAAGTGAAGTAACTCAGGAATGGAAAATCAAACATAGTATGTTCTCACCCATAAATGGGAGCTAAGCTATGAGAACGCAAAGGCATAAGATTACACAGTGGACTCTGGGGACTCAGGGGGAAGGGATGTGAAGAGGATGAGGGAAAAAAGACTATAAATCGGGTTCGGTGTATACTGCTCGGGTGATAGGTGCACTAAAATCTCACAAATCACCAGTAAAGAACTTGCTCATGTAACCAAATACCACCTGTTCCTCAAAAAACCTATGAAAATAAAAAAAATCTAAAGCCTACGGAAACACACACACACACACACACACACACACACACACACACACACACACAAAGAAAGGGCCCAGGTCCTTGGGAAAAGCATTCCTGGGTTATAAACCTGGCAGGTGGCTGGGAGAAGATTTACATCTCAAACGACCAGATAAATAATTTACAATGTAAAATTATCTAAACTAAATGCTCTAAGAAAAGAGAGGTCAGGAGCTTCAAGTCAGGAAGAAGCTTGTCTCAAATTTAGCCAAGCTTAGGGGAATATTAAGGCCTTTTGATCAAAACCACTTTATACTTCTTGTGACCTCTTCATCAAGTGCTGCTGGCTTACTTTCATAGAACTAGGGTTTGGGAGACATTTACTTTTCTGAATTTTAGTTTTATTTATTTAATCATCCACTCATTCATTTTCAGAAGACACTTTCAAATTGGGCAATGCTTAACAGAGACTTACAAAGGTCTCTAATTTTCTCAAGCTCCTACTTCTGAATACATTCAAAACTTCAGATGTAAGTTTATTAAATGGCCTTAGCCTAAAATCCACTTGGGAAATGGAATTTGTTTCTTTCTTTTTAACTAAGAACTCTTTAATAAGTCTGATCCCACAAAGAATTCTCTAGCTTGTTTCTTACAAAAGAGTAGAAGGAACATATTACTTTATATAGTAAAAGAAAGCATTTTGGCCCCAAAGATAGCAACTTTATTAACAGCAAACAGGTGTAGGAAAAAATAAAATAAATGCCCTACTACTGATGGCGTTCTCTATATGTCTGTTGAGAAGAGGACAACTGGAAGAGTGTGAATGACGGGGCTTTAGTTACTGAAATTTGATTATGGGGCAAGGTTCTGGAAAAATCTTGACTTGTGCTAGTGTATAATAATAATAATAATAGAGCAAACAAAGATAGAAACTGTACTTCATTGAAGGGGCTGTGAAATAGAATTTTTAAAGTGTTCAAAGAAAGGCTATTTGCAGAACTTTATTGATGTTGTCAAGTAAAAAGTTAGCAGAAAGAGAAGAAAATGAGAAGGAAAGCAACTTGTAAGCCACTCATGAAACCTGTTGTATTAGTTTCTGTTTCTCCTACACTTTCTGTGCTCCTGTCCCAAGCATTTTCTGTATTCTGAGCCCAATCCTCTCAATGAAAAGCAAAAAGAGATATAGATTCCAAAGACACTCATGCCAATAACAAGACTCTAATGTCATTGAACCTGAAGTTTTTCTCTTGACACTAGCATGAATATAGTTGACATTTCCTTAATAAAGAGCACTGCTTTCTTCGTAAAAATGTGTAAGTGGAATGCCAATGTGGTACATTTTTTGACTAAAATGAACAACAGGAAATTGGGATTTGAGAATTTATAAGAAAAGGTGTGGTAAATGTCACATCCCCAGATCACCCTGCATACGTTCTAGTTTACATGTTCTCTTTTTGCTGATGTCTAATCATAATGGCATGACATAGGGTGGTTGAGGGGGAATCCTGTCATGGTGACTTTGACATCCCCTGAGCCAGCGGAGCATTTTGTGGTGGTTGAACTTTTATTAAATTAATTGCTCAATGCAATTCGCATGGGGTCACTTGGGGTACAGACAAGGTCTTTATTACATAATTCAAGGTAGTCCTTAATAAGAAATCTTATTTTTGTACTCTTTATAATTAAGATTCTAGATGCATAAGAGAAAATTTTTGTTGTAGGGAACACTAAGACAATGTACTAAGGCTCTTTCTGTTCTGTATTAATCTATTTTGAAACAACATATCTTTCCTAAGCATGATAATTTCACTACAACCTATGGTTATAAATACTCATAAGTATTAATAATTCCTATGGTTATAAATGCTCATAACTATTAATATTTCCATAGATCAATCAAAATTCTTTTCCAAAGTCATCGTGATATTATTTAGCAGGATGAATTCTTTTCCCAAGGTTAATATTTAGACATGAAATTTTATTCCCTCATATTTATCAATCAGTTCTAGTGAGGAAAGGGAAAAGGCAAGGCTGGGATTATACATTTTTAAAGATACTCTAAATATGGCCAATAAAGAGTTGGTTCTTCCTATGGGTACACAGAACAACAATATGATAAGAAAAGTTGAAGAAACTTTTTCATCTTATATAGAGCATCCCAAGTGTTTCTGGAGAAAACAACACAGTCTGTCAAAGCATATGTTTGAAGCTTGGTTAAAAATGACATATACATTCTAATCCTGGGATGACAAATTGATGAAGAATTTTAGATGTCACTCAGTCTAAGTCTTATATTAAAAAATAAAATACTTTTATTGGTAATTATTGCTAGGAATGATAATTGGCATATTTAAGATTAGAAGATTACAACTCAAACCTCCTGGCTGTGATTGCAGCATATTTTCCATTACACCAGACTGCCTGTTGTGATTTACATTCAAAACAACTTTTCGAAGCAAATGATGGAAGCTTACAGATGACTGAAGAGATTAGTCCCTGTTTTATCAACTTCCCTTTCACTTCTCTAGCAAAATTGAGCTGGCATATAGGGGCTATTCAATAAATTTCCATTATTAAAATATTAGCATAATTTATTATTCACAAATGAGCTTCTCCTGTGAGCACAGAGTTACTCCAGTCTCGAACTAATCATAATGGGGCAGGAGGCTTCAGTACTAACAAAAAGCATGGATCAGAATTATACCCTATGAGCTCCTACTTTGGTTCTAACATCCTCTGAAATAATTCTCTCTGCTTTTTATTTTAATATTGTGTTTAAACTATTTTTAAAGCCTTTTATTTTCATGGATGCTTGTCTTACTAATACAGTGCATTAAACAGTTCCTTCCTTTCTCCTCAAATCCCTCAAATCAGGATTAACTTGTTGAATTAGAAATGCGTCACTTCCTCTGTGACTTGCAAAGTATCTGCCCCGATTACATTTGGTAAACAAAATGAATAAATCGGCATTTCAGTGGTGTTCTTGAATTTAATTCATCCTGGAACTAGCAAAATAAATAACTGTTTTGTAATATATTATATATAACATATACCCGCAGATGAAGAGTGTTTGGCATTAAGGTATAATACAACAGAAACAGTCACAGGAAAGATTGATTTAAAGATGTTGAAGAGAGTTCAATTCTAACTAACAACTGAAATCACAATTTTAAAAATTCAACTTAATGTTCCTTTTAACAGAGAATTTAAAACTGCTTTAATTAGGAACAAAGCTCGGTTAACTAAAATGTTAAATGTGTCAAGTGCTGTAAGTTTCAAGTGAAAATAGCACACAATTTGAATTTGCAGATATCACAGTAGGCTGCCTGTGTCTTTTCAGCTTCTTGAATGAAGGAACTCATCTTAACCCGAGAGGAACAAACCAGAAACCAGTTTGTTGTTCAAATACATTTTGGTATCAATTTATGATTGGAGACAGTAGAGCATAGTGGTTAAGAAAATGTGGCCTCTGGAATTAGACTACCTGGGTATGTCTCTGAAATCTGGAAGTTCAGGTCTTACTACAAGGTCAGAGATTACTCATCTATAGCAGGTGTTAACTGTAGATGGCTCATGGAACAAATCCTGCTCACTGCCTGTTCTTGTAGATAAAGATTTATTGGTACACAGTGGACACCTGCTCATTTATGTACTATGTGTGGCTGCTTTTACTCTACAATAACAGAATTCAGTAGTTTCAACAGAGACATTGACCCACAAAGCCTAAAATATTAATTACTTGCCCCTTTACAGAAAGAGTTTGCCTAATTCTGGGTATAACAGTAATTAGACATAGGTTTGCAAGCTGAGTAAATTCAATGGTTTTGCTGGGAAGGACTTCTGTAGATTTAATACTAAAAATGTGCAGAATTATGTTGAAAAAGGTTCATAAAAAGTAGATTATCCAAAATTCTACTTATTTATATTAAAGCTTTATTGAAGCATAATTTATATACCATAACATTCACCATGGTAAGCACATGATTTAATAATATACTGTGCCATCCAGTTTTAGAGTGTTTTCATTACACTGGAAAACTCCTTTGTACCTGTTTTTAGACAATCTAGTCTCAAACAACTACTCATCTCCTTTTGGTTTCTATAAATTTGACTCTTATAAACATTTCATGTAAGTGCAATCATATAACATATCAACTATTGCATCTGCCTTCTTTCATTTAGAATATTGTTTTTTAGGTCCATTCATGTTGAAACATTATCAGTATTTTGTTCTCTCCAATATTAAAATAGTATTTTGTTATATGGATATACCATATTTTATTTATTCACCAGTCATGGACATTTGTATTGTTTCTAGTTTGGAGCTTTTATGAATAATGCCACTACTGTGAACATTCAGTAACAAGTCTTTATGTGAACAATATATTTTTTCATTTATTTATTTTATACAGATTCTTAAAAATGTGTGATCTGCTAAATTTATGCGTATTTTTTTCAGAAATTGCCAAACTGTTTTCCAAAGTGACTGTATCACGTTACATTCCCAGGAACAGCAAGGTATGATGGTTCCAGTTTTTCTGCTTCCCCATCAACACTTGTTATTTCCTCTTTCTGATTTTAATATTCTAGTGGATGTAAATGATATCTTGTTTTCATTTGCATTTTTAAACAACAAATGACGTTTCATATGTTTATTACCACTCACATTGTTTTTGGTGAAATGTCTACTCAAAATCTTTGCCAACTTTAAAATTTGATACTTTGTATTTTTAAGTTATAGAATGGTTAGAGTTCCATAAATGCTAGATTCAAATATTTTATCAGATATCTAGGTTTATTTTTAACAACTCATTTCTTCAGGTCAGACACAGCCCAGAGTAGCAATATCCTTCTGATTTCTGATAGATGGAACACTGTGTAGATGATGTGTAGACTTTGAAGTCAGACAGCCCTAGGTCCATATTTTATTCCTGCTGTTACCACCTTGTAGACTCTGACTGAGTTGAATCTCAAAGTTTAATTTCCTTCTCTTTAAAATGGAATTAATAACACAAACATCGTGTGAGAAATTAATAAGCAAGTTCAAGTCAGCAACTTACCTCAAAATGAATAGATAAAACCCAATTCCTCCCCTCTAATACTTATATTATCTTCGGAAGAGAAAGATGTTTAAATAGAGAATGTCATCCTGCCAGGTTCTATTTTTGAGGTATTTACAGGATCTAGCAGATATTCAAAAGAAGGAAATTGAACCCATCTAGGTGGGGTGATCAGGAAGTTCTTGGTGGCATAATATGGATAGTAGGCATTGTTAAATACTGAGTGGAATGAGCCAGGAGGAGGAGAAATGCAAAGCTAACTCTGGTATGTGAGTGTCTTTCTTTACATTCCCTCTGTGTTTGATTACCAAATAAATTTTTTATGTGGAATTTATAAGTGAATTATTTTTTAGAGAGTGTTTGTTTTCTACCCACTGACAAAGAAGCGGCATTCATGTCAAGGCCGTCATGGCAAATGAGGGCTAAACTTATGAAGATTGGTCAGTTGCAGTAAGATTTGTGAATAATTTGATAATAAGATTCAGAATCGTTTCTGAAGGATTTGTAAATAATTGCTAGAAGGGTTAGGTTGTAATTATGCATTAAAAAGAAACCAGAGTAACCCAGTTTCCATTATTTTCTATTTCCTTGCAATGATATAGAGCTATAAAAATGGCTGGATTTTTTTGTGCAATCAGCAGAGAAAGTAAGAAAGCTAAGAAACACTGGAAGGCACGTTAACTTTTTTAGGCCAACTCACAACCCCCTAGTATTATTAATGAAACTTTAGCACAGCCTAGTTGTGCATGTGTTTTGTGTTAAATTGATAACAAAATGAAAGTGTGATAGGCAAAGCATTAGGGGAAATTCTGGGTGCCATTTGATATCCTTTTTTTAATTCTTATTAGGAGCCTGTCTTCAAAGTGTCTTTCAGTTTGGCTTAATGTGAAAAAGAGGAGAATACTTATTTTATATAATAATGTGACATTATACGAAATGAGAATAAAAGGATGGAGGGAGTTCAAATCTGGGAGAGGCTGAGAAGAGGAAGGGTAGCAAAAAGCCAGATGGAATGTGGAGAGAAGATAAATCAGGATATGGAATGTATGCACTCTTCTTTTCCAGGTAGTGGTCTTTCAGAAAGTCCAGAAGCAGTTCATATCCTGACATTACTTCCTCTCAGGAGAATTGGAAACTTATGTACAAAAACAGTGTTACCAGGAAGCCACAGACAATATAAAATGTGTAGGCTCTTCCAAGAAGATTTATCATCAATTACTATGAAATGCAAAAACAAACAATCACCTGTAAGGGGAACGCTGGAAAAAACTGTAAACTGTCAAGTGTGGAATTAAAAAAAAAAATCCAGGTAAGTCTCATTCATGAACCCTTCTCTCCCTCTTCAGCAGAAAATAATAGTATACATGAACAGAAGTAGTGCTATCTACGGGCAATTTTCAGATAAGTCAAAATTATTAGCATGATATGGGAAAGGGATGGGAGAGAGAAAGATAATCCAAAATAAAGCAAAGAAAAAATTTTAGTTAGTAATGGAAGCTAAAACAAAGAATTGGCTGTGGGAAAATATCTGTGAAGGTCTATAGGGACTGAGATTTCAACTCCCAGTATAGAATAAAGCACAGCTTTGATGGTTATCAGTTTAATTTGTTCTTGAATTAAAGTAGGCTTTTCTTTCACTTGTTTCCATGGATCCACTGAACTGGGTAGCTGCTAGCTAGAGTTTCAATAGGGATATACAGACACAACATTTAGATTCAAGTGAATAGGCCATATTATATAAAAAACATATTTGGCAGAAAAATCTTTATTTGAACCATAAAGAATGGATGAGTTTATGAGATAAATCAAAGCAACTATATAATAGGTGATTTGCATAGACACAGAAGTCATAACAAATGGCCTATGTTTCTTTCAAGATCTAGTTCAAAGACCTTCCCTTGATCTCCTGATCAAAATTAATCATCCTTCCTCTTCACTCTCACTGTTCTCTATTGTAACAATTATTTCATGTTCCCTTTATTATTATATACATGCTTTATCCTTGAAGACAAGAACTATGTCTATCAGAGTTTTGTTTGACCACTATACACACACATGCATCTTTCCCCTAGCATATGGGGTATAATATTGTGCAGGTATTGGCAGCATGAACTCTAATCACAGAGCAACACAAAATTTTGAACATGGCTCACCATGTAAATGTTAGATTAGATTAACTATACAAATCTGAGATAACTTACTTAGCCTTTTAAATTTTGTTTCTTGTTTTGCGAATTTGGATAATTCCTATTGAACCAGTTGCCACAGGGTGAATTGAGATATATTTGTCCCACCTCTTTCAGCTGCCATAGAAAGACAACTTGAATCATCTTACACAAGGAAGAAAAAAAAAAAAAAAAGCAGATGGAGAAGGTGGCTTTGGCTAGGGAAATGAAACTGGGAAAGCTCTCAGATCAAAGAAAGGATTCAAGGATTCCAGGACACTCCTGGGTTTTTAGGTATATTGTTTCCCCCAGAGAGATGGGGTCTAGCTCTGCAGCCCAAGCTGAAGTATAGTGACGCAATGGTAGCTCACCACAGCCTCGAACTCCTGGGCTTAAGCAATCCTCCTACCTCAGCCTCCCAAGTAGGTGAGAATACAGGTGCACACCTCCATGCTTGCTTATACTTTTTATTTTTAATTTAGAGACGGAGTCTTGCTATGTAGTCGAGTCTGGTCTTGAACTTCTGGCTTCAAGTGATCTTCCCTCTTCAACCTTCTAACGTGCTGGGATTACAGGTGTAAGCCACCACTCCCAGCTGAGTCTTCAGGTATTTCTGAACTCAACTCCAGCAGCACCATTTTCCTGAGCTCCTAATTTCCACATTTTAATAAATGTCAGCTTTATTTCCTCAGTCTTTGTATATGTGAAGGGAGGGGCTTTCAAAACAACAAAGAATTCATTCTCCCTGTGAACTCTAGCATTACAAATGCCAAGAAAGGACTTCAGGTTGTCTCACTGAGGCCCTGTGTCCACTCCTGGTTATAATCAGGAACTTACTAGAAAGAGGGAAGAAATGGATTCTTAGCGGATAAAAGGCAGTAACTAGAAAGTGCACCCCACACCAGATGCTTAGCACAATGATTACATATAGTGAAAGCTTAATGAGTGGTGTCTTTTTTAAAAATAATTTTCATGAACAACCAGTGAACTCTAGATAAACAATGATTTTACTATCTGCAGTGGCTTATGCAATACGAATTTGTTACATGTATATCTGCGGACAGGGTGAAAAAATAATGATCTGGATTATTATAGTGCACATCTTTCCTATATCAGTAAATTGCAATATCCATCCTAAGCATACAAGTTTAGCAATTGATTCTCTCTAGACTGCATAAAGACCCAGTCCACTTCTTTCCACTTCTGTGGATACAAACCCAGACTAAGGCACTGACATGCCTCAATGGATTGCTAGGCTTCTAAATAAATTCTCTGCTTTCACTTTTTTCCTTAGTGGCTGATTTCACCACAGTAACCACAGTGATCTTTTAAAAGCATATTCAACTCTTCTGTTTGAAATGAGTGTCTGCTCATTGCAATAAGAATTTAATCTAAATCTCTAACTAGGCTTAAAATTCTTCCGCCATCCAGCCTCTGCCTCCCACGGCACCCTCATCCCTTACTGCTCTATGTCCCTGTATGACTAGCCTTCCTTCTGTGTTTCAGGAACCCAACATACTCCCAGCTGAAGATGTTGACACTGTTTTTCCTTTCCAGAATGTTCTTCTTTCAGACTGTTATGAGGCTGCCTCTTTTGTGATCCTTCTTCAGATTGCTAATGAAATGCGTCGCCATAACCAGGAGCCTTCCCTAATATTTTTGGCTAATGTAACACACCCCGATCTCATTTCCCATTCCCTTCACTAGAATATAAACTCCCAGCAGGTAAGAATTATAGCTCTCTTGTCCACTACATTATCCCTAGGCTTAATATATAGGAGGGACTTAGTAATTATATGATGGTAATAGACCAAGGGTGATTAAAGTAGAAAAAAGAAAAGTTGCCAGCTCAAAACTCTCACATTAATAGATGTTAAAACTTGGAATTAAGAAACAGTCTCTGTAGGGCTTTGTTAGAGAGATGATTTGACACACTGTCATTGAGATGTGAGGGGTATTGCAGACCGGATAAGTAAGTGGTTACCTGATAAAGTCCTAAGGGAATGGAACCCAAATTAAATATTTTTGAGGAACAACAGAGAAATAAACATCAGATAGATTTAGGAACCTGCTCAGACTTCTTATCCTGTGATTTGTACAACCAGGAAACAGTATAAAGTAAAAGACCACTAGGCTCCTTAGAAAGACCACAGTACTAATATTTAAGGCAATCATGGTTCCTAATTTTCTGGAAATGTAGACATTGAAATGGCAGAATAACAGCAGGCTTAGTGTTGGAAGACCAGACAGAGGTAGTCATGACCTTGTTGGGTGACCTTGAACAAATCCCTCTTGTCACTGACCTCCAGTTTTCACCTCTGCAAAATGAGGGTTGGCTTAACGACATGTAGAGCCTTTCCTACCCTAATATATATGAGCCTATAGACTTCCTCACAGAAGCATTCTTCAAATATAAAAGAAAGGTTTACAGAGCCTTGGGAGTCTTCCTTAAAGTCTATAGGGAGTGAACACCAAGAAAAAGTATATCAATTGCCAGGCAGCTTCTCCCAGGTACAAACTAGGATGGATGTGGCAGTAACCATCCTGGGACTGTCCTCTTTATTTTGTCAGCTCAGTAGAGGATAAACGAGGAATGTTAAGATGAAGTCATGGGTGTGTGTGTGCTTGTGTTTTTATGCTTGTAGATTTTGTGTCTTTTATTATATTGGTTTGACCTTCTTTAAAAATTAACAACAACAAAAGGCAGTTTTATTTTAGGGCTTTTAAAAAATATTGTTCATAGTATCTTTGTCATAGCTCCCAAGAATCTCAACTACAGCTGAAGCTGCAAAATCTTTGTCTTGTTAGCTGCAGATATTACTATCTTAATGTGGGTTACAGATTCTACTACAAGCCTGAAAAGAACCAGAGATCCAGCGGAAGAGGTTACATGCTTAATTCTTAATTCTTGTATCTGTTATACTTTGAGTGCACCAAAGCAGTGAAAATTTTCCAGAGCAAACTCAGATATGCCCCAGATTTTGGAGGACAGGATCTATCCATCAAGAATTTCAGGTTAGATTCCAATAGCCAGTGACTGAGTCTCACAAGCAAAATGAGGAATTGCCTCTTTGAGAGAGAATTCCACAGAAGGGAGGCACCTCGTGTGGGATGAAATGAAGCTTGCTATTGGAAACAGGTCTTCATGAAGACTAGTCACTACAAAAGTTTTGGTGATATTAGAAACAGACACTTTAAAATTCCATCTTTATCAGAAATGTTTCTGCTTGCTATTTACAGGATGGAACTGAACTAGGAAAAGCCAAGGGTAATGGTCTTATCCTAATACAATTTGCAAACCTCACTGTTTTCACTGTTCTGTGGCCATTTCAAGACAGGTTTAAGGAAGTAGATATAAAATAAGTAGTAAGTATGATTCTCTGTGCAACAGGTTAGAAGATAAAAAATATATATATATTTGCTACTAAAGATTTAAACAGAGGTCCTCAATTTTTTAGCATTTAGACAGCAATTTTTTACAGATATGTATGAAATGTTCAACCCTCCATGTGAGAGGAAACTGGAATACTTTGCCCCAAAATCTACTTCTTTGGCATATTTCAAGACGGCTATTCAAAGGGGCTACAGACAGTAGAATAGCTCTGAAAAGCTGTCTTTTTGTGGGAGGGATTTTCATCTGTAGAGGAAATCTACATTAGTGAAGTAAAGAACAGATGCAAACAGGCTTTCTCTGAGACTCCCCTTATCTGCCTTGTCTAGATCTAGGAAAGATTAACTCACGGGAAAAGGAGACCTAATAGTCTGACACTTTTAAATGTCTGAGAGAGAAACTTTAACTACAGCCTACTGTTTATCCTTTCTCCTGGCAGCTCGAAGATTACCTGAGAGGTTTTCATCTGCATAACAAGACAGCCTTTGCTTGGCATGCCTTCCTCCCCTCACTCTTCCAGAACCTGTGATGCCACCTCCCCCTGGGAAACCCCAATCTCCTGTTCTTTCTGTAGCCTCAGGATGATAGAAACATTTTAACCACCTGGCTCCACCTCTGAGCCTCATACATAGCACATGGCTTCTGTGCTGACGCACATGATAAAATCTGTATTTTTTATACATTTTTTTCTTTTAATCTATCTATTGTCAATTCATCTCAATAGACTTAGACCTGAACCTTCAAAGAGAAAGTTTGAACTTTTCTAAACATGAAAATAATAAATAGGAACACACACACACACACACACACACACACACACACACCCCTTATTATCTGGACAGAGGAAAATAATACCAAAAGAAATCTCCTGCTAAAGAGAATGCAAGGAGGGTTAAAAGATCGTTATTGCATATTATAAATATAAAAATGTTGTAGAATCCCAAAATCCAGTTTTGCATACCCAATGCATAGTAAGCCAAACACTGACACATCAGCACTTAGGAGCAGAGACGTATTTGATTTTTCCAAAGCAAGAAAGTCGGAGAGACAAATATCACAAATTCAACCTGCCTTTGAACATAACTGGGAGCTTAGCTTTTATGAGTAAGGTAGGTATGCGGGAGGTGAGATCCCCAGATGATCAAAGATGTTTTCTTCCCTCAGCCTGATCAAACTCCTGGATGCCATCAAGGAGGTCTGCATGACCTAAGGATCATTTTTCTTTAAAAGAAAAACAAGTTCATTAATCTTGCGGGCAGCCCTCCGGGGTTAGTGTATGAAGTTAATCAATTACTAGTGACTCCCCTCTATAGAAATGACTATGAGCAATAAGCGTGTGTGGAGGGGGAAAAGGAAAAAGAGAAAGGAAGGTAAATAAAACAAACACCTTAAAATTTTTATAACGCAGGCTTGGTTACAAAAAGAGAAGAAATTCATTCTGATTCCAATAATCTAGAAATGTGGAAAGGTTCGATTTGAGTAAGGATATCACTTAGGAGTAAACCTTTCCTGAATGAGCACTGGGTTGTGAGTATATGCAAAAGGCTAGAAACAGCAGGTACTATTTGAAGAGAAGTAGGCAATCTCATGTGACAGAGGTATAGGTAAGTGAAAACGTGATTGAGAATATAGCTTGTTGTGGCCAACACTGGGGTTATGAATTTAACCTCATAAGAATATAAACCCCTCCCAGCACTTTGGGAGGCCGAGGCAGGTGGATCACCTGAGGTCAGGAGTTCGAGACCAGCCTGGCCAACATGGAGAAACCCTGTCTCTACTAAAAAAATACAAAAATTAGACAGGTGTGGTGGCACATGCCTGTAATTCCAGATACTCAGGAGGCTGAGGTGAGAGAATCTCTTGAACCTGGGAGGCAGAGGTTGTGGTGATCCGAGATCATGCCATTGCACTCCAGCCTGGGCAACAAGAGTGAAACTCTGTCTCAAAACACAAAACAAAACAAACAAACAAAAAAGAACACAAACCCTTTGTTATAGTATCAAGTATGGTACCATTCACCAACTCAAGGATGAGTATCAAGGATGAGTTCAAATCCTATACCTTTAATAAAGCCTTTCTAATTATTGTAGCTCACAATGATATCTCTCTACTATGACAATCTTTATTAGCTAATACAGATTTTCCCCTTAATTACAATCCATTTTGTCTCAATTTCTACCTGCTTCATTTGTGTTCATCATGTTTCTCACAAGAAACTTAGAACTCTTTGATGACTAATTTTATAGTATAAAATGGTCAGACACAGTTTTAGGTACTAAGCACTAAATAAACACATTACTGACTACTATAAAGTGAGGAGGAAAATCATAATCCAAAATCAAAACAATTACAGTCACAACCTCATGTGCTTTGCTTAATTCGCAGGACAGATATGGATCCTGTCCAGCGACAAGAAGGGAACTTGCATAAAGGGTTTACTTTATGTACACTTCAGTCATATTCACCCTGCTGTGTGGTCAAAAATTCATATTATCAGAGTGCCAACAATGCATCAAATGTGCTGTTAATTTCACTCACAGCAGAGGTTCTGCACTTTGATGAGAACCACTTAAATTTAATAGAGAAGCAAGCTGCCCTATGCCTGGTCTCAAACTGGAAAGTGACCCAAAAGCCAGGAGACAGATTTATGTGACATGCACAGAAGGTGATATGTGCCTCTTGGCCCACAGAGCAGATTTTTGGCCAGAGCTTGATGAGTAGATACGGCAGTCTGGAGACAGAACCTCCGTTGTGCTGTGCACGAGTAGGCAGGCTTGTTTCTTTCATGCATGGCCCAGAAAAAGGACAACCCTCATTTTAGAGAGCTGATAAAAGTGTAAAAAAAAAAATTTATCCAATAGAGCAGCTCTATGCAGACACCAAGGCAACCAGCAGTCCTGGAGGGAGGGTGCAGCCTGCCAAGACGATTGTCAGAAATGGTTGCCAGAGTCAGATGCTATGGATGTAGGAATACTGTCTGTAGCTTGGAGTTTGGAACCTACATTAAGTTCAAAGACGAGCGGCAATGACTGATTCAATTCCCAGGGGAACACCCAAGCTATGTTATCTATAATTTATTTGACTTTAAAGGCAATCTTTGATTTCGAGGACATACACAAGGAATGATGTTTCCTCTGTAAGAGAATCTGCCTTAGAGCGTGTGTGCTCTGGATCTCTCTAAAGATGAGCATGAAGATTGAAATGACAGAGGGTGCTCATCATGAACTGTCTTGATTAGGTAAATTCTGATTATATTTGAGTCAAGCCATGGGAGTATAAGCATAACTCTAAAGCAACAAGCCTAATTGGTTCAACAGAGTTATGAAAACTGGAGCAGAATTGTCAATCGCCGTACCTAACTAACGGAACAATAGAGCCACCCTACAAATAGTTGGGAAATTTAGAAAGTAATCTGTCAAAGTCTGCACAGCAGTTGTTGAAATGCTTGTCCCCAAATTGTAACCAGAGTGAGGATGGGTTAGGTAAGTGATGATGGCTGGAACTTTTGTCTCAGATCAAAACTTAAGACTATACTCACCTAGCTAATATCCTCCAGTAGTGTATTAGGCTGTTTTAAGGACAATCAGATTATTGATGTAAATGCAACTGAAAGGGATGTAATCTTTATTCATGTCTTGCAAAGTACATATTCTCTCTCTCTGTGTGTGTGTGTGTGTGTGTGTGTTTAGGGAGTGTAATTATTAAAGTAAACAATATAGCAACAAAATCATCCCAAGTTTTAGCATATATACACAACATATCAGTGTTAGATATATAGCAATTGCATAGTCTAATAATTACCCAATAGGATACCTTTACTCTAGGAGATGAAGTTTGAATAATTACATGCACAGCTTATGTCTGGCCACAACTTCAGTTGCTATAATCAGAAGTATCCTTAAAAGAATGAGGTCATACACAAATGTAATCAACACCTGCTATACTATGCTTTTATGACCCAAGCATGTCGGGACGTACATCAAACCTTAGATCATTAATGTGTTTTAGCAGTGATTAGTTAGCAGCAAGAATTAGGCACATTTATAGCTACCAATTATTCAGCGAGCTACTGTGCTATCATAGTAGAGTGTTTTTAGTCTACTCAAAAATTACAAAGTTTCATTTGTTATTTTATGTAGAAAGAAATTGATACCTAGAGAAGTTAAATAATTAGCCTAGTAAAATGCTATTGATAAACAGTGTTCCTGGGTGTTACATAATGCTCTAGGTGATATTAAGGATTCATCTTTTTTGTTCCTCTTTATTCTCTGATTCATATCTATGTTTCTTTGATTCACGTCTATGTTTCCTAGTGACATGGGAAGTGGGATGGAGTTTTTAGGACGAAGGAAATGCATACTGATGGAGAATGTGACAAAGGTACCAAAGATTGCATACATCTATGTTAAGATTCTGTCTAATAATGTAAATGAATGACTTACACAAGTATATGTTTTATAGTTTGTGATAGGTTTTATATATATTTCCTTACACAGTGACACTGTGAATTGCTGTAGTTTACATTTTGCAGATGTTGAAATTGCAGAGCTCAGAAAGGTTATGTGGCTTGCCTAAGGTCAAACAATGTAGTATATAGCAGAGCTGGGTCTTAAGCCCAGATTTTCTGAGTCAAAATCTAGTTCTTTCCATTACAGCATTCTTATAAATCCTCAGAACATAGCTGTTCCTCCAATGTGGGTCTTGGATATATGGTATCAAATCACTTCAGATGATAAATTTAGTTTGTTGCAAAACCATTACTAAGGTAAGTGTAAATATCTTATCAATCATCTTATTGTTTGTTGTTACTTTTTGGCATAAGTGAAATTGGATCTATAGGCATTTGGATTCAGACTGTCGATAACTTCCTTCAGAAGACATTGTAATTGATTCTTTCCTGCATCTTGTTATCAATGTTAATAATATATGCTACTCCAACATAATGTACCAGTTTACTGAGTTCAGTGGGATATTCCTGCATCATCAAACTTCAAAATTGGAGTATTGCTATGAGAAGCATTCATGCTATATTGTTAGCAAGTATAATATTTTATAAAGTTCTTGCTTATATATTTATAGAAACTGAGAGTTCTAACCAAATTATGACTGACACACCTTTTACTGTATCGGACCCAGTTGTCTTCTTTTCTGAGGCAAAACACATGTAAGGAGAATTTGGATGCAGCAGCATTGAAGAATAAGGTGTTTTTGTACTATGCATTAATGCAGACAGCGTGTAGGGTTGAATTCCATTATGAATGCAACTATTTATATCCAATATCCATTATCATTAATGGACAGATTTTCTTGTGACTCCAGTGTGGAATCCATAAAAGATACAAATTTAATAGCAAACAAAGTCATCATGTTCAACCATGAAACAGCTGAGAAAGAAGGGGCTGAGGGTTGCATTTTCTATTCCAAGATACCTGTCTTTAGGATTCTAAAATACAGATAGTATATGCCTATCAGAATGCATGTGTGTACACTCCAAATTCTGTCTTATTGCTCAATCTGGTTTGTTCTATGATTTGGAATATGTCACTTTACCTTTCTTTAGTGTCATTTTATCCCTTCATAGTGCTTACAATTTTCAAAAACACACTTCTGACTTAAATGAAATATATAGTCAAAGATAAACAATATAACAAATATTTCCAGTGCTGAGTCTTTTTTATAATGTAGAAATGTAACAACTTGATTCCTGCGTTTGAAAAAGTTTAAAAGAAAATGACATTTTCTCAATTGCAATATTGCTCAAAATAGAAAGATGGACAGAACTCTTGTGGTGATTTTCGTTCCAACTAACCATCCAGCTAGGGAAGGAGTCAGATATTATGCAAAAAAGGAGGAAAGACACTTATTTTGATCACTGATTTCTACTTTGAACAGTTAGTATTTTTAGTCATGCAAGATTTATCGGGAAATCTAAAAGTTCTTAAAAAGATGATACCACTATGTATAATCAAAATATTGTTGTGAAATAAAAATCTATTTTCTTCTTTTTTAAAAACCTTGAAAAGTTAAAAAAAATCGTATTAATTGAAAGAGAACAACAATCTACAGTGAAAGCCATTGTGGAGCTACTTTAACGATACACAATCTGTGAGCTATCTGAAGACTGTAAACACACTAATATTTCAAGAAGTATAGGATGAATCACCCATTTAGAAACATTGAAGAGAAGATGAAGAAGCTCGGAGTGAGTTGTGAAGCAATGAATAAGGATGTATTACACACCAGAAAGCCATCAATATTTGTTTATTATGTCAGGGTAAGGAATAAATCTGTGAGCTAATTTGTATTCTTCACAGTTAATTCCAGTGTTCCTGCTTGAGCATTTTTGTTTCAGAATGAGTGCTGCACAGCTGTTTAATGGTGCCATCAAGAATTCGGAAAGTCATGGTCCCTTGGAGATAGAAAGGCATTGTAAAGTATGATATCAAACCACAAATAATGAAGCACCATTACCTTACAACATCGTATACTTCTCCTTTGCGTTTTCTTTCTCTTCTCTCTCCCTGCCTCACTCTCTTCCTCTTAAGATAATTGGATTTGTTAACATTCCCTTCATTTAAAAAAAATACATCTACTCAGAAGACGAGCAAAACAACCATGAGTTTAAATGATCAAAAGATTTCTTTTGTTGCAACTGCAAGCTTTTTGGAAAAGATTTTTTTTAACTTAGTTTGCTTTAGTAATGACTTTGTCAATAAAATTAAACACAGAAATTAAACAATTTCATATGTAGAAAGACCTACGCTTACACATTGCTCTTAGGTAAGTCACTATATATATTATAGCTTAGGTTTATACATGTACCTATGTTAAAGTAGACGTTTTTTAAAAATTATTTATTTCACTTAGATACTAATTGCTATCCATCTTTTGTGTTCTGTAATGCCACATGCTTTGCCTTCTTTTCTGATTTTGCTACCCTACAGACAAGATTTACACTTGCTGCCTTACCTTACTTTAAAGGAAAATTGAAATCCTTAACTCTGCCTGAAATTACGAGACGAAAGTGACAAAACTGGACTTGTGCTCTCAAACTCTCATTAAATGAGGTTGAAGTTTGCTCAGTCCAGTGTCACAGAAAGTTCCAGATGAGAATTCTATTCTAGTGATTACAGTCCTGTACATGTATTTATTGTAGATGTAAAGGCTGAGATACCTACAGCCTTGTTTTTGTGATTGCTTTCCTTGCTGGTAAACTAAAGAATAAATTAGTGTCCGTCTACCAGTAGTTTCAAAGTCTTAGAAAACTGAAGAACAAATAATCTAAGAAATATTTGATGTCCTCTCCTACTAAAAAAAAAAAAAATCCCTCTTAACCAAATCAACTATAAGCAATTTCAAAATCACATGACTATATTGCTAGGCCAGTCATCAAGAGCTTGTCTTGTCTTCAAATATGAAATTCTATGTATGATACTCACATTTTTCTCCTACCAAATATTTTTAATGACAATTTCTTTCACTCTGATTGCTTTTATGTTCTTAGTGTTATATTAACATCAATAAATATTAAATGGCCTACTCTTGTAAGAAAAAAATATATGTTTTTCTCAAGTTGTATTTTAATCCACATATAAGGATATGCCTTTTCAAATATGTATACAGTATATATAATATGAGTGAGTCCACATATATTTGTACTTATAAAATATCAAACACTGGTTATTAATAAAAAATTTAACCAATTACATTGATATTTGTTCGCTTAATCTGAAACTTCTGTCCATTTGACAAGATCCAGATGATGCAATGAATATATTTTTAAATTTTTGCAGGTATATACATGACTAGTGCAACTGGTAGAATAAAGAAAATGTAAGCACATATAATAATTTCTATTATCTGGGTGCTAAATATTGCTATTTAAAGATATTGATGAAAGGGTCATATTTTTCAGGGTATATATTTTTCCCCAGTAGTAATATATTAAAACTATGTAAATCAACTCTTTGTTGTCTTTTTTGTTTTGAGGGGAGGTGGCAAAAGGAACACTTTTATAAATGCTCAGTTAAAAACAGAGCACATTCTATTTCATAAGTCTCTAAATTGTTCCAACAATGAAATAAAAATCTCAATTTTTATTTGTTTGTTCACTAAAGAATTATAAAGTCTTCAGAGGAGAACTGATTTCAGAATCATGGCTATGAATGTAAAGAAGGTCATAAAGGCTTTGTGTTGACTCTCACTTCTGGTTTTCCATTAATCATCTGGTTCTATAACATCTAGTTTGCAATACTATGAAGTTAATCCCTGATTCACTTTGAAGGGCTAAAGTTATGTCTTAGAAAATCGCACATCTGAGGCAAATGATGACATGTATAATTAAATGAGAAATAACATACTTCGTAGGAAATATTACATGTTGTAAACTTGTTTCGTACACAAAGGATTTAAAGAACTTCCTTTTTCCCAAAAACATTAATTTTAGAACTTTACATTCTAACCACACATGCTTAAAGAGAGGTTTTATACTGTCCTTGGTCCTGAGCAAAACCCTAGTATATTCTGTCAACCAACTGTACATACTAGGTAGCTTACGGATCAGTAGTCTAATTTTTCTCATTCAATAGCATTAGAGTTGACATGCTTGTGCAGTTTGGTTTATGTCTGCCTTCCTACAGCTACTCAGACATGGTTTTTTTCCTTCAAAGCTTCAGTTATGTATTGACCATAAAGCGTACCAAGCCTCAGAGAATAGGAAGAGTCCAATGTGTTATAAAGGCACAGCGCTTACATGTATGTAGTAACATCTCTACCAGGAAGCCAGTGTCTGAGAGTCAACATAATTCTTTCTCCTATTAACTCTGGCACCTGCTTGAGATCCAGAAAATAGAAAGATTGTTGTTCTTTTGTAGCTTTTTAGAGAAGGGGTCTGCAGTTCTTGTAGTTCTAAGTTTCCCAGTGCAACTCAACAATTTGTACTGACTTAGCTTGAAAGTCAAACAAAAAGGAAAGCATGCAAAACCTTTCAGTTATATCGAGAGAGGTAGAGACAGCCCCATAGTTGATTCCTGTTCAGGATACGTTGTGAAGGCCAACATGGTGTTTATGAAGTGACAGAGATGGAGAATTATTGGAAACAGTAGCAAACTACAAGTGAAAAACCTTGTACAATTATTCTTAACATATTATTTATATTCAGATGCAATTCTACGAATGATAAATAGATGCTTTTACTTAGTATAAGTTGACTTCCATCTGTGTTTCTTAACAAAAGAATAATGAAAAATTTGCAGGGAGCTTTACTGCAAATTCAATTAACATTTATATTACTATGTCACTCTTGATAATTTAAATTAGATAATTGTATTATTAATCATTGAATACCTACTCTGTTCTAGACACTATGCTAGGAACTGGAGAAACAATGCTATTTGTTGAATATGTCCACTAAAGTTGATGTGTTGGAAAGCTAATCCTCAATGCAATATTGTTGAGAGATGAGTCCTAATAAGAGGTGATTAGGACATGAGTATTCTGTCTCATAAATGGATTTATGTTCTTATTGCAGAGGTGCTTAGTTATTGTGAGAGTGAGTTTTGTTATAAAAGCAAGTTTGGGCCCCTTTTGCTCTCTCTCTCTTGCCATGAGGAGCCTTCTGACATGTTATGATGCCACAAGAAGTCCCTCTCCAGATGGCGTCAGATGCTGACACCTTGGAGGTTGGACTTTCAAACCTCCAGAACTGTGAGAAATAACTTAATTTTCTTTATAAATTAACCGTTCTTAGGTATTCTGTTATAGTAGCACAAAACAGACTAAGACAGAAAATTGATACTGAAAAGTGGGATTGTTACTACAACAAATTCCTGAAAATGTGGAAGTGGCTGTGGAACTGGGTAAACAATGGTAGAGGCTGGAAGAATCTGAAGGAGTGGACTATGAAAAGCCCAGTTTGCCATGAATGGAATGTTAAAGGCAGTGCTGGTGAGAGCTCAGAAGACAAAAAATGTACAGAAAGTTTGGAACTTCTTAGCGATTACTTAAGTGGTCATGATCAGAATGTTGGTAGAAATATGGTTGGTAATGGTTTCATGAGGTCTTAGATGGTAGCAAGGAACAATGTACTGGAAATTGAAATAGAGGCCATCCTTGTTAGAAAGTGGCAAAGAACTTGGCTAAAATACTTCCATGATCTAGGGATTTACGGATGGCAGAATTCAAGGGCAATGAACTAGGATATATAAAAGAAGAAGTATCTAAGCAGCAAAGCACTCAAGGTGCTTCATAGCTTCTTTTGGCTACTTACAGTAAATTTACAGAAAAGAAGAAAAGATTTAATGATGGAATTCATAATTAAAAGAGAAGCACAATGGAAAAATTTGGAAAACTTTCAGCCTGGCTATGTAAAGTAAAAAAAAAAAAAAAAAGAACATGTTTGGGAGAGAAGTCTAAGGGCATGGGCGAGCAACCCTTGGCTATGGACAGAATGGAGCTAGGTTCTATTTATCAAGACAATGTGACAATGACCCTGAAGGCATTTCAGACATCTCCAAGCCAAGCCAGCATCTTGAGTGCAAGGTTTCCAGAGAAGCACTCGCAAGACTTTAGTATTTGCTGCCCAAGTCTACCTAAGGACTTGGCTCCCAGGATTTGGGTGCAGTGTTTCTCACCAGCCACAGCTCAAGCAGACCCAGGTGAGGCTTATGACACAGTTCCAGGAGGTGGAAGTGGTAAGCCTTGGTGGTGTTGTTATGGTGCTAAAGAGAATAAACTTGTTACAAAAACTAGATTGGCCTCTTCTTTTTCCCTGTTGTCATGAAGGGCCTGCTGCCATGTTATGATGCAGGAAGAAGGCCCTCGTCAGAGGCCTGTGTCTTGATATTGGACTTCCCAGCCTCCAGAACTGTGAGAAATAAATTTCTCTTCTTTTTAAATCACCCAATCTCAGGTATTTTGTCACAACAACACAAAACTAGATACTTAACAATTGTTGAACTTGTGATCCAGCTAAAGATGTAAGATCAAATGTGATTCCAAGTTTTGTGATAAATGAAAGGAAAACACAAGTGGTGTTCACATTTTTATTATGAAAACATTCAAATGAATATAAACATAGAGAGAAGAGCATATTGAACTCCTAGATGTTCCTATAATCTAACTTCAACAGTTATCAATGGATGGCAGATTCTCACGTGCATTCTTTTTCAAACCTTAATTTCCCCCTTACTCCCTAAATAAAATACTAGATACAATAGCATTTCATCCACTAAAAATATGTTTGTCTACAAGTCCCTTTTTAAAAAGCACAGTGCCTATTAAACTATCATGCTTGAGAAAGATAATAGCATTATTTACTTAATATCAGCTAATAACATATCAGTGTTCATATTTCCCTGATTGCCTAAAACATTTTAGTTTACTCATTTTTGTTAAGTTATCCAAATCAGGTCAAAATAAACTCTTCATATGACATTTAATTGATTGATAGGCTTTTCTTATCACTTTATATGAAAATTTTAAACCTACAAAGACAAAAAAACCATACAAATTACACCAAACCCATATTTACCAACTAGGTTAAATCATATATTATTATACTTGTTCTACCACACATCTATTCGCCTATCTATTCCTCCACTCAAGCACTAATCTATCTTAATTTTTGAAGGTTTCCAAAACTATGTGACTGGAATTTAAGACGTGAGAAGAGTAATTAAAGATGGGTGCAGCTGGAGTAGACTGAGGCCAAATCATGAAAAGCCTGATTTTGGGGGGTTAAGAAGTCAGACTTTACCTTATGTTATTGTGTGGAAGACAGAAAACAAACTAGATAAACAAGTAAGAAAGGTATGTTGTATAGTGGACAAGGAGAAATGTTAAAAAGAGAATTGGAAGCAAGAACAGTTGGAAGGTAGCAAGATTTGCAATTTTAAGTGAGTGGCTAGTGTACATCCCACTAAGAAGATGACATTTGAATAAAGACTTGAAGAGAAGTGAGTGAGCAAGCAAGCCATGGGGATATCCAGGGAATGAAGATTCCAAGAGAGGGAAGGAAATAGTGAGTGCAGGCCCCAAAGCTATGATAAATTGACATTTTAAAAATCATTTTAATGAAGCATAATTATACAAACATTATAATGATTTTATAAGAGTAATAATGTAACAATAGAATAAAAAGTCACCCATAATTCTGCTACTGCTGGAAAACAAATTATTTTCATGTTCAATTTTTTAGACTTTTATTTTTCTCTGCATCCATGTTTACCTAAAATTATGCTTATGAAAAAAATTATTTACACATACATGCATATAGTTAATTTTGGATGTTAATATTTTTATTTCTTTATTTCTTTTTTTTTTTCTTTTGAGACAGAGTCTTGCTCTTTCACCCAGGCTGGAGTACAGTGGCATTAGCTCTGCACACTGCAACCTCTGCCTCCCAGGTTGAAGTGATTTTCCTGTCAGCCTCCCTAGTAGCTGGGACCACAGGTATGCACCAATACACTGTGCGTGTGTGTTTGTGTGTGTGTGTGTGTGTGTGTGTGTGTGTGTGTGTATAGTTTTTGTAGAGACGAGGTTTTGCCACATTAGCCAGGTTGGTTTCAAACTCCTGACCCCGTGATCCACCCGCCTCGGCCTCCCAAAGTGCTGGAATTACAGGTGTGAGCCACAGCTCCCAGCCTGGACATTAATTTTGTATAAATGTTTTCTGTGTATTATATAGCCTACCTATTATTTTAATGCATGTCTATTTCTTATTTATGTATTTATTTATTTTTTGAGACGGAGTCTGGCTCTGTCGCCCAGGCTGGAGGGCGGTGGCGCCATCTCTGCTCACCGCAAGCTCCGCCCCCCGGGTTCCCGCCATTCTCCTGCCTCAGCCTCCCGAGTAGCTGGGACTACAGGCGCCGCCACCATGCCCGGCTGATTTTTTGTATTTTTAGTAGAGACGGGGTTTCACCGTGTTAGCCAGGATGGTCTCGATCTCCTGACCTCGTGATCCACCCGCCTCGGCCTCCCAAAGTGCTGGGATTACAGGCGTGAGCCACCGCGCCCGGCCGCATGTCTACTTTTTCAACAAATAAAACACCATGAAATCTTTTACTTAGCAATCCTCCTGTTGTTAAATATTTAAGTAGTGCATCTTTATTTTTCTTAAAAACTATAGCAATAAATGTATTTGTAGTTAATTTCGTGTTTTTTTTTTTTTCTCGGAGTCTCGCTCTGTCGCCAGGCTGGAGTGCAGTGGCGTGATCTGGGCTCACCGCAAGCTCCACTTCCCAAGTTCAAGTGATTCTCCTGCTTCAGCCTCCCGAGTAGCTGGGACTACAGGTGTGCACCACCACGCCCAGCTAATTTTTGTGTTTTTAGTAGAGATGGGGTTTCACCGTGTTGGTCAGATGGTCTTGATCTTTTGACCTTGTGATCCGCCCGCCTCGGCCTCCCAAAGTGCTGGGATTACAGGTGTGAGCCACCGTGCCTGGTCGTTACTTACTTTTCTTAAAAAAAATAAATTTTATTGTAACTACCTATTGGGTACAATGTACACTACTAGGGTGACAGGTGCACTAAAATCTCAGACTTCACCACTATATAATTCATCCATGTAACCAAAAACCACTTGTACTCCAAAACCTATTGAATTTTTTTAATTTAATAAATTTTATTATGTATATTTAAGGTATGCAACATGATGTTATGGAATACATGTAGATAATAAAATGGTTATTACAGTAAAGCAAATTAACATATCCATAATCTTACATAGTTATCTATTTTTTTATTTTTGTGGCAAGGGCAGCTAAACTCTACTCATGTAGCTAGAGTCCCTTTCAAATCTTTATTTAAGAAAAAATTCAAAAATGAAATTATGGTATCAAAGGGTGAACATTTCAATGATTTTGCATTCCCAAAGGGTTACATTAAATTGTACTTCAAACTAACAGTATGTGGTTTTGCCAACTTCACAAATAGGAGTAATTAAGAATTAGAGGATGTATTTTGATCACTTAAATTATAAAATGGAATTGTATAGCGTTATTTTGCATTTTTTATTATTAGCAAATATTAATATTGTGCCATGTGTTTCTTTGATAGTTAGATCTGTTAATATGCCGATTGCAGGCTTTAGGTTTTTTTCGTAATTTTTTAAATTTTAAGCATTCTACAAATGTTATCTCTCAGGTCCTAGGTCTTAGGTTTTTCTCATAGTTTGACTTTATATTTTAAGCATTCTACAAATGTTGTTTCTCAGGAAAACTTACAGCCCACTGTTCTTTTGAAAATACATGCAAATCTCTGTAATATACACATGAAATTTTAAACAATTACTATTAAGTTATTCAAACGTTTCAATTTTTCTGATTATAAAATAAATGCTTTTTTAGTTTTTTTTTTTTAACTTTCTACTTGAAAACTAAAAGGCAATAAAATAAAAAAAATCAGTTCTATTTCTGTGTGAGAGGTAAATGGGACAGCCAGACTTATCTCCCCTCTTTTCCAGTGCCTTATCTCCTTCGTCTCTTTAATCAAATAAAAGTGCATATGCAGACTGGACAGTGGTGTTAGAGGACAATAATATTTTTACTAATATATAGGAAACAGGAAGAATAGTATTCTGTTAGTAGATAAAACAGAGCAGAGGGCATCCCTCCACAGCAGGCTAGGAATGTACTGCAGTGAAAATGGGGGCCGTTGCCTACGTGGCAAAACACTGAAAGTTCCCAAGATAAAAATCAGTGACTATTGAGCAAAGTGAGTTCTGGAGCAGTATTTAGGGAATTGCATTAAATGGCTCTCACCGGAAGAGCTGCATCTGCTCATCTTGTTTTATGTTTCCTCAAGGCATGGACACAACATCTATTTATTTATTTTCCACCACTCTTCCCCACAATGCAAACTCGATCAGAACAGGGACATCCTCCATTCTGTTCCAGTGCCTAAGACAGTGTCTGGCCCACAAGAGGTCCTCAAGATGTGCTGCGTCAATGATCCCAATCCAAAAATCTTCCCCACATCTTTCAAATGGTCAAAGTCCCTCTGCTCCTGGATCTGTATTTCAATGTACTACTCTTCGTGTTTCCAATTAAATTCCATAGGCCCTGGGTTCTTTCTGGTAATTCTTTCTACGGAGACTGTCATACCTCTATTTCCATGATGTTTCCTTGTTTATCTTTTCCAGATTCATCAAAGGCATTTAGTAGGTCATACAAGGAGGTTCATCAAGACTGTCAGCCAAGTGTAATTTTTATCCAAACATGTTATGTTTTAATAATTTAAAATTGTATTCTTGGCCTCTCTGGCTACATTAGAATGTGTCATATTTAATTGCTTACGCCTTTTGCTTCAGTAGAATGGGGCCTGGAGGACCTCTGTAAAATTCTTCAGTTACAAACATTTTCCCAACTACTTTAATGGGATGTACCTTTCTGGCCTCGTGCACTTTTTTGTTGTTGTTTTTAAACGCAACAAAGTGTCAGTTTCGCTTCTGGCCACACTATAACCATTCCCCAACACTGATCTAACTTCAAAAGCATGAAAAAGTGTGCTGTGCTTTTGAAGTTGGGCAGAGAATGCACATAAACATATCCTAAGAGAGTACCATTTCAAAAAAGCCATTTCCTATTAAGCAGTTTCAAATTTTCTTTTATTTCTCTTTTCATTAAAAAAAAAATTAGTCAATGTTCTCTTTCAGTTTTGCTTCTACCTAGTTTATCATATTGGTGAACTTTTGATCTTAAAGTTTTGTTTTTCTACATTTATTCCAACGTTTTGTTTTATACCACATTGCCAAAGCATTTCTGCTGCTGTATTCCTAAGAGTGGTTCTAAATGAGAAGCTCTCAATAATGTTTGTTTAACTGTTCAATCTTCATTTAGACTCTGGATAGCAGCCCTACTGGAGGCCTGGTATAGAGCAAGAGGGAATCATGCATCTGATTTAAGATTTTTAATAAAAAGTGAATGTTAAAAGTAATTTGCCAACAAGGGAAAATGGCAAAGAAAAGAGCAACCCAGTGAAATTCCTGTTATGGTGAATACAGAATTATGAGAGTGAACAGGCATAAAGGGAGTGGTGTATCTCACACTACATTAAATCTGCTAGGGACAGACACTCAAAAGAGGTTCAGAGAATATAGTACATGGAATCTTCATAGCAGAAACTGAGGTTGTGATATGAAATCATTCCAATACTGTGATAAATGGAAAGAGCCAACTAGACAATTGAAGCTCAACATCTTTTATAAATAATTGTTTAGTTTGGATTTTAGTCAATGAATATTAAACATCTTCTGTCTGAATTATTTTTCTTCTACATACTTTACCTCAGATCATTCTAACAATAATACTGGAATGTATGTAGTATTTCCCTTTTACATAAGAGAAATTGAAGCTCAGAAATTTTAAATAACTTGCAAACATTATACAGTTAGTAATTGTTCAAGTTGGAGTTTTATTACCAGATGGTCTGATTCTAAATGCAGTGTTCTTTTCATAACATACAACTTTCTCTGTTGGACCTACAGTGGCCAAAGTAAACGAAAAATAGCCAGATAGCCATTGTGTGCTTTATAGAAATACTCGTGCAGATCAGAATCACGATTAGCAGTGGTCATGAAGCAGATAAGGAAAGTCAACAAAATATTTTCTGACTTCAGAAAGGAAAAGTATGTCTCAAAACAGAATTTATAAATGCCACATATATTCTTATCTCGCCAGTTCTGTTCAGCTATTTCTGATTTAAACATTTTTCCCATCTTTCTGGTTTCAGATGAGACATTGAACAAAGTCAAATTAAATGAGAGCGAGTTTCTTTTATTGTAACAAGATTATGTACATATACATATGAATGCAGCTATGAGCACAGACTTTTTAAAGAATTTTGATATTCAAATCCTTCTCTTTCAAATATTTCATTCAAACCAGAATAAGGAAATATACCAGAAAACAATAGGAGAGAAAAATACCATTCTATTTGTAAGTTACATGTAATTACTCTCTTGTTTTGCTAAGTCATCTCTAGTCTGAGAAATGATTACTCTTATTAAGCATGTGGATGGAATATATTGATGAATATATAAAACACAAATAATGGAAATATGTATTTCTTTAATTTTTTATATGAGATACTTTAAGAGTTAAAATTTTATTTTACAAATACATCTGTATTTAGATCAGGCCAATACAAGGAGGTATAAATATTTTCTTTACTAAACTATTTGATGTTTATCCTATAATCTCATCATATTGCTTTTTTCTTTCTCTCTCTCTCCCTCCCTCCCTTGTTCTTATTTTTGAAAGGGCCACTATGAGCCAAAGAGAGAAGAAAATATTTGTTTTGTGCCTTGCATAATTTTTCATGCACTTTTTGGGTTATATTGTTGTATTGCTCTCACCAAGAGGAAGCAAAGACCTCCTTTTCCTGCTGTAAAAATTTCATACATTCAAAATGAATTGTATCTAAAAGTTCTCTCTTCCTAATCAAGTATACTTCTCCTTCACTGTTTTAACGAAATAGTTTTTTATCTGTAGTCATTAAATCCAGTGTATACTGAAAAATGCATTCTTGAATCTGATCCTTGCTCTTGTAGAATCTCTCTCTTTTGAGCAGCTACTTATACTCTAAATGATTATCTTCATGATGATTGAATTTTACAATAGATTACGAATAACTACTGGCATATGTTCTTTTTCATATTTGAGGATGACAACCATCATTGGATTCATTAGTAGAATGCATACTGTGTAGAAAGGAAATGTAAGAGGAAAGGAGTACACAAATGCTAGCGTCAAGACTGGTGTCAAGACTATTTGGGTTTCATATTTCTGTCACTTACTAGCTGTAGGAAAACCAGTGAAGCTCTCTGTGTCTTAATTTCATCAACTGTGAAATATACCCACCTTGGATCAATTTATGGAATAAATGACTTAATTTGACATAAAAGTGTTCTATAAATATTAACTATTTAATTATAATAATGCTAATACAATTATTGTCTTATTAATATTTGTTTTATTGGATTTTTTATTGATATACTGATTTTCCTATGAGTTGTGCAGCCTCCACTATTATCCTACATTTTACTAAATTCATAAAATCTGACAGCAGCTTGCTAGTGTTAATCATATTATCTGTTGCCCCTGGGATCTTATGAGACAATGGCCTTGACCTCATTAAAATGAGGTCATAAAACGAGATAGGTCCAAGTCAGTTGGTGACTGCTCTTACTGGAGTAATTATACTATATGATTCTTAGCTCGTCTTTGGTCTAAAAGGATAACAATGGTACTTGTTTGTACAGCACCAACACAGCATTATCCTGCAACTCGAATTTAAAGCTATCAATTGATAATAATTATTCCTTGAAACAGTAAAATGTTTAATTTCATTTACATTTCATTAGCGTCATTATCACTCATATCACTAATAGTGCAAAACTTTACTTTTTTGGTAACTTGAAAAAGTAATATTTTTAGGCATGGAAAATTGAAGGAATTACATTAATTCTTTAAATTAATTAATTTCTCTAGAGATATCTTCCTTTGATGCTCAAAGAAAATGAGCAATCATTTGTTTCCAGTGTGTGTTGTTTACTGGACCCCTTTCTGTTAGTGTTTTTAATAATTGGGAGTAAAGGATAGTCTAATTCACTGTATATTACTGAAGAAATCTCCTATATATCCAACTGTGAACTGTTGATAAGTCATGATATTGGCATAAAGAAGTAGGTAAGACTGCACATGTGTGATTTATACATGTATTTCTGTGTTTTCTCCTGCCATCTGTACAGTGGCAGAGAAGCTGAACCACATACCTCAGTTTATTTAATGACCATATTTAACTCCCACAGTGTTCCCAGCATGCAATAAAATTATATTAATGATTACAAGGAAAACATTAATAAAGAAGTAAATCAGAGAGCTTGTGGGTTCAGCCAAAATGAACTTCCTAGTTCATGCTGGCCCATGTGAATAGGGATCTGATTCAGGTTAAGTTTTCATTACCTTATTTCTCCATTTGGAAGGCTGTATGAATACTAATGAAAGCAAAGTGGTCTCAAGATGGGTAAACATGCAGAACCTAATAGTATGAGGTTTTCAGTAGTTCCACATGGAATTATAATAATACAATAAACACAGTGGTGAGGTATTAATAATAAATATGTAAATGATTTACTCTTAAAAATAGCTGTTCTTCAAAGGTGAGAAGCCCTTATTTAATTATTTGTGCTGAGTAGCTTGGAGAAATGCTGATTTCAGTGCTTATGTGTTCCTTGGGAATGAGGCAGGCAGGTTAAAATGAAAACAAGCCAAATAATCAAACAGCACAAGTATGTGGGTTGTTGAAGTTTTTTTGTTTGCCTGCATGCTGATTTACATGCCTGAGCAAAATGGAAAAAATAGAGCGTTCAGGCCTATTAGAACAGAGCCTTCCTTTTGCAAATAGACCATGATTAGAATACATAGTGATATGATGTTGGATATAGATTCTCTGAAATGAAATTAAGTCTCTTTGGGCCCATTCTTACTGCTGAATTTTATGGGAGGAAGTGGATTCTCTAGTGGGACTGTTAAGGCCTGCATTCTAAGGAAATAAATGCATATTTAATGAGTTGCAACCACATGTGAAGCCTCATGCTAGGCACTGTGGAAATAAAAAATAAAAGATGTAGTACTGATGCTGAAGGCATTGGACCAATTAGAGATATAAACTCATAACATGAAGTGCTAGAAATAATAGAGTCGTTGAAATTGGATTTGAATTTGAATCCGGGATCACCTGTCAGTTCAATGACGTGCGCAATTTACTAAAAAAACACTTTGAGTTTCACTTTCATATCTCTATAAGAGGACTAATGAAACCTAACTTGCAGGCTTAAAATGATTATAAACAATTATTTGCAAGAAGCCATGAGCCAGAAAATACACTGTGCATTTTTCACACAACCTGTGAATTGCTCCAAATTGCCACTATATTGTAATATAACTGACCTCTCAAAAAATTTCAGTAAAAAGCTAAACTGCTATGATGAAAACATCCTAAAGTACAGTGGCTCCAACAAGATAAAAGTTTTTCTCTAACATCACCATCTAGGGCAGGTAGGCAGACTCTGATCCAGGAAGTCATCTAGTGATCTCAGTGAGTGGGTCTGCTTTTGTTCTAGCTGCACTTAATTTCAGCCATATACAAGGAAAGAGATAAATATCAGGATGGTGCAAAAGTAACTGTGGTCTTTGCCATTACTTTTAATAAGTTTAAGGTACATGTTTTTAAAGAAAACAAGCTATAGGTTGGCTGCATTCATTTTGTCACATTTCATTAGTGAGGATTTACTCACGTGGTGAAAACTAGGGATATGAGAGCCTGCAAAGTGTGCTGTATAATCATATGCCCAGGAATTTAAAAAAATTGATTTGGAGAGAGCATTTGTTTGCCACATTTGTTCGCAGTTACATAGCAATAATGTAGTTAAATTTTGAAAGTTTATTTCTGCTGGTAGTTGAATCCCAAATTCATATCTCCAGATTATATTTATCTTCTAAGGTCCGTAGCAATAAATCCCTCTCCCTTACTTAAATCATCTTCTTGCAGGTCTCAGAGCCATTGCATACTTAACAAGTATACATCTTATCTCTTGATCTACTTTGTAAATCTGGTTCCTTTTCAGTGGTTTCCTACACCAATGGAGCATTTAGTTAGGCAAACCAGACACAGCAGCATTGCCTTTATCAGTCTCTACTCCCTCATCTCCCAAAGCCAGTTGAAAAACAAGCCCTGAAGCCTTTGCCTTCTAAACACAGCACAACTCTAGCTACCTCCCTGTCTTCCCACGGATCCACTCTAAACCATGGCACTATCCTCTCTTACCTGATCTAAGGTACTAGCTTCCCAAATCTTTTACTCACGTCCACCTTTGTGACTTGTCTAATCTCCACATCACAGCCAGAGATGATGTTGTGGATGGAGTTTTGTTCTGTTTTGTTTTACATTCTAAAAATCTGATATTATGCCCCTACTTAAAATTTCTCAATGACTTTCACATGCATGTTCTTAGTTGAAGACAAGTACAAAATGCTTCAATGTCACCTACAAACCCCTCGATGTTCTGGGCCTAACAATGTTCTGGCACCTCCTCCTACATATGCTGACTCATCTCATATTTTACTTTGACTTCTTCCATATGGACCGCTTGTTGATTTCCCCTAAGTCCCGCTCCATCTCCCAGCACAAGGTCTTTTCATACATGGTTTTCTCTGCACATGTTGTTCTTTCCCCCCATTTTCACTGAACTCTCTCCTGTTTACCAAATAGATTTCAGCTCAATAGTTAATATCTAAAGAAAGGTTTCCTCTAGGCTTTTTGATATCATTATATTTTCTTATATAGATTCCAGGTACAATAAACATGTTATTCTAATAACACAATAGCAATATTGCATTGATTTCTTTGATTATTTGTTTAGTTGTCTCTCTACCTACCAGACTGAGGTCTATGCATATACACTGACATATTTTTTTCACTGTAGATTACTAAAGCTTAATATGTCTAGATGGTTCATAATAAACATTCTATAGGTATTTTTAGAAGAACTATATTAAAATATTTTATTTCAAAATGAAAATATGTCTCATTTGTTTCAAACGAGTAGTAAAAAATAGTGAACATCATAAAAATTCAGAAGATAAAGAAATAATATCAAATTGAAAGGATAAAGACTGGCATCACCAATAATGCAATTTTTAAGGTATGTAATGAATGAGAAAAAGCTTTTTGAAAGACAAGAAGAATATATACAGAATTCGGATAACAAGAAAGGCAAGAGCCAATATGGAAAGTTTCTATATTACTGGTGCTCAAGGTGACAGTGGCTAGACCAGATTGATTAAAAGGGAGCATTTTTGTAGGAAAATTATGAACATGAAAAGTTGAGAATCAAATTACATCTATGTTAGTAAGGAAAATCTAGAAGATGGATTTAGTGAATGCAAAAACTTAGTTCACTTAGGGATCCAGAGAAGAAAGTTAAGGGGAAGTATAGATGAAGAAGGAAGAATATGAGATGAGAAGATACTGGGGCTGTTTACTGAGACATTTTGTGTCAATTTAGGTGATAAGGGTAGAAACAGAGAAAAAAGCAGCTGAAAAAGAATCATTTTTAAAAATGACTTTCTTTTCAGAATGACATCAAATCAAAGGTGTCTACAACACTATTAAAATGTGGAAGTTGAGCCCAGGAAATAGGCCAGGCATAGATTATGAGTCATCATCATAAAGAACTCAAATGAAAGAAATAAAAAGGACCTTTAAAAAAGAAAACAGAGAATGAGACAGCAGGAGGCTTAAACTGAACGGTTGAAAAGTTCTATATCAAGGATATCAGAGAAAGCATAAGACATAGCAAAGTTATATAAGAGCTGTATTAAGAGTATGGTAAAGTTGGTGAGGTACTTATGAGATCTCCCTTCAAGGAAGTGCAGTGTAGACATCTTTCAGCTGTCAGCTCCTTCAAGATTTGTCTCTGCTGCAGAAAGCTGGTCCAACCAAGGTCACACTATTCCAAGAGCAGCCTGAACACAGTGACTGAGAAAGGCAGAAGTATAAGCATCTGACATCTCAGTCAGATACAAGCCAATTCTGATGGCCAATACTCTTTCCAGAGTCTCTTGCACCCACACCTGGTTGGCCAATGCTATGTCAGACATTCATTACAGTTGGACTTCTGCCCAGTCCTGCTTCCTCCTTCTTCCTGTCATAGGTATTGATCCATTAAAAAACAAAACGAACAAACAAACAAAAACTTTGCATCCCAAAGCCCACCTCAGCATGGGCTTACTCAGAGACCCAACTGTGATAAGAGCTGGGAGAAAGAGCATACGAGCTTCAAGGATGTATTTCATAATAATCATTTAGGTATAAATAGAACATTACCAGTCTCAGATAACATTTACATGAGTTCTTTTTGATACCTCATGTCCCTTTTTCAAAGTTGTTGAGTCATTTCAGGAAATTGAGTCTTAGGGATTTAATTTCTTCCATGAATTGATTCTGCTTGTTGGATGTGTGAATCTGGAACTCAGAAGAGGAGTGATCAGGAATCATCCAGTTACTCTTCCTGAAAGCTATACCACTTTTGTGGCAGAACCAGGGCCACAAATAAGAACTTCTGTCTCTAAGCAGAAGTTCTTTTCATTTCATCCTGTTGTGGGAAGTCAGGGACACTGAACAGAGGGACCAACTGGAGCCACGGCAGAGGAACATCAATTGTGAAGATTTCATGGACATTTATCAGTTCCCAAATAATACTCTTATAATTTCTTACACCTGTCTTACTTTATTGTCTTAATCCTGTTATCTTTGTAGGCTGAGGATGTACATCACCTCAGGATCACTATTGTGTTAACTGTACAAATTGATTGTAAAACATGTGTGTTTGAACAATATGAAATCAGTGCACCTTGAAAAAGAACAGAATAACAGCTATTTTCAGGGAACAAGGGAAGACAACCATAAGGTCTGACTGCCTGTGGGGTTGGGCAAAATAGAGCCATATTTTTCTTCTTGCAGAGAGCCTATAAATGGACGAGCAAGTAGGGAAGATATCGCTAAATTCTTTTCCTAGCAAGGAATATTAATAATTAATACCCTGGGTAAAGAATGCATTCCTGGGGAGAGGTCTATAAACGGCCGCTCTGGGAGCGTCTGTCTTATGCGGCTGAGACAAGGACTGAAATATGCCTTGGTCTTCTGCAGTACCTCCAGGTTTACTAGGGTGGGGAAAAACCCCACCCTGGAAAATTTGAGGTCAGACCAGTTCTCTGATCTCAAGCCCTGTTTTCTGTTGTTTAAGATGTTTATCAAGACAATACGTGCACCGCTGAACATAAACTCTTATCAGTAATTCTGCTTTTGCCCTTTGCATGTGATCTTTATTCTCCTTTTTGCCCTTTGAAGCATGTGATCTTTGTGACCTACTCCCTGTTGTTGCACCCCCTCCCCTTTTGAAATCCTTAATAAAACTTGCTGGCTTTTAAGGCTCAGGTGGGCATCACGGGTCCTACTGATACGCGATGTCACTCTCAGTGGCCCAGCTGTAAAACTCCTCTGTTTGTGCTCTTTCTCTTTATTTCTCAGATTGGCTGACACTTATGGAATAGAAAGAACCTACGTTGAAATATTGGGGGCAGGTTCCCACGATATCATCCTGCTGCAAATAAAGAGGAAAGTTTATGTAAAATCCTGAACAGCGTCAGATGTTTGAGTAAAGAGAATGACAACTGGCATAACTGATATATTGCTAAAGCTTCTTAGAAAAACCTGAGTTTTAAATATAAAAGTTGTGAAGATATTGGTACACTCCAAGATTCCTGCAACATGCCTACACT
Organism: Homo sapiens; assembly: GCF_000001405.40. NCBI lineage: Eukaryota > Metazoa > Chordata > Mammalia > Primates > Hominidae > Homo > Homo sapiens. The sequence goes on from NC_000003.12 coordinate 1,537,692, forward strand.
GAAATTCACTTTTATATATAAATAGATAATTCATTTTACAGCATATAGATAAAATAAGGCACAATCTTTTTCAGAAATCATGTTCTTTCCATAACTTTGACTATTTAGCAGGATAGACAAACATTCAAATAGAATGTTTGTTCAATAAACAAAAGACTGTAAAAGGGAATGGCAATGGTTAATTTCCAGTAGATACAACAGCACAGTCTCTTATAGTGTCTAGGATTCCCTAGAACTTTATTGTTTCTAAATAAGTCTACCTCAAAGCATCTCATCAGGCGATTTCATAATGTATACTTGTAGACTTTAAAGAATCAGCCCAAATGAAATCAAGGTAATTCATGAATGTTATGTAATTAAAAGAAAGGCATTGAAAAAATATATAGGTTTCTTGGATTGGAGGCGATTTGTAGCTGAAGAGTAAATAAATATATATAAAATGTATCATTTGGAAATACATGATATTTTAACTTCAGGAGGGAGACTTTTATCATTTAGAATTATTTCTACTATATATAACAAAAACAATTCTACAAACTCAGACTGCTTTCAAGAATAAGGAAGGTTATCGTACCTAATACAAAACTGAAAGGTTGGCAATGACTCAGGTTTGGATAATTCAATGGCTAATGATGCTTTCTGTCTAAATACTCTGTCATAATTACTCTCAGCTTCATCGTAAGGCTGCTGTCTGTTGAATTTTAAGATGGCTGTCCACAGGAGCAACGTCGTTATTTTTTTAAAAATATCCAGTGGGAGACAGATAAGCCCTCAAAAAAAAATGAGTGATCACTCCCTCAATTTTCCCAAGGATTGTATAGCTAGTTTCTTTTTATATTAGTAGGATATATTAATTAATTTCATACTATGGATGCCTTCAAACATTCATTCTTTTATGACCGAACATGTCTAGGAAGGGCTGGCTAGTAAGCTAACAGAATCATATTAGGGCTATGATAGGAAAGAGGATAGGAGATACTGCATACCCCATGGGTAGGAAGCCAATGGTAACCAGTAGATATATTTATTGTATTGCACCTATCAAAATTCCACTGCAAGATACTCCCTTCTTTACTTTTAAATCTGGAAAGATTGATCTTGGTTTATCACTAGTACATTTAAAGATGGGTGTTTTATATCATTTATCTTCCTTCACCCTGCTGGGTCTCAGTAACAATCCTTGAATATTATTTATCTTGGTTTGATTCACATTTTCTCAGCAGTTGCCTTCAACGTGGCTCTTGTTTCTTCACTTCTTATTTATTAAGCAGCAAATGTATGACATTGTTTGGTTTAGTTCTTTCCAATTCAATTCAACAATGTTTGCCTCAAACCATCCTTCTTCATTGAGCCATCTTTATCCTGTACTATTCTCTTCTTCTCACTTGGGTACATTAGCAATGACTGTATAATAGGATTCAATTTCTTTTATCTCCCATGCATTCAGAAGTCATCTGATATCATTTGCTTCCATCCATTTTGGGTCCGTTCAGAGATTATTTATCTTGATTTCTTTTTTCTCACTGAGAAATTATGGAGTTAATGCCACATGCTAGCCTTTTCTGTAGGACACTATTTCTGATCAAGATATTAGACATTTACACATGAACACTCTAGAGACTACTCAGCTTCAGTTGAGTCAGCTATGTATTTTCATCACATCATACAAATTCTACTAAAAATATACTCTAATGTTGAAAAATAGAAATAAAAAGAAGTGACCAAGGACATCCTTGGGGTAGATTACTTAAAGCACACACTTTAAAAAATATTTTTTTTCCTGGATAAAATTCTCTATATGTGATTGCAGGCAATATTTTGCAGAATCTGCCTCTTACTCCTCCAAGAAGAAAACAAGATTGAATATTTTATGAGGTTCTGACAAAGTATTTACACCTCATTGGTAACTGTTGCCTTCAATATAAAGCATCTGCAAGTACAAGGTCTGGATTTGCCCTCAGCACAAGCATTGAAATTTGCCTGCCCAGAAGATATGCTACAAGACATCCTTTCCAATTCCAGTTAAAGTTTAACATTGAAAAGTCTATAGGTAAAGTGGCTGAAAGCTTTATAATTGCATGATGGACAAATTATATTCATTTAATAGCTAATGTACATAGTTCTTTGCTAATTTATACCAAAACCAGTCACAACTCTAGCTCATCACTGCATTCGGTAATTTACATTTCAAAGAGACTATCTGGTACTATTTCAAAGAGTTTATGTTTTTCTGATTAAAAAAAAAACAATTGCTTAAATCTTTTTCTCTCCTGGTGTTCTACTTAAAATTCAGTTATGTATTTAAATCATTTTTATAACTCAGTGTTTTTCAATAGTAACTCCCATTAGAACTTCTGAGAATATTCTACCAGGAGATTCTACCTTGTTGCTTGGCAGGAGATTCTACCAAGCAACATGGGTTTTTTGAAATGGATACACATATAGAAATAGATTCACACATATAAACTCTAAGATTTGTTTTTCAGGTTATGTAAACCATTTGGTTTTAGACATAAGAATTTTGGCAATTTTACTTCAGATTATATTATTGATGCCATCAAGGCCCATCTCCCTTAGAAATATAACAATTGGGGTGCTCACCTGGCTAGGCAGGTAAACAGTGGTCATAGTGACATCAGATAACCCGTTAGCCCTCATCAGAGTCTTTAAACAACTGGTGCAACACTGAAGTGGTAACCTTTTCTGGTTCATAGAATCTTTGAGAATAACCCTGATTTCATGACATTTCAGAGCACGTCATAAGGACAGAATATATCTCCCTCAGAGAGTGATACAAAGAATACAAAAATAAAAACATTTAAATATGCAATTGCAAAATATTGTCCATACTCTCTTCCCATCTTCCCAGTTGTATTTTCTTCCCTTCACCATAACATTATGTCAAAAAAGAAAAAAGAAAAGGAAGGGAAAAAAGGCAATAGAGAAGGTCATTTCTGGTTCTTTTAGGGAAATTTATCATTTTTTAACAATCAGTGGTCTACACTGCCAATTAGGTGATATTGTCCAGATTCCAGAGTATTTCAAGAGGGTTTGCAATGTTGCCCAAATTCAAAACTGTCATTGATATATTCTCTGTGCTTTAGAGGGTCTATATTCAAATAGAATACAATATGAAAGAGCCTTCTGGAACTGTGCCATTTAGCGGTGCTGGTTCTAAAACCTAGGTACATTCTCACATTGTCTAGTATTCATAAATCCCTAGTTAATTGGGTGTCATATATTAGAGAACAAAAAGCCTGACTCTCATTAAGAAGTCAAATAAAATGTGGAGTATGGAAGAAAGAACTCTTTAGCAGTAGAATACCTACACACAGCCTGAGTGAACCTGGAGGTTTGTAGCAAAAAGAAAAATAAGGACCCTTTAGTGAAAGTTTTCCTACAGAGCTAAATTTGTTGAATTTAAAGAAATGTTTTTTAATTTTCCAATTAGGTCTTGGCAATTTTTTAAAATGAGCAAAACTATGACAACAAACTCATTTAAAAATATTATTTGAGATACTATGAGATACAGTAGTTTGGAAACTACTGTTATAAGACAGTAAGATTAAAAAAAATTGATTATCATCTTTCATGTATATACCAGCTCACTCAACTTCATAACCATTCCTGGTTTGAAGGGAGGAAAGACCAGTGGAAATACATTTGACATGTTTTTGTGCCCATTATGGTTTATTGCAATTCTATTTTGATGTTAGTCCCTCACATGTTTACTACCAGACTTCTAACAAAGACAAATAGTAATAATCAATAGTGATGACATTAAAGCATTTCATTCAAATATTTCAAAGCACGTTAGAGCCATAGAATCTGCTTTATATACTAAGACAGTTTTAAAAGTTTCATAAAATAATGTTTTGTGGAGGTGAATGGCAATTATTCTAATTCTGAAATTCACAATTGTAATTCTTGTTTTATATTAAGTGACTTACAAAGTGTACCATAAAATATAATCATGATGTTATTTTCAGTGTTATAATAGTCAATTATGTGTTACATTATTTTTATTGTTTTACTCGTGTACATGCAGGATTCTTGGAAGGATTTTTGAGTTCCTCAAAGGCAGAGTTTGTTATATTTCTTTTGATCAACGAAAAAACCCATTTCAGGGTTGTTTGCATAATTGGAGCTAAGGAAATACTTCTTATATTCTGTTTAATAATATGTTTAACTTTGAGAGGTAAATATTTTAAAAATATTTGGAAGCATTAACCTAGATATTATAGACAAATTTTTAAAAAGTTTTTGTAAGTGTATATTTCTATCCCAAAGACTGAAATAGAGTGGCAGAGGGTCGTGAAGAGAGAAATTAGGTTCAATATAACTTTCTGTTTATGTACGTTGAGCATGGAAATCAAAATTTTACTGCTACATTTTAAAGCAATAAACTGTGCTATTCTTATTAATATACTTCAAAACTGGTTTAATAATAGTATGACTATGTGATAGCTAAATAAATAAAATAAGGTGCCACAGTAACTAATAAGCACAGCAGTTTTTACAACATGTAGTGTCTTAAACTGTAATATAATTAAGAAAATTTACTTTAACTGTCTTAATTTCTTCTTACTTCAAATACTTTCACACAATCCAGACTATCCACCGAATGACATTTAATTTTTTTTTCATATTATGAGTTTTTTACTCTTTAACCATTACAGAATTTGCTCTTGCTCTTCAACCATCTGGAAACCTTAAAATCCAAGCTTTTGAAAGAACTCAATGCTAGTGCTTTTAAAAAATGGATTGATTTCTTCCATGCTTTCTTTGTTCTCTTCTATAATTAACTCTAAGAATTTTTAAAGCATTTATATTAAATTTTCATATCTGATTTTGAAGCTACAATATGTATTTTCATAAACATACTGATATTATGCCTTTGAACCACTTCCCCACATTTGGAAATAATTGACAGAAATAATCCCATGACTAACTGCTATTTTATAGGTTTGTGTAGTTACATGGTGTATATTTTATCTGACTGTGGCCAATTTTATTTATATAGGTGCAAAAGTGTTATTCATTAACGCACATAAGCCTCCTTGGTCTATGGTCAGTAAATCTAAAGCCCTGTAAAATATCCATATGATGAGTCTGCAAGACGTTATTTATCTTTTCTTTCTTTTTATGTTTTCTAAGTCATCTTCTCTGAGAACAAAAAACCACCTATTTCTACTAGTTTTTGTCTTCAGTATTTACAAGAGTTTTTCCCCTTCCTCCAAGATCTCCCAAATTTGTCAGTGCCCTAGTATGCCGGGAAGTCATATTTAATGCCTGAGAGGCTTTCTAAGAATTGTTTCCACATGTGAAATACAGACCCTATTCCTTAATGGTGAGCTTGTCAGACCAGATTAGTTGAGATTTATATTAAAATGTGACATTTCTGATTGAGTTCACAGTTACAAATTCAGTTTGTCCTATATTACATCCTGGTAGGAGTATGCATTTTTATCAAACACAGAAATAAGTGCATTGCCATAAATGTAAAGAAAGCCAGTGAAGGCATCCTGTATATATTCTAGCCAACATATCGAGGAATTTTATGGACACAGTCAATTCATATCTGCCATTTTGTGCAGATAACCTGTCTTTTCAAAACAATGGGGGGCACTTTCAGTGCTTATTTACTTTTTATTAGCAAATAAACTGTGCTTTTAAAATGTAAAAGTCATGAATTTCTTAAATTCATATCTTTAGTTCTTTGATCACTTCTAAATCAGCACTCTTCATTCTATGATTTATCAGCTCCTGGAAATGTATAGCCTTTTACTAATGAGACAAATTTTTCTGTAGACTTTTAACTTTGTTACTTTTCTTTTCTCTTGTGAATTGCATTTTTGTAGAAAATTGTTAATTGTCTTTTTAAATTTTTGTGCACTGATAATTGAAACATTTCCTAATTTGATAATTTACTTATAGCATAAATATTATATCTGCATCTTCTTATTGAATTCAAACCTACAACTCAATTTCGGCTACCTACTAAGCCTGTTATCTAAATAGGTTTTCTTCCTTTATAGGGAGGTAAGCTATCCATCTTACTTTAGAAAAAAAAAAAAATTAATGCTTTCAGCTTGAGTGGATGTGGAAAACTATTGTTGTACTTTAATTAAGCAAATGCATTGGGGGGAATTTTGAATAAAAATAAGAAAATCCATTAGAGATAATTGGAAATAAGGTATAATTTTAGTGGTACAAAAATAAAGATTGCTCTATAAATACACCAATACATAATGGGATTTCTTGGCTGATTCAGTATTTACAAGTCATAAATTCACTTGCAAAGATATTAGGCAATACAGAAACTGCAAGTTAAAATGATGAATTCTCTGTCAGATGAAAATCAATCCAAAGTAAATAAAACACATCTCAAAAATTATAAAACTAAAACAATTCAAATTATAAATTAAATTTTAAAAATTATTAATTTAGGATTTTTTAAGAAAACTATTATGTTCAGTGAGCTGTTCTTTGTAACTCTTTCTATAAAATGTAGTGGCCCAAAACAATGACTTTCCCTTTGGAAAGTGATTGCTTTAGTCGTAAGGAATAATTTTAATATTTAGAGATTTTTTAAAGTGTTGCTATTTTAGTCCAATTTGGATTGCTGTAAAGGAACACTTGAGGCTAGGTAATTTATAAAGAAAAGAAGTTTTTTTGGCTCTTGGTTCTGCAGGCTGAACAAGAAGGATGGCATCACTATCTGCTTCTGGTAAGGACCTCAAGAAGGTTCTATTCATGGCAGAAGGTGAAGGAGGAACGGAAGTGTCACAAAGCGAGTGAGTGAGGAGCGGAGGAAGGTGTCAAGCTCTTTTGAACAACCAGCTGTCTCTTGAACTAATAAAGCAATAAGCACCAAGTCTGTTCATAAGAGATCTGCCCTCACAAACCAAACACCTCCTACCAGGACCCACCTCCAAGTGGGAATCAAATTTCAACATGAGATTTGGAGGGGATAAATATCAAAACCATATCAATTGGCTTCTTAAATTGGTGAGGTTGCATTAAATTGGAATTAGACCTGCTTTTTAAAGAGCTTCATAAAATGTTTCTTTCAGATCAGTACGTGCTGACTTATTTTGACCTTTACAGGAGGAGTAAGGATTCACCGAATTTTTACTTTTTACAGGAGACTTTAGAGACCATTTAACTGATGGTCTTTATACAGTTGCAGTCACTATGGGCCACACAGATTAAATGATTTCAGTCACACAATCAATAGCAATAGTCTGGTGCTCTAGTTGTTTTAAACACTGATTTGGTAACAAATCAGTTACCAAAATGTTAGCTAAAAGGGTAGCCTCTTTTTTAAACTGAAAAAGTATATATAAATATGAAAGATAAAAATAATAGAAAAGTAGAAGACAGTCAAGGGGTTTGTATATATCTAATTGAGCCAAATCTCTTATACAGCAGGTCCTCAAATAACATTTTGTTCAACATCATTTCTTTATGATGTTGATGGGAAGATAAAATTGGTTCCTGGCCAGAGCCACTGTCTGTGTGGAGTTTGCACGTTCTGCCCATGACTGTGTGGGTTTTCTCTGGGTTCTCCAGTTTTCTCCCACATCCCAAAGCTGTGCACGTTAGATGAATTGGTGTGTCTACATTTTCCCAGCGTGAGTGTGGGCATGGGTAAGTGTACCCTGCAATGGGATGGAATCCTGTCCAAGGTTGGTTTCCACCCTTCACCCTGAGCTGTCAGGATTCTCCAGCTGGGAATCAAATTTCAACATGAGATTTGGAGGTGATAAATACTGAAACGATACCAATTGGTTTCTTACCCCTGAGGTTGGACTGAACCTTAATGAACTGAACTGAATCCTGAACTGTAATAATTGGGTATATAATTATCATACTTGTTTTATTAATCTTTCTTAAATGTATTATAGCTCACATTTATCTCAATGTTTAATATTAGAAGAGTTTTAGTCTTTATTTAGAAGTTTGATGATGATTTTGTGACGAGACATATGCCATAGAAACTTAACTCTCACTTATATCAATCAGCCTATTATAACATTGGTTTCATCATAGGTCATTTCACTTAAACTTGCAGTTGCCAAGCACCTATTGACGATATTAACTCAGGACTTACTGTATACATGTTTGGGTTCATTTATGTCTATGTGTCCATCAAGAATAAATCCCATACATTATTATTATTTAAACTATTACTTTCAAACTCCTCCTCCATCTATTTATATGTCATCTATCATTCTCCTAATAATACATTAGCTTTTCTACATACCACTTACCAACCCTCATATTTCTTAATTCTCAATTTATAGCTCATTATCAGGTATTCTGGTCATAATTGGATTTGGCTAGTAGCTTATTAATCTTTTCAAAAATAATTCGGTAATAACCTATTATATACACAATGTGGGGGATACATTATTGATCAGGGTAGATGGAATTCCTTTCCTGGGAGCACTTGCCATCTAGAGTAGGGGAAGAGCACTCTATGAACCGATGCTAGTGCTTAAACTGTTAGTTGTTTATTACTGCATAACAAGTTATGTCAAAATTTAGAAGGTGTAAACAACAAATATTTATTATTTCCCAGCTTTTCTAGGTCAGGAACCTGGTTATAGTTTAGCAGGGTCTTCTTTCTCAAAATTTTACAAGGCTGAAATCAAAATGTTGGCCAGGGCTGTGGTCTCATCTGAAGGATCACCTAGGAGAGTATCTACCTTTCTTTAATTTCACTCACATGGTTTTGGCAGGATTCAGATTATTGTTGGTTGTTAGACTGAGGATCTCATCTTTATCACTAGCAATGGGATGAAGGTCTCCATCAGTTCCTTATTATGTGGACCTCTCCATAGGGAAAAAATTACAACAGTGTTTCTAACTTTCATCATAGTAAGCAAGCAAGGGAGAATGAGGAGGGAAATAAGATGGAAGCCAGGGTTCATTCATGACTCAATCTTGGAAGAGACATCCCATCCATTTTGTGATATTCTGCTCACTAGAAGAAATTCACAACACCTGATTCACACTCAAGGAGAGATTACACCAGGGCATGAATCAGGAATTATTGGTAGTTACCTCAGAAGCTATCTACCACAAGCTTGTATTATATAAAAATATCAGTATGTGACCAATTGGAAATGAAAATCAAAAGACAACATTGTGTCAAGAAATTTTATTTATTTGCTTTTTTGAGACAGCGTCTCACTCTGTCACCCAGACTGGAGTGCAGTGGCACGATCATGGCTCACTGTAGGCTTGACCTCCTGGGCTCAGGTAATCCTCCCACCTCAGCCTCTCGATTAGCTGGGACTACAGGTACATGCCACCTTGCCCGGCTATTTTTTGTATTTTTTCGTAGAGACATGGTTTCACCATGTTGCCCAGACCAGTCTCATACTCCTGTGCTCAAACGATCTGCCCACCCAAAGCAAAGTGCTAGGATTACAGGTATGAGCCACCACGCCAGGCCTGTGGCAAGAATTTTAAAGGGATTCAGATTTTACTCTGTGTTTGTGTCCAAGTTAATAAATTAGAGAGTCTGCCACAGTCTCATAGATCTGGTAGGAAGAAAAGGGACTCTCGGCACATAGACTAAAGACAGTTTATGACTTGTAGCAATAAGAGTAGGCAGAGTATTTTTCCATTGATTCACGGATCTGATTCTCAGATAATACGAAGGCTACTGAATTGCAGTTACACATGCAGTGAACTGCACTACAAAAGAGGGATCCTGAATTTAGGCTTCCGGATCTTTTTAATGAACAATAAGCATCCCTGCCCTTTCCTCCAAAGGGAGATACTATCTTTATGTTCAGATTGTAGAAAATTTATGTTTCCAGAAGGAGAAGATAAATTATCTTCTAAGGCTGTGCACTGTACAAACATCTTTGAAAATACAGTTTGGAATAAAGGGCTTTAAGTGACTCTGTCACCCATAAGACATGCAGTAACATGAGAGTTCCGTGGGTAATTATCTATCAACATACTGGGTCTTCACCACAGACAGTATGAGAAGCACTGAACTAGAGGTTTTAAACTATTTTTTAAAGACAAATCTCACAATCACTCTAAAATCACTGAGGTTTATACTACTAAGAGATAGTACTAGACAAGAAAACTTTGACTTATATATGTTTTATTCTTTTTTAATATTTGAGTCCGAGGTAAGAGTGTGTAATAAAGATTCTGCTACAATGTTGAAAAGAACTACGTAGAACCTGAGTTGAGTGGGAGAAAGATTAGCCATGCTTCTTAAGCTTGGCTCCAGCCAAATTCTTGCAATTTCATCAAGATAAACCACAAATTGGAATAAGAACAACAATCCTTGAGGGAGTGCTCTGAAGAGCTTGCATCATGATGTATGTTTACACCTTGGAAGACCCATGAAATATCACCTATTAACTTTATAGCTTATTTCACAGAAGAGACAACTTTTGCAATGTTAAACATGAAACACTGATTGAAATGGGAAGACCATGCAAAATCAACTGTGTAAGAGAAGAAAGAGGCATTGTGGTTAGCTTCTAGAAATAACAGAAATCAAGTTAGTAAATTCTAGAAAAAGTATATGGGCCACAAGAAAGTCATGGAGAAGTGAAAAATACAATAAGAAAACACGAAAAACTGTGAAATCATTTGCATGTTTTTAGTCAAAAGAGTGAGAAAGGCAAAGAATATGGTGGAAATCTAACCAAATAAAGTTAAATATAAGTTAAGGTTGCACTGTGCAGACTCTACCTCGTAAGAATGGAAATATATTGGGGGAAAAGGTCGTGCAAATTAAATAATAATTAAAAGCACTTCTGAATATAGTCTAATTTGCTCCATCTTAAGTGAAAGTCTTGAGAGGAATTTTAAAGAGAGTTATACTTGAGAGAAACAATGATGTCTTGAAGGAGAGGATTTTGAGTTAGATACACAAGGATGAACTTTAGGTACTCAAGAGGGATTTGGGGGATCCCTGTTACTCTTCCCCCTGACATTGTCAAGTTAGAATAGATAATAAAGAAATAAGTTAGATCTTCATAGTCTCCTCTCTGTTCTTTGGTGCTATACAGTAAGCCAGATATAAGGAAAAGTTGAAAATCTTGACTTTGATTCTCTCTGTAAACTGGACTGAGATTGGTGCAGAGGTCGAGGTGTCTTGCTACATAGAGTGCCCTCCTTGTTTGTAACACCTCCCAAGAGTCATGAATGTTGACCCCTTTCACGTGTGTGTGTCTATATGTCTATATGTGCATATACAAATCCATGTAAAAATTACAAAAATATAGATAAAACAATGATCTGACTTGCAAATTTCCATCCCAATATAATTTCTGTTTCCAGATGTGCATATGATCAGTCTGGTATGTATTTCTTCAGATTTCTACAAAGATATTTATGTGGTCATACATGTAGACGTAGAAATGAGATCATATAAAACAGAGTTCAGAAAACTACAGCCTGTGGACCAAATCTTGTCAACGGCATGCTTTACTGCCTGTGAACCAAGGAAGATTTTTATATTTTTTAATGGTTACATTTTAAATAATTATATAAGAACCTACATAACAACTTCAATGTTCTCTCCTGCCCTGCAAAGCCTTAGATATTTACCATCTGGCCCTTCAATGAACAGTCTGCCAATCCTTGACATAGAATAAACCTTTTCCTAAAATATCTTTATCTACATTTAAAAACATGTCTTGGAAATCTTTCTGTGAAGCTATCTTATTCATTTTAGCTGAAAGATGATAGTCCATTGCATGAATTATTGTTGCATAAGCCATTCATCTATTGCTAGATACAAAAATATTGTTCCATTTTTTAATATTACAAATAATTCTGAAATATCCACTCTTTATAGTTGCCTTTGAGTGCACACAGGCAAGTATTTGCACATGAATGTCTTCATTAATTTTATAAACACATACATTCTCCACAAATTTGAGGGCATTTCCCACTTCTAAGAATTTTACCAAAGTCAGACACTCTTGGCTTATAACTTTATGACAATTATTAAATCTCAGGGAGAAATGTAACTATCATGTGGACAGCAGTCTTACATCAGCAATTATAATACACTTTTGCATCGGCAGTGCTGTAAAGAATGAACCGTTATAACCAGTAAAGTGTTTGGTGAGCACAGAAGTAAAGCAAGAAGTATCACTTATATAAACTTAATGCTTAAAAGCGTCAGGCTAGTTCAGTCGGGTGTATCTATCACTAAAATAGGGATAGTCCTGATAATGGACCATCATATGATAGACTGAGTATTCGTTATCCCATACACTTGGGATGAGAAGTATTTCAGATGTCAGATTAAAACAATTATAATATTTACATTCCAATACCATTTGACATGGTTTGGTTCTGTTTCTCTACCCAAATCTCATGTTGAATTGTAATCCCCAATGTAGGTGGAGGGACCTGGGAGATGATTGGATCATGGATGGGTGGAGAGGATTAGATCATGGGGGCAGATTTCCCCCTGGCTGTTCTCATGATAGTGAGTTCTCATGAGATCTGGTTGTTTTAATGAGATCTGGTTGTTTTAAAGTGTGTAGCACTTCCCCCTTCACTCTCTGTCTCCTGCTCTGCTATGGTAAACTGTGCTTACTTCCCATTCACCTTCTGCCATGATTGTAAGTTTCCTGAGGCCTCCCAGCCACTCTTCCTGTATAGCCTGTGGAACTGTGAGTCAATTAACCCTCTTTTCCTTATAAATTACCCAGTCTCAGGTAGTTCTTTAGAGCCATGTGAGAACGGACTAATACACCATTCAAAATCCAAAATACTCCCATGAGCATTTCCTTTGAGTGCCTTGTCAGCCCTCCAAAAGTCAGATTTCAGAGCATTTCAGATATCAAATTTTTACATTAGGGATACTCAACTTGTTTTGGCTACTCCTTCTTTTCAATAGACTCTGTAAGATTCTTATTTAAAATATGCAACTCTACCTCTGTATACTGGCACAGTATAGGAACACTCATCATTTCCTGAAAGTGAAAATAAATATACTGACCTGTCTTTGCTTTTGAGATTGATATTCAGTGGCGCATGATTAGAGGAGCGTGTATTATAGGAGAATAGATGAAATTTAATTAACTAAATTCATGGGATTACTATGTAATAATAATGAAGTCATATTACATGTACTGTTGAAAACACTTATTCTAGCCAATTTCAAGTACTATAGTTAATTTGTAGGGAGTACAGAGTGAATCAACTAGAGAAATATGCAAAAGAATAACATATTTAAAAAGACGAAGTATGATTTTGAAACAATATGATTAAAACAGCACATTTATTTACCTGCTCACAAAGGTTTTATCTATATAATGTCAGAGCATATATTTTAAGAACATACACTAACCATATTCCAGTAATTTCATGGCTATCATAAAAAAGAAAGATTGAACACTCTAGGCTGTCCTAAAGCAGTCATTTTCAAATTTAAATATGCATCAGTATCCTTGGAGAGCCTCTTAAGACAGATTGCTGGAACCCACACCTAGAGTTTCTGATTTGGTTGGTGTGATGGCTTTTTGGTGTGTGAACTTGGCTAGGCTACACTAAGTTCCTCATAATTCCTTCTTGTAGGTTTCTACATAGAGTGGGCTACCAGAGATAGCCTCTTAAGAGTTGGAAGAAGGAAGGAAAGCAGCAGCCACTTCGTACCATACACAAACCACCTTTTCCCAGTGATTCAGTGAAGCGCTGATATTAGTACTGCTGTGAAAGGATCTGGCAGGTGTAATTAACATCCTAATTAGTTGACTTTAAGGAGGTCATTTGGCACCATTGTAGAAAGCCCCCACTAGGACAATGCTTAGTGGAGGCTTGGAGAGTGAGGCTTCCCCCAAGATGCCAGACCTGCAGAGCCACAAGTGTGCAACAACTCTAGCCTGGAAGAGCTACAGAACCTAACTCCAACCGCTGAGAGCTGCCGTGCAGCCTGCACCCAGCAAAGTGATGATGGTGGGCTGCCCCAGGCCTTAGGGGACCAACCTCCACCCCAGTGTGTCCAGATAGTCATGCATAGAGTCAAAGAAGATTTTTCTCAAGCCTCAAGATTTCATATTGTTTGCCCTATTGAGTTTTGAACTTACTCAGGGCCTTTTACTACTTTCCTCTTATCTATTTCTGCTTTTTGGAATTGGAATATCTATTTAATGCTTGTCCCACCATTGTATTTTGGAAGCACATAAGATGTTTGATTTCACAGGCTCACAGCTTAGAGAGCAATTTGCCTCAGAATGAATCATACCTTGAGCCTCACCCAAATCTGATTTACATAACGTTTAGATGAGACTTTGGACTTAGACTTTAAAGTTGATGCTGGAAAAATTAAGACTTTGAAGGCTGTTGAAATGGAATAAATGTATTTTGTATGTGAGAAAAACATGAATTTCGGAAGCCCAGGGATGAATTGCTACAGTTTGAATGTAGTGTCCCCTCCAAAATTTATGGTGAAACTTAATTCCCATTGCAGTGATATTAAGAGAGGGTCTTTAATGAGTTGACTATGTCATGATGACTCTGCTCTCATGAATGGATTAATGCTTTATAAAAGAGGCTTTGGAGAGTGTTTGCTCCTTTTTGTTCTTATGCTCCTCTGCCATGTGAAGATGGAGCAGACACACAACATGCCTGTGCTTAATCTTGGACATCTCAGCCTCCAGAACTCTGATGAAGTTTATGTTCTTTATGAATTAAAAATAAATAAATAAATTAGGGAGATAATCTTGGGTGGACCTGACTTAATCAGGTGGAAGGCCTTAAAAGAGTACCTAGAATTTCCATCCTGAGAGAGGGATTGAAAAAGAAGGGGAGGGGAGAGGAAGAAGGGAGAGGAGGGGAAAGTAGGAGTGCAGAGAAAGAGGAGAGGAGAGGAGAGGAGAGGAGAGAAGAGAAAAACAGAAGACAGAGAGGAAGAGAGACTCCCACTACGGACAACAGCTTCATCCCGTGCTCATGGGGTTTTAGCCTGCCAGCTTCTTATAATAGATTCATCTCTCTCTCTCCACTGCTGGTCTGGAATTACATTTTGAAAATCACTATACTAAAGGATTGAACATGAGCCAATGTGTATGAATTACCTAGGGAAAAATATTAAACATAAGATAGAGGTATCAAACAACCTGGAATTTTCAGTAATGAGTAATCTGCCTTGTGTAGAAGTATAGTTTAGTTCTCTCTATTACAAATGTTCAAGCTGAGTTTGGATAATAATGGCACACACCGAGTACTTACCATGTGCCTGGCAATCTTCACAACACACACATATATACACTACCCAAGTATTTTTTTTATTATGGCACTCAGAGAGTATACATAATTTGCTCAAGGTCACAGCAGAGGTGGTAAAACTTGGATGACAATGAGACAGTCTGGCTGAAAGCCCATGTTCTCCTGAATAACAGCAATACTGCCAATGTACAGAGATGCCATCAGATACAGAAGAAACAGCCAGCTTGAATAATTCTTTCATTTTACTCTTTTTTTCCCCACTCTCAGAATTGACTCCTTTGATTATTTGTTTGTGTAAACAGTCTTAGTTTTATAAACATGAACACTAAGCCCCCTGGTGACTTGGATAAAATGTTCATATTTTAATTTTTGTAATAATACAGATTATAATTTTTTCTATCACGGGATGACTCAAGTGAATTTAGACCTCAGTTCCTTTTTTCATATTGATATTTGTGTTTTTCTGAAAACTTCAAAGTGTGCATACAGCTCTGCTTAAAGAAGTCTTTATTATATGGTACATGTTTGCAGATTAAAGGTTCCAGAAGAGAAAAGGTTTTCAGGGCCCAAAATGTTATCAGTGAACTATATCATCTTTATCATTAATCATCATCTGCTATGTCATGCTTGCTCTCCATCTGGTTGGGTATCAGGTGTGATGTTGAATAGTTTCAGTACATTAATTCCCAACTAGTGACTACTGGTGGCAGGCAGATCAGGTTATTCTGTGAGTATTTATTGACTCTGTTAATTGTTTGACAAATCATTGTTGACTACCATACACAGAATGGCAGATGGCCAGTAAAGTGTTAAATAAAATTTTCTGTACTTTTGTGATCTCTCGATAGATCTTATATTTAAAAAAATTAAAAAGAAGAAGCATTCTTTATTTAAGAGGATGAATGAATTATGATATAAAATCAAGGTATGAATAATTTTAGTATGAAAATTAAGCCTGATTTAAAATAGAGTAATGAAGATCAAATTAAACTTAAATGCTCACACAATTAAGGGTTGTTTTCAGGATCTTTTGAGCTTCCCTGATAATAAGTTTATTAGAAAGTGTTCTAGTAATCAATATTATAACAGTAGAAGAGTGAACCTGGGAAAGAATCCAGAGAGAGTGGAATAGTCCGTGGCACAAATGCTTTTTGGATGGAAAAATGAAAGTGAGACAAGGGTGAATTTATGTTCTTTTCCAGTGTTTTTACACATATGAAATTTCAAAATAGCCTGAGTAAGAGAAATTCAGTAATGGAACATGTTTAATTATTTTCACCTTTAAAACTTCAGAAAAATAAATTTAAATTTCAAAAATTTGCTGATGGAGAAATTTGAAAAACAAATTTAGGAAATATAATGTAGAATGATCTGAATACTGGGAAACCAGTCCTAAGAAATGACAATGAACTGTATAAGAAATTCACAACTACATCTAGAACGGATTTCCCTCTTTCCTTCATTTCATCTTGTGTCTCATTCACCACTGCCTTCCTATATTAACTTGCCTAATGCAAGCTGATTTAATAAATAAACCTCAAAAGTTCAGTGACAACACAACTGAAGCTTATTTCTTGCTAAGATAACACTTCTGGTGCAAATGTTTCTAGTCTGAATGTGAATTTCTTCCATCTAAAGGTTTAGAGATTCATTTTTTTTTTAATCATGGAATTCTCCCATTGTCTAGCATTCCAGAGTCTTCTGTGCTGAGATCAAAGAAGGTGAAAAAAGGAGACAGTGAAGAAGATATTCACACTTCTTAACCTCCTCATACTAGAAGTGACATATGTTACTTTCACTGACATTCTGACAGCAAAAAATAGGCATATGCCCTCACTTAAATGCAAGGGAGTCTGGCACATGTAGTTTCTGTCTGGGCAGCCAGTTCCCAGCCACCACACTATTCTGTGGAGGAACGGCATACATTTTCCTGAATGGTTAACTCTCTCTGACAAATTATTTCACAGATGTTGTGTTTATATTTGTGGAATAAATAGGTTAGGGTGACATTTAATTGGACTACCCTCTGGGAGAGGAAATGATCACCAAGGTGAGAGGTCATCAGTGAAAGTTATGGAGTTTTCTCTCTTGGATAAATGGCAACAGGTAGAAGCAGGTGCCAGCTGCTGTCCTGCTTCATCACGCTTTAAGTCTCCTTCTTCTGAATTTTTTTTCTGAAGTCTAATGATCAAATTACAAAGTTCATGAGGATAGCGTTCAACTGCATGGGATACTTGCTATTTCAAAACTCAAAATACTCATCCATTCCATGAAGCTTTTCTAGACTTACTGAATCTCTTCTAATATTTCCTTATATTTAGCTTCTGAAATACCTCATCAGAATGGCATCTTCTTGATTTGTGATTCAGCTGTAATTAGCAGTGCCCCCTTCTAAATTATCCTTAAGACTTTTAATTGTCTTCTAATTCTTTCTCCCACCACAGTCTCTCTGTCAAACACATCAACAAATATATCATCAAACATCATCTACATACTATAGGGAAAAGTCCTAAAGAGGTCTTGCAGTGACTTAAGTTATGTTTAAAATGTTTGCTATGTTAAAATATATCAAATGCTTATTAGTCCAAATAATAATGCTAGGATCAATGGGTGGGGATTGGAGAGAAGTAGATCTTAGTGCAATATGAGCAGACACTTATAGAGAGTCAATGAGGTATAATAGGAAGTACACTGAACTTGGAATGCAAACACTTTTGTTTGTATGTCTGCAACAACATGTATTGTACTGGCTGTTGTGGTATCAGAGAGATCAGTTACCCTCTTTAAATCTTAATTTCCTGATGCATAAAATGAGGATTATTAAAAACAATCTTTTCCTTCTACTATACGATCACATGACTATCAAAGGTAATGTCAGTGAGACCCTTTTCTAAACCGTAATGTGCTGCTCAAATGTGAAATTATCACCTATTAGAACTTTATCTTAATGGAACAAGGTTTCTCGCCAAGTAAGAGATTCTCTTTCACTTGAGTCACGGTGGCCATTCACACTGGGCCTTCCATATTAGCTGGAGGTTAGGATGAGTGCTCTCAAGGGTCTCCTCAAACTGGGAGATCATCTGGTTTTATTCCTGTGAAACTCTTCATTTTGCAGGTAAGGAAATCAGAGAGGTAAGGTAACTTTCCCCAATGTAATTGCTAGAGCCAGAACTCTCTTATCATAAATGACATCATTTTTTTTTTTCTGGAATCATGTGGGCTTCGATCTTAGCTTTATCTTGGCTTCCTTTAGCCCTTTCTGTCATCTTATTTTGATTGCTGTTTTCTTGCCTACTGACCCAAGAGCACATGCTTTGACTTCATACACAATAATTCCTCCACACTTTGAAGAGATCTAAGTAATATATCTATCAATATCCTGATGGCTCAACTGGTTTTTAGAAGATATAAATCATTCAAATGACTGTTTCACTTGATACTCAAGTTCAGTATGTGTTCTAAGCTTAAGTTAAACTTGGTATGGTCATCTAGGAATTGTACTAGCATTGATACAGTATAACAACAGTACTAGCTACATGAAAGACTAAAACATTACAGAATGATTTTACAATGATCCACAATGTCTGACTATATAAATTGAAATAAAGAAAAATGTCATTACCCCTGTAGCATCTATAAATATTAATATATTTAAATTTTTAAAGACTGGTATTTTCTAATGTCTAAGGAAATATTTTTCAATGAAATAAGCTTTCAGTAGATATTTACTTTGACTGGTTTCTACTATGTAAAATAATAGAAGAGAAGATGGTTTCCCCATTCAAATTTAGCAGTCTAATATGATGGCAATGGAGTGGGAGAACAACAATAGACGTAATCAATTACCAATGACTTGGTCTCTAAGTTTGTCTCAATAAATATATACCTTAGCATGAATCAAGTTACTTTATTTTAAAAATCTGCATCAGAGAAATGAAATTACATGATTTTCTTTAGTATTTGTTGGTCATCTTCACTGAGATTATCAAATCTGTTAAATTGGAAATATTTTCTTTCTCTGCAATCTCACCATTAAAATACTCCGGTTCTCAAACTCCCAATTTGGAAAAATTAATTTCATATTATTCTAAATTTAGAGAGGACAATATTATGTAATTTTAATAGAACAAAAAGGCAAACATATACAGTGAAATTATGATGTATTGATCTGTTTTACCAACAAATCATACTTGCTAATATTGAGAAAAAATATAATTAGAAAATTCTATTCCTTGCATATTGGAAATAATATTTTATGTCTGTAGCCTTTATAGCACTCTGTTTACTATTCCATTGAAAACTTTATCTGGGCATTGGAAAATGCAGGAAAAGACTGTTGATAGACTCGTGTATCAATACTAGGCAACCTTTTTAAATGGTTTATTACATTTCTGACACTTGTGATTAACAAGTATATGAAAGATATTGCTATTTACAAATTTCATAACTGGATAATGTTTCTTAAAGCTGAAGCTTTATTAGAGTCACATGCTTGAAAATAACTTCATGAAATCTCAGCATTTTCTCCATCCATTGATGGCTTAGCATATAGTGTGGTCCTTAAATATTAGTTATTATTATCCCAGAAATGGATGAGCTGAGTTAGATGTATGTAACAAGTCACAAGAGACCACGTTTGTTCTTTTCTTGAGTCTTTACTCAATATATTGCAAGCTACATAAGGAATTTACTATCCTCATGGAGAAATTTTAACTTTTAAAATATTCTCTTTTTGTTCTTCATTCTTTAAAATGCAAATGTTGGCTGTCACAAAACAAAGCAGTTTATCACTTTCTCTCAGAGAAAATATTCCTGTTTATCTGCACAGATGTGGGATTAATGACTAGTACTTTTGAGTTTTGCCCACTTAAGCTGTCTGATGCCCACAACAGCTGAAGTGCTCAGGTTCTTGCAGCCAATATGTAGGCAATTCTACACCCACTCCATGACATCAAGCCTAGAATTGTTATCAGACTCTGAATTGAAGAAACTTTTGCTTCTCCAGTTTTTCATACAGAATATTAGAAAATTATTGTTGGAATTAGTTTTCGAATATTTTACTCACATTGCAAATAGTATGCTAGACTTTGGGAACACAAATAAAATATAATTCTTAATTTTAAGGCAATTAAAATCAGAGAGAGATATATAAACACATTACTATTTATTTGTAATGTATTACTTACTATAGTGTCACATTTTATCATCAATAACTTGATTACACAGATGGAGAGCATCGTATCATGAGAGGTGAGTAGGAAGTTTTCAGTTAAAAGTTGCAGTTTCGGCCAGGCGCAGTGGCTCACGCCTGTAATCCCAGCACTTTGGGAGGCTGAGGCAAGTGGATCATCTGAGGTCAGGAGTTCGAGACCAGCCTGTTCAACATGGCGAAACCCATCTCTACTAAAAGTACAAAAAATAGCTGGGCATGGTGGCGCATGCCTGTAGTCCCAGCTACTCAGGAGGCTGAGGCAGGAGAATTCACTTGAACCCAGGAGGTGGAGGTTGCAGTGAGCCAAGATCATGCCACTGCACTCCAGCCTGAGAGACAGGTTCAAAAAAAAAAAAAAGTTGCAGTTTAAAGAGTAAGGTTGAATTTGAAGATGAAGAGAATGGAACGAAAGAAAGGGAGAGATATGAAGAGATAGAAAGGGACACTTTAAATATATAGGAGTCCAGGCAACATACAAATTATAATAGGATTTATGGGACACTGGGTAGCAAGATTAGCAAGCCAGATAGCAGAAGCAAACAGTACTAGGTGATTAAATAATTTTCTGATAAGTTCTAAAACTTTTAAGAAAGCCAAAATTCTAAAACTGATAAGAAAGCATTGGAAGGTCACACTCTCCAAGCTTAATTGAAAGCATTGGAAGTTCTCACTCTCACCACCCAACCTATTGGGACAATATCCCTCTTTGGAACTCTGGCAGCTACATTAGTATTACATATTTAATTAATTTATTATTTATACATGAACTTCCTTGTCATATCTTAAAAATTCCTTTGTCTTAAACTGCAAATTAAGCCTTATTGCTTTACTTTTCACATACATAAACTCTTTGAGGGCAGGGTTCCAATATAATAATATAATGTACGCCCTATATTGCATACATGGCTCACACATAGTCGCTATTTAATAGTACTTTGTTTGTTAAACTACATACTTTGTGTGGATATTTGTTTTGATTTGTTACCCCCAAGTAATCTTGAATTTTGTTTCCTCCAAAAAAGACAAAATTCTAACACCCAGTACCTCAGCATGTGGCCTTATTTGAAGACAGAGTCTTTAAAGGGGTTAAACAAATTAAAATAAAGTCATTAGGGTGGGTCCTAATCCAATATGACCAATATCTTCATAAAAAGAAGAAATGTAGATACATCAAGGGAAGATGGAAGAAGATGACCATCTACAAGCCAATGTCTCATAGAGCAGATTCTTCCTAGCAGCCCTCAAAAGGAACCAACCCCACCAACACCTTGATTTCAGATGCCAGCCTCCATATCTGCTAGACAATAAATTTCTGTTGTTGAAGCCACCCAGTCTGTGGAGCTTTTCATGGCAAAAGCCCTAGCAAACTAATACATCCTCTAAAATGACTTCACAATCCTATTGAAATCTTTCAAGCATACATTTTTTTATAAGTCACTTAGGACTCAAAGTTTGTCAAATCCCCTTAATTCCTGATCTCACCAAATAATTGCTCAATCTCTGCTTCTATTGGCATGAGAAGACCTGACTTTACTGATACATAGGGAAAGTGTCACGATATACTTTACCATTTCAAATGCAGCTCATGCTCATGAAAGAAGTTTTATAAATACCCTCAAAGGTTATTTGTCAAATTGCCAGTTGTCAGTCATCTCTCAATTACCCATGTATGAATTATTCAGAGCTGGTTTAACTTCAGGCTGATTTCTTTTTGCCTCCAAGCACACATCTGATCTCACTCTCTGTTCCAGCAATTGCTATGTGCTTAGGGAATGCAGACTAATGTTAATATTAGCCCGAGCAAACAATTAAAAGGCTAAATCTGTGTCTAAAAGAAATTAATGCACTCCCCCAAACAAACATGTATCATCTTTGTATTATCAGATGTTTTGGATTATTTAATACCACGGCTCGTTTCCTTGATAATTGAGTCTAATAAGCCCTATGCTTACACTATTTATAATTTTGGGTTATAAAGCCTTAATCATCAGTCAGATGATTTTTATTTCAGTTTTCTACAGTGTTCAGGACAGCATTACAGTGCCTGCTAATATAGGTTGACAACATGATATGGTTTGGCTGTGTCTCCACCCAAATCTCATCTTGAACTGTAGTTCCCATAATCCCCACATGTCATGGGAGAGACCTGGTGGGAGGTAATTGAATCGTGAGGGTGCTTATCCCCGTGCTGGTATTCTTCTGATAGTGAATGAGTTCCCGTGAGATCTGATGGTTTAATAATGGGCTTTTCCCCCTTTTGCTCCACACTTCTCCTTGCTGCCGCCATATGAAGAAGGACGTGTTTGCTTTCCTTTCCACCATGATTGTAAGTTTCCTGAGGCCTCTCCAGCCATGTGGAACTGTGAGTCGATTAAACTTCTTTCCTTTATAAATTACAGTCTCAGGTATGTTTTTATCAGCACCATGAGGACAGGCTGACACACAACACAAGACTGAATTCTATCCTGCAATCTTAACTACTTACATTAGAAGACCTTATTGTATTCTACTCTCAGCTCTGAACAACTCCTGTCTCTTTGGTGACTGCCCATCCTTGACGCACAAGTGAGTCCAAGTTGCCATTTCATGCAACATTATCCACCATCTTCCCAGCCCTTATTTCTGGTCTGGGGATAGATAACAGATTCAAGATAGATGACTCTAATTTCTTTCCTAAGATTTTTGGAATTTGGGTTCAGTGAATGAATCCATCTCTTCAGGTGCTTAGATCTTATTATGTAAATTCAGAATCTGTGGATGGCAAAGTTGTCTGGCTTTTGAACTGAGAAGCAGACAGTGTAGGTCAACAAATAAGAGAAAAAGGTGAGGTTTCCAGGCTCTGATTGGTTTTTTCCAGGTGCCCTGTTGCAATTCTGGCCCTGAGTGTTGTGAAACTTCTCCATATCCTTATAAATTCTACCTGTTTGATAAAATGAAGCCTGGTTATGGTTGTGTTTCCCACAACTAACAAAGCAATCATCCGGCCAAATCCCCTTAGTTTAAAAATGAGACCATTGGAGTACAGGAAAGCTAAGTTGTGGGTCCACATTCACAGATAATTTGTATTAGGACTAGGAAAAAGGCATGTAACTCCAAATTCCCAGGCAATAGGTTGTTTTGAGATAACTGTTCAATGCAGTTGTCAATCCTCGAAAATAGTAGAATTAGAGCTTAATAACTGGTAAATTTATCTCTTACTAAAAATAACTGTCATGTACTGAATGGTTGTCTAGTATGCACTATTTACATTCTAGGCCCTTGAGATATAGCAATGGACAAAACAGATGAGGTCGCTGATCTCATGAAGCTTATATTGTGAAAATTATACTCCATCATCCGGATGGTTGAGATCCTTTAAATTTTCCTATAAGCATGACTACATTTGCACAAAAGCATCTCTTGTGTGGAGTCTTCCCTGAGATAAAGTTTATGAATATGCAAAATGGCTGGCTGCAGCCACCGGTACAGTTTGTTCCCCATGGAATGCTGAGAAGCCAGCTGGTCCTCAGAATACAACAGGAAAGGGAAATATAACATAAGGTATTGTAGGGCGTATTTACACAGTTTGTGCCCCATGGCTCAGTCCTGTCCAATATGTCAGCAGACTGAGAAAGCTTAAGGAATTCTATCTCCTCAGAGAAAACAGTGGTTGTAAATATATACTAGGCTTCTTGCACTTTTTTTTTTTTTTTTTTTTTACTTTGGTCATGAGTCTATCACTAATTGCTGTAGACCCCCTGGCATCAATCAACTGACATTTATGCCCTAGTATTTAGGATTCTCAGTATTTCAAAATTGTAAAACTACATTTGCAAGCACAATCATTTTAACTCCTTAACCTCACGTTTAAGATTGTCCATGGTCGGGCTGCAAGGTACCTCATATGTATTACAAGAATTTAGTAACTGGTAACTGAAAGAATGAATTATTTCACTGTTTTCCTCCAACTCCACATACTCAGGTCAAGCCAAAATATTTACTCTTCCTGCATACTTCCACCACCACCCACCCCCATGGTTCTTTTCCATCTAGGCCTTTGATTCTGCAATTCAATGTCCTGAGAGTACCTGCCTCCTATCTCTGAGATGTGACAGCCTCTTCACCAGCTGCTGCTCTACCTGTCTTCACTGATGGTAGGACTTGTTTAAAGAAGCTGAATAATTCACACATGTGCTTGCCTTACATTCGTTATTCACTACAGTACATAGCTATGTGACCTTATTCTGACCAATGGGCTATGAAGGGAAATTTGCTAAGAAAGAATTTTCCTTCACGATAAAATTAAAGTGTGCAAAAGAAAGCCCCTTCCTTCCTGTTTTGTCTGTAGAAAATAATTACAGTGAGAGGTGAATTTGCCGAAGTCAGCTTGCCACTCTGACTGGGAGGCTGAAACCATCTCTGGGAAACCCAGTCAGAGTCCCACCATTATTTGGCTACTTGACTGATCCAGGATCCAGGTGCGAGCTGTGTCCAGACTTCTTGTTACAAGGGGAAAATGAATCTCCATTCTAAAACCACCTTCAACTGGGTATTTTGGCACTTGCACCAAACCCAGTGTACCCTTTTATGTTTAGCCCTCTATATCCTGTATTAAAGTTATTTCCTTATAACTTACATTTATATCGTACATTATAAATTACTAAAGTGTTGTTCTCCCGATGGTTAAAAAAAAGAACAAAGTGAAGCTAGAAGCTATGTACTGTTTGAAGGCACACAGGTGGCAAAGAGGAAGGCAAACTTTAAGCTCATAGCATCCTTGAGGTACGGCTTCTCTTGAATAATTAGCCAGATGCTGGTGATTTTTACCAATCCTACATTTTCATGGGTTCCTCTTTTGCAATTAGCCTTTCTTCCAGAATTTATGTCAGTGTTTGTTCATTAATGACTTCATAATTCGTATTACAACTATGCCTGCCCGTGACTTCCCTGTGGAGTTAATTCCATAAACAGCCCACATATTAAGACAGTATAGTATTCCTCAGATACATAAGAAGCAGGATAGCTTAGTAGTTACACCTGGTATGTAGTAACTCACAGTAGTAGCTGTGAGTTAAAGTGTTGGATTCATACCCTGGCTCCACTTTAATTCGCTGTGGGCCAAAGAAAAGGTAACGGTAGAAGATACGTTTGAATCAGCTCTTTCTTTCTCTAAAGCCCACTATAACACTCATTGCTTATATTGTTGCAAAAACCATTTCATAATTGATGTTTTTCTAACCCCAGAATCTGGCACACATGGCACAGTATCTTAGATATAGTTGATATTCAAAATGTGTTCAAATGAATGAAATTTGTTAAGTGAAAGTCACCTAACCTTTCTTTTACTGATATTAGTACTTACTAATCCAAGTTGCCTCAAGAGAATATACAAAGGCAAATAATAAATACTGAATTCTTTATTTTTAGCAATCTGGCCTTGTTATAATTCTCACCTCTCTCTCCCAAATCATAGGAATCATGGTTAAGGTAAAATATCTTTTGTAGCCCCCAAAATGTTACAGCACAAGAGGTTTGAGTTTTTAGTAATATAAAAATGCATAATTGCCCACAGCATAATTTCTTTCAGGCCTTAATCCCATGGGCTCAATCTAAGGAGTTTTAAGTTTTTGGTTTTTGTTTTTGTTTTTTCACTGTGTTAACCTGTTAAAGCTCATCTTAGCAGGTTTCTTTGCTCTGTCTCTTCATATGCTTTTGAGTGTGTGGGGCCACAGTTACTTTCAGAGTCTTATTTGCTCAAGAAGACATAAGAATCCAGTTCCTTCAAGAAAAAAGCAAATTAAAAAGTTATTAAAGCATGTATCGCCACTTGACAAGCCCCTCTGGATCCATTTGAGCTTATGACCATGGTGAGTCTTCAGAAAGGGTTTTATTTCACAAACCACTGAGCCCTTCCGAGCCACATGCTGTTTGATAATTAGGGGCTATAGTATCTGTGATAGAAACCCAGTACTGAAGAAAACAGTGAAAGAGACTAATATAGACAACCAGCTGTTGATTTTCTGCCACTGTACTGGTTGACTTAAACTATGTTGCCATCCAAATTTATGTTGAGCCAAAACCCTTTTATTCACAGTAATGTGATGGCAAACAGAATATTGTGACATCCAGGCTATACTGCCATATCAATAGCCAACATCTGTGTGGTCTTTGCAATTTACGATGTACTTTTACATCATTTATCCTATTTAAACCTCACAATATCCTTGTGAACTAGGAAAGTGTGACCTCCTTTTGGAGGTGAAACAGATATACAGATTACATGACTCGTAAAAGGTCTAATGGTGGATCTGGAACTATCTGGCTTCTACTTCCTTCTTCATTGTCATCCTCATCATCTATGCTTCAGGATTTGGGTATCTGTAGAAACTTCAGGTGGATTTTTCCTATTTTCTTATGTGAGCTGTGCTGAAGTTTCTACCTTTGCCTATAGCAGAGTCATTTGAATAACACCACACAGCGCTCCTCCTCTAACTACCTTTGATTGAACACCATTGGTGCTTTGACCCATTGTACATGGGGGTCAGCCCAAGTTAATTGGCAATTCCAAACCACCATTCTCTGTTGAGCTAATAGGAACAAAAGGATCTTATGGCACTAATTTCTAAGAGATACTTCAAAACAAGGCAACCTGGCTGTTTTAGAAATTTCTCCCTTGGTAACTGCCTTCTCACCATATTTCATTAGCTTTAAATTTGCAGACTATGAAAGATGAAGTTTTACCAACTGAAAACACATCTAGGAAATTTTTCCATGCTCATGGGTAGGAAGAATCAATATCGTGAAAATGGCCATACTGCCCAAGGTAATTTACAGATTCAATGCCATCCCCATCAAGCTACCAATGCCTTTCTTCACAGAATTGGAAAAAACTACTTTAAAGTTCATATGGAACCAAAAAAGAGCCCGCATTGCCAAGTCAATCCTAAGCCAAAAGAACAAAGCTGGAGGCATCACACTACCTGACTTCAAACTATACTACAAGGCTACAGTAACCAAAACAGCATGGTACTGGTACCAAAACAGCATGGTATTGGTACCAAAACAGAGATATAGATCAATGGAACAGAACAGAGCCCTCAGAAATAACGCCGCATATCTACAACTATCTGATCTTTGACAAACCTGACAAAAACAAGCAATGGTGAAAGGATTCCCTATTTAATAAATGGTGCTGGGACAACTGGCTAGCCATATGTAGAAAGCTGAAACTGGATCCCTTCCTGACACCTTACACAAAAATCAATTCAAGATGGATTAAAGACTTAAACGTTAGACCTAAAACCATAAAAACCCTAGAAGAAAACCTAGGCATTACCATTCAGGACATAGGCACGGGCAAGGACTTCATGTCTAAAACACCAAAAGCAATGGCAACAAAAGACAAAATTGACAAATGGGATCTAATTAAACTAAAGAGCTTCTGCACAGCAAAAGAAACTACCATCAGAGTGAACAGGCAACCTACAAAATGGGAGAAAATTTTCACAACCTACTCATCTGACAAAGGGCTAATATCCAGAATCTACAATGAACTCAAACAAATTTACAAGAAAAAAACAAACAACCCCATCAAAAAGTGGGCGAAGGACATGAACAGACACTTCTCAAAAGAAGACATTTATGCAGCCAGAAAACACATGAAAAAATGCTCACCATCACTGGCCATCAGAGAAATGCAAATCAAAACCACGATGAGATACCATCTCACACCAGTTAGAATGGCAATCATTAAAAAGTCAGGAAACAACAGGTGCTGGAGAGGATGTGGAGAAATAGGAACACTTTTACACTGTTGGTGGGACTGTAAACTAGTTCAACCCTTGTGGAAGTCAGTGTGGCGATTCCTCAGGGATCTAGAACTAGAAATACTATTTGATCCAGCCATCCCATTACTGGGTATATACCCAAAGGACTATAAATCATGCTGCTATAAAGACACATGCACACGTATGTTTATTGCGGCACTATTCACAATAGCAAAGACTTGGAACCAACCCAAATGTCCATCAATGATAGACTGGATTAAGAAAATGTGGCACATATACACCATGGAATACTATGCAGCCATAAAAATTGATGAGTTCATGTCCTTTGTAGGGACATGGATGAAATTGGAAACCATCATTCTCAGTAAACTATCGCAAGAACAAAAAACCAAACGCCGCATATTCTCACTCATAGGTGGGAATTGAACAATGAGATCACATGGACACAGGAAGGGGAACATCACACTCTGGGCACTGTTGTGGGGTGGGGGGGTGGGGAGGGATAGCACTGGGAGATATACCTAATGCTAGATGACGAGTTAGTGGGTGCAGCACACCAGCATGGCACATGTATACGTATGTAACTAACCTGCACAATGTGCACATGTACCCTAAAACTTAAAGTATAACAATAAAAAAATAAATAAATAAAAAAGAAAAATACAAAAAAAAAATACAATAATAATGCTAAAAAAAAAAAAAAGAAATCACCTCTCTAATAGTTCATTTAGGAAAGTTCTCAGTTTTATTAATCTTTGTGTTGCCTTTGAAGCCAAACCTGTTGTATTGCAGATCCTGCTTCCTGGCAGTCGGAACACGTGTTTATAATCATTACTTCCATTCCTTGAAGGCAACCTTTGGACTTTATTGATTGCTTTATCTTAGTTAATACTCACCTGACATCCCTGAGTTGTCCTTTATGACATTGGCAGACAATTTTAGCATCATTGTCTTTAATATAACACGTTCAAAAAATGAAGAATGTGTGATTATTTTAATGAAAATATGAGTACTGGTATTTTTAGTATTTCTGATGTTTCCTTTATGTTCATAAGGAGTATAGAGAGATTGCTGTTTTTACACTGTTACCTTCCATCACTTCTTGAAAAGGCAAAGACAAGGTAAGTATCATACGTAATACTGAGAAATATATTTCAAAGTAAATATTTTTCCTTAATTCTATCCCTGTTGTTTCTTCTCTTGGTTTCCTTCCTTTCTTGTTTTCTATCTTTCTCCCTCTAATTCTTCCTGGTATTATCTTGTTTTCTATCTTTCTCCCTCTAATTCTTACTGGCATTGGCTCTGATGCTGTACAGAAATCTAAAAAATATGGCACTAATTTCAGAGAAAACGTGGTGCAATTAAAAATCTTTGTTCCAAGTTTAAATTAAGATTATAAACCAAAATGTGGCAGAAATGATCTAAAAACCAAGAATATTTCTCTTACAATATACGTGCTTCATTAATACTTCACAAATCTAGGGTCTTTTTTTAGCCAGTTTTTCTCAGGGATTTCTTAAGCTTGGAATGTATGCTTTGGAAGAAATTATGAAAGGTTACTAAAGATACCTGGGACAGCTGTAAAAGGAAGGCCTCAGCCCATAAAATTAAAGTGAAATAATGAGTGTAGAATCAGTCTCATGTGTGTTGCTGCTAGAGATACAGTCACAATGACCTTCTCTCAATTTCTGGAACATGTCTAGCATGTTCTCATTTGTCAAGCCTTACTACTTTCTAGCCTTATACCTGCTATTTTCCTTTCTGCTATCTTTGTGTAAATTACTGTTTCTCAAACATCAAGGCTCAACTCAAATGTCATCTCCTCAGAGAAGCCTTTCTTTGGTCACTCTAATGTAGATACCTTTGTTATTCTCGATCACTATATTTTATAAGTCATTCATTGCAATTATTTTTATTTTTACTTGATTTTGTCTTTCCCAATGTTGGGAATCAGAAACTGATACCCCCAAATATGGTGCTTTGACAGGTGCTTTGACATGGTGAACTGAAGAAGCCTCAAGTTCTCTCTGACCTCCTCCCAGGCCCCATCTCTCCCAGAGCACAGCATGAAGTTGTTCTCTGACATTCCCTTATCTGCCTAAAGCCTGGACGCACCAAAGAAGAAAACAATTAGCCCTGGTCCCTTCCCTGAATTTTCATTGCCTGAACTCATACTACAGGAAGACAGACCGAAGTCCGTCAGTGCACCTGGACAGACTTTGTCACAGGCCAGTGTCTGTTCTGCAAACCCACAGATTTTGTGCCAAACCATTCTATGTTCTTCAAGCCCATTGAATTTTCTGAAAAATCATTTACTGCCCCCACCCCCCGAAATCATCCACATCTCCCCATCTCCCTTTCCCCTAAGAAGGGTGTATAGCCATCTGTGTCCCATTGTGGTGGGGTAATTACTCTGTGATCCTCTTCTGTGTACATTAACATTTGCATGCCTTTTCTCCTAATAATCTGACAGTGAAGGGAGGTTTTTCCTTGGCCCCTACACCCTCAAAATGCAATTTTCATGAGGCTAGAGACACTGTTTATATTGTTTCCATTTTATTCTAGCAACCAAAGTGGAAACAAGCACATGGCAGGAACCCAATAAATATTTGTTGAATAAATGAGTGAAGTATTTCCTCACAATTATTCTGAATCATTGGCATTACTGGTAGGGAGTTGGGCTGGGGAATACAAAGAGATGTAAAATGCTGGAGCTGTTCTCATGTCTGCTTTAAACTTGGGAGGTTTTTTTAAAAATAAAATTTTAAAATTTTATATTTTGCTTAAACATTGATTTGTTGGGTTTTGCTTAAGTATTGGTTTAATTTTTGGTATTATTGGTCTACTGAGGTATAATTAACCAATAATAAACTGCTTCATATATAAAGTGTATAAACTGACAAATTTTGACATATGTATGCAGATATCATCACTACAATTAAGATCATGAACATAACAATCACACCCTGTGAAAATTTCCCCTGCCACACTCTCTTACTCCCTCTTTCCTGCCCTCCCACGCAGCTAGGAAAACATTGCTATGTTTTTCTATCACTAAAGATTAGGTTTCTTTTCTGAAATTGTATATGAATGGAATTATTAAGTATGTAGTTGTTTGGGGCCTGACTTTTTACCCTCAATATAATTACTTTTTAATCTATCCATGTTATTGTATGTGTCAATAGTTTATTCAGGTTTGTTGCTGAGTAACATCCTGATTAATGAATATACCACAATTTGTTTATCCATTCACTGTTGATGGGCTTTTGGGTACCAGTTGAAACTACAACAAATAAAACTGCTATAAACATTCATCTACATGTTTTTGCATGAGCATACTTTTATTTACATTGGGTAAAAACCTAGCAGTATAATGGCTAAGTCATATGGGAGACATATGTTTAAATTTTTAAGAAATTGAGAAATCGTCTTCCAAGCAGTTGTACCAGTTTACATTCCTATCAACGTGGTATGAGAATTCCAGTTCTTTTACATTTTTGAAAACACTTATCATGGTCAACTTTTTCAATTAGCCATTGAGGTAGAAATGTACAGGTATCTCATTGTGGCTTTAATTTGTATCTCTCTAATGATTAGTGATGTTGAAAATATTTTATGTACTTACTTGCCATCTGTATACTTTCTTTGGTGATGTGTCTATTCCAGCTTTTCTCCATTTTTTGGCATTATTTCTCTTTTTGTTACTGACTGACTTGTAAAAGTTCCTGATATACTATATCTATGAGTGTTGTCAGATATACGTTGTGCAAATATGTTTTCTCAGCCTGTGGCTTGCCTTTTTATATTTATAACAGTGTCTTTTGAAATGCAAAGGTTTTAAATTTTAATGAAGTCAAATATATTGTTTCCAATTTATATGTCTTTCTATTTGTGTTATGTTTAAGAAATCTTTGCCAAACCCAAGAAACTAAGATGTTTCCCTGTTTTCTTCTGGAAATTATATAGTTTTAGCTGGCATATTTAGAACTATAGTACAGTTGGTTTATTTGAAGTAAGTTTTTGTATATGGTATAGTTTTAATTTTGTACATGATGTAATGTTAATTTTTTACATGGTTAACTGACTGATTGCAAATGGCTATTTAATTGTTCTAGAAGTAGTTGTTGAAATGATTACAATTTTTCCATTGATTTTCTTTAGCATATGTATCAAAAAATTGATCATATATGCTCGGCTGTATTTCTGAACTCTATTCTGTTCTATTCATCCATTTGTCTTTACATCAATGTTACACTGCCTTGATTACTATAGTTTTCAATATGTCAAAAGTTAGTAGTGTAAGTTTTACTTTGTTTTGTTTTCAGCATTGTTAGCCTTTTAATTTGCATATGGATTTTATAATCACTCTGTTAATTTCTACAAATAATCATGTTAGGATATGGCGTGAGATTTAATCAAATCAGTAATAAATTTGGGGAGTAGTAAAATTGTTGACAATATTGATTAATGTGATATGTGAACATTTATTCAGATCTTATTTAATTTCTCTGAGCAAGATTTGGAGGCTTACATTGCACAAGTCTTTCAAAATTTTTATCAAATTTTTCCCTATTTACATTTCTGATACTAGTAAATGGCATTTCACCATTAAGTATAGCATTAACTAGCAGTTAATCACTTTTATTGGCCTTTTCAAAGAATCAATCTTTAGTCTTATTGATTTTTCTCTATTTTTAATGTTTTATTTTTTGTTAATTTATATTCCTTTTTCCTATTTTAGGTATAATTTGTTCTTCTTTTTTAGTTTCTTAAGATGATACTTTGGGTCATTTATTTGAAACTTCTTTTCTTTTATAACATAAGGGTTTAGAACTATAAAATTTTCTTTAAATACTGGTTTAGTGTATTCCACAAATTTTGATATGTTGCTTTTTCATTTTTATCCAAATCACAATAAATTCTAATTTTTTTTGAGATGGAGTCTTGCTCTGTTGCCCAGTGCAGTGGCAAGATCATGGCTCATTGCAGCCTCAAACTCCTGGGCTCAAGTGATCTTCCCACCTCAACCTCCAAAGTGTCAAGGACTACAGGCATGCCACCATGCTGTGCTAATTTTCTAAAAATGTAGTTGGAGTGATGGGGTCTCACCATGTTGTCCAGATTGGTCTCAAACTTCTGGACTTAAGCAATCTTCCTGCCTTGGCCTCCTAAAGTGCTGAGATTACAGATGCAAACCACGGCCTGGCCTTAATATTTCTTTGACCCATGAGATAGTAGAAATGATAATTTTTTGGCTCCATGAATTTGGAGATTTTGAAAATAGCTTGATTGGTTTCTAATTTAATTTAAATATTGTCTTTGAACATATTTTGTATTATCTGAATCAGATCAAATGTGCTGGAGACTTGTCCTTTATTGAGAATGTGGTCTGTCCTAGTGTACTTCAAAATAATGTATATTCTACTGTTTGTTGGGTAGAATTTTCTAGTAATTTCAAATAGGTCAATTAGTTCAAATTGGTTGATAGCACTGTTCAATATGCTTTCTAACTTTTTGTCTACTTGTTTTATAACTTATTAATAGAAAGGCATACACATTTTCAACTATAACAGCACATTTGTCCATTTCTTCTGTTTGGTCAGTTTTTGTCATGAATGTTGAAGCTCTGTCACTAGATACATAAATATTTGGTTTGTTCTCTCATCTTACTGAATTGATCTTTCATCATCATCCAATAACCCTTTTTATTTCAGGTAGTGTTCACTGTTCTGAAATCTATTTCATCTAATATCAATATAGGTCCTCCTGTTTGGTGTGGGTTAATGTGGGACTAATCTGTTTTTCATCCATTTATCGTTAAGCTTTTTGTATACTGGAGATGTGTTTAAAATAGTATTTCTACTTTCAGCCAAGGTATATTTACCCTTTCTACCACAAACAACTAGAAAACTGGACAAAACATATCAAACAGTTGTTTCCAACACAGAACATCATGCAGTGCAGAGCAGTAACTCCTGAAATAGTGGAAACAAGTGAAGTGAGTTCTTCAATTAAAGCAGCTTACTGCATGGAGACTGCTTCCAGGCAGCAGTGGAGAAGCAGAGAACTAATGCAGAACTCAATGGACACACTCTGAGCTGCAGAAATGGAGTTGAAAGTGAAAGGTTGATGAACTTGTGGAAATAGAATTAGACCATTAGACCAGAAAAAAAAACTAAAAAATAAGCAGAATATTATTGAACTCTGGGATAACTTTAAGTGACCTAAAAAATAGGCAACTGTAGTTCCTGAAGGAGAACGAGGAGAGTGAGAACAAAACAGAACAAATTTTAAAGATATAATGTCTCATTTTTTCAAAATTTGAAGGAAACTAGAAATAAACAGATCTGAAAATTCATATACATCCCAAGCACAAGATACATAAAAAAACTACATTAAGCCACATTGAAATCAAATTTCTGGAAGCAGCTGATAAAGACACTATGCTAACAGCAGTCAGAAAAAGAAAAGACACATTACATACTGAGGAGTAAGATAAGAATGGCAGAAGAGTTCTCATAAGAAACAAAGTGAGCCAGAAGACAGCGGAATAGCATCTCCAAACTACAGAAAGAATAATCTGTCAACCTAGTATTCATAGCGGCAATATCTTTCACTAATGAAGACAAAATAAAGACTCTTCAAGCATAATCATTCAAGAAGCATTTATCACCAGGAGACCTACCCTTGAGGAAATGTTAAAGAAACTCCTACAGGCAGAAGGGAAAAGATTCCATATGAAAATCTAGATCTTCACCAAGGAATGGAAAACCATGCAAACAGGAAATTGGTGTATAAATATATGAGGGTTTTTTTCCCTATTTTTAAAGTCTATTAAAAATTTGACTATGTAAAACAAATATAATAACAATGTATATGCTAGTTTATAACACATGTAGAAATAAAATATAAAAATAATAGCACAAAGGATGGAAAAGGAAGCATAACATTATCGTTTGTTTTTAAAATTATATCCTTGAAATGGTATAATATTACCTATAGATAGACTTATTACATTATAGGTATGTCCTATAAACTCTAAAACAGCTACTAAAAAGGAATCATTGGTCTACCAAAGAGATAAAATGAAATTATAAAATCATAATTAATCCAAAAGAAGGCAGTAAACGAGTAAAAGT
The DNA here is from genome assembly GCF_000001405.40 of Homo sapiens. NCBI lineage: Eukaryota > Metazoa > Chordata > Mammalia > Primates > Hominidae > Homo > Homo sapiens. Next base: position 1,573,040 of record NC_000003.12, read on the forward strand.
AGATTAATAATATGTCACAAATAGAAAAATAGATTGTAAGATGATATATTGTAACCCAACTGTGTTAATAATCATAGCAAATGTAAATGGTCAAAGTACCTCTATTATAAAGACAGAGACTGTCAGAGCAGATTAAAAAACAAAACAAGCAAGATTCAAGTACAGTAATGTGTCATTTAATAATAGAGGTACATTTTGAGAAATGCATCACTAAGCAATTAAGTCATCGTGCAAACATCATAGAGTGTACACTCATTTCGCAGTATCCACAGGAGATTGGTTCCAGGATTTCCCACAGATACCAAAATCCATGGATTCTCAAATCCCTTATATTAAATGTCACAGGATTCATATATAAACTATGTATATTCCCCTGTATACTTTAAATTATCTATAGATTACTTATAATACCTAATACAATGTAAATTCTATGTAAATAGTTGTTATATTGTATTTTAAATTGATATTGTTTTTATTGTTGTTTTCATTTAGCTTTCCAAATATTTTTTATCCGTGTTTGGTTGAATCTATGGATGCAGAACCTACGGATATTACAGGGCTGGCTCTACTTGCACAAACCTAGGTGATATAGCCTATGACATTTCTATATATGACAAGGCTATATGGTATAGCCTTTTGCTCCTGGGCTACAAACTTGTACAGCATGTTATTCTACTGAATACAGTAGGCAATCGTAACACAAAGGTGATCATTTATGTATCTAAATATAGAAAAAGGACAGTAAAAATGCAGGATTATAATCTTATGAGACTGCCATTCTATACATGGTCAGTCATTGACTGAAACATTGTTACGCAGCACATGACTGTGTATGCTGCTTATAGCTATGTAGCCAAGGTATTCCTTTTACATCTTTAAATGTCCAAACAAAATTATTAACTGTAGAAAAATAAAGCACCAAAAAACCTAGATTTGAATTGTGCACCTTGCTCAAAACAAAACTAATGAATTAAAACTTTGAGGATAAGATTTGAGCACAATTTTGCAAAATTAGCTTGAAGTAGTAGGCATGGGATAAAGAAAGTTTCTAATCCCCACCTACTTCTCTATCTCTAGCTCATTATTTCTTCTGAATTTACCCTACAGTCTTGTTAATTCACACTCAACTCTTCAATTTTCCCTTTACCTCTCTTTACCATTCCTTTGTGCCTTTGCATATACTGTTCTATCTGCCTGAAACCCCCTTTCTACACTTCTGTATCTAGGTAAGTTGTGCTCATTTTTCAAGACTTGGTTCAAATCTTCTCTTTGAAGACTTTCTGATTTCTCCAAGTTATGTGATTATATTTACACTTACATAATGATACATGGCTTGAAACAAAGCATTCTCTTTTAACCCTTGATACAGCCCCTGAGTCAGGCATTACTTTTTTTTTTTACGATGAAAAAAACTTGGGACGAGAAATTAGATGAATTGTAAAAAATCTTATGTACAACATATGACAGAATCAAGACTTGAATAGCAGCCTTATCACTCATTGTAGTGTATCACGGTAGGTTCACAATAAGGGACAGGATATATGTTGTCACAGTGTTCTTTCTCAGTGAAGTGCTTATATATTCAATAAGCTAATGGAAATACTCTCTGAGCTTCTTACAAGGCTTATGGTAGGTATGTAAACAATGCTTGCTTCAGTCTCCATTAAATCACTTTAAATGAGATACTGTGAGTATACACAATAATGCTATTCAAATGCTTTTGTGAGCAAATGAGATTTTCTGCTTAAATTCTTCTATCATCTTTTTCCTATTTTCAGAAAGAAAATGGGGACAATTGCAATAATGGAAATGCAAGTGACTGGATTAGTCAATAGCATTGTTGAACTAAGTTAACAAACACCTTAGCTTTTCATGAACAATGATATAGCTAAACTGATTAACATAGAATGATATCAGAATTAGCTCATCACATTCATTTTTCTTCTTATCAGGAGTGACACTGTTGTAGCAGAGCAGTTGTTTTCTAGCTGGTATCTGTCATCATATATAAGATTATAACTGTGACATTGATTTTTTCCCATTATAATAGAGTGGATGTACCCTGCTTAGGTTTGAATGTAGGGCATTCTATGAACCTCAGAAAAAAACAGCTGGTAAGGAAAGGGAGGAACAAATAGGCCAGAACTAAGAGATATACATTGGCTACGGAACTGGCTTTTCCAAAGATTCTGATGAGCAGAGCAAGTCACAAATTCCAGTTGGCAGACTTAGGTATGATTTTTCCTGTTGTAGACTTTCAAGAGGAAATGATGAGATTGTAGAAGCATGTCAAAAAAGATTGTAGGCACCGATGATGCTCATCAAGTAAATGGCAACACCTTCATTTGGTTCACATTCCCATTAACCACTCTGTGATGGCCAAGTGTTTGGACTGGATGTAAACAGGATTCTACCCAACAATTAGAAACATGGAGAGAGTCTCCAATGTAGATCTGACAAGCAGTTCATCTCTAGATATATAATAGACTTCAAATTAAGAGCATAACTTCTTGAAGTTTGAGCTCTTCATGTTTAAGGTTTGGTCCTAACTGGGTTTAATGGAGCAGAAACTGCTAAATGAAGGACTTAAGTACTTACTTAATAAGTAAGTATATAGTAGATATATATATATAGAGAGAGAGAGAGTAGATATACTATATAGTTATATATAGTATATATATACATATATACACACACATATATATATATGATATAGTAGAGATAGGTAGCAGGCAATAATTGGTCATGCTATTTAATTATTTATATTTTTGGTGAAAAGTAATGTAAGTTCTTGTCCTAAGTAAAGAGAGTCTCTGTGTAGCTTTCATCTTTCAAACCAACTGACAATAAAAAAGAGAAAGTGAAAAAGAAAAAATAAATAAGATTTGTCATAAACTAGAAAATAGAAATAATGCTGAATCACAATAAAGAAAAGCCTAAAAATGCTTTGAAAATTAAAACTAGACGTGGGAAAACATGATCATGTTTATAAATATTTCAGAACAACTCTTCAGAGTTGTCCAAAAGTATATTTTGCATCCTGAGGAGGAAAATAAATTCCTCTCTTTGAACTAGTAGATGATCTACTAGTTGTGTAAGTTGTGTTGCTAGAGCCTTCCTAATCTCTGCCCTCCACAATATCATAACAAGGGAGTGGCAGGGCCAAATGAGGAAATGCACAGAAAAGCCATAGGGCAGGAGTCAGAATGTCATTGTGACAGTGCCAATTAAACCTGGATGGGATTCAGTTTACATCACGAGAAGGACTCATGACAAATCAGGTTCCACTCTGAGCAAGGCCAGAATACAGACACGTCATGGAGCAGGTTATTTCTTATAATGTGTTCTGAAGCAACGGACTAACATCCTAGAGGCTGGCTGATCCACCCCACACTCCCAACTACTTCCTGACACTATTCTTCAAAGATTATCTGGTCTGGAAAAAAAGTACTCCTATTTAAAAATGAGTAACCACAGCAACAAACGCTATGGGAGCTACAGAATCATCTACATCAGAATTAAGAGGGATGAAAAACAGCCAGGAGAAAAATAATTCAAGCCATAAAAGCTATACAGCAAAGCAAATTTAAATTATGAGTTTTACATAAGTGCCACTGGAAATACAAAAAAAATTGAAAAGTCTAATTTCAATGTTTCAAGTTCAAACAAGATATGAAAAACAACAAAATTATAAAGTGAAAAATAAGCTGAAAGGCCTTAGTGAAGAAATGGAAGAGATAAACACTAACATTGTGAAAGCAAAAGTCACATTTAAAGGAATAAAATGAAAATCAGTCACTCCTTAAAGCACAGCAAGGGTGAATAAGATCAGCTTCCGAAAACTGAGTGGAATGAAATTGAAAAGACGTGCTTAACACGTTTGAGAAAAAGAATAGATATAGAAGAGAAAGGAAAGTCACATACAAATGGTTTAACTCCCTGAAAGGGATAAATTGAACAGAAAATAATCAGTTACATGTATACAGTAAACAAGAATAGGGGTGAAACCAACCAAAATATGTGGTGGAGGCCAGGGTCAGGAATGGGGGAGATAAACAGACATTGTATAGACACCATATCAATCAGGGAACAATCAGAGAAGTAGAGTCGTTGAGCCACATTTATTATATTGATTGGACCTTCTACAATTGTGGAAGCTAAGTCATGTATGTAAGACTGTTGCTTCTGTGTTTCTTGCTAGAACCTGAAATATCCACAGGGAAGGCAGTTGGGAGGAAAGCCAAACATGATGTAGGAAGCAGGACAAAGGGGGAACCTCTGAGAATGGATTGGAGCCTACACTGGCCTCTCACCACCTCCAGTCCTCCGGCTTTGATAAGGCAGGGGTGGCCTGCAGGAGAAACTGATTTTCTTCATCTCAGGGCTGAGCACACACCTGGCCCAGGATTTAGAGGAGCTGAAGGAGGGAATGTGGCACAAACTTAAGGAGCTAAACTTCAGCTTCTGTCCCACAGCAAAAAGGTGAGATGGAAAAGATGCAACAGCTCAGGAGAGCTACAGTGTCTAATGCCCTGCACCAAACTACTGTGTGTAAAAATATACGTATATATGGCTACTGCTTCACTGTAAAATGTCTGTGGTGTCCCATGCTAACCAGATACTACGTAGGGCACAGGGATCTGGAAAATACTGTTCCAGGTTGGTTAACGTGATACAATATAAATCCACCACAACCTATTGGAGTCCTAATTGCCATATATAAATAGGTATCTTTGAAAGCTGATGAATCAAGAATTCCAAGTATCAAAACATTTTTTCAAAAGTTAAATTTTATAAAGATATCCAGATGAAGTTACAAAATGTAAAGAAAATCTTTCCAAACATTAGGAAGAGGAAAAACTGTTCCTTCTTTTCTCTCTGTATTTCTTTCTCTCCGTCTCTGTCTCTCAAAGACACACATACATGCACACACATGCACACACGCACACACACACACACACAAATCTTTAATCATGGCAATAAAATATATTGGGAAGAGGAGAGCTATAAAATCAGATTTGCCAGGGTTAGATTCCTGGCTCTCATTCTCATTATTTATGTGACTTTAGGAAAATTAATACATATAAACTCAGTTTATACACTCCTAAAATGGTAATAATAGTACCTTCTTCAGGATGAGAGAGTAAGTTAATACATGCATGATGCCAGATAACTTTGGATCATTCTCCTAAATTGTTGGAAACTTTTGCCAAAATTACTAAGTTGTGCAATTTGGGGAGTAGCACAGACAAGCCCTACAGCAACTGGGTGAGACAGTCATTGCTGAATCTCTGTAGCAGGAATTATTATGACGTTGGAGCCTTTTTACTGAACTCTGTGTCAGATGAGCTCCCAACAATTTCCAGATCATCAAGAAAAGTCCAGTTTTCAAAAAGATATGGCAAGAAATCTCACAGTCAAGAATCTGAGAATTGTGCTCAAGCCAGTGTCATAAATATTTCTCAGAAGTAGAAAAGCAGAGAGAAAGAATGTTTCCCTCCAGAACCACGAGATGATCTCCCGCTTCCTCCGTGGAAAATAGTCCTCTTCAACCTGTATTTCATTGCTGAGTTTTTGTTTTGATTTTGAAGCCACAGATTAATCATGCAATTTTGGCAGCAAATGAACGACTAGTATGCTCACCACAACACAGGACTTGAATGTAGCAAGTACGTGAGCTAGTTGCAGTTAAGTTTTAGGCTCTAGAAAATGCATTTGAATCTGAGGAGAAAAAAATAAGTATATATGTGGCTTTAAATTCAACCATTCCTTGGAAGACTTTCTACAATGTTGGCAGCATTTATGAAATAGTTATATTTATTTCTTTTTGGAATACATATTTTTTCTCTTATAAACAACTATATATAATGTAAGGGCAATCATAATTTACCATAGAAAGCCACATCATGCAATAAACCATCTGAGCACTCTTTTGGCCTCTGTTATAATTTACTGTATTCAAAGCTGTTGGTGAATTGTGTGGGTGGTAACGTTATGAGTTTTTCAATATCTCACTAAGTATATTTAGAATGCTTAATTGAAGCTTAACCTTTATTTTGTTCAATACATGTTGTTTCTAGCTAATAGTTTTGGGGGAAATAATCCCCTAGGTCAAAGTCTTATATTTAGCTGCTTCTGTTTTCTTTTAAAGCTAGAAAAATGAAGGGTGTGAATGAATTGATATAACAGGAAATCAACAGGGTAAAGAATAATTTTGATGATTTCTTCTTGGCATTGCAATTATATCCAGTACACTTGATGATGAAATAAACAAATAGTTCAAACAAAGCCATTAATTTTCTTCCTATCTACACAATTTTAATTAGAAACATTTAATTAGACTTGGCTAAAATTTCTCAACAAGATTGCAGAATGCATGCTTATGCTACTTGTACACCAGGAAATGTATTTTTCAGCATTTACTAAGTACAACAAATAGCTGCCATGATTGTAGGTATTTCATGGAAAACATTCTTGTCAAAATTATCTTTTATCCCAAAAAGCTTTCACTGGAAAACAAAGTTCCCTCAGAGTTTATTAGTTATTAAGCTTTGATATTTTAATTGTTATAATAAATAAGATGCCTTTTTAATATATTAACTGCATTTTATATTATGTCATTTTTATGGCAAGCAATAAATGTGTTTGATGTTCTTGATACTATTTCACCACTGAATTTTTTAAACTTTCATTATCATGAGCATTTCTGACATGAATTAAAATGACATGCAAATCTGTAAGCTCATTTCACTGAAGCAAAAATGCTAAATTGTTGAATTCATAGAGCCTTTTAATCTTTAGGGGCAAATATTGTTTTCAACTAAATTTGATAGAACTCAACCAATTGTTTTAAGTAGTTCTCTTTTATTTCTCTCATTCTACAACCATTTGTGTGTAGAAAATATGCAAACACAGTTGTTTTTCAACTTAAAAAATAATAAACATTATTTCCACTAGCATGTTAAATTATTTGAAGGCACTGTACTAGGCTTTCTAGTTAAAGAAACTTATATTACCTAATTACACCCAAGAGGTAAGGTCCTTATATGACTCACCAAATATTTACTAATAAATTGTTAAATATAGTTATTTTGAGATGTCTATGTTTCTAATTGCATTTAATAATAAATAAAAATTTAAATGTTATCTTTAATAATCACATATCAGTACTATATTCTTATTCTCAGCATCTTGGGAAAGACGTTTAAGTTTAACTAGAGTGACACTTATTTTGGCATTTAAGAGTAGAGCTTATTAATATTTAAATCTATGCAATTAGATTTCAATTTTTTTCAAACGTTTTTTGTTATTAGGACACATTCAAATTTTTAATTTTTTCTAAATTTATAAAAGTATCTACATGGTTGTTTAAAATGTACTTCAGAAATCTATAGCAATGGGAATAAATCCCATATAATTGCCCCAAAAGATACAAAATGTTAAATAGTTTGATGCATATTTTAACAGATTTTTACCCTACATATGTTTAATTTTTCAATAAAATAGTGAAACTACTTGTACATATTCACTTGCAACTGGTTCTTTCTATTCAATAATGTATTTTAATCATGAATGAATTCAATATATAATGGATTTAAAGAAAAAATACATGGTTAGTCTGAACGCTGCCTGAGAATTACATGGTTATTCTAAAACTGAAAAAGTCAGCTTTGTTCTCTTTTTTTACTTCTTCAATTTATCATCATAGACACACAGAGGAAGCAAATCTCGATTCACTCCTATGGAGTGAGCATCACTTTTATCTTCATGTTACAGCTGGGGAGTCAGAGACAGAACATTCAAGCAATTTGTCCGATCCCATACTTTCAGGAAGGGAAGGAGCCAGGATTCGGAAAGTGGCAGCTATGGTGTCGCCAGTCCATTTTCCTAAGTACTATGTTCCTTACCACCCACAGGAAACAACCCTCCCCACAATAACTGAGCTCTGCTACGGTCACTAACGAGGTAAATGAATAATATGCGCCTACACTGTACCCCACCCACCGACCTGTTTAAGACACACAATACAACTTCATGCCTGGAATCATAACCATTTACTTCAGTCCCAAAACGTCAGAGATGCTCGCTAATGACTGCCCTTCTTAAAGTTAATTCTGTAAATGTTAAGTATTATCATCTCCTAAGCCTTTCCCAAAGTGTGTGTTCCATGAATAGTCTATGGAAATGAAAGAGCTGTTATTTACTCAAAAGTTATTTGTAGGAAGAGGAGGAGAACTCATGAAAATATACATTGTGAGCCTCTAAAAAAGGCATCAAATATACTGATCTTCATTTTGTCTGTAAAATATTTTATAATATATCACTTTTCTTTTTCAGAATATTCCTAGGTACAATGGTTCCGGGAAAAAGATTTTGGGAAAATGCTTATCTAATCTGTAATCACCAAAGAACATAAATTTAGAGTTTGAATAGAATAGAATAGAATAAAATAGATGCAAGTCACTGCTTCATGCTTTTTATATATTTTAACTTGCGTAGTCTCAGTTTGGCATTTGGAAAGTGAGAATAATCATAAGTATTCCATAACATTTTGTGAAGATAAAATAGCTAATATATTATGGCAGATTTATGGAGTACCACAAATTCATTGGTACTCCTTCATTAAGAGATAGAAACTGTTTAGTCTGGGTTAGTCTGTAACTGCATTTTTCAATAGACTATGGTAGAAATGATGCTATTTCCTGTAATAAGCCTGGCAGCTTTTAACTTGGTCTCATGAAAAAATCAAGCCATCATGTATAAAATACTGTGATACCACCATGCTGTGAGGCAGCCCCAGACACGTGGGGAGGCTCTGGAGCATGAAAAAGCATGCAAAGAAAGAAATAGAGCAGTCATGATATGCCCCAGTGCCAGACCAATAAGTGAAGAAGACATCTTGGAAGTGGATATACTCCAGGCCCAAATGCTATAAATGAAACTATCTGGATTAAAATTCAACTATCCTGAGAAGTGATGTCAGCAGAAGTTTTAAAGTATGAAGCTGGGAAAACATACTCCTCCATAAGAGCAATGAGTACTAACAAAAATTGTCAAAATCAAATCTGGAAATTAACCAAAGGCTTACAACAATCTGGTAGCAGTCATTCAAGAAAAATGGATGTTTCTGAGTAATAACAATGACTTTTGTGGCATTTTACTTTGCTGTATTCCTATCCCCCACTCTCCCACTCCACAGTTCCCTTGCAAATGAGCAGCCTTGGAATTATTGTAGTCATAAAAAGCAGAATCAAGGGACAACTAAGATACCTGACAAAAGAAAGTTTGGAGGCCAGGCGCAGTAGCTCACGCCTGTAATCCCAGCCCTTTGGGAGGCCGAGGCAGGAGGATCACCTAAGGTTGGGAGTTCGAGACCAGCCTGACCAACATGAAGAAACCCCCGTCTCTACTAAAAATACAAAAAATTAGCCAGGTGTGGTGGCGCATGCCTGTAATCCCAGCTACTCAGGAGGCTGAGGCAGGAGAATCGCTTGAACTTGGGAGGCGGAGGTTGCAGTGAGCCAAGATCGCGCCATTGCATTCCAGCCTGGGTGACAGAGTGAGAATCTGTCTCAAAAATAAAATAAAATAAAATAAAATAAAGAAACAGCTTGGAAACACTTCTCCTGCCAAGAGAACCCAAAACCTTCACACTTTGAACAGATCTTTTGAGGGGAAAACCTGAAAGTTGGTACAGAGAATACACAGACACTGTGGATAAAGAAGGAGGAATCTGGGAACTCCAGAGTCACCAAGCACCAGGACCAGCTCTCAGTACTGAACAGGTCCTAAGGAAGGGGTGAGTGAAGGAACTGCAGGGGACCACACTCCTGCTAGGACCTCTGCGATCCTAGCTACAAGAGATCCCTAGACCTCCACAGACTTTTGAATTTGCAGGGGGAATTGACCAGAGAGCAGGCAGAGATACAGCCAGAACCTTGGCAGAGCCCAGAAAGTTTCCTGGCGTGCAGTGCGACTGCAGCAAAAGGCAGCCAGAGACCATCTCCCAAGGCTCTCCATCTTGCTCTGAGTGACTCCAGTCCCTGCTGACTCCTGGGCCAGGAGAGAGCACGGCTGCCTCTCCCACAGGTCCAGGGTGCATCCGATCCACACAATCCCTTGTGCACAGGCCGCTCCCAGACTGACTGCCTGGCCGCTCCTACAGGAGAGGCGCCCACAGCGCGGCCTCCCCTGGCCCGCCTGAGTGTTTCACAGGTAACCTGGGAGCAGTCAGGCATGCCCAGCGCAGCCTGCACTTGACCTTGAGAGGACAGAGGGCAAAACTGCAGGCCTGGTCCCAATTCCCCAAGATTTGAGCACAGTACCCAGAGGTATGGAGCTGAGATCTGCAGCCCGAGCTCAAGTTGGGGAGGAGCCCCACTCATAGAACATCAAGCAGAGTGTCGCATGGGTTCATGTGTGCTGGTGCAGGAGCTGGGTGTCCCTCCCTCCACAACATCAGTCTGGGAAAGACATAGCCTGTTAGCCAGCCACAGGCCCCTTTCCCAGGGAGATCCGTGGCCTGGAACACCTGGAACAGCCCAGTAATCTGGGCACAGAGGCTTGAGACAAGTCCAGCTGGTTGGGCCTGCTCCTGGAGTCAATGCTGGAAGGGGGCTCAGTGAACAGGGTGCGAGCAGGGCAGTCCCCACAGCTGTCTGCTTGGATAACAGCCCCGGACCACAGGTGCCACACCAGCTGCACATTTACAATACAGCCGCCCTGATCACGAGGTCAGGAGATTGAGACCATCCTGGCCAACACGGTGAAACCCCGTCTCTACTAAAAATACAAAAAAATTGGCCGGGCATGGTGGCGGGCGCCTGTAGTCCCAGCTATTCAGGAGGCTGAGGCAGGAGAATGGTGTGAACCTGGGAAACGGAGCTTGCAGTGAGCCAAGATCGCATCACTGCACTCCAGCCTGGGAGACAGAGCGAGACTCCATCTCAAAAGCAAAGCAAAGCAAAACAAAACAAAACAAAACCAAAAACAAACCAAAAAAAACCCACTACGGCTGCCCTGCCAAGGGATCCTCCAACCTTGACACATTTCATCACTAGACCACCCTCAAACATACCCTACAACACACTCTGACTTTGCCAAGCTCAGAGAACCAGCAGGTCCCCAGGGACTTGCAGGTCTCCTGGTGACCTAAACTTTGGCTCAGACTGCCCCTCTGGGACATGAGAGCACAGACCGCCAAAGCCCCACGTGGACCTAAGGTAACATGAGCAGGGCGCCAGCAATTGCAGGGGCTCCACCAAAGCCTAGGAACAAACTTGGTGAGGGACTCTTCTCTCATCCTCCATGTCCCTTCTCCCGAGCACTGCTGGGTATGCACTGAAATACAAAAGAAGTATGTGGCTAAGAGCCCACCTACTGGCCCTACTCTTAAGCACTATCTACTGGATCACAGCATGAATGACTACACCAAACAAAAATTCTTTCAGCACAGTTGAATGCCTGTGAAACCCAACATGGGAAACAACCCACAATTAAGGAAACTTTGGAGAACCTTGACCCTCTGCAAGCACTCAGATACAAAGCCAATTGATTACCCACAATATACACTGCAGTCAAATCCTCAAAGTAAAAAGAATATGAAAATAAAAGGTCCCATCTAAATAGTAGCAATTTCAAAAAGAAAAGAAACACCAGACCCCTCAGATGAATAGGAATTAGTGCAAGAACGCTGGCAACTCAGAAAGTCAGAGTATTTCCTTACTTCTGAAAGATTATAGTAGCTCCCTAGAAATGGATAGTAATAAGACTGAAATGTCTGAAATGACAAACACAGAATTCAGAATTTGGATGTCAGGAAAGCTCAACAAGATTCAAAACAAAGTTGAAATCCAATCCAAAGAACATAGAAAAATGAGTGAAGACTTGAAAGATGACATAGGCATTTTAAGAAAGAACCAAACTAAACTTCTGGAATTGACAAATTCGGTACAGGAATTTCAAAACAGAGTTGGAAGCCCTAGCAACAGACTAGACCAAGCTGAGGCAAGAATTTCAGAACTGGAGACCAGTCCTTAAAATCAACTTAGTCAGACAGAAATAAAGAAAAAGGAATCTTTTAAAAAATGAACAAAGTATCCAAGAAATATAAGATTATGTAAAGGGACCAAACACATGACTCATTGACATTCCTGAGGGAGAAGGAAGAGAGTAAGCAAATTGGAAAACATATATGAGGACATAATCCACAAAAATTTCCCCAATCTCACCGGAGAGGGTGACATGCAAATTCAAGAAACTTAGAGAATCCCTGTGAGATACTATACAAGAAGACAATCCCTAAGACACATTCACCAAGGTCAATGCAAATGAAAAACTCTTAAAGGAAGCTAGAGAAAAGGGTCAGATCATATATGAAGGGAATACCAACTGGCTAACAGTGAACTTCCCAGAAGAAACCTTACAATCCAGAAGAGACTGTGGACCCATTTTCAGCATTCTTAAAGTAAAGAAATTCCAACCAAGAATTTCATATCCCATCAAACTAAGCTTCATAAGTGAAGAAGTGATGAAATATTTTTCCAGAGAAGCAATCACTAGAGGAATTTGCTACCACTAGATGAGCCTTACAGAGATCTTTAAGAGAGTTCTAAACATGGAAGCAAAATAAAGACACCTGCTACCACAAAAACACACATGGGTATATAGCTCACTGATACTCCAAAGCAACTACACAATCAAGATTACAAAGCAACCAGGTACCGACACTGTGATAGGATGAAAACCTCCTACCTCAATAGTAACCTTAGATGTAAACAGTCTAAATACACCACTTAAAAGGCATGGAGTGACAAGTTGGATTAAAAACAAAAACAAAAAATACAAGAGCCAGCCTTCTACTGTCTTCAAGAGACCCATCTCACATGTCACATGTAGTGACACCCATAGGCTCAAAGAATTGATGAAAACAGAAAACATGCAAACAGAAAACAAAAACATACATAGGTCACTATTCTTATATCAAATAAAACAGACTGTAAATCAACCACATTAAAAAAAATGACAAAAAGGTCATTACATATTAATAAAGGGTTCCATTCAACAAGAAGACTTAACTATCCTAAATGTGTACTTACCTAACATTGGAACACACAGATTCATAGAAGACGACTTAGGCAGCCATGCAATAATAGTAGGAGACTTAAACACACCACTGACAGTATTAGATCATTGAGGCAGAAAATAAATTTTGAACTTAAATTAGCCACTTCACCAATGGACCTAACAGACATCTATAGAATACTTCACCCAAAAAACACAGAATATACATTTTTCTCATCTGCACATGGAGTGTATATTAAGATCAACCACATGCTGGGTCATAAAGCAAGTCTTGATAAGTTTTAGAAAAATCAAAATCATACTAAGCACATTCTCATACTAAGCACAGTGGAATAAAAATAGAAATCAATGCCAAGAAGATTTCTCAAAACCACCCAATTACATGGAAACTAAACAACTTCCTCCTGAATGACTTTTGTTAAACAACAAAATTAAGGCAGAAATTTAAAAAAAATCCTTTTAAATAAATGAAAATGGAGATAAAACATACCAACATCTCTGAGATGCAGCAATAGTAGTGTTAAGAGGAAAGTTTATAGTGCTAACTGCCTACATCGAGAAGTTAGAAAGATTGCAAATTAACAGTCAAACATCACACCTATAAAAACTAGAAAAAAACACTATTTCTATCAAACTATCAACATCATCTTTCACAGAATTAGAAAAAAAAAGTATTCTAAAATTCATATGGAACAAAAAAGAGCTCAAACAAGCAAGGTGATCCTATGGAAAAAAAAAAAGAAAAAAAGCTGGAGACATCATATTACCTGACTTCAAACTGTTCTACAGGGCTGCAATAACGGAAACAGCATAATGCTGGTACAAAAACAGACAGGTAGTGTTGCAGGAAGTCAGGGATCCCGAATGGAGGGACTGGCTGGAGCCACAGCAGAGGAACATAAATTTTGAAGATTTCATTTTAATGTGGACATTTATCAGTTCCCAAATAATACTTTTATAATTTCTTATGCCTGTCTTTACTTCACTCTCTTAATCCTGTTATCTTCGTAAGGTGAAGACGTTATGTCACCTCAGGACCACTGAGAGACTTGTGTTAACTGTATAAACTGATTGTAAAATGTGTCTTTGAACACTATGAAATCAGTGCACCTTGAAAAAGAACAGAATAACAGAGATTTTTATGGAACAAGGGAAGACAACCATAAGGTCTGACTGCCTGCGGGGTCGGGCAAAAAGTGTGGGGTCGGGCAAAAAGAGCCATATTTTTTCTTCTTGCAGAGAGCCTATAAACAGACGTGCAAGTAGAAGAGATGTTGCTAAATTCTTTTCCTAGCAAGGAATATTAATATTAATACCCTGGGAAAGGAATGCATTCCTGGGGGGAGGTCTAAAAACAGCTGCTCTGAGAATGTCTGTCTTCTGCAGTTGAGATAAGGACTGAGATATGCCCTGGTCTCCTGCAGAATTCTCAGGCTTACTATGGTGGGGAAAAATTCTGCCCGGTAAGTTTGTGGTCAGACTGGTTCTCTGCTCATAAACCCTGTTTTCTATTGTGTAAGATGTTTATCAAGACAATACATGCACTGCTGAACAAAGACCCTTATCAGTGGTTCTGCTTTTTCCCTTTATCCTGTTCCCTCAGAAGCATATGATCTTTGTTAGACCCTTATTAGTAGTTCTGCTTTTTGCCCTTTGAAGCATGTGATCTTTGTACCTATAAGTACAATATAGGTACAATCCCTGTTGTACCTATAAGTACAATATACGTACAGTATAATCCCTGTTCTTATACCTCCTCCCCTTTTGAAACCCTTAATAAAAACTTGCTGGTTTGAGGCGCAGGCAGGCATCATGGTCCTACTGATATGTGATGTCACCCCCAGTGGCCCAGCTGTAAAATTCCTCTCTTTATACTGTCTCTCTTTATTTCTCAGCCGGCCGACACTTATGGAAAATAGAAAGAACCTATGTTAAAATACTAGGGGCGGATTTTCCCCAATAACATTGACCAATGGAACAGAATAGACAACCCAGAAATAGAGTCACACTCTTACAACCAATTGATCTTTGACAAAGTCAACACAAATAAGCAATGGGGAAAGACTCCCTATTCAATAAATAGTGTGGCAAACACTGGCTATCCTATGCAGAAGCATGAAACTTGACGCCTACCTATCATCATATACAAAAATTTACTCAAGATGGATTAAAGACTTAAATTTAATACCTGAAACTATAAAAAATCCTAGAAGAAAATCTAGGAAACACCACTCTGGACATTAGTTTTCGGAAGGAATTTATAACTAAGTCCTCAAAAGCAATTGCAACAAAAACAAAAATTGACAAGTGGGACTAAAGAGCTTCTGCACAGCAAAAGAGACAATCTATGAACAGAAACTATAAACAATCTATAGAATGGGAGAAAATATTTACAAACTGTCCATCTGACAGATATCTAACATGGAGAATTTATAAGGAATTTAAACAAATCAACAAGCAAAAAGGAAATAATCCCATTAAAAAGTGAGCAAACTTAGAAGATAGGTAGTGATATATAAAATTTCTTTAAAAAAAAAAAAAGGGAGCAGAGGACCTAAAGAGACACATATCAAAAGAAGACACAAGCAGCCAACAAATGCTGAAAAAAATGCTGAACATCACTAATCATCAGAGAAATGAAAATCAAAGCCACAATGAGATATCATCTCACACCAGTCAGAATGACTATGATTAAAAAGTCAAAAAACAACAGATGCTGTTGACTTTGGAAAGAAAAGGTAATGCTTATACACTGTTGGTAGGAATGTAAATTAGTTCAGCCACTGCAAAAAGCAGTTTAAAAGATTCCTCAGAGAACTAAAAATAGAACACCGTAACCCAACAATCCCATTACTGTATATATATATACACTATATAATCCACACAGGTGGAGTGGATAAAGAAAATGTCGTACATATACACCATGGAATACTATGTAGCCATAAAAAAAGAATGAAATCATGTCATTCGCAGCAATGTGGGTGCAGCTGAAGGCCATGCCAAATACCATATGTCCTCACTTATAAGTAGGAACTAAACATTGGGGACACATGGACATAAACAAGGGAACAATAGACACTGGTTAATACAAGAGCAGGGAGGGAGACAGCAGTGCAAGGGTTGAGAGGCTACTTATTGGGTACTATGCTTGCTATCTGGGTGATGGGTTCATTTATACATCAAACCTCAACATTATATTAAATACCCCTGTAACAAACCTTCACATGTACCCCTGGAACCTAAAATAAAAGTTGAAATTAGAAAAAAATTGAGAATTATATCAACCACTAGGATAAATAATTTGGAGTTCTCCCAAAGCCCTACTCTCCAAAAAAATTGTCATGATTTGACCTGTTTTGCAGTTCCCTGGAAAACACCACTCAGTGTTTGTCTTTTTTGATCTATTTCAAAACTTACTGACTGCAGACACCTTTTCTTGGGGGGCATTTATAAAAACAGTCAATGGCATTGCAGTTGTCTGAAGTGCTAATAACAGTTGAGCAATCAAAAAGCTTACCAAAATCTGAAAAGAAAAAAATTGGTGAACAAGATGCCCATAGAAGTCTATGAAAAGCTACAAAATAACTGGGAATCTAGTAGGCCATTCTGCATATGTGTAGGACTGTCCATATCCCTGGGAAAGACCTGAGAAGTCCTAATCTCATACCTCTAGCTGACCTTGAGGCTTTGTGCAAAGAAGAGGTAAAAGCTGAAGCAGAATTATAAACTGGCTCCTTTATCCTTGAAGGCATGCCCAAATGAGACAAAGTCCCTGGAAAATAATGGTAGATTTATTGGTTCCATGCATTTAAGAAAATCTCTGTCCAATCACTAGGTGACCACTAAGCTAACTGAGCAGAGATTTCAGAGGCTCCACATGATAAAGAGTATAGAATTAGTTTAGGAAGTCACTAAACAGACCAAAAGTATGAAAAATAAGCAACAACAACAACAACAAATAGTAATAAGGGGCAGATTCTGATTTTGAAATCTGGCACATTGTATTATTTATGATATCCAGGTTTTATTAAAAAATATGAGACATGCAAGGAAACAAGAAAGTGCGATTGATATACAAAAACAACAACAACAAAAACGCAATCAAAGAAAGTGTCACGGATGAGCTCAGCTACTGGGCTTATTACAAAGACTTTAAATTTGCTATTTTAAATATTCACAAAGAACTAAAATAAAGCAAGCCATGTCTAAAGAGTCAGAAGAAAGTATGAGAATGATTCTCACCAAACAGATAATGTGAATAAGGAGATAGGAATTTTGTTTTTAAGAAAATAATCAAATAAAAATTCTGGAGTTGAAAAGTATATTAATTGAAATAAAAATTCAATAATAGGGACTCATCAGGGAATTTTTTTTCTGCCATAAGAAACAATAGCAAATTTGAACAGAGGTTAATTTTATTATCTAGTCTATTAAAAAAATAAATGAAGAAACATGAATAAGACCTGAAAGACTTCTGGGACAAAAATCTGGCAAACAAACGAACATAGGCATAATGGAATTCACAGAAGAGGGAAAGGGAAAGGAGCAGAAAACATATTTGAAGGAATAATATCTAAAAATGTTTCAAATTGATGAAAAAAATTAATCTACACAACTAGGAGCTCATTATTTCCTAGGAAGATAAACCCAAAAAGATCAATGGCCAACCACACAATAATTAATCTGTCCAAAGTCATAGATAAAGAAAATTTTGAAAGCAGCAAGAGAGAAGTGACCTTATTCTGCACATGGCATTCTCAATAAGATTAACTGTTTATTTCTCTTCAGAACCATGGAGGCCAGAAGACAGTGGTATGACATGGTCAAATGCATGATCAAAGAACTCTATATCTAGAAAAATTGTCTTTCAAAATTAATGGAAAAATTAAGGCATTCTCAGACACACAAAAAGACTTTACGGATAGAAGACCCTCCCTACAATAAATATAATAAGGGGACTCCTTCAGGCTGAAATGAAAAGACTTTAGATAGTTACTTGAATCCAAATGAAAAAGAAGATCACCAGTAAATGTAACTATATAGATAAGCATAAAGAACAGTATAAATTTATATTTATTTGAAATATTTTTTATCCTGTTTATTTAGAAGATAACTTTATAAAGCAATAAATATAAAACTATGCTGATGAGATTACAGTGTATCAAATATAATTTGTATGACAAAATAGCACAAGGAAGGTGGAATGGAATTATTGATGGCCGTTGAGAAACCTCTGTTCTTGTCTCCTTGTTTGAAATAATTTAAACAAGAGTCACACAGCAAAGGAGATGCAGCATAGAACAGTTTAGTGCAAAGGTGAAATAATACTCTGAAAGACTGGTTGAGAATAGACAAAGAGATGATTTGAATTGGACTGCTTGTGAGGATGAGACAGTGTTGACTGTTACTGGGGAAACTCCCTTTATGGGACTCTTATATGATTATTCATAAGTGGATTAGAAGAGGTTTTACTAATAAGCATGTTCTGGGTGGTCCTCTGGGTACACATGTGCAGTAGCTGTACATGCTTGTTCATACATCATATGTCTCATTAGCACCTTAAATCTCCACATAGGGTTCTGATTTTTACTATTATAGTGAGTGAAGAGTCAGTCCGAGGACAGGTAAAATCAAAATATGCATGCTCTCTACAGGGGAAATTCCCTACTGTAGATAGTTGTGCTTGAATGAGTCAGTTTGACTATAAGGTGAATGCTGCAGTTTATTGTATTGATGGTGCAGTCACCATAGTTGCCACATAGCGAGGACATGTTTACTTCCTTGACTACTTATCCTGCCTCAGAATGAAGCTGTATAGGAATAAAGATTTTATACCATTGAAGTCAACTTGGTACTAATCCAAACAAGAAGTATATAAATCGAGATGTTAATTTTAATTTTCAGGGCAACCACTAACAAAATAACTCAAATATAGTGAAAGAAAAAATAAGGGTATTTAAATTATACATGAGAAAATATATCTAATTAACACAAAAGAAAAAAGTGATAGAAAAATGGAGGGGAAAAAGATACAAGACATAGAGAAAATAAGTAGAAAAATGGAAGATATAAATCTTTTCAGTAATTATATTAAATGTAACTGGATTAAACACTCCAATTCAAAGGCAGATTGGCAAAATGAAAAAAAAACTAGAAAGAACGAGCCACCTATGTGTTATCTATAAGATAAATATTTTAGATTAGAGACACAAATAAGCTGAAGTTAAAAGATACATAAAGATATGTCATGCAAATAGTACCCCAGAAAAAGCTGGAGTAGTTATATTGCTATCAGGCAAAATATTAAGTTTGTGACATAACTATGTATTACTTTATGACAAAAATATTACTATAAGCAAAGAAGGACATTTTATAATAATAAAAAGGTTAGTCTTTTAAGAAGAAATAACAAATTTAAATAACTGAGATTATGCAAAGTATGTATTCTAACCACAATAGAATAAAATTTTAAATCAATAACAAAAGAAAATTTGGAAAATTACAATTAGTTTGAACTTAAACTATAAGCTTCTAAATAACCAATACATCAAAGGAAAAATCATAAAGAAAATACAAAGTACTTAAAGATGAATAAAAATACAACCAAAACTTATGGGATACAGCTAAAGCAGTGCTTAAGAGGAAATTTATAGCTGTAAATGCCTGTATTTAAAAAATTAAAAGTCTTAAATCAATAATCTAAATTTCCACCTTAAGAAACTACAAAAAAAAAAAGAGAAACTAAATCCAAAGTTAGCAGAAAGAATAAAATAACAAGAACTACAGTGGAAATAAATAAAATACAGTACAAAAAAGAGAGGGAAGAAAAACAAAAGTTGATTGAAATAATCAAAAAAATTGACAAACTTTTAGCTAGACTGATTAAGAAAAAAAAGAGAGGACTTAAACTAACAAAATAAGGAATGAAAAAAATGTACATTATCACTGCCCTTACAGAAATAAATATTTTACAAAGGAATACCATGAACACCTCTATGGCAACAAATTAGATAACCTCGATGGAATGAACGAATTCCTAGGAAGACACAAACTAATGAGGCATATACAAAAGAAATAAAAAATCCAAAGAGATCTATAACAAGTAAAAAAAAAATTAAAAATTAACAAAGAAGAAATCCCACAAAGAAAAACACAGGACCAGATGGCATCACTGATTAATTCTACCAAATGATTAAAGAATTATCATCAATCCTTCACACACTGTTCCACAAAGTAGAAGAGGAAGAACTAGTTCCCACATCATTCCATGAAGCTAGTATTCTCTGCCACCAAAATCAGATAAAGACATCACAAGAAAAAAAATAGAACATAGACCATATTCCTTATGAATTGAGATGTAAAAATCCTCAAAAATAAAATGAACTTGAACTGCCCATGGGAGGCTTTCCTAAAATCTTGACCCACAATATCATGAACACAACATTTTTTATGCCATTATATTTAGGGCTATTGTAAAATAGCAGCAAATAACTACATGTGTATGTATGTGTGTATTATATATAACTATACTAAATTATTATGTATTATACATGTAACAATTATAGAAGATTGGACAAATCTAGTAACATCTAATTAATATTCAATTTATTACAAATCTAATAATAGCTAATTTGTTGTTTTTATTTAACAGTAATGGGAGTTGAGACCAAAAAATATGGGAGTTGTTGAAAGTCATTTAATCCCTACATGGTCAAGTCTGAATTTGAACCCAAATATCCTAGACAGTACTTCTCTGGAAGCTGGTATTAGGTAGATATTGAACCAATTCTTCATTTGTCTCAGATCTCAGAAAATGTAAAACTATTAGAAAAGGATATGAATATTGTACATAAAATAAGGGGAAGACATTTCTTTTTCTTCATTTTATAATCTAGAAATAAAACCTACATAGGAAATTTATATGCATGTTTGTATGTTTGTGTTAATGTGTATGAACATATATTTTATTTTCAAGGAAGAAATTATTTTCTAAATAAGGACCAATCTCTAATCCTTAAAGTATCCATCAGAATGTGATTCAATAGGTTTTGCAAAATCCTAGTTCAGATGCAACTTAATCACTAGTCATTATTTCGGTGTGGGCCATACTTAGAACTAAAGTGCTCAGAATTCTTAGTCAACAAGATAAGTCCTTGACAGATCGTAACGGACTTGTCTATTTTATTTTATTTTTTTAAAAACCCAGTGTTGAAAAGAGAAACTTGGTTAGAATTTCCATGATTTTTTATAATGGATAATTTGGAAGAAAAGGAAAGAAAAGGCTGTGAATAAGGAAGATTAAGTTATTCTTTTATGCATCCATCCATTCCTTCATTTACAAAATATTTATTGAACATCTATTATTTGTCAGGCATGCTGGAGACAGGCAGTAAACAAGACAGCCAAGTTCTCTATCCTTATTTTATTGCGGGAGAGAGAACCAATAAAAGATAATGAGGAGACAGGATGAAAGAAGGAAACTAGCCAAGTTACTACTAAGTAGCACAACTGAGAGATATCTGTATTATCTGTCTGATCTTATGATGGCATCAGTAGAGATGGAAGGATGCGAATGAGTATGAGAAATGCTTGTAGGCTGAAAACAAGTAGTATAATTTGCGTATTATGTTTATTTGTGTTATTTCATATTGTTTTGTGTTTCATATCAGTGATGTTACTTAAAATATGCTTAACCACATATCTCTATTAAAGCCAAATATTATTTGCTCTTCATCATTGTATATTTTTTAAGTATTTTAGTGATAACACATTTTAATAAGTTTATTAAATCATTTTCAAAGATCGTCTCAAATGTGAACTTAATGGAACTTACTTTGTAGATTATTAACTTTCCAAGTCACAGAAAACAAAATGGAGAGAAAAGAATCTCAGATTTTTTAAGTTGCTAGATACAGAGAACTTTGGTTCTGTCTTTCTGTCCTAAATACAAGTGGCTGAACATTTTTAAACTTAATGCCTAATAATGGAAATGAAAGTGATACCACTGGCATTGGTGGTTGTTTGTATTTCTGCTAGGTGATAAGTCACTTGAATGAAATGACCAAATCAAGTTTGTGGTATGGACACAGATAATAACACCCATGGTATCAAAGATGAGTACCTAAAAGAGATTGGAAAAATTACTGAGAGGCTGAATTTATATTTTTTAAATGATATGCATATAATAAATTAAAATGTCAATATTTTAAAATAGAGTCACAAATATTTTATTTATTTATTTTTATTGTTATCATTTTTTTCCTCTGAAATCCTTGCCCTCTATTGGGCAAGGGGTGAGGGAAGCAGACAGACCGGTTGGACATAGTAGACAGGTATGTGAGGACAAAATGCTACTCAAAAGCTAGCCAACCCATACTCCCCTGAAATGGACGCTAATGCCCTTCAAACTCTGGGCATTGGTTTCACACACATCGTCTTCCAGGGATAAAAGAAGGGGTTCTTGTAAAGCTTCTTGTTACCCTCAACCATGGAGGCAAGTTCCGAGTTCTGGTTTTCCTAGGACACTAACTCTAGTGTCCCTGTTGCATCAGTGCCTGTGTATGGCCTCCCAGCCCAACCAGAAATTGACAGAAAGGCATGTATTTGGTGAAAAGATATACATATATTTAGAATTAGCCAGCTGGACTCAGTTTAGATGATCCCAATTTTGTTTGCAACATCCAAAGCATCATAATCAGGAGCCAGTTGAACATATGCCTTCTTCTCTCCATCAGGTCGAATCAGGGTGTTGACCTTGGCCACATCAATGTCATAGAGCTTCTTCACAGCCTGTTTGATCTGGTGCTTGTTGGCTTTAACATCCACAGTGAACACAAGTGTGTTGTTGTCTTCTATCTTCTTTATGGCCAACTCAGTGATCAGAGGAAACTTCATGATAGCATAGTGGTCAAACTTGTTTCTCCTGTGAGCGCTCTTCCAAGGATATTTGAACGGCCTCCAGAGTCCCAGTGTCTTGGGCCTCCAGAAGGTGAGTGACGTGTGGATCTTCTTTTTTTTTGTGGCTGTGGACACCTTTCAACACCGCTTTCTTGGCATTTAAAGCCTTCCCTTGGGCTTCAGCTTTAGGAGGGGCAGGAACTTCCTTCTTCGCTTTTGGCACCATCTTGTGAAAAGGATATTTGTTTATTTTAAATAATTAGTTTCTCTCTTTGCACCTCTTGAGATTATCAGAGAATGGAAATAAGATGAGATAAATTTAAATGATAAAACTAACATTTTAAAGTATATTTTGATTGTTGCATCCAGCTTGTAAGTATTGAAGAGCTGTAAGTTATCTAGTTCTACACAAAGCTCAGTGAATAAAAAGCATAAGGCAAAGCACAACTTTTCAATCTATCAGAAAAAAAAATATTCAAAATGCCATGTGCAAAGTGTATGCTCAATTAAAGGTGTTGAAACCATCAAGGCTCATGCAAGCTTTTTCTTAGCTTCTGTAATACCAAATAAGCCCTGCTATATGTCTTGATTTACCATGAAAGTTAAGTGTCACATTTTAGGCAAATAAAAGTTATTAAAATTTGACAGCTGGCAAATTATGCTAACATCTGGTAACAAATCATTCTTGACAGTTCAATAGTACACTTCTTATTGCATAGCTATTAATATTATAAACAGCAAAATGCAAAAATCATAGCACCCAACTAACATATTCCCTGGAGTGATAGAAAGAATGCACTGTTTATCTTAATGTGTAAGAAATGTCATCTTTTCACGTCTGAGGTTTGAAGTAGATTGGAACTGAATAACTATAAACATGGGTGGCACCATGCAGTGCCACAAGCTAAAAAGAGATTTGAAAATTTCTGAATTTGGAGTGACATGATGATACATTTACAGTATGTGGGGGGAGTAGAAAAAGTAGTAAGAATAGATTGTAACCAATAATAATAACAATAAAATGACATTACATGCTTATTCATCACTCATCTGGTATAATATCACTTTCTTGGTTAAGTTGGCTAATAGTTATATATAACAGAATTTCTAACTGGTGCTTTAACAAAATCAAGTTCTAGAATCTAGTAAGTGGTTAATTCCTATCTGGCTCAAATACCTGGCATTGGGATATGGATGTTCCTTGCTGTCACCCAACTTCTTAAAGGAGGGAAAGGAATTTTACTTTCACCTTTTATTTTGATAGTGGTGGTTTCTACCCATAAGTCACTCTCATTCACTTATAAGTGTTACAAAAAAAAGGAATATAATACATAAAAATATAATCTTAACCAAAACTTAAATTGTGTTTACAAAATAAAAGCTGAATTGGGATGTGGGCATCTGGATTGTGGCTCTGGCTTGGTGGTGTAAAAATTTCTGTCCCTCCATGAGTGCAATTTTTTCAAATTTTTTTTCTTTTTAACTTTTATTTTAAGATCAGGGGCACATGTGGAGTCTTCTTATATAGGTAAGCTCATCTCACAAGGGTTTATTGTACAGATGATTTTGTCACCCAGGTATTAAGCCTGCTATCCATTACTTAGTTTTCTTGATCCTTTCCCTCCTCCTGTGCTCTACCCTACAGTAGGCCCCAGGGTCTATTGTTCCACTCCACGTGCCCATGTGTTCTCATCATTTAGCTCCCACTTATAAGTGAGAACATGCAGTTATTTGGTTTTCTGTTCCTCTGTTAGTTTGCTCAGGTTAATGGCCTCTAGCTCCATTCATGTTCCTGCAAAGGATATGATTTCATTCCCTTTATGGCTGTATAGTATTTCATGGTGTATATATGCCACCTTTTCTTTATTCAGTCCACCATTGATGGGGCGTATAGGTTGATTTCATGTCTTTGCTATTATGAATAGTGCTGCTGCAAACATATGCATGCATGTGTCTTTATGACAGAATGATTTCTATTCCTTGGGTATATACCCAATAAAGGGATTGCTGGGTCAAATGGTATTTCTGTTTTGGGGCCTTTGAGGAATTGCCACACTGTTTTCCAGATGGTTGAACTAATTTACACTCCCACCAACAGTGTATAAGCCTTTATTTTTCTCCACAGCCTCACCAGCACCTGTTAGTTTTTTACTTTTTTATAATTGCCATTCTGATTGGTGTGAGATGGTATCTCATTGTGGTTTTGATTTGCATTTCTCTAATGATCAGTGATGTAGAGCTTTGTTTTCGTATGTGTTTTGGCTGCATGTGTGTCTTCTTTTGAAAAGTGTCTGTTCATGTCCTTTGCCCACTTTTTAATAGGGTTATTTGTTTTTTTCTTGTAAATCTGTTTAAATTTCTTATGATGCTAGATTTCAGACCTTTATCAGATGCATAGTTTGGAAATATTTTGTCCCATTCTGTAGGTTGTCTGTTTATTCTGTCAGTAGTTTATTTTACTGTGCAGAAGCTCTTTAGTTTAACTAGATCCCATTTGTCAATGTTTGCTTTTGTTATGATTGCATTTGCTGCCTTCATCATGAAATCTTTGCCCATACCTATCTCCAGAATGTTTTTATTGCCTAGGTTGTCTTGCAGGGTTTTTATAGTTTTGGGTTCTACATTTAAGTGTTTAATCCATTTTGAGTTGATTTTTGTATATGATGCAATTTTCTTACTGTAAAATTAGAAGATTTAAAGAATATAAATTCTATAGTCATTTCTAACTATGGAATGCATGTGCTCTTAACTTAGATCAAACTCCAATTGAATTTAGAAAATTTAGTCAACCAGGAACTAATTGATTAAACTTGCTGAATATTAAATGTAGAGAATTTTACTCACTCATACTTTTGTGTGTATCAATCACTAAGACCATATAATTAAGCAAAAGCAATGGTAGCTCTATTTTTTAATATACATTCAATTTTTAAAGAAAAATACAGTACCGAATACAATATGAATTAGCATATGCATTTTATACCTTGATGAGAGACCCCAGGTATAAAATAACACTTCTAAAATGGTATCTTAAAAAACTGTTTTATATATAGATATATTTTAGGAAGCTCCTGTGTTTTGTTTCTTGGTTGGCTATAAGACTGCAGAGTTGAACATTCTAAAAATAATCAATGACTGAGAATTCATTTGCTTTACCACATTTATAGATAATTTATGGATGGTTTTTCACTTCTCTAACACTCAAGCCTCAATTCATTTTCAAATACATGAAGTGTCATTTTAAGTATACAGTGGGCTCTTAATGAAATTTGCTGTCTTAACTTTTAAATGTTTCAGAGATTTTTATTTTAAGCTTGGTAAAAAAAAATCAGAGTAACCTTCATATGTTTTTTATATTCTATAAGCTGCAATTAAAGCACGTGATTTTTAAAAAAGAATTTAAATTTCAAACCATATTGCTTTATTACAGCAACAGAAACTTATGTCCTAAATCAAATGCCCTATAAAAATATTGTATTTTCACTTTTTGCAATTTTAACAAAAGCTGTCCATTTGAGTTAAAATGTCATTTTATTAGTAGTTTTTCATTATGTATACTTGTCATTATTTTTCCTTTTTCCCTTTTTTTTTTGGAAAATTTAAGATTTGCAGAAGAGAAATTACAGGAAACTATACTCTTTTGTTGTTGCAGTTGAATACTAGATTAATAGAATAGTGAATCCTCAAAGTTGACGACTGCATACTTAAACATCTGACTGTAGGGTCGGTAAATTCAGTCTTATTTTACAATAAAGTTTATTTAGATTGACTGTTTATGCAGAATAGCATCCTACTTTCTCTAAGTTTTCTTCTTTGACTGAGGAGGTTACTAAATTAAGCTGCTCACTTGTGAGGAAGATCTGCTGGTTCAATTGCCAGACCAATGGGCAGACTGCTGAAGCAGAGAAACCTCATTGTTTTAAAGAGGTTAGCAAACCTAATGGAAACTTGGTTACTGCCATATTCTCACAGACTTGAGATTTTCTCTTGCTTCCTTCTGGTATCCACCTTTGCTTCCGGCCTGATACTTTTAGAGAATTTGGGAAAGAGAATCACCGAGGAGCAGGGGCTCCATTGCCACTACTATTTCAATAGTGCAGGTGGTGTGCTATAGAAACTTGGAGGACGGGTTATGTTATTAGCCCCCATTTTTATCCCTTTGTTATAGGATCTTGGAGGGGTCGCCTTTCCAGCCAGAAAGCTCTGTGGCCAGTGGTGCCTTTGCCCGAGTTTTGCTTGAGCCTACTGGGCTCATTCTGCCTACTCAGCCTGGCAGGCTGTGCTCAGCTCAGGCTACCAGCCTGGATCCCACGCCTCCAAGGGAGACTGAGTCAGGCGTGGAGTGGCGAGAGATGTGTGAGCAAGCATCGGGTCTGGCCACACTGTGCAGTCAGACACACCAGCTGCTGCCACAGGGTGGGCAGCTCTAGGTGCTGGCATGGGCGCCAGCTGGACCAGGCACATAGCAAGCAGTTTCTCCAGCTGGCACCAGGGAATGTGGTGGTGCCTGGAAGCTTGGAGATGCCAGAAACCGCAGGGCTCCAAAGAGGTCGTCACAGTCCTGGCTTGGGGAGGTCCCAGGTCTGGGCTCCCCTAAGGGCTGCAGCTCTTCTCTCCTTCTCTTCCCCCTCAACATGGAGAGCAAGAGGCATGTTGCAGCCCTGTTTGTGTTACAGCAATTTTCGCCTCGCCATTCGGCAGGTCCTGAATTTTTGTCCTGCAACCAGGAAGGATGAGTTCTGCAGACAAGCGAAAGGTCAGCAAGATGAAGAGGAGCTTTATTGAGCTATAGAACAACTCAGTCTCTCGCAGGTGGCAGCTCCTTTCCACAGCCAGGGTGTCCCCTCCAGTGTTCGGCCCCCAGCAGAGAGGGTGGCTGCCCTCTGCAGCCAGTCCTCCCAACGCCTGCAGCTCTTAGCACAGAGGAGCCCCTGGAGTGTGTAGCTCCATTCTGCAGCTGGTTGTCCCGACGTCTGCTCAGCTCCGGGTGAGCTGAGGCTTTTGCTGTGCAGAAGCTCTTTAGTTTAACTAGATCCCATTTGTCAATTTTTGTTTTTGTTACGATTGCTTTCGCTGTCTTCCTCCCCTTCCCGGGAGGAAGTGTGTGCCGACTGGTCCATGAGCAGCCATGGGCGGGCCCAGAAAAGGCACCACAAGTTCCCATTCCAGTCCGGGTGACTGGCAGCCTGCACCCCAGCCTTCAGGCCCTCCATGGTCGGAAGGTGGAGCCTCGCTCAGGACCCACCTCCTTCCACCCAGGAATCCGTCTGCTTCCTGCTGCCTTTCATGGCACCGAGGCTGTAGGTGCCAAAGGGCGGCCAAGGGGCTCAGCTTTATGGGACAGGCTAGAGCAATGTAGTGAGGAACAGAGATGTAATCGTTGAGGGTTTAGCAATTTTAAATAGGGCAATAGTGACAGACCTCAATGACAAGAGGGTGTCAGGGTGGAAAATCAGAAGTGAGGAGACTTCTGGTTTCAGTTCTGACATGTAAAGGACTTGGAAGTCATTACTCTCATCCTTACAACAAGAAAAAGGCTGAATGAACTGAAAATCAGTGACTTTTCTTGGATCCATCAGATAAGTAAGGTTAAAGGGAAACCTGCCACCCTGAAGTATGGAGAGAATTGTGAATCTAGAGAGTTACAGAAGAGGCCTACTCACCTGGAGTAGCTGTTGCTAGAGACGTACATTAACATCAACCAAACAAATGGTCATTTTGTCAGATTGCTGGAGGCTGAGTGTGAACTAAAAGGCTTATGGTGTTGTGTCTAAGAACAAACCAACAAAGCAAGGTCACCTAGATTTTCTCCCATGTTATCTTCTAGGAATTTTATAGTTTTGCATTTTGCACTTAAGTCTCTGTCTAGAATCTTTTTATTTTCATATGGACGTCCAAATCTTACAATACCTAGTTTTGGAAACTATTCTCTTTTCTCCATTGAATTATTGCCTTTGTTTCTTTGCCATAGATTAGTTGACTCTATTTGTTTAGGTCTATATCTGGGCCACTCTATTCTGTTGTCTTGATCTATTTTTTCTATTCCTCCACTAACATTATGCTGTCTTGATTACTGTAGATATATGGTAAGCCTGGAAGTCAGATAGTGTCAGTCTTCTTTTTTGTTCTTCTTCAGTTTTGTGTTGACAATTCCAGGAGGTTTTTCAGTTGTTGATTCTTTTAGATTTTATACTTACACAACCATGTCATCTGTGGACAAAGACAGATGATTTATTTCTTTCCCATATATATTTATATACCTTAATTTTCTTTTCTTATTTTACCAGTTATGACATTTGGTACAATGCTGATAGGCGCGGTAAGAGAGAATGTGCTTGCCTTGTTCTTATTCTTAGTAGGAAAGCATACTGTTTCCCACCATGAAGTATAATGTTTGCTGTGGGTTTTACATAGATACTTTCTGTCAAAATAAGGAAGTTCCCCATTATCCTAGCTTGCTGAGAATTTTTATCATGAGTGAGTGTTAGATTTTATTAAATGCTATTTCAGCATCTGTTGGTATGGCTATATGATTTTCCTTTTAGTCTGTTGATGTGATGGGTTACATTGATTTTCAAATGTTGAAACAACTTTTCCTATCTGGGATAAATCTTTACTGATTGGGGTGTTTTTTTTTAATACATGATTGGATTCATTTTTCTAATACTTGTGGAGGATTTTTGCACCTATTTTTGTGAGAGATATTGGTCTGTAGTTTTCCATTCTTGTAATGTCTAATTGGCTTTAATATGGAGTAATACTGACCTGATAAAATGAGTTAGTAAGTTTTGCCTATGTTTCTATTTTTTTGGAAAATATTGTAGACAATCACTATGATTTCTTCCTTAGGTATTATAATTCACTAGTGAAGCCATCTGGGCTTGGTGCCTCACTATTATTATTTAGAAGGTTATTAAATATTAATTCAATATCTCAAGGCCTATTAACATTATCTATTTCTCCTCGTGTGAGTTTTGTAGTTTGTGTCTTTCTAGAAATTCATCCATTTTATCCAAGTTATCAAATTTGTGTGTAGGAAGTTGTTCATAATACTCCTTTATTATTCTTTTAATGTCCATGGAATTAGCAGTTTTGCCCCTATTTTATTTTGGCTATGAGTAATTTTGTCTTCTCTCTTTTCTTGTTTTGTTAGACTTGCTAGAGGTTTATCAGTTTTATTGATCTTTTCAAAAACACAGTTTGTAGCTTATTGATTTTCTCTATTGTTTTCCTGTTTTAAACTTCAATGATGTCTGCTATAGCTTTTATCTCTTTTTTTTTTCTGGTTGCTTCAAGTTTATACTTGCCTTCTTTCTCCAATTTCCTAAGATGAAGTTTAGATTACAGATGTATATATCTTTTTTCTAACACATGGATTCAGTGCTATATTCTTCTAAATACTTTTGCTGCATTACACAAAATAGGGAATTATAACTTGCATTACTTTTATTTAGTTCAAAATATCTTTGATTTCTCTTGAGACTTTTTTGCCCCACGTATTCTTTACGAGCATGTTGTATAATCTCCAAACAATTCACTATTTTCTATCTTTCATTAATAATTTCTAGTTTAATTGCTATTGATTTCTAGCATATTTTGTATGATTTTTATTCTTTCAGATTTGTTCAGGGTGTGTTTTATGGATCAGAATGTGGCCCACCCTGGTGCATGCTCCTTGTGAGCATTTTGTTGTTGGATGGAGTATTCTATAACTGTCAGTTAGATTAAGTTGATCAAAAGTATTCTTCAGGTCAGCTCTATTCTAACTTTTGTTCTGTGAAAGACATCGTTAACAATGAATGAAAAGGCAAGCCACAGACTGTGTGAAAATATTTGCAAAACATATATTTTATAAAGAATTTGCATCTAAAATATACAAAGAACTTTTCATATATAACAATTTTAAAAATCTACTTAAAACATAGGCAAAGATCCAAACAGACACTTTACCAAAGAAAATACACAGATGGAAAATGAACATATGAAAATATGTTTAACACGATTGCCATTAAGAAAATGCAAATTAAAGTAATAATGAGGTACTAGTCCATACGTATTAAAATAGCTAAAAAAAAATTCATGACAATACCAGTTTCTGGTGAAAATGTTGAGCAAGAGGACCTCTTGTTCATTGCTGGTGGGAATGTAAAATAGTGTGACTGCTTTGGAAGACAGTTTGGTAGCTTTTACGATTAACATAGTCTGAACACATGATTGAACAATTATTTTCCTGGATATTTCCCAAATTGACTTGAAAAATATCTGCAGATATAATTATAGTAGCTTTATTCATAACACCAAAAGCTGCAATCAACCCAAATGCCATTCAATATATGAATGGATAAACAAACTGTGGTACATCCATACAATGAAACATTACTTAATGATTGAAAAGAAATGACCTGTCAAGCCATGAGAAGGCTAAGACATCTTTAATACATTTTTGTA
This sequence comes from Homo sapiens, assembly GCF_000001405.40. NCBI lineage: Eukaryota > Metazoa > Chordata > Mammalia > Primates > Hominidae > Homo > Homo sapiens. Next base: position 1,604,468 of record NC_000003.12, read on the forward strand.
ATGAAAGAAGAAAGTTTGTAAAAGTTACATGCTGTGTAATTCCAATGATGTAACATCCTGAAAAAGGCAAGACTATACAGATAATTAAAAGATAAATACATGCCTAAAAGGTGGAGAGGGAGAGAGGAGTAAATATATGAATCACAGGCAATGTTTTAGGGTGGTGAAACTATTCTGTATGATAATATAATTGTGAATATATGCATTTGTCATACTCATTGAAATTTACAGTACAAAGAGTGAACATATCTTAATGTGTGCAATTTTTAAGAAAATCATTTAAAAGGGTGAGAAAATCCCAGGACAGCATGCAAAATGTAATAAAATAAAACTGGATTACTAACATATGAAACAACATCTTATATCAATGATATTGATACAGTTGGATTTATATCTGCCATTTTATGTTTTGTTTTCTGTACATTTCCTAATTTTTTGTCCCTCTATTCCTACTATAATCCTTTCTTTTGCATTAAGTGAATGCTTTCTAAACTAGCATTTTAACTCCTTGCATAATTTTTTACTATTTTTTGAGAGTTTTTAAAAAATGATGGCTTTTTGATTTACCATACACAACTTATCACAATCAGCTCCACTTTTATGCTAGCATGTTTCCGGGGGCATATAGAGATACCACTTGTAGCTCTAGCTCTATTCCCTTTCTTCATTTTTTGTGTTATTGTTATACGTTTTACATCTATTAATGCTATGAATCCAACAACAAACACGTTATAATTATTATTTTGTTTTATTTTCTTTTTATCTTTTTAAAAGTTTTAGATTCAGGGGGTACCTGTGCAGGTTTGTTATATGGGTATATTATGTGATGTTGAGGTTTGGGGTACAGAAGGCCCTGTCACCCAGGTGGTGAGCATAGTACCCAATAGGTAGTTTTTCGGCTCATGCTTCCACACCCCCTAGTAGTCGCCAGTGTCTACTGTTCCCACCTCTATGTCCACGTGTATTCAATACTTAGCTCTCACTTATTAGGGAGAACATGCAGTCTTTGGTTTTCTGTTCCTTTGTTAATTTGCTTAGGATAATAATAATTATTATGTTAAAATCTGTAGTCATTTTTTAGGCCAGTATAGTTTTGCTTCCATCCACCTACTTTGTACTATTATTAAATATTTGCAAATATATTCTACTTCTGTATGTTATGCCCAATAATGAATTGTATACATACTGCTTGATGCAATTACTTTTTAAATCACTTAGAAAAGAAAGCATAAATATGCATTGGTACCATCTTTTATAATTACATAATTACATGTAATAGTACTCTTTGTTTCTTCTTGTGGATTTGAATTACCATCTGGGGTCACTTACTTTCAGCCTGAAGACCTTCCTTTAGTATTTCCTGTAAGGCTAGTCAAGCATAGGCTTGATATGATGTGATGAAAATGGCACTTTACCTCAGTGGGTCTTCCCCTCAGAAAGTCGTAACACAAATCAAATCATAAGAAAATGTCAGATAAATCCCAACAGAGGTACATTATACAAAATATAAAAATTTTTAAATTGCCAAGGTCATTAAAAACACGTAATGTCCTGAGAATTGTCATAGCCAAGAGGAGCAGGAGTGGACATGGTGACTAAATGTGATGTGATATTCTGGATGAAACCCTGAAAACGAAAAGGGCACTTAAGTAAAAACTAAAGAAATATGGACAAAGTATGGGCTTTAGCTAATTATACTATATCATTACTGGTTCATTCATTATGACCAACATACCATACTCATGTTAAGATGTTAATGATAGGAGAAAATGAATGTCGGGTAGATGGGAACACTCTGTACTATTGTCACAATTTGACTACAAATTTTAAACTATTCTTCAATATAAATTTTATTTTTAAAAGACAAATAAATTAGAGATTCTTCAGTAGGGCAGCTCTCTCAGGATAAGACATTCCTAGGTGACAGATCAGCTGGTGCTAAGATGGAAAAGTGTCTGGGGTGTCTGGGGCACAACGAAGAAACCAGTGTGATGGGAGTGGCATGAACATGAGGGAAAGTTGTATTGGAAGTTAGAGAGGTAACAGAGGACAGGAAGAAACGTCTTTTCATGTTTAGAGGCCACTTCAAGGACTTAGATTTCATCGTAACTGAAATAAAGAATCATATGTGGGTTTTGAAAGGGTTACTGGCAGGCTCATTTGAAATAAACTGCAAAGAGGGGAAGAATGCAAGGGTGGAAGCAGAGATACTGATTGGGAGTCTTACAGTAATCTGGAAGGAGTTGGTTGGTAGCAGTGAGAACAATGAGAAACGCCTGACTCTGGATATATTTTGAATATAGAGGCAGTAGGATATTCTGACTAGCTGTGGGGTGTGAGAGAAAGAGACATATCAAGAATGAGTATAAAATTTTGGGGGTATCTGCAAGGTTAGAATTGCCATTAGCTGTGATCCAACTGGAGAAGGTTTGGGAGAAAGGTGGGAGGCTCAGATTTGAGCTTGTTTGGCTTGAGATGTGTATTTAATGTCTAAGTAATAGGTATCAGGAAACAGAGGGGCAAAGAAACCTGGAATTCAGCAGTGAGATCCAGGTTATAGTTATAAATTTCTAAGTAGTTAACATGTAGATAGTGTCTAATGCCATTAGATTGGATGAGGTGACAAAGGGAACAAATAAGGAAGTCCAAGAAGTGCTCTCTTAGAACATACACTATTAGGAGTTCAGGAAAAAGAGAAAGAGATTCAGAAAGAGCTGTCAATGAGGTAGGAAAAGGAGGAGGAGGGGAGGAGGAGGAGGAGCTGGAGGGAGGTAAGAAGAAAGAGAAGAAAGAAAGAGAAAAAAATATTTCCAGGAAGAGAGATGTCTGCTGCAGCAAATGCTACCACGGGATAAATAAGAGGACTAAGGGTTGACTTTGAGTTCAGTAATATGAAAGTCACAGCTTGGGGAGGGGGTGGTGGAGTACACACCTCACTGATCACAGAGAATATAAAACATTTCAAATAGCTTTACTGAATATAGGAGCAAATAAAATGTCAGGAACTAGAACAAGGAAAGTGTAGTAAAGATAGTTTCACCTAGATGAAAAGGATTGTTATCGCCTACACAAGTAAAGGACTGGTCTTGGGTAGGAGTGTGGACAATGCACCTATAATAAGAAATGTGAAAGCAAACCAGGTTGGTACTGGTGCTGCTGGGGTCAGTGGATGTGATGGTGAGAGTCTATGTAAGATCTCGGTCAATGGTTTTCATTTTCTACCACTGTATTATTAACACATTATTATTTCCTCCCTAATTTATTTGAGCATCAAAACAATGTTGTAAAATCACATATATATATAAAAAATAAATATATATATACATATATACATATATATACATATATAAATATATATATGTGTATATATATATATATATATATATAGAGAGAGAGAGAGAGAGAGAGAGAGAGAGAGAGAGAGACTGATTCTTGCTCTCTTGCCCAGGCTGGAGTGCAGTGGCACAATCTCGGTTCCCTGCAATCTGTGCCTCCCAGGCTCAAGCAATTCTCATGTCTCAGCCTCCCATGTAACTGGGATTACAGGCATGCACCACCATGCCCACCTAATATTTTGTGTGTGTGTGTGTGTGTGTGTGTGTGTGTATTTTTTTGAAGAGATGAGGTTTCACTACGTTGGCCAGTCTAGTCTCGAATTCCTGACCTCAAGCAACTCACCTGCCTTGGCCTCCCAAAGTGTTGGGGTTACAGGCATAAGCCATAGCATCCAGCCTCAAATAAGATTATAGTTGTAAATTACCATGTGAAAAAGATGATTAACCTTTATACCACATTCCATTTTTGATATATTCAGACAATGAATAAATATCATGATGTCACAGACAATAACATCTGCTCTCTATTGAACACTGCCTAAGGGCAGTGTTCTCTTTAAATTAGCAATTCTTAGACTTTTTTCTTTCAGCAAAACATTATATGAGATGACAGATTCAAAGTACTCTTTCTTCAATGGAAAAAGAGATCATTAGAATTAATGGCAAAACTAACCCTCTCTGAATGAAATATCTTAATAAAATGTTATCAGGGCTCCCTGGAATGTAAATAAATGATTGTCTGCTTCTGGAACATACAACTAAAAACAGGCACAAAATCCATTGCCAGCAAGATAGTTATTGATCATCAGTAATGCCTGTTTGTGAATCATCGTTTGATCCCTAACAAATGCTCAGCATAAGGTAATCAATAAATGATTTGATAAGCACATGAATGGATGGAACTAAATCTCATGGCACCCTAAATAGTGACCTATAGTCAAGATCCTCTAATGTAGTTAATTGAAAGAGAGTAAGGAGAAAACATCTATTTATAAGAAAAGTTGTTGTAAAGGCTTGCCTGTGGAATGCACCTTTTTCATCAAAGCAAAGGAGATAGAAATTTCCTAATCAATGTAACCCCTCCCCTGACCACAGTAAAAAGAGAATAAGAAAGAGGGAAGTGGGAGGAAAAATTAATTGAAGAAATCATGTGGTTTTTTGCAACAATTTTGTCAATTTTCAGCATTCCCCTTGCCTTTGACTTGACTTGCATTTGTCTACATGGACCCGAGACAGTGACTTACTACTGCATAATTGATAAAGCTAGGTCTCCATCCGTAGGGGTTTCTAGATTAAAGAGCAATATAGATTAAATTCTCATATGTGGTATCTGTATACTCAGCTACAAACATACACATCGATGAGTACTTGCTTAAACAGTCACTGATTTTCTTTACATTCCCATAACATGTCAATTAATGTCTATAATAAAGGCTAAAATAGTTCTAAATCCTGGGAAAATCTTAATGGGGGGAAAATATATTTGCATTGTCTCCCCGGATAGAAGAATGTTTAGCCAGAAGTTTCTTGCTGATCTGTACCATTTGGCGGATTGGAACTATTTCTGGAGGAGTATGTGACATAATATTTTAATTTAGGCAACTCTGAGTGCAACCAACAAAAAAAAATCAGATATTTGGAGAAGGTTAATAAAGCTGCCCCTGGGCTCCTTCACATGCCCCAGGAGTCCTCACGATCTGTGCTGTGACCATGTGCTCCTGTGACATGTGGCACAGCTCACTTCTGTGGTTATTACAGTGACAATAGCAACTGGCTGAATGTTACTGTATGCACAGCTGCTTCCACTAATTCTAAAACCCCAAACCACAGAGAGATGTCTCCCAGGGATTGTAGAATGAAGAGCAACCATTCTGGTGGATATAATTGAAAACAGAATGTCCTTTTGCACTCTGTAAAATCAAAAGCTGTGATAACAGATCCACCTAAAAATGACCTAGAAAACTGAATGTATAGATTCAGATGCACATGGCAGGAAAGCAGGAAAAGGACTTGACTGAAGAGACTGAAATAGATGAGGGAGGTAGCCTCGGGCCCAGGATGTGTGGTCCTCTCTTGTTGGAAGCAAAGAATAATATAGAGAAGAGGGTGTTCCTTCTCAGCAAAGGGAAGAGACATAGATGTTCCACAAATGAGCCACTTTTCTCTAAACTTCAATCCTGATGGCTTGGCCTGAGGATAACCTAGGTGCAATGTAATGCACTGCACATCCAGGAACATTGACTTCAGAGAGCAGTAGTTATTATTACTAATGGGAGGCATTACTTTTTTTGTTTTTTTTTTTTTTTGTTTGTTTGTCTGTTTTTAGCAGCAATGACATTTCACTTCTCCCCTAATCTAGGTGAACAAATATATATAGAATATGGTTCGTTTGTTTAAAAAAAAAAAAAAAGAATGGCTCCTTCGGAAAATGCTTTCTGTTGTTGCATCCCAGTTCGGGGAAGAGTTTCAGGGGTAAGTTATCTTGCACATGCTTTTTTCATCGTGCCTCCCAGTCTTTTTTATTTCTGAATCATCAAATTCCTTCTTTCATTTTAAATTAGTTGGTCTGAGGAAAACATATTCTTCATGCTAAAAGTCTATGAGAATTTCCATTTGATTTCACTATGTTGAGCGAGGGTATATTCTTGAGCAAAGGTATTATTTTCTATTTTTAAGTGAGGTTTAAGCATGTCGATTGAACTAATAGCTAACCAAGCTCTACTATGTTCCAAGTACCATGCTGAATACTGGAACATGCATTATAATTAAACATAAATATATGCTCACAGCCCCTAAAATCTATAGCATCATCACATTTAAATGAGAAGGCAGCATATGCAGAATAGGGTAGCATTAAAATAATGGTTTCTTTTCAAAATAAGTTCAATAAGATGCCTCTAAAAGATCAAATTGTGGAGAAAAATGACTTTTTTTACATCAAGAATTACTTCACATTTTTATTCAAGTTCTGTTAACTTTCCCTAAGCTGATAGAGCAGTAGACAATAATCGGTAAAAGCTGTTTCCTGAAGCTGGTGCCTGTTATGAACAACACTCTACCTTGTAACTGTTCAGTCTTCTTGCTCTGCGGACCAGCTACCCAGTGGCGCTGCCTGGTTGGCCCATTAACTCTGCTCAGGGCATGCTTTATCATTACTAAACGGCCTCAATTCCCAATTACAGGGTAATGGCATCATTAGTTTTTCCATCATTATTTGGTCATAATGATAAGAAACAGAAAATATTGTAGAAAATTGGGGAGAATTTGGGCACTTTACAGCCCTGGTTTTTACGAACATATCCATACACACCTGCACACTTCAGTTCATTAACAGAGACAGAAACTCTTTTTCTGATACTCATAGTTACTAATAAAAATCAATTGCAATTGAAGGAGAAAGCAATGGGGAATGATCATGTTACCTTTTCTGTTCGGTATGACTCTAAACAGAAGCTGTATCTAGGAAAGTTCAGATTTAAAATATTATTTTTTCTTTCCTACAGGGTTTCTAACATCTAAGAAGCAGATCCTTAAGAAGAAAAAAATGTCACTTTTCAACACATTTATATCTCAGAAAAACTCATATTCACCTTCCATTTACTGGAATATTATCTTCTTATGTTAAATTTAAAAACAAAAATATTTGGACATCTGGTCCTGATTAGATTAACATAAAAAAACCAATCTAGGAAGAAAATTGTTAAAGTTTATTTCTCCATGCTTTGTAAGAGATGTCATTTCTAATAAAACTATGGTACTTATGATTTAATAACTAACTGATTTCACTTTGCATTTATGCCACCATCATAACTCAACTTTTTAGAAAGTGTTTTATGTTTTATGTTCTATGGTGAACACTTCCCATCAGTGTGGCATATTTTAATAATCATAGTTATAAACTAATACTTTTGTAACAGTTTGCAATTTTCAAAGCACTTTGAGATAAGACCTCATACTATCCTCAAAAACACTCCATCTGTAGTGTAGACATAATAGATATTGTCTCCATCTTCAGATGAGGAAATGAAGCCATTTGACTTCTTGATTCAGTCTTTGAACTTAGTCTTTTTAGTATTACTCTATCAGAGCTTTATCTATCCATCTCTATATATTTGCCATCAAATTTTTGTTTTAATTTTTGGAAAGTTTCTTTAGATTATTATTTTCTTTTTTCTAAATTCAAGTTCTTCCCGTCTCTGGCTGTAGGGGGCCTCCTTAGATGTGGTGAACATTTTTTTCCCAAGGGCTTATTTGTGTACCTGGCAGGTATACAGAAAACTTTCCCAGTACCAAGAAGCATCTTCATAGATGTCAATCAACAACGTGTCTACCAGCCCCAGAATGGACCACACTCAATTCAAACCTTATTTTGAGTTCCCGTCTCCTACTGGTAGCCAGGGAGAACAAACTCACATTTACCAATTATTATACCAAAATGCAGTTTTAAAATTATCGTGTCTAATTGTATCATATTTTTGTCTTCTTTCTTGATTTCAGACTACTCGTCTAACTACTTATGACAATCATTTTCCGACTTCTAAATTAATAATAAATTGTTCTTATAAATTAATTCTAGTAATTAATATATAAAATACCCAAGCTTTAAAGAGCCTGTTTTTTTTTTTTTTTTTTTTTTTTTGGTAGGGTGATTCACCCTTTGTGTGTTGGTTTTGAGCTCATATTTTGCTGTTAAAACATTTTAATTTCTGCTATTTTTACATTTTCAATGATATTCTTGACATTTGAGATTACTAATTATTTTCTGAACACATGAAGAATTACTGTAAATGAAGCATTACTGTGTGGCTTTTGGTGAGTTTGATCTACATGCTATCATCATTTATATTTTTACTCTTCTGGCGAGATTTTTGACTCAAAAGAAAAGAACTACTTCAACACAATCACTGACCCTTATGTATTATTCAAAGTTCAACAAGATTCTCTTTAAAAAGGGAAAATTTGCAATTGGCTCTCTCACTTTGCCCCTTATTCTATAAAGCTTCACAAAGATGTTTTTAACAGCACGACTAGCTTTGTTCCCAGGTATGCTCAAAAACAACTAGTTTTGTCTGTGAGATGTAGAAACCTTTCTATATTTATGAGTTATAATGAAATAGTTCACCTCATTGAGGAATTGTGATGAATTATTTCTGGTTTTACACATAAGTATTGATAGCATTAAATTTAGAAGGTAGTATCTTTGGAATTGACTTTTACATCACAAAGTGCCCATTTGGTTCACATATGAGACTTATTTAAAGACAAGTCTCCACATTGTTACTGAACATTCTTTGAAAATATCACAGGTCTATAACTGGGGCTATCTGAGTAGTATAACAAGTTCTCTTCAGAATAATAATGGGTTCCATGCTCCATTTATTTATGTTTCATTTAGAGGAACATTACAGAACAAGGAATAACAATAGTATAAATGGTAAAACAGTTAGGTGTAATGATTAAGTTTGCAAAAACGTGAGTTAAAATTCTAGCTCTGCTACTTACCAGCTATGTGTCCTGTCAAATCTCCAACTCTCATTCTATCTACCCAACAGGCCATTGGGGTAAAATGAAGGCAAGTTGTGTAAAACACTTAGTACCTGACGTATTTTTATTGAATGTCCTCAATATATGGTAAATTATATTATTATGGTTTTTGCTGCTGTGGTTAGATATTTAGTTATGTTTTTTGATGCTGAAGGCATGGTATATATGAATATGCTTGTCTTATGGAGATAAAACTTTAAAACTCTTAAAGTCTTTGGAAAATGCACATAAACTCAAAGAGAAATTCCATTTAGGATAAATAAGAATATTCTATTTACATCAGAAAAGAATATTCTATTTACATCAGCTTAGCCTCTTCAATCTAAAATTCTCAAGAATACTCAGGATTTCTAGTCCTTCAGAATTATTCCTCCTCCAATATTGCTTCTCATTTATTCTTACTAAACATTTTCACTGTGTTCAAGTACTCAGCAATCCACAGTGCTCATCCTTCCTTCTTAGGATGTCTGATAATTAGAAAATGCCTTCTCTGTTTGAATTATGCTCTTTCTTGCTTCACTTAATTGAATCTAGTTCTATGTCATGAAAGCTATACAAAATGAATTTAAACTCAGTTCTATCTAATAATACTTTTGATATGTTTTTGAAAACAGCTATTATATATCTCCTCCCCTTCGTGTCCTCTCCTCTTTATATGACATGCTTCCGAGTTTAAGATGGTTTCTCATCAATTCAGTCTCTCAGTACCTCTTTACCAAGGCTGTTCATGTTTTCACATAAGCAGACACAATACCTGAGAAGCTCATGATAAAGAACCCCATCTGGCAGCCATCGCTGCATCACTGCTTCCTTTCTTGTACTTTTGTCATCACTACGTACTGCCAACCACACTGTGCCATTGGCTAATAAAAGAGTTTCAATTTCTTATCTATTTAAGTTACACCCTACTCAAACCTTATCCCCACCATGAATTCAATGGTCTTATTGCTGATTTCACACATAAAGCATTATAGTTACCTATTTCATTTTTTCATTATTACATTTGGTCAATTGAAATCTCTTTCAGATTTTGATCTTTTCATGTAAAATATTTGATATAGCAGAACAGATTACTGTCTATAAGTGACATTACAGCCTAAACCTCCATTCTAGTTGATGCTTATTATCATCAATACTCCTTTTGATTAATAGTTAAAGTGTCTGCAAATTCACTTGATAAAAGAGGAATAGGATTTAATAATGAATAGGAGTTTTTTCTCCCTATCCCTTCACCTCACCTTCTATCATCTTCCAACCTCCATTTAAGAGAGTTTTATCTTTGCAGATAGTCTCTGATCTGTAATGTAAAATCAGGAAAAAAAGGCATTGTAAATGTAGGAAGAAAGGGAAAGAGTAGAATTGATCTGAGACTAAAGTGGTATAGAAAAGAAAGAGTAGGGACTGATGGAAATATAGATTGGAAATCATTTTTAATTTTGTTGTTTGAGCTGCTCTTAGGTAAATCTTAGAGAAACTGGTATTTGTGGATGGCAAGTTGTACAATTATCCTGCATGCATTGTTCCATTTTATCTTTAGAAAATAATTTTTAAACATTTTCAAATGCACATCTTCCAAAAGTTTGTAAATATTTTTATTTCATAAAATGTAAATTTTATGTAAAAGCTGTACCTCTAATAAACATGTAATATGTAAAAAAAAATTTTCAAATGGTTTTCTAGGTCAAAAAAAACCCACATCTGCTGTAATTAGTTGTTGTTTTGTAGGTTTTTTTTTTCCAATTTACAGATCCATGGACTTGTTTGTACCAAGAAATAAGAACATCATACCATCTGACGAACTGTGGATCATTTAGTCTGTGCTTTCACTTTCGAACAAAAGTCCATCTAAACTTGCATGTAAACTAAGTTTACTATATTTTATGCCTTTGTCTTTTCTTATTTCAAAATGCAAAAAGATTTCAATAAATTTGCAAATAAAGTTCAGAGACATTTGTAAAAAAACTGAATTGAGAACAGAGACTACTTTAATTTAAAAGTACTTCATAAATGGATAAATCTGAATAAACATTTTACGATATATTCAACAGTTAATTCTTAGCTGTAAGAGGGCTTAAGTGGACACAAAATTGCAAAACTTAGACTTATTTACTTTTATAGAATGCTCAAATATAAATGTTAATATCATTAACAGATTTCACCTGTGTGGTCTCACCCACTGCAAACCATCACACACATGATACAGTACCTTTGCACCTGGTTGAGTGAACTGGGAAACTGAAAAAATAACTTGGGATTTAGATCATATAAATGATTTCTTAAATATTGATCAACACCTCCATCTTCATTTGTCTATGTCGATACAACACAATTATCATTGCTTTTCTTTCTTTAGTCATGAAATATATTAATGGAAATATGCAAGCATTATACTTTTATGTAGACAATATGTATGTATTGTATAACATTTCCAATTGAGCTGACTTTCTAATTCTTATCAGAATACACTAACAGCAACTTAGTTCCCTAAAAGATGTCACATCTGCTCTCATGTCTCAAGCTAACTTTGTCACCTCTGGGTTTCTGTTATTATGGCCCTGGGCAAGTTACTTCACACCTCTGTGTCTTCATTGCTCAGATGAGATGACTGGTCTAAATGATCACTTCTTGCTTTAATCTTTTATTATTGGATGATATCACAGTGATTATCTAGTTCTTCTTAGCAGCTGGGACTTAACCAAGACAGGTCAAGTATTTTTAAAAATGACAAAAACAAAACAAAATACTATGGTTTCACTGCCACTTTTTCAAAGTGACATCCTGTTCTTGGGAATGAGAATTGATGATGTCAATCTAAATATGAAGAAAAACAAATCAATAGAATTCTCTGACATGAATTGACCCACTGGGTGTATTAGCATCATAATTTTGTTATGGGCATTTTGGAAGAATGTCAGCATAACTCCTGAAGAAGAGGGGCCTAGGGCAGGATATGACAAAGAAAAGAAACTACAGGTACTTTAATTGTGAAAGGATCAGCAGGTGCCAAGGAAGAAAACCAAATTATTCCTAACATAAGCAAGATATAGTAGAAATAAATGAGACATAGGAAAATGAGAGCTACTTTGAGTAAATTGCTCGAAGACCTCAGAGCCATCATAACCAGCTTAACGTAATACAGAAGAAATAGTTTTGCAATAAATCTCCTCTATTCATTTTATTGTAAGCCAAATGTAAATCTTCAGTTAAGTTCCTTAGGATGAAAATCATCTTTAGGAAATGTTTCTATTCATCATCTTCACACTAGTATAAAGGAATAATTTTGGTGAATAGAAATTAAGAAAAGAAAGTGGGGCAAATTGTTTGCCATTTCAAATGATCATGAACATGTTAGATCTGTTTATAAGAACAGCAAGAGCTGATATTGGGCAAAATTGCAAATGAGCAGTGCCTTTTTTACCCCTGATATTTGCCCCTCTATTTCTTTCCACCCCCACTGTACGAGTATTTTTATGACAGCTACACTCTATATGCATTTATTTGCACAATCTAAGCTCCACGGACCTTGTGTGACCTTCCCTTGCCTTCCAGACTTTACAATATGGCTCACATGGTTTCATGTTACATTTTCATGCCCATAAAAGTAAGGCTTATTCAACAGATATTTTTAGGCATGTAGTATTAGCTGGGCAAAGATTCAGTGCCTGGATATAGTGAAGAATGAAACTGCCCAGGTCCTCAAGGGCCTTATAAGAATAATAAGTGCTTGTAGATTATAGGACTACAGACAATATTCAAATAACCATAATTGTACATTAGATGGCAATAATGCTGCAGGAAGACATAAGCCAAAGAGAATAAAGGGGCAGAAGGAATAGTCTCTAATGTAAAGTGGCATTTTAGAGGGGACCCAAATGAAGAGAGAAAGCAAGCCAGGAAGTATGTGAAGAAAGAGCAAAAAAGCCAAGGGGATCATAATTTCAAACGTATTTGAATGTCATGGAAAAGCAGGAGGCCAGAAAGGATAAATCAAAGTGGGCAAAGTACAGGAAGTAAGAAGGTTAGAGAGGTAGCCAAGGCCAGATCTTATAGGAGGATGTTGTAGTCCATGGTGAGAAGTTAAGATTTTTTGAGTGAAGCCACCACAAGGTTTTGGACAGAATATTGACAAGATCTCATCACATAATGATCTATATGAATGGACTGCATAATAATCAGGGTGAAGCAAGTAAACCAATTAGGAGGCATTGCAATGGTCCAGGCAGGAAATAGTGTGGCTTTGATTAAGGTGTTAACAGTGGAGGTGGTTAAAGGAAGTCAGATTTTGTACATATTTTAATGGAAGACCAATATTTTATTGTATCTTAGAATTGGAGGTGAAGACTAAGGATGTGAGAGAGATTGGGAAATCAAAGATATCTCCAAATATTTGTCCTGAGAAAGTAGAAACCAGAGTTTACTGTTTATTGAAAGAGGAAGTAGTGATCGAGCAGATTTAAGCAGGCATGGGGTGGATAGAGAAAACCGTGCCTCCAGCTAGCTCTCAGGTTTTTTCTCACCCTCTTGACTTAACTTTGTTTCAACAAAACAGGCTTTCTTGCTGTCACTTGAAAGTAATATGCATTTTACCTCTTTAGAGCCTTTATATTTGTTCAATCTGGAGAACATTATTCTCAGAATGCCTGTAACACATCCATGTGTAGATGTTGAATGGGCATTTGAATGTACGAGACAGGGGTTCCAGGAGAGGTCTGGACAGCAGGTACACATTCAGGAGAAAATAGATCATGATAACGAGACCACAGAAACACAACCAGTTACATAAGAGAGGGGAATAAAGGAAGAGCAGTGACCAGGAAACTAACAAAGGGTTTCAAAAGGAAAGGGCTGATAGTGTCAAATTCTAATAGGTTCAGATAAAGACTGAGAATTTACCATGACTTTGGCAGACATTTCTTTCACCTGATATAATTTGCCCCTAACAACTCTGCCATTTCCTGAGATTCAGCCAAAACGTCACTGTCTCCTTGACATATTTTCTATATCTATAATTTTTGTTTTACTCCTCTGCCTCCAAAAAAGGGATAATTGTTCTAAATCACTAGCTTGTTTTTTATGTTCTCCCTTTAAAAAATAATCATATTGCTCCTACATCATAGCAAACACCTAGTATATTTTAAGTATTTATTATATAAAATTTTAGACAAAAGGAAAAGTGAAGGAGGAACATAGGGAAGGAGGAAGGAAGGAATGCAGGCAGGCAGGCAGGCAGGCAGGCAGGCAGGAAGGAAGGAAGGAAGGAAGGAAGGAAAGTTTCTAGCCTGAAATGTTTTTCTAAGTTCCATTACTTTTTTTTCTAGGATATTGCTGGGTGACTAATACATAAAATTAATTTTGAGTAAGCCATTAATGCCCAATAATGGTTCACTGTGTTCTATTTTTCTTCCCAAGTTTATGTGGCTTTTAGCAGGAGAATTTCTGAAAATAAGGATTTTTTTGAACATAAAAAACTAAATCTATGATCGTGTAGCATTTATTTATTTATTACTTATTTATTTATTTAATCACAGAAACATGTTCTCACTATGTTGGCCAGGCTGGTCTCGGACTTCTAGGCTCAAGTGATCCTCCTACCCCGGCCTCCCAAAGTGCTGGAATTACAGGTATGAGCCACTGCACCTGGTCTATGCAGCATCTTAATAGACTAGAAAGACTTTTGCCTTCACATCTTATAACCTTTATGAAGATATTCACTGACCTTTTTATGCATTTATTATTGGTCCTTCTTGCAAACTATGATGCTGTGTAATTTCTAAGCCATACTCTGATAGTTGTTTACCTCAACTAAATTATAGCTGAAAAATATTACGGAACAAGAGTGAGAAGATGATTATTACAACACTAAACTTGAGGATTAAACAAAACAAAGTTTAGTACTTTATAAAATCTTTATAAAGACTTAAATAAATAAAAGTTTCCTGACTTTTGAAACCCATTTCAAAGAGGCCCATCCTGGCATAAATTAAATCTAGGAAAGACTTTAAAAAATAAATTTAGATGTTATTTGTCATCACTTGAGGAGCTTCATTTCTTTTCTGAATGAGTAGAAACTGAACTCAAAATGATGCTTTTTACACCACCAAGTTATTGTCGGAAAGCCTCATACCACCACACAACTTCTAACTTGGAAAAAATAATTCAAATATTTTCATACATGCAATGAAAGTAATTATTAGCATGGCCCTAGAAAGGGTTAGCTTTGCCAAAACTAAGTGGTAAATTGATCCACATTTAATTTGGTTTCCTATATTATATGCTTCTGTTCAGATTGTCTAAAGGCTAGATAAAACACAGTGATGCCTGCTGTCCATCAAATGTTAACCAGTGGAATTTGTGCTATGGCGTTTATTATTCTAGGAATAGAAACAATCCAAGAAGGATAAAGGCAGAAACATGAGAAAGGTTGTGATGTCTTGAAGAGTCGACTTAGAGCATATCAAGATGTACTGTGGTGTCATAGAGTCAAGGGAAAGAAACTGATGTCAGACTGGAGTAGTAGGCTAAGATCACATGAAAAAGATCCTGTGCACTCTCCTAAAGAGAGTGAATGATGATCCCAGGAACCAATGTGGCAGGCAAGTCTCTTTTCCTTTACCAGCTCTGCTTCGTAGTGGTTGCCTGCTGATCTCTGTTGAGAATTACCAACGTACTATATGTTCAGCAGTAAAAATTGCTGTTATCAATCAGAAAACCTGTTGGTCAATGGCTTGATATCTGCAGTATTTGCCAAGTTCACCATATATAACAGGAGCCATCAATCTTTTTTTTTTAACCAAATAATGAAATATCAAGGATTTGCTCTTTGGAAGGACACTGCTGGGAATGACTAGATGGAATGGAGGTGACAGAGATTAGAAATAGAAAAGACTGGATGATACAGCACTTCAGTTTGAGAAATACAAAGGTCAAAAAACAGGTCAGTGATGGGGGAAATGAAATTTATAAATTAAATACATTATAATAGATCTCCTTTCAAGGAATATTTGACAAGGTCACATTGTATTAATCTAATAATTTTCCTGGAGAAAAGGTTGAATGTTTTCCCAAAATCCATTGATTCCCTTACACCTCTAGAATAGCGGTTCTTAATTTTTCCCAACGTCCATGTTTTCAGGAAGAATAGTAATCCTAAACAAACATAGGTGAGACAATGGACTACATGGACCACCTGTCCCCCAAGTTTCCACTTTCTAGTGGGAATTAAAAGTGAGTTATAACAAAGAATAGAGAGGGTTGAAATCACAATTCAGGTAATCACAGCCCATCAATTAAAAGCAAATGACACACAAAGATTGATCCATGAATAATGATGGTTGAAAATTAAGACCAAATCAGGATAGCAATGATCATATAGTATGTTACCGAAATTTTCAAATGCTTATGTAAGGGTCAGTTTGCAATAATGCTAAGCAATGTGTGGCAATAGGAATTCTAAAAGAAGATGGAAAGAAGACCTCAGTAAATGCTGGTGAGTCCTTAATTTTAAACAGTCAAGATATTTTGATAATTCTGATAATTAAGAGGGGTTACTAGGAAGTATTCCTTAGCTATAGGTAATTATATAATAATACAACAACAATCACCATCTCCACCATCACGGCTACTAAGTGGCATTTATTAAGAAATTATTATGTTTCAGGCATAGCCTTCGCTCTTAATCAATGCTCTATTGTGCATCCTGTGTCTTCCCGAACGAAGGTATTGTTTTTCAATCGGTTTATGTATTAGTTTAGGATCTACTACGAGGAGCCTGATAGCTGCAGTTCCTACTTTGGAAAACACTGCTTGAAAATCCCATTCACACTCCAGACATGGATGTCTCATAAATGGAGTTCAGTGGGTTTGAATTCCTGCCAAAAGTCCTACTTTTGCCACTGAGAGAGTCCTAATTTAATTTTACCTGACAAATAATAACCACTGCTTTATTTTTATCTGAAATGCATATGGATTCTTGATGATATATATATTAAGCTTTCCAACAAGACAGGATTAATGTTGAGGTTATTTTCTCATGTATGGGGCTAGACTGAAAAAAAAATCCTTTTAATCACCATTTTACTGTCATTTCTTAAACTTCCTGCAGCAATCTAGTAGAACCTATCCAGAAGAATAAATGAAGCCATTTTTATATCACATGATGGTTACTTTCATAATTTCCAGTAGGAAATGGAGAAGCTATTTATTGGTCTCCGGAATTTAAACATTTAAAAGGAACCTACTGTTATATTTATTATCCTTTACAGGAAATGCAAAGCTCTTTAAGACAGACAATGAACAGATAGCTTCATAAAAGACACTGCAAATTTAATAAGCTACACTATCTTTTGCTGATTCCTATTTACTATTCATGAAAATGGGATTTGGGTGACTTCTCTTTTTACATCTTGTAACAGGAATTTCAAGAGAATGAGGAACAAACAGCATGAGATCCATGTCTCAGGACATTATATTTTTAAATTAATTTTCAGCCTCTTTTAGCACTGTATTTATATGAATCACAGCTCCTTTAGGTATTTTGCAGAATGACACCTTTGTAGTTGAGTCAGATAATACACATGTATACTTGTTTGTACAATGATAAAAATAATAGTCATACCTTGAGTCTATATGTCCATATATACCTTTACATAACATATATCTCTTTATGTGTGTGTGGGGATATACATATATATGTATGTATATATATAAAATAGTATATATACTAAGAAGCTAAAACTAAATGAGGATATATATATGTATATATATCCCTCCCCAAAAGGAGTAAAAAACATTCCACCTACAAATAAACCTATGTTTTGTGACTCAGTCTCATGGATAATGATCAGTCTTTGGGTATTTACATAATTCTTTGGTTTTGGTCCCTTTGAAGCTAGGATATTTCAATGCATTTCCAGAGAGCAATTTCAATACAATATATCAGTAACAACTGATACCAATGCATATTTCTTTTCTAAATATTTTAGCACACAGAAATTTATTTTCTGTTTAATGTTTCTTTTTGAGTAGATACTGATGGTTTTATCAGCAACATCCTGGAACCTCTCTGAATTAAATTCTTTTATTCTCTCATTCAAATCATGTATTCCTTATTATTTATGCATAAAACCCTGACTGATAGTTCTGATAAGACATTTTCTTTAAATTTGTCTTCTTAGTTGCTTTTTCTCATATTAAGCACTCAAAATTATTTTAACCATATTTTTTCTTAACTGTTATATTCTTTATGAAATAATGTTACTGAAAAGTGAATCAGTTGTCACTTCAAATTTTCCTAAAATTGATCAACTAAATTATTAACATTAAAAATAATGGTCATAGTATAAAGTTTTTAAATTTTATAATCTGATCTGTCAATCATTTTCATTATGGCTTCTGGGTTATAAATTATTCTAGTACCTGTCCTTTCAATGCTAAAATAATATCATAAATTTTACTCATTAATACAGTGTGAGTAGGGGTTTGAGATAAGAAGCTGAAAATAGATGAGATTTATATTCATCAACATGGCCAAAATGATACTTATATGTATATATATTTAACAATGTTAAAGTATATACCAGAATTATTAAAGAAAATTTTGATGAAATGGAAGGGAAATCACTCACATTCCTCTGAGAAAATTTTACAAATAAAGTTCAGTGTGATAGATAGATAAGACTGTGATTTCTATTCATTTGAATGGGTGACACACGGCTGAATCTGAACTACATGTTCTGAAAATTTACCTCTTCCTGGTTTAACAAAAGAGACAGTGTGTAACTACCATAATAACCAGCTATTTAAACTAATTATTTCCATTTTGTTCATGTGGAACTTTTATTGACTGGACTGCTTTAGGAAAACAGGTCTTCTGCAAGTGGATTGTAAAACCATGGCAGTTTTTGTTGCTAGTGAAGGTGGCATTCAGCAGGTGGTAAAAAAAAAAAAAAAATTGAGGATGTTGCTTGGAGAAATACTTATTTTGCTTGTTTTAGCGTGTTTGTGATTTTTATTTCCATCCAGAGTGTGTGTGTGTGTGTGTGTGTGTATATATATATATATATATATATATATATATATATATATATATAGAATTGAGTATTTGTTAATATCTATCTTCCTCATGAAATAAACATGAAACTTAAGCATTGGGCCCAAGAGAGTACTTTTTAATAGCAGGAACCAGTAAGTTGAATCTCACAGAATAATGAAATTTGAGACATGCCTAGAAATTTAGAGATCATTTATTCAGTAACTAGATATGCTTAAGAAAATTCTCAAAGCCACACACCTTAATAATAATGTTCATTTTTGATCACTATTATTAATAATAATGTTCCTTTTGATCACTATTATTATTAATGTTCATTTTTGATCATCATTATTAATAATGTTCATTTTGATCATTATTATTAATATTATTATTATTGTTATTATTGTTAATAATATTATTAGTGTTCACTTTGATCATTATTTTTAACATTCAAAATGAATCTTAAAACAGCAACCCCAAGCTCTGGTGAGATAGCAATTTATGGCAAAAGGGTAGATTTTCTGAATCTGTAATTTTTCAGGCATCCTGCAATTATTGACAATGACTCCATTCAAACTAGATGAGTTGGGTTAGATGAGATTACATTTGGAAACATTCACTTTCAATACAAACTTCCTGGTTGAATCAGTAGTCAGCAGGAGGGCTTTGCTATAAAGCAATCCTGACACAAGCTTTTAAGCAGTGAGTAATAACACTCTTTAATAACATGAATTTCTCGTTATCACCAACACTGATGGTGCAGAAATCATGCTGTCTAGGTACAATGAGTTATTTTATGGCCAGCAATCAAAGCGCCACCACTTTTTGCCCAAAGAGAAATGTTTCACCCCTCTGACAAAAATGCTGCAAGGCTTAATGATAAATCAATGATAAATAAGATTGATGTGAAGTATTTCCCGTAGTATAAAAGAAATATGCCTTATGGAGAGGAATCATTATTAGAGAGGCTGACTCTGCAATAATGTATGTCACTCCCCCAAAAGATAGTTAGTACTTTACAGGACATAAAGGAGTCACTCAGGTATTTTCATATTGAATAGTCCCTTTTCCCTTCTTTGATGATGAATGGATGAAGGAAGCCTTAACTGATATCAAAGAGAATAGCAAATCGGCCGGGCGCGGTGGCTCACGCCTGTCATCCCAGCACTTTGGGAGGCCGAGGCGGGCGGATCACGAGCTCAGGAGATCGAGACCATCCTGGCTAACACGGTGAAACCCCGTCTCTACTAAAAAAATATAAAAATCAGCCGGGCGTGGTGGCGGGCGCCTGTAGTCCCAGCTACTCGGGAGGCTGAGGCGGGAGAATGGCGGGAACCCGGGGGGCGGAGCTTGCGGTGAGCAGAGATGGCGCCACCGCACTCCAGCCTGGTCGACAGAGCCAGACTCCGTCTCAAAAACAAAAACAAAAACAAAAAAAACCCCACACAAACAAACAAAAAAGAGAAGAGCAAATCAATGAAATAGAGAAAAGTGATCTTTGTACCAGAGCAATAGTGGATATATTTTCTCTTTTCCCATTGATAGCCAGATTCGACCTTTCTGACACACACTATTAGAGCCTGAAGCATCCTTTCTGTGAGATAATGAATCCCAGGGTTGGTAGAAACCATAACAAGAGGAATCCCCAACTGTTTGTGCTGCTTCCTTCTGGCTGAGAGGAGGTGTGAATTGTATTCCCTCCTTGGGGATGTAAAATTCTTGGAAAGTTTGTCACCACTCTGGAGGTGAAGAAAGCTCAGAGTGTGGGGAGAGTTTGGGTTCAAGTTGCTTTTCTCTCTCTCTTTCTTTGTTTCATTCATTCTCTTTCTTTCTTTTATCTTTCTTTCTTTCAGAGCTTATTGTGTTAAGAAAATCTCATCTCTCATTTATTTTTTATTGTAATCTAAAGTAATGTTGCATTAAAGAAAAAAAAAGGTGGAAATATTTTAATAGTCCCACAGGAAGGGTTTACATTCCTGAGGAAATGTTGTACTTTGCAGAGATTATTTAGTCTCTGATTAATTTGTACACGGATAAAACAAGTTTCATGAGCGTCACTGCAACAATTACATGAACATCTAGAAAACTAAGCAAGATTCTTGCTATCTCAGAGGGGAACAAGGATTGAATACTGAATTTTTACAAAGAAATCCGCTCTTCTTAACTAGGATTGTCACATGATTTTCAAATTAAAGAATGGAAGAAAATGGCATTAAAATGGAAATAGAAGCTCCTTGTTTCTGAAGACTAATTTTGAAAGAGTGTAACTGGTGTTTTCCAGACCTTCAGAAAGACCTTAAACACACCCAAGAGACTTGAGTTTGATAGAGGAAAGCTTGGTGATGTTGAGCTCTCTTAAACACAGGGATGGGGTATGAAAGATAAATGGAAAATCTCCTTCTTCAAAGGGTTTCCAAAACAGTTCACGTGGTGATGACAGTGTTTTTGCAAAAAGCAGACACTAATTAGAAAACCTTCTAGGTCCTTCTTTGATGTGTAGCTATAATTATTCTAAAGATCTGGAAACTGGCAGAGTTAAAGGGGAAAGTCTAAATAACTTTTACTCTATTCAGACATAGAAGACATAAGTTATTTTGCTGTAAATAAGAAAATACAAATATAAAAGTAGTTATTATTTAGTAGCAATTGTTTTAATATAATGATGCTATTGTAACCCAGGTTTCCTGGGTTTTGGGGTACACACTGTGAAAAAGTGTCCACTTATAACTGTTGCAACTTGAGCTTTTGTTGTTTCAAAAAAATTCCAAGAAGCTCAGCCCTGATACAACTTTACCTCTAGCCAATATCATTAATTATTTTCCTAGGCAAAAACAGTCCCTTCCTTGAACCAAAAGTGAGAATATTTTCCTCCAGTTCACACTTACTTAACCTAAGAGTCTGTAATTTTTCTTTTTCTTCTCCTTCAGTTTTAACTTCAGCTCCAAGTCTCATCTCAAATTGTTTAGGCTATTACATTCAGTGAGAGGTTGATTATTTTTATTTTATTTTCTCCTAAATTTCAAATAGTGTCTTACTACTACAATTCCTAGCTAAAATTCTGCAATGTCACTGGAAAGCTCCATGCCTTACTATCTAGATTTATAGTTAGTTTTTTATTGGTTTCCAGTTTTTCGTGAACTTTCTGGGACTCACCACCTTTATCTCTTGCTCCTCTTTTTTCCCAAGTGGCTTAATAATGACTAGGGACCTTAACAGAACCAAATTTATCAATATTAGTGAAGGCACACACACAATAACAACAAAACAGAGACAAAATGGGTCTATGACTCAAGAGTGTAAAAATGCATATTTTTGATAAATTTGGCAATTTGAAAACATTTGGCAATTTTTTAACAAAGTTTAACAACTGGAGCAATAATTCCACTTTTACGACTTAGCCTATGAATGCGTAGTTATGCAAAATTAAAAAGCAATGATACTGTCTATTGAGAATCAGTTAAAATGATGAGACACTGGAAATAGCCTAACTGTCCATAACTGGGACATTTGTTTCCTAACATTCATTGTATCTAAAATGAAAGATCATCAAGCTATGTCTTAAGAAAACTTTAGCCAAATGCTCTTTGATAGGTCTTAAACCTCTGGAAATAAAAAATTGTGACAACAGTGGTTCTCAAATGTTACCAAAAAATGTAGACATCATAAATCACAAAAACAAATTAAACATTAATCATAGTAAATGGTATATATCCAAAACACAGGGGGAAAAGCAGAAGGATAATGATAAGTCCTTTCCATTGCGTACTAGGCCATTTTCTTGTAAGCCCATACCGAAGATTCATCTATAGCTTCAGAAGAATGGAACACAATAGCATAGGGCTCAGAAAATTTATGTTCTGTAAAACTTATTAGATGTTATGATTTTACCAAAGAGTCATGGTTGGTTCACTGTGTATGTTTGTTTGTTTTACTGTCCTGTAGACATTAACCTGCTATGTATTTCAGTAGTTTTGTTTGTTTCTCCCACAGACTATGGAAAGCGTATTTCTCAGATACTTTTTTCTTTCAACCTGCTTTTTCACCCTGCTGGCTCCCTCATCAATAAGTTAAATAAAACAAACTTGAGGTGAGATAATAGAGCTCTGACTGGCAACTACGATTCCCAACCATCACTGCAACTAATATCTTCCTAGGAGAGGATGTCAATGATTCAAAATAACTCCCATTTTGAAACAAACATCCAACTATAAGCAAAACTTATGTGCTTACCTCCTATAATGTTGAAAGTTCAGATATGGTAATGCATTTTTAAAATCTCAGAAGCCATACATAATAATCTAAATGTTATATTATATTTTCAGTGGAGGATAAAGTTGCAAAATCCCTCTGAGTCTCTACATGCAGAGTCAAGATGCATTGTTACAAAGAAAAATATTATTTCAAATAGCCTTTCTATCATGATCTAAATCTTAGAAAATATATATAAGAACAAGTCTAGAGAAAATACACTAACTTTCACATAGTCACATATGCATCCCTAACCCCGGAAAATATATACCCAACCACTACAGTGGTTATCTATAGGATCAAGGATTAAATGAAATTTCTCACTTTTTTTTATCAGACTTTTCTATAAGATATAAATTTTGTAAAGGAACGGAGGAAAAATATTTCAAATAAGAGCAGGCAGAAGGATAAGAAAAAAATCCTGAAAAGCAGTATATATTAGACAGGAGAAACTTCTCCACCTGTCTCCCTCTGCCCATTAATCTCCAGTCTATGTTTTATTAGATAGCGGAGAAAAACGTTTCTTTTTGGGTGTAATAGCACAGCATATTCTTAGTCAGAATTATTTAATTTCTACCAATATTTTGTAACTTTTGTACCTTTAAAACTAAGTAGTGTACAAATAAGATTGTTTAATCAACTCATTTATACTTCATGTAAAATTTAATTCAAACATAATATGATTTATCTCTCATGTAAGTATTATTTCTGAATTATTGGAATAGATAAAATAGAAAATATCACAGTATTTACTTTTATCATGGAAATAAAAATTAATTTTTCCACTTGGTTTATAAAATATAGATTGATAAATATATGAGAAAAGCTATTAGCCACCTAACCAAAGAAAAGACTGTTATTAAAACTAACTCCTGACTCATAGCTAAAGTTGGTTTTACTCATAACCTCATTCTGCCTATATAATCACACGTTAATATAGTTTATTGTTGCTAATTTAGGGAAGTAAAGACAGTGCATTTGCCTGAAAATCTTGAGTTAAATGGTAAATTAGAATCATTACACCAATCATTATGGAACAGGAATGGACTTTGGCATTTTAAGTGGAGTTGTGTCTATTTTACAAGAGTATCTCTTATCTGAAGTGTCACCTTGATTTTTAAGAGAAATTCAGATGCATGGTCAAACATTTAGGTGTTCTACAAAGTGACAAAATGATTCTCAGCAACTAAGTAGAAAATAGTCATTTATTGTCAGATTTTATGGAAATTTTATTTGAGGCTAGAAAAACACCTAATGTATGCAGTAAATCCAAAAGCAAATATTTCTATTTGTTTCTCTAATAAGCCTTATTACCACAGTTTATAAATATTACAACCATGGAGCAATTATCTGTAAATTATTGTGAGCAGAAGCAATGGTTTTTGAAAAGGATTTCTAGAATATCCAATTCCTAAAATACCTCAGTACTGGTGGGCAGCATGTAAGAATTTGGGAGTAAAGAAGAAAAAATTATTTTTATCCCTGGGAAAGCCCTGGAGTTGTCTCCTTAATGAGATCACAGGGGGATCCAACAGCTGCCCTTGAATCTTGCCTCTCTCTCTACATGTTTGTTCTCTGTACCATCCCTCTGAAGCGGATCTCACTATTGATTGCCCCCTGGCAAGCAGACATGTGACCAATATACACCTATATTATGAGCCTAGACCATTTAAAATCCTGAAAACGTTTTTTTTCTCTTCATGGAACACATAATTTTTTGGCTTGACTTTGAGGACTGATTTGAGATTTGAACACTGTAACACTATTTTTCACTCCATAATACCCTCTTTTCTAGAGTTGACTTCAAGGATATTGTTATAGGTTAAATTGTGTTTCCCCCACCAAAAAGATATTTTAAAATCCTAATCCCTAGCACCTCATATTTGGAAATAGGGTCATGGCAGATGTAATTAGTTATATTAAGAAGATGTCATTCAGGAGTAGGTGGACCCCTAATTCAACATGACTGATGTCCTTATAGGACACATACATGGGGAGATGAAGGTAGAGATTGGAGTTACGCAGCTGCTGGCCAAGGAACACCAAAGGTTGCCAGCAAACCATCAGAAGCTAGGAAGAGGCAAGAAAGGATTGCTTTATAGGTTTGAGAGGGAGCATGGCCCTGCTGCCACCTTGAGCTCAGATTTCTTGCCTCCAGTACTATGAGCAATACATGTCTATTGTTTTCAGCCACCCAATTTGTGAAACTTTGACATGGCAGTCTGGGAGATTAATACAGAATTGTAATATAAATAAGTCAGTACTAGATTTAGCTCTGGTTATTACATCACAAAGTTTAATGTTCTGAAACTTCTTTGGTGAATAGGATCTAGATAATCTACAAATTCAAACTAACTTCATTACTCGAATTAAACTCTTTATTACAAAAATCTAACTTATCCTTTAGCTCTATTATCCATTCCTTCATTTTAGTCGGCTGAGCACCTGCTCTGTGCCAAGTTCCTGGGTGTACCATCTTGGACAGGAAGTCTGCCCTGTCTTTACAGAGCTTAGATCCTAGAGAGAGAGATTTACTCAGTGCCAATTCTTCTCCCTACACTTACTATTCTCAAGCACACCAACACAAGCTCTATGATGATATGCTTGAGATATTTTTCGGGCAGTCACAAAGTGCTGGAGCCCACTTGGCCCCTGAACCATTGGGGATCAACTCTTAATCAGTGAGAGAGAATTTGGTGTCTAAATATCCCAGCTCTCTTGCCCCACTCTGAAGCATGTTATACTGTTGCCTAGACTTCCCTTTTCAGACTGAGCTTCAGTTGCCCCTAACAATAGCCTGCCCAATGATGTATCTGAATTCATTTCCTTCCTTCACTTCTCCACTTTCTTCCTGGTGTTTCCTGGGGTAATATCCAAAATAAGCTACTTGAATTTACATGCTTGACACAGGATCAGCTTCAGGGAATCCCTGAACTAAGGTAACTGGCAAATAATTTTAAAAGGCACAAAAGTGAATTAATTGCATACTTTCCAACTGTAATGGGTGCTATAAGGTAACAAGAGCCTTCAGTAGATGATGACTGGAATGGGAGTGTATTCCTTTCTTCAGTCAGGGTGATCAGGGAAGCTTCTCTGATCTAGTGACCATTAAGACCTGCGGGAAGGAAAGAAGTAGCCATTTGAAGAGCAGGAGCAAAGGCGTTACAGGACGCTCTATCAGCAAGTGCAAAGGCTCTTAAATTACCAATGAGCTCATCATCTTCAAAAAACTGAAAGAAGTAGAGAGTAGAGCATACATTAGAAGGAGGAATACATGCTAAGACAGGAAGACTTTTGTTTTGTTTTCCATATGCAGTGGAAGTCATAGAATAGTCTATGGTAATGAAGGAACATAGTTGAATTTACATTCTGAAATCACTCTTACCACTGGGTGGCAAACCCATTGCAGAGTGATCAAAGTAGAGGTAGGGAGAGAGAAATCAGTTACAAAAAGAGGTGCTAGTGACAAACATGAAGAGGGTGGCAATCAAGATGGAAAAGTGAGAGAAGTGTAACTCACACATTCTCTCAAATGTGGGTAATACTGTGAATAATATTTTGAAATTAATTGATATTTTCTTAATCATATATCTCAGACCTGTTTTTATATTAGCCTGCAACATTCTTTTTAACAGTTTCAGATGTTTCCTGAAATTGGGTGAAGATTTGAGATATAATTTTTTAGAAGCGACAAGATTTTCGGATGGATTTAAGTGGGTGGAGAATAAATTTAAGGAAACAAGGATTATTGACAAATTTCTAGCTTCTGTGGTAACTGTGGTGTCCTCCAATCTAGTAGCATTAATATGAGAATAGGAAAGACACATGGAGAAAATAACAGAATAGAATGCAGGCAAGTCACCAAAGGGGAGTTTAGAGCTCTGTAGTTTTATGCACATCATCTGCAAATGGTAGTGCCTTATACATAGTACACAACATTTTTTTTAATTTTTAATTTTTTTAGTGAATGAAGATAGGAGTGCTCTCTGAGGAGCTTAGACATGTTAATAAGTAAAACAGATACATATATAGTTAGCATTTATTAGAAACTTACAATATGTCAGAGGGTTTACAGGTATTATCTTTTTTATTTACCACAAAACTGCATCAATACCACTAAAAATCCTGAGGAAATTAA
Organism: Homo sapiens; assembly: GCF_000001405.40. NCBI lineage: Eukaryota > Metazoa > Chordata > Mammalia > Primates > Hominidae > Homo > Homo sapiens. The sequence goes on from NC_000003.12 coordinate 1,631,763, forward strand.
AGAATGCCAAACACTCTACCTAAGGAATTGTAATGTAAAATAACTACTAATTGAGGAAGGGATAAAGTATCATCAATGAGAGCACAAATAAGAGAACTATGAATTCTGACTGAGAAATGACAGGAAGTTGTATATATGAAAATTTAAAGACGACATGAGGTTTTCAACAGAGAAGAAAGGGGTATTTTAGGGAAAGGAAATTATTTCTGCAATGGATGAGAACAACAGCCATCATCAGATTTCTATTTCAAATACATTTTCTGGCTTAGCATTTATTCCCATTACATAATTTTTTGAGTAAACTCACTTTAATGTTTGCCCCTTACTAAAACTGCATGCTTCATAAGTGCCTGGATTTCACCTGAGTTGTACAACACGAGAAACAGGTAAAAGTAATCACTCATTAAATGTACATGTATGTGAATGAGTGGAAAATAAGTGAATGAGTGAATAAAAGAACAAATGAAGAACAAATAAAAGAACAAATAAAGTAATCAAGGAGTCAGCCGGGGCGAATATACCGTAGTTACCATAAACTTCAGGGGGGAGGAGTGGGGCAGAGCACAGCGCGGAAGGTCAGAGTACAAGCCTGGAAGGAGACTGGCTTGTGTGAATAGCTGCTCTGTCTCTTGATTTCTGAGCAAGCTTGGAAAAGTTACTTAAAAGTCAATTAAACCTTGTGAACTTTAATTCCTTAAAAAACTGAGAGTGATATAGGAGTTAGGAATAAATTACTTAGCCAGATAGTGAAGGTACGGTGGTCTTCAGTGAGGTTTTCCTTTTAATGAAAAGCAACCCCCAAATCATTTTCTTTTCTAATACAGAGCAGCCTGTAAAACTGAGCTGCAGATAATCAAGCTGGAAGCTCGCACGAGTGAATACCAGCAGTTGGGCCAACACGGAAAGGTTACATGGGACTAGGCATGTTCAAAATGGCAGCCCCCTCTTCTCTTCTCTTGGTCAAACCAGGTGTAGAGTGAGAAGACAATATGGCGCTGGCCAGGCAAAGACCCTGTTTGCATAATAAGATTAGAGTGGGGCAACCAGCCCTCCCCACAGTGCTGTGTAAACGTCACACCTGACGGAACCAATCTGTGGGCCCTGTGTAAATCAGACACTGCCTCCTCAAGCCTGCCTATAAAATCTAGTGCAGTCTACCCAGGCCAGATTCTCCTTTCAGAAGCTCCTCTCTCTAAAAAGGGAGAGAGCTGTTCTCCTTTCTCCTTCTTCTGCCTATTAAACCTCTGCTCCTAAACTCACTCCTCATGTGTGCCCGTGTCATTAATTTTCATGGTGCTATGAGGAACCCCAGGTATTTACCCCAGACAGTGATGTGCTTCAATAGTAAAAATAGTACTCTACTCACTGGATTATGTTGAGGATTACAGGAGACAGGACATTTGAAACACTGAGTATAGCATAGGTATTAAATAAATTTAAGTTAACTAACAGGGGGAAGGAAGTATTGTCTAAATTCAGGTGACTAAATAAAGAGATTACTGAGGGCAATGACAAAGACAAGGAGATGATAAGGAGAAACTGGAGGCTTCTATTAAATACAGTCTATAAGATTTGAGGTATGACTAGAGTATAAGGTATAGAGTATAAGGATGTCATGAGAACTGTGCATTCCAACTTGCAGCCCTGCGTGGATATGTACCATCTATTGACACTGGGAATCTAGGCAGACAAGCATGTTTTGGGTAAAGAAAGTAATTCCATTTGGAATATGTTAAACTGGAGATCACCGTGTAATGTATATGCCAAACCTACAGAGCACTTACTCTAGGTCAGGTACTACCTACCGAGCATTTACTCTGGGTCAGGTACCACCTACGGAGCGTTTACTCTGGGTCAGGTACCGCCTGCAGAGCATTCACTCCGGGTCAGGTACCGCCTGCTGAGTATTTACTCTGGGTCAGGCACTCTGCTTTACACTTAGAGGGGCAGAGAACAATTTATATAAAGGGAAGATGTAAGTGATGCAACAATCATTCTTCAAGGGGTTTCACTCTAAAAGGAGAAATAAATACACACAGATTAATATCAAAATGGCAGATTTAGAATTTACTTTGAACCTTTGCATTCTGACTTCTGTACCCTATGTCTATGGTTGTAAACGGTGATCCTCATAGGTTTTTTGCAAGATAACCAAAGTGTATTTTCTAAGTTAAATCCTCCTGGTTGCTTCTGTCTGCTGCGAAACCCTGAATACTTGACCTGGCCTATCAGGTCCTAATTACCTCTCCTGGCTCATCCAGTATCATTCACCACCCCACTCGACCATCAGTCCTTGAATTCACTCACGATGTTCTTGTAGTTTGTTACACCAGTGGTCCTCATACATTTTTTTGCCCTGCATGCCTTCCAATAAAACTTTTTGAGCATGCAATCCTAATATACTATATATTTATTTATAGCACACTTTATATGCAAATGCTGCTGAACTAATATTGTATGTGTCTTATAAGACTACAGAAAATAATCATATTAAAGGTTGAAATAAATAAATGTAAGTAGAAGTTCTAACACTCAATGAATATATGGTTTTTGAGACTACTATTTTAACTATGCTGAACTTCTCCCTCAAGGCTGCACACGCTGTTCTCCTCTGCCTAGAAGCTCTTGCTTTGTGAGTAAGATTAATTCCTGCTCATCTTTGAGTTTAAATGTGACTTCTTCAGTCTGCCCCATCCATCCCGGTCTACATTAAATGCCCAATTAGGTATTTTTCTAGCACTTGGTAGTTTCCCTCCCCACAACATTTATCATAATTGTAACTTAATCTGTATGTGATTTTTGGTTAACGTCTGTTTCCCCACTACACTTCAAGAGAACCATTTGCTTAGGGTACCTTACACACTATTGCATCCCCTACCTCGTTGGTTATTCAGTCCCACCCACTTTTTTAACGAGTTTTGATGACTAAAACTAATGTCATGCACTTTACAACATCATTACCCTTTATTCAGTATCACCTTGTGTTCCCCCACGACAAGATCACCAAAGCTTCTGCAATGCAAGGAAATCATGTATAAGGCATTCTTTCAGCTTTTTCTCCTATAGAGACTTTGAGTTAGAAACTAGTGAAATAATAATTCTGTGCAAATAATTCTAATAATTACTTTTATGGAAGCATTAAATCTAGGGCGGTATACCACAACAGATAAGAGTAAGGGCTCTGGAGCTCTGATTGCCTGGGTCAAAATCTGGGTAGCAGAACTTAGGAGCTGTATGACTGTGTATGTCACTTAACCTCTCCCTGTTCAGCTGCCTCACTTCTAGAGCTGGTATTATGGGGTTACTTTTGGAGTACATTATTATGTCTAAAATACTCAGAGATGTGTCTAAAAATAGAAATCACTCAATAAAAGTTCACCATTATTAATATACACTAAACAGCCTATTCCATAAATATCTGGAGTTTCGATTTAATTATATATCAACAGCAGCTTCACTTTGCGTGTATAATCCCCATCCAAACTTTCCGATCATGGATATGTAAAGCACTTTAAAAGGTAGTCTAAAAAATTAATGTAAAGAAGTTACATGGTATTTACATTTCAAAAACTGGGTAAAGCACATTTGAACTCATTGTGAATACAAGCCATTCCCTGGGCTGTGACATGGGGACATTTTATTAAAAGAAGCAGAGAACTTTATTTATTGCTCATTTCTCTTCATGGTTCACAGCTTGTAATGATTTGAACCAACAAAATATCTATTATCAGTGTGTATGCATAAGCATATAGTAAGTATGAAAGATATATATTCTAGTATTAAAGTCTCCCTTTTCTTTCTTGCTCATAATTGACGCGCTCTTTCTGAAGAGGAGTTTGCAGTGGTCCGAACAAAGATCACGATATAAAAATAAATTATAGTATGTATCCCTTGGTGCCTCACTCATAAATTATTTCTCTCCACTGATGCTCTTTCATATTCAGTGGTAGATTTAAAATTTCCTTCCTCGATATTATTCATACAGGACATTGTAGTTAAAGAGCTTGCCTTTTATAGCTGACAGGCTAGTAGAGTCCAAGCTTCAGATGAGGGAGGAGGGGGTGAAAACACGGACCCTGTCTTCTTCCTTTCCCTATTTACTGCCACTCATTACATGCTTTTGACATGACTTCTATAAACATTATCAATGAGTGATCTGGGGAGTGGAAAAAGAGGAAAAAAGACCGTGGAAGAAAAGTTGAAGAGGATACAATACGATTGCAATTCCTATCCCTTTAACAGGGACTCTGTGCTCCAACTCTGCCTGTTTCATGTTTAATTTGGAAGCAATTGTTCTCAACAGAGGTCACACATTTCATCATTTGAGAACTTTAAAAAATGATCATGGCTGAGATACTGATATATTTATTCTTCTTAAAACTTTTTCAAGTTCCCCCGGTAATTCTAACTTATAGCCAAAATTGAGAACCACTACTCTAAATCATCAGATCCATTCAGTGAATTCAATCAATTCAGTCCAATGAAATGCAGTCAGTTATAGAAATGCAGACGACCTATAGAACAGAGGTACTCCTGGGGTTGGAGAAATGCAGGATAGGTATAGAACAAGTCTGGGCCTGAGAAGAGTGACCTGAAGCCAATGCACAAGCTATCCCGTGTTGTGAGGCTAGGAACAAGAGGTGCGCCGGGATAAGAAAATGAACAGGTTTCTGGAGAGTGCATTCTAGTACCTAATTTGAGCAAACATTTCAAAAGTCACAAGAGGTGGGCAGCAGGAGCCATAAAAATGAAAATCAAAGTATAATAATAAGCTCAATACTGAGATCACAGACAAAAACCAGGAAATCCAATGGAACTGAAAAAAATGATAAGACAATAAGCTTAACTAATCTAGGCAGAAAGCTTTCTGAGCCAGGTAAGGACATTTTGAAACAGAGGCCGTGCTTCTGAATCACTTAGTCTAAGGGTTTGAGCAATACAGAATCTGTAGGCAGAAAATGGCTAGAGGAATACTTTCCTAAATCTGGTTTCTTAAATTATTTTGCAGTCAAAATGTCAGAGGTATTTGAACTAGAGTGACTCTCTCTTGAATAGGGGTTGGATAAAATAAGGCTGAGACCTACTGAGTTGTATTCCCAGGAGGATGGGCATTCTAAGTCATAGGATGAAATAGGAGGTCAGTGCAAGATACAGGTCATAAAGACCTTGCTGATAAAATAGGTTGCAGTAAAGAAGCCAGTCAAGGCTGGGCATGGTGGCTCATGCCTATAATCCCAGCACTCTGGAGGCCCAGGTCAGCAGATCATTTGAGGTCAGACATTCGAGACCAGCCTGGCCAACATGGTGAAACCCCGTCTCTACTAAAAATCCAAACATATATATATATATATATATAAAATTAGCCCAGTGTGGTGGCAGCTTGCACCTGTAGTCCCAGCTACTTGGGATGCTGAGGAGGAAAATCGCTTGAACCCAGGAAGCAGACAGAGGGAGATCACATCTCAAAAAAATAAATACATAAAAGCTGGCCAAATCCCACTAAAACCAAGATGGCAATGAGAGTAACCTCTGGTCATCCTCACTGCTTATTATATACCAATTATAATACATTAGCATGCTAAAAAACACTCCTACCAACCCCATAACAGTTTACAAATACCATGTCAATGCCCGGAAGTTACTCTGTATGCTGTAAGATGGGGAGGAAACCTCAGTTCCAGGAACTGCCCATCACTTTCTTAGAAAACTCATGAATACTTCGTTTATTCATTTACCCCTTATTTAGCATATAATCAAGAAATAACCATAAGTATACTCAGTTGGCAGTCCATGCCACTGCTCTGCCTATGGAGTAGCCATCCTTTTGTTTCTTTACTTTCTTAATAAACTTGCTTTCACTTTACAATATGAACTCATCCCAAATTCTTTCTTGCACAAGGCCCAAGAATCCTCTTTTGAAGTCTGGATCAGACCCCTTTCTGGTAATAAAAACATCCATATAATTGATTATGTCTTAGCCTAAATACACTAGCTAACAAAATGTTTGGCATTAAGTGAACAATAGACCCTTCAGTGAACTTAATTCTTCCTTGATTAACTTGAGAACCCGATCGGCAACTCTTCTTATAATGTCAAGAATTAAGCAGATTCATGAGAAATGGACAATAATATCACTTAAGAATTGGCAAGTAAAAAACAGAATATTTGTTCTTTGATGTTATCAACAACACGCAGGACATAAAGAATTTATAATATGCTTTGTGACTGTTTATTGTAAGTGAATAGCTGCTTTGAACTATAGAAAGTTACTAATAGTATAAAAATCATAACTCTACAGTGTCACATAAAAGAGGCAATGTAAAGAAAATAAAGACATTATAAGAGAAAGAGCTCACAATTTTTAAGAACTTCGTTATTAAACAAAGATAATGATAGAAGAAAGACTGAATCAGTAATCTAAAATATTAGTAAATAATGTTATCCCCCTGGTTAGAGGTAACAATAAAGCTCCCTTTCAAATCTCATGAGTTTTCATTTAATTTTACTAAGGGATACAATAGACGGCAAGAGCAGATACTGCAGCTGTAAGGGATACAATAGACGGCAAGAGCAGATACGCAGCTGTAAGGGATACGATAGGCGGCAAGAGCAGATACTGCAGCTGTAAGGGATACAATAGACGGCAAGAGCAGATACGCAGCTGTAAGGGATACAATAGGCGGCAAGAGCAGATACTGCAGCTGTAAGGGATACAATAGGCGGCAAGAGCAGATACGCAGCTGTAAGGGATACAATAGACGGCAAGAGCAGATACGCAGCTGTAAGGGATACAATAGACGGCAAGAGCAGATACGCAGCTGTAAGGGATACAATAGACGGCAAGAGCAGATACGCAGCTGTAAGGGATACAATAGGCGGCAAGAGCAGATACTGCAGCTGTAAGGGATACAATAGACGGCAAGAGCAGATACGCAGCTGTAAGGGATACAATAGACGGCAAGAGCAGATACGCAGCTGTAAGGGATACAATAGACGGCAAGAGCAGATACGCAGCTGTAAGGGATACAATAGACGGCAAGAGCAGATATGCAGCTGTAAGGGATACAATAGACGGCAAGAGCAGATACTGCAGCTGTAAGGGATACAATAGGCGGCAAGAGCAGATACGCAGCTGTAAGGGATACAATAGGCGGCAAGAGCAGATACGCAGCTGTAAGGGATACAATAGGCGGCAAGAGCAGATACGCAGCTGTAAGGGATACAATAGGCGGCAAGAGCAGATACGCAGCTGTAAGGGATACAATAGGCGGCAAGAGCAGATACGCAGCTGTAAGGGATACAATAGACGGCAAGAGCAGATACTGCAGCTGTAAGGGATACAATAGACGGCAAGAGCAGATACGCAGCTGTAAGGGATACAATAGGCGGCAAGAGCAGATACGCAGCTGTTTATCCAAACTCTTCCTTCCCACACCCTTGCCAGTAGTTGCACCCTGATACGGTTTGGCTGTGTCCCCACTCAAATCTCATCTTGAATTGTAGCTCCCATAATCCCCACGTGTTGTGGGAGAGACCTGGTGGGAGGTAATTGAATCATGGGGTAAGTTTTTCCCACGCTGTTCTTGTGATCGTGAATACATCTCACAAGATCTGGTGGTTTTATAAAAGGCAATTCCCCTGCACATGTTCTCTTGCCTGCCATTATTTAAGATGTGCCTTTGCCCCTCCTTCACCTTCTGCCAAGAGGCTGCCCCAGCCATGTGGAACTGTGAGTCCATTAAATCTCTTTTTCTTTATAAATTACCCAGTCTCGGGCATTTCTTCATAGCAGTATGAAAACAGACTAATACACAACCTCACCTCCCAGCCTCACCACTATGTTTCAGAAGTTGACCACCCCTTTGGAACAAAGTCAGGATTGGTCTAGGCCAATCATGATGCTCACAACTCTATGTGGCACTTTGAACGGATGCTGCCATATCACTACCAGCTTCAGGATAAAGGCAATAGATGGAGGACTGGAGAGTAAGAGAACTACAAAGAGCATGAGATGGAGCCCAGCTTAATGATAATGGAAGCTAACAAATGCTTTACTTACAAAATGTGACATAAAGAATGGAATTTTGCAATGAAAATCATATACAATTATGTGTCAAGGTTATTAAAGATTCATCATTTAAAGCTGATACTTTAAGGACTGTTGTGAATGGCTGCAAAATATTAGGTTAAATTATCACTTGTCTTTGGAGACCCATGATTTATCCACTGAGGCTGAAGAATTAGAATAAAATAGTAAGAAAAGTCACACCATTGGGGTGTGGTGGCTCCTTACAGGAGTGTTGGGTAAAGATCTAAAAGCAAGAGATGGGCTCAGACTGAAGATGACCCACCTGAAAGCAGAAAGGCAAAATCATAGAGCTTTTGAAAGTGAAAACTTTCTTCCTCTATACCTCCCCACACACACACAAAAATGAAAATTGTCTGAGAATATAATCTTTAGAGTCCCATAGAGTTTTTTTTAAAAGGCAGTCTTGTCTAGTTCAAGGTAAAGACAGTGCAGAAACAGGGTAATACCAAAGGCTTGTTCTTTAAAATGGTTTATAGAATGATCAAAATTTGGCAAGTCTTATTCAAGACAAAAAGAAACAAGTTGCAAAAAAATTATAATGAATGAAAAAGTGAGCATATTTAAATATAGGAGCAATTTAAAACTCTGACAATGAAATACAATCTATGACAAAGACAACATGACGTATTATTTATGACGCAGTCTATAAATTTAGATGACATGAATGATTGAGGCTATTTGTTGTTTTAAAAGGCTTAAAAACACATAGGTAAGATAAATTGATCAATAGTGAATTTAAAATATTAAGAAACATAGTAGCATCTACCTCTGAAAATTGCATCATATCTAAATTGACAATATGCTAAACAGTTGTTAAACAAAATTCCCACATTATATAAACTTTTTAGACCATACATGAATACATAATCCTCCAAGTTCATTTTACAGAAATGGAAAAAGGAAAAAAGCCACTTGTAGACAAAACAGAGGAAAGACAGCAGAATAAACAAATGTATAGGCCAATCTCACTAATGAACACAAACGTTATGTATTCTAATTAAAATATTAGCAAATAAATTCCTACAGAGCCAGAAAATAATAATATATCATCACTAAGTGTGATCTGTTCAAGAAATGCAGGGTTTGTTCAGCACTAGAAAATCTACCAAGTGAATTTACTACATTAAATACCTACATGGGAGAAAAAAATAAGATTATATTCAAAAGCTGTTTTATAAAATGTATCACCAAATCCTGATTTTAAAAATTAAGAAGTAAAACTTTTACCATACTAGAAATAGAATGGAACTTCCTTGATAGCTATCAGAAAACTATAGAGCAAGCATCTCATTGAGTAAACATTGGAAATACTCTCTTTAAAATCAGTAACGAGAAAAAAGTACTTACTATCACATTGTTAATAAGCATTGTATACAGCCCCTAATCAATTCACCAAGTCAAGAAATAAAAAATTGTACAAATATTGGAAACAAGTAATAAGAAATAAATTGTATACTTTATTTGTTGGAAAGGATAAAGAAAATCCCATTACTTTTAGAAAACAGCAAAGATGAAATTTTCTATGCTTTATTGCATGCTAGCAATGATAGAACATATAATAGATGATAAGATCTGCTTCACAGTAGCCACAAAACTATAAAATGCATAAAGATGACCCAAATAAAAATATGTATAAAGCCTATAGGAAAAAAACTATAAAATTTTACAGAAGGACATAAAAGAAGATTTGAATAAAATGTGAACTCAGCCGTAATCAGAATAGGATGGCTCAATATTGTAAAGTTAAGAATACTCCCCCAAATTAATCTGTAAATCTACCACAATGTAGTAAAAAATTCTATTAATATTATTCATGAAACTCAAAATGCTTCTTATAAATTTCATTTAGAAGGGGAAACATGCCAAGAGAAGTTTGTATAAGACAAATGGGGAAGGAAGAGAGAGATTTGCCTACTATATTTTAAAACTTATAAAAATATAATAATTAAGAAAATGTAATATTGGTATAAAAATAGAAAAAGAGATCCTGGTTCAACAACAAACCCATGGGAATTTAGTGCATGGAAGAGTAGAATTTTGAATTGTTGAGAAAAGGATGCACTAGCAACAAACAGTGCTGGATAAATTGTCTACCAATAAGAAGAAAGAAAATTAAATTCTTACCTTCCATAATTTACAAAAATAAATTCAATTATATATAAATTTCAAAATGTAAGAAACAAAGTTACGAATATATTAGAAGAAAATATAGAAATATAAGAACACATTGTTGTGATTTAATGTTAAAATAGGAAAGGTCTTCTCAAAGAAGACATAAATACATGTGTATAAATATAAAATATCACACAAATGTCATAAGAAATGAATCAATAAGTTTAACTATGTGATATTTAAATCATTCTACCATAAAAGACGTTAAACCATGTTAAAGGCAACAGTAGTAGAGGAAATAATATTTGTAAAAATATATACATATTTTTGTATAAGTATCTTTGGGTGATTATGTGTGTGGGGGGTACATATACAAATGTATGTTTATACGTAATGTATATGTTTACTGTTTAAATACAGGTCATGTATATTCATCTTGTGTGCGTATATATATTTATGCACATATAAATCAATCAAAACTACAAAAAATCCAAAAGAATAATGGGTAAAAGATTTGAACAGACAAATCAAAGAGTTAGAAAAACAAACAAAAGATATTTAACTTTGGCCGGGCGTGGTGGCTCACGCCTGTAATCCCAGCACTTTGGGAGGCCGAGGCGGGTGGATCACGAGGTCAGGAGACAGAGACCATCCTGGCTAACACGGTGAAACCCTGTCTCTACTAAAAATACAAAAAATTAGCCAGACGTGGTGACACACCCCTGTAGTCCCAGCTACTCGGGAGGCTGAGGCAGGAGAATCCCTTGAACCCAGGAGGTGAAGGATGCAGTGAGCCGACATCACGCCACTGCACTCCAGCCTGGGCGACAGAGTAAGATTCTGTCAAAAAATAAAAGAAAAGGAAAGGAAGGGAGGGGAGGGGAAGGGAGGGGAAGGGAGGGATGAGAGGGGAAGTGAAGAGAGGGGAGGGGAGGGGAGGGGAGGGGAGAGAAGGGAAGGGAAGGGAAGGGAAGGGAAGGGAAAAAAATACTTCCCTACAAGCAGAAAAATGTAAATGAAAATAACAGAGATGACACATCCATTATATTTCCTACTAAATGGGCAAAAATTAAAAGTTTAATATCACATTTTACCATAGATATGAGGAAAGTTCTATCTAAGGGATCTCCTTTGGCAATATATTAAAACTTTAAATATACGTAACTTTTTACTGCAATTTCATTTCTTACGGAGTATTACAGATATCCCACATTTACCCAAGTGAACATGGAAGCATGGATGTGACACAACGAACAGAAAATAATACTGCAGTTTAACAGGAAGGAAAGTTTTCCAAACATATTACATTAACAAATAAGTTTGTAGAACAATATATACAGAACCTCTGATTTTTATAAGAATGTATGTATATATACATTTATGTAAATATGCAGCCATGTAATGTACCCCTTTTCTCTATCACTCTTGTCAATTTAGCCTGAAATATATTCCTCATCACATGTTCCTTTGAGATTTTTATCTTTCTATTTGCTTACTATCCAATGACTCTCTCTTCTGACCAGAATATAGGTTCCATGACAGCAGGATTTATATTAATTTCATCACTGATATCCCCTCAGTACCTGGAATAGCAGTTGACTCATAAGAGGCCCAGCAAGGGTTTTTCAAATAAATGCAAAAAGTTATATGGCATTAATTAACTAATTGATTACACAGCTGGTGAGCAATTAGGATTGGTGACACTGTAATGAAATATTTGTGGTTATGCTCAATAAAACCCCAATGTCTATTAACATGCACTTATACTTTTAACCATATATTTACAGATTAGAATATATGAATACTCATTACACGCTCTTTGGGCACTAGAACTTGTAGTAGCCTTTAGAATAAACAATGTATCTATCCATGCTTGGTAAGTACATTTTTTTTTTTTTCAAAACAGCTTATTGGGAAAGAACACAGCTGAAACAAGTGTTTAGAATTACCAAAAAGCAAAAAGGTGATTTTTTTTCCTAACAAAATGAAAATTCTGGCAAGTGTATAAGATGAAAAAATCATTTTGTTTTACATACTAAGAGAATTGTACTTTTTGAAAGTCATCAAGCATAAGGAAGTTAATATCAAATTAAGAACAAATGTATCATTGGTCCCTACAGAAGAAATACAGTATGTATTGATGACAAGTATGTTATAACTTTGGTGGGGTGGAGGGAAGGATTTCTAAAAAGGATTCAAAGAATTAACACATTTTTTATGATTCCAAGATAAGACTTTGCACTTTTTTTACTTACTGCCATATATGTGGATTTTGTTGATCTAAAATAATCAACACACATCTTTGTTGAAATATTATCTATTATTCTCTAAAACTGTTCATAATTATCCAGAATAAGTGATAGTTTGTGTTTTTGCATGTATTACTGACTCTTCCAAAAAGACATGTCTCTTAGATTTCACTAGTATTTTAGGTAATAGCTTTAAGGAATATGTTACATTCTATATTTCAGTTTCTTAGAAATGATGTTAGGTACATAGCACTTACCCTGACTATAAGGATTTGTCGCCATTTGATTATTTTGAGGCCAAGCATTCAGAATAGCACACCATGCATGCCATGCACCCCTTCTTTTATTTAACTACATTTAAAGGATTCTTACCATTTTTTTCACTTTTTGAAATTATAACTACTTAGTAGAATGTCTTTATTGCATAAATCTCTGTAATCTTTCCTGGGACTCCTGAAATGCACTGATGTCATCTCCTCAAATAAAGCAGTTAATGAGATGGCAAATCTTGCTTGCTGATTGCTGTTTTTGTTTATTCTTCAAATAATTTTTAAATACTTTGTTCACCACTTCTTAAGGGATAGTGTTGATTATGTTCTTCAATAAGCAATGCTTTTATTCTTGCTTTCTAAAAGTGATACAGATGAGCTTTGTTTTAATCTCATTATTATGCCCCTGTAAAACAATTATTTAGAGACTAAGAAGAAGTAATCTGAAAGGAATTGTGATATTTTCCAAACCTTGGAATTTCTTGTGTTTATTGTAGTAATTATAGCTATCATTTATTGTGTGGTTACTATGTACCACATATTGTGATAAAAAACTTGCATTTCTTGTGTTTACAGCAATCCTAAGGTAACTATTATTAAATATTGCTACCCCTATTTTGTAGATGAAGAAATGAGGTACAGAGAGGTTAACTGACTCTCCTATGGAATTACAGCCAGCTAGAGGTGGAATCAAGATGTTATCCAATTCTATGATAGAATTGTAACAGTATTGCTCAAAAGAAGAGTGTTTCTGTGGCAAATTAGCTTGAAGAAAGTGTGGAAATTCTATGTCTGGGTGGAGGTTTGAGCAGATTATGATCTTTTAAAACTAGGGAGGAACTTGTCAGTTCACACTGAACTCTACCATCGTTTTTGTATAATCAGCTGTTGAGTTTTACTTTCTTTAGCTTAGAGATGCACAAAACTTCCCAAAGATGGTAATCACTTCTAGCTATGAGTCATTTCTCTCACCTTCTGCAGGAACTAAAGAAACTCTTGTCATAATTGCTTGTCATAATTTCTTGCCATTCATAAAAAGCCAATAATGCATTTTTGTTTTACTTAATACATTTTACTTTACAGTTTATAAAGCACAAGCAGTGTGCAAAATGCAGGGAATGCTTAGGTACGAGGTCTAGCACCGCCCTCAAAGTAGTTCACAATCAAGTGGAGAAGAAAGACCTATGCACAAATAATGCAGAAGAATAAACAAAGTCAAGGTGAATTTCAGTCAAGTGGAGGGTGTGTGTGTGTGTGTGTGTGTGACAAGAACAGCAAAGGGATGAAGAGTATAAGATTAGTATGGATTCATCACCAGCTCACTTTCAAATAAGAACAGCAACGATTTGCATGGTGAAGAAGGAGGCATTTTAGCTCAAGTCTGAAGTCCTTGACTAAGGTTATAGCAGAAGATGACTTTGGGTGTGGGTTAAGCTGGGTGTGGGTTAGGCTTTGGGTGTGGGTTAGGGTGTACCACTTTATATTTTCTGATTTAGAATGTTCTCTGCCTATATGAATACATTATAAAAGCTACAGGAAGGAGTCACATACATATCACATTCTACTATGAAAATAGTCTCATAAATCCATAATTTTAGGTAATTTTCCAAATATTTTACAGTGATATTTCTTAGTGACTGAAGCATAAGGAGTGCAATGCATGCTTGAGGTAGGAGTATATGAGCCTTAAGTGGGAAGACATCTGGAGATGAATGTAATCTGTATTGGTTTTGATGTTTTAAATCTGTTTGCCACTACACATCTGTAATGTAATATAATAAATATAATAAAACTTCTATGTGAACCATGTCTCTCCAGGATATGATAAAGATTTAAAATGGAAGAACTTATCCTTTAGAGGAGTTAGAAAACCACAAGATTTTGCAATGTACTTTTCAATGATAGGAAAGTATTTTATAGTCACAAAATCATAGAGTGATGTCATTGTTGCTAGGTGTCTCCCTTCGAAATTTTGACCGAATAACCTATTCATCTCTGTCCCAGCTATGTGCTTGATTTGTGTTTTGCACATTGAAATAACATGCACTAAACTGACCATCATAACTGGTGATTTGGAAATTCTGTGTGTGTGTGTGTATATATATATATATATATATATATATATATACACACATACACACACACAGAAGATGTGTGTGTGTGTGTGTATGGTTGTATGTATGTCTATGCTATACATATATATGTATGTATGTATACACATACATATATATGTATACACATACATATATATGCATACACATACATATATATGTATACACATACATATATATATATAGCATAGACATACGTACACCCATACACACACACACACACACACACACACATCTTCTAACAAGTACACATTATTACTAGAGGTGATCTCATCTAAAAGAAAAAGCCATGGAATGAACGTAAGACTTTAGACAGATATTCCTGATATATGTGCAAAAACATGGCACTTAAAATTATGTTAGTGGATTAATCACCAGTTTTGTAAAGTTTAATACCAAATGACAGGGAAAACAGCACCGGGTTTGGCAGGCAGATGGAGAATGAACCGTTACGTCTCATCCATCTCCAATTCCTATGATTATATGATTAAATATTAGTGTCCAGAGACGAGCAAGGGAAATGCCAGCCCTTGAAATACCAAGTGTAGGCCAGAAAAGACTGAATAAATACTTCACTGAGACAAATCCAGAAGATGAATAAAGTGGCCAAAAACTGGGGTAGGAGAGGGCTCTTTCCCAGGTAGCTAATTAGAAATGTCTCAGGAACTTGAGTTGAATGAATTGGAAGAAAAAGTTTACTCAGGAAAAATAATTTTGAAATACAATTCAATAGCAAGAAGTGGTTTTTTTGAACAAATATTATTTTCTGCCACTTACATTTTATTTATTACTATGCTGACACAAAGTAGATGAAAGAATAATGGATAGATAAGCAAAAAGTCTCCTTCTAAGGGACTTTACAAGAGTATTACAAAATTATAGACTCCATCCCACCCGATAGTGAAAAATTATTTATAGCAGTCTTCTCAAAGGAAGAGACAGATAGAGGACAAGAATAATATGGAAGCTTCGTCAAACTATATGTAGCTTCTGTCCAAAATGTTAATACACATCTCAGTGGCAAGGAGTGTTTTCCCTTCTCTTTTTCATTTTGAGAACCTGTATCGTAAATATACTAGCATGCTGGATACCTCAGCAAATGCAAACTCTCACTCAGCATTTCCCCTATCTCAGGGACTATGTATGGCAATTTATATATGAGGTTAATGCCTGCATTAGCACTAGAAAGTAGGTAATATAATTAACCCAATTTTACAGTCACAGTAACTGATGCTTACACAGCTTAAAGAATCTGACCAAGATAACAGGTTTAGAAAGTTGTAGAGAAACTAGGACTAGAACCATTGTCATTCTGACTTCAAAGTCTATGCTTTTATCCATTATCTATTAAACTATACTAAGTGTTGATGGAGGAGAAACAAAAATAGAAATTGAACTGAAAAATTTAAAAAGTGTTAATTTACAGCCCCCCCCAACACACACTCATTGTATTGTAAAATTTTTGAACTTTATATTTTCCTGATGCCACAATATCCCCACAAACAGGCTGTGAGGTGACCTAGTGACTTTCAAACACAGCAATGAAATCCCCTCATATTTTTTGCTCCTCCATCCTAACCCCTAATGAAGGCACTTGGCTTCCAGGCATCACTCTCTGCACCCCCACCTGCTTGGTTGATCCCTCTGCTTGGGAGCTGCTCCCATATGGCCCTGCATGGCTTGCTTTGCCTCCTGTCCCTATGACCTGTGAGTAAATAAATTCTTTAATTGAATATGCCTCTCTGAGTGCAATTTCCTCAGGTGTGCTGGAATGATCTTTTTTAAAATTTACTTATTTATTTATTTAGAAACAGGGCATTGCTCTGTTGCCCAGGCTGGAGTGTGGTGGCATGATCATGGCTCACTGCAACCTTGACCTCCCGGATTCAAGCAATCCTTCCACTTCAGCCTCCCAAAGTGCTAGGATTACAGGTATGAGTCATCATGCCTGACCTGGAATAATTTTCAAAGAGCGCAGAAGGGGGACCTATATATATGTAATTTCATATGTTTTATATATTTGTAGTATATGTATAATTACATTATATTTATATATTTTATATATTATATGTAAATATAAATAGAATTTTTATTCAAGTTCATAAGAAACATGGCCTCTTTCTAAATATTGTTATTTATTTACATATGCCTCCACAACAATACTCCCAGAATAAATGTATAGATGAATGCTAATGTTTTTATCGGATTTAAATTCCAATGCCTCTATTTGGAGCTAGACCTAGATAAAAGGAAGTCAGTTACATGTTTAAGGCACAAAATTTTAATTATCTTAAACTTTGTAGAAATAAATTTTTAGAAATTTATAAAATCATAGAAAAAGTTGACAATTTTCTTATTACTATTACCAAGAACTGATGATGCTTTACATCGTAAGATACTTGCTTTAATATTCCATTGTAAGAAGTGGGGAAGTTCCTTCATTTTTGTTTCCATACCTTTTATGTATTTCTTGCCTCTCTAAGAGATAAAAATATTAATACTATCATACTTTTCCTCATCTTCCCTTACTCTAACTCCATTTTTTTTATTAGTGTTAAAATTATGATGTTGATTTCACATTATACATGTTTATAGCCTTTATATTGCGTTCTATAAAAATCCTTCTCAGAGTCATTTGTTGTTATTTCTATATTTAAATAAATCCAAATGCTAATTGCAAGCGAGTTTATCATGGTGTCTTTATTGTTGAGCTTTTGTCTTGATTTACCACCTAACTGATTGGATTTGTTGTCCAGCAGGTTGACTCTTTCCAAAAAAGACTGTTACAACGTTTCCTGAATATTTTGTATTGGAGAATTTCTGCCTACTGTCTGGTTTTTTTTTTTTTTTTTTTTTAAGACGGAGTCTCACTCTGTCATCCAGGCTGGAGTGCAAAGGCATGAGATCGGCTCACTGCAACCCCGCCTCCTGGGTTCAAGCGATTCTCCTGCCTCAGCCTACCAGGTAGCTGGGATTACACATGTGTGCCCCATGCCCAGCTGATTTTTTTTTTTTTTTTTGTATTTTTAGTAAAAACGGGGGTTTCACCATGTTGGCAAGGCTGGCCTTGAACTACTGACCTCAAGTGATCAGCCTGCCTCAGCCTCCCAAAGTGCTGGGATTACACACGAGAGCCACTGTGCCTTGCTTCTGTTTACTGTCTTTATATTTGACTGACATCTTAATCAGATATAATATTCATAGTTAAAATGCTCTTTTGTCAGAATTTGGTACACTTTTTCTTTTTTCTAGTGTGGAATGAGGTTGTAGAGGAGTGAGAGGCCACCATAAGTTTTCTCTTTAAGGTGATCTTTTTTTTCTGCTTACATGGGTAACAAAACAACATTTTTAAAAATTATTATTATATTTTAGGTTCTGGGATATATGTGCAGAACATGCAGGTTTATTACATAGGTATACACGTGCGATGGTGGTATGCTGCACCCATCAACCTGCCATCTACATTATGTATTTCTCCTAATGCTATCCCTCCCCTAACCTCCCACCCCCTGACAGGCCCCAGTGTGTGATGTTCTCCTCCTTGTGCCCATGTGTTCTCATTGTTCAACTCCCACTTATGAGTGAGAACACACGGTGTTAGGTTTTTTGATCCTGTGTTAGTTTGCTGAGAATGACAGTTTCCAGCTTCATCCATGTCCCTGCAAAGGACATGAACTCATCCTTTTTTATGGCTGAATAGTATTCCATGCTCTATATGTGACACATTTTCTTTATCCAGTCTATCATTGATGGGCCTTTGGATTGGTTCCAAGTCTTTGCTATTTTGAACAGTGCAGCAATAAACATGCATGTGCATGTGTCTTTATAGTAGCATGATTTATAATCCATTGGGTATATATACAGTAATGGGACTGCTGGGTCAAATGGTATTTCTGGTTCTAGATCCTTGAGGAATAGCCACACTGTCTTCCACAATGGTTGAACTAATTTACACTCCTACCAACAGTGTAAAAGCGTTCCTATTTCTCCACCTCCTCTCCAGCCATCTGTTGTTTCCTGACTTTTTAATGATTGCCATT
Source organism: Homo sapiens (assembly GCF_000001405.40). Classification (NCBI taxonomy): domain Eukaryota; kingdom Metazoa; phylum Chordata; class Mammalia; order Primates; family Hominidae; genus Homo; species Homo sapiens. The sequence goes on from NC_000003.12 coordinate 1,650,633, forward strand.
CTAACTGGTGTGAGATGGTATCTCATTGTGGTTTTGATTTGCATTTCTCTAATGGCCAGTGATGATGAGCTTGTTTTCATAAGTTTGTTGGCTGCATAAATGCCTTCTTTTGAGACGTGTCTGTTCATATTCTTCACCCACTTGTTGATGGGGTTTTTTTCCTTGTAAATTTGTTTGAGTTCTTTGTAGATTCTGGATATTAGCCATTGTCAGATGCATAAATTGCAAAAAATGTTCTCCCATTCTGTAGGTTGCCTGTTCACTCCAATGACAGTTTCTTTCACTGTGCAGAAGCTCTTTAGTTTGATTAGATCCCATTTGTCAATTCTGGCTTTTGTTGCCATTGCTTTTGGTGTTTTAATCATGAAGTCTTTGCACATGCTTATGTCCTGAATGGTATTGCCTAGGTTTTCTTCTAGGGTTTTTATGGTTTTAGGTCTTACATTTAAGTCTGTAATCTATCTTGAGTTAATTTTTTTATGAGGTGTAAGGAAGGGGTCCAGTTTCAGTTTTGTGCATATGGCTAGCTAGTTTTGCCAACACCATTTATTAAATAAAGAATCCTTTCCCCATTGCTTGTTTTTGTCAAGTTTATCAAAGATCAGATGGTTGTAGATGTGTGGCATTATTTCTAAGGCCTCTGTTCTGTTCAATTGGTCGATATCTGTTATGGTACCAGTACCATACTGTTTTGGTTACTGTAGCCCTGTAGTATAGTTTGAAGTCAGGAAGCATGATCCTTCCAGCTTTGTTCTTTTCACTTAGGATTGTCTTGGCTATATGGGCTCTTTTTTGTTTCCATATGAAATTTAAGTCATTTTTTCTAATTCTGAGAAGAAAGTCAATGGTAGCTTGATGGGGATAGCATTGATTCTACAAATTACTTTGGGCAGTATGGCCATTTTCACAATATTGATTCTTCTATCCATAAGCATGGAATTTTTTCCATTTGTTTGTGTCCACTCTTATTTCTTTGAGCTGAGATTTGTAGTTCTCCTGGAAGAGGCCCTTCCCATCCCTTGTAAGTTGTATTCCTACGTATGTTATTCTCTTTGTAGCTATTGTGAATGAGAATTCACTCATGATTTGGCTCTCTGTTTGTCTATTATTGGTGTAGAGGAACGGTTGTGATTTTTGCACACTGATTTTGTATCCTGAGACTTTGTATCCTGTTGCATTTTTATTTCTGCCTTAATTTTGCTATTTATCCAGTAGTCATTGAAAAGGTTTTCAATTTCCATGTAGTTGTGCAGTTTTGAGTGAGTTTCTTAGTCCTGAGTTCTAACTTGATTGCACTGTGGTCTGAAAGACTGTTTGTTATGATTTCCATTCTTTTGCATTTGCTGAGGAGTGTTTTACTTCCAGTTATGTGGTCAATTTTAGAATATGTGTGATGAAGTGCTGAGAAGAATGTACATTATGTTGATTTGGGGTGGAGAGTTCTGTAGGTATCTATTAGATCTGCTTGGCCCAGAGCTGAGTTCAAGTCCTGAATATCCTTGTTAATTTTCTGTCTCATTGATCTGTCTAATACTGACAGTGGGGTGCTAAAGTCTCCCACTGTTATTGTATGGGAGTCTAAGTCTCTTTGTAGGTCTCTAAGAACTTGCTTTCTGAACCTGGGGGCTCCTGTATTGGGTGCATATATATTTAGGATAGTTAGTTCTTCTTGTTGCATCGATCCCTTTACCATTACGTAATGTCCTCCTTTGTCTCTTTTGATCTATGTTGGTTTAAAGTCTGTTTTTATCGGAGAATAGGAATGCAAACCCTGCTTTTATTTTGTTTTACATTTGCTTGATAAATATTCCTCTATCCTATTATTTTGAGCATATGTGTGTCTTTGCACGTGAGATGGGTCTCCTGAATACAGCACTCTGATGGGTCTTGAATATTTATCCAATTTGCCAGTCTGTGTCTTTTAATTGGGGCATTTAGCCCGTTTACATTTAAGGTTAATATTGTTATGTGTGAATTTGATCCTGTCATTATGATGCTAGCTGGCTACCTTGCCCATTAGTTGATGCAGTTTTTTCATAGTGTCAATGGTCTTTACGATTTGGTATGTTTTTGCAGTGGCAGATACTGGTTTTTCCTTTCATATTTAGTGTGTCCTTCAGGAGCTCTTGTAAGGCAGGCCTGGTGGTGACAAAATTCCTCAGCATTTGTTTGTAAAGGATTTTATTTCTCCTTCACTTGTGATGTGTAATTTGGCTGGATATGAAATTCTGGATTGAAAATTATTTTCTTTAAGAATGTTGAAGATTGGCCCCCACTGTCTTCTGGCTTGTAGGGTTTCTGCAGAGAGATCTGCTCTTAGTCTGATTGGATTCCCTTTGTGGGTAACCCAATCTTTCTCTCTATCTGCACTTAACATTTTCTCCTTCATTTCAACCTTGGTGAATCTGACAAATATGTGTCTTGGGGTTGCTCTTGTTGAGGAATATCTTACTGGTGTTCTCTGTATTTCCTGAATTTGAATGTTGGCCTGTCTTGTTAGGCTGGGGATGTTCTCCTGGATAATATACTGAAGTGTGTTTTCCAACTTGGTTCCATTCTCCCCATCACTTTCAGGTACACCAATCAATCATAGGTTTGGTCTTTTCACATAATCCCATATTTCTTGAAGGCTTTGTTCTTTCTTTTTCATTCTTTATTCCCTAATCTTGTCTTCATGCTTTATTTCATTAAGTTGATCTTTAATCTCTGATATCCTTTCTTCCACTTGATCGATTTGGCTATTGATACTTGTGTATGCTTCACAAAGCTCTCGTGCTGTGTTTTTCAGCTCCATCAGGTCATTTATGTTCTTCTCTAAACTGGTTATTCTAGTTAGCAATTCCTCTAACCTTTTTTCTAGGTTCTTAGCTTCCTTGCACTTGGTTAGGACATACTCCTTTAGCTTGGAGGAGTTTGTTATTATCCACCTTCTGAAGCCTACTTCTGTCAATTCATCAAACTCATTCTCCATTCAGTTTTGTTCCCTTGCTGGTGAGGAGTTGTGATCCTTTGGAGGAGAAGAGGCATTCTGGTTTTTGGAATTTTCAGGCTTTTTCCGCTGGTTTTTCCTCATCTTTGTGGATTTCTCTACCTCTGGTCTTTGATGTTGGTGACCTTCAGATGGAGTTTTTGTGTGGTCATCCTTTTTGTTGATGTTGATGCTATTGCTTTCTGTTTGTTAGTTTTCCTTATAACAGTCATGCACCTCTTCTGCAGGTCTGCTGGAGTTTGTTGAAGGTCCACTCCAGACCGTATTTGCCTAGGTATCACCAGCAGAGGCTGAAGAACAGCAAAGATTGCTTTCTGCCCCTTCCTCTGGAACCTTCGTCCCAGAGGGGCACCTGCCAGATGCCAACTGGAGCTCTCCTGTATGAGATGTCTGTCAACCCAGAATGTCTCTTCTCCTCCAAGTATCACAACTCCTCACCAGCAAGTGAACAAACTAGATGGAGCATGAGTTTGACAAATTGACAAAAGTAGGCTTCAGAAGGTGGGTAATAACAAATTGCTCCAAGCAAAAGCAACATGTTCTAACCCAATGCAAAGAAGCTAAGAACATCAAAAAAAGGTTAGAGGAATTGCTATCTAGAATAAGCAGTTTAGAGAAGAACATAAATGACCTGATGGAACTGAAAAACACAGCACGAGAACTTCGTGAAGCATACACAAGTATCAATAGCCAAATTGATCAAGTGGAAGATATCAGAGATTGAAGATCAATGTAATGAAATAAAGTGTGATGACAAGATTATAGAAAAAAGAGTGAAAAGGAACGAACAAAGCCTTCAATAAATATAGGACTATGTGAAAAGACCAAACCTACGATTAACTGGTGTACCTGAAAGTGACAGGGAGATTGGAACCAAGTTGGAAAACACACATCAGAATATTATCCAGAAGACATCTCCAACCCAGCAACAGGCCAACATTCAAATTCAGGAAATACAGAGAACACCATATTCTTCAAAAAAAAAATTTCAACCCAGAACTTCATATCCAGCCAAACTAAGCTTTGAAAGACAAAAGAAGGGCATTACATAATGGTAAAGGGATCAATGCAACAAGAAGAACTAACCATCCTAAATATATATGCACCGAATGCAGGAGCACCCAGATTCAGAAAGCAAGTTCTTAGAGACCTACAAAGACAGCTCTTATTATTTTGAAATATGTCCCATCAATACCTAATTTATTGAGAGTTTTTAGCATGAAGGGTTGTTGAATTTTGTCAAAGGCCTTTTCTGCATCTATTGAGATAATCATGTGGTTTTTGTCTTTGGCTCTGTTTATATGCTGCATTACATTTATTGATTTGCATATATTGAACCAGCATTGCATCCCAGGGAGGAAGCCCACTTGATCATGGTGGATAAGCTTTTTGATGTGCTGCTGGATTTGGTTTGCCAGTATTTTATTGAGGATTTTTGCATCACTGTTCATCAAGGATACTGGTCTAAAATTCTCTTTTTTGGTTGTGTCTCTGCCCGGCTTTGGTATCAGAATGATGCTGGCCTCATAAAATGAGTTAGGGAGGATTCCCTCTTTTTCTATTGATTGGAATAGTTTCAGAAGGAATGGTACCAGTTCCTCCTTGTGCCTCTGGTAGAATTCGGCTGTGAATCCATCTGGTCCTGGACTCTTTTTGGTTGGTAAGCTATTGATTATTGCCACAAATTCAGAGCCTGTTATTGGTCTATTCAGAGATTCAAATTCTTCCTGGTTTAGTCTTGGGAGAGTGTAAGTGTCAAGGAATTTATCCATTTCTTCTAGATTTTCTAGTTTATTTGCATAGAGGTGTTTGTAGTATTCTCTGATGGTAGTTTGTATTTCTGTGGGATCAGTGGTGATATCCCCTTTATCATTTTTTATTGCATCTATTTGATTCTTCTCTCTTTTCTTCTTTATTAGTCTTGCTAGTGGTCTATCAATTTTGTTGATCTTTTCAAAAAACCAGCTCCTGGATTCATTATTTTTTGAAGGGTTTTTTGTGTCTCTATTTCCTTCAGTTCTGCTCTGATTTTAGTTATTTCTTGCCTTCTGCTAGCTTTTGAATGTGTTTGCTCTTGTTTTTCTAGTTCTTTTAATTGTGATGTTGGGGTGTCAGTTTTGGATATTTCCTGCTTTCTCTTGTGGGCATTTAGTGCTACAAATTTCCCTCTACACACTGCTTTGAATGCATCCCAGAGATTCTGGTATGTTGTGTCTTTGTTCTCGTTGGTTTCAAAGAACATCTTTATTCCTGCCTTCATTTCGTTATGTACCCAGTAGTCATTCAGGAGCAGGTTGTTCAGTTTCCATGTAGTTGAGCGGTTTTGAGAGTGAGATTCTTAATCCTGAGTTCTAGTTTGATTGCACTGCGGTCTGAGAGATAGTTTGTTATAAGTTCTGATCTTTTACATTTGCTGAGGAGAGCTTTACTTCCAACTATGTGGTCAATTTTGGAATAGGTGTGGTGTGGTGCTGAAAAAAATGTATATTCTGTTGATTTGTGGTGGAGAGTTCTGTAGATGTCTATTAGGTCCGCTTGGTGCAGAGCTGAGTTCAATTCCTGGGTATCCTTGTTGACTTTCTGTCTCGTTGATCTGTCTAATGTTGACAGTGAGGTGTTAAAGTCTCCCATTATTAATGTCTGGGAGTCTAAGTCTCTTTGTAGGTCACTCAGGACTTGCTTTATGAATCTTAGTGCTCATGTATTGGGTGCATATATATTTAGGATAGTTAGCTCTTCTTGTTGAATTGATCCCTTTACCATTATGTAATGGCCTTCTTTGTCTCTTTTGATCTTTGTTGGTTTAAAGTCTGTTTTATCAGAGACTAGGATTGCAACCCCTGCCTTTTTTTGTTTTCCATTGGCTCAGTAGATCTTCCTCCATCCTTTTATTTTGAGCCTATGTGTGTCTCCGCACGTGAGACGGGTTTCCTGAATACAGCACGCTGATGGGTCTTGACACTTTATCCAATTTGCCAGTCTGTGTCTTTTAATTGGAGCATTTAGTCCATTTACATTTAAAGTTAATAGTGTTATGTGTGAATTTGATCCTGTCATTATGATGTTAGCTGGTTATTTTGCTCGTTAGTTGATGCAGTTTCTTCCTAGTCTCGATGGTCGTTACATTTTGGCATGATTTTGCAGCGGCTGGTACTGGTTGTTCCTTTCCATGTTTAGCGCTTCCTTCAGGAGCTCTTTTACAAACCCACAGCCAATATCATACTGAATGCGCAAAAACTCGAAGCATTCCCTTTGAAAACTCGCACAAGACAGGGATGCCCTCTCTCACCACTCCTATTCAACATAGTGTTGGAAGTTCTGGCCAGGGCAATTAGGCAGGAGAAGGAAATAAAGGGTATTCAGTTAGGAAGAGGAAGTCAAATTGTCCCTGTTTGCAGATGACATGATTGTATATCTAGAAAACCCTATTGTCTCAGCCCAAAATCTCCTTAAGCTGATAAGCAACTTCAGCAAAGTCTCAGGATACAAAATCAATGTGCAAAAATCACAAGCATTCCTATACACCAACAACAGACAAACAGACAGCCAAATCATGAGTGAACTCCCATTCACAATTCCTTCAAAGAGAATAAAATACCTAGGAATCCAACTTACAAGGGATGTGAAGGACCTCTTCAAGGAGAACTACAAACCACTGCTTAAGGAAATAAAAGAGGATACAAACAAATGGAAGAACATTCCATGCTCATGGGTAGGAAGAATCAATATCATGAAAATGGCCATACTGCCCAAGGTAATTTACAGATTCAATGCCATCCCCATCAAGCTACCAATGACTTTCTTTACAGAATTGGAAAAAACTACTTTAAAGTTCATATGGAACCAAAAAAGAGCCCTCATCGCCAAGTCAATACTAAGCCAAAAGAACAAAGCTGGAGGCATCACACTACCTGACTTCAAACTATACTACAAGGCTACAGTAACCAAAACAGCATGGTACTGGTGCCAAAGCAGAGATCTAGATCAATGGCACAGAACAGAGCCCTCAGAAATAACGCCGCATATCTACAGCTATCTGATCTTTGACAAACCTGACAAAAACAAGCAATGGGGAAAGGATTCCCTATTTAATAAATGGTGCTGGGAAAACTGGCTACCCATATGTAGAAAGCTGAAACTGGATCCCTTCCTTACACCTTATACAAAAATCAATTCAACATGGATTAAAGACTTAAATGTTAGACCTAAAACCATAAAAACCCTAAAAGAAAACCTAGGCATTACCATTCAGGACACAGGCATGGGCAAGGACTTCATGTCTAAAACACCAAAAGCAATGGCAACAAAAGCCAAAATTGACAAATGGGATCTAATTAAACTAAAGAGCTTCTGCACAGCAAAAGAAACTACCATCAGAGTGAACAGGCAACCTACAGAATGGGAGAAAATTTTCGCAATCTACTCATCTGACAAAGGGCTAATATCCAGAATCTACAATGAACTCAAACAAATTTACAAGAAAAAAACAAACAACCCCATCAAAAAGTGGGCAAAGGACATGAACAGACACTTCTCAAAAGAAGACATTTATGCAGCCAAAAAACACATGAAAAAATGCTCACCATCACTGGCCATCAGAGAAATGCAAATCAAAACCACAATGAGATACCATCTCACACCAGTTAGAATGGCAATCATTAAAAAGTCAGGAAACAACAGGTGCTGGAGAGGATGTGGAGAAATAGGAACACTTTTACACTGTTGGTGGGACTGTAAACTAGTTCAACCATTGTGGAAGTCAGTGTGGCGATTCCTCAGGGATCTAGAACTAGAAATACCATTTGACCCAGCCATCCCATTACTGGGTATATACCCAAAGGACTATAAATCATGCTGCTATAAAGACACATGCACACGTATGTTTATTGCGGCATTATTCACAATAGCAAAGACTTGGAACCAACCCAAATGTCCAACAATGATAGACTGGATTAAGAAAATGTGGCACATATACACCATGGAATACTATGCAGCCATAAAAAATGATGAGTTCATGTCCTTAGTAGGGACACGGATGAAACTGGAAATCATCATTCTCAGTAAACTATCGCAAGAACAAAAAACCAAACACCGCATATTCTCACTCATAGGTGGGAATTGAACAATGAGATCACATGGACACAGAAAGGGGAACATCACACTCTGGGGACTGTTGTGGGGTGAGGGGAGGGGGGAGGGATAGCACTGGGAGATATACCTAATGCTAGATGACGAGTTAGTGGGCGCAGCACACCAGCATGGCACATGTATAAGTATGTAACTAACCTGCACAATGTGCACATGTACCCTAAAACTTAAAGTATAATAATAAAAAATAAATAAATAAATAAAAAAGAAAAAAAAAGAGACCTACAAAGAGACTTAGACTCCCAAATAATAATAGTGGGAAACTTTAACACTCCACTGTCAATATTAGACAGATCAATGAGACAGAAAATTAACAAGGATATTCAGGACTTGAACTCAGCTCTGAGCCAAGCAGATCTGATAGACATCTACAGAACTCTCCACCCCAAATCAACATTATATACATTCTTCTCAGCACCACATCGCACTTATTCTAAAGCTGACCAAGTAATTAGAAGTAGAACACTCCTCAGCAAATTCAGAAAAATGGAAATCATAACAGTCTCTCAGACCACAGTGCAATCAAATTAGAACTCAGGATTAAGAAACTCACTCAAAACCGCACAACTGCATGGAAACTGAACAGCCTGCTCCTGAATGACTACTGGGTAGAAGGCAGAAGTAAGGATTTTCTTTGAAACTAATGAGAAGAAAGACACAATGTAACAGAATCTCTGGGACACAGCTAAAGCAGTGTTTACAGGGAAATTTATAATACTGAATGCCCACAGGAGACAGCAGGAAAATCTAAAATCGAGACCCAAACACCACCATTAACTACAGAAGCAAGAGAAAACAAATTCAAAAGCTAGCAGGGGCAAGAAATAACTAAGATCAGGGCAAAACTGAAGGAAGTAGAGACACGAAAAACACTTCAAAAAATCAATTTATCCAGGAGCTGGTTTTTTGAAAAGATTAACAAAAGAGCCCACTAGCTAGACTAATAAAGAAGAAAAGAGAGAAGAATGAAATAGACCCAACAAAAAATGATATAGGGGATATCAGCACTGATCCCACAGAAATACTAACTACCATCAGAGAATACTATAAACCTCTGCACAAATGAACTAGAAAATCTAGAATAAATAGATAAATTCCTGGACACATACACCCTCCCAAGACTAAACCAGGAAGAAGTTTAATCCCTGAATAAACCAATAACAAGTTCTGAAATTGAGGCAGTAATTAGTAGCCTACCAACCAAAAAAAAATAAAAATAAAAGCCCAGGACCTGACAGATTCACAGCCAAACTCTACCAGAGGTGCAAAGAGGAGCTGGTACCATTCTTTCTGAAGCTATTTCAAACAAGAGAAAAAGAATGACTCCTCTCTAACTCATTTTATGAGGCCAGCATCATCCTGATACCAAAACCTGGCAGAGACACAACAAACAAAGAAAATTTCAGGCCAGTATCCCTGATGAACATTGATGTGAAAATCCTCAATAAAATACTGGTAAACAGAATCCAGCAGCACATCAAAAAGCTTATCCACCATGATCAAGTGGGCTTCATCTCTGGGATGCAAAGCTGGTTCAACATACGCAAATCAATAAACATAATCCATCACATAAACAGAACCAAGGACAAAACCTCATGATTATCTCAATAGATGCGGAAAAGACCTTTGACAAAATTCAACAGCCCTTCATGCTAAAAACTCTCAATAAACTAGGTATTGATGAAATGTATCTCAAAATAATAAGAGCTATTTATGACAAACCCACAGCCAATATCATACTGAATGGGCAAAAGCTGGAAGCATTCCCTTTGAAAACTGGGACAAGACAAGAATGCCCTCTCTCACCACTCCTATTCAACACAGTATTGGAAGTTCTGGCCAGGGCAATCAGGCAAGAGAAAGAAATAAAAGGTATTCAAATAGGAAGGCAGGAAGTCAAATTGTCTCTGTTTGCAGATGACATGAATGTATATTTAGAAAACCTTATCACCTCAGCCCAAAATCTCCTTAATCTGATAAGCAACTTCAGCAAAGTGTCAGAGTACAAAATCAATGTGCAAAAATCACAAGCATTCTTATACACCAGTAATAGACAAACAGAGAGCCAAATCATGATTGAACTCCCATTCACAATTGCTACAAAGAGAATAAAATATCTAGGAATATAACTCACAAGGGATGTGAAGGACCTCTTCACAGAGAACTACAAACCACTGCTCAAGGAAATAAGAGAGGACATAAACAAAAGGAAACACATTCCATGCTCATAGATAGGAAGAATCAATATCGTGAAAATGGCCATACTGCCCAAAGTCATTTATAGCTTCAATGCTATCCCATCAAGCTATCACTGACTTTCTTCACAGAATTAGAAAAAACTACTTTAAATTTCATACTGAACCAAAAAAAAAGCCCGTATAGCCAAGACAATCGTAAGCCAAAAGAACAGAACAGCATATTTTTAAACTGGCTGTTGATAATTTTGCTTCTGTAGTCGCCTATGGCTAATTTTTTTCTTATTTTTAATAGTTTTGTACTTCACTATTATAAACAGCATGTTATGAAGATCTTTGCACATGCATACTATTATACATAATTGAATATAAATTTAAAGTTAATTTTAGAAGTCTTATTACCTGAATAGTGCACATGCATTACAAATATTTACAAATATTACAAGTTGCCTTCTATAGGGGTATCATTGTCAACTCCCATTATCAATGTATAATTGTACATGTTGCCCCACCCCAATAAATACAGTGTATTAATTTTTCAGCATTATAGATTTGCTGAGTAAAATGTAGTATCTTATTTAATTTTCATTTTTCTTATTACGAGTGAAGTTTAGCCCCTGTTTATATTTAAGGGTGTTTTACATTCTTTTTTCAGTTTGAGTTTCATACTCTTTACCCATTTTTATTGAATATTTTCTATTTGATATGTAGGTATTACTAATATATTAAGAAAATTAATACTCCCAATGCTTGCAATTTCTCATAAAAATATTTTCCCAGTTTATCAGTTGTCTGCCAGCTTTCTGCATAGCATTTTGTGATGCAAATATTTAATTTTTATATCCAATTTTATCAAACATTTTTATGGCTGCTGGGATTCTGTCATGGCTAAGAAAACTGTTTTCCATTCCAATATTATAACCTTTTCCCATTTTTTCTTTTAGGTATGTTTATGGTTTCATGTGAGACCTTAGACAAGTTACCTAACATTTCTGTGCTCAAATGTCCTTATTGATAGTGGGGACAGTATCAACAATACATTCCTCATAGAATTCTGTGGTTTAAGTTACTTCATAAAAGGAAAATAAACAATTATTAGCCAGACGTGGTGACTCAGGCCTGTAATCCCAACACTTTGGGAGGGTGAGGCAGGAGGACTGCTTACAGCCAGAAGTTTGAGATCAGCCTGGTCAACAAAAGTGAGACCTTGTCTCTACATTAAAAAATAAATTAGCCAGGTGTGATGTTGTGCACCTGTAATTCCAGTTATTCAAAAGGAAGGGGAAGGAGAACAGAACTCTCTCTTCAAATCTTCAAAAAATAGTTAAAAACGAAATTTAAAAACTTGCACACTGTGAGAACTTAAAAAGGGATAGCTATCTTACTGTTATTGAATAATCCTGTTTTCATCACTGGTATGCACAACGTCATCTTTATCATATACTAAATTTTTAAAACTATTTAGCTCCATTTCTACATGTTTCACGTGACGAAATCAGTGGTGTTTCTCCAAGCTCCTATATTATCTTCCTATTATGGCCCTGATTATATTATTTTGTATCTATTGTTTGTCTAGATTGTTATCATTGGACTACAAATTATTTGAGGAGGAAGATTTTATTGTTTTCTTTGCACACCCACTGCCTACAAACTAACATAGTAAATTTACAGTAAATATTTTTTAAAAATTCAGGTCTATAAAGGCATCTGTAATTGAATTCACCCAAAATATTTCAATTCGACGTAGCCAAATTTATCAAATTCTCTCTTTGATTTTTCCCTTCTGTGTCCTAAGAAATCTTCGCATAAGCCAAGGTCACAGAGATTTTTTTCCTTTGTATTTTCTAGACATTTTGTTATTTTATCTAATGTTTAAGTCTATGACACATTTCAATTTATACTTGGTATGCGGTTAAGAGTGAAGGCTGAGGTTCATTTTATTTTGTGTATATTGTTCTTCAATTATTCTAGCACCACTTTTTAAAAGACAATCCTTTCCCTAATGAATTACCTTATGGCAAATAAACTATGCATCATTAGACTTACATATTTCAGATCTTTGTACCTTTTTGTAAACCATTTGACAGTACATTCAAATGGAATGATTTTTAAATGGAGATAATTTTTTTTTTTTTTTTTTTTTTTTTTTTTTTTTTTTTTTGGTGAGACGGAGTCTTGCTCTGTCGCCCAGGCTGGAGTGCGGTGGCGCGATCTCGGCTCACCCCAAGTTCTCCTCCCGGGTTCACGCCATTCTCCTGCCTCAGCCTCCCGAGTAGCTGGGACTACAGGGGCCCACCACCACGCCTGGCTAATTTTTTTTTTTTTTTTTTTGTATTTTCAGTAGAGACCAGGTTTCACCGTGTCAGCCAGGATGGTCTCAATCTCCTGACCTCGTGATCCGCCCACATCGTCCTCCCAAAGTGCTGGGATTACAGGCGGGAGCCAATATTTTTTAAATTAACCTCAATGTTTTCATTATTTTCTCATTGTCTTTTCAGTTATTTTAATTCAACTTTTTTTTTATTTGATAATGATTCATAGGCCGGCAGTAAGATGTAACAAAAAAGAAAACACATTGAAATCAGAAAGTCTTAGGTTCAAATGCCCACTGTGCCATTTACTACCTGTTTGTGGGTTATTTATATAATAACCTGTAACCTCAGTTTCTTTAATTATAAAATGTAGATAATTTCTATTTCCTAAGGTTATATGGAAGATTACTTAAAATTACTAATGTGGGGATGGGGTTTACTTACTAAGCATACATACTCAATTACATTATAGGATTCTAATAAAAGAAATCCTGCCATGGCTTGTATGCATTTTTTTCCACCAAGATTAGGCACTGATCCAGCCTACACTTTTCTTACTTATTTAAAGACACTAGCAATGAGAACTTGCAATTTCTCTGTTCTTATATTGCTTTACTTTTGCCTTGTCCCTCACCGAAATGATGATTGATATAATTTTGGTGTCTGTGTACTGTAACTTCTGTTGTTTCGCATAGAAACAAAACAATAGAGATATCTTCAGACATAAAATAATTAGGTACCCTACATCTTTTTGCAAAGTTTTTAATATATAAGGATAGAACCATGCCAAAAAGACCAAGAGTAAAGTTACAAAAAATAAAAAGACAGATTACATCATATTTCTCCAGATTCCATTGCTGGCATTCAGGAGGTAAGGTTTCTATATTGTTGGGGGCACAGTTAGAAAGCAAATAGGTGGTCCTGGGACCTACTGTGAGTTAGCTACCCTGAAAGTTTAAGTGCTCTGGGGTCTGGGTGGCTACACATTGATCAGTTGAATGAATTAAAATAGGTATAAAACTCTTGGGCCCAGGCACATTTGCTCCTACTTGTCTGATCATAACACACAGAAAGAGGGTATGTTCTCATCATCATTTCAAAGTGACTAAACACTATGAAAGCACTAGGAAAATCAGGATGGTGGAGACCACAGAAAATTTCTTGAACAAGGAGGCTTAAAGCCAGTGATTGTGAAATCTGAGCTTAATGGGCCTATATCAGTTACTTTTTCCCTGGCAAGTAGGGAAGGCAATCAGGATTACTTCAGAAAGAAAACGATGATTTATGCATTCATAACCATGGGAATTGTCACAAATTTTGGTAGAGGCAAAATACTGGATTGCTGCTTGGTCTTCAATGAAATTATATTATCCAAGCCCTCTAAACAGTTAAGCTACATGAGAAGAGGAAATGGCTTTTAATTAATAATCAGTATTTTCTACATAAAGCATACTTGAGCCAAACTTTCATAATAGGTCTGGGGTAATCTGTCAAAAATATTTTAAAAGAGCCCATGTTGATTTTTAAGAGAATGGCAACATTCTTATGATCAAGTATAATCCATAGGAATACCTATAAGAGAAAAATGTATAGGGATGAGACATTTGGAACTATTATTTAAAATAATAAATTATTATGACAATTTTTTGAAGATAATTGTAATTTCATATACATTGGAAAGAAATAATACAAAGTGATCCCATGGACCATACCCCTATGATAACAGCACTCACCAAAGTAGAAATAGAAGAAAAACTCCTCAATCTGATAAAAGCCATCTCAAACACCAGCTGACATCATGCTTACTAGCGAAAGACTGAAAGTCTTCCCACCTTAGACTTGGAACAAAGCAAAGATGTGTGTTCTCACCATTCTTAAAGATAGGACTAGAAGTTCTAACCACTTGCAATGAGGCAATAATAGAATAAAAAGCAATCAAATTGGAAAATAAGTAGTAAAACTGTTTCTATTCCCAGATAACATGATCTTTTTAATATAGGAAATCCTTAGGATACACACACACAGACAGAAAAAGAGAGAGAGAACACAAATAAATGATTTCAACAAGATTGCAAGATATAAGATCAATATATAAAAATCAATGGTAATTCTATACTAGCAATGAACAATTTGAAAATAAAATTAAGAAAACAATTCTTTTTTTATAGTATAAAAAAGAACAAAACACTTAGAAATTCAACAAAAGAAGTGCAAACTTATGCTCTCAAAACTATAAAACATAGCTGACAGAAATTAAAAATCTAAATAGTTGGAAAAACATTTCATGTTCGTGAATCAGAAGACTAAACAGCTGATAGTAGTATTTCCCACAGTAGTTCTACAGATTCAATGCAATTCCCATCACAATCCCAGCTGACTTCTCCATAGAAATTAACAAAGTAATTCTAAATTCACATGAATTGCAACAGGCCAGAACAGCCAAAACAATCTTGAAAAAGAACAAAACAAGAAGAGTCAGACTTCTTGGTTTCAAAACCTACTACAAAGAAATATTCATCAAGACAATGTGGTACTGGCATACGATAGACATATAGATCAAAGGAATAGAACTGAGAGATTCAGAGTCCAAAAATAAACTTTCATATACATGGTCAAGTGATTTTCACCAAGATTACTAAGACCCTCCATTCACTAGGAACAGGATAGTCTTCTCAGCAAGTGGTGCTGGGACAACTACATAGCTAATGTAAATGAATGAAGTTGGACCACTACCTCCTACCGTATGTAAAATTAACTTGAAATGGAACAAAGACCTAAATGTAAGAGCTAAAACAATAAAACACTTTGAAGAAAAAATAGAAATCTGACAGACCTTGGATCAATTAATTAGTTTATTACCTATGACGATAAAAGCACAAGCAACAAAAGAAAAAAATAAATTATACTCCATCAAACTTTAAATTATTTGTGCTGAAAAAAATAGCATTAATAAAATGAAAAGAAAACCCAGAGAATGAGAGAAAATTTTGCAAATCATATCTCTGATAAAGGACTCATATCCAGAATATGTAAAGAACTCTTCCAACTCAACAATAAAAGACAAGCCAACTGTAAAGCAGGGAAATAGTTTGAACAGCCATTTCTTCAAAGATGTGGACAGTAAGCAAATGAAAAGATTTGCAACATCATGAGTCATTAGGGAAATGTAAGCCAAAACAACAATGAGATACCCCTTGAAAAATAAAAAGGGTTGGCAAGAATTCGAATATGTTGGAACCCTAATGCATTGCTGGTGAAAACGTAAATGAGTGAAACCAATTTGAAAAGCAATTTGGCATTCATCGAAAGTTAAACATAGAGTTACCATACGACCTAGCAACTCTACTTCTAGGTATGTAAGAGAATTGAAAATGCTATGTCCACACAAAAACTTCCATGTGAATGCTCATGCAACATTTTTCTAAGTGGTTAAAAAAGTGAAAACAACTCAAATGTTCATCCATTGATAAGTAGATAAAAAAGTATGATCACATATTCCATAGCAGCCATGAAAAGAAATCAAATACTGATACATTCTATTGATACAACATAGATGAATGTAAAAAATATGCTAAGTGATAACATTCAGACACAAAAGGTCACATATTTTACAATTCCATTTATATGAACTATCCAGAATATGCAAATCTATAAAGATAGAAAGTAGATGAATGGTTGCCAGGGATTGGGAAGTGTGAAGAATATATAGTGATTACTAATGAGTATGGTTTTGATTTGTTTTGTTTTGTTTCTTTAAGGCCAAAAAAGTTCTCAAATAGATTGTGGTGATGGTTGCGCAACCCTGTGAATATACAAAGAAAAGTAAATTGTTCATGTTAAAAAGGTGTATCCTATGGCATGTGAATTATATCCCAATAAAGCTGTTATTAAAGAAATGAAGTAGTAATAAGTGGTAATAGAATTAATTAGTATGTTTTGAGTTAAGCATATTTGTATGGGAAGATATATTTTCAATAAACATGTGGCTTTATTTTATCCAGTGGTTTTCAATATCTTCTTTATACTCTACATTATTTACATATACAACAAACTTCTGTAATATTTCTTACATTCTATTAATTGTGAAACACTGATTTAGTTTGCTTTATACCACAAATAAAGCTAGAAAATTATCTTGAAAATATTATGCAGAAGTAGATTTTACTACAAATGGCTAGATAATTGAAGCATATTTTATCTATAAATATAAGAATAATTTTATTTTTCTACTTGATCCTGCATCTGTATTTAATGCAATTTTTATAAAATCCTGAAAATTGAAGAATTAAATATGGTGACAAGACACGATTTTGTTGAAGGGAAAAATCTCTCTCAGATTAAATAGTACATTTTAAAATATGAATGCAGCTGGATGCAGTGGCTCACCCCTGTAATCCCAGCACCTTGGGAGGCTGAAGTGGGCAGATCACCTGAAGTCAGGAGTTCAAAACCAGTCTGGCCAACATGGTAAAACCTCATCTCTACCAAAAATTCAAAAATTAGCAGAACATGGTGGCAGGTGCCTGTAATCCCAGGAACTCGGGAGGCTGAGGCAGAAGAATCGCTTGAACCCATGAGGCAGAGGTTGCAGTGAGCCAAGATCGTGCCACTGTACTCCAGCTTGGATGACAAGGGCAAGACTGTGTCTCAAAAAAAAAAAAAGTAAAATAGAATAATAAAATATAAATTCATTCTACACATATAGAAGTTCCTCTATGAACATTTAGGTTCTAAAAATATGTGGGTATGTGTTGTCCCTATGCCCATTAAGGCATATAAAAGCTATAGACATAGGCATATTCATGAAGTTAAATTTCTTAAATGAATGAATTTTGATGGCATTGAATTTGTTTTGTTT
Organism: Homo sapiens; assembly: GCF_000001405.40. Classification (NCBI taxonomy): domain Eukaryota; kingdom Metazoa; phylum Chordata; class Mammalia; order Primates; family Hominidae; genus Homo; species Homo sapiens. The sequence continues at coordinate 1,668,135 of NC_000003.12, forward strand.
TCTCTTTTAATTGTAATAATAAAGCTTGGCTTAGCAGCTTCAACAATCTCACAGATTTTGCACTTATTAGGAAAGATAAAATTGGTAGTCATAAATTATTATACATTTGGTACAAATGCAGCAATCATGCTACAGACTGATAAAAGCAGGAAGACCAACATTACAATGATACACACAACTACTGACACCATCTCTGGTGTCAGGAAGAGTTGACTTGCTTTAGCTATGGAGGGGCAATTACATATATAATTTTATTTTCCTATAGAGCTTCAAAGTACACAAAATTCTGTAGACCTTTTCATACCATAGTTATATATTGTGCCAAAAATGTGCTAGTCAGTAAAAAATGAAAAATCAAACTTTCCAATTGAGTCATATACTAAATTTGTCTTTGTCAATTGATGTTTATTCTACAGAGATTTATTTAGAATGGAATATTCCAATCTGCTAAAACAATTTCTTATTTCTGTTGTGTGTGTATCTGTGGTAAAAATCAAAGCTTAGTGTGTCTGCATGCAGCCAAAAGCTGCCATTGTGACAGCTTGTCTTTCATTTTGTAACATTCAACCACTTATTGTACACCAGCTGATTTTGTTATCCTGACCTGCCTGAGGAGTGGATATTACTCCTTAGTCCAAATGCATTCTACACCATGGAGCCTCAACTGGCACTATAAACTTAATTAAATACTGTCATTGAAACCAGCTGTAAACTAAGTAATAAAAGCATTTTTATTTTTCTAGCTGGAGCCCAGAAAATCTGACAAATTTTGGATCAGAGTAATAGACATATTTTGGGCATGCCTGTCCACAAAATGTCACTGTTGAAGGACTGGACTTAGAGAGCCTGTTCAAATCTATGACCCACCTCCCTAACTACCTTCAGCCAACTGGGCTGTGGTTTTCACCTGATCTAAGTTAAGCTGGTCAGATTCATCTGGGGTGTTGAAGGACAATGGGTAGCTGAGCTAATAACACTGAAGATTGAGGGGCTTAGGCTGTGTTTTTATGGTAAGCCATAATGGACCATGTCCAAATAGATGAGGGAGAGTAAGAAGCAATTCGCACAGAGATAAAAAATAAAACAGAAAGAAGAAAAGGTTGTGTGGCATGAAAAAAGATATGCGCAGTTTTGAGAATTGGGAAATAAAAACAGGCAGTCTTTTGTTTTTTCCCAATGATGTTTTCTGTACTTGTTGCCCTCCATAAATTTCTAGATTTCTCTGTATCCTTTATTTAAAATATCACTAGGTGGGGTTTTTTCAGTCCTTGCAACTCAAAGCTATTTAACCAGAATAGTCAGGAAAATAGTGCATTAGAGTTAGTATATTTAAATTAAAAGTTTCAAAAGTTCTCCTGTTAAAAGTTTAGACACATTTCTTTTCTTTTTAAATGAAAAACTGCAATAGCATCTTTTTATCTCAGTAGGGAAACACCTTCTCTCTCCTTAGAATTCAAGCAATAACAATTCTGTGGGGTAATGATTATTCTAGATGCATGGTACCATGTAAATTAATCTATTGCTTTGGCTGCACTGCTCCAAAAAACAGTGCTGATGCTGAGTGCACAGAATGAAAAAATTAATTAGCCAGACTGCGAAATCAAATAAATCTCACAGTGGCGACCTTTGTGTAGTAGAATAAGGAAAAGCATTAAGTTCATGTAACAACCTTGGTAGAAGTAAAACCAAGCTTAAATAGGGCCAAGTGTTCTTATAATTTAAACTGGATCGTATAGTCCAGGCCCACAAGAAAGTCCTGGCAGAGAAAATTGATCTTAAGGGTCTGGTCAATAGCAAACTGTTGGTCTTTGACTAAAATGCAGTCTTCTTCATTAATGTTCCAAGAAGAAAAACAACACAGAGAAAATAAACACACTGATTTCTTCTCCTGTACAAATTATCTCCCTGTACTAGGTTAAGCCACAGAACACGAGGCAGTTAGTTCATCTTGTTGCTCTGAGCTTTCACCGCTGCAGTTTGTCTTAGGCCTGCAGCTGATACTCATCATCTTTCACCTCTACTTCTCATTCTAGATTTTTCTCACATTCCGCAGGTTCTGTTACTGTGCAAGGTGTCTTTGCTAATGGAGTGACACGGAACTTCATCAGCAAGGGGTCTGAGACCACAGTCAGCACAGAGTTCTCAGGTTGTGGCTGCTTTCCTGGTCCATTTACCATTAAAATTGGCCAGCAGAGTACCAAGAGAAGTACCTAAGTGTCAAACTTCTTCTTCCCTGCAAACCACTTACCCTCACGTGTCATAACAGCTCTATTTCCTTTTCATGGCCACAGTCAACTACCCCTACCGTTGTAATGATTCCTTTGATGCCCTGAGAGTTCCTTGGTATGAGGAGCCTAAATGAAAAGATGGCAGACAAAGCTCAAACCTCGTACTTAAATAGGATTCTAACCCTATCTCTTGTAGAAGAAACAAGACCTATAGAAGCACAGAACCTAAGCTCGTGGAGAAGAAAGCACTTCTGTCTCCCCTCTGGGCCCTTAATGTCATGTATTCTACTTAATGGGCACAGGGTGATAGAATCTGTGGACCCCATGGTTATGTGTCCACTGCCAGAGCTACTTTGCTGTAAAATGAGTCCATGGCTGTGTTTGCATTGCTATGAAGGAATTGGTCCATTTGCATTGAGCAAATGGTAAGCCCTCCTAAGGCGCTTTTCCATGTGAGGACTTGTGTGAAGAAGCCAGCAGACATTCTCAATCCTTCTTTTTTTTTTCTTTTCTTTTTATTATTATTATTATTATTATTACACTTTAAGTTTTAGGGTACATGTGCACAATGTGCAGGTTAGTTACATATATATACATGTGCCATGCTGGTGTGCTGCACCCATTAACTCGTCATTTAGCATTAGGTATATCTCCTAATGCTATCCCTTCCCCCTCCCCCCGCCCCACAACAGTCCCCAGAGTGTGATGTTCCCCTTCCTGTGTCCATGTGTTCTCATTGTTCAATTCCCACCTATGAGTGAGAACATGAGGTGTTTGGTTTTTTGTTCTTGCGATAGTTTACTGAGAATGATGATTTCCAATTTCATCCATGTCCCTACAAAGGACATGAACTCATCATTTTTTATGGCCACATAGTATTCCATAGTGTATATGTGCCACATTTTCTTAATCCAGTCTATCATTGTTGGACATTTGGGTTGGTTCCAAGTCTTTGCTATTGTGAATAGTGCCGCAATAAACATACGTGTGCATGTGTCTTTATAGCAGCATGATTTATAGTCCTTTGGGTACACACCCAGTAATGGGATGGCTGAGTCAAATAGTATTTCTAGTTCTAGATCCCTGAGGAATCGCTACACTGACTTCCACAAGGGTTGAACTAGTTTACAGTCCCACCAACAGTGTAAAAGTGTTCCTATTTCTCCACATCCTCTTCAGCACCTTTTGTTTCCTGACTTTTTAATGATTGCCATTCTAACTGGTGTGAGATGGTATCTCATTGTGGTTTTGATTTGCATTTCTCTGATGGCCAGTGATGGTGAGCATTTTTTCATGTGTTTTTTAGCTGCATAAATGTCTTCTTTTGAGAAGTGTCTGTTCATGTCCTTCGCCCACTTTTTGATGGGGTTGTTTTATTCTTGTAAATTTGTTTGAGTTCATTGTAGATTCTGGATATTAGCCCTTTCTCAGATGAGTAGGTTGTGAAAATTTTCTCCCATTCTGTAGGTTGCCTGTTCACTCTGATGGTAGTTTCTTTTGCTGTGCAGAAGCTCTTTAGTTTAATTAGATCCCATTTGTCAATTTTGTCTTTTGTTGCCATTGCTTTTGGTGTTTTAGACATGAAGTCCTTGCCCATGCCTATGTCCTGAATGGTAATGCCTAGGTTTTCTTCTAGGGTTTTTATGGTTTTAGGTCTAACATTTAAGTCTTTAATCCATCTTGAATTAATTTTTGTATAAGGTGTAAGGAAGGGATCCAGTTTCAGCTTTCTACATATGGGTAGCCAGTTTTCCCAGCACCATTTATTAAATAGGGAATCCTTTCCCCATTGCTTGTTTTTCTCAGCTTTCTCAAAGATCAGATAGCTGTAGATATGCGGCGTTATTTCTGAGGGCTCTGTTCTGTTCCATTGATCTAGATCTCTGTTTTGGTACCAGTACCATGCGTTTTGGTTACTGTAGCCTTGTAGTATAGTTTGAAGTCAGGTAGTGTGATGCCTCCAGCTTTGTTCTTTTGGCTTAGAATTGACTTGGCGATGCGGGCTCTTTTTTGGTTCCATATGAACTTTAAAGTAGTTTTTTCCAATTCTGTGAAGAAAGTCATCGGTAGCTTGGTGGGGATGGCATTAAATCTATAAATTACCTTGGGCAGTATGGCCATTTTCATGATATTGATTCTTCCTACCCATGAGCATGGAATGTTCTTCCATTTGTTTGTATCCTCTTTTATCTCATTGAGCAGTGGTTTGCAGTTCTCCTTGAAGAGGTCCTTCACATCCCTTGTAAGCTGGATTCCTAGGTATTTTATTCTCTTTGAAGCAATTGTGAATGGGAGTTCACTCATGATTTGGCTCTCTGTTTGTCTGTTATTGGTGTATAAGAATGCTTGTGATTTTTGTACATTGATTTTGTATCCTGAGACTTTGCTGAAGTTGCTTATCAGCTTAAGGAGATTTTGGGCTGAGACGATGGGGTTTTCTAGATATACAATCATGTCATCTGCAAACAGGGACAATTGGACTTCCTCTTATCCTAATTGAATACCCTTTATTTCCTTCTCCTGCCTAATTGCCCTGGCCAGAATTTCCAACACTATGTTGAATAGGAGTGGTGAGAGAGGGCATCCCTGTCTTGTGCCAGTTTTCAAAGGGAATGCTTCCAGTTTTTGCCCATTCAGTATGATATTGGCTGTGGGTTTGTCATAGATAGCTCTTATTATTTTGAGATACGTCCCAACAGTACCTAATTTATTGAAAGTTTTTAGCATGAAGGGCTGTTGAATTTTGTCAAAGGCCTTTTCTGCATCTATTGAGATAATCGTGATTTTTGTCATTGGTTCTGTTTATATACTGGATTACATTTATTGATTTGCATATATTGAACCAGCCTTGCATCCCAGGGATGAAGCCCACTTGATCATGGTGGATAAGCTTTTTGATGTGCTGCTGGATTCGGTTTGCCAGTATTTTATTGAGGATTTTTGCATCAATGTTCATCAAGGACATTGGTCTAAAATTCTCTTTTTTGGTTGTGTCTCTGCCTGGCTTTGGTATCAGGATGATGCTGACCTCATAAAATGAGCTAGGGAAGATTCCCTCTTTTTCTGTTGATTGGAATAGTTTCAGAAGGAATGGTACCAGTTCATCCTTATGCCTCTGGTAGAATTCGGCTGTGAATCCATCTGGTCCTGGACTCTTTTTGGTTGGTAAGCTATTGATTATTGCCACAAATTCAGAGCCTGTTATTGGTCTATTCAGAGATTCAACTTCTTCCTGGGTTAGTCTTGGGAAAGGGTATGTGTCGAGGAATTTATCCATTTCTTCTAGATTTTCTAGTTTATTTGAATAGAGGTGTTTGTAGTATTCTCTGATGGTAGTTTGTATTTCTGTGGGATCGGTGGTGACATCCCCTTTTTCATTTTTTATTGCGTCTATTTGATTCTTCTCTCTTTCTTCTTTATTAGTCTTGCTAGCGGTCTATCAATTTTGTTGATCCTTTCAAAAAACCAGCTCCTGGATTCATTAATTTTTTGAAGGGTTTTTTGTGTCTCTATTTCCTTCAGTTCTGCTCTGATTTTAGTTATTTCTTGCCTTCTGCTAGCTTTTGAATGTGTTTGCTCTTGTTTTTCTAGTTCTTTTAATTGTGATGTTGGGGTGTCAGTTTTGGATATTTCCTGCTTTCTCTTGTGGGCATTTAGTGCTATGAATTTCCCTCTACACACTGCTTTGAATGTGTCCCAGAGATTCTGGTATGTTGTGTCTTTGTTCTCATTGGTTTCAAGGAACATCTTTATTTCTGCCTTCGTTACGTTATGTACCCAGTAGTCATTCAGGAGCAGGTTGTTCAGTTTCCATGTAGTTGAGCGGTTTTGAGTGAGTTTCTTAATCCTGAGTTCTAGTTTGATTGCACTGGGGTCTGAGAGATAGTTCGTTATAAGTTCTGATCTTTTACATTTGCTGAGGAGAGCTTTACTTCCAACTATGTGGTCAATTTTGGAATAGGTGTGGTGTGGTGCTGAAAAAAATGTATATTCTGTTGATTTGTGGTGGAGAGTTCTGTAGATGTCTATTAGTGCAGAGCTGAGTTCAATTCCTGGGTATCCTTGTTAAGTTTCTCTCTCGTTGATCTGTCTAATGTTGACAGTGGGGTGTCATAGACAACATAACACCCTAGTGACACCAGATTTTGTTAACCATCTCTATAGCTCCTCATAGGTCAGGTCTCCTGGTAGTCACTCCAACCCTTTCTAACCTAGCCACTCGTGAAGATAATTTGCACTAATGTTACTTCCACCAGATAACTACTAGTTTGGATTTCTATAAGCCCCTTAGCGACTACATAATTCTGTTCAGTAATAGTGTCTCCTACAGTCAGCCATGCCTAGAGAGGACATCTACCAAAGCGTCTCATTGATGCTGCTGCTCTATCAGCAATGCATTCCTTATCACATTGGTAAACAGAATATGTAATAGGCTTGTATTCATTTGGGTTTAGATTTTTTGTTGCTGCTCAGCATGTTTTTGAGATTCACCTATGTTGTTGTATGCAACATATACAAGTATTTCTTTTTCTTTTTATTGATGAACAGTATTCCATTCTATGTAAGTATCATAATTTGTATCCATTCACTTGTTTATGAACTGGTGGGTTATTTCCAGTTGTAAGGTATTAAAACTAAGCATCTATGAATCCTATATATATGTGTGTGTATATATACGTCTTTTGTGCGTACATGTTTGCATTTCTCTTAAGGAAACCCCAAGGAGTGTTACTGCCGGTTCATATGACAAGTGGTACATATTTAACTTTTTATAAAAATAAAACTGGCAAACAGTTTTTCAAATAAATTTTACTGTTATACATTCTCAGCAGCAATGTATGAATACTCCAGGAACTGCATATTCTCACCAGCACTTGGTACTGTAGGCCTTTTTAATTGTAGTCATTCTCACGAGTATGTGGTCCTATTTCATTTTAGTTTTCATATAATTTCCTGGATGATTCATGATACTGAGCAGAGTTTCATGTACTTATTGGCTATATTTTATTTTGTGAAGTATTTTTTCAAATTTTTGCCCATTGTGGTGGGGACAGTAATTTTTCTATTGAGCTGTAAGGGTTGTTTATGTATTGTGAATATAAAATATTTGAGATACGCACACATACACACAGTACACACAGATGTATATATGATTTGCTTTATATTTTCTACATGCTGTCTTTTAAAGTACAGATGTTGTTAATTTTGAGGATGTGAAACACATCGACTTATCTTTTCTAATTTGTGTCCTCTGAGAAAACTCTGCCTAATCCAAAGTCACAAAGATTGTCTCTTATAATTTCTTTTAGAAGCTGTAGCTTTAGATTTTACATTCAGGATTATAATCCATTTTAAATTCATCTTTGTTCATTGCCTGAGGTAAGTGTTGAAGTTCATTTTTCCATATCAACACCCAGCTGTCTCATAAGCATTTGTTAAAAAATCTATTCTTCACTGCACCCCACCCTACCAATGCCCCTGCCACTGAAATACCATGATTACTTTTTAGGAACTCAATTGAACATATCTGTGTGGTCTAGTTTGGGACAGACTATTCTGTTCCTTCCATGTATGTGTCTGTCTACCTTAGATCTTGATTACCATAGCATAACAGAAAATCTTGAAATCACGTAGCATAAGGCCTCTAACTTTGTTCTTTTTCAAAAAAATTGAGGTCACTCTAGATCCTTTGCATTCCTTGACAAATTTCGTAATAGTTTCTCAATTTCTCTTCCAAATATAAAGTCTGTTAGAATATTGACTGAAGTTGTACTGAAGGTATAGACCCGTTTTGGAGAATATCTTAATAATATTGAATCTTCCAACATAGCGTTATGGTTTATGTCTCTCTTTTAAAAAAGATTTCCTTTCATTTCTCACAACATTTTGTACTTTTAAGTGTATAGATCTTATAGATTATATTAAAATTTTCTCTAATAAGTGTTTTGTAATTTTTGAGCTATCAAAAATGGCATTAGCTAGGAGTGGTGGCTCACATCTGTAATTCCAGCACTTTGGGAGTCCGAGGTGGGTAGACCACCTGAGCACAGCCTGGGCAATACAGTGATACCTCATCTCTCCACAAAAAATAAACAAACAATAGGCATGGCGGCATGCTCCTGTAGTCCCAGCTACTCAGGAGGATTGGCTGAGCCCAGGAGGCAGAGGTTTCAGTGAGCTGAGATTGCACCACTGCACTCCAGCCTGTATGACAAAGTGAGACTCTATCTCAAAAACAAAACAAAACAAAACAAAAAACAAGAAAAGACAAAATATATTTTAAGAAATAAATTATAAAAAATGACAATTGCTATTTAAATTTAGTTTCCTAAATATATAAATTATATATAAAAATACAATTGTTTCTATATCTTGACCATGTATACTGAAATGTTTCTAAATTCACTTATTAGTTTTAATGGCTTTTCATATTATGGATTCCTTTTTTGCATACCAATCATGCTGTCTATTAATAAAGTTTTACATCTTCTTTCCAACTTGCTTGCCTATGGACCCCATCCCCAACCCCTCGCACCCACTAAGTCATCCAGTAAAATGTTGTATATTAAAGCAGTGGGAAAAGGCATCCTTGTCTTTTTCCCAGACTTAAAAGGAAAATAATTTAGTCTTTCATCATTAAACTGTGGTGATATGTTAGCCTTTATTGCATTGTGGAAGTTTTCTTTTATCTCTAGTTCACTGAAAGTTTCTATCATAAATGGATATTGAATTTTATCAAAATTCTTTACTTTGCTTGTTCCTATTGAGATGATTATACCATTTGTCTTTACTCTGTAAATATAGTGAATTACACTGATTGATTTTCAAATGTTAAACTCAATTTGCAGTCCTGGGGCAAACCCCACTTGGCCATTTTATAATATTTTCTTTATGTATTACCGGATTATACTTTCTAACATTTTGTTAAATATTTTTGCATGTTTATTCTTAAGCAATATTGATCTGTAGCTTTCTTGTCTTTTTCTTTCTGGCTTTTATATAACTGGGAATAACCTGATTTTTATGTAACCAGAAATTATTATTCCTCAATGATCCCCCTTCATCATTTAATTCAAACAATTTCTTTAGAAGAAAGACATCTTTTTGACATGAGAGAAATTATTTCATAGTAATATTAGCCCTAAATTTTTTGTTCCAACAAATTTTGAGTTTAGAGCATACCTTCATTTTAGGATTGTAACTTAGAAATGAAAGATCAAAAAGGTAGGGGAAGGTGATTATTGACTCTTTCCTAATCTGAATGGTTTTTTATCTAAGTGCTTGAAATATTTTTACTATGTGATTATACACACACACACACACACACTCGTATTCTCTTGAATCTTCTCCAGTTGATACTGACATTCTGTGAAAGAAAACAGTACTAGCTATTGTGCCCAAGAGGATATGAGAGAGATTTCTTTCCTATCCCCTTGTGACTTGTAGGAAGTATAGAGAAGCATCTAAAATGCTTACTCTCGCAAACAGAATCCAGTAACTTTTACCCATGATTGATTTTCCTTTCTCTGTTACTGCAGCTCCGAGTGGGACAGACATTGGTATACCAGCACTAGGCAGCGCAGCTGCGGACACACAGTGACACCGAGTAATGTGGCAGGCCTCCTTTTAAGTACATCAAGTGGAGGCCCAGACAGCAGGGGCACAATTTAAATAGAGTCTTCCTGATGCAACACCTTTCAGACTCTGAAAGAGGCCCTTTTTTAGGAGGTGTGACACTCATATTAGATAAGGCAATCGTAACTGTAAATAAGGCATACTCCAGAGGACTGACAATGCTTTTCAGAAATCCAATTACATGCTCTTATTTGGTGTTAGTGCAAACAGAAAAATAACAAGCCAACTTATTTCATCCCCACCGTGATTTCCTCAAGGCTAATTAAAGTGCACTCTGCTGATGCCTAAATCATTCAACTCCAGGCAATCCAAAGATTTAAAGGGACAAACACCCAATCAATGCGTGGCTGTCAGTAAGTGGCATTGTGTTTGGAAATGGGCACAATAAAGTCCTTCATTAACTTGAATGCTGGAAACTCCCTGTGAAAAAAAATTGGTCTAACAAATTTACTGCCATAGATTTATGAACTAGACTTCATCACTCTGCATAAAGAACTGATAAGTGATCAATGATTCTTCACAACATATGGCATAATCAATACGAATTTGGGGAGGAGATAGAAAGACATTAATAATGCGTATTTTATGTACAGGCCTGTTCCTAAAGATTAAGGGCACCATAAATCACACAGGAGCTGAGTAAAGCTAGAATAAAAATAATTACTTTAGTAAATGTAGTATTCAAATTTTAGAATTAGAAAAAATATCTATATTATCTTGGGTGGCTTTAAAAAGATTTTAAAATATTTATAAGGTTTTTATTTCATGGTAAGGTTTTGGGGGATGTTGTTGGTAGCTTTTTCCCCCAGTCATTTTGCTTGTCACTTTATTAATAATTCCAAATAATGACAAAGAAATATATTTGTATGTCTAAATTACTCAGAACTATTTTCAGGAAAAAACAATATTAGCCATGCCCTAGGGCACACTGTTAGGACCCCTTGATTCCATTATCAAGTAGGTCTGTTTAGCTCTCTCCTCGTTCGTTACTGAAGGTCAAAATTTATGAATGAGCCCTTCTGTATTACCATAAAATGTGCACTCCAGATTTGTGCCAGAGATTAAAATCTTAATCTCATAACTCCTCTTCAAAGCTTAGATCTGAAAATTAGAACACCTAACTGATCGGCTGCCCAGCATTCACTTTTCTTACAACATATCCTCACGAAGGAGCAAATTCAAATTGTGTTACTGTGTGTTTCTTGCAGACCTGAATGAGGTTTGATAGTATGACATTTGCTTGTAATGAGGAATAATGCGTAACAATGTTCACTACATCACATAGGGTCTTCTCTATGAAAGCTCATGGGAGAATTTTCCATCATTCCAGTAGCAAGAAAAGTTAATTTTCTCCTGAAAAAAAATGGTTTATATTTGTTGTAACAACACTCTATCACAACAGAAACAGTTTTTTTACTTTTAAAAGTAATTTTATATTGGTTACATGTTAAAATAATTGTTGATACCTTGAGCTACATAAAATCATTATGAAAATTAATTTTAGCTGTTTCACTTTTTAACTTTTTAAATATGTCTTCTAGAAAATTTACAGTTACATATGTGGTGGGCTTGCATGACTTGCATTGTTTCTTTTCAACAGTGATCTAGAGAAAGCTTGGTCATGGCTTTTTTTTTATTATACTTTAAGTTTTAGGGTACATGTGCACAATGTGCAGGTTAGTTACATATGTATACATGTGCCATGTTGGTGTGCTGCACCCATTAACTCATCATTTAACATTAGGTATATCTCCTAATGCAAATATGGACTTATAGATCAAAGCCATGAGTTTTAGAAGTGTGTTTTAACATTATAGTGTTATAACATTAATATGATATTGTTATATTATAAAATTATAATACTGTAATATTATCAAATTCTTATAATACTGTTATACATAATTTTTAGCCATATCATTATTCAAATATAAGGTTCGTTGCTGAAGTGAATTACTAAAGTCCACCATTCAGAGACCTTCAATGAGTTTTCAGACTTAGAAAAAAAAAGACCGTGCAGTGGTTCACACCTGTAATCCCAGCACATTGAGACATTGAGATGAGAGAATGGCTTGAACCCAGGGATTCAAGACCAGCCTGGGAAACATAGTGAGATACCATCTCTACAACAAAATAAAATAAATTAGCTGGGTGTGGAGGCACACACCTGTAGCCCCTGCTAATTCAGGTCAGTTAGGTAAAAGGATTGCTTGAGCCCAGAAGTTGAGAGCTTGAAGCTGCAGTGAGCCATGATTGTGCCACTGCACTCACAGGGTGAGACACTTTCTCAAACAAACAAAAAGGGAAAAAAAAAAAAGAAAAGAAAAATGATCATTAGTTGTTACTTCAGAGCTTCGGGTTTAAAATAGCATCTAGTTAGCAATTATGCATTCAGATTTTCCATACATTTGGCTGAACTATTTATTATACTACATGAAAAGAGAAAATTTAAAACCACCTAGAAAACATGATTACTGTATAATATGATTTTTTCATTTCTTTGGAGTTTTTGGATGTAATTCAAAATTATAGTGTTGCCTTACCTGAACTGTTGAAATTGAAAGCTAATCCATTATCTCCTCCTTCCCGCCAACCAACAGCCATTAAAAAATAGTACATCTGTATCTACTAAAATACCTAGACATTCCATTTTGATGAAAGAGTGCTTGTTTTTGAGGAAACCCAAAACCTCTCTTTCTGTATGTGGTTAAAGATTGCTATACCTGGAAGAACTATGTTTCAATTAAGGCAAACAGCTAAGGCTTAATGCATCAGGCAAAGGATATTCCAACAAATAAAACCAAGTACACAAGAGTGGAGATAGCCTCACTATTCATGAATTCTGGAACTTAATCTGTACAGAGCAATAGAGAGTGAGGCAGAGGATATATATCTTAGGTCATTTTCTGCTGCTATAACAGAATACCAGAGACTGGGTAATTTATAAACAATAGAAATTTATGTTTTCACAGTTCTGGAGGCTGGGAAGTCCAAAGTCAAGGGGCCATACCTGGCGAGGGCCTTCTTGCTGCATCATAATGTGGCAGAAGGCATCAGATGGGTGAGACAGAGAGAGGGAAGGGGGGTGAACTCCTCCTTTTGTAAGGACCCCACTATTGTGATAATGCCATTTATCCACTCATGAGGGCAAAGCCCTCATGACCCAGTCACCTCTTATATGTCCCACTCCTCAACACTGTTGCACTGGGGATTAAGTTTCCAACAAATGAACTTTGGGGGACACATTCAAACCACAGCAGTATAGGAGAAGATCAATCAGAACAGAATTGGGCCAAAAGATATGGACAACAGTCTCTGAGAAGGGGCTTCAAACAGAATTTGTGAAAGAGTGAGGCAAATCCATACTCATCATTTGGCAAACACTGAGTTTTGATAGATAGAGTTTTCTGCATTAGACAGTGAAAAAACAACAATAACAAGAATAGTAAAATTAACATAACATTTTCATATAAACAGAAAGGAAAATGAAAGGGCATTCTAATAATCCATATTTTAAAAGAGAAATCTGAATTAAGAACCCACAAGAAAGAATTCCAAGAGACAATTTAGTATGTGTTTAAAAACAGAAGATTGTTTTTGAGACACTCCACATTTTTATTAGCTTTCATTGCAAGTAAAAAGGGAGAATTTTATTTGTTTCATTTGAAATTTAATTATTGGACGCCAAACAGGAACAGCTCCAGTCTACAGCTCCCAGAGTGAGCGACGCAGAAGACGAATGATTTCTGCATTTCCAATTGAGGTACCAGGTGCATCTCTCTGGGGATTGTCGGACAGTGGGTACAGGACAGTGGGTGCAGTGCACCGAGCCTGAGCTGAAACATGGCGAGGCATTGCCTCACCAGGGAAGTGCAAGGGGGCAGAGAATTCCCTTTCCTAGCCAAGGAAAGGGGTGACAGACAGCACCTGGAAAACCAGGTCACTCCCACCCTAATACTGTCCTTTTCTGACAGTCTTAGCAAACGGCACACCAGGAGATTATATCCCACACGTGGCTCGGACGGTCCTACATCCACGGAGCCTCGCTCATTGCTAGCACAGCAGTCTGAGATCAAACTGCAAGGCAGCAGAGAGGCTAGGGGAGGGGCACCCGCCATTGCCGAGGCTTGAGTAAATAAACAAAGCGGCCAGGAAGCTCAAACTTGGTGGAGCCCACCACAGCTCAAGGAGGCCTACCTGCCTCTGTAGACTGCACCTCTGGAGGCAGGGCATAGCTGAACAAAAGGCAGCAGAAACCTCTGCAGACTTAAATGTCCCTGTCTGACAGCTTTGAAGAGAGTAATGGTTCTCCCAGCACCGAGTTTGAGATCTGAGAATGGACAGACTGCCTCCTCAAGTGGGTCCCTGACTCCGGAGTAGCCTAACTGGGAGGTACCCCCCAGTAGGGGGAGACTGGCACCTCACACGGCCGGGTACTCCTCTGAGACAAAACTTCCAGAGGAACGATAAGGAAACAACATTTGCTGTTCACCAATATCTGCTGTTCTGCAGCCTCCGCTGCTGATAACCAGGCAAACAGGGTCTGGAGTGGACCTCTAGCAAACTCCAACAGACCTGCAGCTGAGGGTCCTGACTGTTAGAAGGAAAACTGACAAACAGAAAGAACATCCACACCAAAACCCAATCTGTACGTCACCATCATCAAAGAGAAATGGTAGATAAAACCACAAAGATGGGGAAAAAACAGAGCAGAAAAACTGGAAACTCTAAAAATCAGAGCACCTCTCCTCCTCCAAAGGAATGCAGCTCCTCACCAGCAACAGAACAAAGCTGGACAGAGAATGACTTTGACGAGTTGAGAGAAGAAGGCTTCAGACAATCAAACTACCCCAAGCTAAAGGAGGAAGTTTGAACCCATGGCAAAGAAGTTAAAAACCTTGAAAAAAGATCAGATGAACGGCGAACTAGAATAACCAATGCAGAGAAGTCCTTAAAGGACCTGATGGAGCTGAAAACCAAGGCACAAGAACTACGTGATGAATGCACAAGCTTCAGTAGCCCATTTGATCAACTGGAAGAAAGGGTATCAGTGATGGAAGATCAAATGAATGAAATGAAGCATGAAGAGAAGTTCAGAGGAAAAAGAATAAGAGGAAATGAAGAAAGCCTCCAAGAAATATGGGACTATGTGAAAAGACCAAATTTATGTCTGATTGGTGTACCTGAAAGTGACGGGGAGAATGGAACCAAGTTGGAAAACACTCTGC
Organism: Homo sapiens; assembly: GCF_000001405.40. NCBI lineage: Eukaryota > Metazoa > Chordata > Mammalia > Primates > Hominidae > Homo > Homo sapiens. Next base: position 1,683,223 of record NC_000003.12, read on the forward strand.
AGGATATTACCCAGGAGAACTTCCCCAATCTAGCAAGGCAGGCCAACATTCAAATTCAGGAAATACAGAGAACGCCACAAAGATACTCCTCAAGAAGAGCAAGTCCAAGACACATAATTGTCAGATTTACCAAAGTTGAAATGAAGGAAAAAATGTTAAGGGCAGACACAGAGAAAGGTCCGGTTACCCGCAAAGGAAAGCCCAACAGACTAACAGCTGATCTCTCGGCAGAAACTCTACAAGCCAGAAGAGAGAGGAGGCCAATATTCAACATTCTTAAAGAAAAGAATTTTCAACCCAGAATTTCATATCCAGCCAAACTAAGCTTCATAAGTGAAGGAGAAATAAAATCCTTTACAGACAAGCAAATGCTGAGAGATTTTGTCACCACCAGGCCTGCCCTACAAGAGCTCCTGAAGGAAGCACTAAACATGGAAAGGAACAACCAGTACCAGCCACTGCAAAAACATGCCAAACTGTAAAGACCATCGAGGCTAGGAAAAAACTGCATCAACTAATGAGCAAAATAACCAGCTAGCACCATAATGACAGGATCAAATTCACACATAACAATATTAACCTTAGATGTAAATGGGCTAAATGCTCCAATTAAAGGACACAGACTGGCAAATTGGATAAAGAGTCAAGACCCATCAGTGTGCTGTATTCAGGAGACCCATCTCACATGCAGGGACACACATAGGCTCAAAATAAAGGGATGGAGGAAGATCTACCAAGCAAATGGAAAACAAAAAAAAACAGGGGTTGCAATCCTAGTATCTGATAAAACAGGCTTTAAACCAACAAAGATCAAAAGAGACAAAGAAGGACATTACATAATGGTAAAGGGATCAATTCAACAAGAAGAGCTAACTATCCTAAATATATATGCACCTAATACAGGAGCACCCAGATTCATAAAGCAAGTCCTCAGAGACTTACAAAGAGACTTAGACTCCCACACAATAATAATGGGAGACTTTAACACCCCACTGTCAACATCAGACAGATCAACGAGGCAGAAAGTTAACAAGGATATCCAGGAATTGAACTCAGCTCTGCAGCAAGCGGACCTGATAGACATCTACAGAACTCTCCACCCCAAATCAACAGAATATACATTCTTTTCAGCACCACACCACACCTATTCCAAAATTGACCACATAGTTGGAAGTAAAGCATTCCTCAGCAAATGTAAAAGATCAGAAATTGTAACAGTCTCAGACCACAGTGCAATCAAACTAGAACTCAGGGTTAAGAAACTAACTCAAACCGCTCAACTACATGGAAACTGAACAACCTGCTCCTGGATGACTACTGGGTACACAATGAAATGAAGACAGAAATAAAGATGTTCTTTGAAATCAACGAGAACAGAGACACAACATACCAGAATCTCTGGGACATATTCAAAGCAGTGTGTAGAGGGAAATTCATAGCACTAAATGCCCACAAGAGAAAGGAGGAAAGATCTAAAATTGACACCCTAACATCACAATTAAAAGAACTAGAGAAGCAAGAGCAAACACATTCAAAAGCTAGCAGAAGGCAAGAAATAACTAAGATCAGAGCAGAACTGAAGGAAATAGAGACACAAAAAACCCTCCTAAAAATCAATGAATCCAGGAGCTGGTTTTTTGAAAAGATCAACAAAATTGATAGACCACTAGCAAGACTAATAAAGAAGAAAAGAGAGAAGAATCAAATAGATGCAATAAAAAATGATAAAGGGGATATCAACACCAATCCCAAAGAAATACAAACTACCATCAGAGAATACTATAAACACCTCTACGCAAATAAACTAGAAAATCTGGAAGAAACGGATGAATTCCTCAACACATACCCTTTCCCAAGACTAACCCAGGAAGAAGTTGAATCTCTGAATAGACCAATAACAGGCTCTGAAATTGAGACAGTAATTAATAGCTTGCCAACCAAAAAAAAGTCCAGGACCAGATGGATTCACAGCCGAATTCTACAAGAGGCACAAGGAGGAGCTGGTACCATTCCTTCTGAAACTATTCCAATCAATAGAAAAAGAGGGAATCCTCCCTAACTCATTTTATGAGGCCAGCATCATCCTGATACCAAAGCCCGGCAGAGACACAACAAAAAACAGAGAATTTTAGACCAATATCCCTGATGAACATCGATGCAAAAATCCTCAATAAAATACTGGCACACCTAATCCAGCAGCACATGAAAAAGCTTATCCACCATGATCAAGTGGGCTTCATCCCTGGGATGCAAGGCTGGCTCAACATACACATGTCAATAAACATAATCCAGCATATAAACAGAACCAATGACAAAAATCACATGATTATCTCAATAGATGCACAAAAGGCCTTGACAAAATTCAACAGCCCTTCATGCTAAAAACTCTCAATAAATTAGGTATTGTTGGGACGTATCTCAAAATAATAGGAGCTATCTATGACAAACCCACAGCCAATATCATACTGAATGGGCAAAAACTGGAAGCATTCCCTTTGAAAACTGGCACAAGACAGGGATGCCCTCTCTCACCACTCCTATTCAACATAGTGTTGGAAGTTCTGGCCAGGGCAATTAAGCAGGAGAAAGAAATAAAGGGTATTCAGATAGAAAAAGAGGAAGTCCAATTGTCCCTGTTTGCAGATGACATGATTGTATATCTAGAAAACCCCATCGTCTCAGCCCAAAATCTCCTTAAGCTGATAAGCAACTTCAGCAAAGTCTCAGGATACAAAATCAATGTACAAAAATCACAAGCATTCTTATACACCAATAACAGACAAACAGAGAGCCAAATCATGAGTGAACTCCCATTCACAATTGCTTCAAAGAGAATAAAATACCTAGGAATCCAACTTACAAGGGATGTGAAGGAATTCTTCAAGGAGAACTGCAAACCACTGCTCAATGAGATAAAAGAGGATACAAACAAATGGAAGAACATTCCATGCTCATGGGTAGGAAGAATCAATATCATGAAAATGGCCATACTGCCCAAGGTAATTTATAGATTTAATGCCATCCCCACCAAGCTACCGATGACTTTCTTCACAGAATTGGAAAAAACTACTTTAAAGTTCATATGGAACCAAAAAAGAGCCCGCATCGCCAAGTCAATTGTAAGCCAAAAGAACAAAGTTGAAGGCATCATGCTACCTGACCTCAAACTTTACTACAAGGCTACAGTAACCAAAACAGCATGGTACTGGTACCAAAACAGAGATATAGACCAATGGAACAGAATAGAGCCCTCAGAAATAATGCCACATATCTACAACTATCTCATCTTTGACAAACCTGAGAAAAACATGAAATGGGGAAGGCTTCCTTATTTAATAAATGGTGCTGGGAAAACTGGCTAGCCATATGTAGAAAGCTGAAACTGGATCCCTTCCTTACACCTTCCACAAAAATTAATTCAAGATGGATTAAAGACTAGAACCATAAAAACCCTAGAAGAAAACCTAGGCAATACCATTCAGGACATAGGCATGGGCAAGGACTTCATGTCTAAAACACCAAAAGCAATGGCAACAAAAGACAAAATTGACAAATGGGATCTAATGAAATTAAAGAGCTTCTGCACAGCAAAAGAAACTACCATCAGGGTGAATAGGGAACCTACAGAATGGGAGAAAATTTTTGCAATCTACTCTTCTGACAAAGGGCTAATATCCAGAATCTACAATGAACTCAAACAAATTTACAAGAAAAAAACAAACAACCCCATCAACAATTGGGCGAAGGATATGAACAGACACTTCTCAAAAGAGGACATTTATGCAGCCAAAAGACACATGAAAAAATGCTCATCATCACTGGCCATCAGAGAAATGCAAATCAAAACCACAATGAGATACCATCTCACACCAGTTGGAATGGTGATCATTAAAAAGTCAGGAAACAACAGGTGCTGGAGAGGATGTGGAGAAATAGGAACACTTTTACACTGTTGGTGGGACTGTAAACTAGTTCAACCATTTGTGGAAGTCAGTGTAGCGATTCCTCAGAGATCTAGAACTAGAAATACCATTTGACCCAGCCATCCCATTACTGGGTATATACCCAAAGGATTATAAATCATGCTGCTATAAAGACACATGTACACGTATGTTTGCTGCGGCACTATTCACAGTAGCGAAGACTTGGAACCAAGCCAAATGTCCAACAATGATAGACTGGATTAAGAAAATGTGGCACACATACACCATGGAATACTATGCAGCCGTAAAAAAAGGATGAGTTCATGTCCTTTGTAGGGACATGGATGATGCTGGAAACCATCATTCTCAGCAAACTATCGCAAGGACAAAAAACCAAACACCTCATGTTCTCACTCATAGGTGGGAATTGAACAATGAGAACACATGCACACAGGAAGGGGAACATTGCACACCGGGGCCTGTTGTGGGGTGGGGGAAGTGGGGAGGGATAGCATTAGGAAATATACCTAATGTTAAATGACAAGCTAATGGGTGCAGCACACCAACATGGCACATGTATATATATGTAACAAACCTGCACGTTGCGCACATGTACCCTAAAACTTAAAGTATAATAAAAAGAAAGAAATTTAATTATTGAAATGACCAACTGTCCAGCTTTCATTGTTAACACTAGAAGTTTTAGTAGACTTCTGCTTGTGTTTGGTTCTATGAAATAATGATATGATTTTTATGATATAACTAGTTGTATAATTAGAATTTTTCTTATTTTATGAACTATAGTGTCTTAAACAGTATGTACTTTGGAACACACAACTAGTGATTAATTAGAATTTTGCTTTATTAAAGCACTAGTTACCTAATAAATAAATATCTTTTCAGCATGGTTCAAAAGCTGGTCAGAATAAACTAGCAAGGAAATACAAAAAAAATTGACTGAATTGTAGAAGATATTGTAAATTAGAACAACACATCTAAAATGGCTCTTACATTTGTACTTATTTGCATATATTAGCATTTAACCAGAGATAAAATTAGGAAACTTTTAGTTGTAATAATACTTGAAAATGATTGTATAATATAGTTTTGTTGTTGTTTTCTTTCGAACTTCTATTTTAGCTTCAAGGGGTACATGTGCAAGTTTGTTACATGGGTAAATTGCATGTCATAGGGGTTTGGTGTACAGATTATTTTGCACCCAGGTAATCAGCATAATATCTGATAGGTAGTTTTTCAATCCTCATCCTTCTTCCACCCTCCACCCTCAAGTAGGTCCCAGAGTCTATTGTTCACCTCTTTATGTCCATGTATACTCAATGTTTAGCTCCCACTAATCATGAATGGAAGATGGTTAGTGATTTTGATGAAGCACTCATCAAAATCAATCATAAGTCAGAACATGTAGTATTTGGTTTTCTGTTCCTGCAATTATTTGTTTAGGATAATGGCCTGTAGCTCCATCCATGTTGCTGCAAAGGACATGATTTCATTATCTTTTATGGCTGTATAGTATTTCATGGTGTATATGTACCACATTTTCTTTACCCAGTCCATCACTGATGGGAATCTAGGCTGATTTCATGTCTTTGCTGTTGTGAATAGTGCTGCGATGAACATACACATGTATGGAGACACAATATTTAAATTAGATAAATCTGTTAGAATCTCAATCATATTATACACTAACTAAACAGTATCATCTTAAGCATGTAATTTAAGAAGTCTATGCTGAGTTTACAATTTTGGAAAGCAGGAATAACAATGAATACCTCACAGTTTCTTGGATTTTAATAACTACAAGTGCCATATAGAGTGGCATAGTAAATACTTGATAAGTGGTAATTAATATTTTGGTTTAAAACCTTTTATAAAAACCTTCTTTCATCTTCATAAGTTCAAAGAGACATGGTCTCTTTGAAATAGAAGGAAGCAATTAGTTAATAAGTACCTGAGATTATAAAGAACAAAAATAAAGAAGAAAAGTAGATAAGAATTAAAGTAAGCTAAAAATGTAATTCTAGGACAAATTTATATTAGACTGCTTCTTCTGATTAGAAAGAAAAAAAAATTACACGTGAATAATATCCACCAAAACAATGACAATAAGCCATGTAAGTGACAAAATCGTAAAGAAAATCCAAGAGTTAAGAACACTAACAAGCCTAAATAACCTCGATTTCAGAAAGTGACAACACTGCCGAGAAAAAAGGAAACCCATTTTTAAATCCCTGCCAGAGTGTTGAAAATGATATACATATCATAAACTGAAGGTAAGTGAAAGAGAGACATTAAAGATCAGCCAGTCTTTTAACAGTGTTATAATTACATGTGGCTGAAATGAAGAAGAGATTCCTAAAAAGCCCTTACCATTGAGGGTTTCTACCTTACCGCCAATTCCTCTTATCAACCAGAAGCAAGTACCTCAAGGTAGTTTGCCAAGAACTAGGGTCAAGGAATAAAAGCTGAGAGAGATGTAGTGACTACAGTCATGGAAGAAAAGCTGAGAGAGATGTAGTGCACAGATAGGGTAGCAAGAGAAATTTCCTCATGGCAAGTTGAACCTTTGCAAGTGCAAAGCAGGCTATCAAAGGTTGAGTGCGGGGCAGCAGAGGAGTTGATACACCTCTGTGGAATTCTGAACCTTCATTTTGTGCATTACAGCCACCCTCCAAGGACTGAGGTCATGACATAATAGCTGAGATAACTTCCTTCAAAGCTCTCTTAGTCTTCAGTGAGTACAATGAAGTGACCCACCAAAGGCTGGAGGCAGGACAGCAGAGTGCCAAGAAATCTTCTACGGCAGAGAAATTTGGTGAAAGAACTGGTGAAGAAATCCTCAGTGACTCAAAAATCTGGGATACAGGCTGAAAAGCAGGGAGAAATCTCAGATAGCTTAGAAATGGATCAGCTAAACTGCAAAGCATGAAGAAAGTTCTGGAATCTTGTCAATGCTCAGATCCCAAGTCCTACTGAAGGGGATTTTTTTTTTCTCTGCACCGTAAAATATGTGAAGTAGTGAACTGAATATGATTGAAACTGCAACAAAGACTAGACTAGACCAAGTTCTACTTTAAGCTACATTGTAGTTCCCCATATTGACATCAAATAGAAGAATGGTTACCATTTGGGGGAAATAAATATCACTTATTGATTCTGTACTATTTGTACATACAGAATATCCAATATACAACCAAAAATTCCATGGCACACCAAGAAGGAAGAAAATAAATTACACATGGTCAAAAGGGAAAACGTTCCATTGAAAGATACTGAGAAATGACCTACATGTTGAAACTATCAGACAAAGACTAAAATAAATATAATACATATAGTAAATAATCTAGTGGAAAGGATGGCTCACCTGTGTACCTAGCTGAAGCATTTCATCTGAGGGACGGAAAGTATAAAAGAAGAAAAGAAACATTTTTGAAATAACAAAAATCAATTAATTAGAAAAAAGACAAAAAGAACATCAACAAAGTTAAAAGTTTCTCTTTCAAAAGAACAAAAAAAATTATAAAAGCATAACAACACTAGTGAAAAAAACAAGAGAGTAAACACAAAACTTTAATATCAGGAAAGAAAGAAACATTTCATAGCTTATAGACTCAAAAAGAATAGGGAAAGTAATGAACATGTTCAGACAGTAAGTATGACAATTTTGATTATATGAACAAATTCACTAAATTTGGGTTTGTCTTCTTGATTTCTTTCTTGGCTATATCATTACTGGTGAATAGAAACATTGCTGATTTTTATACGTTGATTTTTGTATCCTACAACTTTACTGAATACATTTATCAAGTCTAAGAGTTTTCAGTACATTCTTTAGTTTTCTCTAGATATAAGATCATACCATCCATCACCAAAAAGGGACAACTTAACTTCCTTTTTTGTAGTATTTCTTTCTCTTGCCTGATTGCCCTGGCTAGGACTTCCACTACTATGTTGACTGTGAGTGTTGAAAGTAAGCAACCTTGTCTTGTTCCAGTTCTTAGAGAAAAGACTTTCAACTTTTCCCTATTCAGTATGATGTTACCTGTAGGTTTCACACATATGTCCTTTATTATTTTGAGGTATGTTCCTTCTTTGCCTAGTTTGTTGAGTTTTTATCATGAAGAGATGTTGAATTCTATCAAACGTTTTTTCTGTATTTATTGAGATGATGATATAGTTTTTGTCTTTCATTCTGTTGATGTGATGTATCACATTTATTGATTTGCATGTGTCGACCCAGCCTTCCATTCCTGCTATAAATCCCACTTGATCATGTTTTACTATCTTTTCGATGTGCTGTTAAATGTGGTTTGCTAGTATTTTCTGGAGGACTTTTGCATCTCTATTCATCATGGACATTGGCCTATAGTTTTGTGTTGTTGTTGTCACTTTGTTTGGTTTGAGTATCCAGGTAATGCAGTAATTCTGGCCTCATAAAATGAGTTATGGAGAGTTTCTTCCTCTTTGATTTTTGGAAACAGTTCCAGGAAGATTGGTATTAGTTCATTTTGTATATTTAGTAGAATCTGGCTGTGAATTTATCCAGTCCTGGGCTTTTCTTGCTATTGTTTTGGGGAGACGTTTTATTGTTGATTCAGTCTCACTACTCAATGATCTGTTCAGGTTTTATATTTCTTTCTGATTCAATCTTAGTAGGTTTTATGTATCCAAAAATGTATCCACTTCCTCTAAGTTTTTCAGTTTATCAGCATATAGTTGTTCATAATAGTCCCTGACGATGTTTTGTATTTCTGTGGTAACAGTCGTAATGTCTTGTTTTTAATTTTTTATTTCGTTCATCTGGGTATTCATTCTTCTTTTCTTGGTTAATCTAGCTAGTGGTTTATCAATTTTGTTTATCTTTCTGAAAAAACAATTTTTCATTTTTTAGCCCTTTTTATTGTTAAAGTTTCTATTTTATTTATTTCTGTTCTGATCATTATTATTTCTTACAGTAATTTTTGGTTTGCTTTGCTTTTGCTTTTCTAGTTCCTTGAGTGTATTATTAGACTGTTAGTTTGTAATCTTTCTACTTTTTTAATGTAGAGATTTATTTCTATAAATATTCTTAGCATTATTTTTCTGTATCCATCTATTTTAGTATGTTATGTTTCTATTTTGATTTGTTGCAATAATTTTTTAAAATATCCATCTTAACTTCTTCATCAACTCAGTAATCATTCGGGAGCATGTTGTTTAATTTCCATGTAATTGTATAGTTTCTGGAGTTTTTGTTGGTATTAATTTCTGGTTTTATTCCACCATGATCAGAGAAGATACTTGATAGGATTTCAATTTTCAAAAATTTGTTAAGACTTTTTTTGTAGCCTACAATATAGTCTATCCTGGAGAATATTCCATGTGCTGATGAAAAGAGTGTATATTCTGTAGTTATTGGAGAGAATGTTCTGTAAATATCCGTAAGGTCCATTTGGTCTAAAGTTCACTTTAAATCCAATATTTCTTGTTGATTTTCTGTCTAGACTGTCCACTGCTGAGAGTGGGATGTTGAAGTCCCTGACTATTGTTATATTGTACTTTTGCTATCTCTTTTGCTCTAGTAATATTTGTTTTATGAATCTGAGTGTTCTAGTATCAGGTGTATATATAATTACTGTACCCTCTTCCTAGATTGATCCATTTATCATTATATAATGACCTTCTTTGTCCTTTTTTTAAAGCTGTTTTTGCCTTAAAGTTTTTTTTATTTAAGTGTAGTTATTCCTGCTCAACTTTCCTTTCCATTTGTGTGGAATATCTTTTTCTGTTGATAGAGGAGTTAAGATGAAATCACTTAGGCAGATAGTAAAGGTATGGGAGTCCTCAGTAAGGCTTTTCTTTTTAATGAAAAGCAGCCCCAAATCATTTTCTAACAAAAGCAGCCTGTAAAGTTGAGCTACACACATAGACAAGCAAACTGGCAGCTTGCACAGATGAATGCTGACAAGAAATAGGGACTAGACATGTTCAAGATGATGGCTCCACCTTACCTTCTCTTTGTCACCCACATGGACAGTAAGAAACAGACAAGATGGCAACAGCCAAGGAGAGAGTTCACTTGCATAATAAGATTAGGGTGGGGTGACCAGACTTCCCCATGCACTATGTAAATGTCATACCTGATGGAACCAATCTGTGAGCCCTATGTAAATCAGACACCACCTCCTCAAACCAGACTATAAAATCTGGTGCAACTGCTGCCAGCCGCTCCTTTCCACTCTGGGGCCCCTCTCTCTATAGAGGGAGCTGTTTCTCTTTCTCTTTCTCTTCTCTTCTGCCTGTTAAACCTCTGTTCCTAAACATCTCATGTGTGTCCATGTCCTAAATTTTCCTGGTGGGCGAGGACAAACCCAGGGTATATACCACAGACAATGTAGCCACTTTACCATTACTTTACTTTTTAGTCTATGTGTGTTTTTACGGGTAAGGTGAGTTTTTGTAAGCAGCATATCATTGGATCATGGTTTTTTCATCCATAAATTCAGCTTTTCTGTATATTTTCTGCAGAGAATGTAATCCATTTATGTTCAAGGTTATTCTTGATATGTGAGGCTTTGTTCCTATCATATTGTTCACTAGGGTTTTTGTTGTTGTTTTATGTATATTTTTGTTCCTTTCTTTTTCTCTTACTGTTTGACCTTGTAGTTTGTTCACTACTGAATTCTTTCAAACAATTACATGAAAATTAACTCTTATATAATCTCTTTTAAAAAACAGCAGATGAGGTTAACTTTCCCAACTTATTTTAGTAGGCCAGCATTACTCTAATGCCAAATGCTAACAAAAATATTATAAGAAAGGAAAATTATAAAGTAATTGTTCTCATGGACTCAGACACAAAAATCTTTAATAAATTTTTAACAAACAGAGTCTATTAATGTACAAAAAGTTAACATATTATAACCAAGTAGATTTTATTCTATGAATGTAAGTCTGGTTTGATAATTAAAAGTCATTCACTACTATACACCACATTAGTAGAACAAAAGAGAAAAACATATGATAATCTCAGTAGATGTAGGAAAAGCACTTGACAAAATTTGACATCCATTAATAACAGAAGCTCATAACTCGTAATAAAATGATGTTTTATGGATCTCATAAAGGCCATCTAAAAAATAGATAAAGTATCCTTGGATCCCTCTACTTTGTGAAGAAAGGCTGAATGTTTTTCTCTTAAAATTCCTCTACTGTATCTCCTAGCCTTTACAATGATGTAAGAAATAAATAAATAAAGCATAAAGAATTTTAGAAAGAAACAATATTTTCCTTATTTAATGAAAATATTGAATTCATGAAGAATCAAAAGGAATCTACAAGCAAACTAGTAGAACTAAGTGAATTTAGTAAAGTTACAAGGTATGGTTAGCAGGCAAAAATCAATCATATTACATAATGGAAATAAAAAATTATAAATGATGTTTAAAAACAATACTATTCAAAAAGTTTAAGATGCCTTAAATTCCTAATAATATATCTTTCAAAAAGAAAAAGATAGCATGAGCCTTTACATAAAAAACTACAGATAATTGATAGAATTGAAGAAGACCTACATAAATGTAGATATAAACTATATTTATGAATTGACAATATAAATATTGTTAAGGCAGTTATTCTCCCTAAATGGATATATAGAGACACTGCAATCAATAAGGAACTTTTAGCAGAATATTTTTTAAAAACCTAACAACTTAACCCTGAAATTTATGTGGAAATTCAAGAGAATCTAAAAACAGTACTATCTAATAAAAATATATTGTGAGATACACAATTTAAAATTTTCTACTAGCCACTTTATAAAAGTAAAAATGAACTGTAAAGTTAATTTTAATAATGCATCATATTAAGCCAATATAATCAAAATATTATCATTTCAACAAGGGATCAATATTGCAAAATTACTGAGATATTTTACATTTTTTTCAATCTATGTTTTGAAATCAGTGTATATTTTATACTTGCATCACATCTCAATCAGGACAGCTGCATTTTAAGTGCTCAAAGCCACATTGGGCAGATGGCTAACATATTGGACAGCATAGATCTATAATATGCAAAACAATCTTGAGAGAGGAGGAGGAGAAAGAGTAGGAAGTGGGGAAGAAGAGCAAGATGGAGAAGAACAAGATGGATAAAGAGAACAGATGTGAGAAGGAGAAAGAAAACAAGAAAAACAGGAAAAGATGTGACGGTCTAGCCCACCCCATTCTGAGAGTAGCATTAGCATAAGGAGAGATATATAACTGAAAGATAATCAAGGCTCTAGAAACACAGTAATATTCCCATACATATATGATCAGTTGACTTTCAACCAAGATGACAAGTCCATTCAGTGGGAAAGGAAAACTTCTATTAATAAATGATTTTGGAACAAATGGACAGTCATATGATTTTTTTAAGCCTTGAATTCTAACTCTGTACACAAGAATTATTTTTAAGATGGATCATAGCCCCAAATATAAAATCCAGAAATATAAATCTTTCTAAAGGAAACAGAAGGCTATCTTCACAACTTGGAATAGGCAAATATTTCTTGGACAGAACATAAAGCACTAAAAATAGAAAAGAATTTGATAAATTGGACATTGTCAAAATTAAAATAAATGTTAAAATTAGAAACACACTGTTTAGAAAATAAGAAGGCAAACCAAGGACCAAGAGAAAATATTCTCAACACATTGACATGACAGTGTCTTGAGAGGGGCAGAAAACAAACAGGAAGGAACAAGTCTCTTCTTCCTCCTCAGCCTTCCTGTCTCTCTCCCCATAGCAATTCCTGCTGGGAGATCCTAACAGGGAGCCATCTAGCAAAGGGGAAATGTGGGCTCAGAGTCTCAGCACCAACATGACAAAGCAGAACATGAAAGGATGGGTCTGAAGTTGAGAGACAAGACCTTCACTTCTAGCACAGACATACATAAAATAATGGTGCATCCTGTAAGTGATGACATCTTAGATGCAACAAAAAAGCTGTATATAATTATATACTGTATTGCTATCATTACATTATAAACTGGATATAATTATAATTTGTCTAGAATGTAATCTTTTCTCTAATAATTAAGAATAAGGAAAGCAGTGTATTGTGGTTTAGAACAAAACTTAGTATAATATAAAATGGATATTTCTGCCCTCTAACTTCAGAGTATGTTTTCTTGAGATAATTGAAATTAGTGGGGTACAAGACAGTAAGCTCCTGACCTGGTTATCTATTCTTATTATTCTTATCTATCTATTCTTATGTTTCTTATTAACCCAAGAAACAAAGCCCATGCTGCCACTTTGGCTGGTCAATAAGCATCATTAACTGTCCAGCCATTTCTCGTTCTTCACTTCCCATCTTTCCCCTCTTTTCTGTATTTGTACTTTCTTCTTAGAAATGGAATTAGAGATGAACCAAGAGGATATATGTGATTCCCACAGGCTGTGAGTCAGTCTTTTACCAAACCATCTAAATTTCTTCTTTCCTCAGTAAAACACAGTGCAAAAATTTAACAGATAACTTCCTATGCAAATATAATTGTGAAACATCAAAACCAGCCACGATGAAAGGCATCAACATTGCTGGCTGAACATTTTAATCTATCAATAAAAGCAAAGAAATGTTTAAGAGACTGCTGGGGAAAGGAAGGACGTGAGAATCTCTCTTTCTATCCCCTTTGTCATTCTAGTCAGTATGTACCCATGTGCCTTACGCCAGTTTTGGCAGCTGACTAATAGAACTGTACAAATATTGGAGAAAATCCAGAAACTAATGATGAAAGTATTTTCCAGTGATAAAAGGGTAAAGAAGATTAAAATTACTGATTGGAAAGGTAATCTAGAATGAAAAGCAGACAATCCAAGATATAAAGCTGAGAATGGCGTGAATGTTATTAGCAAAGTAGAAAAGTACCAGAAAGATCTAGCAGACTAAAGTTCACAGTGAGTTAGCACTGTACTGCTTCTCCTTTCTACTGGCAGCAACATAAATAAATGTGACTTAAAATTATAAATGTGTCATCCATTTACATATGACAAATTTTTCTCATCCCTAACTTATTTTCTGCCTAATAATTGAGACGGCATTATAAACTGTGTCCATTTTTAATGTATTTTAATAAGAAGAATACTGTAATCAAGATGGAAAATTGAACTGAAATGAAAAGCCTTCATCCCTACAACAAACATATACAATGAACAAATAAAGCATATATTTTTTTCAAAATATGTAAATACAGATTTAAGTTCAAAAATCATAATATGAAAAGTCCAGGTGCCAGAACAAAAGGAAATTTCCACTCTAAGAAGGATCTGAGTCACGGGCATGCCGCTGTATACCAGGCTGTGAGGTCTGCCTGTGTAAGCCTAGAAACTGAGGCTATGCATCTCACAGTCAGGAAAAAATAAACCCGCGTTTTCTCTACAAGTGATCCTCTGGATATGAAGGGAAAGAGGCATCCAAGGGAATGCAGAACCCCTAACTTGCACCATTCCACATGCGGAAATTCACATTCTTGCACTACGTATAAAATCAATACCTAATATAAAAACCTATAAGACACTCCCAGCTTCCTTTTTAAACACTTGTAATTCATATTTTATTTATTTATTTATTTAAGACAAGGTCTGGTACTGTCACCCAGGCTGGAGTGCAGTGGCATGATCTCGGCCCACAGCAGCCTCTGCCTCCTGGGCTCAATCCATCCTCCCACCTCAGCCTCCCAAGTAGCTGGGACCACAGGCATGCACCACCATGCCTGGCTAATTTTTGTATTTTTTGTAGCAACAGGGTTTCTCCATGCTGCTCAGGCTAGTCATAAACTAATGAGCTCAACCTATCTGCCCACCTCGGCCTCCCAAAGTGCTGGGATTATGGGCCTGAGCCACTGAGCCTGGCTGTATGTATATTTATTTCTATTTGCTCCATAAAAAAAAAAATGCACTAGAGTGACTGGGAGTATGTACGTGCATGTATGTGTATCCTTTAATTGTCACTGTGTTATAAAGCAAAGAATCACCAAAAAAAGAGAAAATGAGAAAGGTGGTAACAGTGAAAATTAACTAATTAATTAATAATTTTTAATTTGAGAAGCAGAATGATCAACGGTTCTACTCTGGGAGAGAGAAAGGGAAGTAGATGAATCTCAAGCTAGTTGTAGGGACAGGAGACCACCTGATTTGTACCATAAATTATCAAAAATTCTCAAGAATTTGCAGCACCAGTTTCCTACTCCTATTATGCCTATTCTTGAACAAAACACTCAAGGTCTCTAAAAGTGTTTACGTCATAAAGTATGTCTACCTCATGAATGTTTATCCCCTCAGACTCCTCAATTTCTGGAATACTGTGAGTCAGCCAGGAAACTCGGGAACCCGACCAACCCAAAGAATAGGCCTAAGGTAACATTCACTTAGAGGTCTCCACAAAATGGCTCAGCCAGATCATTCTTTGCAGATGTCCAAAGTAGGCAAGTCTCAATTCCCTACACCAAGTTGCCAAAGAACTTTCAACTGCCTCATGTTAATTTGAGTAGATGAACAAGGATTGTCAGGCACTTGAAACAAGCCACAAACACAGAGAAAATATAAAAACAGAAAACTGAGACTACAAAGAAAAAAATAACGATAAAAACAGAGGAAAATTGTAAATACCATAATTAATATACTTATAGAGATAGAATAAAATAATATATGTAGGAATCAAGGTATTTAAATATTGCATATTTACGAGGAACAGAGAACGTAACTAAACAAGTTGTAAAACAGAATAAAGTGTAAACAGAATATAACGTCAAGGAAATCTCGAGAAAGGTCTGGCATGCACCAGAATTTGTCGCTGTGTGTAAATGAGGGAGCTATGGCAGTACAGTTATTTTCAAAAAATTTATATTGTTGAGGGGCTATCAAGAATAGCTAAAAACTGTAGATACTCACAGAGACTCTAGGAACCACCATTCCACTCTAAAGGTAATTGCATTTCTACATTGTTTTATAAAGTCTCGTTTTGAATCTTTTACCGTCTTCACATGAACCGAAAATAATTTGAATATCTGAAAATGTACCGCAAACACAAAACTTTTGAGAACATCTACCATGAATTGAGGTTTGTCATTACCTACAAAGAGTATCCCAATTTTGATGGCAGTGGCAGCCAGTCCGGAGCAGCCGCTGCAAAGACCCCAGCTGCAGCATGGGTGGCCCATCCTGGGCTGTGCTCCATGGAGCTGGCAGGAGTCGGGAACAAGTGGGAGTCCCGCCCCCTTCCAAATTGGCTGGACAGGAGCCCCACCCTCCTGGGCACAGCTGCAGCTGCCCAGCGCGGCTGTGCACCTGCGCATTCCTGTGCTTTCGGGGGCTAGGGAAGACTCCTGCCTTTGCAGGCTCAGAAGTGTCTGCTGCCGCTGCCTGGTCCCTCCCTGCTCCCGGCGCTTGCTCCAATTTTGGAGTAAAGTTGAGACTGAGCCCAGGCACTGCTGCAACCTAGCTGGGTGTGCCCACGTTTGGGGCAGTGCTGACACGCCAGCCCCCTGCCGCATCACCCCCACTCTGCACTTTGGGTGCTAATGAACATGGGAGGGAGGCCGAGGAGGAGGGGCTGAGAGCAGCTTGGCGCTGGCCTACAGGCACCCCTTGGCATGGACAGCCTGGGTACAGTGGACAGCATGCTGATGGTGGGAGGCAGACAGGTCCCTGGGAGGAAAGGGGCGGGTCCCTGATGAAACCCCACCTTCATGCCAGGGACGGCCTGATGCCTGGGGGCCGGGTTACTAATTCTGGGTAGAGTCCACCGCCCAGAGTGGGACCTTAAGGTGCTTTTTCCAAGCCCACTCAGACTGCTTATGGACCAACCAGCATGCACTTCCTCCCTTCTGAGCCCATAAAAACCCCCAACATAGCTAGACCCACACAGATATGGGGAAGATCTGCCTGCAGAAGGGAGCTAACCACTACATGTCTCCTTTCCACTGAGAGCTGGACAGACGTCTTGACAACCCGCCTGAAGAAGGGAGCTACCTACTGCGAGTCTCCTCTCCACTCAGAGCTGGACAGATGTCCTGACGACCTGCCTGAGGAAGAGAGCTGCCCATTGCGGGTCTCCTCTCTGCTGAGAACTGGATAGACATCGTGACAACCTGCCTGAGGAAGGGAGCTACCCACTGCAGGTTCCCTCTCCACAGACAGCTGGACAGACGTCATGACAACCTGCCTGCAGAAAGGAGCTACCCACTGCAGGTCTCCTGAGAGCTGTTTTGTCTCTCAGTTAATTAAGCTCCTCTTCTCCTTTTTCACCCTCCAGTTGTCCATATACCTCATTCATTCTGGACTCGGTACCCACTGAATTGTAGGACTGAAAGAGCTGTAACACAAACCGGGCTGAAACACATCACCCTGCTCACCATGTTGCTGGCAAGGAAAAGGAGAGAAGAGCTGCAGCCCTTCAGGGAGCCCACACGTAGGGGATCCCTGAGCCAGGGCTCTGACACTCTCTCTGGGGCTCTGTGGTTCCTGGCATCTCCAAGCTTCCAGGCTCCACTGCATCCCCCCTCATCCAGATGTGGTGACCAGCAGTGGAAGCCACATGCAGTACATCTGGTCCAGCCACAGCTTCACACGGAGCTGGCACCTGTGCAGATGCCTGGAGCTACTTGCCCTGGTGCAGCAGCCAGTGTGATTGACTGTGCATAGTGGCCAGATGTCACACTCACTCACCCACACATCCCTCGCTGCTCCATGCCTGGCTCACCCTTGGCAGCTGCGGGATCTGGGCTGGTAGCATGAGCCAAGCACAGCCTGCCAGGCTTAGTGGGCAGATCGAGCCCAGTGGGTGCAAGCAATACTCAGGTAAAAGGCACCACTGGCCACAGAGGTTTCTGGCTGGCGAAGCAACACCCCAAGACAACTTCAAGACACCCCATGACAACTTCAGTGTTTGTTATTCACAATATTCTATGTCTTGTTCCCAGCGCAAATTTTGTGCATTAATCCTCACTCTTACCCTGCCTTATTCACGGATGACTCAAAATTACTGACTGTTCTTTATGTATCTTTGTATTATCCCCTAATTACCACGTAAAGTATCTTTATATATATTACACACAACTATTCGTGAATAAATGAATAAATATTTATGAATAAACAAATGAGTCATATTGGGTTAACCCAATTTAAGTCCCTAAGTTAATTTTGTTGTCTGTGTAAAGCATTGGCTAAAGACAATCTCTACAGACTAGCAAACTTATTATGAAATCTATTCTGTGCCTACTATGTGTAAGACATTATCTATGTTATCCACATTATATCATTTAAATCACGGGCTGATCATAGCAGTGTTTAACTTCTGTGGTTTTGAATGGAGAAGAGCAATAGAGAATTTGTTAACCACTATCTGGGTCATAAAAATGGGTTTCTAAGGAGGGGTATCACTGAAGAAATGTAAAATGCAAGCTTAGTTTTCAAAACTCTGTCCTGATTTTCAAAAAAACACTGTTAAGCTTTAAAAATCGCCTCATGCATCATGGAAAACAGAATTAAAAAGCTAAATATTCTACCAGAACATGGAACTTGAGTATGGACTCTTGTGTAAATGAATATAAGTGTTATTAAAGATGTTTTACTTAAAACAATTGAAAAACCTCATCTGTATCATGGAATAATCACTTTTGAAACTATGGAAAGTTTAAGTCATTTGGAATAAAATTATTTGTTAAAATTGATTTCACTCATCTTTGGGACTAGGGGAAAAGTGATATATAAAATGATTTCCATCAATATCCAAACTATGGAGATTACATATAGTCAGTTGTCTGTAAAGTGAAGCTATTCATGAAAATGGAAATTCTAAGTATTCTTCACCCTTAGGAATTTTGATGCTATCAAATTTTATTGAAATAAACACAGAGATTTATTCCAAGTATTGAAATATATTCATTAAAGAGCTCAGTAGGATAAAAAGAATACTGAGACTCTCCTGTGGTTTCTGTTTTCTCTAAATGTTAATACTTGTCACAGTGTATATCCTGCCTACTATAAACACTAAGGTTTTCAATCATTTCCTGGAATATCACTTACCAGTGGATCCAAGCTTTCTCATTGTTTTTAGCAAAATGTAGCTCAGTTTGTATCTTTTGATTTTCTTCAGTATTTTAATAATAATTATTATTATGTAATATTTGTTATAAAAGTAATTAGATCAATAGCAGTGACCATTATTGATTCTTTCACTGTGCTAGGAATTGGACTTAGCACGTCACACATATATCATTTAATCTTCAAAACAACCACACTCTGAATATATCCAACTGCCAAATGTATTGGTTTCTTATTGCTACTCTAACTACAGTTATCAAAAAAATTAATGGATTAAAATATACAAGTTTATTATCATATAGTTCTGGAGGCCAGAAGTCCAAAGTCGTCTTACTGGGCTGAAACCAAAGTGTTAACACAGCTGTGTTTCTTCCAGGAGGCTCTAGGAGAGAATCTGTTTCTTTGTTCGATCTCTAGAAACTGTGGGCAGTTTCTAGAAATTGCCCACAATCCTTTTGCTCACGGCCCCTTCCCCTATCCCCAAAGCCAGTGACATCAGACAGAGTTCTTCTCAAGTGATTGTCTCTTTGGTTCTTCACAGTCACATCTTCCTCTAACTCTTTTAAGGATCCCCTGATCACATTGGCTCTGCCCAGTTAATCCAGGAGTCTCCCCATCACCGGCTCAGCTGATTAGCAACCTTAATTCTATCTGCAAGTTTAATTCCCTTTACCATGTAACCTAACATATGAAAAGGCTGTCGGGATTAGGACATAGAGATTTTGGGGGAGCCACTATTCTGGCTATCACAGCAGACAGGAAAGATAAAGCATCATAATTAATCCCAAGGCCAACAGCAAGCAAGTGGCCATGTCAGGAATCAAACCTAGCTCTGTCTGATCCTATAAATTCTCCCTCCATATTATCTCAAATACAGTTTACTGAATGACCAACTGAAATTTCAAAAGAAATAAAAGAAAAAAAAGGAATAAAGAAAAATTCAATCAGCCTTTGGGCAATTATTAAACATTTAGAAAAATCCAGTTACTTGACTATAGTATCTTTCACTTCTCATTCAGTTGTTTGGTACAATATAGATCACGACCTCTGATGAAGTCCCATTTGCTTCTCTTACTTATTTACACATCTTGAACCATCAGAATGGCAGATGATCTTCTATTAAGAAAATATGCAGTGTAAGCAATTAAAAATTGTAATTGATGAACTTAGCATTTATAAACTGGCTAGAATCACACTTAAAAAAAAATCTGTGGATTTTCAATGTTAACATCTTTTATATAGCAGTTTCCTACCATGACCTACAATACTACAAAAAATTGTTGCTGCCTGACATGGGTATACTTGAGGCATTGTAATAAGTAGGATTGTTCTTTATGGCTCTGCCACTTGCCAGTCATGAGAACTTGGGCAATTGACTTAACTTTCCTAAATGTTGGATTCTGTATCTGTTAAACAAGGATCATTATGGTGTCATTGGTTAGAGATGATAAATGTACATTACAGTATACCGTTCACTGCATGTCCTCTGACACAATATAAGTACCAAATAAATGTCATCCAAATTATTTTTCCAGTTTTTAGCAATTTATTTGGACACATAATAAATCACATTAATTGTAGTTATTATTTTTTTCAGTAGCAACATTTACTCATCCGAACCAGACCTTCTTGAGTGGCTTATATTTCAGTATCATTTCTTGCATAATTTTTCAAACTTCATATAGTTTGTAAAGGAAAAGGAATATATAAATGAATTACAAGACAGCATCATTATTTCCTTTTTCTTATTTTTTATTCAGCATCTATTGACTTTACAAATCCATTTTGAGGCATAAATCTAAATGAGTGGCATTTTCAAATATTAGATAATGAAAGCTTATTTGTGGTCATTGTTCTCTGGTGGCAGTTTTGACTTTCTGCCCCATAGCCTTCACTAAACTGCAAAACTCATAGAAGTTATTAGTGATGATCCAGTGCATTTGTTTCCTGGACGATGAAACTCCAAATTCCAGATGGGATTATTCTCCATTTTATGCCTGTCCAGCTCTGGAATTTCTACAGCCATTATCAATGTAAATTAATTGCAGTTGATTTTAAGGTTACAAGTGACATAAAGCTCAATATTCCCTTGTCCAAAATTATTGTTATTGAAATAGGAAATGCCCTCTTTGTAACATTATTTTGGAGGCTAGCCTCCATTTCCATGGACTCATCACACCATGTATTAGATTGGCATAAAAGCAACTGCTTTTGTACCAACCTAATAAAAGGACATTGGCTCTGTTTCAACTCCATGGCTTGTTTTGAATTTTTTTTTTTTTTGACATCTAGTTTCACTCTTATTGCCCAGGCTGGAGTGCAACGGTATGATCTTGGCTCACTGCAACCTCCATATCCCGGGTTCAAGTAATTCTCCTGTCTCAGCCTCCCAAGTAGCTGGGATTACAGGTGCATGCCACCATGCCCGGCTACTTCTTGTATTTTTAGTAGAGACAAGGTTTTGCCATGTTGGCCAGGCTGGTTTTGAACTCATGACCTCAGGTGATCTGCCCACCTCAGCCTCCCAAAGTGCTGGGATTACAGACGTGAGCCACTGTGCTGGGCCTGTTTTTAATTCTTAAAGAGAAAGTATGCCCTCACTATTTATTACCACCATTGTAACAGTTACCCTTCCTGTAGGAAAGCACTAATTGCCCTGGAGAAAATCAAGATATTTGTAAAAATCATTGTTGATCTCAAATTAGAAACAATTATAAATCCCAAAGAGAAATATATGTACACATATATTAGGATGATTACATATAATATATATATAGGCTTAAAGTGATACAATGTTAGATGATATTTTAATTCTAAGTATCAAAGGAGGGATCTTAGTTTCCTGGGCTCCATGGGGGTGGGACCCACCTGGCAAGCCAGACCACTTGGCTCCCTGGCTTCAGCCCCCTTTTCCAGGGGAAATTAATTTCATTTTTTGTATCTTTCCCATCCCTCCATTATTGTCCCTATTTTTTTCTAAAAGAATTGTCTCAGAAACAGAAGTCCTCTGAACTGAAAATTGTCACGTTCATATTTTTTCACACATTGTTGCATGTTATAGCAACATTTTATATAAAAACATTGTGCATATTAGTAAAAATACCTCTTTTTTATACCCTCTGTAATAGTCACTACATAAAGAAATGAACTGAATGCGGATTCAAGGTGGCCGATTAGGAATAGCACCAGTCTGCAGGTCCCAGAGAGACTGATGCAGAAGGTGGGTAATTTCTGCATTTCCAAATGAGGTACCTGGTTCATCTCATTGGGACTTGTTGGACAGTGAGTGCAGCCCACGGAGGGTGAACTGAAGCAGGGTGGGGTATTGTCTCACCCGGGAAGCACAAGGGGTTTGGGAATTTTCTCTCCTACCCAAGAGAAGCCATGAGGGTCTGAGCCTGAGAAATTCCAGCACAGATGCTGTGCTGGTCCCATGGTCTTCGCAACCGGCAAACCAGGAGATCCCCTCCAGTGCCTACCCCACCAGGGCCCTGGGTTTCAAGCACAAAACTGGGTGGCCAATTGGGCAGACACAAAACTTGCTGCAGGAGCTCTTTTTTTCTTCCATACCCCAGTGAGGCCTGGAAAACCAGCAAGACAGAACCATTCACTCCCCTGGAAAAGGGGGCTGAAGCCAGGGAGCCAAGTGGTCTGGTTTGGCAGGTCCCACCCCCATGGAGCCTAGGAAACCAAGATCCACTGGCTTGAAATTCTCGCTGCCAGCACAGCAGCAATCTAAAATCCACCTGGGACATTCGAGCTTGGTTGGGGGAGGGGCGTCCGCCATTGCTGAGGCTTGAGTAGGTGGTTTTACGGTCACAGTGAAAACAGAGCTTCTGGGAAGTTTGAACTGGACAGGAGCCCACTGCAGCTCAGCAAGGCTGCTGTGGCCAGACTGCCAGGTGTCTCCTCTCTGGACAGGGCATCTCTGTGAAAAAGGCAACAGCCCCAGTCAGGGGCTTATAGCAGACTTAAACATCCCTGCCTGAAGGCTCTGAAGAGAGCAGCAGACCTCCCAGCACAGCATTCGAGCTATGCTAAGGGTCAAACTGCTTCCTCAAGTGGGTCCCTGACCCCCTTGTATACTGAATGGGAGACACCTCCCAGTAGGGGGCCGACAGACACTTAAACAAAATTACAAGAAAAAAACAATCCCATCAAAAAATGGGCAAAGCGTATGAACAGACACTTTTCAAAAGAAGACATTTATGCAGCCAACAGGTATTTCAAAAACTGGTCATCATCACTGGTCATTAGAGAAATGAAAATCAAAACCATAATGAAATACCATCTCATACCACTTAGAATGATGATCATTAAAAAGTCAGGAAACAACAGATGCTGGAAAGGTTGTGGAAAAATAGGAAAGCATTTACACCGTTGGTGGGAGAATAAATTACTTCAAACATTGTGGAAGAAAGTGTGGCTATTCCTCAAGGATCGAGAACTAGAAATATCATTTGACCCAGCAATTCCATTACTGGGCATATTCCCAAAGGATTGTAAATCATTCTACTATAAAGACATATGCACACATATGTTTACTGCAGCACTATTCACAATAGCAAAGACTTGGAACCAACCCAAATGTTCATCAATAATAGACTGGATTAAGAAAATGTGGCACATATACACCATGGAATACTATGCAGCCATAAAAAAGGATGAGTTCACGTCCTTTGCAGGGACATGGATGAAGCTGGAAACCGTCTTTCTCAGCAAATTATCACAAGATCAGAAAACCAAACACTACATGTTGTCACTCATAAGTGGGAGTTGAGCAACGGGAACACATGGACACAGGGAGGGAAACAACACACACCACGGCCTGTTGGGGTCGGCGGGCTAGGGGAGGGAAAACATTAGGAGAAATACCTAATGTATGTGATGAGTTGATGGGTGCAGCAAACCACCATGGCACGTGTATACCTACGTAACAAAACTGCACGTTCTGCACATGTAACCCAGAACTTAAAGTATATGTATATTTATATATGTATACATATATTATTATATGTTGATATATATGTATACAGATATTATTATATATTGATATATATGTATACATATATTACTATATATTATATATTATATTATATTATATTATAATACATATTTTATAATATATATTATATATATTATATATTTTTATAATATATAAAAACATAAAAATTTATAATATATTTATAATATATATTATATTGTATAACATATATTATATATTATATATATTATATAATATAATATATATTATATATTATATATAATACATATAATATATATATTATATATAATACATATATTATATATGTATACATATATTATATGTATACATATACATGTATACATATACATGTATATATTATTATATGTATTATACATATTATATATTTATACATATATGTATGTATACATATATAATTTATATGTGTATATATACATATATAAATAATATTTTTATATATAAATTTAACTTATATATAAATTTATATATATATTAATATATAAATTTATATATATATTATATATGTATACATATATATTTATATATAAATTTATAGTTTACATATAAATAGATATATTTATTTATATATTTATATATTTATATATTTATATTTTAATATGTATTTATATATTTATATAGTTATATATAAATTATATGTATAAATATATATACATATATATGGATATTTATACATATATATTTATATTTATACATATATAATATATTATATATTTATATTTATACATATGTATGATATATTTATATTGATACATATATATTATATATTTATAAATACATTATTTATTTATATGTATAAATATTTATATATGTATATATACATATATAAATATATGTATATGTACATATAATTTATATATGTACATATACATATATAATATATATACATATATAAATTATATGTACATATACACATATATAATTTCATTTATATATTTATATTTATACATATATATTATATATTTATATTTATACATATATATTATATATTTATAAATACATTATTTATTTATATTTATATGTGTATATATGTACATATACACATATATACATATGTATATATGTATATACATATGTGTATATATATACATATGTATATATGTATATACATATACATATATAAATTTCATTTATATGTGTAAATGTACATATACATATATAAATTTCATTTATATATGTATATATGTACATATACATATATAAATTTCATTTATATATGTATATATGTACATATACACATATAAATTTCATTTATATATGTATATATGTACATATACACATATAAATTTCATTTATATATGTATATATGTATATATAAATTAAAATATATAAATATATAAATATGTAATGGTGAGTTCATTTCTATATATATTTATATATTTTTATATATATTTATATATTATATATATGTATAGATGGGAGGTGATTCAAAAACATTGAACTAAATGCAGATAATGAACATGTTTCCATTTGTTCTCTACTATAGAAGATGAGATATATATTTTTTTCTTATCATATTATTTTCCTAAAGGACATATAACCTAACCAAAGTATAGGGGCCAAAGGAAAACATTTCCTTCACCTTCTAAGCATCCACTGAAAATCAGCTCACAAAAGACAGATTAACTGGAGAGAAGGCATACAAACTTATTAACATGCATACGAGGCAGAAAAATAGCAATTACCCACCCCTCAGTGGGGTTCAAAAACTTACATATCATCTTCAGGCTATATAAAGACTGTGGGCTTGGATCCTGGCAAAATTGTTTAAGGGAAAGGGGAGAAGAGGATTTTTTTTTTTTTTTTAAGATAAGGTCTTGGTCTGTTGTCCAGGCCAGTCTGGAGTGCAATGGTGCAATCATAGCTCACTATAGCCTCAAACTCCTAGGTTCAAGCCATCTCTTGCCTCAGCCTCCCAGTAGTTGGGACCATGCCTGGCTTATTTTTAATTTTTTATAGATACAGGATCTTACTATGTTGCACAGGCTGCTCTTGAACTCCTGGGCACAAGAAGAGGAATTCTGTTGAGGGACAATGAATGATTATTAGGGAGAATGAAAGGATTGGGGACAGAGATTGGCCTGTAAATATTTCTCTTTGGAATTTACATGAACCTGAGCAACAGACATTATCTTGTGAAAGGGTGTGTTCAGGTGTGGTTACATTCTGAATCTTCTTTCTTTAATAGATAACGAGATACAGGGAGGGGACTGAATCTTCTTTCTTTAATAGATAACAAGATACAGGGAGGGGAGGAACAAAACAATTGTTCTCTATGGTGGGACCTTACTGTCTTTATATAAATAGGGGAAAGGGCTCTTCTAGTGTCTGCTGATGTGTAAGAGCTTTAACTTAAAATATTCATTATACCAGG
Source organism: Homo sapiens (assembly GCF_000001405.40). Classification (NCBI taxonomy): domain Eukaryota; kingdom Metazoa; phylum Chordata; class Mammalia; order Primates; family Hominidae; genus Homo; species Homo sapiens. Next base: position 1,709,630 of record NC_000003.12, read on the forward strand.
GAGCCATATTTTGGGGTGAAATTCCTTGCGCTCCTTCAGAAGTAAACTTTAGAAAACAAAACATTATGTGGAATTTCATAACTAGCTTCAGCTCATCCTTGGCTCTTCCCCTTTGTCTATGGATATTAGGTATAAATCCCCTCAAGCTAGCTTCTCCTTGCAGTTTTGAGGTATTTAACAGTTTTTCATCCTGTGCCTTAATTTTAGACCAAGAGAAAACTTTTAAGAGTCCAAACCCAGCAGCTCACAAACAAGGAAACTGGTTGTAGCCCAAGTGACTTAGCCAAGAAAAGAGCAGATCTACTGCAGAAGGAATATCATAGCCAAAGTTTCTTCATAGTGAAACTTTTTGGCATTGAATGCTGGCTTCACCCACTACAGAAAGTAGAGACTTATACTTAACTTTAGGTACTTATTGTGCTTAACTTTGCAAAGCCTCAGTTTTATCAACCATAAATTAGGATCAATAATCAAAATACCACCCTGCTAAGGGTTTTATGAGAACTCAATGAAGAAACCTATTTTAAATGTTTTTTAGATTTATGTTTATTCACATTTTTACTCCCTTCCAAAACCCCAATAACAAGGCAGAAATGTAATTTTTAGAAAACATAATTGCACAAAAGCTAATATACACACACACACACACAGATAGCAGAACTATATCATCTATCTATCTAACTGTCAAAAGTGAATGGAGGATCCATAATTTACTTGATAGTGAGGAATAAACTAACCACAAGACTTGGAGTAACCAGCTACCACAGTCTGAGAGGGTGAGAATATAGCCAAAATGGTGACCAATTGTTACATAAACCACAGAGAATAGAAGAAGAAAAAAATCCCAAGGGTTTTCAGACCCAATGTCATGAACTGGATGGCAATACGTATAAAAAGATAGAACCACAAATTTTCACTCCTTTCACCTGTAGCTAGCAATTACCCGTAGAAATGGAGGTTGATTCTCTGGAGAAATTGATGCAGGATACTTTCTTCACCACTTCGTGGGAGTTGCCAGAGGGGTGCCTCATTTATTCAGCCTATCCCACACAACCCCTCACAGAAGGAGGTGTGCGAGCCAACAAGTGCAGGAAGCAGCCACTTTAGCACCTGCACGAGTGAACTCCATTCACTCGGGTCCACTGGGCTCCACTCCTTGCAGGAGGGAGCACACAGACAAGTGAGTACAGGCACTGGCCACTTTGGCGCTGGCAGAAGTGAACTCCATGCAGGCCCTGCAACAGCGTCCAGATGGGGTGTCTGCGACCCCAAGGCCCCAGAGGGCGTGGTACAATGCTCTCTTAGCTCTGCCGTCTGCAGAAAGCAGTGTGTTACCAGCTCAGCAGGCCCTCTGCCTCATCACATGGGGTGGCTGCCCTCCACCAGCGAGGGTGAAGGGTCAGTGTGATAGCCTTTTTGGGTACCCGCACCCGGTGCCTCCTGAATTCTTATTCAGTGACCAAGAGGAATGAGGTCACATGGACAAACTGAAGGATAATGAGTGTTGAGAATTTTATTGAGTGATGAAAGTGGCTCTCAGCAGAGAGGGGAGCTGGAAAGGGGACAGGAAGGGAAGCTCCATCTCCCCTGAAGTCAAATTGCCTTTCTGCCTCTCTCTTCCAAAGGCAAGTTGCCTCATCCACCCACTGTCTCAAAGTTGCCTCTTCTTAACATCCAGCTGCTTCTTCCTGACATGCTGCCACTTCTCTCTGCCAGGTGAGTCTGGGATCTTCATAGGCACAGGATAGGGGTGGGGTAGGCTATAGGTAGTTTTGGAAAAGGCAGCATTTGATTGGTAAAAAGACATTATTCAAAAAGAACCAATCAGGAGCGAGCAGGCACACAGGGATGGAAGTTCTCACTTTGGGCCACAGGTTTCAGGCTCTTCGGCTCAAAGGTGAGGTTTTGCCAGGGACCTGCCCTTGTCTGCCTAGAATCTCTCTGCTTCCTGCCTCTATCAAAATGGGCCTAAATAATGATAGGAGGTGGGGCTTAGAAATGAAATAATAGGGCCGGGCTCAGTGGCTCACGCCTGTAATCCCAGCACTTCGGGAGGTCGAGGCGGGCGGATCACGAGGTCAGGAGATCCAGACCATCGTGGCTAACACGGTGAAACCCATCTCTACTAAAAATACAAAAAAAATTACCCAGGCATGGTGGCGGGCGCCTGTAGTCCCAGCTACTAAGGAGGCTGAGGCAGGAGAATGGCGTGAACCCGGGAGGCAGAGCTTGCAGTGAGCCAAGATCACGCCATTGCACTCCAGTCTGGGTGACAGAGCGAGACTCCATCTCAAAAAAAAAAAAAAAAAAAAAAAGAAATGAAATAATAGTGTAGCAAGTTCATCTTAATGATAAAGACTGAGGCAGGAAGGGGAACTGAGAACTGTGAATAGAGAAGGGGAAGAGGGAAATAGCAAATGCAAACTTTCAGCTGTGATGTGTGTAGTAGTACAATATCGAATATAATAATTAAAAATTTCATTTTATTAGCCTTGGAAAAGCCACACAAAATATTTTTTGAAGGAGTAGTAAACCAAAGATAAAATTCTTAGCCCCTAGAACAATCTGAGCAGATCCCTTCTCTTCACCAAGAGCATTGCAAAGTTGACCTGAAAAACTAGTTCAGGCCATGATGGCAAGGGGGATCAGACATACATCATTATACCCTCCTCCCCTTGTGGAATTCAGCAAAAGCTCACCATCATTAACATCAACCAGACCTTAAGTCTGATAAGAAACATTTACAATCTATTTTCCCTGAAGCCTACTACCTTTATCTGCATAATAACACTTTGGTCTCCACAACCACTAATTGTAACCCAGAAATTCCTTTCTATTGATTCCAGGTCTTTAGATAACTTAACTCTTTCAACTAATTGCGAATTAGAAAATCTTTAAATTTACCTCAGTGGCCTGGAAGCCCCCCACTTTGAGTGGTCCCACCTTTGCGGGTCTAACCAATGTATATCTTACATGTATTGACTGATGTATCATGTCTCCCTAAAATGTAGAAAAGCAAGCAGTAGTACCCCAAACAACTGGGGGACACGCCATCAGAACCTCTTGAGGCTGTGTCACAGGTATGTCCTTAACCTTGGCAAAATAAGCTCTCAAATTTCATTAAGACTGCTTTTAGGTACTTTTGTGTTCACAGGGTGTAACTGTTTAACCCTTTTAAAAAATGACTAAAAACTCTTTTACATTGTTAATTTAGTAGATGAACACATGACCAAGATATTTCTGGGGTTGTTTGTTTTTTGTTTTGGGACGGAGTCTCTCTCTTGTCACCCAGGCAGTAGTGTAGCAGTGTGATCTCGGCTCACTGCAACCTCTGCCTCCTGGGTTGAAGCAATTCTCCTGCCTCAGCCTCCCAAGTAGCTGCGATTACAGGTGCCCACTACCACGCCCAGCTAATTTTTTAATTTTTGTATTTTTGGTAGAGATAGGGTGTCATCATTTTGGCCAGGCTGGTCTTGAACTCCTGACCTCAGGTGATCCGCCTGTCTCAGCCTCCCAAAGTGCTGGGATTATAGGAGTGAGCCGCTATGCCCAGCTGTGCTATTTCTTATATAGTTTCCACTCTGGGGAGTATTCTTTGAGGCCAAATACATGACTTCTTTTCCATATTTATTTATTTTATAAGTGTTTGACGAGGATAAGTGAGGAATCTATATCTTCTATAGAGGATAACAACACAAATATGTATTTGCAGGTATGTTTATGTGTATAAAACATCAAGCTGGTTGAGTCTCTTATCCAAATCATTGTGTGTGTATATGTGTGTTCTTACTTTTTTATTTGCTTGATTTTTAGTTACTGGAAGGCATGGATTAGAAAATTCCCCTATATTGTATTTTTTTATCAAGTAAAATGAGAAAGTAAATACCTATCATTGGGTGATTCCTTAAATAAATCATGATTAATTACATATTATAATCATTAACTAAAGACCATGAGATCTGTAGTGAGGGAATGGGAGAGTTTCATTTTCTATTAAAAAAAAAAAAACCCTGCAGATTGGAGAGATACAGCCTTCAATGCAAAACAAAAACCTGCTCCAAAGGGGAGGTGAAGTGTTAGATTATCAAGGCAAAAACCACAGGGCCGGGGAGGGAGGCAGGGGAATCAGGAGCAGAGACTTGATTGGACGACCTTCAGGCTCAAATCACCAGTCTCTCTCAGTTGATTGGTTCCAGGTGGTTTGCTGCTGCTGAGTTGGGAAATTTCCAGTAGGAACTGGTTTGGTTTGGACCACCTGTAACATTTCTACCAAGTGTCTGACACTAGCTACCTGGAGATAGCATCAGATCAAGTGTCCCAGGCAGTCCAAACCAAACCAAGTGTCACAAAGTACATGATTGCCCCTTCACTAAGCTGCGGCCCCCTGATTTTGTCTTAACTTTGAACACCTCAGCCACATGGAATCCATTTTTTCTGCTGGCTGGGGGCATACTTTAACATAATAATGTAATATAAAATATGTAGTATATAGTTTAGTCATTATAAACTTTTATATGCACAGTGTATGACTAAATAATTATATCCAACTATAATGAAATATAAAGTAGCCAGTAGCAAAATAGACATAGATCTTTTAATAAGGACGCTGCCAAAAATATAAAAGTAAATATAAATATAAAGGTAAAAATAAAGTTACAAAATAGAATTATAGATATTGTATAATTTTATATTTAAGTAAATACATGTACATGCATGTATACGGTTGCACAGTTATGCACAGAAATAAATTTGGAAGGATATGCCCCAAGATATTAACACCGGTGCTTTAGGATTTGGGGGATATAAGTGATGGCTACTTTTTCCTTTATTCTCCTTTGAGGTGATCTGACTTCTATAAGTATACTTTACTTTAAATTTAAACAAAAAATAATAAAACTGGACTGGGCACGGTGGTTCATGCGTGTAATCTCAGCACTATGGGAGGCCAAGGCAGGTGGATTACCTGAGGTCAGGAGTTCAAGACCAGCCTCGCCAATGTGGTGAATCCCTATCTCTATAAAAATAACAAAAATTAGCTGGGTGTGGTGGCGGGCACCTGTAATCCTAGCTACTTGGGAGGCTGAGGCAGGAGAATTGCTTGAACTCGGGAGGCAGAGGTTGCAGTGAGCCAAGATTGCGCCACTGCACTCCAGCCTGGGCAACAAGAGTGAAACTCTGTCTCAAAGATAATAATAACTACTTTCATTTTGAAAAGAAATCACTAGGTAAATCGGTTGTCATTAATCATGTTCCAAAGATAATAATTACTTATTAAATTTACTCTTGTGTATCCAAAATTTCATAAATTAAACAGAATTAAACATAAATTAAAACAGAAAAACTACTCATATGCATTCGCTCTTGAAGGTTGCTCAAATGCCAAACACAAAAGTCAATATGTCATTATAAAAGATAGGAAAAACCGAAGTGTTTTCCTACTCTGACAGAACTCAACACAACACTTCTGACACACCAGATGTGTGAGAGTTGTTTCTCTACACACCAAGCAAGTCTGCAGGGGACACCAGTTGGGTGTTATCTAATTCAATTCAATTCTGACACTAGCTTCCTGGAGATAGAGTCAGATTCCACAAGTTAAAGGCTCAGTCCTACAAGAGTTCTCCCTTATTTCATATGCCAGTTGCAGGTACCAGCTTGTTTTACCTGTGATTCTGACCAACAGGTTAGGGCTATGATTTATAAGATTCCCAATCTCCTTCTCAGATTCCTTTAATTTGCTATTGGAAAATAAAAATAAAATCCCAAGCGGCCAGGCACGGTGGCTCACGCCTGTAATCCCAACACTTTGGGAGGCCGAGGCAGGCAGATCACAAGGTCAGGAGATCAAGACCATCCTGGTTAACACGTTGAAACCCTGTCTCTACTAAAAATACAAAAAAATTAGCCGGGCATAGTGGTGGGCCCCTGTAGTCCCAGCTACTCGGGAGGCTGAGGCAGGAGAATGGCGTGAACCCGGGAGGCGGAGCTTGCAGTGAGCCGAGATCACACCACTGCACTCCAGCCTGGGCAACAGAGCGAGACTCCGTCTAAAAAAAAAAAAAAAAAAAAAAAATCCCAAGCACCCCAATCAACTGAGCAAACCCCTTGTTTGTCTTGGGAAACAGGACCCCAGGGAAATTTTTAAAACTGAGTTCTAGGCCATGACAGGAAAGGAGGTTGATGACACCTAGTATGTCCCTTCCTTATTAACCTTTAGCCAGAATCCTTTCCTAAGGCATGAGCAGAAGCCAGCTCTAGAAAACAAGAAAAGGAGGACACATTCTTTTACTGCCTTCAGCCCGTCATCTGAGGTTACCACCGGACTCCCGCTCCTCTTTGCAGTTTCAGCTTCACAGCTCACCAGTTTCACAATGAATCCCTTCCTGAAAACTGACTACCATCCCAGATAGATTTTGGCAGACTTGAGGAGGTTGCTCAGTGAGGGTTTTGTGTCACCTTTTGATATCAGAAGACCAAAAAGTCCACCCTCAGATTACACTAATGCTGCGTTTTTTAAACAAGCAATCCATGAAGAGGCATGAAGCTCCATTGAGCATGTTCATGTTTCTCATTTCGTAAATATTCATGAGTCCTCATATAGCTCACAGAATATGTACACTTAGCCACCCTGCTCAGCATAAATTCCTGTCTTATGCTTCCCTCCCTTGAAGCACTTTCACTGGATGCTATACTTCCCAGCCTAACAGAAAGGCCACCCTACAGGCTGCAACCCTTTATGAGGAATAAAGCTCTCCTTTCCAAATTTATGAACCTCATGATGATTCAGTTGACACTAGGAAGGTTCATAAGTTTCAGGGGAATCACGTAGCCTTTCCCAAAGGTTACAGGGTATTGATTAGGCGGTTGAAACTGCCAACCCCCTAATCATGCCTTGGTCTTTCTGTTGACCAGCCCCCATCCTGAAGCTATCTAGGGGACCCTAGCCACCAGTTATCTCATTAGCATGCAAAAGACACTCTTATCACTTTGGAGTTTCCAGAGGGTTTAAGAGCTCTGTACCAGGAACCAGGAGCAGGCAGAGACCAAAAAAAAAAATTCATATTACATCACAATATCACAGAAGTCTATACCTCAGAACTCTGCAAAATACCATTGCAAATCCTGTTACTTCCTGCAAAGTACTTGTGTCATTTAGTTAAATAATCCAATAAGCACATTCTCAAGCTGTAGCTTTGTTTATATTTTCTCTAAAGATATGTTCCCAAGTAATAAAATATATTTGCTGTTATATTTGCCAAGTTGATCCTTAGAAATAAGTAGTTTTTTTTCTTTCTTAAAATGCATTAGAGACTATAGATATTTAGAAATAACTTTTATTTAGCTTATATGGGTATTACCTGATGCAATAAATTACTATACTCTTTTCACAGAGGAGTTTTCATTCTATAAGTTGTTTACTTTGGGATAAAGATTAAGTCATGAAAGTGTATATAAGCATTATGCTAGCATTTTTGATGACAAAACATATAATAAATTGTATTATTTATATGATTTTTATTTTCATATGATGAGGAATTTAATTTGAAATCTGTTCATGGACTTACATTTCACTACTGAGGCTATATTACCTACTGGAAAGGGGCTAAGATAGATGTTTTTAATTTAATTTTCTGACTTTTTGACGGAGAATGCTTTGTAACTTTTACATGACATATATCAGATCAAAATTTACTATTCACATTCCACTTAGTAAAAGTGCCCAAGCCATATGGTTTCTAGGCTCTAGTCTTATTACCACATAATATGTTCCTTTAATCTCTTCTTTAGCACTCAAAACAAAAATGCAGAAATCCCAGACTCTGAGTTTCTCTGATCTTGTATGGTGAAGGGCCCACTCCTATTTTTCTTCAAGTTTTTAAACAGTCCTAGAAAACAGGTTTTCATACAATAGATCACCATTTCAGATTTTTTTAATGTCAATATTCATGTTTTCTCAAGCACAGAGTTCTGTTTTAGTGCATTTAGTTGATTTACAAATGACTTGTACTGACTAATGTATAAAACATCTTAATAAGAGAAAGGGTTTTATCATGAAAACTGTGCCAAAGTCCTAAGTCCAATATCTATCATAAAGGGATTAAAGTCTTAAGTATTACACTGTCCTCTAAATTAAGGAAGTTATCTCAGCTCAATTTCTAGCAGTTTCTGAATGTGATTTAACTGGATATGCAGTGATTAAATATCTTGTTGCTATCCATTTCTGGGAGGATTAACTCCATTTAAATGAATTCTCTTTCTCAATATTTATTTCAAATAATTCCCTAGACTATCTTAGCTTATGGTGAAATAACTCAGGAAGTTATTTCATGTGGAAAATCAAAAAACTTAAACTTCAAATTTCAGTGTTATTAAGCTTTTCTTCTTGAGCAATCTAATGATAGGGTGTCAGTGCTGGGATGCTACCAACAATGAGAACACTTAATAAGTCATGAATATGCAAGATACAATAGACAGTGCTGATTTAGAAATCTTGAGACTCTACCTGATCTGCTTTTCCTTAATTTCATTCCAGAAATAATTGCTCCAATCCCTATTCTGTACAATAACCTCATCAAAGATGATTTTAAAACATCTCTCTATATTGGATATATTATATTAATAAATGGATCATATCATCCTTATCATGTTGCTGATATGCAGAGAATCCAGGAAAGATAGTTATGAAGGAAGGGTACCTGCGAGTACCTTCCTTCAAATATTCTAAGTCAATTGAGAGATTTAAATTTTTGTTGATATTCTATTGTTATTGTCTTCTTAGTGATATTTTTAAATGGTTTCAAATATGGCAAAATAGACATAACATTAGATTTACCATTTTTGCCATTTTTAAGTGTATACTTTAGTGGTATTAATTATATTCATACTGTTGTTCAGTCTTTACCACTACCCATCTCTAGAACTCTTGTTATGTTCCCAAACTAAAATTCAGTACCCATCAGATGATAACTCCCTATCTTCCCCCTCCCTCAGCTCTTGGACAGAATCACTATTCTACTTTCTGTCTCTGAATTTAACCACTCTAAGTACCTCATATAAGAAAAATCATAGAATATTTACCTTTTGTGAAAAGGTAAATTTGCCATTTACATAATGCCCCCAAGGTTCATGCATGTTGTAGTGTGTCTGGAGTTGGTTCCTTCCAGTGGGTTCATGGTCTCACTGACTTCAAGAATGGAGCTGCGGACCTTTGCAGTGAGTGTTACAGCTCCTAAAGATGGCACAGACCCAAAGAGTGAGCAGCAGCAAGATTTATTGTGAAGAGCGAAAGAACAAAGTTTCCGCAGCATGGAAAGGGACCTGAGTGGGTTGCTGCTACTGGCTGGGGTGGCCAGCTTTTATTCCCTTATTTGTCCCCTCCCCATGTCGTGTTTCTGTCTATCAGAATGCCCTTTTCTCAATCCTCCAATCTTGCTGGTTGGTCCATTTTACAGAGCACTGATTGATCCATTTTACAAAGCGCTGATTGGTGCATTTTACAGAGCGCTGATTGGTACATTTTACAATCCCCTTAACTGATTGGTGCATTTTACAATCCTCTTGTAAGACAGAAAAGTTCTCTAAGTCTCCACTTGACCCAGGAAGTTCAGCTGGCTTCACCTCTCAGTAGCACATGTCAGAATGCCCTTTTTAAAGGGGGAATAATATTCCATTGTTTTCATATATATTTTGCTCATCCGTTTATTCATTGATGGGCAATTGGGTGGCATCTGCCTTTTGTTTATTATTAATAATGCTGCTATGAATATAGTGTACAAATATCTCTTTGTGTTCTTGGTTCAATTCTTTTGGGTATTTACCCAGAATGGAATTGCTGGTAATTCTCTCTCTAATCTTTCAAGGACTTGCCATACTGTTTTTGACAGTGGCTGTAGCATTTTACATTTCCGCAGTAATGCACAAGCGTTCTAATTTCTCCACATCCTTGACAACATTTGTTATTTCCTTTTTTGTTTTTTTTTATAATAGCTATTCTAATGAGTATGAAGTGGTGTTACTGTCCTTTTGAGGCGGAACATATGGAGATGATTCTGTTAAAAAATACACCTGGTCAGCCTTAGAACTTTAAATAAGAAACGATTTCTCAGGTTTTTATTATATATGGAAAATAGCACATAGACCTACTTATGGAATGCCAAAGTTATTCTGAACCTCAGACCGGTTCATTCATTCTTTCAATGAGTTATATTAAATGCTTTTACTATTTTCCTACCATTGTGCCAGGCAATAGTAAGGGTGCTCACAGTCTGGTATAAAAAATCAACAACTAAACAAACAAGGTTGCCATTATAGGGAAAGTCTTTATGGTTGGAGAGCATGAGAGCAAATTAAGTAGCCCAGTCTAAAAATCAGGAACAACTTTCTCCAGGAGGTAGAACTAAGTTCACACTTGGGTGAATAGAAGGCAGCAAGAAGGGAGAAGAAACTAGAACATATTCCAGATATTAGGAACCAACTTCAAAATTTCATTTGGCCTTTCCTGACAGATTCTAGTAGTTCAGAGTTCATTTGCTGCCCAGCACAATAAACCAGTTAGTAAGTTGGAAAAATGACTTACTGGTTGCCTCAGAAACTCACTTTTATGCATAAAGGAAATTTGTGGAAATGTACTTGATCCTATTGATTTAAGCATCCACATGTTAATCTGGAATTTTCTGGCAGAGGTGTCATATGCCCACATACAGAATTACATGCTCTCTCTCCCAATACATGCTTGGCTAGAGTTTTCAATGAAGGAGGATCCCACAGCTAATGTGGTACAAGAAACTGTATTTTCCCCCTTCCTGCAGCTTAGAAACACAAGGATCCTGAAGCTTCTGGGGCACAGACATGCAGGCATCACATAGGTGCAACCAAGTATGTCTCCAAGGTGGGGATGGTGTTTTTCCTAGGTGCCCCTGAAAAATGAGTGCTGGAGATCAAACAGAACACACAATACACACAATGTATCACAAAGGGTTTTCATACAAGTACTGGGTGTGGAGGAAACAGCCTGGGCAAAACCCTCAAAATAAAAGATAGCTCAACTCACTAAGGAACACAAAATAACAAAGTACCACAATGTGTTGGCTTAATATAACCTACATTTATTTTCTTACTCTTCTGGAGGCTGGAAGTCCAAAATCAAGGTGTTAGGATCACATTCCCTCTGAAGGAACTAGGGAAGAGTCGTTTGCCTCTTTTCAGCTTCTGGTGGTTTCCAGCAATCCCTGGCCTTCCTTGTCTTGTGGCAGCATGACTCCAATCTCTACCTTCACTACCACTGTGTTCTTCCTTGTGTCTGTGTGTCTCCAAATGACCTTCTTATAGGGACACCAGTCCTACTGGATTTAGGACCCAGTCTAATACAGCATTGCATCGACTTATCTCATTTCATCAGCAACAACCACATTTTTAAATAAAGTCATATTCTGATGTTCCAAGTAGCCATGAATTTGGGACTGATGTTATTCAACTGGTACAAATAGAACCATGGAACTTCAGGCTGGACTATGACTTTTAACTTCTTCATTCATCAAAAGGAAACTAAGGAAACACTGAGGGAGCTATTTGGTTGTAGTGTGATATCAAATGATATGATCTGATGTGCAATATCCGAAGATTATTCTAGCTGTATATTAATAAGAGACTTAAATTGGGGAAATCTGTCACGATAAGCCGTGGGTCAGATGCTATGTGAAAAGTTAATGAAAAGTCTTTCTTATTTATGCCCTTTTCATTCTAGGCATTTTTTTTAAATGCAAATAGAACCCATACCTAGTAATTTTGTAGTTCACTGAAAAATTTATGAATTTTCTATATTCAGGTATAGTAACAGAAGCATCCCATGTTCACTTATTTGTGTACTTATTTTGCTTCTCATTTAATAGATATGTGCTAAGCACCTATCACATGTTAATCAATAATGTTAGGCATTGAGGGTGCAAAGGTGAGGAAAATAATAGATATGTTCTTATAGTCAAATGGGTATACAGTAATTATAATCAAATAACCACAAAACCTAAATGCTTAATTAAGAGCAGGGACAAGATCTATGAAGAAAAGGTACAAACATTTTCATAAGAGCATTTCAAGCACTTATGAAATGCAAATAGGTTACTTCGTTTGGTTTGTGACATTGTGTTATAATAGGAATTGGACAAGAAAGTTTGATCAGGTATGGTAGGCAGAATTTTAAGGATGGCTTTCCCAGATAGTAAGGATGGCTTCCGAGTCATTCAGACAAACACAAATCTAGCATTGCTATGAATGGATTTCAAAGATGTAATTAAGATCCCAAGTCAGTGAGCCTAAAATCAGAAATTATGTAGATGGTGCTAACCCAGGCAGGTAAGTTCTTTAGAATCAGAGAATTTTCTCTGGCTAGCACCAGAGGAGGAAGTCAGGGAGATCAGAAGCACCAGAAGGATTTCACACAGCGTTGCTGACTACAAAGACGCAGAAGACCATGTGATGAGAAATACAGGTCATCTCTAGAAGACAAAACTGCCCCCAGGCAAAGATCCAGCAAACAAGGACCTTAGTCCTACAGCCACTAGACATGAATTCTGTTGACAATCTAAATGAGCTTAGAGTAGATCCTTCCTCATAGCCTCCAGAGAAGAGTCCAGCCAGACAACAACTTGATTTTGGACTTTTTAGACCCTCAGCAGAGTGTTGAACCATGCTGTACTTCTGACTTATGAAAACTATAGATAATAAGTGTGTTTTGTGTTAAGCCACTTTGTGGTCATTTGATGTACAACACTAGAAAAGTAATTCAGCAGGTAATTGGGGATGGAAGTGAATCATAGGTAACTAATCTAAAGAATTAATGTGCTGAGAGGTCTTAGAAATTGATTTCGAGTAGCATCCCTTTAAAGGATTTGAAGTTTCTGCTTCATTTTTGGGAACTCACTACAAACCAAAGCATATCCATTTTAAGATGACACAACTACAAATTTCTTTCTTATAATGAGTTGACATCTATCTTTGGTTTCCAGCTCTGGATCCTTGTTCTAGGCTTGAGGATTGCTGAAAGATAACACTCATAAAAGCTGTGGAAAGAAAACACTCATAAAAGCTGTGGGCCGATGTGACCTACTTATAGCAAAAATCACTTTAGTATTATCTGTAAACAACGAGAGAGGCGATGAAGGGAACTGCACGGGCTACACTACTTTGCGCAAGTCACTTCTTATAAAATAAACCATTTGGTCTTTACAAGGTAACAGTGTCCGTTTTACATTTGAGGAAATCAGCTGGGAAGGGTTAAGTAAGCTGCCCCAAATCAATGAGCTATTAAGTGGTGGAAGGAGAATGCAATGCTCCTTTGAGTTGCCTGTTACTATACTTGTCCTTCTAGAAAAGGTTATAGTTTCCTGGTTGAGTAGTTTGGGGGGCATTAGATAAAGTGGTCCATTTAATCATTGATCGGAACTCCTATATAGAGGGATCAATGTTTAAAAGGGTTTTGTTATTTTCGTATTCGTATTTTCATCCAGTTAAAAACGTTACTGTTATCTTAAGAGGATATGTATATTGCAGCAAAGGTTAAGTTATGCTATTGAGGCCCACTGAAGAGAAGAACGTTTCTCAGTCATAGAAGGTCAGCAACTCCAAAATAGAAAGACATCTGGGAACCATTTAATAAACTGATTTTTTCAAATGAAGAAGATAAGTAATGCATTCAATTTTATACATAGTGCCAATCCCCTAATTACTCCCTAGATTGCTCTGGTAACAGGAGTGCAAGCCTGAGTCTTTTGATATTTGGGGGCCATATTTTTGGAAGGTTCATTATTCTTCTTCATAACTATTATCACTTCCCATTTTACATTTTGTAAATTGTGTTCTACTATTACCAGTTAGCTTTCACCTTATTGTTTGGTCAGTTCCATTGGGTCAGGCACTATTGACATTTATCCAGTTTTCTTTCTTTTAATTCCCTCAGTATAATGGCTTTGTCATTTTTTAACAATTTTCAAGAATTATTTACCTGGAGATTGATACTTTGAAAAACTGAAATTATCTTCTCCTGTGGAGTAATTTTAGTCAGCTTCTATTTAAATAGATAAAAGGCCCAATCATTTGCTTTGAAATTTGTCCATAACATGTATGCATGTGATGTGTTAATTTATTTCATTACAGTGGAGTAAAAGCAAAAAGAAACATCACCTTTGTTGAACTTACAGGATGCTCTTCCCCTTTAAAAATAAAGCTCGTGTTTATTTACAGTAGGCAATGCTAGTTAAGTCTTGGTAAAGAGGAGAACCATGCATCTGATATTGGCATACCTTTGGAATGAAACATAGTACATGTTTAAACATATATTCCTTTGTAGCTGTTTCTCTTCTCTATTCCTCTCTCTAGACAAGAGATGAAAAATAGATTGTACTCTGCATGCCACTTCTAATCCATTGATTAGGAATGGCTTTCAAATGAAAATCTGAGAATCATTCTGAGTTCAGGGCCTTGTTCAGGAGTGAAGAATGTCATTCATGATTGACTATCAAGAGCACCAGAGACACAGAGGAAAGTGTTGGCATGCACACCGTGTACCCACAATCTCAACTTTTCATCTCACTGTTTGGAAGGAGGAAACTGGATGTGGGTGTTGTGAAAAGCCCTGGCTCATCTGATGATTTTGCCAACCTAAAATCAAAAAAAAAAATCAAATTTAAAGAGAGATTATTTGAGCACAAAGTTTGAGGACAGCCCACCCAGAAACACCAACTCTTAAAGAATGGAATCAGCATCCCAAAGTAGGGAAGTTAAGGCTTCCTTTATATAGGCAAAGACAGGGGAGTTTTTAGCAGGATTACAACATTTTTTATACGAGGTTGGCACATAGTTGTAGCAATTTAATTGGTGATTGGCACTGTTTCTTTTGAGGAAGGGTAATTTTAACAAATTTTAATAGAAGCTGTAATAGTCATGGGCTTTCTGTCATCTAGTCTAAGCAAGGAAGAACAACAAAGGGGAAATTAATCTATATGAAGGATCATTAATTAAGAAGGCAGGAGGTTTTTGTCCCTGACTTCGTTTAATTCTCTCTAGTCATTCTATAGGACAACAAAAATGACAAAGTGACTTAATATGTAATCTGAGAAACAGAAATTATAACCATAAGTTATAATTTCTCAGATCACAGTCAAATCTCTCTCAAGGCTTAAGGTTTTGAGGGGTTCCAACATCTTTTAAATTCTATTTATTTTCACAATTTCTAAGTGTCCTAGTCTGAGATGGGAAGATCCTTACCACATTAAAAATCTTCAAGTTTCCAGCCAATGTACTGAGTGCTTTGCATAAACAAATCCAATTAATCCTTCCTACACCCCATAAGACAGGTACCATTTTTACTTTATTTTATCAATACGGAAACAAAGCACAGAAGTTAGGTAACTTGTTCAACTTAACACTGCTAGGAAGAAACAGAGTTGATATTTGAACCCACATAGTTTGAGACTTGCATCCTCAAACACCCCACTAAACTGAACACATTCAGTTTTTCAATCATTATTCAGATTGTTATCATTAGAAGATATTAAAAAAGATCAAATTGGTTTTAAATGCAATTTTGGTAAGAGCCTCATTTAAATGAATGCTATTATATCATTTCAAAACAATAGTAAACATTTCATAGAACTTTTTATCCCAGTATAGCCACAGGGGTCAATTTCATAGCTTTCCTTTGTCAGTTAATGTCAGCATTACTCTTTTGTTGAACTTGAAGAACTAACTTCAAACTCTGCCACTATATTGTTAATCCTCCACCCCCAATTAAATATCCTTCTCATGACTATAGTTATATCACCTTGCCTTGCCTTATAGTGTATGATTTTATGATGATCATCAAATCCTGTTTATTAAGGGCCTCTCATTTTTGATATCCTAAAATAAATAGGGGAAACAGGCACAGTTCTTGTCTTTTTGAACCATGGATGCTTTGGTTTACTTAATTTTCATTTTAATTTTATAAAGGACCATTCAACATGTATTAAAGCATAATGATTTTTTCCCTTAATTTGAGAACTCTTTGCAAAGATAGGGGGAGATATGCATTCTATTGGACTATGTGTTTGGATGTGGAACCCATGTATACGAAAGGCCAACTGTATTTTCTCTGTTTACTCTCAGGTAAAGAAACTCAGTAATAGAGGGATCAGATAACCTGTCCAGAATCAAATAACTAGAGAATTTAGAGCCAAGCTTCAGACACAGACAGTGTGACTCAAAAGTCCAAATTCTAAGCAATTTTTCTACATTCTCTCTTAACTCTGTATGTATTAGTCCATTTTCACACTGCTATAAGGATACTACCTGAGACTTGGTAATTTATAAATAAAAGAGGTTTCATTGACTCACAGTTCTGCATGGTGAGGGAAGCCTCAGGAAACTTACCATCATGGTGGAAGGTCAAAGAGAAGCAAGCACCTTCTTCACGAGGAGGCAGGAGGAGAGAGAGAGCAACGAAGTGCCACACTTTAAAACCATCAGCTCTCGTGAGAACTCACTCGCTATCACAAGAACAGCAGGAGGGAAACCACCCATATGATCCAATCAACTCCCACCAGGTACCTCCCTCAAAACATAGGAATTACAATGTGAGATGAGATTTGGGTGGGGACAAACAACCAAACCATATCACCACACTTTACTTCTCTGTCTTCAAAAGAATAATCAGGCAGAAATACTTAAAGATTGCAGAATCAGAGAATATATCAAAAACAGTAGTAAGAAAATTGGATAGCAATCGAGGTACACATGGGGAAAAATATTGGATGTCTGGGAAATGTCGACTGCTGATCAGGGTGAAACAGGAAGTGATTGCAAGTTTTTGATGAGGGGTCACGTGCAAGAGAGACTTTAAGTACAAGATAGTATGAGCAAGAGCACATGGTCTAAAGTACAAGAAATTGTGGTGTCACTAAAATATAATTATGTCTCCAGATGAGTGGTGGTATTGAAGTTTTTCATCCAAACTTTCTTTCCAAGCAACTGTTAAAGAAAACCAGAGTTGGATGTTAATTAAAGTAGTAAAAACAGGCTTTAGTTCCAATGGGGGAAAGATATCTCAGTATAGAGTTGGGCTCAATTCCAAATACAGCATGGATAAGTGGGAATCTACAGCCAAGGAACAAGTTGGGGGTCAGCGGATGAAACACTACTAAGAAAAAACATTAGGGATAGGGGAAGATAATAGTTAAACAGACCTAACCTGATTCTTGCTGAAGGCAAGCCCCATTGATCAGATATCACCTGGCGGGTGGTGGGGGTATTCTCTCTAAATTGGCTTAGCAGGATTATTGCCAAAGCTGAATGATGCAAAGACAAACACAGAAGCCCAAAGGTTGAAGTCTAGTTGGAAGAGGGTTCAGAGGAGCCTCACCAATGTTTGATCAAGGAGAGGTTTGTTACTATCTTGATTAAGAATCAAGTTTCTTAATTATCTTTTTTTCTAAAGCTGGATTATTGGTTTGCATTCATTTTTTTCTACTAGATTCTTAGTCGGCTTTCCATTTTTGTAGTGTCTTATAGAGACAAAGTTAGGAAAAATATGCTATGTCAGGGCTCAGAAATGATATCCCAAAATATGGCGTCTTGGCATTTGAGAAAAAAGCAAAAGCAGGAAGGTCTTTCTGACTTTCCCCTCACCCTTCTTCCCTGAAGCAAAACTGTAAGATCTTCTCCTTCACTTCTTTCCTAAAGACCCTCATGTGACAGGTGTCCTACTCTATACCAAGAGGATAAAGTGTCACACAGGAGGCCAAGAACAATCTGAACAAATAGACCATGCTGAATTCCCGTCAGTTTATTACCATCAGATTATACCCTGGTGTTCTCCAATTACATTTTTGTATGACTGGCCATAAAAAATATACTTTTCCCTGAGTCTTTTGGTCTTCGTTTCTGAAGGCTGTCATGTCATATAAATTTTAAGTTCATTTATATGCTTTTCATTTATTCTGTTTCGTTATAGGTGTGTCCGCCATGAGTCTTGCATGGGGTAATGAAAAGACAGTACTTTTTCTCCCCTATAATTTCTGGCACCCAACACGAGGCCCAAACCCACCACCCAGAGATGGAGTCTTATGCTCTATCACTGAGCTAGATTCACCTGCAGCATTTTCCCCTCTACAGCAGTTATATAAAAACACCTTTAAAAGTTTGCCAAAATATTTTATCCCATATCATACTTGGTGATATTAGAAAAATATGCTTGATATATAATAGCTTTCTTTACAAATGACAATATTTTACATATAATACATATTTTACATATGCCATCAAAGATTTTAGCATTATACCAAATACATCTGAGCCCCTGTGTTAGAAATGAGAATTGAGGAGCTAATTTCCAATACATTTCTTGGCATAGTTTTAACTATTTTTAAGTGAACTGAAATCATTTTGAAACCTAATCTCCTCACTCTCCAACACATTTATCTATGTAATCTTTTAAAATTTCTGGTTTTAATGTGGATTTATAAAGTCCTGAGTATTACATAAAAACTAGTCTTTGACTAAAGTTGATGATCTTATACTCAGTACAAACATATCTTCAAACTCTTTGAGAGAAGATTCCTATTAGTGTAGCTGTCAACAACCTACAATAAAGTTGAATAGAAAGTACAATTATGTGATCAGTGCAAAAAAAAGCAAAGAAAAAGAAAAATTTGTACAGCATTATATATCTCTTCTAAAACGCACTTGATTAATAGAAGCAACATACTCAAATATTTCTCTAACTTGTAACAAAGAAGTTTACAACAACCATTCTTGTTCATTTAAAAATTAAATTCAAAAGAAGCAGAAAAAACCTGAAGAATAAAAATGACACAAGGGAAAGAAAATGGAAAAGTTATTTATTAGGAAGATAATAATGGTTACCACTTTTATGGTGCTTTATGCCTGTGAATTTCAAAGCTCTTCATTAAATGTTAGCTCAAAGGACTTCACACATGTTGTTTCACTTAGTCCTTTTCTGCTGGGACAATTAAAGACCATAAAGGCATAAAATGCAATAAAAGTCACCACTTCAGGGGGCAAAAACACAATGGGTATATTCTGTGCCAGACCATATTCCCAATAAGCAGGATTAAATTGTGGAATATATACGCCAGGTTGGCTCTCCACAGGCATCACCTGGGCAGTGATGATCACTCTAGTAAATCTGGGGCTGACGACGGGAAGAAACTCGATGAAGAAAAAAAAAAAGAAGTCACAGGCAAGTATTAAGGATAATAAATGAACGGGTCTGTTGGGGGCATTACTTCCTCTTGTACATCAATTAAATATGAAAGCAGTAGACCAACGTGGTTTGGAATGGCCCCTTTTGAATTCTTACTCTTTGTGAATACAGTTACAAAAGAGGACCTCTGAGGAAGAGTACTTCTCTTTGACTGAGATCATTAACTCCCAGCGCAGAGGCTAGGAGAAAAGAGGATTTAGATTTGGACTCCAAAGAGAATTTAAAAGTACATCCAATTTCCAACTCCCCCTAGGTGGTTTTCAGCAACGAAAAACTGTGGAGTTTTATAATGTCAGTAAGTATTAATAAGCTTAAATGTTCACTGAACTAAAAAAAGTGAAATATTAGGGCTCTACAGAGTAGGGCTTGGACAGTGCACTTGAAGCATATGCTCAAATCACTTTGAAAGTTTACTGTCTGGTAAGGAAAACACAAAGCTAACAAACACATATCATGTGCTAATGAATATAATTTGGGAAAAGGTATAAGATATTCTATTGGCAGTAACATCTCTGGGACAGTTCTTAGATGGAATTTACACCTAAAAGCTTCAACAATTAATTCTTGTCAAAAACATCTTGGAACCTTGAAATTGGATATTTCTATAATCAGGTCCCATTTAACTCCTCCCTGAAGCTACACCACCTTCTATGCCCTTTATTCATGTATATACATGGAATCATCCCAGACTTTATTTATTCATTTATTACTTTTTCTGTTAATAAACAAGGTCTTGCTCTGTTACCCAGGCTGGTGTGTAGTGGTGTGATCACAGCTCACTGTAACCTCAAACTCCTGAGCTCAAGCGATCCTTCCCACTTCAGCCTCTCAAAGCACTGTGATTACAGGTGTGAGTCACCAATCCTGGCCTTTTTTTCATCAATGATAGTTATTTTTAAAAAATGTTTTTTAGTCTGTTGGAAGGATGTAATTACTTTATGCCACAACAATAAGTGGTAACCTCATTGTAAAGACAGTGGTTAAAGTTGGTTGCCATAGCCTCAAGTTTCCCAGCTGCTACCCTTATTTCCTCAATAGTCTATTCTTAGCCCAGCCCCCAGGGTGTCCTTTCTAATGTCCTATCACATACAGCCAGAGTCCCCCACTACAGGTCTTGAGGATGAAAGTGTCCAATTTCTGAATCCCACGACCTCGGTTTTTTTCCTTCTCTCCCAGCTCCTAAACCTCCCAAGGCCAAAGCCAAAGGCTTTGAAAGCCAAGAAGGCAGTACTGAAAGGCGTCCACAGCCACAAATTCAAGAAGATTCACACACCACTCACCTTCTGGGGTCCAAGACACTGAGGCTCTGGAGACAGCCCAAATATCCTCGGAAGAGCACCCCCGGAAGAAACACCAGCCCTGGAGAAACATTCCCCTGACCACTGAGTTCATGGTGAAGAAGAGAGAAGACAACAGCACACTTGTGTTCATTGTGGATGTCAAAACCAACAAACACAGGATCAAACTGGCTGTGAAGTTCTCTGACGTTGATGTGGCCAAGGTCAACACCATGATATGTCATGGAGAGAAGACATATGTTCCATTGACTCCTGCTATGAGGCTTTGGATGTTGCCAACAAAATTGGAATCATCTCATACACCCAGCTGGCTAATTCTAAATATATATCTTTTCACCATTAAAAATATATATTTATAATATCATGTCCTATTTCTCCTCAGCTCAAAACCCTTCAGTGGCACTCCATTTTATTGGTGTCAAAGCCAAAGTCCTTTCAATGGTCTACAAAACACTGTTTGGCCAGGCCACCAAATACCTTGCTAGTTTCTTCTAGTTCTATTCTCTCTCACTTGGCTCCAGTCACACTGACCTCCCCGCCATTCCTTCAGTGCATGGGAATATCCCACCTTCAGACCATTGCTCCAATTCTTCTCATTTTGGGAATGTTCTTTACCCAGATAATAGCTTGACTAACTCCTTCTTTTATGTCTGACTTGGCTCAACAGTTTAATCTCAATGAGACTTACCCTGACCACCCTATTTCATAGTTCCAACCTGGATTCCAGCATTCCTAATCCCCTTACTCTGCACGACTTCTTTTTTTTCCCATGGTACTCACCACCTCTAACTCATTAGATCATTTATTTAGTCCTTAAGTTGACTATTTATTATCTGCCTGCCCAGTATAATGTAAGATCCTCAAAGGCAGAAACTTGTCTCTTTTGTTCACAGCTCCTAGAACAGTGCCGGGGACATAGGAATGCCTGGTAAATATTTGCTGAATGAATAAGTGAATGAAAATAACCTGAAATGAATATATCAGCATTTAAATCTTACTTCACCCTTTAATCAAAGGAGCACCAGCCACATCCTGTCTATTAAGTATCATTGGGATTGGTCACCTGATGATTTGAACTTTCTAGGTTTCCAGGTCTACATAACAATAAGCACTCACAGGACATATTCATTGTAAATGGCTCTTTCAGCTTGGATTTGTGAGAGATAATCACGTTGTAGGATTCATTGTCTCTAGGGAAAAAAAAGCCATTGAATTACATGATGATCCCTGCCTATTTGTCTATTTGTTGGGGTTGACATTTATATTTCTTTTATTTGTACTTTCTTGTGCTTAAGCTGTTATTTAAAACCAAAAATAATAGGCTAAAACAAGCCATCAAAAAGCAAAGGCATATTGACTTAATTTGGTATGCCCATAAATCATAGTTCTGATGGTGATCTACTTAAAGGTTTATTTTCAGTGGGGGGAGATTTTCTTTTAACAGGGAAATGGTCCATGTGCTGGTTATGTAATTTTAATTAGGCTATAATTATTCCTAATTTTTCTGTAAATCTGAAAATAAAAAGAAACATGAGGACAAGACTTCCTACTGGGGATCACTATTGGATTCTTTATTTGAAACTACTGATATTATGTGATCAGGCATGGGTTTAATGGCTTGAGATAATAGGTAGGTCACCCACACACATGCTTTAGGTATCTGGGAAGCTATGAGCATAAAAATACATAAAGGTGCTGATGTTTATTATAAATCAGATAAATAATAAATCTTATAGAAGTACATAAATTATTGTTTTCTAATACACATACACAGATGTATGCTATTGTGTGTAATAAGACAAAATTTTTTTGACATTCAAAACCTAACCTTATAACTTGTAGCTCGCACTAAGGAGTGCCTCCCTCTCAGCATGGACAAATCCAAACTCGCACTCTTTACTATCAAAACTGTCCGCTGCTTTCTCAGGCTGTTAAGAGTTTTCAACAGAAAAACTAAACCTGATTATTCCTTAATTTTTTCCTCTTCTCATTTTGTAACAGTTAATTTCCCCTCAAATCTTTTGCAGCTTTCCCTTCTCTCTGTCTTGGTTCTGCTTCATAGCACTTGGTTTGTAAGACTTTCTCCCATATAGAATTCCTATCTCCAGCCTCTCCCCCATCAATCCAACCATCCCATTATCATGGAAGTTATCTTTCCAAAGCTAAAATCTGAGCATGTCCTACTCCATACTCTATACTCACTGGTGCAACATACACTTATTTATTCTCGGAACCCAACTTATCTTTTCTCTCTTGCTCCCTCCATCTTCCTGTTTTCCCTTGTCACAGTATGCTATTCCCAGAATGGTTTGTGATGTCTCCTGTCTGGGTGTTTGTGTGGGCTTTTCCTCTGTCCCAGAAAGCCTATCTCTCATTCATCTCCCAAGCATGCCTCAAATATCACTTCTTATCTTAAGCCAGCTTTATTCCAACTGCCACTGACAGGGTTTGCCTTCCTCCACTGTATTCCCATTCAGTGTGCGCTTCTCACCTTAGGTTTCACGTTTCTCTCCATGTGTGTATAAGAATATATATACCAAACCTTGAAACTGCTTATTTATACACACACATAGATCTCTAGAGCTCTAGATCTGTATCCAATCTATCAGTATGTAATAGATCGTTATTCACAGATGTCGTATTTGCAAATTCACCTGTATTGAAATTCATTTGTAAACCCAAAATCAATGCTCGCTGCACTCTTTCCAGGCCATTCCCAAAATGAGCAAAGAGGAGAAACATTTGAGTCACTCATACTGCACATTCCCAGCTGAGGTGGAATAAGGTAACACTCCACTTTCCTGTTTTGGGTCTCATACTGCGAACAAGTGTTTCTTTCCTGGTACATCTAGTGCTCCATTTTTTTTTTTTTTTTTTACATTTTTGTGATTTTTCTTGGTGATTTAAGTGTTTAAAATGGCTCCCAAGCATAGTGCCGAAGTGTTGTCTAATGTTCCTAACCTTAAGAAGGCTATAATATATCGTACAGAGAAAACATATGTGTTAGGTAAGCTTCATTCAAGCATGAATTACAGCACCGATGGCAATACGTTAAATGTTAACATATATAAACGTTTAAATTCATACAAAAATATGTATTATATAATCTATCTTTAAGCAGAAACACAAATAAGGTTATATATTGATCAACTGATAAAAATGTTATAACTGGAGGCTCATAAGAACTTAATCTCATATTTTCCCTAGAGGCAAGGATCAGTATTTACTGTTTGCAGAGACTTTATAAATTATAACTAATGTGAATTACAAGAATCAACTGTATATATATGTATATGATCGTCCCTTAGCATTGGTCGGGGATTGGTTCCAGGATCCCTGCAAATACTAAAATCTGCAGATGCTCAAGTCCCTTATACAAACTGGCATAGTATTTGTATATAACCTATGCACATCCTCCCGAACACTTTATACAATCTCTAGATTACTTATAGTACCTAACACAATGTAGCTGTTGTGAAAATAGTTGCTATATTGTATTTTTATCATTTTTTGTTGTTGTATTGTTACTTTTTTATTATTGGTGTTGTTTTAGTTTTGTTTTTTTTTTGTTTGTTTGTTTGTTTTTTTTTTTGCCTGAATAGTTTTGGTCTGAAGTTGATTGAATCTGTGAATGTGGAACCCATGGATATGGAAAGCTGCCTGTATATCCTTTGCAAGCAACTGGTCCTCACTCTTCTCTTTATTTCTAGAGTCCAGCAGGGTGCCTGACATGTAGCAGATATTCGATATATCTTTGAAAACAAAATAAACAAAGGAAAATGAGACATGAAGACATTTTAGTTGCAAAGAAGAAACTTGCCTTTATTGATTTAAGCAAGAATCAGGTTTACAAAAAGGCAATTGTCAGCTCAGAGGAGAGCTAGGAAGGCTCAAAATGGGGCAGGTAAAATAAGCAGGAGAAAATGAAGGATAATCAGCCAGAGACCAGCCAGAATCGTGCCCCAGAAACAGTGTGGTGGGGCTACCAGTGCTACAACCACTCAATATGGCACTCCACAGCTTATACCACTTTCATCACCAGAATGAAATGTGGCCATTCATATCTCCCTTCTGATGTCCCCCAGAAGTGGGATTTTTCACAATCCCTGCTCTTGTGTTTTATTATATCTAGATTTAAATTACCATATGGGTAAGGTTGATGGGTGAGCCTGGTCGCATGCCCATACCCTAGCTGGCTTTTTAATTTCCATAGTAAACAGAGGGCTGCCTTCTGCTAGAACCCATTCAGACATTTCCAAAATATCAGAAAGATATGGAGTGTTTCAGATGCTGGTCAATGAAAACAATAACGTGTAATGCAGGTTTTTTTTAATCTTTAAACACCCTTGCATTAGTCCTCCATCTCCAATAATGCAGAAAAATAAAAATCCTCCAGAATATAGTGGCTCCCAACAATAGCAATTTAAGGCTCACTCCTGGTTCTGTGAATCAGCTGTGACTCACAGGGAGTTGCCTGGGGGTTTGGGTTCAGATCTGTTCCACGTGTCTCTCATTCTGGCATCAGTGATTACCTAGGGCAAAATCTTCTCAAAACTGATAGCAGAAGTAAAAAGGCCAGTCAGAACCCTAGATGTGCTAAAGCCTCTGACTGCATGAACATAGTCAGTAAAGTTCATTGGCTAAAGCAAATCACATACCAAGCCCAACATCTGCAGGCAGGACATATTATTCACCTACTCTGGTGGGAGGTGCTGCAAATTCACATGGCAAATGTCTTGGATGTTTAATTCTATCACAGGAAGGAAATAAATTGGGAATAACAAGCCTGTCTACTACTGTAGTAACGGAAGTGTTCTAATTTTGTCTAGAACAATTGGAACGCTGCTGTTGATATTGTCAATATTACTGAAATCATTTTGGTTTATAACATTGATGTACTAACATTCACTGTCCCAAGTGATCTTCCCTTTCTGTCCTAATTGTATTTAAAATATTTTTCATGACAACCTCCCTCCACCTAATACAACTCCTGTTTTCCAGTCTCTCTTGCTTGCTAAAAATCAAGTTGAATATTAAGGAAAAGGAAATTTTATACTTTGTAGTTTGAAGCATGACCTAATTTTCAATGCTTTTTCCAAAGGGCAAGCGAGGTATATAGGGGACACAGCCATACAGGCTCTAAATAGGGATTGCAACCAGGGCTCCACATTAGAATCATATAAGAATCACCCACGAGAGATTTGTTTAAATGCTTTTGCTGGAGGGCTACTCCGTATCAATTATATCAGACACTGAGGTAGGGTCCAAGTATTCTAACAACATCTCCAAGTGATTTGTAAGCACATTAAAGTTTGAAAAGCGCTGCTCTACAGTAAAACGGTTGGAATTTTAAGCCTGATATAACCACATGTCGGTGGGTTCCAAGCCATGTTGTTTGACATTTTATTTCCTCATTCGAGAAATTAGAATAATCAAATGTTTACCTTGCATACTTGTTCAATGATTGTGAAATGTAACAATAATGTAAAATATAGAATGAGAGGCATGTAACGAGTACAGGATAAAAAATAGTGCCTTACTAGTATTATTATCTCAACTTTGGCCTCTCCACGGCCTTAGGCAAATTAAGTTTCCTCCCCGGGGGAAATTTTATCATGTAAAATGATGAATGAAAATTCTCTGATTTTCCTTTCTTTTCTAACATTCAGCGATTTCCTGGTATCCCCTAGAAGTTATTATTCCATTATTGTAGAAATAGGTTATTTCTTTGCATGTATGCTTTAACATAAGGATTAAAAATAATAGCAAAGAAAATGTATGACATCTCTTTTTCTTGAGATATCTTTTGTGATTTTTTTTTCTGCGTTGTGGAATCTATGTTTAGAGACATGCAATGTTTAAATGTGATTTGGACAGAAAGGCAAAAGGAAAAAAATAGTTTCTATGTGTTATTAGCCTGGGTTATCTAGAGAAATAGAATGTATATACATATAAGTATATATGTATAAATCATAAGGAATTGGCTTGTGTGGTAATTATGGAAGCTGAGAAGAACTATGATCTCCAGTTAGCAAGCTAAAGACCCAAGAAAGCCAGTGGTACACTTGCAGTGTGAGTCTGAAGGCCTGAGAATCAGGAGAGCCAATGGTGTAAGTTTCAGCCCCAGTTTGAG
Source organism: Homo sapiens (assembly GCF_000001405.40). NCBI lineage: Eukaryota > Metazoa > Chordata > Mammalia > Primates > Hominidae > Homo > Homo sapiens. Next base: position 1,736,313 of record NC_000003.12, read on the forward strand.
TCAAAACCTGGGAGAAGACCAATGTCCCAGTTCAAAGATAGGCAGAGAACGAATTCTTCCTTCCTCTGCTTCTTTGTTCTATTCAGGCCTCTAATAAATTGGATGAATCCCACTCACAGAGGAAAGGAAATCTAATTTACTCAGTCTACAGATTCAAATGTTAACCTCCTCCAGAAACATCCTTACAGAAACACCAGGATAATATTTAACCAAATACAGTCATGCATTACTTAAGTATGGGACACATTCTGATAAATGCTTAATTAGGTGATTTTGTTGTTGTGTGGACATCATTGAGTGTATATACACAAACCTCGATGGTACAGTTTACTGCACACCTAGGCTATGTGGTGTAGAGACTGTTGCTGCTAGGCTACAAACTTGTATAGCATTTGACTGTATTGAACACTGTCAGCAATTCTAACACAACGGTAAGTATTTGTATATCTGAACATATCTAAACATATAAAAGGTACAAGAAAAATACAGTATTATACTCTTATGACACCACAGTCATATATGCAGACCACCATCCTGGACTGAAATCCTTTACTGAAATGCTTTTTCTTTCCGAATTTTACTTTAGGTTAAGGGGGCACATGTGCATGTTTATTACATGAGTAAATTGTGCATTGCCAAGGTTTGCTGTACAGATTATTTTGTCACCCAAATAGTCAGCATAATACCTGATAGGCAGTTTTTCAATCCTCATCCTCCTCGCACCCTCCACTCGCAAGTAGGCAGGGCCCTAGTGTCTGTTGTTCACTTCTTTTTTTTTTTTTTTGATTCGGAGTCTCGCTGTCGCCCAGGCTGGAGTGCAGTGGCGGGATCTCGGCTCACTGCAAGCTCTGCCTCCCGGGTTCCCGCCATTCTCCTGCCTCAGCCTCCCGAGTAGCTGGGACTACAGGCGCCCGCCACCACGCCTGGCTAATTTTTTGTATTTTTAGTAGAGACGGGGTTTCACCGTTTTAGCCGGGATGGTCTCGATCTCCTGACCTCGTGATCCGCCCGCCTCGGCCTCCCAAAGTGCTGGGACTACAGGCGTGAGCCACCGCGCCCGGCCTGTTGTTCACTTCTTTGTGTTCATGTATACTCAATACTTAGCTCCCACTTATAAGTGAGAACTTGCAGTATTTGGTTTTCTGTTGCTGTGTTAATTTGCTTAGGATAATGCCCTCTTGCTCCATCCATGTTGCTGCAAAGGACATGATTTTGTTCCTTTTTATGCCTGTGTAGCATATTATGGTGTATATCTGCCACATTTTCTTTCTCCAGTCCACCACTGATGGACATCTAGGCTGATTCCATGTTTTCGCTATTGTGAATACTGCTGCAATGAATATTTGTGTGCATGTCTTTATAGTAAAATGATTTATATTCCTTTGGGTATATACCCAGTAATGGGATTGCAGGGTTGAATGGTAGTACTGTTGTAAGTTTTAGAGAAATCTCCAAATTGCTTTCCACAGTAGATGAGCTAATTTACGTTCCCAATAGCATTGTGTAAGTGTTCCCTTTTTTCTGCAACCCCACCAGCACCTGGTTTTTTGCTTTTTTTGTGTTTTTTTTTTTTTTTTTTGACTTTTTAGTAACAGCCATTCTGACTGATGTGAGATGCTATCTCATTGTGGTTTTCCATTTGCATTTCTCTAACGATTGATGATACAGAGCATTTTTTTCATATGCTTATTGGCCACATGCATATCTTCTTTTGAGAAATGTCTGTTCACGCCCTTTGCCCATTTTTAAATGAGGTTCTTTTTCTGCTTGTTGATTTAAGTTCCTTATAAATTTTGGACATTAGACCTTTGTCAAAAGCATAGTACGCAAATATTTTCTTCCATTCTGTAGGTTGTTTGTTTATTCTGTTAATAGTTTCTTTTGCTGTGCAGAAGCTCTTTAGTTTAACTAGGTCCCACTTGTCAAGTTTTGTTTTTGTTGCCATTGCTTTTGCCATCTTTGTCATGAAACCTTTGCCAGGGACTATATACAGAATGGTATTTCCTAGTTATTTTTTCTAGAATTATAATAGTTTTAGGTTTTACATTGAAGTCTTTAATCCATCTTGATAAAGGAAATAGCCCAGTTTTAATCTTATGCATATGGCTAGCCAGTTATCCCAGCACCATTTATTGAACGGGAATTCCTTTCCCCATCGTGTGCTTTTGTCCACTTTGTCAAAGGTTAGATGGTTATAGGTATATGGCATTGTTTCCGGGCTCTCTATTGTGTTCCACTGGTCTATGTGTCTGTTCTTGTACCAGTACCATGCTGTTTTGGTTACTGTAGCCCTGTAGTATAGTTTGAAGCTGCATAGTATGATTGATGTCTCTGGCTTTGTTCTTTTTGCTTAGGATTACTTTGGCTATTCGGGCTCATTTTTTGTTCCATGTGAATATTAAAATAGTATTTTCTAACTCTGTGAAAAATGTCATTGGTAGTTTGATAGAAATAGCATTGAACCTGCAGATTGCTTTGGGCCGTATGGCCATTTTGACAATATTTATTCTTCTTATCCATGAGCATGGAATATTCTCCCATTTGTTTGTGTCATCTCTGATTTCTTTGAGCAGTGCTTTGTAATTCTCATTGTAGAGATCTTTCACCTCCATGGTTGGCTATATTCCCAGGTATTTTATTCTTTTAGTGGCTACTGTGAATGGGATTGTGTTCTTGATTTGGATCTCAGCTTGGACGTTATTCATGTGTAGAAATGCTACTGATTTTTGTACACTGATTTTGTATCTTGAAACTTTCTTGAAGTTGTTTATCATATCTAGGAGCATTTGGGCAGAGACTATGGAGTTTTCTAAGTACCGAATTATATCATCAGCAAAGAGACAGTTTGACTTCCTCTCTTCCTATTTGGATGTCTTTTATCTCTTTCTCCTTCCTGACTGCTCTTGCTAGGACTTCCTGAAATGTTGATACCCCATGCAGGACTGCATCTGGACACACCGTAGACCAGTCAAGTTGAAACATAAAATTAACCCTCACACTACGTGATATCATTAAATCAAACTTCCTCCCTCTTGAAGCTTCTCAGACTTCCAAACCTGTAGAGAAACATTTGCTAAGTTAAAGACATATGTTTTGCCTTATGTTGCAGTTTTCTTCAGTTTTTATCTGTTTCTGTACAGGTTGCTTATTATTGAAAATTTTTATCCACAAAGGTAGTTATTGGGTATCCAATCTTCATGCTGTATTTTAGTTCTCATTTTATGTTTGCCATCCTTCATGGTATCAACATGCAGTAGAATTACTAACATAAATTAGTAATGCATTTTTACATGTTGTTAGTAATTATCTTATTTCTTACTATGATTACCATGTCATAAATAACATATTGAATATTGAAATACATACATTACAACTAGAACGTGATCTCCCAAGTGACGGAAAACTTGCCTCTCTTATCCTCCAAGCTTATAGCAAAGGACCTTGTCGATAGTAGCAGTTAATATCCTTAAATGAATAAATTTAATTTTTCCATCTCTATGACTAAGAGGCCATATGAAATTTACCAATATGAAAATTGTATCAGTTCTCTATTACTACAATAATGTTGTGTAATAAAACAATCACTGTATCTGAGTAGCATAGAATATACATTGATTCCTCACATATGTGCAGGTTAGCCAGTCAATTCATGCAGGACAGATTGAGTAGGAACAGCTCTGCTCCTCATGCATTGATCATAGGATTCAGGATCAAAGAGAAGCAACTACCCAGGAGAACCTTTTCTCTTGGTAGTGACAGAATGCAAGACAGTAAGCTAAAACACAGAAGGCCTCTTAAGACCTAAGATTAAAAATGGCATGCTATCCTCCATCCACATTTCTTTGGCTAAAACAAGGCCCATAGTCAAGCCCAAAGTCAAGGACAGAAGTAATACACTCTATCCACAATTAGTTCATGACAGTGGTGCAGATACAAGAGAGGGGGAAAAGAGAAGAATGAGAGTTAGTAATTTAATCTACCTAAAAAGCTGAAGTTGGCCGGGCGCGGTGGCTCACGCCTGTAATCCCAGCACTTTGGGAGGCCGAGGCGGGCGGATCACGAGGTCAGGAGATCGAGACCATCCTGGCTAACACAGTGAAACCCCGTCTCTACTAAAAAACACAAAAAATTAGCCGGGCGCGGTGGCGGGCGCCTGTAGTCCCAGCTGCGCGGGAGGCTGAGGCGGGAGAATGGCGGGAACCCGGGAGGCGGAGCTTGCAGTGAGCCGAGATGGCGCCACCGCACTCCAGCCTGGGCGACAGAGCGACACTCCGTCTCAAAAAAAAAAAAAAAAAAACTGAAGTTAAGAGAGGTCATTTAAAGTCGGGCACAGTGGCTCTTGCCCGTAGTCCCAGCTACTCACGAGGCTGAAGCGAGGAGATTGTTTCAGCCAAGGAGTTCAAGGCAGCAGTGAGCTATGATCGTGCCACTATACTACAGACTGGGTGACAGAGTGAGACTCTGTCTCTAAAAGAAAAAAAAAATAAGAGATGCCATTTAACTTTACAAGATCACCAAATTAGTTTTCCCTACAGCCAATACTTGACCCCATATTGCCGCTGACTCCAAAGTTTTTAAACACTTCACTATGCTGTGATCAAGAATCCACAAAGAAGCCATTTTTGGTAACTTGGTAAATATTATACCCTCTTTTTTTGCAGTGAGTTTAGTACAAGAAATATAACTAAATTAAAACACAATGCATCTATCACCTTGTTGAGTATGGGGATCTTACAGCTGCAAAGGATTTAATTAAAAGTTGATGATTTAATAGGCAGGTTCCATCTATTGTGTACTCTGGAGGGTGAGATTCAATTTAAAATTGGGTTCCAAATTTCATTTTGGAACAGCATACTTGTCATCGGCTGGCAGAAAATATCCCAAAGGAAACAGACATGTCCCTGAATAGGGAGCACTGAATCAGACAGCCAAGAGCAGCTAAAAAGTTAAACAACAAATATTTTATGTACTTTGGTTCTGGTTCTAGGAAGTTCTAGGCATTCAGTTGTAGATATTTAATTGCAGGTTTTTTGCCCACTTTTCTCATGCCAATTGTTCTTAAAACATACATTTCTTTGGATAAATACGATTTTTGTATCTATTTTTTAAATAACACCATCATTCCTTGATGCAACAAAATACAAGTTAATAAATACTGCAAAGCTAAAAAATCCCCTGTAATTTTTAGTCAACTACAGGTTGAGAATGAGAAAGGAATACAGGATCATTACTTATGTTACAATCTCAAAGTACCACAAGGTTTGGGCCTTGACTTCATCTCAGAAATGTTCTCACCTTTTAAAATGCTCTTTCTCTTAGCAATAACTATGTTATGTGGTAAGTGTCCTCTACTTTCGCATTTATTGTCTGCCTGAAATTGGTACACATTTATGAAATCATTATTCTTGCTGTCTGATCTACAGGAAACTAGGGATCATTAACTACCCCTAGTAGCTGATTCTTGGCTTCCTTTCTTACCATGAAATATCCTTAAATTGTAAAGGGTTTGAGTTTATAGATAGAAATTTGTCAATCTCTCTTTTCCAAAGAACAAAAATCACAATGTGTTGAATGAATATTAGTGTATTTGTTTGTAGATGCACACTCTCATGCACCACTACATCCTCAAGTGTATATAATACATCTAGAGAATAACTACCAATATTTTAAAATTAGAACTTTGCCTTCCCTGTCATTCCATTTTTGGCAAGCATTTAAAATGTTGATTTTCTACAAACCTGAAGTGTGTTTGTTTTATTGCCAGAGAAATGTACAAGTTATATTAGAGGCAAAAGATTAAGATAGTGTCTTTTACAAATAGGCCAACGAGATTGCCATGCTGGGATAGGCTCATTTCCAAAGGCTGTGCCATCATTCATGATGGCTATGATCTGCCTGTGCTGACTGCCACCTATCACACTGCCAAGTGTTCCCTGGGCCAGATCATCACCACCAATGCTGAAAATCAAGTTTTAGTCTTCCTAATTTCCAAATTTCCATAAGTAGTGTCAACATTTTAAAATCTCTCCAAATAAAGTGGTCTTGCATGTGTGAAATCACAGAGTCAGAAAGAGCTTTATGATGTTGCCTTCACAGAACCAGATGCAAATTAACATGGCATTGCTCTTAAAATGTAATGGTTGCTTCCAGTGCTGCGGCCTACAATTTGCGTCCCAGAATGGAAGCTTCAGGGGCCCCTACTGTGAACACCAGCCACATGTCAAAATAACTGAGGTGACCTTTCAAAGCCACCAATTTTGTTTTCTCTTAAAAAATAAAAAAAGGCTTTTCCTCATGCAGTATGACTAGTAGTCAAGCCAGGAGCTAATAAAAAAAAATCCTGGAAGAATATATAAATAGGAAACCAGAATTATAAATAGAATCAAATAATTCTGTATTCAAAATTTGCTTTTGCCACTTACAAGCTGTAGACCCATGGGCAGAGACTGTTAGTGTTTAGTTCCTTTTCTGTTAAATACGATATGAATTCTGGAGGTTAGCATTTATTGCACACTTACTATACTGACACATATGCAGAGTGATTTGTAGGTATTTTCTTATTTACTCCATTCAATGATTATAGAATATTAATACTTTCCCCATTGTTTACAAAAATGGGCTTACAGAAGTTAAGCAAAAGCACAGGCAGAATTAAATAGTAAATGCATAGTATAGCATATGAGTCAGTTCTCACACTGCTATAAAGAACTACCTAAGACTGGGTAATTTATAAAGAGGTTTAATTGACTCACAGTTCCACATGGCTGGGGAGGCCTCAGGAAACTTACCATCATGGTAGAAGGCAAAAGGGGAGCAAAGCACATTCTCCCATGGCAAAGCAGGAGAGAGAGAGAGAAACGAGAAGTGCCACACACTTTTATACAAACAGATCTCCTGAGAACTCACTCACTATCACAAAAATAGCAACTGGGAAGTCTGCCCTGATAATTCAATCACCTCCTACCAGGCCCCTCCCCTGACACATGGGGATTATAATTTGACATGAGATTAGAGTGACACAGAGCCAAATCATATCCTTCCACCCCTAGCCCCTCCCAAATCTTATGTCTTTCTCACATTTCAAAACCAATCATGCCTTCCCAACAGTCCACCAAAGTCTTAACTCCTCCCAACATTGACTCAAAAGTCCAAATCCAAAGTCACATCTGAGATAAGGCAAGTCCATTCTGCCTATGAGCTGATAAAATAAAAAACAAGTTCGTTGCTTCCAAGATACAATGAGGGTACAGGTATTGCATAAATGGTCCCACTCCAAATGGGAGAAATTGGCCTAAACATAAAGGCTACAGGCCCTACGCAAATCAGAAACCCAGCAGGGCAGTCAAATCTTAAAGGTCCAAAATAATCTCCTTTGACTCCATGTCTGACAACCAGGGCATGCTAATTCAAGAGGTGGACACCCAATGCCTTGGACTGCTCCACACCTGTGGCTCTGCAGGATAAAGCCCTGTTTTCACAGGCTGGTGTTGAGTGCCTGTGGCCTTCTAGGCACATGGTGCAAGCTGCCCATGGGTCTACCATTCTGGGGTCTGGAGGTCAGTGGCCCTCTTCCCACAGCTCTACTAGGCAGTGCCCAAGTGGAGATTCTGTGTGGGGGCTCCAACATCACATTTCCCCTCCACACTGCCCTAGTACAGGTTCTCCACGAGGGCTCCAAACCTACCACAGACTTCAGCCTGGTCATCCAGGCATTTCCACACATCCTCTGAAATCTAGGCAGAGGTTCCCAAACCTCAGTTCTTGCCTTCTGCACACCCAAAGACCCAACACCACATGGAAGCCACCATGGCTTCAGGCTTGCAGCCTTTGAAGCCACAGCCTCTGAAGCCACAGCCTGAGCTGTACATTGGCTCCTTTTGGCCACAACTAGAGTTGGAGCGTCTAGGACACTGGGTACTATGCCCTGAGGCAGCATAGAGCAGTAAAGCCCTGGGCCTGGCCCACAAACCCATTTTTCCCTTCTGGGCCTCCAGGCCTGTGATGGGAAGGACTGCTATGAAGATCTCTCACATGCCGTGTAGACATTTTCTCCATTGTCTTGGCTATTAACACTTGGCTTCTCTTAGGCAAATTTCTGCAGCTGGCTTGAATTTCTTCCCCAGAAAATTTGTTTTTCTTTTCTACCACATAGTCAGGCTGCAAATTTACCAAACTTTTCTGCTCTGCTTCCCTTTTAAACGTAAGTTCCAATGTCAGATCATCTCTTTGTGAATACATATGACTGTATGCTGTCAGGACCAGCCAGGTCACCTCTTGAATGCTTTGCTGCTTAGAAATTTCTTCCACCGGATACCCTAAATTATCTCTCTCAAGTTCGAAGTTCCACAAATCGCTATGGTAGGGGCAAAATGCCACCAGTCTCTTTGCTAAAGCATAGCAAGAGTGACCTTTACTTCAGTTCCCAATACATTTGACATCTCCATTTGAGACCACCTCAACCTGGATTTCATTGTCTGTATTACTATCAGCATTTTGGTGAAAGCCATTCAACAAGACTCTAGGAAGTTCCAAACCTTCCCACATCTTTTTATCTTCTTCTTAGCCCTCCAAACTGTTCCAACCTCTGCGTGTTACCCAGTTCCAAAATCGCTTTCACATTTTCAGGTATCTTTATAGCTGTACCCCATTCCCAGTACCAATTTTCTGTATTAGTCCATTTTCACACCACTATAAAGAACTACCTGAGACTGGGTAATTTACAAAGAAAAGAGGTTTAATTGACTCACAGTTCTACGTGACTGGGGAGGACTCAGCAAACTTATCATGGTGGAATGCAAAGGGGAAGCAAGTCACGTCTTACATGGCAGAGCAGAAGAGAGAGACAGAAAGAAATAGGAAGTTCCACACACTTTCAAACAACCAGATCTCATGAGAACTCACTCACTATCATTAGAATAGCAAGGGGAAGTTCGTCCCATGATTCAATCTCCTCCCACAAGGCCCCTCCCCTGACACATGGGGATTACAATTTGACATGAGATTTGGGTGGGGACACAGAGCCAAGCCATATTATATAGCAATTGGTTCATAGCAGGCGTTCAGGAAATACTAGTTTAGGAGATTCCATTCTTCCACTACTTAAAATTCTTCTTAAGCTGCTCATACTAATGTCATTCAGTGTTGGTCTTCTAAAAATATTAGTTCAGCCATCTTTAGCTTATGGATCTGACTATTCCAGTTACTTTCAATTTCAAGGAGTCCAATATATGTTGCAAAACCAGACCCCTTGCACATTAATTTATTACAAAATATTTACTGATCATCTGTAGTATGTTAGGCAAGGGAAACTTAGTAGAGCAAAAAATAGTTGAGCTCCTTGCTCTCATGGAACTTAATTCGAGCAGGGAAAATGGAAAACAAATGAAAGAAATGAGACATAAACAAGGCTGAATGCTGACAATGGGAGAGAGTGCCACTTCAGATGCATGGCCAGGGAAGACTTCATTTAGGGATGTATTATAAGTTTGCCAAGGCTACACAGGAAAGTAGCAAAAACCAGGTGGCTTAAAAAACAGAAATGTATTGTCTCACAGTTCTGGAGGTTAGAAGTCCTAGATTAAGCCATCATCCTGCATGGTTGGTTTTTTTCTGAGGGCTGTGATGAAGACTGTTCCAGGTCTCTCTCCTAGCTTCTGGTAGCCTCAGGCACTCGACCTGTAGACTGCACCCTCCACGTGTCTTCACTGTCTTTCCCCTATCCTTAGATCCATGTCCAAGTCTCCCTTTTTATAAGGACACCACTCATATTGAGTTAGAGTCCACCCTAATGGCCTCATTTTAACTTCATCATCTGTAAAGACCCTATTTCCAAATTAGGTCACATCCACAAATACTGTGGGTTAGGACTTCAACATCTTTGGTGGGGGGCAGATAAAATCCAACTCATAACAGAGGGTGAGATTTAAAATATGTGCCAAAGAATAAATACCTGTTTGGTGAGGGAGAAGCATGCTAGGTAGAGAAGGAGTAAAAAGGACTTAAAAGTACTCACTAAAAACAGGTAACAAAATGTTCACATAGCACTAATAAGAAACCCAAATTGGAAACTAACCAAATGCTTATCAGCAATTGGATGAATACACTGTAGTACAGTCACACAATGGAAAACTATTCAGCAAGATTCAGCAAACCACAGATCTTGGGCCAAATGTAGACCACTGCTGGTTATTGTAAATAAAGTTGCATTGGAACGCAGTCGCTACCTCAATTCATTTATACATTATATATAGCTGTTTTCACTCTATAACTCAGTTGAGCAGTTGTGGCAGACACCACATGACCCAAAAAACTGAAATTATTTACTATCTGCCCCGTTTTAAAAAAACATAGTTTTCTTACCTCTACTTATAGCAGATAAAAGATCATTTAGGAATATTACACAATAACATGAATGAATCTCACAGGCAGATACAATTTCATGCCAAACAAGTTCAACACAGAAGATTAGATAATATACGACCTATTTATAATAAAAAAATAAACAAGCAAAAGTAATTTCTGTGGTTAGAAGTCACAACGGTGATTATTCTTGCTGGGATAAAGTTACTAGAAGGGAGGTAGTGACAGGAGAGTGTAGGGTGGTGGGGTAGGAGAGCAGGGGACAGGGGGTTTGGGGTTTCCAGGAATGATTGTTCGGTTTCTTTATCCAGGTGCTTGTTACATGGATGTGTTCCATTTCAGTTTGTGAAAATTCATGGAGATTTGTACTTATACTCAATTTTGTGTCCCTATATAGTAAAACGTTGTTTTTATATTTTAAATATTAAAAGTAAATAAAGATAGCAAGCTTTGTATATTTCTAGAACTAAAAAGAGGCTGACCTTGGATATTTGAAACATTAGATATATTGGAATTAAGATTTTAATTTGTGTGATTGCTGTTCTTTATTCAGAGCTGAAAAAAAAAGAACTTTCCTCAATGATGGACATGTTCTACTTGGGGCTGTCTAATTCAGCAACCACTAGTCATATGTGTCTGTTGAGCACTTGAAATGTAACTGCTGTAACTGAGCAACTAAATTTAAATTTTATTTAATTTTATGTAGTTATTTTAATTAGTTCAATTTTAATTTATTTAAATTTAATTAGTTTAATTTAGCCCCATGTGGATGGTGGCTACTGTCTCGCAGGCACAGCTGTCTCTATCCTATGGCACAACTCTCTATATCCCATGCATTCTCCTCACCTTGATCTAACCCCCACATCCTTTCTCAGGTTCATGCTGTGTAATATCTAGAAAAATAAAAATAATCTCAGGTTCTATCATACTCCAAAAACAAGTGCATCTAATGTTTTTAGGAAATCTAAAATTGCTTTTCTAATTTGTGCATGTTTTATTTTCATAGGGTGTAAACTGAATGACTAATAAAGAGCATAGATTTAATGGTTCCTTGGGTTTATTAGCTAACACACTTGACTTTAAGATTCTCTTGCCTATTACAACTTTATAAATCTTTTTAAAAGGGTGTTGTTTTAATGTTGTATATCTGTACAGATATAGGAAATGGAAAAAAATTACCTTCTGAATCAGTTGTGCCCTCAATTGCAGTAGTGTTAATTTGAGGCATCTTCTCTTTGGTGCCAAGAAAATAACAGATAATAGATATTGTACATTGAAAAGAAAGTTATGGTGTTCAGAAAGGCCAAATCAATGGAAAATTCTAAGCTTTATGTGGATAATATACCTCAAACATACCTTTTATGGACATTTGTAAAAGTATTTTAATGATATTTTTAGGTGTTTTATGTTTCCAAAACACATACAGTAATCATAAAATGTTCATTCAAACATCATTTCAAATATAGACACAAACACATTTATAAAAACAAGGAAAGAGAACTATTCAAATTTGGAATAGCCAATCATGTTACTATGAGGGTTTACCACTTCGAAGTTGTCAGCTTAAAGATACACTTCTGATTTGGGACAGACTTTTTTAATATAAAAGTTTAAATTAAGATAATCTATTAAATTATAACTCCTTGAATCAAAAAAAAATCCAATGAAATCACCTTTGGAAGAGTTCATTTTTTAGATTAAAGGCAAATGACAAAAGTAAAGAAGTTAACACCATAAATATATCTAAATAACTCTTATTGTCTTATATATGTCTATAAATAAATAGTGATATATGAGAATCAGTTGGTAGTTCTTTTTCTGATACTCTAAAATATTTAAGTGTCCTCTAAGCAAAAAGATTAAAATGCTGCTTCATAAAGTTTGTTATAGGAGTCATATTGTGCTTCAATTTTTAAAAATCAGCTTGTTTCTGTGGTGCTCATTATGGGTGAAAATTTTGCGTTATGTCAAATTCATTAACCATGTCCTGACCACCATGTACTAACAGGAAAGTGGTGGGGTGGCGGGGAGTGCACACGCATGTTCATGTTCACTCAGGGGATCGCATGTATATATTTATGGTTATGTGGAAACAGTGATTACTTTCTGTATTTTTAGGTGTGGTGGGAAAAACTGACGAATGATCTGTCTCTAGAAGTTCTGATAATACATGCAGTCTATTGATAGAGAAGGACTTCCCAGATGAACTGAAGCATTTTTTAGCATCAGTTTATAATTCTCTGACTCCATCTTCAAGCACACTTAGAATAGATTGGATGCAGTTGGATCCCATTATATAATCCATTAGTGATTAAAAATGGGTTAGCAGGCCAGGTGTGGTGGCTCATACCTGTAATCCCAGCACTTTGGGATGCTGAGGTGGGTGGATCGCTTGAGGTCAGGAGTTAGAGACAAGTCTGGCCAAGATGGTGAAACCCTGTCTCTACTAAAAATACAAAAATTAGCCAGGCATGATGGCAGGTGCCTGTAATCCCAGCCACTCAGGAGGCTGAGCCAGGAGAATCCCTTGAACCCAAGGGGCGGAGGATGCAGTGAGCCAAGATCGCACCACTGCACTCCAGCCTGGGCGACAGAGCAAGACTGTATCTCAATAAAAAAGGGGGGGTTAAAAGTCCTTATTTTTTTTCTGAAATGACCAATTTACTGTTATGAACCATTCAAGGAGTGCTGGTGAATATCACGGAGCCAGTGAACACGCCAAAGAACGTATATGTGTCAGAACCCAGGACTGCCTAAGAGTGTGGATGCACTAGCAAGCTAATTACAAACATTTATTTTTTAAATGTAGTTTCCTATATTTTCCTAGAGCCACCAAAGCACACAGACAGGGATTCCATCTAATATAGTGATTCCTAGTTTACTCCCTATTCTGTGAAAATAAAAGGCAAATTCTGATATATGCACAACTTTGTTACATAATTCAGTTATTTATCTTGTTTTGGTAACATGTTTCATTCAGATATTTGCACACATGTTAAGGCCCATTGCCCAAACAAATCAGAAAATTAAAATTATGGGAAGACATATTTGAGCTGATGAATAATAGGGAATTGAAATATCGCATATGGCAGCACATTGAGACCATGCTACTTAACTATAAAGATTCATGTATCCTTTGGTGTAGTCTGAATAAATTGGTCTAAAAGTAGAGATGTTTGCCTGAACCATTCTCTTCTGAGAGAAGATTTCAAGCTTTCCTCTCTGAAGGTGAATTCACTTGGGCGACCCCATACACTCCCTCTCTGTGTCATGGCTTGCTCTCTTCCTTTAACCTCTTCAACTTTTATCCATACTTGCATCTCAAGTGAATACTACTAAAAGTGTTTTGTGATCCTTTGCCTTCTTGATCTCTTGTTTTTATTACATACTTTAGGCACACAATCTAATTCATGCATTATTTTCTGGGAAATTATTCTGTAAACATCAGATTTCTCTTGCATACCAAATTATAAACTTGACTGAGAGTTGTATACTAAAAGTGATCCTTATCTGATACATGTGTAGGTTTGGTTATTTATTTTTATTTTTTACTTATCTCCATTTTTTTTTGTCTAAAGAATCCAGGTATGACCACAGTATTTACTTGTGTTCTTTCATAGCACTTGAAATGGTGCTAGGATCAGAGCAGCAATCAATAAAAGATAATAATATTTCCACTGAGAGAAACAGGAGTAAAACATGAGCACCAAAATCCCTCCAGGCTTCATCCATGACAAGCCATTGGAGATGGCATGGCCCAGTGGAGAAATTTATGGCAAACACAAAGTATTTGCTCTGTGCAGAAATGCCCTAGTCCCTTTCTGCTCAATGGAGATGTCAATTATTTACATAAACATCATATAACAACTTATTGACTTCAAGATTGTAAAGTACCCTATTAATGTTTTAAGCATTTCCCTTTATTTTAACACAAGTAAATTATTTAGGCAATGTTAAAATGTTTTATGCTTTGACTAATGAGTAGAGAAAGTATATGTCATATCTTATTTTAATTGGCTGTTTACCTTATCCTGTGGAAATTATCCATTTATTATTTCAGACATAATTTACTATGCATATACTCCCTGACAGATCTATATGCCATTTTTACACTTGATCTAATCATTAAGACACATAACTGTGCAGATAATTGTTACTTGGAAATTGTTACTTTTTCTTCAGCTATGTTTCCACCAAGAGGCAATGCCAAATTTTTAAACTGTCTATTTCCTTCATGTAATTGACTTGGCTCTTTGTAGAGAAGGCTTGTCATAGGTTTCTCACCACCTTACATTTTCAGATGACATGTTTTACTAGTATAAAGTAGATCACAACAATAATAAGTTCATAGATGAAGTTCATAAACTAATATCTCCCCAGTCAGGCTTTGTCTTCCATAGCTGTGTGGACTCTACAGGAAAGAAATGACTCCAAAAGCAATACCCCATGTGTCATCCTCATAATTCATCTCAATTCCATCCTATCAATTAAAGATATTCCCTATGATAAAACGGACTTTGATTCAAGGCTTCCAGCTATTTTTAAGAGTTGTATTAGTGGCATATAAAATGAAAGCTCATTCACCTCCTCCTTCTGTCTTTGTGTAGCAACTCATATTTGTGCAGTTCATAAAGGTTTATTTAGTAAATGTAGTCCTCACAACACCGGTGTGAAATGGGCAGAACAAGAGTAGCTCTATTTTCCACAAGATTCAGATCAAAACTATGTCTTCTAATGCCTGTATAACTTTTTGGAAGACAATACACAGAAAAAGAAGTAATTTCATCTCTAAAGAAAAACATTCTGCAACTCCTACTGGCAACTAATGAAAGTCAAGGGTTTCCATTTCAAGGGTCTTCAGACTATAGTTTCTTGGTAATATAAATAATTAAATCATGAATTAAAACAACTATAATACATGTATAAAAATATTTTTCCTTCTTAGATGGAAAATGTCTCCTACTGTGAAGTACACAAAATCTTTAGTTATTGTAGTTAAATCTCAAATGCCTAAAAAAGGTCACATAAAAAGTAAGAGGGTTGGGTGTAATACAGTGGAAGGTGCATGCATTTATAGTTATCTAGGGCAAACAAGTCTCATTTAAGAGTTTTCACAGGTACACTTTTTAAAAACACTACACAATCATGTTCCTAGGTATTTACCCAAATGAGCTGAAAACACATGTTCACACAAAAACCTGGACATGGATATTCATAGAAGCTTTATTCATAATTGCCAAAACTTGAAAGCAACCAAAATGCCCTTCAGTATATGAATAGACAAGTAAACTGGGACACGTAGACAATGGAATATTATTCAGCACTCAAAAGAAATGAGCTATCAAGCCATGAATAAACATGGACAAACTCAAATACATATTTCTGAGTGAAAGAAGCCAATGAGAAAGGCTACACATCAATGATTCCAACTAGATGACACTCTGGAAAATACAAAACTATGGAGACAGTAAAAAGATCAGTGGTTGCCAGAGCTTAGGGACTAAGGAGGGATGAACAGGAGGAGAGCACACGATTTTAGGGCAGTGAAACGCCTCTGTATGATGCTATAATTGTTACAGTGGGGAGCTAGTTGGGGATGAGTAAGGCAGGAAAGGGCTCCCCGACCCACCCACACACATACCAGAAGTGTTGGGTGACCATGGGGTGATGGTCAGACGGTTGTTAACTGTCTCTCTAAAGTAATAACTGCTCACAGCTGGCACCAGGGAAAGGCAGTCTCCTAATAGATAAAAAACGCCTGAAACTGGTGATCAGCAACTTCCCAATAAGATCTCCAGAGTTGGGAGAAGTGACACAAACCACACAAGTATACCAACATGTAAAACCCCAAGTCAAAAGGTCAAACCACACAGTTGTCTTTCAAGTTGCCTGCTTGGCGATCTTCCACGTGTACTTTCCTTTCTCTGATTCTTGCTCTAAAACTTTTTAATAACCTTTCTCTCCTGCTCTAAAACTTGCCTCGGTCTCTCCTTCTGCCTTATGCCCCTCGTAAAATTCTTTCTTCTTAGGAGCAGGAACTGAGGTTGTTGCAGACCCATATGGATACAAATATTTTCTACCACTAACATGCCGTGTGACTCAGGTAACTTCCACTGTTAACATAATGGTGGATGCATGACATTATATATTTGTTCAGACCAACAGAATGTATACGCCATGAGTGAATTCTAATGTATGCTATGGACGTTGGGTGATAATGACATTTCTGTGTAGGTTCAATAAGTGCGACAAGTGTATCATTCTGGTGAGGGGTATTAATAGTCAGGTAGGCTGTGGGTGGTCAGGGAAAGATATATGGGAAATCTTTGTAATTTAGCTCAACTTTTCTGTGAACTTAAAACTGCTCTATAAATAAAATTTATTCAAAATTAAAATAAAAAACACAGTAGTCACCAAAGAGAACCTACAAGCTCTCTGGTGATTAACCTCTAGCTAGAATCTAAGTGAAAAATGGATTTCTGTCTTACCTCAGGATAGAAGAATCCACCTTTCTCTTCTATTTAATGGGTATAAAATTATTTGAGAAATAGCTTATGAAATTTAAAAAAAAAAACAACTTATAGCAGGTAAAGTTATCATTTGGGAGTAAAACTGAGTGGCTTTTAAGAACTACAAAAGATCTCTTTTCAGCCTTTTGCCTAAGATCAAGTGAAGAACTACAAAAGGCTTAAAATTCTTTCCAGGTATTTTAGGAATCACTAAAGTGCATAAGGACAAGACTTTTATTTTTCAAAAGGAAGAACAAAAAAAAACATCAATTGCTTGTACCTGCTTAGGGAGAATAAATCTCTCAGTGTTAAATTAAATCTAGCTAGTATCAGAAGTTTTTGCAGATATTTAACCTTACAATTTAAATGTTCACTGAAGGACTTCTTGAAACATTAGAAGGAAGAGACCTCTCCTTGCCCCAAAGTCCAATTTCTTTGAAGGTTATATAGAGTTTCACATTTCTATAGAATGTGAAACTCAATTTTGAAAAACAAAATAACTCAATTTTGAAAAACAAAATGAATATTGAATCAAGCGTAAATAGTCAAAAGTGAGAGAAAGTTAAAGGTGTACATGGTGTGATATCTTTGTATAGCACAGAGGGTGATATAATGGTATTTGCATTCAAACAAAAATGGGCTCAAACTCAGCCTCTCCTCCTTGCTTACATCGTAACACTGGGTAACTTACCCACCCACGTGGAGCCTCCTTAGCCTCCACCAGAACACTGTGAACACAATTATTGGAGGAACCTGCCCCCAATATTTCAATGTAGGTTCTTTCTATTTTCTGTAAGTGTTTGGCTGGTCTGAGAAATACAGAGAAAGAGTATAAAGAGAGGAATTTTACAGCTGGGCCTATGGGGGTGACATCACATATTAGTAGGACCGTGATGCCACCTGAGCTGCAAAAACAGCAGGTTTTTATTAATTACTTCAAAAGCGGGGGGGGGTGGGGTGTATGAACAAGGAGTAGGTCACAAAGATCACATGCTTCAAAGGGCAAAAAAGGAGAACAAGATCACATGCTTCTGAGGCCAATAAAGATCACAAGGCAAAGGACAAAGCAAAGATCACAAGGCAAAGGGTGAAATCAAAAACTCCTGATAAGGGTCTATGTTCAGCTGTGCACCTATTGTCTTGATAAACATCTTAAACAACAGAAAACACAGTTCGAAGGGTCTATGTTCAGCTGTGCATGTATTGTCTTGATAAACGTCTTAAACAACAGAAAACAGAGTTCGAGAGCAAAGAACCAGTCTGACCTCCAATTTACCAGGGTGGGGTTTCTTCCCCACCCTAATAAGCCTGAGGGTACCGCAGGAGACCAGGTCGTATTTCAGTCCTTATCTCAACCGCATAAGACAGACACTCCCAGAGTGGTCATTTATAGATCCCCCCCAGGAATGCATTCCTTCCCCAGGGTATTAATATTCCTTGCTAGGAAAAGAATTCAGTGATATCTTCCCTACTTGCATGTCCATTGATAGGCTCTCTGCAAGAAGAAAAATATGGCTCTATTCTGCCCGAACCCACAGGCAGTCAGACCTTATGGTTGTCTTCCCCTGTTCCCTGAAAATTGCTGTTATTCTGTTCTTTTTCAAGGTGCACTGATTTCATATTGTTCAAACACACATGTTTTATAATCAATTTGTACAATAGTGATCCTGAGGTGACGTACATTCTCAGCTTACAAAGATAACAGGATTAAGAGATTAAAGACAGGCATAAGAAATTATAAGAGTATTAATTTGGGGAACTGATAAATGTCCATGAAATCTTCACAATTTATGTTCCTCTGCCGTGGCTCCAGCCAGTCCCTCCATTCGGAGTCCCTGACTTCCCACGACACACAATTCTGCATGTAATACAATAAATACAGTTGGAATGAAGATTCAATGTGAAATGCTGCCCTAAGTGCTGGGCTTATGCATGCATGGCTGATAGGTAATATGGTAGTGACTACATTGAGTATGATGTGACAACCCAAAGTAAACTTCATTTTGTTTGGAATATTGAGGCCCAGAGGAGAGATATGTTCCACAAGAAATGGCAAACTGGATGCTGGCACTGGTGGTGCATTGCTTCAGAATAATAGAATTGACATTTTCATTTCCTGAATTAATATGAATCCACTGCAGAAGCATGGTACCTGGAACATCTAGAAATGTTGGTTGGGTGGCATGTTACTGAATGGAATTAGTAGATCCTCTCCATGAAGAAAAGCCACTCTTTCTTGCCACTGTAGATCCCTGTTCAATTCCTGGCATTTTGTGACCGTCTATTCCTTCACTCAGGTGGGGCTCATAGAAGTGATCATGGTTTATGTTAACTTTCATTGCTGTTAAAATTTAATCCTGTGATGATTTCAATTAAACATTTATTAATTGGAATACCAAATCCCATTTTATTTTTTATTTTTAAAATTTTTATTGCTAAGCTTTCTCATCATTTCCTATTTATTTTATCCATTTGAATAGGTGTTAATTTTGTATATCTCCATTTATATTGATATAGAGTGAAAGATATAAGGAAGTACCCTTTACCTTCAGATGTCTATGTGACGTTTTTATTCTTTAAGGAACAGGTAGGAGCATATATCAATTGCATTTTCAACAACTGAGATTACAACAGGTCTTTACCATTGTATGTATAAATTGGATGAATTATATTACATTAATTACCTTTAATTTTCTAAGCTAACACATATTAAAATATATGTATACACACATAATGGTGAATTTGATAGGCAAAATAGTATTTTATTATTAACTGCTTTATTGGTTAGATTTAAACTGATTTTTTAAAATATTCAGATGGGGCCAGGCGTGGTGGCTCACACCTGTAATCCCAGCACTTTGGGAGGCCAAGGTGGGTGGGAAACCTGGGGTCAGGAGGTTGAGACCAGCCTGACCAATGTGATGAAACTGTGTCTCTTCTAAAAATACAAAAATTAGCTATGCATGATGGTGTGCACCTGTAATCCCAGCTACTCAGGAGACTGAGATAGGAAAATTGCTTGAACCTGGGAGGCGGCAGTTGCAGTGAGCCAAGATCATGCCACTGCACTCTAGCCTGGATGACAGAGCAAGACTCCATCTCAAAAAAAAAAAAAAAAAAAATTCAGATGGGAATTAGCTAGCTCCCAAGTTAGCTCCAAGGCTTGGGAGAAAGAAACAAAGGCTTTCCATAGCCTCAAAAAAAAATAAAAGTTTTTTTTTTTTCAGATGGAGAATTAGAGGCTTTCAGCATTCCTCAGCCACTTGGAAAGAGCAAGACAGTGCATAAAGATCAATTCTGTGAGCTTTAATTCAAGAAGGAAAATGGGATTACACTGGAACGGTAAAGAACATACCAGACCCAGAGGGGAGGATGCCAGCAAAGAGCCCCTCTGATGGCACCTGGCTGATAAAAGTGAATGAAGCCCCAGTACATGAGAGGGAAACAGAGCTTCCCTCTGTGACTCACCTTACCACTGCCCATCCAAGCAACCCAGGGCTACGGAGAGCTCTTTGTTTCTCCCAAGCCTTGGAGCTAACTTGGGGCAAGGCCTGGAGACACTGTGAGAGAAAGACACCTGGAAAACCTCAGGCATTTCTCCAGACCTGGGACAGAGAGCAGGACACCATATTTAATGTGGTCACATACAAACTCAGCCATTTTTTGGTGACTTGGCAGCATGGCCATGCAGGCATTTTCATCTTGGGCCAGAGATTGAAGTGCCCACTCTGGAATGGGTAGGAGCCTCCACAGTCAGAACTTTTGAAAGTACCACAGAAGTAGGGGCTGGAATTGTGCTCTCCCCCACCACAAGCCTAGACCAGGAGGAGAACTGCTAAAGCTGCCATTGTTCCTGAGTGGTGATAAACCAGGGCCAGATTGGCGACCTGAAACCAGTCTTAATGAGCCATTGCTGGGTTCGCCAGCCTGCCCCCCTGAGATCATGGTGCACTGGGTCACTCTCCACTCCATCTCCTGGCAGAAATCCAAGCATTTGGAGCACCCATTTGCCTGGATCCACACCCTAAGTTGCCTCATCCATCCTTTACAGAGATCCTGGTACAGGGAGGCCCCCTCTCTTCACACCCAGGCAGGTCTCCAGGCACTCAGGGCACCCACTGATCTGGTTCATCAACCCAAGCCATCCTACACTTCCTGGACACGGATTGTGATTAATCAAGGCCCTCTTCACTCCATGTCCAGGCAGATCTCCAGATGTCTGGAGTACCAGCTCTCCTAGATCAGCAGCATGAGGAGGCCTGCCCTTCCTGTGCACAGATGCTGGTCCAGGAAAGCCCTCTCTGCTACATAGCCAGGCATATCTCCAGGCATTCAAAGTATCTGCGTATATGCTTCAGTAGCCTAAGTCACCTCATCCCTCCTGTGCAGGGATTGTGGCACAGGGCAGTTCTCTCCACTCTATGCCCAGATGGACCTCCAGGCATTTGGAGCACCTATTATCCTAGATTAGCAGTTGAGGCCACTCCTCACCCCTTCGCAAAGAGCCTGGAGCTGAGGACGTTTCCCAGCTCCATGTGTAGGCACACTTCTGGTTGTCTGGTGGCCGTTCACTGGATTCTCCCTCAGTGCAGGTGTTTGTGCCTGCCACTGGGGGACCTTTGGGGAGCCCTGCCCAGTCCAGCTCTGCTCATCATGGCGCCTGCCACCCAGGAGTTGAGTAGGGAGTTTAGGCCACTGTGCATAGAAGTAATTAGCCCATTGCCTGAGCAACAGAGAGCTTCTGACAGTAAACAAGGATCAAGTATATACCTACCCTGCTGGACGCAGCCAGCTCTTACCTATAAACACCATTTATGGGCTTGTAGGTCAAACTGCAAAGCCCAATATAAAGCCAGCCAAAAGAAGTGTATATGGCTATAGAAGCAAAGCCAAAAACCCTATTCCATATTCTCTACAGTCATACCCACTGGAGAGAGGGAGGGGCACAGAGAGAAAGAGAAATTTAAAAACACTATTATAGGGAAAGAAAGAAAATGAAATAACACCTCGCCAATGTGAAAATAATTACAAAAATTAGAAGTGCCAGCATCTCCTGATGGGAAAAAAGCAAACACAAAAATTTATACCATAAACAATTTGAGTGTAGTAACATCACCAAACGATTAAACTAGCTCTTCAGCAATGGTCTCTAGCCAAAATGGAAATGACATTTAAAGAATTTGAAGTATGGATTGCAGGGAAGCTCAACAAGATGCAAGACAAGGTTGAAAATCAACACAAAGAAACTTCTAAAACAATCCAGGAAATGGAGAAACAGATAAATATTTTAAAATGAAATCAATCAGAGCTTCTAAAATTAAAAAACTCACTTAAGGAATTTCAAAATATAATTGAAAGCCTTATCAATACACTGGACCAAGCAGAAGGAAGAATTTCAGAGTGTGAAGACCTTCTTTTGAACTAACTCAATCAGACAAAAATTTTAAAAAGAATTTTTAAAAATAAAGTCTTTGAGTAATGTGGGATTATGTAAAGCAACCAAACTTACAAATTATTGGTATTCCTGAGAAACAGGAGGAAAAGCAAAGGTAGTAATTCAATAAACTTTCCCTAATCTTGCTAAAGACATCCAGATACAAGAAATTTAGAGAAGACCTGTAAGATACTATACAAAATGAACATTAAAAGGCATATAGTCACCAGACTGTCCAAGGTCAATGCTAAAGAAAAAACCTTAAAGGTAGCTAGAGAAAAAGGTCAGATCATGTACAAAGAGAACCCCACCTGGTTAACAGTGGACTTGTCAGCAGAAACTTTACAAGCTAAGAGAGTTTGAGGACCTATTTTCATCATTCATAAAGAAAAGACATTCCAGCCAAGAATTTTGTATTCCTCCAAACTAAGCTTTATAAGCGAAGGAGTGATAAAAAATTTTCCACACAAGCAGGCACTAGGGGAATTCATTACCACTAGACTATCCTTACAAGAGATCCTCAAGGGAGTTCTAAACATGGAAATGAAAGAACAATATCTGCTACCACAAAAACACACTTAAGTACATAGTTCACAGACGCCATAAAGCAACCGTGCAATCCAAACAACAAAGAAACCAGCTAACTATTTCATGATAGTATCAAAAGCTCACAAATCAATATTAACTTTGAATGTAAATAGTCTAAATGCCTCACTTAAAAGACAAGAGTGGCAAGTGAGATGAAAAAACAAGACCCATCTGTCTGCTGTCTTTAGAGACCCATCTCACACATAGCAATGCCTATATGCTCAAAGCAAGGGGTTGAAGAAAGATCTACCATGCAAATAGAAAACAAAAAGGTGCAGGGATTGCTATTATTATTTCAGATAAAACAGACTTTAAGCCAACAACAGTAAAAAAAAAAAAAATGACAAATAAGGGCATTACATAATTGTAAAGGAGTTCAAGTCAACAAGAAGACAAGTATTCTAAATATAAAATGCACCCAACACAGGAGCACCCAGATTCATAAAACAAGTTCTTCTAGACCTATGACAAGACTTAGATAGCCACATAATAATAGTGGGGTATTTCAACACCCCACTATCAGCATTAGACAGATCACAGGGGCAGAAACCTGACAAATTCTTGACTTAAACTCAACACTTGACCAATTGGACCTACTAGATATCTACATCCATCAACCACAGAGTATACATTCTTCTCATCTGCACAGCAAGCATATTGCAAGATCGGCCACATGCCCAGCCATATAACAAGTCTCAATGAATTTAAAAAAAATAGAAAAAATAGAAATCATACCAAACATTTACTCTTGAACCATATAAACACAGAAATCAGTAACAAGAAGATCTCTCAAAACCAAACAGTTACATGGAAATTAATAATTTTCTCCTGAATGACTTTTGGGTAAATAATGACATTAAGGCAGAAATCAAAAAATTATTTAAAATAAATGAAAACAGAGACACAACATACCAAACCCTCTTGGATGTAGCAAAAGCACTGTTCAGAGGAAAGTTCATAGCATGAAATGCCTACCTCAAAATCTTAGAAAGATCTCATATTAACAATCTAACATCACATCTAGAAGAATTTGAAAAGCAAGAATAAACCAACCCCAAAGCTAGCAGAAGAAAAGAAATAACTAAAATCAGAGTGGAACTGAATGAAATTGAGACCCAAAATACATACAAAGAATCAATAAAACCAAAACTTTGTGCTTTGAAAGGATAAACAAGATCTATAGAGCACTAGCTACATTAAAAAAGAAAAAAAATGAGAGAAGATCCAAATAAATACAATCAGAAATAACAAAGGTGACATTACAGCCTATCCCACAGAAATACAAGAGATTCTCAGAAACTATTATGAACACCTCTATGCACACAAACTAGAAAATCTAAAGGAAACAGGCAATTTCCTGGAAACACACCATCCCCCAAGAATCAGGAAGAAACCCTTAATGGACCAATATTGAGTTCCAAAATTAAATCAGTATTAAAAAAAACAACCGAAAAAGCCCCAGACCAGATGGATTCACAACTAAATTCTACCACACATTCAGATAAGAGCTAGTACCAATTCTACTGAAACTACTCCAAAAAATTGAGGAGAAACTCTTTCCTAACTCATTGCCTGAAACAATCATCACACTTAAACAAAAACAGGCAAAAAAGACACAATGAAAAAGAAAAGTACAGGCCAATACCCCTAATAAACATAGATGCAAAAATCCTCCACAAAACACTAGCAAACCAAATTCAATGCATATCAAAAAATTAATTCACCACAATCAAGTAGGCTTCTTTCCTAGGATGCAATTTTGGTTCAATATATACAACTAAATAAATGTGATACTCCACATAAAAAGAACTAAAAGCAAAAATCATGTGATCATCTCAGTAGAGGTGGAAGAAGCTTCTGATAAAATCCCACCATCTCTTCATGATAAAAACCCTCAACAATCTAGGCATGAAAGGAACATACCTCAAAATAATAAGAGCTGTCTATGACAAACCCACAGCCAATATCATGCTGAATAGGCAACAACTAGATGCATTTCCCCTGAAAACTGCAACAAGACAAAGATGCCCACTCTCACCACTCCTATTCAAGTGGTATTCATCAGAGTAATCAGGCAAGAGAAAGAAATAAAAATCACCCAAATAGGAAGAGAAGAAGTCAAAATATCTCTCTTCATGGAGGGTATGACTGTATACCTAGAAAATCCTAAAGATTTTGCCTAAATTTGGCACCTGGAACTGAAAAACAACTTCAGTAGGATACAAAATCAATATACAAAAATCAATAGCACTCCTGTACACCAATAACGTTCAAGCTGAGAACCAAATCAAGACTGCAATGTCATTTGTAATTAGCCACACCAAAAAAAAAAAATGTCTAGGAATACATCTAACCAAGGAGATGAAAGATCTCCAAAAGGAGAGTTACAAATCACTGCTAAAAGAAATCATAGACAACACAACCAATGGAAAAAACATTCCATACTCATGAATTGAAAGAAATAATATTGTTAAAATGGCCATACTGCAGCAACATTCTATATATTCAAAGCTATTCTTATCAAACTATTGTCATGGAACTAGAAAAAAACTAATCTAAAATTCATATGGAACCAAAAAAATAGCCCAAATAGCCAAAGCAATACCAAGCAAAAAGAACAAATCCAGAAGCATCACATAACCCGACTTCAAACTATACTATAAGGCTATGGTAACCAAAACAGCATGGTACTACTACTGGTACTGGTACAAAAACACATAGACCAATGGAACAGAATAGGGAACCTAGAAGTAAAGCCACACACCTATAGCCATCTGATCTTTGACAAACTTGATAAAAATAAGCAAGGGGGAAAGGGCTCCCTATTGAATAAATGGTGCAAGAAAAGCTGGCAAGCCATATGTAGAAAAAGAAAACTGGACCCCTACTTTTCACCATATACAAAAATCAACTCAAGATAGACCAAATATTTAAATGTGAGACCTCAAGGTATAAGAATCCTAGGAGAAAACTTAGGAACACCATTCTGGACATTGGCCTTGGGAAGGAATTTATGACTAAGTCCTCAAAAGCAATTGCAACAAAAACAAAAATTGACCAGTAGCACTTAACTAAAGAGCTTCTGCACAGCAAAATAAACTATCAACAGAGTAAACAAAAAACCTACAGAATAGGAGAAAATATTTATAAGCTACGCATGCAACAAAGGTCTAACATCCAGAATCTATAAGGAACTTAAACAACTCAACAAGCAAATAATCCCATTTAAAAGATGGGCAAAGTACTTGAACAGATGCTTCTCAGAAGAAGACGTGCAAGCTGCCAACACACATATGAAAATATGCCTCATGTCACTAGTTATCAGAGAAATGCAAATCAAAACCACAATAAGATACCATCTCACACCAATGAGAATGACTATTATTAAAAAGTCAATAAACAACAGATGCTGATGAGGCTGCAGAGAAAAGGGAATGCTTATACACTATCGACTGGAGTGTAAATTAGTTCAGCCACTGTGGAATGCAGTTTGGAGATTTTGCAAAGAAGTTCCAACAGAACTTCCATTCAATCCAGCAACCCTATTACTGGTATGCATCCAAAAAAATAACAAATCATCCTACCGAAACACATGCACCCTCATGTTCATCATAGTACTATTCATAATAGCAAAGACAGTAAATTAAGCTAGGCACCCATCAATGGCGAATAGGATAAAGAAAATATGGAACACATACACCATGGATTACAACACAGCCACAAAAAGAATGAAGTCATGTCCTTTGCAACAACATGGATGCCACTGGAGGTCATTATCCTAAGCAAATTAATGCTTAGGAACAAAAAACCAAATATTATTTGTTGTCACTTATAAGTATGAGCTAAACATTGGGTACTCATGGACATAAAGATGGCAACAATAGAATCTGGTGTATACTTAGAGTGGGGAGGGAGAGAGGGGAGGAAGCTTGGAATAACTATTGGGTACTATGCCCAGTACCTGGGTGATGGAATCATTCATACCCCAAACCTCAGCATCACACAATATACCCAGATAACAAACCTGCACATGTATCCCCTGAATCTACAATAAATGTTGAAAAAAATAAGAATTCAATTTTTTTCAAAACTTTATTGCCCTAAAATTATGTTGTCAATTAGTTTATGCGTTTTATAATATTTAACTCTTTTCCTAAATGTCATTTATTTTACACTAGAGTGTAAAATGAAAAATTAGATTTGGCTCATTTATTTGTTTCAATTTTGCAAGCATCATTAGATGAATATTTTACTCTCATTCACTGTTATTTGATGCTCCTTTATCACATACTTTATGTGTGCATGGGTATGTCTTTGTGTGTCTCTGTGTGTATGCATCAAGTTACTTTTCAGGTTACCAGTTATTATTTCTATGTTCATTCTGTATATTTATTGCTATGTCAATATACTCCCTAAATTTCTGTGGTTTTACAATATATTTCCTATTTATGTATGTATTTTGATATCAAATAAAAACTCATTTAATTTTAACTTTTAATATTTTCCTTGCTAATTCTTTCTATTTATTTTGTCTCTCTGAATATTAAAATCATGGTGTCAGATAATCTTCCCAAATCTCAATGTATTCATACAATTGAATTAAACTATATATTTGAGAATTTATATTTTTAAAATTATAAAAAATTATAATATACAGAAAAGAAGAAAAGATAAGGTAATACTCATTTACCCATCATCTAGATTCAACAATTATTAGCAATTTAGCATACATATTTTTAAATTTTTGTTTATAATGTATATTTATATGTGTCCTACACACATCCATCCATACATATATATACAGTGTACATACTATAATATTTATGTGTGTCCTACACACATCCATCCATACATATATATACAGTGTACATACTATAATATTTATATGTGTCCTACACACATCCATCCATACATATATATACAGTGTACATACTATAATATTTATGTGTCCTACACACATCCATCCATACATATATATACAGTGTACATACTATAATATTTATATGTGTCCTACACACATCCATCCACACATATATATACAGTGTACATACTATAATATTTATATGTGTCCTACACACATCCATACATACATATATATACAGTGTACATACTATATATACCTTTTATATATTTATATGTGTCCTACACACATCCATCCATACATATATATACAGTGTACATACTATAATATTTATATGTGTCCTACACACATCCATCCACACATATATATACAGGTACATACTATAATATTTATATGTGTCCTACACACATCCATACATACATATATATACAGTGTACATACTATATATACCTTTTACTCACACATACCCTAAAATATCTAAATCATGACATTTCCCTCTTAAAAACTGCGGCATGTGTCCCCCAAAATGAGAACACTCCCTTATTTGACCATTATTAGGGGCAATTTCAATAATAATAATGCTACTTATATCTTGAGTTCTTTCAGATTTGGAGGTAAATGACAGTATATGAAATATTTCATGTATCTCTATAAATACTGATATAAAGAGAGAGATATAAATAACTGCATTTTGTGATCAGATTTCTATGTGACTTTCTTTAATCCCATTGAGAAATGGTATTGACATACATCGGCTGCATTTTCCACATCTGAGCTTATTACTTAGTTTTGAATATTGTTTCTACAATTAGATGCATTATGTAAATAACCTTTACTTTCCTGAGCTAACACCTATGCTGTGGTGGTAGATGATTTCTTTATTGTTCTAGAGACTTAGCTACTGATATTTTATATAGACTTTTGCATCCAAATTCATAACAGAATGGCCCTTGGTATTTGTCCTCTTCATGCTACATTGGGCAAATTTTGAGCTCAGCAATTCATTTAACTTACAAAATATATATGTTGGCTTTATTTCTTATGTATTTTAGATTCATTTGTGGAGTATAAGAATTATATTCTTTACATTATCTAAAAACCTGCCTGGAGATATCGAGCTGTCCATCTATCTACCTCAAGATGTCACCAATAGATAGACATACACATATATATGTACATATACATATATGAGATATATATGTGTGTGTATATTTAAACATATAACAAAACTTGACATCTTTACATATGCATACACATGCATGCACAAAGACCTCTCACAGTTCCGTAATCCGGGGCATTTTATGAATAACAATGTTTTTTCCTGTTTCTGAGGTTGTCTCTTCAGATTTTCTACTTCTTCCAAAGTTCATTTTGACCATATATGTCTCCTGTAATGTCAAATATCATTTTAAAATGAGATTACCTTATGTCAACAAGTATTTTCATATATTCATTTATAATTCACTTTTAGCTCCTTGTATGTTCTCTTTCCCTCTTCATCCCTGGTTTATTTAGTCATAAGTTCGTATATACAGATACTTCCCAGGTGTGGATGCACTCTCAAAACACAAAACAAAATTTTTAAAAAAATGAGACGTTACTGGAGAAGATTTTTTTATTTTTTTAACTAGGAAAAACATTAAAAGCATATTAAGCGTAACTGAATATCCAATAATTCCCCATATCTAGGAAATTATATACTGTGTAACAATTTTGAACAAATTATATATTATGTGTCTTAGTGTTTTCAGGCTGCCATAACAAAATACTATTGTCTGGGTAGCTTATTAAGATCAGAAATTTGTTTCTGACAGTTATGGAGGCTGGAAAATCCAAGATCAGGGTGTCAGGACAGTTTGGTTTTAGCAAGGTCCCCCTTCCAGGTTGCAGACTGCCGATTTTTCAGTGATAGAAGTGATAGAAGGAACAAATGAGCTCCTTAGAGCCTGTTTTACAAGGAAACTAATCACATTTATGAAGGCTCTCCTCTCATGACCTAATCACCTCCAAAGGCCACACCTCCTAATAACATCACCATAGGGGCTAGGATTTTAATATATGAATTTGGGGGCACACATTTAGACCACAGCACTATGTAATCAGGATATATACATATGGTGCCCCATTTCCTGCCACTGTATCTTATATTGAAGATACCACCTAAACAGATGCTTACTTTCTAAATACCTCCTATGGATATTGGAGGATATTCTAGTTTTAATAGCAGATTATTTTAAGTATTTTCATAGTGTTTCTGAACCATAAAATAAATGAATCTGGGATTGTTTAGTTTTGTTGGTGAATGTTAAAACAAATGACAGAGCTTTATAATAAATACCTGGGCAGCAAAAGCATATGAAAAGAATGAGACAAAGTGGGGGGTCAGGAAGTGGGAGGAGGAGCTCATAAAGACACAAGTGAAAAGAGACTGTCTTTATGTTCTCTCTTTTAGTTGCATTCCCAGATCTTATCACATTTTATGGACCCTGAAATCCTAATGTGAGGACATCTGTTTAACAGCCAATGAATCAAACAAATGATTCCCAGGGGGCTCTAACAGCTCAAAGTTTGCCTTGCAATTTGTATCAAGTGATTTTAAGTAGATTCGCTATCTAAACATGAACTCCCGTAAGAAAGCATTGCTTATGCCTATGGGGGGCGTTTTTGCTGTCATGACCCTAGGACCAAATACTGTCTTAACTACAGAGCCAACTGGACACTTTTGGACAGCTGTAGAAAGTAGAACAGTTTTGCAACTAATTTTACTGATTAGTCTAAACTTAAACCTTACCATATAATAATAATCTCTAAGGGCTTTCTTTAGATCAGTGGTCAGCAATTTTTTTTTTTATAAAGGTCCAGATAATAAATATTTTCAGCTTTGCCAGCCCTGTGGTCTCTCCCCAAACTACTCAACTTTGCTCCTAGCATGAACACAACCACAAACAATATGTTAACAAATGAATGTGCCTGTGTTCCAAAAAAACTTTATTTTAAAAAGACAGGCAGTGGGCTGCATTTGACCCAGAGCTATAGTATACTTCCCCCCGCCGCCCACCTCCCCACCCCCACCCCGTTTCAAGCATAGTCTGGGTGGTTTATTCACAAGCAAAGTCAATTATAATTGGAATAATTGCAGTAATATTTACCACCACAGAAAAGAAAAGGTGTTTTAACTTGTCTTACTCAGATTCCAAATCTGTCTTTCTCAACATTCCCTCTCCCTTACGTATGTAAAGTCAGACAGCATGGCTCCTTAAGAAGGAGAAGGAGGAAGAGAAGTGGCAGCAACTATGCTCTCTTGCATTTGATTAGAAATAAAGACTCCCCAAATTATGTGTTTATGGACCAATGTACCTACTTCATTTTATATAAATAAAGCACTGGTTCCCCCAGAACGTCTCTAATTCTGGGGACAGTTCAGCAATATTTAAAGACTCTTTCTAAGATATTTTCTAGTAATTTATATAGCCCACCAGTATTTGTATGTTCTTTTGTCCTACCAATTGTTTCCATAAAAATTGCCTAATTATGTCTGTCTTAGGAAAGTTCTCACATTGCTAAGAGGTAAATATTTGTACCTTTGCAACCTGTAACTGTACTACAGGCAATGGGCCCTTTCGAACTACCTTCACCTTCTATTACCTTAACCTCTTTATCCCTATAAACAAGGACTGTAGGCCATTCCCACAGTAAATAAATTTTAGTGCAGGCACTAAAATCAGACTGCCTAGGGTTCAAGTACAAACTACATCACTTACAAGGTGTGAATAGAAGACCATCCAGCAGCAACAGTGAAGGCACAGAAAACTACTGTAAGTCTGTTGCAGTAACTTTGGAAACAGATGATAGTGGTTTGGACCATACCTCGAGTGCTGGTAGAAATTGGTCATAATACGGCTATGTTAAAAAATAAAACTTAATAGGTTTTCTCAGTGGATTGGATGCAAAGTGTAAGAGAACAAAATGATTGATGAATACACTACAGTTTCTGGTCAGAGGAACAGGTAAAATGGAAGTGACATGACCTGAGCTGGTGTAGGTTATGTAAGGGTAAGTCTTGAGCATTGGGGATAAAGAAAGTAGGTGTTTTATTTTAGATATAGTTAGTGAATATGACGGTTTTATGTTTCAGCTTGACTACGATACAGTCCCCAGTTAGTCAGTTGAAAACTAATCCAGTTATTCCTGTGAAGGCATTTTGCTGATGTGATTAAAGTTCAAAATCAGTTACATTCAAGTAACAAAGATTATCCTACCTAACCTGGGTGGGCCTCATTCAATCAGTTGGCGGGGCAGAGCTGAGAATTCCATGAAGAAAAACAAATTGCTTCAGCAGACAATAGCTAGAGCCCTTGCCTGAGAGTTCCAGCCTTCTCTCCGATCTCTGATTTTCCTATCCAGGCCTCCCATCATGTAAGTCAATTCCATGCAACAAAATTTCTGAAAGACATCTCTTACTGATTTTGCTTCTCTGGTTTGATGCTGACTGATACATGATTCAGTGAAGACTTAGATATCTATCAGTCTTGAGTTGGAAGAGAGGTCTAGGCTGGAGATAGAGATTTGGGACTCATGAGTGTATACAGGTTAATTATAGGCTTGAGATTGGATGTGATTATCTGTATAATGAGTCGGGAGAGAAAAGAAAGACTGAGAACAGAGCTCTGGGGCACACTGCAACATGGAACTAAAGAAATCGAAAAGAAATTGAAGGAGTCAGGACTACCCAGAGATGTTTGAAATGAGCTCAAATAAAGTAGAGTTCTGGAAGCCAAATGAAGAAGTTGAGCTACTTGGGAGGCTGAGGCAGGAGAATCGCTTGAACCTGGGAGGTGGAAGTTGTAATGAGCCGAGATCACGCCACTGCACTCCAGCCCAGGTGACAGTGCGAGACACCGCCTCAAAAAAAAAAAAAAAAAAAAGAGAGAGAAAAGAATAAATGATGAAGTGAAAAATGTATGGATTTGACCAGATCAAAATTAGGGATTTTTTTTCTACGTGGGACACCTTGGAGAAAAGTAGTCTGGAGAAACAGAGTTCTTAATATCTAAAACCAACGTCAATGTGGAATACACGAACGAGTGGCTTTAAATCACACCACGAACAGCAAAGATATCAAATTTGAAAGAAAAAAGTATTTTAAAAAGTAATTTGCTAAACAAGATACTGTATATAAGGAGATATTCTATGTTTCTAGTAGTCAGGAAGAAACGAATATTAAAACAACCATGAAGTATTATTTTATATCTATCACATTGATAAAAATTAGGATGTGAGATCATTTTAACTGCCAGTGATGGGCAAAAAAATGAAAACACTCAGGACCCAGCTGGTGAGATATAAAGTGGCACAGACTTTCTAGAGAACAATCCATCAGAAATTAATGAAATTAAGTATGCATTAATGTAATCCCACTCCTGGTGTTATTCCCCAACCTCCTAACTTGCCAGCCTGAAGAAAAACTCATGCATAAATTAATATGGTGGCAAGTACAGGATGTGCTTTGCAGCACTGTTTTACGCAAGCAGAGAAATGAAAACAACCTAGATGCCCTGCTAAGGTGATAAATACAGTGGATTCTTTCAGTTGGCTATAATGCAAGAGAAATAATGAATGAGAGTTATATACAGCAAAATGAATAAATCAAAAACAAAACATCTAATGGAAAAAATAAAGATGCTAGTTCAGTATTCTTTATGTGAATTCGCACAAGGAAAATCATGTTTTTAAGAAACTACAGATCTCAGGTCGTATATTAAACACTCTCTAGTGGCTGTTTCTGTATGGATAGATAGATGGATAGATAAAGACAGTAATTTTAAAAAATAATGAGAAGAAACAAATCTTGCAGAGATGATGATTATGGTTTCTCATGAACTGCAGAATATCTGAGTTTAAAAACTGTTTTAAATTTTTTCTTTAAAGAACATACCAACAATCACCATTCCAAATCTTCACTCTACCATTATTCATGTGATTAGCCAATTGTGCTCTCATTGAAAAGAACCTTTAGTTTTTCTTCCTTATTGGTAAAAGACTCCTCTGTTCAGCTAGTAAGAATAACACACTTCTCAGTAACCTCCATGCTGATCTCTGTTTACTCTCTGGTCATTAAACAGGAGCTTTCTCTTTCTAATTAAAGCTTTCCCTGACAGAGTTGCCTTCGAGCAGGTGTACTGAAGTTCCTTTGAAATGATGAAATGGGAGAAGCAAGTGAGTCTTTATATTTTCCTTTTTAAGTTGCCACTGTTCTCTCACAGTATTAGATGGCAATGCCTAAACATCTCTGTATTTTGACTAATTTATAATTTCAAGTAATAGACAAAACTACTAAGTGTAAAGGCAAAACTCTAAAGCAATTCCATGCAATCTCAAAAAAATCTAGTGCCAATTTCTCTAGGTAAATTATGGTTCCTTTACCACCATAATTTATAAATATTTGATATTTCCAATGTGCAATAAACTAGGCACATCATGTGAAACTTGGTATAGGAGGAAATGTAGTTTTAAAAAACACTGACATACTCAGAAAACTGTCATGTAACATTCCTTTCCCAGTGACCTCTAAAAGACTTTTTCTAAACTCGTTTGATTTGTGTTATCTAAAATGTTGCTTCCTTCCTCTGGCCTTCTCTCTTAGCTTTGTGACTGTCAATGGGGGATTTACTTTGAATGTCCCTACAAGTTGATTGATTAATACGACAATATAGTCTAGGTCAGAAACTGCCACCAAGGCTGATGTATTGATTGCACTATCAACTGAAATACTGAAATAACATTATGTAGAAAAACCCAGTTAGATTTTTTTTTTAATCTGAAAACATATTACCGTGAAAGCAACAGAGGTAGGAAGGAGCATCTCCCTTGACCTAGCAAGCCTTATTTAATACATGTCAAAATAAATGATGCAGTCAAGAAAACATTTAATATGATCAAGCAATGCAGCCACCTATAGGAAGTTTCACACAGTGAGGCATGGGCAGAAATGCCTTCAGGCTTACATAAAGATGGGATCATTATTGGATGTGCCTTCAAACAATTAGGCTGATAAAAGTTGAAAATCCATTTTGAGCATCTGATTTTGGCCCCCTGATTATCCTGAAATGTGTCCAAAAGGCAAGACCCCTCCCCCAAGTGCATCCAGTACGCAAAACTTCAAGCCAAAGAATATATAGGCGTATATTTTTTTGATACAGGGTCTCACTCCCGTTGCCCAGGCTGGAATACGGTGGCACAATCTCAGCTCACTGCAGCCTTGGTCTCCCAGACTCAAGTGATCTCACATCAGTCTCTCAAGTAGCTGGTACTACAGGTGTAGGACACCACTTCTGACTAATATTTTGCATTTTTAGTAGAGACGAGATTTCACCATGTAGCTGAGGCTGGTCTCAAACTCCTGGGCTCAAACAATGCACTTACCCAGGCCTCCCAAAGTGCTGGGATCACAAGCTTGAGCCACCATACATGGCCCAAAGATTATATCTTGAGACTTAAGGTTTAATGTTATTTCCCCTGTTAGGTTCTGGGACCTGTCCCTCCTTTCTTCTTTCCTGTTTCTCCATTTATAGTGGGCATATCTGTCCTGGGCCTGTCCCACCATTTACTTTGGAAGCACATAACATGTTTGATTTCAGCAGTTCACAGCTGGAGAGGAATTTGCCACAGGGTGAATCATCATACACTGAGTCTCACCCACATCTGATTTAAATAATATTAAGATACAATTTTTGACTTTAGGCTTTGAAGTAGATGATGGAACAAGAGAAGACTTTGGGGACTGCTGGGATATAATGTATATATTTTGCACTTGAGGACAGAAATTTTGGAGAGACAGGTGGAATGCTGTAAACAAAATGTTTATATCTCCTCTAATTTGATTATGTTGAAATCCTACCTTTCAGTGTGAGGTATTTGAAGGTGGAGCCTTTTGAGAGGTGATTCGTTTATGAGGGCAGAGCCCTCATGGATGAGATTAGTGCCATTATAAAAAAGACACACACCCCTCCCACTTTTGCCTTGTAAGGACACAGCCATCTATAAACTGGAAAGCAGGCTCTTACCATACACCAAATCTGTAAGCAACTTTATCTTGAACTTCCCAGCCTCCAGAACCATGATAAATAAATGTCTATTAATTATAAATTATGCAGTCCTTGGTAGTTTTCTATAGCAGTCTGAACAGACACACCCCAATTTCAAAATTTCATAGAAACCATTAATAATATGCAGGAAACTTAAAATTCCTTCAGGGTCAAGAATATCTTTACCAGAAAAGTATAGAGTATCTACATCTCCCCATCTTTCTTCTCAATTTTTATAGGAAACACAGAAACAACAAACTAACCTAGTAGGATGGTTTTTTTTCTCTACTACTTACTTTATTTAAAATATGATTTTAACTCTACTAATTTCACAATAATTTAAAACTCAGAATCACAAAGAGGACTCAGCTCCATACCACTTAGTTCTTGCCTTAACACATTAACACTTAGAGCCAAAGACATATAATATCTAGGCTAGTTTTTTTTAATGTAGTATAAATATGGAATTCTACTGCACAAAGGAAGTATGAGGCAGAAGCCAAAATGTACGCAGAAGAGCATAGTAGTGCCGTGGGCAGGGCAGGGAGGGTGTATTAGTCCATTTTCACACTGCTGATAAAGACATACCAGAGAGTGGGTATGTCTTTATAAAATTTATAAAGGTTCACGCTGCTGGTAAAGACATACCGGAGACTGGTTGATTTATAAAGGAAAGAGGTTTAACTAACTCACAGTTCCACATGGCTGGGGAGGCCTCACAATCATGGTGGAAGGCAAGGAGGAGCAAGTCACATCTTACATGGCAGCAGACAAGAGAGAGAATGAAAGCCAAGCAAAGGGGAAACCCCTTATAAAAACATCACCTCTTGTGTGACTTATTCACTACCATAAGAACAGTATGGGGGAAACCACCTCCATGATTCAATTATCTCCCACCAGGTCTCTCCCACAACACATGGGAATTATGGGAGCTACAATACAAGATGAGATTTGGGTGGGAGCACAGCCAAACTGTATCAGAGGGACAGAATCTGGTCTGTAAGCTGCTTGGCCCATTCACTCTTCCTCTGCCCTAACTCCTCCCCCAACAAATGGAATCTCAAGATCTTTACAAACCATATTTTTCAAGTTGCTGGTTTGAATTTATTAGATATGAATTAAATACCTCCAAAATACTCCTTCTATTTCCTAAAATGCTAATTCATATTTGTTTATCTTAAAGGATATAGAATAAAGAATCTTCATTTAGAGGGAACATTAAAAACATATAGTGCATGATATTTTATTCTATCAATCACCCAACAATTTTTTTAATAGGTCTGGAGCTTATACAAATAAATGACAGGGAATTTTCTGGTAAGGTTTTTTCCCATGACAGAGTCACCTTGTTTGTGTACAAACCAGATTCAAGAGACTATCTTGTATGTTGCGGTTCTTGTCACAAAGGGCATCTTAATGCCCCCTCCAGACCTAGTGCCTGCAGAGAAGGAGGCAGTCTCTTAGTCCCCAAACAGTTGGCTTGTTATCTCTCATTCCCTAAAGGGGATTATCTGTATGTGTTTGCTTGAATATATATTCCCAGAAGTCTTCATCACTGTGTTGAACACAAGTTTAATTTCATGACTACAGATTCTGACTTGGGGAAAAATATTATTTTTAGATATCAGTATTAAAAACTATGGTATTATACGAGGAGGTTGATATCACTTTACTGTGGATGCCAAAATAATTTATCACAAATTTGGAGGCATAAGACAATAGAAAATTGCTGTGTCATGATTCAGGAGACCAGAAGTTCTAAGTCAAGGTGCTGGCAGAACCTTGCATTCTCTGGTGCCTCTAAGAGAGAATCTGTTCTTTGCCTCTTCCAACTTCCAATGGCTGCCCCAGCCTTCTGACTCATCCAGTCTCTTCCTTCTGTGTCTTCTCCTTTTATGTGTTTCAATTATCCTTTTGCCTTTCTTTTATAAAGAAACATTTTTGGATTTAGCACTCACCCAGATAGCCCAGAATGATCTCCTCATCTCAAGATTCTTAATTACATCTGCAAGACCCTTTATCCAAATCAGGTAACATTCACAGGTATCTAACATTAGGGTATGAACATATGTGTTTTGGGGGCCTCTATTCAACCTACTATAGTCTGCCTCTCTCTGTCTCTCAAAAAAATCACATTCATTCTATCTGCAAAACACATTCACCCTATCCCATCATCCTCAAAAGCCTCAACCCATTAAAGCATCTACCTTAAGTTTAAAATCTCATCAAAATATCATCAGCTAGAAAGTCCCAAATCTCATTATCTAAATCATCCAAATAATCTATGAGCGAGACTTTGGGTATGGTCCATACCCAAAGTATGTTTGGGGTATGGGTCAAGATTGGGACAAGTTTTCTCTCCATCTGTGGACTTAAGAAACTGGAAAATAAATTATCTCCTTAAAAAATACAGTTGTGGGATAGGCATAGAATAGACATCCCCTTCTTAAACGGAGAAATTCGAATGAATAAAGAGATGGTCAGTCTAAGTTTGAAATCCAGCAAGATAAATTCTATTGGATTTCAAGGCCAATAATATTTCTCTGTGGCTTTTCTACGTTCTGGGCCCATGACTCTGCCACCCTCTGTCTCTGCTCTGACAGCTTTACACTCAGAGTCATTCTTTGTCTTGAGGAGTATCACATGTTTGTAACCAAGTAGCTGTATTAGCCAATTTCTGGCCTGTGGTATTCCAAAAGGCCAACAGCTTTTCTTCATTTCATCCCCTGTGCTACTGTTCCCTCCAGGCTGGCAGGTTTCTCCTGATATCACATTTTCAAAAGCCATGTGGTTCTTCTATACATGGCAAGAGGATCCACTCCATTAGACAAGAGAGTTCTCCACAGCTCATTTCTAGGTAACCTCATTTCAATTCTTGGCTTCTGCTGAGATGGATCAGTGAAGCCATGAATTTCATTCCTAATTTCTTCAGCAAAACACTGTCCAGCCACACCCTTGGGCACTAATTCTAGAACATGCTTTCGCAAGAGTAAATTTTCTAATTTTAATATCGTTTTAATCTGGATAGGACAAAAACCTCTCCAAACATCAAGTGTTGCTTTCTTTTTGCTTAATAGTTTTTCCCTCAATTTATCTCTTTCCTCTCATATTTTACTATAAGCGGCAACAAGAAAGCAAGGCACAACCTTCAACATTTTGCTTGGAAATCTCCTTGCCTAAATATCCACATTCATTACTATAAATTCTATTTTCCATAAAAAATTAAATTTAGGCAAGTAAATTACAATTCAACCAAGTTTTCCATCACACTATACAGACACACCTTGTCTTAAATTGAGGGTTTGTGGCAAGGATGGGTCAAACAAGTCTATCAGCACTATTTTTCCAAAAGCACGTGCTCACTTTGTGTCACTGTGTCACGTGTCACATTTTCGTAATTCTTGCAACAATATTCGAAACTTCTCCTTATTTTCATATGTGTTATGGTGATCTGTGATCAGTGATCTTTGATTCCAATTCACTGAAGGCTCAGGTGATCATTAGCATTTTTTAGCAATAAGTTTTTATTAAGATACGTACATTGTTTTTATCGACATAATGCTATTGCATACCTTATAGACTATAGTATAAACATAACTTGTGTATGTACTGGAAAACCAAAAAATTCATGTGACTTGCTTTATTGCGATATTAGCTTTAAATTTTGTGGCAGTCTTGAAGGAAATCTGTCACATCTCTGAGGTATTACCTGTAATAAAGATTGCCTTTCCTCCAGTTTCCAATCATGTGTTCCTCATTTCTTTCTCAATCCTTACCAGCAAGGTCTTTAATATTCATATTTCTACCAACATTGTGCTCATGACAATATATGTATTCTCTACGACAACAGAAATTTTCTCTACCATTCTTCTCACTTCCTTCATAGCCCTCACCAGAATCTCCTTTAGCATCTGTATTTCTGCTAACCATCTCTTCAAGGCAATCTAGTTTTTGTCTATGTTGCTTCCCCAAATTCTTCCATTCTTTACCCATTCTTCAATTCCAATACCACCTCCACATTTATAGGCATTTAGTACAGTTGCACCCTACTTCCCAATACCAAGATCTGCTAGTTTCCTAAGGCTGCTATTGGTAATAAATTACCACCAACTTGGTAGCTTAAAAACAACAGAAATTTATGGTTGCATGATTCAGGAGGCCAGAAATCCTAAATCAAGGTATCAGTGGACCCACAATTTTCTGGGGGATCTAGGAGAGAATCCACTCTTTACCTCTCTCAGCTCCCGGTAGTTACCCTGGCTCTCCACATTCCTCCAATCTCTGCCTCCACAATCACGTTGCCTCCTCTTATTCTGCCTGTGTTATCCTCTCTTCTGTCTATGTCAAGTCTCCCTCTGTTTCCCCTTATAAAGGCACTTATCTTTGAGTTAGGACCCACGTAGATAATCCAGAATGAGTTCCTTATCTCAGGATTCTTAGTCTAATTACTTACGTTAATAGTCACAGATTTTGAGGATTAGGATCAGGACATATTCTTTTTGGGGACACCTATGGTAACTATTAGAAAGGTCAAGTTGTTTATTTTTTACTCTGAAATAACTGGACTTTGAACATGTGAAATTCCTCTGGAGTTTGATAATCATATGATTAATAAAGGTATTGATGAGAAAAATAGGGAACGTGTGAAATATAGACACCATATACTAGAGTTAAGGTTACTTAAAGTTCTGGATAAATCAAAACATTATATTAAATCTGCCCCTAGATTTGAAATGTTCATTATGTGAGATAAAATAAAAGACCTGAATCACTGTTGTATTTACAGAAGCCAAATAATTTCTATAAGGAACATACATATTTCAATGACTGTGTGAATATGTGCGTGTGGATGATGGCACACGCCATGCTCATTGTCCAGGATTTGAACCAGAACGCCCAGTAATAACTGGAGTATATGTGGAGTGGGATATACCTTTAGGACACTGCTGTTACTTACTCCTTTCTTTTTTCTCAGATTGAATCAAGGCCTAATTGACCTTATTCAAAGTAAAAGAATTTGTGATTGAATAGTAATTTTCCCATTAATCCTTTTATGATTCAACTAACTTATTATAATCAGGTCCCATCTCTCATATGTAAAATTTAGAAAACTTCAGGAGTTAAGACCAGCCTGACCAACATGGTGAAACTCCATCTCTATAAGAAGTTTGATTTAATCATAATTAAGACTCATTATTTGATGAGTCAGACTTGATGCCTTCCACAGAGTTGTGCTTATTTGTCCTCTCTTGGGGTGCTCTAGGTCTATGCTCACTGCTATTGAACACATAAAATATGTTTATTGGCCACTTGGTGTATTTAGGGCATTCTTGAAATGATGGTCAAAGATGCTTATTGGAAGACTCTGAAATTCAAAGATGTGGAAAAGACATAAAGTGTTAGTGATACAGGAGCTGAAAAGAAATTATGTAGGCAGATAGTGACGGTAAGAGAGTCCTCGGTAAGGTTTCCCTTTTAATAAAAAGCAGCCCCCAAATCATTTTTTTCTAACAAAGAACACCCTGAAAAATCAAGATGCAGACATAGAAAAGCAAGCTAGAAGCTTGCACGGGTGAATGCCAGCAGCTGTGCCAATAGGAAAAGATGACCTGGGGGCCAGGTGTGTTCAACATGGAGGCTCCATCTTTCCTTTTCTTCATCACCAGGTGTACAGTAAGGAACACACAACAGGTAGATAACCCATCTGCTTAATAAAAGCTTAAGATGGGGCGACCAGCTTCTCTGCACGCTATGCAAAATGGCACAACTGGTCTGACCAATCTCTCGTCCCCTGTGTAAATCAGACACTGCCTCTCCAAGCTCATCTATAAACCCCCATCCATTTCACCACAGAACCAGAAGACCCACTTGGGAGCCCCTCTCTTTCTGCAAGAGAGAGAGCTTTTTCTTTTCCTTTCGCCTATTAAACCTCTGCTCTTAACCTCATTCCTTGTGTGCCCAAGTCCTTGATTTCCTTGCCAACGAACCTCAGGTATTATCTAGATGAACGACAATGCTTCATTAGAGCCAAACTCAAGAATTAATATCCTAAAAAGGATATTCAGAAAAAGTCAGTATGGAGAATTCAAGGAGAGCTTCATATCTTTGAATTCAATAACATGAATATTTAAATTTATGTAATTATGTGTGTATTATTCCACATTGCATTAAGAGATCCTTCAGTCCACTGATCCTCAGAGATATGAGATGGTCTTATTGGGTTAGTAATTCACTATAGTTATATAGACTCTGAATATATAGACAGAGTTCTCCAAAATAGAAAAGTAAATACATGTCAATATAATGAGTCTTCAAAAGTAATCCAAATGATACAGTAAATGTAAATGAATGAAACCACATTTATATCACAGAGCTTCATACTAACCGATTTTCATAAATTTACCAAAGTGCTCAAACTAATTACATAACTAGAGGAAAAATGTATATTTACTGTTGTATAACCTAAAATGTGTGTAGCCCTGTTGAGTCTGAGTACAAAGAATAATGTTTCCTCCTCCAATTAATATTATGAAATACAAAAAAATGCATTCATTTTCTCTGATTGACAGCCCCAATTTTGGATATATATTCTAACTAATGGAATATTGCAATACATGACTCAATTACAGTTGTTCAGTTGTCTATTTTGTAAAGTGAGAACAGTTTGAATTATATATGATTTTATTGTGTATGTGTCATGGTATCTCAACTGACAACACTACCATTGGTAAATTTGGCTCTAATGAGAAACTTATCTACATGCATATAACCCTATCCAATTGCTCATTTCCTATCTATTGTTATTTGTGGAAGAAATGGAAATGCCTTCATACTTGCATTTGACACAAGAGTACATTTAAAATTGAATACGGTCTCAAACCAATGGCATATAGGCCACATCTATGCAGTACTAAAGAAACAAATAATCCCTCTATCCCTAAACTCCATCCCTAAAATAATCTTTCTCCACCCCAAAAAATGATTTAAAAAGGGAAAAAAAACAAAACAAGGCTGGTTTCTGATTTCATATAACCAATAAGGTGCTCCCCAAATATTTCATTTTAGCCTTGTCCAAATTTGTGGACAATACCATATTTTATATGACAGTTTTCAGCAAACTAAAGTGAGTTGACAGATTTCAGTTCTTCCATGTGTCTAATTGTTCATGCCAATTGATATGAATTAGGTAAGACCAAAGATAAATACTACACAAATGCTACTGGCCAGCTTTCAGTTAATGAAATAGCAATATAAAGGCAGGCTTGGACTTAATTATTTATCTAAAGAGTCTCAAAATGTTTCACTGCCTAACATTTTCCTATAGTTGGGGTAGCAAGCACTATAGAGAAGAGAACAAAAGAGTATTGAGATGCTCGTTGAAGACTAGATTGTTTTTGTAGTAATGGGTGTTGTCTCACTACTTAGTTGTATGAGTGTATGCAACTTAACCTCTTGGGGCTCAGTTTCCTCATACCTAAAATGAAGAGGCCAAATACGATGATCACCAGCATTCTTGAAGCTCTAACATTACCTGGATATATTGATCAGTCTTTCTGCTACCTTATTAAAGCTGACTCTTCAATTCTTGTGTCATTCTAGCAACTTCTTAGAGA
This sequence comes from Homo sapiens, assembly GCF_000001405.40. Taxonomy (NCBI): domain Eukaryota; kingdom Metazoa; phylum Chordata; class Mammalia; order Primates; family Hominidae; genus Homo; species Homo sapiens. The sequence continues at coordinate 1,779,761 of NC_000003.12, forward strand.
CTTTAGGAACATAAATTCTAAGCTAATATTTTTCCAGGCACAATAATCAATATCATGAATTGATATTTACATAGCATTTTGAAACTAGTAAAAATCAAGTAAGTTCCATTAATAAAGATTGGTTCAGGTTTACACAGATATAGATTGAAAGGGATGTTATTCCAAGATTCTGTGACCTAGTGCTATTTCTACTAGACCACACTGCTTCTTCCTCCATGAAAGAAAACAAGCACCAAGCACTACCTGAATATTCTTTATTTTTGCATTTTTTTCAAACTTGAGGTTAAATTAGAAAAATATTATTCCTCTTGTTTGGGGCAAGAGGTTGAGCTACAATGGCATTTTAAAAAATGAAATAAGATATTTTGGACTTAAATATAATGGTTTATATTTAGTTTTCTAGCAGGCAATCACAAAATCCCTTCAAAGATTGTTCAGAAATCCATTCGTGTATGCATGCAATTTGCTGCTGTGCATAGGCAAATTGATTTTTCTATATTCACAGTGATGCATAGTTTGTCATTTTATGAGTAAGCTGCATTGCTGAATTGATATAATCAATAATCACAAAGATTCATTGGCTACCTTTTGTTTTCATAATGCAGTATCTGCAATGAATAACTTGACAGATCATAACTAGTGAAAATATTTGCCATTTATACGAAAAACCATATGTTATTCTGAAAATTACTATTCATTGTTAAATATTCCGACTTAAAAAACATGGTGGTTCAACAGTCAGAAAAATATTACACAGATCACAGCTATTTAAAGATGTCTACAAGAACATGCCATTTTGGTGTATTTCAGAAACCCAAATGCATGGAAAAACCTCTGACCAATGTTATTTTTCAGCATCTCTATCCTCTCTAGCAATCATCCAACATGAATTCATATAGACAAATGGAATGCTTTTGAGAGTTAAACATGATAGAAATTACTTACAAAAGTCTTATTTCATATGGAGAAGGAACTTTAAATTTGACCAAAACATGTGTTAATTTAGCCACATTTAAGTTGTTTTTGAAGTGAGTTTTATTTACTTCTCCTAAGTCATTAAATAAAGTGAAATTGTAATGAAAGGGTTTTTACAATTCTTTAAAATGATTTCATATATTCCTTTCATCATTTTTAGTTTATCCCTGTTAGTGCAACTTAGTATCAAATATAAAATGAAAAATAGCTTTATTTTATATTGACTATATTATTTATGACATGAAAATAGTATCTGCTTGCAATTAAAATTCATTCATATTATGCAAAACCATTTATTAATTCATTCAGTTTTATTCATTCTTTCATTGATTCATTTATTTGTTCAATTATCTAATAAGTATTTATAAGCATCAACTATGTGTCAGATTTTATCCTAAACAGAAAGGTAGGAGTGAACAAAAGTCAAAATCCTTATTCTTATGGAATTTACAATCTAGTGGAAGAAGACAGAAAATAAACAAGAGTATCATGAGGTAATAAACTTTGTCAATATAACTAAAGCAGAATAAGAGCAGAGGGAGTGATATAGTGGGGTTGTGCTATTTTTCATAGCGAGGCAAAAGAGGGCATTTCTGATAAGATGATACTTGAAAAGAGACCCAGATGAAATGAGAGCACAGGCTATAACAAAACTGCATTTTTTTGGTATAATGCTGCTAATCCTCTAATCAGCTTAATATATTCTCTAAATTACACTCAGTAATTAGTAAAAATTAATTTTTGTTGATCAATAGGATGAATGAATTGATTCACTATTATGAGATTCTGTAAGTTGGAAAATGAGGTTGGGTCCTTACATATATTTCACCTCCTTGATTCGTTAACATTTTTAAAATATATAGTTATTTCAGATTAAAAATATAATGAAACAGTAAAAATGTCATTTTGCATCATAATTAATTGAATATTGTTAAATGAATGAATGGATATGAGTTAATTACTAGATACCAGAGTTGGAAGGGCCTATAAGGAATTATGTAAGAATCATACAAACTCTTCAGTAACAGTGATCATTCAATTTTTTTTTTCTTTTTTTGAGACAGAGTCTCGCTCTGTCACCCAGGCTGGAGTGCAGTGGTGTAATCTCAGCTCATTGCAAGCTCTGCCTCCCAGGTTCAAGCAATTCTCCTGTCTCAGCCTCTCAAGTAGCTGGGACTACAGACATGGGCCACCATACCCAGCTATTTTTGTGTTTTTAGTAGAGACGGGGTTTCACCATGTTGGCCAGGCGGGTCTCAAACTCTTGACCTCAAGCGATCTGCCCATCTCAGCCTCCCAAAGTGTTGGGATTACAGGCGTGAGCTGCTTCACCTGGCCTCAGTGCTTTTTTAAAAAAAATTTATTTTAATTGTCCAGGAACCATGAATTTATATCATAAAATAATCTACTTAGTTTTTCAACAGCTTCATTAAATAGAATATTATCCCTTTAATTGAACTGATATTTAGTTCTCTTAAAAGTAGAGAGAACGTCTACCCTTTGGATTTATACAAATATAACTCTGGTGAGCTAGGTAAGGAATGCTCACCCTTAGGTTAGTGACATTCCTAAAGCTGATAATATATGCTACCTGCTGTCATTACTATTCCTGGACTCTCTGGCAAGCAGTATGGGATACTTGAGAAGTAGGTCGTTCACCAAATTAAGCTGCAGCTCTTATTTGCCTCTGGTTCATATTCCATTATAATTCTCAGTAGGTCAATTCCAACTATCCTCATTATGTGTCAAATACCTTTTGATGCCAATAACATCAAGGCTAAAATGATGGTAGGTCAACCCAGTTCATGACAGTACACTTGAAAAGGACATTTTCCATCTTTTTTTCCTGCTTTCTTGATCTCAATCCTGAAAGGTCTAATACCATATTGCTCATTCATAAACATAATGTCTCTTTCACTCACCTTACAACAAGTAAGCAGATGCTTTGCAATGATGAACCTTGATTTTGCTTTGAAAAGCAATGTAGTTATGCTTTATTTTTACCTCATACAAGTGAGGAACTGATGCATATGGTAAGATTTTCTATAACACTAAGTCCATGGCCCATAAAATGTGATTTTAAATGTCAAAAACTTTTTTATAAATAGCATTTTTAAATGGAGTCCATAAATAAGATCTTTCTTTCTTCAAGTATAATGATTTTACTACGATGTTCCTGTTGAGCACACTTTTGATACAACTATGCCTATGGACTCCTATACTGTTTATCCAGTTCTGCTGTCTTGTTCTATTGTGAGATACTTGGAAAGATAGTGAATTCCTCATCCCTGGAGGCATTTTTTAATACTTGGTGAAATCACAGTAGAAGAAGCTCAAGCACTGGATGCAGGATTGAACCCAATGACATTTAATTTCACTGATAACCCAAGATGGTAACATACTCTGCTGTCACTATATCATAATATCTGTTGAGAGGGAAGGGGTAAGGGTTTCTAGACTTTATGTAGACTGTGTGGCAATCCTTTGCCCTCTCAGAGACCTTTTAACATTTCAAACCTATTTTACTTGTTTCCCTAGCTTTGTTTCATTAGGTTGAGACTGTCTGTATCATTGAGACCAGCTCTCATCTGCAGGTAAACAAACTGAGGGTCTCTCAGGGCTTCATTCTACTCTGCCAGCATGAGTTCATTATCATAATGTTTTTCATTCATGTTGGACACATTTCATAGGAGTTAGATCCATTGATTTCACTGGAAAATAATCATTCATATTATTGATTTTGTAGCTCACAGGTTCTGACCATTATCCTTGGGAAAATATACAGCATTGATAGTTACCTGTCAACCAAAGAACATGGAGGTTTTACTCTATCAAATACTGACTAACTCATCTTAAAATAATTGCCAATATTAGCACTCCTTCAGGTAGAAACTCTTAGAAACTAATTTGAAAGAAAAATGAGTAATGGGATCTTTTTGCGTAAATAAAAATTGCTCTGTGTGTTGCCATCTCAGTGAAATGTAGCAATTTACAGCTTTGTTTTTAAGAAAGATCACAGAAAGCAATGAGCAAGAAATTGTTTCCAAAAATGGTCAGTTAGCATTGTTCCCACTTTGATTTTCCATGGTAATGAGTAACATAACTTTTAATCAAAGATTTGCTAGCCAGTCATATTGACAAACACATCCTGAGTTCAATTCTTCAAAACAGAATATAGGCTGCTCTATATGCAAACGAGGGAGAGAAGGCAATATGAACAAGATCAAAATACAAAAAGAAAGAGAGATAACCAAATTCTGCAATAAAGGTGATGAATTTATGGTATAAATCTCTTTGATTTGAGGGCCTATTGAGCAGGAAGCAGGATTCTGTGGGAAAACAAGACGGGTAGTGTATGCATTATATGCTTTAGAATGTGGTGAGAAAAAACTACATAGGGACATTAGCCTATTCAGCCATCCCTGCCACCTCTGGTCCCCTGAGAATTCTAACTGCCTTTGCCAAGTGATTTAGACTTTCAATAATGTCTCTCCATGAACAATGGGAAAATGCAACACAGTGGTCAGCTCGTTTCTGGCAAACCAATGTAAAACTGTTAATGACACAGTACACCAATGACAAGGCTTTGATAATTACATAAAGCCGAGGTCTCCTGTTACACTTTGACTGAAGAACTGCAAAAATAAAGCCACTATGAAAATGACCAAATAAAACATGTTGAAAATGAGGCAGGCGACTTCTCTCGTAGACGACATTAAAAAGCATGAAGAGAAGTTACTGGGATCAATTGACCATAGATTGTCCTAGTGTTGGGCCCTGATAGACAGCTTTGATGTTGAATGGGAAGAAGGGAAAGGAATATGGGTGGTATGACCAGGTCAAGAGCATAGACAAAATCATTCCCCATTTTAGGGCAAACTGTTTAGAGATGAGGGGAGAAGAAAGAATGAAAACAGTTGAACAAATAACTCTCCAGAAATTTCTTCCTCTTTTCAGAATTCTGGTATTGCTTTCTCTTCTTAACCATATTAGTCTCCTATACCCATGTATCTACTCATTTCAGTACATAGTCTGGCCTAAAAGAGAAGTTTGCATTGGCTTTCAGCTATGGGAGTTTGGTTTATACACATTGTTCATACAGAGAGTATGAAACGAGAGAAATATAGGATGAAGAAATATGAGAGTATGCACAATAATAAACATAATAACACATTGCGGTGTCACTGAAGGTATAGGGTTAACAGGTGCAGAGAGACAGAATAACGTTTAGCCAAAGTGCACCTGCTATGGAGTCTCACTACCCTAACTTGAATACTGGATTCATCATTATATGTAAGTTTGATTGGTAACAAGTTCTTTATGTTCTTTGAGCCTCAACCTTCTTGTCTGTAAAATGGTGATAACAATCATGTTTTGCAAAGATTAAACGAGATATGTAAAGCTTTCTTAAAGTGCTTGTACTTTTTAGGCTCTCCATCAATGGTAACTGCCATTAGTAGTAGTGGCAGTAGTAGTAATAGTAGCAGCAGCAGTAGCAGCAGTTGAAGGAGGAGGAAAAGGTAGAAACATTTTCTTGCAGGATGTAGTAAGCTACTTTCATGTTGCATTTGTAGGATCCAGAATTAAAAGTGGAACAACCCAGCCAAAAATACATAGGAAGATGACAAATTACAAGGTTGAGCTTAAGGGCTGCCAAATTGCCTTGCCTCTAGGAAACGACAGCAACATAAAAGACTATATCCTGCAGCAGCCAGTAGACTGGGAAAGCCAGAACCATCAGTGCCTTCTGCCACAGGCCAGCCAATCCACCAGGTACCAGAAGCATGTTCCTCTGCAACCACTGTGTCATAAATAACAGGAACAAGGAGTATAATTTTGATGTCAGATTGGACCACAAACACACATAATGTATACAAATTAAAAATGTTAATTTAATACTGTTATCTGTCATCCAACAAAATGAATCCAGCAAAAATGCTGGATTGTTTCTATATAATCCAATGGTTGATTTTTCAAATACTATTACTCTCTTTTCTATCACTAACAGAGGAATTTATTTTGCTGATTTTTTTTAGACTTCACAGTCTTTGATATTTTCTTTTTTTCTTTAACAAATGTTCATACCACTTTTGATGTCCTCTGCCACATTGCATGTACAGAATTTTTGTTTTACTTCTGCAATGAGCTAAAAATATACTCATCAGCAAAATATACGTAGCTTTAACTTCATGTATCTGTTTTATCCTGAGGAATACAAAAATTGTTGAAAATAAATAAGATGCTTTCATACTAAGGTGAAATTTATCTGTTTCCTTTTCAAAGAAATACGTGTGACATCCATCTTTTGGAGAAAAGTAAAGCAGAAAGGTAAGATAAAATGGCCCTTGCTGGCTTATTTATTCACGGAACGTATGGGGATGGAGTCACATAAACTAGCACCTTAACAGTCTGTATTGTTGCATAAGAGGCAAACTTAGAATCCAAGGTAGTAGGAGAAAAAGTAAGAGGATGGGGATAGATTTTAACCTGTCCTTGAAAAATAAGTTCTCTATCTCAAGAGTGACGCATTTATCTCCATTTAAAAGGCGAAGGGTGAGTCTGAGTATGTGACCTTGGGAGACATGCTGAATAATTTTTAATGTCCACAGTATATGGCATATCAACAATAATAGCTTCATTTGAATTACCAAGAAAAAAATAGCAGCTGAATCCATATATCAAAGAATGACTCATTCTGGATTTTCTTACTATATTTTCCATTAAACACCCTCAGCTTCATGTAATCAAACTCTCTCCATCACATGGGGATGCTTTTTTAGGACACTTTCCCGAAAAATAGATACCTCCTCTCTGAACCTCCAGTTTTGGGGAAATAATTATGTTGTATTTTGTATAGCTCATGTATTTCTTTGTTTGTTTTCTTTTCTTTTTTCTTTTTTTTTGTTTTTGTTTTTGAGACAGAGTCTCATTCTTGTCACCCAGGCTGAAGTGCAATGGCGCAATTTCGGCTCACTGCCACCTCAGCCTCCCGGGTTCAAGCAATTTGCTTGGCTCAACCTCCCAAGTAGCTGGGATTACAGGCACCCATCACCATGCCCTGCTAATTTTTGTATTTTCAATAGAGACGGGATTTCACCATGTTGGCCAGGCTGGTGTTGAACCCCTGACCTCAGGTGATCCACCCACCTTGGCCTCCCAAAGTGCTAGGATTACTGGCATCAGCCGCCTTGCCCAGCCAGCTCATGTTTTTAATAGGCTGTTTGTTTTAGTTTCCATAAACTTAGTGGGTTAAAACAACATAAATTTATTATCCTCTAGTTCTGGCAGTCAGAGTATGCACTGGAGTTCACTGGACTAAAATAAAGATGTTGGCTGAGCTGCATTTTTTTCTGGAGATTTTGGAGGAAAATCTATTTTCTTTGCTTTCCCAGCTTCTAGAGGCCATTCTCATTTTTTGGTTCGTGATCCTGTTCCATGGTCAGGGCCTGCAATGGCTGTTCAAGTCTATCTCACATCACATAACTCTCACACTGATTGTTCCCTTTATTCTTCCACATTTAAGGACCCTTGGGATTCCACTGGGCCCATCTGGATAATGCAGGATAATTGCCCCATCTTGAGGTCAGCTAATTAGCAACTTTAATTCCATCTGCTACGTAAATTCCCAGCCGTGTAATACAGCACAGTCACAGGTGATAGGGACTGAGGTGTGGACAACCTTGAGAAACCATTATTCTGTCTGCTGCACTATTCCAGATGTTAAGCCCAGTGTTTCTCTCAGTTAAACTTCACCCAATACTGCTTATTATTCTCCCTGGAACCACATGGAAGAGGTGTAATTCATCTTCCACAAGGCACTCTGGAATAGGTAAAGACATCTCCCATGTTTCCTTAGCCTCCAAGTATATCAGGTATTTTAATCACTTTGTGGATCATGCAGTTTTGCATCTTTTCTCTGTCCAGAAATAAATAACTACAACAAAAACAATACGTAAAATTTATTGAGCAATGTGCTAGATTGAGTAAATGTAGACATACAGTTACTCATTTGCAAGATTTTCACATTGAACTATCACAAAACCACAATGGATTTTGTGCTCCTATTGTCTGCATTGTATAAATGCAAGCCCTGTGAGATTCAGAGGGTCAATGTCACTCACCCAAGATTACAAAGACAGAAGAAATCAGAGGTGCAACTTGAGCTCAGGTCTGCCTTACTATAGAAGTTGCTCATTTAACCATATGCTATACTAAGGGATATATCCTATTTTGACAGTGCTTCTCTAAAATTATAGTTCCTAGCACTCAATGTCATGTCTCAGACATTTTCTCTGCAATGTATGAAACAATTTTGTCCTAGAAATAGGTCAACGAACCACTGAATTTTGAACAGCAGAAACATAGAAATAGAGACTTGGTCTGCTCAAAAACAGTTCTGCTAGGAGAAATGATATTATACTTCTCTATAAAACCAAGGGTTCATGGAGTGGGCAAGGAGAAAAAATATATATATCTCTAAACAGTTCAGCATTTACATTAACTATGTTGAAGCATAATTATCCTTTTTAACAACAATCTTATGCAAATTATTTCAGTCACAACATTTTTAATGCTGAATTTGGCTAACATATACAAGCCTATATACAGAACTTTATCAAAGAGTCAAATTCAAAATAAATATTAGATCTTAAAATGTTACTAGCATAATTAATTTTTGCCAAAACTCACCTGCACTTAGAAGCAATTCATCTTAACTAGCTCTACTCAGTTTCTTAAGAGCAGAAATAAAACATGTGGGTATTTTTTTTAATAACTCTTACTCCCTAGTAAGACAAAACACATTTGTTTTATTCTTATGCCTGAAATATCTCGTGTAGATTCTTAAGATTGTAACAAACCTGGAAATTAGGAGGGAGATTTGCCTTCTGATCCTCTTTCCTTAGCAGAAAGAGAATTGTGGGAAATATTTTTGCCAATAATTTATTTTCTTTGATGTATAAAAAAAAATGGAGGCAGTAAGGGGGTGGTCCTAACCCTCAGTATATATAATTTGGCTCTAGGCATGTAGAAATCAAAAGGGAGCATAAATGTGGTCTCTGACATCGAAGCTCTATATCATGAAAGGACACAAATTTAAAGCCAGTGATGATATAATTCAGTGAAAGAAGCACACAGCTTCCAAAAATCAGTTCAAGTCTTTCCTCTTGTAACATTTGAATAAATACTCTGCATTTCATTCAGTGGTTTATTTAAACATAGTTATTGAGTACCTGCTGTGTGCCAGGTACTATGCTAGGTATACCGAGGATTTAAATGAATTGTTTTTTAGGGATACAATTTTTCTCTCATTATGAAAAGCACAGTCTAGTAAGTTGAAGAAAACAAGTAAAATATATCTTATTACATAGTAGATGGTATTAAGTGTTAAGAAAAAAACAAAAAACAGGAAATACGGGAAGGAAGTATAGATTGAAGGAATCAGTTTTTGAAAGGGTGACCTGGAAAAGCCTTCCTGAAAAGAAAGCATTTGAGCAAAGACCTAAAGGAGCTGAGGGGTTATACCATGTGAATAACTGGGGAGAAAGAATAGTAAGTAGAAATGCCACTGAGTGGGTGTGTGCCTGAGGTCTTCAAAGAAAAGCAAGAAGACAAGTGTGGCTGGAACAAAGAATGAGATCTGAAAGGAAGCGGTTAGGTTGATGGGTTGGATCACGTAAGACTTTGTAGATATTTGCAAGGACTTTGGCTTTTAGCCTATGTAAGATAAAATTCACTGGAATATTTTGATTAGGGAATGAACTTTATGACTTATATATTAACAATATCACCATAGCTGAATGGGAGAACAGGGTGGGATCAGGGGCTGCCATAATCTAGGGAAGAAACCATGATGGCATAAATCAAGCTGACAGTGGTGGAAGTGGTGAGAGTTTTTGACTTAAGTGTAGATTTAAGGTTAGAGCCCATGTGATTTTTTTTATGCATTTGGAGATGAAGCATGAGATAAAATAAATGGTGAAGGATGACTTCAAGAATTGGGGTTTCAGGCCAGGCGCGGTGGCTCACGCCTGTAATCCCAGCACTTTGGGAGGCCAAGGCGGGCGGATCATGAGATCAGGAGATTGAGACCATCCTGGCCAACATGGTGAAACCTGATCTCTACTAAAAATACAAAAATTAGTCAGGCATGGTGGCATGTGTCTGTAATCTCAGCTACTCAGGAGGCTGAGGCAGGAGAATCACTTGAACCCAGGAGGTGGAGGTTGCAGCGAGCCGAGATCATGCCACTGCACTCCAGCCTAGGTGACAGAGCAAGACTCTGTCTCCAAAAAAAAAAAAAAAAAAAAAAAAAAAAAACAGAATTGGGGTTGCAGAAACTGAGAGGATTTACTATATGTCTATGTGTCTATGTAAATGAGGAAGGCAATAGGTGGCACAGATGTTGGATGGGACAAGCATGAGCTCAACTTTGGGAGACGTTAATTTTGAGATGCCCATTACACATCTAAGTTGACATATCAAGTAGGCATTGAGATATATGAGTCACAAGTTCAAGGGAAAGGGTCCAGACTTAAGATACACATTTGGCATTGTCACTTTCTGTAAAGAGTTGGTATTAAAAGCCATGCAGTAGGGTATCTTCCTGCCGAAGTGTGTTATTTAGCTCCAAGGCTCTGTTTTTGATGTTGAGGAGGAACCAGCAACGAAGGCAGAGGAGAATCAGCCAAAGAATTAGGAGGAAGTAAAGGATGTTTCACATACAGGGTAGTGTAATCAACTGTCTCAAATGCTAAACTGACATAAAAACATTCCATGGGATTTATCCATGCGACATGCATTGGTGAACAGGACAAGAAGCATTTTGATTAAGTGGTGGGAGCAAAGGTCAATTGCAATGGGTTTAAGAGAGAATGGATAGGCAGGAATGGAAGCAATTTTTTTTTGTCAAAAGTTTCCTTAAAAAGAGGGAGTAAAGAAATGAGGCAGCCACGGAGGGGTAAAAGAAGGGCCAGATGGTTTTCTTTATAAGTTTACTTTTTAAAAAGAAGTTATCTTTAAAGTCTGTAGCAATAAAAGCATATGTGTCCTCAAATAAAAAAATGACATTTGAAGATATAGGAGAGAATGGTAAGATTTTCTGTCAACATAACTTAAGTAAGCAAGAGGGTTTAGAAACTAATGTCAAGTGGATTAGCCTTGGCTAGGAGCAGGGACAGCTCATCCACTATAAAAGGAAAGGAAGCATAATATATAGACACCGCTGTTGGTAAAGTTGCAGATGTGGAGTGGAGACTGTGGAAGTTCCCTCTGATGGTTTTTATTTTCTCATTGTTAAAGAACAAGGTAATTAGATGGAGGTTGAAGATGGAGGATGAGGTGACAAAAGGTAAATGAGAGAGGGTAGAAATTATGATACAAAAGAGTGTAAGCATGGATGGAGTCAGGAAATGTGCTATAATTATCAGTCTTGAAGACTCATTTAAGGTTAATAATCATGAACTTAAAGTGATAAGATTTAGGATGGTTCTGTGTTTTCTGGTTATGTTCAGCTGTAAGATGTAAGTGGGAGTAAATGGCAGATTGGATTTATTATGTGTGGTAAAGTGGGAAAAGCCAAGAAAGTTGAGGATGCATGTAATAGAATGTTATAAAAATTCACCATGGGTTTTATTCCAAGTAATAGGCTCTCAGTGTGGGTCTAATTTTCATTGCAGTGGTCATTTGGTAATGTCTGGAGACATCCTTGGTTGTCACAACCGGGTGGGCGTGGTACTGATATTTAATGGGTAGCTTTTGGGGATACTGCTTAAACATCTTATAACACACAAGTCAGTCCCTACAACAAAGAAATGCTCAGTCCACATGTAAGTGTTGCAAGGATGAGAAACCTTGAGCAAAGAAAAAGGAAATGAGGATATCAGGAGAAGGACAAATGAAGTAGATCCTGGTGAGACAGAAGAACTGCTGGACTTGGGTTAGTAAAACGAGTAAACTGCAAGTAGAATAGTTTTGTAGCCAAAGAATAGAATACTTGAAATTGAGTTTATATAGAAAATGTACATATTGGTGATGACAATATCACCAAGTGACTAAAGTAGGGTGGAAGACAATATGATTAAAATAGAGAACAACAAGGAAATAAGAAGCAAGGGTAGAGGAGGGACCACTTTTGTGGATATTGACTTCATGGAGAATAATAACAGAGAAAGCGTGGGAGACATTGACGGTGAGTCAGCGGTGAAATCTTGAGGAAATAAGGAAATAACCCAGGAACTTCCAGATGACTGACAAGGGTGGTTGAATTAGAAGGTAACATATTAAAAGCTGGAAAGTTTAGAGAGAAAAATTACATGGAAGTAGCAGTGAAGAACAAGAAGATCATCAATTCTACTTTTATTTTTGTAGAGATGAAGTCTTGCTTTATTGGCCAAGCTGTTCGCAAATCCTGTCTTTAAGCGATCCTCCCCACTCGGCAACCACACTTTTAAGCTTAAGAATAATGGGTGCAGAAAGAATGTAGCCACTATTATCATAAGGCTTCAGGGGAAAAGGGATTCTGGGGAATGGGGGACTAGGAAGTTTGAGTAAAGGAGTGAAAAGCAAACATTATGAAAGACAATATAGAGGATTTTACTAACGATTGATTGTAAGGTTTCAGAAGTTAGGAAAATAAAGATAGGGTCAAAAGTGGAATGTGCAACGCAGTGTGGAGAGGAAAGGACATGAAGGATGATTTGGGAGTGCTGGATTTCTTTTTGTGACTTATATAATAAAGAGGGGAAAATTGTAGATAGTTACACTTATTTCAAAGCAGAAAATGGGGGAGGGGTCAAAATGGGAAAGTGTAAGAAATTTGCCAAGATTTGCAGAGTTCTGAGCTCCCTCTTGACCTCTTGATAAGAGATGTGGAGTCTTATCCCTGCCAGTTCACATGCTGTTGACACAGCACCATATTAGAAACTGTCGATTTTCTGGATTAGGAAATAATTTACTCCAGTAACCCTTGCTCTTTGAGCTGAAAGAAATTTGTGAATTTTAATGGCTGGGATTTCAACAATAGAGTGGCTTAGTTATTCTGAAAGATATTTCTTCTTCAAAAACATTAAATCCTTAATAAAAGAGTCTCTTTAATCATTTCTGGGTTCACAATATGTAAGAACGGTATGCTGAAACCAAAGTGAAAAATTGTGAGCAGCAAGCAAATAGCAAGCTTGAGATGGAAACAAGGAAAATGGTAATATCAAGAGTGCAAACTATCGGGAGAACAAAACTCAGACAAGCATCAAGGTGAAGGTGAAAGTGAAACGGCTATGGAAGTTCAGGAGATAATTAAGGTATTCGATTAACATTTTAATTAAGAAGCATGGTAAAGATTGTGATGGTAACTACTAAAATAATACACCCGTCTGGGACGCTGGGCCCATGGTCACAAGGCCTCAGCCTTGGGGCCTCGCCCTGCTCTAGGCCAAGCGCGGTGGCTCACGCCTGTAATCCAGCACTTTGGGAGGCTGAGATGGGCAGATCACAAGGTCAGGAGATTGAGACCATCCTGGCTAACACGGTGAAACTCCATCTCTGCTAAAAATACAAAAAAATAGCCGGGTGTGGTGGCACACGCCTGTAGTCCCAGCTACTTGGGAGGCTGAGGCAGGAGAATCGCTTGAACCCGGGAGGCAGAGGTTGCATTGAGCCAAGATTGCACCACTGCACTCCAGTCTGGGTAACAGAGTGAGACTCCATCTCAAAAAAAAAAAAAAAAAAAATAGACATACAAAATGTAATTTCTAAAACTTTAGGGGTAGGGAGGAAAACGGAAAAATAAAACAAGCAAACAGTAACTTAATAAATCAAAACCAATGAATATCTAATGGGGTATATTCCCCATGTCTTTTATTTTCTGTAATTTGATGCTTTGACATCTGAGGCTTTTCTACCCCTGAAGGGACTGCCCCTTCCAGTGTTAGCCAATCCCCAGAGACAGTAAATAATTCACCCATGAATGTGCTCTTCAAATGCAAACCAACCAGTCTAGAATCTAAAACCCAACCACCTCCTTTATTGGGCTTCCACATTATGGGTCACCATCCACCTGCCATAATCACCCAAGGATCAGACAATTAGCTAGAGCCCCTAAGCCCACTGAAATTATTCAGAATAGCCAGTCTTAAACTCAATTAACCTGCCTCACCTGTTCCTTCTTATGGACACCACATTAAAGGCTCTTGCCAACAATTTTCCCTCTCTGCCTCTTCACCAATCCTAGTACATCCCTGCTTGGCCTCTCATGGCACAGCACAGCCCTTCCTCTTGGGATCTGAGTAACAAACTATCTTTTCAATAGCAGTCATCTCTCCTGATCTCTTGGGTAAACCATACATAAGTAATGGTAAGACCTACATTTTAAAACAAAAGGAAATAATAAAAATAAAAAAGCAAAAAAAATCAGACTCTAGAAACAAATCCAGATACATTCACAATCATAATAAATGAATAAATCTTCTAGTTAAAAGAAGACAAATTGGATAAAAGAAAAGTAAATCTAGCTATGTGCTCTTTGCAAAAGTAGATCAAAAGTATAAGGGTCAGCCAGGTGTGGTGGTGCATGCCTGTAATCCCAGCTACTCGGGAGGCTGAGGCAGGAGGAGCCCTTGAACCCGGCAGGTGGAGGCTGCAGTGAGCCAAGATCGTGCCACTGCACTCCAGCCTGGGCAAGAGAACAAGAGTCCGTCTTAAAAAAAAAAAAAGTATAAAGGTATGGAGCAGTTAATGGTAAAAGAATGAAGGAAAAAAAATACATATATATATACACATATACATATACACACACCAGGCAGGCAAGTATTATCCAAAAGAAAACTCAGGTATGTATCAATATAAGACTAAAAGTTAAGAGAGAAATTTTACAGGATTATAGAAAGTTAATAGTTAACTAGAAAAACAACTAAACATCTATGCCCCTAGTAAGATAGCTTCAAAATATAAAAAGACTTAATAAATGTTTTATATATATATATATATATATATATACATACATATAAATACACACACATATACACAAACACACAGATATATGTCTGTATATATAATTTTTTTGGAATATGCCTGTAAAGCCCAGATAATAATTGTTATTGTCAGAGGATACTGTATACTACCTCACTACTTCCAAGTGTAGTTCACAGAGCAGGAACATTAGCATCACCTATGAGCTTGCTAGAACTATAGATTTCACACTTGCCCTAGATTTCCTGAATCAGATTATATGCACATAAATACTTGGGAAGCAATTATCTGTCACATGCTATTTTTTAAAATTATTTTTCTTCCTCTGAGTAACTGGTTTTTTTTCACTTTATTTTTACCTGTAAAATCTTATGTAAGACTTCTGATTTTCCCTCCCACATGTAAGGAGTTTGGAAGTTATCACTTCACCCTAACAAATAAAAAGCTGAACTAACTAAAACTCAACAACTCTTTTTACATCAAGCAGAGAACTGTGATCTCTGAGGAGGATCTCTGGAAGGGCAAACCACTGCCTCTCCCCATAGCTGGAGGAGCAGACAGGCAGACTCAGGTACTCACAACTTATCAGAGTGGAGACCCATGAACAAAAACTTTTGCAAGAGCTAGTAACATGACAGGAAAATCTGAACTGCAACTGACAAACTGCTGGAGGTTCAGTGTGGATACAAAATTGTTATCTAATATATACAAGAAGTCTTAAAACTTAGCCATAAGAAAAAGAACAATGCTGCTGTAGTCTGAGTGCTTGTGTGGCCCCCACTCCCATCCCCCTAAATACGTATGTTGAAAAACTAATCACCAATGTGATAATAGGAGGTGAAATCTTCGGGGGGTGATTAAGTCATGTGGGCAGAGACTACATGACTAGATTGGTACCCTCAAAAAAGAGACCACAGAGAGCTACCCAGTCTCGTCCACAATGTGAAACAGTGAGAAGCTGCAGGCCAGGAAGTGGGCCCTCACCAAACACCAAATCTGCTATACCCTTAATGTTGAACTTCCCAACCTTAAAAATGGTGAGAAATAAATTTCTGTCGTTTATAAGTCACCCAGTCTACGGTATTTTGTTACAGCAGCCCAAATGGACAAACCTCACTTTAAAACAGGCAAAAGACCCAGACAACTTACTAAAGAAAATACATAGATAGCAAAGAAGCATCTAAAAAGATACTCAACATTATATGTCATCAGAGAATTGCAAATTAAAACAACAATGAAATAACACTACACAGCTATTAGAATGGCCAAAATCCAAAACACTGACAACACTAACTGCTGGTAAGGATATGGAGCAACAGCAATTCTCATTCATTGCTGGTGAAAATGCAAAAAGGTACTGCCACTTTGAAGGTAGTTTGGCAGTTTCTTACAGAAATAAACATACTCTTACTATATAATCCAGTAATGGCACTCCTTGGTATTTACCCAAATGAGATGAAAACTTACATTCACACACAAGCCTACACATGAATGTTTACAGGAGGTGTATACAGAATTGACAAAACTTGGAAGCAACCAAGATGTCCTTTGGTAGGTGAGTGGAAAAATAAACTTGGTATATCCAGACAAGGGAATATCATACAGTGCTAAAAAATAAATAAACTATCAAGCTATGAAAAGACATGGAGAAACCGTGGATGCATATTGCTAAGTAATGGAAGTTAATGTAAAAAGGCTACATACTATATGATTCCAACTGTATGCCAGTCTGGAAAAGACAAAACTATGAAGATAGTAAAAAGGTCAGCTGCTGCCAGGAGTTAGAGGGAAGCAGGAATGAATATGGAAGAACACAGAGTATTTTTAGTGAAGTGAAAATACACTGTTTGAAACTATAATGGTGGATACATGTCAAAAGCCATAGATTTTTTTTAACTCATAGATTTTATAACACTGAGAGTGAAAACTTAATGTGAACTATGGACTTTGGGTGAGAATGATGTGTCAATGTAGGTTCATTGATTGTAACAAATGAACCAACCACTCCAGTGTAGGATGATGATATGGAAGAGGCTGTGTGTGGGAGGGAGGGGACAGACAGTACATGGGAACACCTTATACTTCTCATGCAATCTTGCTGTGAACTTAAAACTCCTCTAAAAAATAAAGTCTATTTAAAAAGTCTTGTATAAGATTTAATCAACTATTATCTTTTAAAATGTATTTATAAATAAGTCAGTTAGGATGTATCAGTGTTAATTGTTCAAATAACAAAACTAAGAAATAGGAAAATAAAAGAGCCATGTATCTATTGGTTTTGGCATCTGAGCAAGAAAAATATTTTAACAATAAAGACAGTTAACTTATATGTAAGTCTCATGTTTGCAGTTGATAAAGGTGATTTCACTTTAACCTTACTTCATTAACACTATATATGAGCTACAAAGATAATCGAATGTTGTTTGTTTATTTCAAGGTAAAGAAACTGAGGCTCAGTGACTTGCCCAAAATGCAAAGATAATAAATAGAAGAATTGAAAAATCTTTACAATATGTTCATTACCTTTTTACTATACAAGATAGCAGATAGAAGACAAGCTCAAAAGCCTAAGATTGCAATTATTCCTAGGGTGCTTTTGACAGTAAGGGATGATTTGTATAAAATAATTTTTTAAAAAAATGTTTAACTTAACTTTATATTTACTAGTGGGAATATTTAGTTACCAACGGTAACAGGTAATGTAAAATGATTATTTGGATGTTCTTGGTAGGAAAATAATAATCACATTATAAAATCAGGGCTGAATTTAATTTTGAAGTCTTAAAATGGAAGTTAAATGGTAGCACAAAGAGCATTCAACATTGAGCTAAGAGCTTACAAATTCACAGTCTGATTCATTAATTCACAGCCTGGCATTCATCATATGCCTCAGTTTCCACTCTGTAAAATGACAAGATTGAGAGTAAATGATCCCAAGGTTTCCCTCTAGCTCTAAAAATTCTCTATTCTGCACACATATGGCACTATATTTTAAAGCACATACGCCTCCTGTGAAGTGAAATAAAGTGAATAAGCACACGGAAATGGTACGGTGATTAAATTTACTCAGAGCTAAAAATCATTGCATATTAGCCTTACATATGAAAAAAAAACTTGACTAATGAATCAAACTTGAAGGATCTGTCAGTGTGCAGTTGTTTGACACAGAACAAGGACTGTGAAATTGCTGATTTTATCCCAGTGATTCTTGTATGGGTCACACACAGCAAAAAGAGGGGTCAGTAAGTTTCACATTCATATATATAAGCTTGTAAAAGGAAAGAAAAAGGAGTTTCTTTTGACATTGCAATGAACTATATGAGTCTTAATGAACATTACTGTTAAGGCACCCAAGCAAATTAGCGTTTCCCCACATGCCTTAGCTTGCAAGAAATTAAATTTGGCCTAAATAAATTAAAGCAGTGGACCTGACACATCTGATCATTTCTACCTCTCAATTATTTTTCCTTTGGTCAGGTTTTCTTGGAAGAAATTATTCATTTTGAAATGTTGATATTCTGGTTGGATCTATCTCTGTGCTGTATTTTTGCAGCTGGAGAAGCTATGGACTGTGGATTTCAAGTGTGACACTCACTAAGAAACCCAAGGAGTCAAGAACACTATTGCATTCGTGGGGATAATTTCAGAATCAGGTTTATCCGGAACCTGGATATTCATACCACTACTAAGAAGTGTTGCAATTCTTTTAGGTATGATGAGAAGGCTTTTAATTATAATGGAATCCAGTAGTCAGTGGAAAACTAAAGGCATTTGCGGAAGCTGTCCAAAGATAATACACCACAAAGTAATGATATGTAACAATAATCAGATTAAAATTAAAAGTAAAATCATATATATAAATGAAATATTAATTATGCCCTGCATGATACTTAGCAAAACCAATGTCAATGTTTATGATTACGGTGAACATTTGTCAACACTCTACAGAAACTTCCCAGCCAAATGAGTGAACATATGCAAAATAAAATGGCATAAACCAGCATTTCTCAATCTTGGCACTATTGACACTTTGGGCCAGATACTGTTTTGTGCGATGCTGGATGTTCAGCAGCATCCCTGGCCCCTAGCCATTACATGAAAATAGCACCACTACCTCTAAGTCGTGAAAACCAAAACTATCTACAGACATTGGCAAATGTCTTGAAGAGGGCAAAATCGCCCCTAGGTGGGAACCACTGGCATGAACAAGGATTCCAGAGAACTGAGGTAATCACCCCTAAGAGGAAGCTTCCTGCATCATATGTGTCAATTAGGCAATGAGATGTGGCTAATCTGACACTGGGGCTGCCACTAACACTAATGACTAAGGAAGCGTATATTGAAATATGCTGGTTTATTTGTTTCTGTTGCTCCTTGTCCTGAGCTCCAACATTATAAATGAGAGTGGTGGTTTTATTTATTTTGAACTTGCCTTTGTTGTGACACCATCCATTAAAATGCACAGTAAAAAGCCTTAGAATTTCAGACCCGTAACTCTCACTTGCATACCTAGCCGATTGGCGCAATATATAATACAGAGCGGTTCATTGCACGCTTAAGGAAGCGTAACCTATATAGGAGGGGGATGAGGGGCATGCCACATTGTTACTGTAAGGATAAATAGTATAAATCTTTCCTCACCAGATTCCTCCAACAGGATGAATAAAGGTACAGATAAGAAACAAAGGGATAGCTGTCAATTATTGGATTTTGTGAGTCTTTGGCAATGTATTAAACTCTGTCGTACATTTACTAAACATAATCTCCCTCCACTCAAGAACTAAACATTAGAGGGCAGAGATTTTCATGAATACATACTTGAGGCAGAGAAGGAAAACAAAGGGAAGGGATAGCTTATCAATATGAAGGATGGAGAAGTGCTGTAGTAAGGTACCTGGGAATAAGTGCTGTGTCTAGATTTGCTTCACATTTTGATAAAATAATTCAGGTTCTCACATAATAACTGATCTAAAAGAAATCATGTAAAATGGAATATGCAAGTTTACAGACGATATTAAATTCTTCTGGATAGTAACAAGCGAATGAGGATAGGCTGTGGAAAGAACTCGCAAGGATATAAGGGAGAGTTTAGAAACAACATATACGCCTCTGTTACTGCAGTTGTTAAGTGGTACGTTTAAAGAAAAATTGAAATGATTCTTATGAAATAATACTAAGCTATCCATTTTCACTATGGAGATGAGCTAATGTGATTTTTAAAATTTGAAATTATTGGGCCAATGATTTCCAAAGACAGAAAATATCAAGAAGGATATTTTTAAATGGAATAAAATACAGATAATAACAACAATACCAAAAAAAAAAATTCTCTTAACCTCCAACAGAATTATGTTAAATCTAAACCTGTAAGATTTTGTTCCTATGATTGTCTCTTGTAAAAGGCATAATGAAATTTATAATATTTTTGCAATAAGCAATAAATATGATCAAGAAATTTAAGAATATTTACATATGAATAGACTGCAAATGAGAATTCTTTCCATCTGCATGGAAGGATTTATTCACCATTTATAAAGTCATAGAAAATATGATAAAAATAGATATGAATTTTTCAATAAGGCCTAGAATAAAAGAACTTGCAGATACTCATTATAGCTTGGAAGAGGTAACAGAGGAAAACAATACCAGATCTGACATTATACCTAACATATTGTGCAGGCTGGAAAATGCCCTAATTCAATGTACATCAAACACACATTTATTCTTTCATTCATTTATTAGACTGTTAGCCATGGTCACATTGAATTTTATATTAGAGAGAATATTATGCCTTCCTGCAAAGTAAATATGAAATATTTATAAGAAACAAATGAGATAATAGATGTGATACATGGCTAAACTGTAAAATGCAATGCAAATATGAGCTAAATTGTGATTGCTTATGGGTCAGAACTTGACTTTGACTATGGTAGATTATTCAATGACCACAAATTATTCTCTACCCTCCCTACATCCACACCCTTTAGGAGGCACCCCTACACTGACTCTGAGCTTGGCCTTGTGACTTGCTTTAACCCATGGATCGATAGCAAATAGAGACTTGGAAAGCACTTTGCATTGAGGCTTGCCTTCTTTTGTTCTGCTTGGAATTCTTCCACTACCATGTTAAGAAGCCTGGGCTAGCCTGCTGAAAAAAGACATGTGGCTCCTCTCCTCATCATACCAGCCACAACCAACAATGGTAAAACATGTGAGTGAGAACATGTGAAATCTTCCAAACCTAATAAGTGATCATAGACACATTTGCAGATCCAGTAGACATCAGTCAAGGAAACCAAAATCAGAATGTTCCAATTTGCCCAAAGAATCATGGAGCTGAATAGATGATTTTTGCAAGCTAGTAAGTTTTGTTTTGTTTTACAGTAAAAGTTGTTTTATAAACTTCCTGCTACCTGGAAGTGAGGTGTCTTTAAAGACAATTCAAAGCTTTTGAATTTTATCTTGTGGAGAAGAATTACAGCTTCCTTAATATTTTATTTCTTTTTAATTTTTATAGGTACATAGTAGATCCATATATTTATGGGGTACATGAAATATTTTGATACAGCCATGCAATCTGTAATAATCACATCAGAGTAAATAGGGTATCCATCACCTCAAGCATTCGCCCTTCGTGTTTCAAACAATTCAATTATACTTTTAATTGTTTTTGAATGTACAATGAAATTATTTTTTTACTATAATCACCCTGTTGTGCTAGCACATACTACGTCTTATCCATTCTATCTTTTTGTACCCATTAACCTTCCTCCACTTCCCTCCCCCACCCCCTGCCACCTTTACTACCCTTCCCAGCCTCTGATAACCATTCTTCTACTCTCTATCTTCATGAATTCAATTGTTTTAATTTTTAGCCCCCAAAGATAAGTGAGAAATGCAATGTTTATCTTTCTGTGCCTGCCTTATTGCACTTAATGATCTCCAATTCCAAGCATGCTGTTGCAAATAACAGGATCTCATTCTCTTTATGGCTGAATAGTACTACATTGTGTATATGTACCACATTTTATTTATCCATTTGTCTGTTGATGGATTCTTAGGTTGTTTGCAGATCTTGGCAATTGTGAATAGTGCTGCAATAAACATAGGAGCACAGGTATCTCTTCAATATACTGATATTCTTCCTTTTTTTTTTTTTTTTTTTTTCAGACAGAGTCTCGCTGTCACCCCAGGCTGCAGGGCAGTGGTGCAATCTCGGCTCACTGCAAGCTCCGCCCCCCGGGTTCCCGCCATTCTCCTGCCTCAGCCTCCCGAGTAGCTGGGACTACAGGCGCCGCCACCACGCCCGGCTAATTTTTTGTATTTTTAGTAGAGACGGGGTTTCACCGTGTTAGCCAGGATGGTCTCGATCTCCTGATCTCGTGATCCGCCCGCCTCGGCCTCCCAAAGTGCTGGGATTACAGGAGTGAGCCACCACGCCCAGTGATATTCTTTCTTTGGAGTATATACCTAGGAGTGGAACGGGATTGCTGAATCACATGGTAGTTCTATTTTTAGTTTTTTGAGGACCCTCCGAACTGTTCTCCATAGTGGTTGCACTAATTTACATTTCCATCAAGAGTTTACTAGAATTCTCTTCTCTCCATTATTTGTGATCACCTGCCTTTTGGATAAAAGCCATTTAAACTGGGGTGAAATATCTCATTGCAGTTTTGGTTTGCATTTCTCTAATGACCAATTTTGAGTAGTTTTTATATACCAGTTTGCCATTTGTATGTCTTTTTTGAGAAATGTCTATTCAGATATTTTGTCCATTTTTAAAATTGGATTATTAGATCTTTTTTTCCTTTCGAGTTGTTTGAGATCTTTATATGTTGTGGTTATTAATCCCTTGTCAGAAGGGTAGTTTGCAAATATTTTCTCTAATTGTGTGGGTTTTCTATTCACTTTGTTAATTGCTTCTTTTGCTGTACAGAAGATTTTTAACTTAACGTGATCTCATTTGTCTATTTTTACTTCAGTTTCTTGTACCTGTGGGGTATTACTCAAGAAGTCTTTGCCCACTCCAATGTCCTGGAGAGTTTCTCCAGTGTTTTCTCGTGGTAGTTTTATAGTTTCAGGTCTTAGATTTCAATTTTTAATCTATCTTGATTAGATTTTTGTATATGGCAAGAGATAGGGGTCTAGTTTCATTCTTCTGCTTATGTATATCCAGTTTTCCCATCACCATTTATTGAAGAAACTGTCCTTTCCCCAATGTATGTTCTTGGAATCTTGGTCAAAACTGAGTTCACTGTAGATGTATGGATTTAGTTCTGGGTTCTGTATTCTATTCCATTGATCTATGTGTCTGTTTTTATGCTAGTACTATGCCATTTTCTTTACTATAGTTCTGCAATATAATTTGAAGTAATGGGATTCCTCCAGTTTTCTTCATTTTGCTTAGCATAACTTTGTCTATTCTGGGTCTTTCATGGTTTTAAATAAATTTCAGAGTTGTTTTTTCTGTTTCTGTGAAGAATGTCATTGGCATTTTGAAATGAATTGCAGATTAAGTCTGATCTGTTTCTTTGTTGTTTTTCTGTCTAGAAGATCAGTCCAGTGCTGAAAGTGGGGTGTTGAAATCTCCAGCCATTACTGTGTTAGGGTCTATTGCTCTCTTTAGCTCTAATAATATTTGCTTTATACATCTGAGTATTGCAGTGTTGGGTGGGACCATATATATTTAAAATTGTTAAATTCTCTTGCTCGACTGACCCCTTTGTCATTATATAATGACCTTTGTCTCTTCTTACAGTTTTTGTCTCGAAATTGATTTTGCCTGATGTAAGTATAGCTACTTCTCCACTTTTTTGGTTCCTATTGGCATGGGATATCTTTTTCCATCTCTTTATTTTCAGTTTATGTGTGTCTTTATAAGTGAAGTGTGTTTCTTGTAGCCAACAGATCATTGGGTCTCTTTTTGTAATCTGTTCAGCCATTCTATGTCTTTTGATTAGAGAGTTTAATCCATTTACATTAAATGTTATTATTGCTAAATAAGGACTTATTCCTGCCATTTTGTTATTTGTTTTGTTTTTTGTTTTTTGTTTTTATGGTCTTGTCTTTCTTCCTTCTTTTTTTCCGTCTTTCTCCTAATGAAGCTAATTTTCTCTGGTGATATGATTTAGTTTCTTACTTTTGATTTTGTTGGCATCCATTGTATGGTTGTTGATTTGAGGTTACCATGAGGCTTGCAAATACTATCTTATAACGCATTGTTTAAAGTTGATAACAACTTAACATAATTTACATAAAAAACAAGCAAGCAAAAATAAAACTAACCAAAACTCTACACCTTAACTTCATCCCCCAACTTTTTAAATTTTTGTTGTTTCTATTTATATCTTATTATACCCTGTCTTGAAAAGTTGTTTTAGTTATCACTTTTGATTGGTTCATCATTTAGTCTTTCTATTGAAGAGTAGTTTAAACACCACAGTTATAATGCTCTAATATTCTGTGTTCTTATGTATGCTTACTACTACCAGTGAGTTTAGGGCCTTCAGATAATTACTTATTGCTCATGAACGTTCTTTTTTTTTTCTGATTGTAGTAATCCCTTTAGCATTTCTTGTAGGACAGATTTGGTTTTGATGAAATCCTGCAGCTTTTTTTGTTTGGGAAAGCCTTTATTTCTCCTTCATGTTTGAAGAATATTTCTGCCAGGTATACTATTCTAGGGGAAACATTTTTTTTTTCTTTCAGCACTTTAACTATATCATGCCACTGTCTTCTGGCCTATAAGTTTGCACTGAAAAGTTTGCTGCCAGACATATTGGAGCTCCATTGTATGATGTTTCTTTTCTCTTGCTGCATTTAGGATCTTTTCTTTATCCTTGCCCTTTGGGAGTTTGATTATTAAATGCCTTGAGGTAATCTTCATTGGGTTAAATCTGCTTGGTGTTCTATAACCTCCTTGTTCTTGGATATTAATATCTTTACCTTGGTTTGGGAAGTTCTCTGTTATTATTACTTTGAATAAACTTTCTACCCCTCTTTCTCCGTTTCCTCCTTAAGGCCAATAACTTACATTTGCCTTTTTGAGTCTATTTTCTAGACCCTGTAGGTATGCTTCATTGCTTTTTATTCTTTTTTCTTTTGTCTCTTTGGATATGTATTTTCAAATAGCCCGTCTTCAAACTCACTATTTTTTTTTTCTGCTGGACCAATTTTGCTCTTAAAAGACTCTGGTACATTCTTCAGTATGTCAATTGCATCTTTCAGCTCCAGAATTTATGCTTGATTCTTCTTAATTACTTCAATTTCTTTGTTAAATTTATCTGACAGAATTCAGAATTCCTTCCCTGTGTTATCTTCAATTTCTTGGAGTTTTCTCAACAAAGGTATTTTGAATCCTCTGTCTGAAAGGTCACATATCTCTGTTTCTCCAGGATTGGTCTCTGGTGCCTTATTTAATACATTTGATGAGGTCATGTTTTACTGGACGATCTTGATACTCGTGGATGTTCACCTGTGTCTAGGCATTGACAACATAGGTATCTATTGTAGTTTTCACAGTCTAGGCTTGTTTGTACCCTTCCTTCTTGGGAAGGCTTTCCAGATATTCTAAAGGACTTGGATGTTGTGATCTAAGCTGTATGTGCATTAGGGGGCACCCCAGGCCAATAATGCCATGGTTCTTACAGACTAGAGGTACCACCTTGATGGTCACGTACAAGATCTGGGAGAATTCTCTGTATTACCTACCTAGCAGAGACTCTTGTTCTCTTTCCTTCCTTTCTCCCAAACAGAGTCTCTCTGAGCTGCCTGGAGCTGGGAACAGAGTGACGCAAGCACACCTGTGACCACCACTAGGACTGCACTGAGTCAGACCTGAAGACAGCACAGCACTGGGTTTCACCCAAGGCTTGTTGTAACCACTCCCTGGCTACTGCCTATGTCTGCTGAAAGCCCTGGGGCTCTATAATCATCAAGTGACAAAGCCAGCCACTTCTGTCTTCCTTTCCGGTCAGCAAGTTTCCCCAGGCCCTGGGCAGGTCCAGAGGTACCATCCATCCAGGAGCCAAAGACTACACTCAAAAACTTTAGAAATTTACCTGGTGTTCCATTGTACCAGGGCTAAGCTGGCACTCAAACCTCAAAATGCAGTCTTTCCCCTTTCTAAAGGCAGAGGAACTTCAACCCATGGCCACTGCCATCACAGGTCCACAGGCTACTGCCAGGCTACCACCAATGTTCCCTTAAGGGCCAGGGGCTCCTCAGTCAGCTTGTGGTGAATGCTGCATGGCCTGGGACTCACCCTTCAGAGAAATGGGCTCCGCTCTGGCCTAGGACAGGTCCAGAAATGCCTTTCAAGAGCCAAAGCCTAGAATCAGAGACCCAAGAGCCTCTTGGTGCTCTACCACCCTGTGGCCAACCTGGTACGTAAGATGAAAGAAAAAGTCTCCTTTACATTTCCCTCCACTTTTCTCAAGCAGAAGGAGTCTCTCCCCATAGTCACCACAGCTGGGAATGTGCTGAGTCTCACCTGAAGACAGCAAGTCTCAGAGTCCCCCCAAGGCCCACAGCACACTACCTGGGTATCACTATTGGTTTTTCAGGGCCCAAGGTCTCTTCAGTTATCCAGTGATCAAATCGGCCAGGACTGAGTCCTTCCCTTCAAGGCAGCAGGTTCTCTTCTGCTTCAGGGTATGTCTAGAAATATTGTCCATGAGTTAGGGCCTTGAAAGTGGGCTTCATGACTCTAACCAGTACCCTGTCCTGCTATGGCTGAGCTGATATCTGAGAT
Organism: Homo sapiens; assembly: GCF_000001405.40. Taxonomy (NCBI): domain Eukaryota; kingdom Metazoa; phylum Chordata; class Mammalia; order Primates; family Hominidae; genus Homo; species Homo sapiens. The sequence continues at coordinate 1,806,450 of NC_000003.12, forward strand.
GCAAAACAAAGTCCTCCTCACTCTTCCCTCTCCTGTTCTCAAGTAGAAAGAATGGGTCTCTTTTAGTACCATGAGCTGTGTGCCAGGGGAGGTGTGGCACCAAGCACTCCCCTAGACATCCCAGCTGGTAGATGGGGATCTCAGTAGATTATATACCCCCCAAGTCCCCTGGCTCTGAGCCCAGGTCAGCACTAAGACTCACCTAGGAATGGCAGTCGTTGTGGCCCACACTGTCATTTAAGCTTATTTAGAGCCCCATAGCACTTTAGCCTGCAGTGGCAGGACTTGCAAGAACTCAAGTTCCAACTGCTAGGATGGGTGATTCCCCTCTGGCTAGGGATGACTTAAATACCCCCTCCATGGGCAGGCATCAGCTGAGTTCATTCCAGTTTTGCTTTCTATTATAACAGGGCAGCACTAAATTCAATACAATGTCTCACAATTACTTCCCTCTCTCTCCCTGAAGCACTCAAATTCTCTCTCTGCACCAAATATCACTGCTGAGAGGTGAGAGAGGGGTGGCATCAGTGATTCAAGACTGTTTTTCCTACCTCTTCAGTGCCTCTTTTCAGTAATATGTAGTTAAAACAATGTACTGTGAGTGCACACCTGATTTTTGGTTCTTATGAAGATGCTTTTATGCGTGTAGATAGTTATTAAATTGGTGTTCTTGCAGGGGGGGACGATCGGTGGAGTCTTTTATTCTGCCATCTTGTTATGCCTCCTCCCAAGTTACACCTTCTAAAAAACAACCTCCAACAGGGCTTTGTGAGAAACTAAGATGATAAGACATGAAAGTGTATTGAAAATTGTAAAAATTAATTCTAGGGACAAAATAACATAGACTTAATTTTCTCTGTTCCTCCCCTCTAAATACATCTAAATACTCTGAAAATAATTTAACAGCCAATCATAAAAAGACTCTGACATGTGGAAAGGATACATTAAACTATAAAAGATGCTCGAGACTTGAGGAGTAACACCACAGTGAATTTCCTGGATTTTTTTTCTTTATATCTCATATATCTTAGACTGTGGACCAGAGAGGGCTGCAATCTGGAACTGCCAAAAGACATAGAAAAAGAAAAGAAAAGAAATGAAAACAAAAGAAAAGAAAATGAAAGAGGAAAGGAAGAAAGAAAGAGAAAGAAAGAAGCAAAGCTTGCTCTCTCTGGGAAAAGGACTATGAAAGGAAAAGCCTAACTTTCCTTCCATGGAGGCACCAGCAGAGATAGAATATGACAGCCACTGGCACTAGGTACGTGGAGAATAGGTCAAGGGAGATGCTCTCCAATCGTCCCCCTCACAATGGCCCATGGAAGAACCCTCCATCCTCAAAGCAAACCAGCAAATATTTAGTGGGCATTCAAACAGAGCCAGAAGAGCCAAGCCAACCAGATTAGCACTGCAAGGAATTCAAAAACTAAGTTCTTACTGGGATATAACCCAGAAAAGTAGGTCACAACCTATATGCTGAACTGTCGAGTCCAGCTCAGTCAGGGAGGCCCTAACCCAGCAGCACTAAAGGAATTAAAGACACACACACAGAAATATAGAGGTGTAAAGTGGGAAATCAGGGGTCTCACAGCCTTCAGAGCTGAGAGCCCTGAACAGAGATTTACCCACATATTTATTAACAGCAAACCAGTCATTAGCATTGTTTCTATAGATATTAAATTAACTAAAAGTATCCCTTAAAGGAAACGAAGGGATGGGCCAAATTAATTGCAGCAGGAACACGCCCTTAAGACACAGATTGCTCATGCTTTTGTTTGTGGCTTAAGAATGCCTTTAAGCAGTTTTCCACCCTGGGTGGGCCAGGAGTTCCTTGCCCTCATTCCCATAAATCCACAACCTTCCAGCTTGGGCGTTATGGCCATTATGGACATGTTACATTGCTGCAGAGATTTTATTTATGGCCAGTTTTGGGGCCAGTTTATGGCCAGATTTTGGGGGGCTTGCTCCCAACACTGAACCTAAACAGAAACCTCCTATTAAAATAAAATATTTAAATAGGATCAAAATGTCCTAACTTAATATTTAAAATATCCAAGATACAGTAAAAAAATCACTCAGTATACCAACAACCAAGAAAAGTGAAGCCTGAATGAGAAAAGACTATGAGCTGATGGCAATACTGAGATGAATCAAATGTTGAAAGAATCTGATGAACACTTTAAAGAAATGATTTTCAACTAGTAATTAAAATTTCCCGAGAGAAATGAAAAAAAAGATAAAACATCAGCAAAAACTAGGAATTACAAAAAAAGAACCAAACAGGAATGTAAAACTAAAAAATACACTAACCAAAACAGAAAACTCATTAGATAGGCTCAATAGCAAAGTGAAGTTAAAAGAAGATAGAATCAAGAAATTTGAGGACAGAACAATGGAATTCACTAAATCTGAATAACAAAGAGAAAACAGAAACACATAATTTCCCACCACAATTACCATCCCCAAAATGAACAGTGCCTCAGAAAACTGGCACAATAAGAAAAGAGATATTATTGGAGTTTCAGAAAGAGAGGACAAAGAATTTGGGGCTGGAAAGGTATTCAAAGAAATAATGGCTGAAACTTCCCAAATTTGTGGAATAAATAAGATTACAGAGTCAAAACCTGAGCAAACACAAATAGGGTAAACACAAAGGAATCCACACCAAAACACCTTATAATTGAACTTCTGAAAAATAAAGAAAAAAATATTTAAATCCACCAGGAACAGAAAAAATCAAATGAACAGATTTCTCATCTGAAACTATAGAGGCTAGAAGGAATTAGCATAACATTTTCATGTGCTGAAAGAATTGTCATATGTAAATTCTATATCTGGAAAAAATAGCTTTCAGAAATAAATGAAAAATAAAGGCATTTTCAGATGAAGGAAAACTAAGGAATTTGTTGCAAATAGACATACCTTTAAAGAATATCTAAAAGAAACTCTCCAAACAGGAAGGAAATCATAGCAGAAGGAGGCAAAGAACTTCAGAAAGGAAAGAATAATGGAGTGGTAAAATCAGGGGCAAATATAATACACTACTGTTCTCTTGATGAGTCTCCTAAATCATATTTGATGATAGAAATAAAAATTAAAATAACATCTGTTGTGTCACTCAATGTATGCAGAGAAAATACTTGAAACAACTCTCTTTTTCAAGTTTGGAATTTAAAGGGACCTAAAGGGCAGTTTGATGCTCCACTTGAAGTGGTTAAAGGATGATACCAGAGATTGTCATAACTCACATTTGTCTATTGTTATACTCAGGAAATTATAGAAAACTATATAAAGCAATACACTCAAATAAATCAAGATCAAAGCCTAAAAACTGCTCAAAAATGCACTTGAACGAAATATATGATAAACAGAAGAAAGAGAAACAGAAGAAATAGACAGAAAACAAATCATAAAATGTCAGTAATGCAAATTTAATGCAAATGTGCTTTTAGAATGCAATTGTTTATGAAACAGAACCTGAAATGTGGGCAACTGCTTTAGGAACATATCAATGTCTTAATTTGCATTTTGCTTCAATTTTGCTCTATGATTTAAATGATTTTTGGTGACTTACAAGTGTTGTTTATTATGGTAAGAACATTCCCTTATTTAGACATGAGTGAGAGCTTTTTGATGGAAAATGTCATAACAAAATTTAATTTATTTCCAAATATATAGAAACAAATGATGGCTTTCAGGTTTCAGGGTTCTTATAGATGGATATAGGACTACATACTTCAGTTATTTTAGTCTTAATCCCATGAAGAAGTACAATGATGCAGAAGAAAATGTGATAAAACAGTTAATTGAGATTAAAACAATGGGATTTTTATTTTTACCCAATGAATTAGCAAACACTTAAAACGCTGATAATACCAGTGTCTACGTGAGTTGGGGAAACATTACTCTCTTCCACTGTTAGTACAGTTATCCCATAGGGGAATTTATTAGTATCTATTAAAATTTCAAACATGCAGGTCCTATAACCCAACATATCTACTGCTCACCTATCCTAGAATAACAAGTGTTTACAGTGTTCACATATGTACATCGAAGATTTATAAAAACAAACATTTTGAGACAACCTAAATGTTCATGAATAGGATGGTGACTAAATATTGATATATCTGAACTACAGGATAATATATAATAGGTTTTAAAAATGATGAAGACCTATAAACACTAATATGGAAAGGTATCGGAGTGAATAAAACAAATTGCAAGACAAAATATAGTTAAGATACTATTTATATTTTTAAAACACAAAAAAATTATATATTTCTTTATAGATATATGTAGATAGTTTTATAGAAAGAGGTCTGTCATGATACATCCCAAACTGAGATGCTTAGTAACTCTAGGGATGGATAAAGAAACCAAGATTAAAGATGGCAGCCAAAGATAGATTTTTTTTTTTTGCCTTATTGCTAATAATTTAATTTATGCTAGAAGATTACACTAATATATAGTTTGTATATTTTAAAAATGTGTTCAGGTACAAAACACATGGTTTTTAAATGTATTCAAATAATACAAATTTTAAAGAGCTGCAAACAATCTTTAAAATCTCAAATATGAGTTGCCTGTATAAATCTGACTTTGAGTATTTTTAAATTCCTCTCTTTGTTTTCAGGACACAAACTTCTTGACAGCAGACTACTAGGACACTGCTGGCAGGGACTAGGTCATTTTCAGGAAGGCCCTGCTATGCCTGTAGGGGTTGCCATAGGCACAGTTCATGAGGCTAACCTAGAAAAGTGTTATTAGGAAACAATACATCTTTGCCGAAGGATTTGTTTGGAAGGAGAGAAGACAGAAAATAGTGCACTGAGTCAAAGGTTAGAAGAGCAGGTAAACTGAAAGTTAAGAATGAACTGCATAGTATTCCATGGTGTATATGTGCCACATTTTCTTAATCCAGTCTATCATTATTGGACATTTAGGTTGGTTCCAAGTCTTTGCTATTGTGAATAATGCCACAATAAACATACATGTGCATGTGTCTTTATAGCAGCATGATTTATAATCCTTTGGGTATATACCCAGTAATGGGATGGCTGGGTCAAATGGTATTTCCAGTTCTAGATCCCTGAGGAATCGCCACACTGACTTCCACAATGGTTGAACTAGTTTACAGTCCCACCAACAGTGTAAAAGTGTTCCTATTTCTCCACATCCTCTCCAGCACCTGTTGTTTCCTGACTTTTTAATGATTGCCATTCTAACTGGTGTGAGATGGTATCTCATTGTGGTTTCGATTTGCATTTCTCTGATGGCCAGTGGTGATGAGCATTTTTTCATGTGTTTTTTGGCTGCATAAATGTCTTCTTTTGAGATGTGTCTGTTCATATCCTTCGTCCACTTTTTGATGGAGTTGTTTGTTTTTTTCTTGTCAATTATTTTGAGTTCATTGTAGATTCTGGATATTAGCCCTTTGTCAGATGAGTAGGTTGCGAAAATTTTCTCCCATTTTATAGGTTGCCTGTTCACTCTGATGGTAGTTTCTTTTGCTGTGCAGAAGCTCTTTAGTTTAATTAGATCCCATTTGTCAATTTTGTCTTTTGTTGCCATTGCTTTTGGTGTTTTAGACATGGAATACTATGCAGCCATAAAAAATGATGAGTTCAGGTCCTTTGTAGGGACATGGATGAAATTGGAAAACATCATTCTCAGTAAACTATCACAAGAACAAAAAACCAAACACTGCATATTCTCACTCATAGGTGGGAATTGAACAATGAGAACACATAGACACAGGAAGGGGAACATCACACTCTGGGGACTGTTGTGGGGTGGGGGGCGGGGGGAGGGATAGCATTGGGAGATATACCTAATGCTAGATGACGAGTTAGTGGGTGCAGTGCACCAGCATGGCACATGTATACATATGTAACTAACCTGCACAATGTGTACATGTACCCTAAAACTTAAAGTATAATAAAAAAATAAATAAATAAATAAAAAAGAAAAGAATGAACTGAAAGTGACAGGTTGCCAGAGAGGTGGAACCACATGGAATAGAGCAGAGAAAGAAGGAGATAAAGATACAGACTACAGCCTATTCAGAGTGACTTACAAATGCACCGTTCTGGATAGGATGCCGTGGGGCAGCCTCTCAGCACACATATCAGCTAGGCTAATTATATGTTAATTGTAGTTATTTATCCTGGTTTTATAATATAATTTCTCTGGAAGTTGTTAGAATTTTTATTCTAACTTTAATGTTCTGAAATTTCATATACATATGGAATAAATTGCTTTGGATTTTTATTTGTTTTATTTTCCATTTGATTTAATTTGGTTTTGTAAATCCTGCTCAACACTGAGTAGGGTCTTTTTTCTAATCTCCTAACTTTATTTCTCTATAAAGGAATATTCTCTGTTATCTCTTAAAATATTGGCAGCTCCGTATTACGACTAATCTTTTGAAACTCTATTTAGATGATTTTTGGGAACTTCTGGGTCTGTTCTCCAATTCTCTTCCCTTTTATTATTTCTCTGTCTTTAGTTTCAGCTTTATAATTAATTCTACTGCCACATACATTTTGCACTTTGGCCTATAAATTTCACAATTTGTGTTTTTTTATTTTTATAGTTCTAGTTGGTTCTTCTTTATATCCACCTAGTCATGTTATGGAATAAAATACCATGGCTCCAAAGACAAAAAAGACTGTCTCTTTTATTCTTTGCGTAACTTACCAGCTCCAACTGTGGCCTGAACTTCTGCTATTTATCATTGAGAAGTGAGAAGATATAGAATTAGCCCCACTGACTGAACACTAGTTTCCTGTAATGCTCTTCATTGCTCTCCGGCATTCATTACCAGATAACCAAGGCATGTCCCGGAGTATCTAATGTAAACTCACATATTCACTATTCATCCTGGGGCGAGGTCCATAGATTTCTGCTGCCTGTCCAAAGAAGCATAGGTTGAACTATCAAATTGCTTCAATGATCCAGGGAATTAATTGCTCTTAAACCTCCTCCTACTTTTCTATACTGCAGAAATATCACATCTAAAGTAACAATATTTCTTGATCTTTTGTGCTGCAATTATCCTCTTCAGCTTCTACTTCCTAATGACTGCTCAGTTTCTATTTACCAATAATTGCTCATAATTGCCATAATTCTCTTGCTTTTTTAATTTTTTAATTTTTTATTTTTTTGAGACAAAGTCTTACTCTGTCGCCCAAGCTGTAGTGTAGTGGCGCGATCTCAGTTCACTGCAACTTCCACCTCCCGGGTTCAAGCGATTCTACTGCCTCAACCTCCTGAGTAGCTGGGACTACAGGCATGCACCACCATGCCTGGCTAATTTTTTTTTAATGTATTTTTAGTAGAGACGGGGTTTCACTATGTTGGCCAGGCTGGTCTTGAACAGCTGATCTCGTGATCCGCCCCCTCAGCCTCCCAAAGTGCTGGGATTACAGGCGTGAGCCACCATGCCCAGCCGCCTTTTTTTTGTTTGTTTTTTGTTTTAAAGAGTGTGACTTTTAGGGATCGAGTACGATGGAGCTGCCAGGTGTGGTTATTTTGCCACCTTGAAACGAGAATGTATCATCTTATCTCTATTGATTGCCAGAGTTCAAGAACTAGAGCAACAGGGGTCTCAGCTTTTAGCAGCGATGGCTTTTCTAGGGAATTTATTTAAAGCACTTAAAATGATGCAGTGTAGTATGCACAAAAATTTCAAATAATTATAACTTTTGACTCAGCAAATCCACTTCTGGGAATTTGACCAATATTGTTAATGATACCATTCAGTTAAGATGTTTAGTTAAGGACATTTATTGCAATATTATTTAAAATAGCAAAGTATTAGAAGCCATCTGGATGTTCTTTAAAATGGTTAAATGCATTTTGGTCTATTTTTACTATAAAATATTATGCAACTATTATAAAGAATGAAGAAAACATGTGCATTGTCTTCTAGGTCTGACAAAAATGTATCGTTCGGTAAAAATATCAAGTTATTGAGTAAGTTCAGTTATAACTGCCCCACAACCTGCAGCAAGCAGCCCAGGTAACCAACTCGTTATTTAGCTATAGACAGTGAGGCTGCTAGCTCTTTCAGACTTAAAGAAGTCAAACTGCAATTTCTAGTTAGTAGTTACTAGTCCAGAAAGTTAACAATAAGCGCTGCAACAATAGGCTCAAAGCAGCCACGAGTTGACTAATAATTAACAATTATCCTCGTTTTTGTCCTCACTGCCAAATTAGGACTACTCAGAGAAAGCCAAATATGCAGCCCTAATTAATCATATAGAATACCCTGCTTCTCATTAGTTTGCCTACAGTTTGCGCATGCCAACAGCCTCCGATAAAGGCACACTGGAAACCCTCCTTTTATTCTTCTTCCATTATAAAGCTTGCCCACACCTCTGAAAGCTTGCCCACTCCTCTGCCTGGCTTGGAGTTTGCCAAAACATAAAGGATTGTGGCTGACACCCTTGCCATCACAAGTTCTGAATAAATAGTATTTCCTTATTCTAATTTGGTTGGTCTTCATTTATTTCCCGTTCTGTAAAGAACAATATTGTTTGTAAAAACAAATAGTATGTACACAATTGCATATGTTTAAATAAACAACATAAAAAGGCCACACGTGATTTTGTTAAGAATGTATGCATTAGGGATATGGGACAGCATGTATTTTATTATTTAAATGACTAAAATAAAAAAGATAACATGATACATTCATCTACGTATTCATATAGTTTATTTCACATAGCAACTAATTCTAATAATCTTAATACTACAGATTTTTTTTTTTTTTTTGAGACAGAGTCTCCTTCTGTTGCCCAGGCTGGAGTGCAGTGGCCTGATCTCAGCTCACCACAACCCCCACCTCCCAGGTTCAATCAATTGTCCTGCCTCAACCTCCCAAGTAGCTGAGACAACAGGCGTGTGCCACCACGCTCAGCTAATTTTTGTAGTTTTAGTAGAGAGGGGGGGTTCACTATGCTAGCCAGGCTGATCTCGAACTGACCTCATGATCTGCCTGCCTTGGCCTCCCAAAGTGCTGGGATTACAGCCACCACGCCCAGCCAATACTACAGATATTTATAAAGATATTTGTTATATTGGGTGCTCCATGTGGCTATTTTAGGAGTCATCCAACAATGGCTCTTCTATGTGAATGCCAGTTCAAAACTAAGAGTCCTTAATAGGACTAGGAAATAATTTATTTTTGAACTAAAAATATTTAGCTTACTGAGAAAAAAAATTAAATGCCTTCCTGCTGTTCTTTTCAATATTCGCTGTGTGTTTTATTCTCCAGTTAGACTTAGACACACTCTAAAATATATTCTAGTTTTATCTTAAGTATTGCTATATCCAAAGGAACAAATAATGTTTCTTATCATCCCCTTCCTGCTGGACTTCATAATGCATTTGATTCCCAGCTATTAACCCTGGAGACCTGTGTTCACAGTCACTTTGTGCTTAAGACCTTATAGGTTTAGTCATGTATAGACATTCTTACAAAGATTATTACTTTTTTTGTACTGAACAATGTTTGCCAATATTCCCATGACTTGCAGCTAAAAGATGACTAGAAGATCAACCAGTCAAACCACTGGAGATTTCAACTATTCTCTGGAAATACTCTTTGCTTATGGGCGGGGGAAACCACCTTGGGAATATGAACTTTTAACAGTATCTTGTAGTCTTTTCTTGGGAGAAAAAAAAGACCTATAGTTTAGTCGACCACTGAGCCTTAAATCACTTCAAAGTATTTTTCGATAGCTTTTGATAAAAGGGTGTTGTTATAACAAATTACAGTCAATTAAAATAGACAGTTTTTGGTGAATTACTCAGGGAAACTCGTAAGTTCAGCACTTTGCCAAATCATTTGCTAGCTACATGGGTAACAAAAAATGCTTAGTGTTGAGATAATAAAATATGAGAAAATTGTTTCATTTTCACTCAAAACTGTATTTTTTTTTCCTCTTGGGAGTCTTTTAAACTAAGAATTATAACTTCTATAGATGAAATAAAACCAGTTCTATAAGGGGTTGTGAACCATCTTATCTCAAAGGTATACTTAAGGTTTTCTAATCATTTTAGGTAGAGAAACTATCAATAATATATAAATAAATTTTTGATGGATAAGTAGAACTCCACATTCTACTTATCCCTATAGAGATACAAGGTTTTAACTCCTCCTACAAGAATCTGGAAAACTCACTCAGCCACAGAATTCTGGTACTATTTAACCAGAATTTTAGTATTAAAATTATTTTATTAAAAAGAAAAACTGTGATGAAAAGATCCATATCAAATCCCACCATAACTCTTTGCAGTGACTTTGTTGGATCCCAACCACCAGAAACAAGTATTTTACGTTCACATTTTCTTCTTCCTTTCCTTTTCTTTCTTCCCTTTTCTTTCTTTCTTATTTTTAGGACAGACTGTTTGGATTGGCTTCCATTTATGAGGATGGGAGGAATAGAAAAAGTTCCTGTCTGTAATGAAGGTGTTGCACAGATTCTGAATTTATCTTGTATTTGATTCTGTTCCAATTTAATCTATGCATTCCTATGTCATTTATTGCCATGGTAACTGGATACTCATCTAAAATCACATCAAAATTGAGTGGGAAAAGAGGAAATACTTAACTGAATATAAATTCTTAACATGATAAGAAACACTCTAATATTAAATGAATATTTAAGCAAACATCCATATATGGTTATTGGCTCCCTATTCCAATAACGTAAACATTGCCTCAGTTTTTTTTTACATAACATTATTTTCTTCTGATTTTAAAGTAACATGTAACTTTTAAAAAAAACTTATAAAAAAACTTGGAAAATACAGAATGCATAGGAAGAAAAAGCACCAATATTTCCCATGCGCAAGTGTAACTCTTGCCAAGATTTTGAGGCGTTTCCTTCCAGCTTTGATAAATGTATTTATTGATTTAGATTTATTTATTTGATGTGAAGAGCATTCTGAAGGGATGACAAAGAAGAAGATGTGATGAAAATATGGTTGACAAGAAAGAAAAGAGAGAGTAAAACAGAATAAGGTTTGTATTTACTTATTTCATTGGGGAAAGATTCTAAGAGGATGTATCAGAACTACTGACTGCAGCTAACCCATGCTTAAACTAACAGTGATTTATTTATATATATTTTATATATATATATATTTTATTTTATTTTTTTTAGATGAAGTTTTGCTGTCTCCCAGGCTGGAGTGCAGTGGCGCAATCTCAGCTCACTGCAACCTCCACCTCCTGGGTTCAAGCGATTCTCCTACCTCAGCCTCCCCAGTAGCTGAGATTACAGGCACATGCTTCAAAACCCAGCTAATTTTTCTAATTTTAGTAGAGACCAGGTTTCACCCTGTTGGCCAAGCTGGTCTCGAATTCCTGACCTCAGGTGATCCACTCACCTCAGCCTCCCAAAGTGCTGGGATTACAGGCGTGAACCACTGTGTCTGGCCGATTTTTTTATATTGAGAATTAATTTGTCCAGGCATAATGGCTCATGCCTGTAATCCCAGCACTTTGGGAGGCCAAGGCGGGTGGATCACAAGGTCAGGAGCTCGAGACCAGCCTGGCCAAAATGGTGAAGCCCCGTCTCTACTAAAAATTAAAAAAAAAAAAAAATATTGGCCAGTCATGATGGCGCATGCCTGTAATCCCAGCTACTCAGGAGGCTGAGGCAGGAGAATTGCTTGAACCTGGGAGGCGGAGGTTGCAGTGGGCCAAGATTGCACCACTACACTCCAGCCTGGGCGACAGAGCGAGACTCCATCTCAAAAAAAAAAAAAAGAATTTTTGCCTGCTTAATAAGGGTATTGTGGTAGTAGAAAAGATTTCATGTGATTACTCAATGATGTTCTCATCAAGGACATTTATATATTACCATGCCAACATCCTTAATGGGCTGACTTCTCACCCCATGCTGCCAAGGTGACTTCTGAAGCCCATGACTTACTACTTGGCTTAAGGCAATAAGACGCAAGAAACAACACGGGCCAGTGGCATCTGTTAGTTTTATCAGGAAATCAGAAGTTTTCCTTAAAGCTTTCCCAACAGGTTTCTCCTTTCATTTTGCTAAATCAAGTTAAATTTACACTTATATCTTTATTAGACATCAATCACTGCTAATCAATGCTGTCTTCCCTACCAAAATGAAGGTTATGAAAATGAGTATTAACTTCAGGGATTTACTGTTAATGTTGTTGTTTTCAGTGTGTCTGGGGAAAATAAGCAAGGGAGCAAATGATTTGGAATTCTATCACCTTGCTAGGGCTACTGTAACAAAGTACCACAGTTCTGCATTGTAGTCCAAAATCAAGGTGTGGACAGGGTTGGTTCCTCCTGAGGGCTGCGAGGGAAGGATGTGTTTCACACCTCTCTCCTCCGCTTGTAGATAGCCATATTTTCTCCATGTCTCTTAACATCATCTTTGTTCCACGCTTATCTCTGTGTCCAAATTTCCCCCTTTCATAAAGAAAACAGTCAAATGGACCAGGGTCCTCTGTAATGACATCATTTAACTTTATTACCTCTGCAAATCAAGTAATAAATGAGGTCACATGATGAGGTACCAGGGGTTAGAACATCAACAAATGAATTTTTCTCGGGGCATAATTCAACCCATAATAGGAAGTGTCAATGTGGATAGGTGGGGTTCCTTATTCTATCTTCTTGTGGAGACCGCAGGCCCAGAAATGACTGAGCTGTCCACACTCTTCACTTATTCTGAGAGCATGCATGATGATAGACAATTTGGGATAAAGGGTTAGGATGGCCACAGCCCATGAATTCAAGTTGAATCTGCTCTCCAGGGCCCTACCTCTGAATGCCATCTAGCCTCTGTATGTACTCGACCCTGTGGGTCTCCACGGGATACCTTGGCACAGCTGAATAAGGTACTTCCTGAACATATGGGATTACTTTTTTAATGATCCAAAGAATACCTAGTGAAAAGAATTCAATAATTAATTGTAAATGCCTCATTTGAATACTTACTGATCAAGAAAATCATGTTGAATATCCTAATATGCCTATTATGAGTTTTGAATATTGTCCAAAAGGGAATGCCGTGGTTACTGGAGGTTGAGGTAAGAAATTAAATTGGCAAATTTCTTTGTAATGCAAGAAATCTTCTCATCCTAAAAAGAAATGAATATCCTCATTCTCTAAAGACAGACAGACAGCTGACATTAGGTGGTGGTATAGGATTTAAGTAATATCTATATTTACATAGTCATGAATATGTAACTTATAAAATGTATATCCTACATTTTACTTATTTTTAGGAGACTTATATAATGCATATATCAAGTAATTAAATATTGCTATCCGGAACATGAGAACTATCAGTTTTAAGAAATGAGTTACTGAGGTAAAATTCATATAACATAAAATTAACCATTTTTATTTGAACAATTCATTGTATTTAGTATATTCACAACTTGTTCAACCACCACTTAAATCTATTAATAGTTCTAAAACATTTCCCTCACCTCAAAGCTAAACCCTTTATCCATTAAGCACTTTCTCTCTAACCCCTTCTTTCACCAGAACGACATTCTGTCTGTAGCAGTTTATGAATTCTGGATATTCATATAAAATGGAATCACACAATATGTGACCTTTGGTGAGTGGTTTCTTTCAGGTAACAGAATGTTTCTGAAATTCATCCCTGCCTAGCATTTGGGCTGTTTCACCTTCTTGCTACTGTGAAAGTGCTGCTGCTGAAACGTGTGTACCTGTGCTTATTTAAGTATCCATTCTCAGTTCTTTGGGTACATACATAAGAGTAGAATCCTAAGATCATGTGATAATTCTATGTTTAACTTTTTGAGGAACTGACACTGTTTTCCACAGCAGCTGACCCATTTTGCATTCCCATAGCAATGAGGGCTCCAATTGGCCCACATCTTTGCCAACACGTGTTACTGTCTGTTGTTGTTATTTTTATGGTTATTACAGTGATCCCAGTGTGTAAGAAGTGGCCGCTCACTGTGATTTTGATATGCATCTTGCTGATGAATAATGATGTTGAGCACCTTTTCATTTGCTTGTTGGTCATTCTTATACCTTCTTCGGATAAATGTTTATTCAAGTCATTTACTTATTTTTCCATTGGGTTGTCTTTTTGTTGTTGGAGTTCTAAGGGTTCTTTACATAATCTGGATATAAGACCTTTGTAAGATACAAGACTTACAAATATTTACTCCCATTCCACAGGTTCCCTTTTCACTCTTTTTGTAGTGTCCTTTGATGCACACAAGTTTTAAATTTTGATGCAGTCTAATTCATCCTTTTTTTTCTCTTGGTGCATAAGTTTGTTGTTTTTTTTTTTAAGTAACACACATACCACATTCATACAAATGGAAAACAGGCAGTCATTCTTGAAAATGGGATAATAGGATAATCCTTCAGAGTATCAGGATGCATATTCATAAGCATATAATCAGTTTTTATTTTGCCTAAATATAGTCTTCATTAACTGGAAAAAATTTATAGCATTGTTACTTTTATCATATACTTGTAATCAAAATGAAATAAAGATAGAAGGATATATAGTATCTCTCTCTAAGGTACATAATATAAAATATAAGATTCTTTTATTTATTCATGCATCAAATATTTTTGAGTACCTAAAATATACTATGATTATAAGACAGAAAATTTCCAACCTCCATTGAGCTTATATTCCAGTAAATAAATGCAAACTAATGAAATAAACAAAAATAAATAAATTCAGGTAGTAAATACCATGAAAAAATAAAATAGGGTAATGACTCAACAGGTGAACTATTTTTACTAGGGCTACTGAAAATGTAACAATTGAACTGAGATGTGTATTACCATAAGAGACACCTAAGAGAGAATCATTCCAGGCTGAGGAAATTACCAAGGCAAAGTTTTGAGGTGCAAATGAACATTGAATTTTCCAGTGATAGAGAAAGGGCCACTATGGCTCATGGAGAACATGAAGTTTACCTTGGAGAAGACAGTGGTGGACCTGATACGTAAAAGAAAAATGCCTGTCATTTGCTTAAATGGAGATTACCCGCCATTTAAATAACTAGAGTTATTCAATAACCATTTACTGGGCAGGAGGCTGGGCATTTAACAATCTGATATTTGTTCAGAGTAAAGGAGAAGAATTGGGGGTGGGGAGTGGATCTGAGAAGAGATATATAAAATATAAGAGACACCACCTTTATTCTTTATGGAATTGTAATCCAGTAAGAATTTTCTAAAAACTCAGCTAACCATAACACAAGGCAGAGAAGAGTTCAATTAAATATGGAGGTTTAAATCAGAGAAGTTTCTTAATCTAGTATTTGAAGTATAAGCAGGATTGCTATAGTTGTAAGAAAATATTTAAATCAAAGGGAAACAAAGCCCAGAGACAAGAATGAGCAAGGCGTGTCTGGGAAATGGAGTTGTGCATTGGAGATCAGAAGGTATTTGGAGAAAACACGTAGGATATAAAGACAATGGCATTAAAGCTGGAACCTATGTGTTTTATGGCTTTTTAATTAAAACAGATGCAGCACTCATTTATTTCTTATTTCCCCAACAGAATCCAACTCTGAATGTGAGGTTTGCTTGAAAACACCAAAGAAATATCGAGGACCAGTTCTCCATTCTAATTAGCTCTCTAAGACCTGGAGGCTCTCTGGGACACAAGTCAGTGGGACTTCAGTTTCATAGACTTTATGCCCATGAAGAGCCAGTTTTTGAAGATTCTCTAATAACTTGAATTCTCAAATTTAGATTATGAACTCTTATCATAAGATTCTAATTCAACTATCAAGCTGAGACAAATTAAATCTGTATCTTTGGTAGGCAGAATTCTAATATGGTCTCCAAGATTCCGACTCTCCAGCATACATACCTTGTATAATTGTCTTCACTTGAGTGAGCCTCCAAGTTGTGAATATAATGGGACAGTCTCTCATTCGATTCTGTTACATTACATGGCAAATGGTGAGGGGATAGGCATTTCTGTGATTATGTTATCTTACATAAGATTCTATTGTAGCCCACCAGAGAGAAGGAAGACAGAGAGATGTGCTGCTGCCAGCCAGGAAAAAGCAAACATCCATGTTGCCTAAGGGGGCCGTGGAGCAGGGATCTGAATGTAGAATGTGGCTGACAGCTAGAAGAAGCCGGGGAGCTCAGTCACACAGCTACAAGGAAGTGAATCCTGCCAAAGTCTGTAAAGTTGAAAGAGAACCCCAAGCCTCAGATTAAGCGGCAGCCTAGGTGGACACCTTGATTTCAGCTATGTGGTTATGGGGCAAATTGTTGTATCTGGACTTCTCAGTTTCTGCAAAAGGACTGGAGTCTTTTTTCCTTCAATATTAACATAGTGAGGAATTCCTAAACCTAGGAAGTGTGTTCCAATACTGGGTGTTATGGGCTGAATTTTGTCACTTCAAAATTCTGGTAATGAAGTCCTAATCCCCAGTATCTCACAACGTGTCTCTATTTGAAGATAAGGTGTTTAAAAAGTTAATTGACTTAAAATGAGGTCATAAGAGTGAGCCCTAATCCAACATGACTCACGTCTTCTAAGAGGAGATTAGGACACAGACACACACAAAGGAAAAACCATGTAGAGAGACAGAGAGAAGACAACCACCCATCAACATACCACAAAGAGGTCTCAGAAGAAATCAACCTCGCTAACATCTTGATCTCACACTTCCAGCCTCCACAGTTGTGAGAAAATAAATTTCTATTGTTTAGGCCACCCAGTCTGACATGGTTTGTTATGGCAGCCCTAGCAAACTAATACAATGGGCAACTAAACAAGTGACAGTTATCCTCTGCACAATCCATATTAGGGATGAGGAGTTTGAAGACCTGGAAAATGTGACTTAGTCAATGTCACATAAATTTTGCCAAAAAAAAAATGAAAGCATTGCATTTTTAACTAGAGTAAGCATACAATCTATTATCCTAACTGGTATATTTTGGAGAATGTTTTTGGTACTGTGAATAATTATGATGGGACAAGGGTTATAAACCAGGTTGTACATGTAATAAAAAGTATCCTAGGCTCCCTGAAAAAGCAAGCAGTTCTCTCTTCAGTGGGTTTTGTTTAAAATACTGTATTTTACCTGGAATTGAAGATGTATAATAAATTATTAACAGGATGTTGCCAAATCCTATTGCCTCCTTTGTGTGTATCCAAAGGAGAAATTTCTAATTTTAGTACCAAAAATAATTGTACTTCTCCTGAACAATTAATTGGCTTGGTTTATCTTTTGTAGACTATGGAGGGTACAACTGACTTTATTTCCACCTTCAAGTTAGGTTGCTGGGAAGCTTAGCCCAAATTTGCATACTGATGCAAATGTAAAGATCAGCAAAATATGCCATTTTCTTGGTCTCATTTCCTGTTGTCATCTTTTTTTAATTTTCCTTTCACCTCTGCCTTTTTTTTTAAAATCTTGTAATGTTTTAGGTATCCTTGTAAGCCACCTTAAATCTTCTGGAATAAAATTACTTATATAAACCAATCAATCACTCAACAGTCTGATCTCATTCACTATCACTGTTCAAACTTTCTTTTGCTGCTCTATTCCATTAATAAAATCTACAAATATATTCCGTCTCATTAGATCATCCTGTTTGCACGCTACGTGTTTATAGCTAGTAGGTTTCCAAGCCTACATTCAGTCACGTGGAGTTCTTAAGGTTGGATACAAATGTAGAAATATAGGAACTACCTGGAAGAAGCCCACATTGAATTGTAATATCTGCACATCGTTTTTTAGTTAAAGTAAATGAAAAGTAATTTTTTCTCCTAAATAAAAACTGTACAATTATATGATTTAAAAAAAAAAGAACATTTTCTAAACTATAACAACACTATAGGTTGTAATTATAATGTGCCACTTTACTGAAATTATCCTGGATCAAAAAGAATAATTCTACATTTATTACATTGTACTCTGTGTACCATTACTAAATACAGAATTTCACATTGGTCTACTCCAGACATACAACTGTTGAAATATGGGAAAATGAGAGCAATTCATTGGCATGATTTCAACAAAGAGTTCTTGCTGTGTTATTCTTCCTGGTTACATTTTTTCTCAGACATTTAATTGTAACACACCTGCCTTATTTCTCAGAGATACACAGAAACAGGATCTCCTAGTGTGTTTGGTTTTGGACTAGGACTAAATGAGCACCAGCATTTCCATTGCAAGTCTACCTTGGATAGCTACCCCCTACTTCTAATTTCAGCTAGATAAAGAAAGAGAAGTAAACTTTGCTATATCCCTGCTTTCATTCGGCAACACACAGGTTTTGAGACTTTCTTATATTCAGTTTTTGGGGAAACTATGTGATGCAGTATGCCTGAATGTTAAGTACACACTGCAAAATATGAATAAGAAGGAAGTCATTATGGACTCAATTGTGTTCCTCCAAAATTTATATGAAGAAGCTCTAGCTTGCAATCTGACTATATTTGGAGATAGGGCCTTTGATTAATTTTAAATAAGGTCATGAGTGGAGCCCTAATTCAGTAGTTTTTGTTATTCCTCATACGAGTTAGTTGTTGACTGGGAGCTGCAAAGATTAAAAAAAAAAAGTCATCCTTCATGGATGTTCCTGATCTTCCAACGTGGTTTCTTTTAACTGCATATTTCAAAACACACATTTAAATACACATGTACACTGGGAAAGCTGAAGGACAGAGAAAAGGCCACATGAGGGCATAGCGAGAAAATGACCACCTACAAGCCAAGGAGAGAGGACTCAGGAGAAACCAAACAGGCTGACACCTTGACCTTTGACTTCCAACCTCTAGAACTGTGAGAAATAAGCTTCTATTTTTTAAGCTACCCAGTCTGTGGTATTTTGTTAGGGCAGCCTTAGCAGACTAATGCAGAGAGAAAATAAGACTAATGAAATATACATTCATAATGATTTTATTTAATACTATGCAAATTACCTTACATTTGAAATCTAATGACAGATCTAAGAGTAGGCAGGCTATGTGTTCTCAAATTCCTTTTATAAAGGAGAATATAGAGGAAAAACCATTTATCTGTTATTACTCGCACGAGTCAGTTGTTAACTGGAAGCTGCAAAGATTAAAAAAAAAGGCATCCTTCATGGATGTTCCTGATCATCCAACACGGTTTCTTTTAACTGCATATTTTGAAACTCACATTCAAATACACATGTACACTTGTTTATCTACATAGAAAATGACTGATTTTATTTGGCCCTATGTGATTCTTTTCACCCAGATATAACATAGAACTATTGGCACTGGAAAAATATCTTCATTCCTATGCTGCTTTGATAAGGTAGACTTAAAATAATGGCAGATACCTGTCCCCATGACGTTACAGGGCCTTACTTCAAGGATTCAAGAGTGCTCTGAGAATTACAGAGGTCTTTTATTTAAATCCCCACAAAGTAGACGAAGAGTGACAAACTTTTGTAATGGATCCAAGACAGGGAGATAAAAGTTGAGAACAATCGGTGCAACAGAGTAAAACAAAATGCCGCATGATATATGTTGAACACACCAATCACTGTAAGCCGGCACTAATTTACTTCCAGCCTTCTAGATGTATTTGTATTCATTATATTCAAAATGAGTATGTTAAAAATTGTAATTTAAATTCTGTTTTGGATGACCAGCCACTTGCTTATGATTTGATACATTGTGACACTTTTCATTTTTTATAACAATGCTCATGGAGCCATTTTTAATTGTACTGTAAAAAGACTTAATTTGGCCCAGACAGCGATGAAACACCACTTTCTGAGTAGGCAGAGTTCTGTCCAGTTTTTATATCTTATTTACCTCTGACAGGAGTTGCCAACAGGGGCAAACCAAATACATTAGAGCTGGCTGCTGTTGTGTCATCTTACATAAAGAATGAGACCTTTTTTTAAAATGAGAAAGCTTATTTTTGATAGTTTAGGGGGAAAGGTTATCAGTATTTGAGAACTACTTGTATGTTTGGTTTAAATATCAGAAGCAAAATGGAAGGATTTGACCAATTTTAACAAAATTTCAAAAAGAAATGAGTTTATAAGTTGGAGTTTAATAGCAGCAAAGTATTAAAAGTAGATTAAGCTTTAATGAGCATAAAGGACTAGGCACAGGAACCAGATTTTTATCCACTTTGACACTAGAATCTTTAGAATCAAGTGAGAAGAGGCCTAGATTGCCTAGGGCATGGCACCCCTGTTCTATGTGTTTTCCCTGGAAGGATGGAACTAGAAAACCAGGCACCATTTATGACCCTTCCCTCTACCCCTTCCCTATATCTATTTCATCCAAAAATGTGGTTGGTTTCCATTTTCTCTGCCAATTACCTGGACTTCTACAAGAGCCATTTATTGGTCTCCTTACTTCCTCTCTTGTTTTTGCCTTAACCCCCTACCAGACTGAAACCAGACTAAAGCACTAATCTGGTCATGGACATTAAAAGCTTTTCATAGATTCCCAATGGTCCCAGGACAAGCACTGCAACCTTTCACATGACCTACCTGGCCTGAGTGGTCCAGCACCTCCCCTCATACCACGCTTCTTCCCCACTCTGTGACATAGCTACACAGGTTTCCTTTCAATTATTTAAAATAACTTTCTTTCCTTCTGCATGGAACTTTTTACATCCAGTTCCTGCTCTTAAAACACTGCCCACCAGTCACCTTCATCTAATTAACCTGAACTCTTGGTTCACATCTCTGCTCAATCATCATGTCCTCAGAATAATTTCATATTCAAAGTAGGCCCATTTCTTCTTATCACGTGCTCTCAAAGAACCTCGTACTTCTCTGTCCTACCAGTTTTCACAGCTACAATCTTGCTTTTATATGACTATAACATGCATGCTCAGCTACACCACTGTAGACTCATGTACACTGTCCTATTCCAGAGCCTAGCATAGTAACTTGAACATAGTTGGTTCTCAGTCATTTCATTAAAAGTTAATAAATTTTACCTTGGTACATTTGGCGACTCATTAAAAATTTAAAACCTTTAGCTTTGTTCCCTCTCATTCTAACATAATTCGGTACACATAGTAAGCACATGCAATTTTTAATGAAAATTTCTATACCCTAGGGAAACATGATACATTCTTAATTTACATCTTAAAGAACGTCAGTGATATGAACTGAGGTACTTACATATGTCTTATGGTATTTAGATATTGGTGTATTTCTTTTAATTATTATTTTAATTGTCTTTCTTATTGAGTCCCCTCTTAAGTGGAGTTTAAACAGTTATGCAGCTATATTAATTAAAAGATTATTTTGTCCCAAAAGTCAAAGCTTGAATTTTGTCAATAATCCTTTATGTATTAATTACACACGAAGTTCTAAGAAACATAATCTTGCTTTAAGAGATGTGGCTTGTCAATTTAGCCCAATTCCAGTGTTAGCAAATATTATATAGAGATTTTTTTAAAAGAAACAATGAGCATATCCATTTTGAAGTATGTAGTCCCATAGTAAAGAAGATAAAAGGCCAAAATATTGTTCTTAATAATATAAAGAGTCTAAAAAATAGATCAGTATGAATTTGCAATGCTTTTCAGTTAATATATATTTTAGTTGAGTTACATTTATTTGAGCATGATTAACCGACTTAGGTTAGAAAGCAGTGCAGATATTTGTTTGGGCTAAGAATAAACAGAAGAGATAGGGCTTTAAACAGATTTTAGGTTTGCAGTCCTTGAAGCAAATGGAATGCTGTTATGGGTTTCACATTCATGTTGCATAAGACAGGTTAACTTGTGTTGTCATTTAGTTTTCTCTGTTTTTATCTGCATCTTATACCATCCTCCTTATTTATATGGACCATATATGTTATTTATATGGTCCTTTTGCGATAAGTACTTTTAAATCAAGTCATAAATTCTGTACTCATTTAATTATTTGACATTTGGGACATTTTCTTTTCTTACCTCCCTCCTTATAGGGTTCATAAAATGAGTGTTTTATTCATAAACTGGCAAAGAGAATAAATTATGATGTTACCATAATTTCACAAGGAAGTTACAATTTACAGATAAAATTTCACAATAACCCAATATTCTGATCTGTGTTTGAAATGTAGGCCAGAATTTCACTGTTTTTCATTAGTGAAATATTCATTCCTCCATGTCCAGAGGAAAAATACATTTTGTCTTCCATGTAGAGCTTATGCTACTGAATTTAGTAATTCCTGATAAGTCTCATTACAGCAAGCCCACCTTGCGCTGAGTTGGGTTAACTTAATTGTGGCTATCTTTACCCATGTTAACAGCAACACTGGAAATAATTTAATATAGTCTGGGGCACTTCACCCATTCTGTGAACTCCAGATAAGTCCCAGATGAGCTACAGAAAGGAAGCAATATATGATCAGGCAGGAGGGCTACACTTATTAACAGCAAGTGTTCAGACTGCTACTGGGTAGCAGAACACAAACTGCATAAATGATCCCTTCTCTCATTCATTTCCTGGCTGTCTGACTATGTCTGTTGTTCTAATGCATATGCAATGGCCACTCGTGTCGCCATAAAGCCCATTATTGTTTCTTCTTAAGGTTGACAATTTTTGATGTTTTTCATTTTGTAAGCTTTTGTCTGCCCAAGAGGTGGACATTACTATTATCATTTTGTAAATAACACAAATAGGTTAATTTTGACCTATGCTAGATGTTAGGATTCTTAACCTGGATCTTGGGACTGTAGACCCATAGGTGGTGGAGAGACTGTGAATCCAAAGATTTAACTTCTTCTTCCTACTTGGTTACATGAGGGAGAGCAGGGCTTTTGACACTCAGGACTCATTCCCTCTTCTAAGTTTGTCCTCAGTGGTCCCTAAGACTCTTCTATTTTGAACACTCTCTGTTTCTATAAAGCAAGCTGCAATTTAAAAAAAATCACACATGTGTAAATTTTTTAGGTCTATAGGCTATTTCTGTACCACTAAGCCTTTGCTAACACATCCTTTCATTTGACCTCCTTTCAGAAAATAATCACTACCCTGCATCTTTTCTAATTGCTCCATTTGCCTTTTTTAATGTTACAGGTAAACCAGCATTAAAGGAGCTGTAGCTTTCTCTTCATTTTTTTTTTCCCACTGCTATTGGAGATAGTTGTCTCAAAGGTCAAGTTAACTCCTAAATTAGTTGGGCAAACATCGTATCTATAGGCCATTTAAAAGAAGCACTAATGTCTCTACCTGAAGAACAGAATTGGGTCATCAGCTACATTAGTACATCATAGGCAATTTTTCTTTCACATGCTGGAAAAGAGGAAAGAGGCACTAGAAATGCAAAATCTTCCATGATTAGTTTGTGCTCTGGAAAGGAAAATGTGGACCTCTGAAGTGATTAGTTTGTGAAACATTACCTTTAAAAGCTCTGTAAATCATGACAAGTTTTGCAGATGCTCCTTAATTCTGATACCCGAAAATCATCATGGAAGTTATGGATTTTACAATACCCGAACATCCAAGTGGAAACGATTCTCAAGGCTCACTACCGTGTGCCTCCAGAGCTGGCACATGCTTTGTCAAAGCCCTCAATGCCCTCCTTTCCCATGAAATATGAACAAGGAACTCCTAAATCTCATCATGACTCACTGTTGATTTTAAGCTGCTCAAAATTCAAATGCTACTGAATTTAATAAAATTTTTTAAAAATTATAACATTAATAGGGCAATTTAAGGTAGACTCCAGTTTTTGGAGATGCACATTATTTTCAGGTGTTTCATTTCTTCTCTGCCTAGTTAATTTTATGAGTTCCTTGTCTATTATCACCAAGGAGGACTATGACTACTGGAGAACGCACCATTCTTCTCTGTACTCAGAGGGGAAGGAATGACCAGTTTTAGAACCTACGGGATTTGAATCTATTATAAAAATAAATAGAAAGAAATATGGGTGAAATAAAGCAAGAGCAGTTAAAGGACAGTTGAAAGTTAGGAAGGAAGGACCTAAACTTCTCCAACAACAAATAAGACAGAATCCATTGGCACTACTCACTTAGTAGAAATCATGGTGAGAAGATATAAAAGAGAAAAAATTAGATAAATAGATAGATAGATTGAAAAATGCCATAGTAACATTTAAAAAGAGTTGTGAACAGGAAAACGGAAGCAAAACTAACCATATCGAAATAAAGACCTAAATAAGACTTCAAAGCAATAGATTCATTTAATTGATTTTAATTAAAATCAATTAAAATAAATTGATTCAATTTATTTTAATGTGCCTAGTAATTAGCTCAGTGCATGACTCATAGTTAAGGGTTAAATTGACACATGAATGAATAAATAAATGAATGTTTCTAACCTAAGCTAAAGAGATCATTTATTTTAATAAGTTCTATGCCTTAAGAACAAAAAAAACTTGCTTATAATGTTTTTAAAATATATACTCCACTGTGTTTCCTAAAGTTTTCTACAACATACAAACCAAGAACTGTTGATATTTGTAGTAGAGAGTTTGTATATATTTTGTTCATTAAATAAGAATGAGAGGAGGAAGGGTGATAGAGAGGGATAAATATCCCAGTGAGAACGTGAAGGTAGACATGAGGAATGTGAGGGCTGTTGCCCCAGGGTTTGAAGCCAACATAAACATTAAAACCATTTACCACATTCTGACATTAAGCTCCTTAATTGCAGCGTCCAGAAAGGTGACGAGATGTGAGGCAAAACTTCTGCTGCTTTCTTCTTATAGAATATGCTACAGGTTTCCTTTATAAATCTTGTGTCAATTGGTGATCACTTAGCTCAAAATAAGACCAAACCAAAATAAATAAACCACTTAGCTTGTTATGACCATAACATTCTCTCCCATAAAAAAAAAAATTCACTCCAGATTGTAGCCTTTCCTCTTATAAGACAACGATCTGCTGATGAAGCTACATTTCTCAAAATATTTCACCTCAGCCACTGAGAAAATCCCTTCCCATCAGTTCTGTCATCACCACGCACAGGTGAGGCAGCATGGTGGCATGGGTAAAAGTACTGGCTCTAAAGCCAAATCTGTCACCAAGTTCCCACCAGGATTACATGAATGACTAACGGAAATTATGTAGAGTGAGCTGCAAGGCACATAGTAAGCATGCAATCAATGGTAGAATTTATTAATATTGTACTAACCCAGTCTTCATGTGCAATATCTACTGATGTAATATATCACTTTATCTGTTGGTGGTACTTTTATTCTGAAGAGCACTTTCACATGCATTATTGAATTTGGGAGGCAAGGATGCATCTAGTTAGCAGTTTAACCTCAAACAGTCCTGTTTTGAACCCTGATACCATTTATCTTCATGACCATGGGTAAAGTCATTCAACTTCTCTGAACCTCAGTTTTCTAATAAGTAAAATTAAGATTATAACAATTCTTGTTTTATATACTAGTTGTAAGATACAAAGGAAATGCTTACCATAATACCTGTATTTATCGTGGTATGTTGTCTTTATCTGTTCGGGCTGCTATCATAAAATGCCTTGGACTGGGAAATTTAGAAACCAAAGAAATTTATTGCTCACAGTTCTGGAGACTGGGAAGTCCAAAACCTAGGTGCCAGCAGATTTGGTGTCTGGTGAAGGCTTGCTCTCTACTTCCTAAATGGTACCTTCTTGCTGCATTCTCACATGGCAGAAAAAATGAACAAGGCCCCTTAGGCCTCTTTTATAAGGGCAACTGTAATGAATATTCTTACCTTTATGGAGCCCTATGACCTAATCACCTCCTGAAGTCTCCACCTCTATTGAGTTGCAGTGGGGCTTAGGTTTCAACATATGAATTTTGAGGTGGGAGGACACAAACTTTCAGACAATGGCAACTGCATACATTATTGTTGTTATTATTGCATTCAACCTTATAATCGCCAGTCCCAAAACAATTCCGCTGCTTGGATATGTCAATACCTCTATGACTCAACAGATCTAAACTTAATGTATCCCATAAGCTAACCTTCCTCCTAAATTGGTATTTTCATCATCTTTCCAAATATACTTATTTGATAAGACTTTATCTCATCTATCATATTGACCTTTTATATCGATGAGGAAAAAATCAGAGCGTTTATGTGGGTTGCCAATGGACACACAGTGATTAGAGAGAAGTGAGCTGATTTCAGGACTGAATTCAGAGCTGTTTTTTTCCCTCCGCTGCTGCAGTTTCCTGTTACTTTTTAGTGTTACACAATTGCAATAGGTCATCTACCTTAGTCATCCTTTAACTTTGAGTGAATAACTATAAGAATTACACATATTTTTCATCTTTTGCATTGACAAAGCATCCAGTCTAACAAAATCTCTCCCATGGCCTTGTAATAAAATGTGCTTTAAAATAAGTACCACACAACCATTCATTTTGGGATATGAAGTAAACATAATGTTGGTACCTGCTGAGTAAATTGTTTTTCTTAATGCTATGTCTTTGTTACTTTTCTCCGGTAAACCCAAAGGTTGATGTACTTTAATGCAATGATGCTAACCAAATGCACAAGTAAATGACAAATGCAAAGCACACTGCTAAGTGGTACACATGCATTGTCTTGTACTAGAATACAGTTACCTCCCCCACAAGACTAAGCATTCTCCCCATAAACTTCTTTCCTATTTAAAGAGATTAGTTGCATTGATACCTAAAACTTATTTGTTATCTAACACATAAACAAAATCTGTTACTTACACAAACACCACCTTTCCGATATACACACACACATACATACCTAAGTCTCACAATGTAATGCTTGGGAAAGTAAAAATAATTAGCTCTACATATCACTCATAGTGGCTTTATTGTTCCTTGTGAAATCAACATTTAAGCATTTGAGACAAAGCCCACTTTATGCAAGGACTGAATTAGTACGTTGAATTGTGTGTTGGACTAGAGTTTCTTGGGTTTAATTAGAGTTTTTGAGGTTTTTTTCTAGTAAAGCATAAAGCTCCAAGAGTAACAATTTGCTGGCAAAATGAAAATACTCTCATGCCTATCCTAGATCCTAGATGTTACAGACCAGAAAAATAATGTTTTAAAATGATAGAATAAATACTCAAAACAAGAGACTGGAACCAAAATGATGCTTTGCCAGAGGGTCTGATTTCTACCCCTTCCCATTTCTTCTGAATCCGTCTCTCAAAGGTCTGCAATGACCTGAACACAAAATGCCCTTTTGTCCTCAGACCTCATTTTCTCTCCCTCTGAGATGGTACTGCATACTGTTTACAAGTCCCTTTCTCTTTAAACCCTCTCTTTTATACATTAGTTCATTCCTAGAATGTCCTATATCAAGATGTTCTATGTGCCAGGCACAATGTTAGGTGTTAGGAATACAACAGTGAACAAAACAGGCAAAAATCTCAGCTTTCCCAAGCACTGTTTTGCCCTTTTAAACATCTTCAATGTACTTGCCCCTCCAAGTTTCTACCCTTGGCCTCCTCTTTTCACTTGGTGCTATCTACCAATTTCACCTCATTCCTCCATTCTGTCATTTCTCAACGTTTCCTTTCTGCAAAAGATACTCAGAATTACATCTATATGTCCTTCATCTCTCAATATTCTCCACGTTCAAAATGGTGCCAATGTTTAGATACAGCTGCACCTCTGTAACTCAACTGAAATGAGTTCCAAACTGAACTTTTCCCCCATAAATTAAGCTTCTTGCAAAGAAAGTTTCTATTTCTGTTATCTTTCCAAATACCCATGTATAAGAGGACTCTGTCTCTTGTCTGCCGTATCTCATCATGTCTCATAGTTTTGGTTCTGTATCTGTGATAACATTAGAATTCATTTTCATTCTCTAGCCACATTTTGACTAATTTAATATTTTCCGGAGTAACTTTCCTATCTAAAATTGTTCATTTTTCCAGTCCAATCCATGCTTTTTGCACAATGAATCATAGTCTGATAATTTTCGCAGGCTTCTCAAAAGCCTTCAGCTGCTTCTTGTGATTTAATAGATAAATGTCTGGCCTTCCAATCAAGACCTTCTCTGGAGGATCTCTTTCTGGCTTCTCCTCACAACTTCCATATTCCACCATCTGGTGACATAAAACTACTCACCTATTATCCATAAAGCGCCCATGTATTCTACTTCTAATTGTAGTAATTTCATTGTTCCTCTAAGCTGGAATGTCAGATTTCCTACTCTCTTCATTAAAATTATCCACGTATACTATAGTAAAGATAGTATCCTCCCATAAAGATTTTCATAATTTTCCTAAATTACAAGTCATCTTTCCTTTTAAATTAATAATATCTATAGAATCTATGTTAAGATTATAATATCATCTACTCAATTGGACTAGAACCATGCACCTACATTTGAAAAATAATTCATTTAATGGATTTGGAAGAATATATGAAGAAAAAGGCACAAAATGAGAAGTACAAGAAATCAGAATCCTGATGCCAAGATTACACCAAAAATTTCATATTTTTGCTTTTATCATTAGTGTCTATTTCTATTGCTACCACTCTCATGTGGCAGAGACCATAATTAATGGTAAGATGTCCTAATATATCTAGGACCAAAAAAAATTGAATTTCCAGTGAAACTACCTTTGCTGAACTAATCAGAACCCATGACACTGCTTATGGAGTTTCTAAATAAATCTACTTTCAACGACACGGCAATGACCTTAAAGTGTTACTGCAGAGAAAAGGATTTCCCGAGACCCACTGAGGAACGGTACTATTTCCTATCATCTTTAAAAATGGAAATAGCCTTACTGATATATACTATCAAGTTATTACCTATTTACTGTAAATAAAAATCTGAAAATACCTAAAATGTGAAGATAGAAGTGAAAATTATCTATAATCTCACTAGGCTGCTATAATCACTGTGAAGATTTGATATCTCTTTCTAGGATATTTGTTCTGCAAATACATACATAAATATTTTAAAAAATAAATGAGGTCTAACAGTACATGCTAATGTGGACCCTGCCTTTTTCACATAAACTATATTAGGAGCATATTCTCCTATCAGTATATACATTTAAACCTGCATCTTCATGTTCACACACTTACAGTGTATGACAACCCACAATTTAATTACTCATCTATCCATTAACGAACATTTAAGAGGTTTATATTCCCTTTCAAAACTTTTTCTTTAAATTCAGCTATTAAAACACTTCACTAAACACCTTGAACACTCATACTAGAAGGATGAAATATGAAAGTATAGAGATTTGATTCTTTAAGAGATTTGATCGGTTATTTCTTTCCCAACTAATCTAAATAATCTTGGTAGCTTACGATGGACACATTGTTATGTGCTTACTGACCATTTCAGGGTTTTTTTTTTTTCTTTCCTTTTATAATTGCTTATCCTTGTGCATAGCTTTTTCTTAGAGGGGTTATTCTCTTTTTCTACTTGATTTACAAAAGCTCCTTATAGTGTCATTACTAATTCATTTTATTGCATATATGTTTATCATTTGACTCTTAATTTGTTAATAGCAAAGCTATGGATAAATATGTTGTCATATAAGTGCTTTAATTTCAAACCAGTTATATCTCCTAATCTTATACATTTTTTTTTCTTTTGAGACAGTCTCACTGCTCCCAGTCTGGAATGCAGTGGCGGGATCAAGGTTCACTACAGCCTCGACCTCCCAGGCTCATGTAATCCTCCCACCTCAGCCTTCCAGGCAGCTGGGACTACAGGCACGTATCACCATGCTCAGCTAACTTTTTTTGGGGGAGGGGGCGGGAGTGGGGGAGATGGAGTTTTGCCATGTGGCCGAGGCTGTTCTCCAACTTCTGGGCTCAAGCAATCCTCCCACCCTAGCCTCCCAAAGTGCTGGGGTTACAGGCATGAGCTACCATGCACGGCTAACCTTACACTTGAAGGTTTGCCCTGATGCCACCCTTAGAACAACTTTCCTTATGATTTCCCTGATTAAGCCATATAGTATTCATTTTGGTATAAAGTGCAGGGGAGAATATATCTTTGTTTCTCTCCAAATGATTAGCAAATTGCATCATATTTATTATTATACTAACCCAATCTTTCTCATTCTAGTTTAAAAATATATATTTAGCCCCTTTGTCAGCTATCAATAGAGCTGTTACTTATAGTGGCACAGATACTGGAATGTTGTTATTTTATCTTTATAATACACTATAATATCTAATAGGGCAAATATCCTCACCTCCGTGAGAGATGGGATGCCATCTCTCCTAAGTCTTTTTGCTTGTTTCCAGATTTTTTGTATCTATTTTGTTCTACAGTTGACCATCAACTTTTCAGAATGAGAACTTCTGATTAGTACCCTCAAGTAGAACTATGCCTCGTGATCCTACATCAACCAAGACTATGATACTGACCAAAATGCCACTTTATTAATTTTTAATTAAAAGTTATTGTCAGAGGTATTAGAATAATTCACATTCTTTAATCAGCAGATTATCTTACTATGGTTAAGTCAATGATTTCTTTTCAATGAGAAATTTTCATCTTAATTATTTAAACTCCATTAACTTCATTCTCTCCTTTTATGCAGTACATGGGAAATTATGATTGGAAAATTTCCTAGTGAGCAGAGAATCAGATGATGATGACATAAATACATAAAAATGGTGAATTGAATCAGAGTTACCTTGATGCATCCATTACCCAATACAGATGGTCGAAGCGATGGAATGAGAATACTTGGAGTGTGTGGCACAATGTTCACTGGACAATAGACAATGAATGCTTAGATGGGCACTGGTGATATTAGCTGTGGTATTAAATCTGTGCTTCTTTGTCAAGTAAGACTTCCAGTGGGTTCATTCATCAAACAGCCCAGTCTTGCTATTTCAGTGAGTGTTTTCTCTTTGTATGGTTTTGCTCACATAAGATTTAGTCCCTTGCTACTCAAACATGATCTATTGACCAGCAGCATCAACATTATTTAGGAGTTTGCTAAGCTGTCAAGTGCCACCCCGTATCTACTGAATCCAAATCCACTTTCTCAAGTGACTCATTTGCACAGTAAAGTTTGAGAAACACTGACTATTCCATAACGAATTGATCTTATAGTTTAACATCCAAAACAATAATCATAAATCCCTAGTTTCAGATTCATAGGAGCACCTTACTGTGACCTCCATGTTATGACAATAGTAAGTACCATGGTTTGTGAATAATAAATAGCAGTAACCCTTATTTAATAGTGAAAATGCAAACAGCCATTTATACCTAGCAACAGGTCCTGCATTCTAGTTACCTGGTATGGTTAGGCTTTGGGTCCCCACCCAAATCTCATCTTGAATTGCAATCCCCAGGTATTGAGGGAGAGACCTGGTAGGAGGTGATTGGATCATAGGGGCAGTTCCCCCCTGCTGTTCTCATGATAGTGAGTGAGTTCTCACAAGATCTGATGGTTTTATTAGTGTTTGGTAGTTCCTCTCTTGCTCACCTCTTCTTTGTCCTGAAGCTTTGTGAAGAAGGCCATGTTTACTTCCCCTTCCATCATAATTGTAAGTTTCCTGAGGCCTCCTCAGCCATGTGAAACTGTGAGTCAATTAAACTTCTTTCCTTTATAAATTACCCAGTCTCACATATTTCTTTAGAGCAGTGTGAAAACAGACTACTACATTACCCTTTCGAGTTATGGTATAAAAACATTGTCAGTGTCAAGAAAATGATGACAATTCGCAATTGTTCCATGTTTGTACATTTTTTCTTATTTCTCCTAAAATAGTTTAAGATTCTCATTTTGCATTTCATGTCAAGTTCTGAAGTTGTCATATTCCACTGTACAGCTTTCCTAAGCTTTGTGTGACTAATCCAACATATGTGACAACATTGGTTTCATTTTTAATAAGTTCTTAAGTCCTTAAAAAAGGGGAGAAAATAATAGCTAAAGAAAGCAAGTCTTCTAGAGGAGAAAATGACATGATTCTTAAATAAGGTTTTGCTAGAGTAACGTCTGTGTTATTTAGTGGATCTGGGACTCAGAAATTCTGCCAAAGAATTCTTTGTCTCTCTAATTCACTTGGTTAGCTTTCAGAAATGCTAACAACTATTGACTAGACTTTCACAGTATGTCAGTCTTTCCAAATGAAGAAAATGGAGGGTAAGTGAGCTGAACGTGTTCTTTGCCTAGGGATGACTGTAGGATGTTTATTGACCAGTTATGTCATTAATCACTTTTTATTTCAACTGACTAAGTTCTTCTATGGTGTATGAGTTAAAAGCTAAAGTTGCTTAAAAGTATTGAGAGAAGGAAAAGAAAACAAGAAAAATACCTAGAGGTGGTGTGCAGTTGAAGCTATTTCTGTCCTTACAGAGTAAAGCAAATTATTTCAAAATGTTCAAGAAATATAGGTGCCATGGATTTTCTGCAAAAATACAGGCACAGAAATCAGAGACTTTTGCAAACACTACACTTTGAACTGCCAAAACAAAAACAGCCACATGGCAACATCCTTGTCCTTTTATTATTGTCAGTGAATCTAGCCTTGAAGAAAAAGTGTCAGGTAAAATTCCAAGGGCCATCTGCGACATCACAACAGGGCTTTAGGGTAGAAGATAGATAGCAGTTCTGTGGATACAAGATCCCTATATAAGTTCTCTCACATTGGATACCATATCTAACCCAACTTCATTAAACTCCATGAAAAGCATTGTGATTTGCGCATAGTAAGTGCTTGAATAATATTTTGTTGTAGGAAGAAGAAAGAATGAGCAAGGAAGGGGGTTAACATGTTCTATTAAATAAATGGGAGTGTTCCTTGTAATATGAGAATCTCATTTTTACTTCCAAGACCCGTCCTTGTTCCCAGACACTGTCAACTTTCTCAGTTGTTCACAGTTAATAGAGACTATTGACAGAGAATCGTAGAAAAGCTTATTGATATCATGAAGCTCACTGAGGTTGAAGAGCAAAATAATGAAATATCTCAAATCCTCTCAAAGGAGCAAAGTTATAAAAAGCTTCATATAGAGATGAAGATCACCCTCTCACCACATTGCACGATTTTCTTTAAGCTCTGCACATAACCGCCAACTTCCTCCTGCCCCTATCAATAGCCATGATTGTGGGATACAGAATGAGCCCGACTGCGAAAATGAACTTTTCACTGAGTTCAGGATGTTTTTCCTGATGGTCTCACTTGATAGCTTCATCTTTTTGTTTTATGTCTTCTTGGCATATTTATGTTACCCAGAACCTCCCCATTAAGGTTCCAAAATTCTCCAGAGGGATGTGGGCACTCCCATTTCCTTAGAATTAGGAAAGTTATATTGTGTTCTCCTCCATATCCTCATAGCCAGTAAAAAAAAGTTAAATAAATTAAAAATTACAAAAATGAAGCCCACATTTAAAATAACTTGAATTAAAGGAATGTAACTCTATGTAACTCTAACCATAAAAAAAGACAGATGAAATGTTGTAAGGCTGAAGAACGTATCAATAGCAAATAAATTAACCAACAAAGGATACTAACTCAAGGTTAATAAAAAGAAGTAGAAATGTCATGTATTAAGGGAAGGTTCTTGACCTATGCATACCTAATGTTCATTTTTGCAGAAGTAAACTTTTTTAGATTACTTATTTTTATGAATAACTTTAATAATACACACTAAGTTTTGAAAAGTAGTAAAACCTAAGAATAACCATAAAATTCTACTTAGCTTTTAGTCACTCATTTATTTCTATCATGGCTAGTACAAAACTTGCCTCTTGTATTTATGATAATACTTTCTCAGTAACTTAAAGCCTTTCAGCATTTATGAAAACAAATCATCGATTTAGAGCTACGAGCATGCTATGCACAGAGGCCAGGTTTTTGCAATTTAATTCTGCAGACGTGGTCTTCATCAACATATTATACACAACTATTAAGTGACTCGGTGTTTTCTTAACAATGTACTAATGATCAAAGTTGTTATAATGTCATTTCTTCCACTTCGTGTCACCAGAATTGGAAAGATTTAAATTGTGCATGAACGAATATCACCTACACTATTGGAAGTTGGTTAATCAGATGTCCACTCTTGGTACCTTATCCCATGGAATGCCCACCATAACCCAATATAATGCTCTCACAGATTAATGTTCACACAGATGCTTATGCCATGACCTTCAGAACCTCAGACTGTTTACCTACCTGTATGTGGTAGACAATGCTAGCTCTCACCAATGTTTTTAATTCCAGTATATCAAAAGTCCATTTCCCAGAAACATTGCAGTGCCTGATTCTAGAAAATTGGCTGGGAATGGCAGTATGTAGATGTCAATATGTGTCTCTCCAAGGTCCTCTTTTCCTGCCACAGCAAAATGTGACAGTCTCCTGCAAAATGGAGATGGTACAAACCTACAATGTTGAGTACCACATGGCAGAGAGTCGCCCTGGAGAGTTACCCAGACCCAGACTGTGAAAAAGATTTTTCAATTGTCTTAAGCCACTGAGATTTTGGTGATTACCCCAGTGCAACCTAGATTTTCCTGACTAAAACAGTAATACAAATCTTTTATTTTACTATGTTATATTCTTATATCTATTCCCATAATGACAGACTTCTGCAGAGTAACTTGCTGGGATTTCCAGAATAGTCTGTCTTGATAGAACATAAATTTCCTCTTATATGAAGGTAACTCTTTCATCCCTGACCTCTTTTCTAGGCTCTCAGCAGTTGAGATAACCTGCCCAAATTGGAAGAATATTACAATCAGAAGGGGGAAGACATATCTGGGTCCTAAACTGTGACATGTGAATATTTCAGAAATATTTCTGAATATTTCTATTCACATACTGACATGAGGGTCTTTTCCTTTGTCCAAGTAGGATTTTTGAGTTGAACATTTTACTGATATTGTTCTAACATAATTTTCTGCCTACTTGTGCTCTGCTGCAAAAATGGGTCACTCCCTAGGAACTCTAAGTTGAACCCTCTTTACAGCGTTTGATATTAGCAATCGGCTATTCCCTGCTTCTGTGACAGTATGACAGGTTTATTCTGGGATGATAAATTGAACGAGTTCATCCGTATTTCACACACAAACCCCTAATGAAAAGGTTAGCAATTCATTGTTTGAATGGAGGATGGATTGGAGAGAACACGTTTGTGTGTTTTTGAGGGTGCCTGTGCTTTAGATCCCTCAGGGAACACTCAAAACTGGATGTCAGCATTTATTCTGTGAACTCTTTGGGTGTTTTCTGTTGTTGTTGTTGTTTAATCATAGCTTAAAAGAAATGGGATTCAGTTAGATCCTATTAGCAATTTCTAGTGACAACCTTCTTTCTCCTTTTTTTCTAAGGCTAAATTGATACTTAATATAATAATAATTATTTTTTGTATGGGTATGCAGACGTGAATACTGGAAAAGGTTCTTTGAAGAGGAACATGATGCCTATCATTGATCTGAGCCAGGTAAAATTATCCATAGAATCTTGCTCCCTCTAAACTCTGAAAGGCCATCTATTCCCAAGAAAGATCAGTTGACACGGACTTTTATCCCTGCAGGAGATACTAGCTTCACAGCCCAAAGAGAGAATTGTTCAGGATCTGGAAAGACGAGACCCTTGCTGTCTTTGTTTCCCTCCGTCCCAGCTTCTAACATTGCAGGCACCTCACAGGAAAAAAATACAAAAAGAAGACTTGATCAAGCTCCAGGTATGGAAAGTATTTTCACAATTGTAAGATGAGAAAGATGGGCAAGACTGAAAACACATCCCTTTAATGTTTAGAAAATGATCTTCCTCTGAGGTTAACCTTTACAATGTTTCCTGCATTTCTCCTCTAGTCTCATACTTGATCTCAGTTTGTATTTACCATGTTTTTAGCTTTACACACTGTAGTAGGCAGAATAATGGTTCCCCAAAGATGTCCAAGTCCTAATGCTGGAAACTGTTAATATGTTACGCTACTTTGCAAAAGTAGGACTAAGCAGGTAGGATAAAATTAAGGACTTTGACATGGAGAGATTATCCAGGATTATTTCCTTGGCTCCAGTCTAACCACACGGGTCCTTACAATTTCAGAATCTTTCCTGGCTATGGCGAGAGAGTCATCTGACTACGGAAAAACTGCCAGAGACAGGCAACATTGCTGTCTTGGAGACAGAGGGAGGAGGCCATGAGAGAAAGAATATGAGAGGTTTGTAGGAAGCGGAATTGGCAAGGAAACAAATTTTTTCCTAGAGGTTCCAAAAAGGAACCAGCCCTGACATCTTGATTTCAGACCAGTGAGGCCTATATGCGATTTTGAATTACAAAACGATAACATGATAAAACTGTGCTGCCTTAGGCTACTGTGTATGTGGTAATTTGTTACATCAGCAATAGAAAACTAATACATACACCAAAACTGTGCAAATGAGTTCTTATTATTGTATCTTGAAAACATCGTCCTTTGGGTTATCTATTTTGGTTAGTTATTTAGAAGATGAGATTCCAGTTTACCAGATTCCAAAGCCTATGTTTATTTCTTTTTGTTTTTGTTTTCCCTACTTTACCGTGTTGTGTCTCATTTGGTATACAAAATTAATCATGCATTGGTTTCAATAAATTAAGCATCATCATCCAGATCTGACACATTTGATCAGACAGCGAAGCAGCATAATGCTCAGGTGAAGAGAAGGAGATTTTGAATGTGGCAGATTCCTCTAGAACTCTGGCTCTGCCAATTACTATCTCTATGTCATTTGGCCACTCAACTTCTCTGAACTTCAGTTTTTTCATCTGTAAAGTGAAAATAATATTTGTAGCTGTTTTGTAGGGTGTGAGAATTACTGCCTTAATACATGCTTTTGAGAATTCTTAGCACACAGCACTTAATAATGCTAATTGTTTTTATGGTGGTGGTTATATGTCATTATGATTCGAGTCACGTCTCACACGTAAGCAAATAAAAGGAAGATCATTTTGATTAGTCACAGTTTTGTGGCCTCAGTGTGGATTCTCTTTTTCAAAAACGGCTTTTCCTTTTATGCTGTCTGATCAGCGTTTTATGAGTCTCCAGATCACCCCCTCTGGGTGCTCACAAGTTATTTTATGTTCACCATCCTCCTTTCCCATCACAAACCTTGTGTTCCCAGTTTCTGAAAGATTCCGTGCTTTACCCTAAATATCTGATAATTGACTTGCAAAGAACTGCTACTTCTTAGTGAATCTCCACCCACGCAGGTAAAACCAGAACCCTCTATTAACACAACCCTTATGATGTCTTTCTCCTATTTTGTACAGTTATCTCGACCACAAACGATAACCAGGGCCCTTGTAACATTACAACAGAATTACAACCATCCTGAAAAACTTATGGGAAAAACGCCTGATTCCTCTCAGGGACAAATAAATCCCAGACTCAGGACAACTTTGCTCACTTTGATCAGCATGGGAAATTTTTATCATGGAAAAGCCAAACATCATTTCTGTGAGGAGTTAGAGACTCTCTAGACCTGACTTCTGTTTTAAAATCATATTAACAGATTCCTTTGACAGTCTCAGGATGTGATCCATTTATTAAAAGTCTGTTATCATTGTGGAGTGCAATGATTAGCAAAGTCTTTGTAGCTAACAGGAGACAAAGATATCAGTGTGATGGCAAATTTAGAGAGCTGTGAACTTATTCTGGTTTTCCTTGTGGCAGGGCCCAAGAGCGCTTCCTTCTCTCCCCTGCTATTTAATTACATCCATCTCATACCAATTGTGAAATTTGGGCTGCAGAACAATTATACTTTTGCTGGTTAGGCCAGGCTGTATTTCGTCAAAAAAAATTTAATATAGTAATCTGAGTTCTGTCTACAGCAAAAAACTGAGCTTTAATAATCACAGAAAAAAAAGAAAGAAAGAAAGAAGAAAATAGGTAGGCTTCTGCGCAAATCCCATTTTTTATAAAAAGAGATCTACTGGGAACTTTCTGCTCCCTTGTTGGCTTCTAGATATGGAGGAAGTTTCTAAGAAAGAGTAGGAATGATCTTTGGAAGAATGTAAGGAGAATGAGTTTATTGGTCAATGCGTTAAACCTGTAAAATGGAGATATTTGGCATGCTGGCCCAAAGAACTTGAATTTGAATCTTTACAACACTACTTAGAAACTGTGATTTTAGAAAACTTAAATACCTTTTATGGGTTTCAGTAATTTCATCTGTAAAGAGAAAAATACTACCTGCTCTATTCAACAGGGGTGGGAGAATACAATAATACAATGACCAGGAAAGTATTTTATGAAATATAAAGTAGTCATTTAATTTGAGGGTTTTTTTTTTTTTTTACTACATGTAAAAATAAATATCCTATTTCTGGAACTGAAAGAGACATTTTAGGTTATCTAGACTTAATCCTTAATTTCACAGTGCAAGAAATCTATCTAGAGATGAGATGAGTCAACCAGGTTTGGAGAATGAGTCAGTGGCAGAAGGATACAAGCACATTTACATTTTTAGCTAAAAGACACAAGCTCTGTCACTTACTACAGGCAGAAATAATAATTCCCAATTCATTTGGTAAAGCCAGCATTGCCCCAATAACAAAAAAATTACAAGAAAACTACAGACTAATAACTTTATTGAATACAGACACAAAAATCCTGAACAAAATGTTAGCAAATCAAACTCAGCAATATGTTAAAAGGATAACAAAAACCAAGTAGAGTTCATGCAAGTAACGTAAGGTTGGTTGAACATTTACAAATCAGTCAATGTAATTCATCATATTAACAGAGTGAAAAACATACAATCATACCAACACATGCAGTAAAGGAATTCGACAAAATTCAAACCCATTCATAACAAAAAAGAAAACCTTTCAAAGAAGTAGAGAGAGCAGGTGTAATCATGAAGGTGATTTTGGATGAGAGTAACATTTAAATAGGTAGACTTTGAGTAAAGCAGATTGTCCACAATGTGGGAGGGCTACCTCCAATCACTTGAAGGCTTTAATATAACAAAGACTGACCTCCCCAGGGCAAGCTGTTGGTGAAAGATAAACACATAGAAAAACAGAGCAGAAGAAAGAACACCTAGAAATAGACCCACATAAATATAATAAATTGAACTTTGACAAAGACATAAAGGCAATCTGATAGAAAAAGGACAGTCTTTTCAACAAAAGCTGCTGAAAGTATTGGGTATCTATATGAAAAAAAAAAAAAACCTAGACACAGACCATACACTTTTTACAAAAATTAACTCAAAATGAATCATAGACTTAAATGTATAATGCAAAGCTGTAAAGCTTCGAGAAGAAACTGATGACCTTGGTGGTGATGTGTATTTAGATGCCATACCAAAGTTAGGTTTCATGAAAGAAACAATTCATAAGTTGGACTTTATTAAAATTAAACATCCAGAGCCCATAAAAGATAATAAAAACAAGTCACAAATGTGAGAAAATATTTAAAAATCACTTGTATCCCAAATATAGAAAGAACTCAAAAATTAATAATAAAAAAGCAAACAATCCAAATTTTTAAATGGTCAAAAGATCTGAACAGACACCTCAACAGAAAAAAGTTATGGCTAAAATCCAAAAAACTGACACTATCAATTGTTGGCAGGCATGCAGACCAGCAGGAATTCTCAATCATTGCTAGCAGGAATGTAAAATGGTAAAGGCAATTCGGAAGATGGTTTGATATTTTCTTACAAAGCTGAAATCGACTTACCAACAACTGTACTCCTAGGTATTCATCCAACCTACTTGAAAATTTATGTATATACAAAAATCTGCATGCAATATTTATAGCAGCTTTATTTATAATCACCAAAAACTGCAGCAACCAAGATGTCCTTCAATAGGAGAATGTATAAGCAAACTACGCTCTATGCATGCAGTGGAATGAGTTATCAAGCCAGGCAAAAATATAATGAATTAACGCGATTGTGAAGTGCAAGTCAGCCTGGAAAGCTACACACTACACGGTCTAATGTATATGACATTCTGGAAAAGCCAAAACTGTAGACAAAGTAAACAGATCAGTGCTTGTCAGGGTCACAGGGAGGGTTGAACAGGTTAAGCACGAGGGAGGCAGATTTTTTAGGAAAATTAATGTACTCTATGATACCATAATGGTGGATACAGGAAACAGTTCATTTGTCAAAATCAACGGAACTCTACAGCACAAAGAATGAAATTTAAAGAAAAAATTATTTATGGGGCTAGGGGACTCCAAGATGGAATGCAGACTGACCAGAAAAAAATTAACTGTATTAAAAAAGTATGGAATAACCTCACTGAAGAGGGTAGGAGAAAAGATACTGACTTAAGTAACTTTGTAAATAAGTAGAAACCATAAGACTAAAAGCAAAAAACTTTTCTTAAGTACTGTACTCTGGGTAGTAAAATTGTTTCCTATGGGGGTTCAGGTTAACTATTCTGAAACCAGTATACATGTATGCTGAAATGGAACAATTAAGTAAATTGCCTGCAGGTGGTGGGAGATAAATTTCTCATTGTTGGAAGGAAAGGCTATAGAGAAGCAAAGGGGGAAGGCTAGAATGATTCATGTGATACTAGATCAGTTTGAGACATCAGTATGAACTCACATTGACTTAATATAAGTATAGATGGAAACATACACACACACACACACACACACACACACACACACACACACACACACTTGCCAATTGAAAGGGCCTGGAATCTACCACACCCTAGCAGCAACAATGAACCTAAAGTTTTTGTTTCTAATATCAATTAAAGGGACTAGGGCTCTTTGAAGAAATGTCTGATTCTAGGGCCAGAACATGGACTATATAATCTGAACCTGGAGGTTTTTTGTAGTGCTAGAAAGCAAGGAAATACTAAAGCACACACACAACAAAGGGACACAGGAATCAACCTAAAGAAATCCCAGTGGCCAAAGCTGGGACAATTTGAGCAACAGAATAAATAATGTGGCATTATTTTATAACCCAAAGTATAAAATATCTGTAAGCCCATGCTGATACAAACAAATGATTGCATAAACAAATAAATAGGGAAGACAAGGCGCCTCTCCCATACGGAAGAATCCCAAATGCTTTATGTGTAACTCTCATCAAGGGGGTGATGCAGAACTCCCCACCCTTTATGTACAGCTTGAGTATAGTGACTTCATTCCAGAGTGAACAATATGGAAAACAGGGCTTGGAAGAGTAACTTTACAAGGAAGAAATCTGATAAACACTACTTCAGCCAGGTGATCAAGTTCAAGTCGATGATGAACTTGACCATTAACAATGATAAGTCATGTTGATAGCACATACCCTAATGTGATATGATGAAGACGGCATTTTACCTCTGTAGTACTCCTCTATAAAACAGTAACATCAATGTAACCACAAGAAAAACATTAGCTAAATCAAAATTGAAGGTCATTCTATGCAATGCTTGACCAGCACTTCTCAAAACTGTCAAGGTCATCAAAATCAAGGAAAGACTGAGAAACTGTCACAGCCAAGATATTGGTGCATTAGTTTCACCAAGATTATTGGTGCCTCAATACTGGTGCATGAGTTGACAAATGTACCACACTAATATAAGATGTTAAAAATAGGGGAACCTCGGTGTGGGGTATATGGATTTTCACAACTTTTCTGTAAATATAAAACCATTCAAAAATTAAAAGTTTATTTTAAAAATATACATGCTTCCCACCACTTAATAACTGTGGTATCAACTGTATTACTTTAAACTCTCTGAGAATCATTTTCCTATTTGTAAGCTGGGATAATCCTGCTGCAAGGATTATAATACACGTAAATTCCCTATCACAGTGCATAGCACATAGATGTTAATAAACATTAGTTCTTTTTCTTCTCTTTCCACACATAATACTATGCATTTCAAAATACATCTGTTCTATCTTTTTAAAGAAGGGTTCATTACTATTTTAAATAAAATCATTTTCTCAAAAAGAATATTTAATATCGTGGCACAATTTAAAAACTAGTTTTTGGAGATTCCTAGTATATCGCAATAACATAATAATTGCAAGGAGCAAATACAATCTGTCTCTATTTTATGATAAATTGTCTATAGTAAAAAATGGACTGTTAATTGCATAACTGAAGTTATAGCTTATCAAATCAGGCCATCAACATTAAGCCTATGATTGATTCCCTTTTTAGGGACTGGAGCAGGAAGATGTAAGGGCCTATTTAGAGTTGACTAAGCTAAGAAAGACATGGAGGAATTACATGAGGACCCAACATTTACAGAGACAGCTTCAATATAAAATATGCAAAGATGCAAATTTAAACATTACCTGGAGAATTTCAGGGTGTAAGACCACAGAACATTGTTTCAGCAAAGGGAGCAGTAACATGATACAGTTAAATAATAGAACACTCTAATTATCTAGAAATAAGTTTGAAATGCCTAAGGTAATAGTGCCTGCAAGCTCATAGTATTACAGAAATAATTCCATTTTTCAAAATTAACCACCAAATTTGCATGAGGAATATCCAAAATTGAAAAAAATTGCCTGGTGTTGAAATATGCATTTTTATTTTGATGTTAAACCTTTCGAACACCTGCTTTAACAAACTGTCTCCAAGTGAAGATGTACATATGTTATGTATTTTATGTCATAAAATATTAGAAAAGGAATTATACTGGTAAAGTGACCAATATATTATATGTGAGAATAACTTAACGTTTTAAAACACTTCCACATACATCACTTGTTTCTTCTCAACAACCTCATTTTGAGTCACATTTGGCTCCACTCCCATTTTATAGATAAGTGAATGTAACCTCAACTAACCTCATTACACAAGCATTTATTGTGAAACTACTAAACGCCAATGCAGTATGCTAGCTGCCAGGTGTACATTCCTAAATAACACTGACATGGTCCCCACCACTGGGAAACTCAACTCCAGATGACTTTGTTTTATCATGTCACAGACCACCCTGACAGATTAGTGGCACTGCCAGATTAGTGGCTGCTGCACATCTGATAGGATCCCCAGAAGACGACGCTGCTCCCAAAGACTTGGGCATGTCAAGCTCGACCCTTCTAAAAGGTGTGTGGCAAACTGATGACTGCACCCCAGAAAATGTTGCCTCAGCTCCCTGTTAATCTTTCTTCTCTTCAAACAGGGGATACCAGCAGTGCTCAAGCTCAGGATGAAAAAGGAGAAAGTAAATTTTCTTCTCTCTTCCACCATGCAAACCACCCACCAAATAACCCAGCTTTCTCAAATGTTTAACATGGTAGTAAATTTATCTTCCTTAATTCTAATATATTTTGGAATGAAAGATTATCTTTTGGTCAATGGTTAGGTCTATTATGTACGAAGAACTAACTTGACCAATATTTTCAAAAGCCAGACAATGGCAAGTTGAAAGTGGTAATGCAA
Source organism: Homo sapiens (assembly GCF_000001405.40). Classification (NCBI taxonomy): domain Eukaryota; kingdom Metazoa; phylum Chordata; class Mammalia; order Primates; family Hominidae; genus Homo; species Homo sapiens. The sequence continues at coordinate 1,849,723 of NC_000003.12, forward strand.
TTATTCCCTTAAACCTTAAGACAAAGGAGAACAAATGCATTTATTTACATGAACAAATTTTTTATTATGGTGTTTGAAGCTCACACTTTTTATTTTAAAGCATATATTAAAATTGGAGCTAGTCATTTGAGCTTTGAAATAAACATTTCAGGACAATAGATGCACACTTGATGAAAAGCTGACCTTTGCAGTACATATCGACATTCACAAAAAAATGGAAAGATATTGACACAGTGCAAACATTTTTCTTTTCTTCTTTTTTCTTTTATTATACTTTAAGTTCTAGGGTACATGTGCACAATGTGCAGGTTTGTTACATATGTATACATGTGCCATGTTGGTGTGCTGCACCCATTAACTCGTCATTTACATTACGTATATCTCCTAATGCTATCCCTCCCCCCTCCCCCCACCCCACGACAGGCCCCAGTATGTGATGTTTCCCTTCCTGTGTGCAAGTGTTCTCATTGTTCAATTCCCACCTGTGAGTGAGAAGATGCGCTGTTTGGTTTTTGTCCTTGCAATAGTTTGCTGAGAATGATGGTTTCCAGCTTCATCCATGTCCCTACAAAGGACATGAACTCATCCGTTTTCACGGCTGCACAGTATTCCATGGTGTATATGTGCCGCATTTGTTAATCCAGTCTATCATTGATGGACATTTGGGTTGGTTCCAAGTCTTTGCTATTGTGAATAATGCCGCAATATACATACGTGTGCATGTGTCTTTATAGCAGCATGATTTATAATCCTTTGGGTATATACCCAGTAATGGGATGGCTGGGTCAAATGGTATTTCTAGTTCTAGATCCTTGAGGAATCGCCACACTGTCTTCCACAATGGTTGAACTAGTTTACAGTCCCACCAACAGTGTAAAAGTGTTCCTATTTCTCCACATCCTCTCCAGCACCTGTTGTTTCCTGACTTTTTAATGATTGCCATTCTAACTGGTGTGAGATGGTATCTCATTGTGGTTTTGATTTGCATTTCTCTGATGGCCAGTGATGATGAGCATTTTTTCACATGTCTGTTGGCTGTATAAATGTCTTCTTTTGAGAAGTGTCTGTTCATACCCTTCGCCCACTTTTTGATGGGGTTTTTTCTTTTAAATATGTTTGAGTTCTTTGTAGATTCTAGATATTACCCCTTTGTCAGATGGGTAGATTGCAAAAATTTTCTCCCATTCTGTAGGTTGCCTATTCACTCTGATGGTAGGTTCTTTTGCTGTGCAGAAGCTCTTTAGTTTAATTAGATCTCATTTGTCAATTTTGGCTTTTGTTGCCATTGCTTTTGGTGTTTTAGACATGAAGTCCTTGCCCATGCCTATGCCCTGAATGGTATTGCCTAGGTTTTCTTCTAGGGTTTTTATGGTTTTAGGTCTAACATTTAAGTCTTTAATCTATCTTGAATTAATTTTTGTATAAGGTGTAAGGAAGGGATCCAGTTTCAGCTTTCTACATATGGCTAGCCAGTTTTCCCAGCACCATTTATTAAATAGGGAATCCTTTCCCCATTTCTTGTTTTTGTCAGGTTTGTCAAAGATCAGATGGTTGTAGATGTGTAGTATTATTTCTGAGGGCTCTGTTCTGTTCCATTGGTCTATATCTCTGTTTTGGTACCAGTATCATGCTGTTTTGGTTACGGTAGCCTTGTAGTATAGTTTGAAGTCAGGTAGTGTGATGCCTCCAGCTTTGTTCTCTTGGTTTAGTATTGTCTTGGCAATGCGGGCTCTTTTTTGGTTCCATATGAACTTTAAAGTAGTTTTTTCCAATTCTGTGAAGAAAGTCATTGGTAGCTTGATGGGCATGGCATTAAATCTATAAATTACCTTGGGCAGTATGGCCATTTTCACAATACTGATTCTTCCTATCCATGAGCATGGAATGCTCTTCCATTTGTTTGTGTCCTCTTTTATTTCGTTGAGCAGTGCTTTGTAGTTCTCCTTGAAGAGGTCCTTCACATCACTTGTAAGGTGGATTCCTAAGTATTTTATTCTCTTTGAAGCAATTGTGAATGGGAGTTCACTCATGATTTGGCTCTCTGTCTGTTATTGGTGTATAGGAATGGTTGTGATTTTTGCACATTGATTGTGTTTCCTGAGACTTTGCTGAAGTTGCTTATCAGCTTAAGGAGATTTTGGGCTGAGACAATGGGGTTTTCTAAATATACAATCATGTCATCTGTCAACAGGGACAATTTGACTTCCTATTTTCCTAATTGAATACCCTTTATTTCTTTCTCCTGCCTGATTTCCCTGGCCAGAACTACCAACACTATGTTGAATAGGAGTGGTGAGAGAGGGCATACCTGTCTTGTGCCAGTTTTCAAAGGGAATGCTTCCAGTTTTTGCCCATTCAGTATGATATTGGCTATGGGTTTGTCATTGATAGCTCTTATTATTTTGAGATACATCCCATCAATACCTAATTTATGGAGAGCTTTTAGGATGAAGGGCTGTTGAATTTTGTCAAAGGCCTTTTCTGCATCTATTGAGATAATCATGTGTTTTTTGTCTTTGGTTCTGTTTATACGCTGGATTACATTTATTGATTTGTGTATGTTGAACCAGCCTTGCATCCCAGGGATGAAGCCCACTTGATCATGGCGGATAAGCTTTTTGATGTGCTGCTGGATTCGGTTTGCCAGTATTTTATTGAGTATTTTTGCATTGATGTTCATCAGGGATACTGGTCTAAAATTCTCTTTTTTTTTGTTGTGTCTCTGCCAGGCTTTGGTATCAGGATGATGCTGGCTTCATAAAATGAGTTAGGGAGGTTTCCCTCTTTTTCTATTGATTGGAATAGTTTCAGAAGGAATGGTACCAGCTCCTCCTTGTACTCTGGTAGAATTCAGCTATGAATCTGCCTGGTCCTAGCCTTTTTTTTGGTTGGTAGGCTATTAATTATTCCCTCAATTTTAGAGCCTGTTACTAGTCTATTCAGGGATTCAACTTCTTCCTGGTTTAAGTGCAAATGTCTTTAAACAGTCATTTAGCCTGTCCATTATTCCAAATAATTAGGTTGGTGCAAAAGTAACTACGGCTTTACCATTAAAAGTAATAACTGGTTTGATTCATTTCATTTATATTAGCTTGTCAGTTCATTCAAAATCGTTAAACTCCTGCTGGTGTGCAAGCACAAAATGGTGTCATTGACTTATTTGGGTTCTCAAGTGTACGGTAAACAACTGAAAATGGGCTTCATGGCCCTTTCACCAACTAGAGAATTAAGCATCCACAGGGGAGAAAGTGGTTTGAAAAAATAAAAGCACAGCCAAGCAAAAAATGTGTTTTGATTTTTAAGTGCAAAGTCCAAATTTGTTTTCAGTTTGTCTCTAAACCTCTTTCAGAGTTTTTCTCCTAGAACCTCCTCTCCCCTGTGGGATCATACTGAACAATGTTTTGACGTCTCAGTCATTTCCATAACAGCAGATTACAGAAACAAGACAAGCAGTCAAACAAGTAAAATGGTTTGAATTTAAAAACAGTTCTGGATCACTACGAAGACAGACATGGAATTGTACCCTGCTTGTGGAGAGAAAAACTACTGATCTTTTCTTTTTACTGTTGATAATTCATTGAAGGAAAAACCACTATGACTTTGAAATTTACTCTTATTGTGCTTTTTTTAAAAAGTTATGTTGTTCCTGATATCCTTACACATTTTTAAGTTCCTTTCCCACCTATCTTTTCTTCCTGCCATTCCATCCCATTGTGATTCTTGCTAAATTTGCCAGTTGGAATGTGAAGGCTAAATTATCAGTACTGATGTGTCAGTATCACTCAGAGAAAAAGGTGCCAATATTTCATCCTAGCAGTCATCATTCCCATAAAAAAACACACTTTGTTGAAAACAAACTAGTTGATTATACAAAACCTCTACTAAGATAATTGGTTATTTACATTTACAAAAAATTCAATATAGCCAAAATATTAAGGAAGCTGAATTTATTGAAGAGTTTATTCACAACAATTAAACCTGGTTGAGTACGTATGCAGCCTCAGCGAGTTACTCATAATGGGAAGAGCATGGCTTCTGGAATATAATAGACCAGGATTCAAACCCTCGGCCTAAAATGTACATACCGTTAGCCTCAACTGTAAACAAAACTTATATATAAACTCTTTGAGCCTTAATTACTCCATTGAGGAAATGAAAATAATACCACCAAAGGATATAATCATGTGCTGTTAAACCAAAAATTTGAAAAGCCATGATCTGCAGCATTTGTCAGTTCCATGGTGTAATACTCACACAATGGCCATTTTCAAGCTAGCAACGTAACATCAATGAATGAGGACTTGGGAAGAGATGCACAGAATCAGCCCTCAAGAGCCAGGATGAATCAGTTTCAACATAGAAAGTTCTTACAGCAAAATGATCCTTAATCTTAAACTGGCACAGTAATAGTCATTCAATAAATAGTTTTTATTGTTAGTATAATTATTAGCCAAATTCACAAGGATAAGTAGCCTATCAATTCATACCTGATCCAAAAAACAATGAAACATCTAGACAATAATTGAAGTTCTATATCATAGGTACATATGGAATATTACTGACCTTGGGCAACACTGTCACCCTAAGCCTAAAATTATTTTACTTTTTCTTTTGAACACAATGGAGGCGTTAAATCATGTGGATATCAGCTTTTCTCAGTTGATGTTTCCAAATTATTGGTCCCAGATTATCAAGACCCATTGAATTGAAATAATTGCAATTATTTCATCAGAGTATTGAAGGTATGTATCGACAGTGTGGCAGGCAATCCTTGCATATATAGAATCAGCATGGTGTCAAAGTGTACTGGCTTACCAGGTTTATGCACAGGTTATCATAAACCAGAGATTTATTATGGGAAGAAAAAGTAATATCCAAACAACTGTACATAGCTAGAGTGCTTCCCCCTTTTATTGTGTGCTTGATAAATCATTTATTATGCCAGTGAAGATAAAGCAAAATTTACATGTCCCTCAAGTGTTGTTGTCTGTAGTAAATAATGCTGATTGAACTATGCATCAAAAAAATGAAAGTTTATAACCTCATGGAATACATGCAACTTTGTCTGAATGAAAAATGGAAGGTTATAAATCACAGATAACCACATTGTGAAATAAAATATGCAAGACCTCCCTTACATGAGATGGAGTTCTGTCCTATTTATTTGCTTGATTGTGTTTTGGCAACTATAATCTTTATGGCATAGCTGGTAAGGCCAATCATGAGGAAGTCAGCTCCAAACGTATATTAAGGATTTATTTTAGTCACCTCTGCTTCTCTTCTACTTGGGGTGGGGGAGTCATAAATATGGCCCGCCCATACATTAAATTGCTTAGTGAGCCATAGATTTAAGCTGAGAAAAGGAAAAGCGAACTCATATATTATTAAATTCCATAAAAGCTATTAAATCAGCTAAGGAGCACAATAATAGAAAATGAGTTTAAGAAAAACTGAGTTTTTTATTTTGATTTCACTTGAGGAAGAAAATATAGATGCTAGAGCTGGTTTTGCTGGAAAAGTTTCCATGTTGCATAAATATATAGAAGAAAAAGCTAATTCTAAAGAAAGAGAATGCATTTTAATCTTTAATCATCTTCTTGATTTTAGTAGGCCCAAATTTGAATGCTTAGACAACAGGCATTCATTAGGAGGTAAATATCAAATACCCACTTTATATGAAAACAAACAAAAAAATGAAAAAAAAAACGGAAGAAATTTAGGGTAAAATGGCAGATGAGACACAATCCCAGGTTTCAAGGAATATGCAATCAAGTTAGGGAGCAGGGGAATAAGGCAGTATATCTAAACAAGGCAGAAGACAAGTGTTGCAAGAGAGCTACAAACACTGCTATATGAACTATCAAATTCACTTGTGGAATCTGGTTAGGATTTTAAAAGAACTGACTGTTACTGGGCCATGAAAATAAGATAGAATTTTAACAGATGACAGTTGGGGCGGGAGAAGATCATTACAGGTGGAAGATATAGCAAAAGAAACTAAACATGGGACATGAAGGGAATTTTTTTTTTTAGAATAAGAAATTTTCCAATAAGCACAAATTCCAAGTTACATTAGACTTCCAGGACTGGTTCAAGGTTGTGAATGCCAGGATAACAAATCAAGAAACAGTTAACTTAAAGAGTAGGAGACCGGTCACATGGAGCATGACTGATAGAACTAAAAAGGAAGCCTGTCTAACATTTCTGTATTCCCCTTGGGCTTTCAGAAGTCCTTCTTGATCCCAGCTCTCTAACAAGTAGGTCAAGGGGTTCACATGCCATAAAAAATATAAGCAGGTTCATTGTTCACTTGAGTGAAACTCCGGCATACAGTCTGTAGGAAGTAATGAGAACCTCCTTACTCCAATTATCATTATTCTCCCCATGTGAAAAAAGCTTTCTTCCTCCTTGCCCGGAGCCTGTACTTCTGATGGAGTTTCCAACAGTGCCAAACAGCAAGGCATAATTCCATTACTCCTGGAACTATTCTTACATATTTATCCCTGCTGATATTTGTGATCTGAAAAAGGTAGTTTGAATACAGATGAGCCCATGTGATATGAATATAGGTTTTGTTTTGCATCATTTGACTAAATTAAATTCTAACCAGAATAACAAAACTCCATTTTTAAAGTGGTGTATTCAAACACGGATTTGGTCTAGTTATGACGTAGCTTAGCTCATGTTGCTCATAAATATGTGTAAACTGTTCATTATCTCATGCCTTCCTAAATCCCTGGCTTGTTAGAATAATCTAGTGAGACAAGATATACAAGAATTTTGTAAAATGTAAAATTCACCAGTATTAGGCTTGTTAGAGCAAAAAAAAAATTTCTTGGTTTGTAGATTCAGTGGAAAGATTATTGTAGGTTTTAATAAGATAACATTCAGTGTGAAAATTACAAATGAGAAGAAATGTAAAATTTTTGTCATCTGTTTGCATGTGATTTCAGTTTTTCCATGTAAATAAACATGTACGGCTTGCCCAAGTTCACACGACTAATTACGTATAGAACTGGGATCTGACTTTCTTCACACCAATTCATCAGGTCACTTTTTCCTACCATAAAAATCTTACCTGGTTGATAATACAAAACACTGCTATTTTTCTTGCTTCATCTAGGCTCAAGTTTCTTAGTACCAGGTACCAAAATACCAGATTAACGAGGTCATCCAAAAAATGGTCTTTATGGCAAAACCATATGTAAGCCTTCAAAATTCCAAAATGTATTTTAAACACTACTTACTGAATCATCTCGCAATTAACACGTACCATTCTGTTTGCAGTTCATAGCACTTTATTTTCCCTGAATGCTTTACAGAACTTTATAGAGCTTTATAAAACTTCCATCTTCTTGAGTGCAGTATTCTTAGGGACCAGTGATATTTGTTACTGGGTGAAATTCAATTGTCTCCATTTTATTTGATGTTGCTAAGATAACCTCACACTCAAAATCACATGAATCTTCTTATTTTGAATATTATTCAGAGGAAAACTTGGTTTTTTTGTTTTTTGGCAATGTGTTTTTTTAAAAAATAAAAATAGCAAAATTCTATTTTGGACTATCCCTCCAGTGGTTATTTTCTTAGTTTCAATTGACTGTTTGCAGTATGCTTTCTCTATCACTTCCCAACTTTTATCTGTAAGATTAAAATGGTTGCTGTCACTTTAAAAGTGAATGCACCACTAGGGAATACAAAACTTTTTCTTTAACTATTAAACTATGCAATCCATAATACCATTAAATAATTTAATTAGGTTGAAAATGATCATGCATAAATATATTATAATGATTTTATAACATAGTCATATTTTACATTTATGAAAAGTATATATTGAGATAACTAGAAATATGCAAATAGACATAAATATATATTTATGTCTAGTAAATATAAAATAAGACCACATGTACCATATGTACCACATCATACATCAAAAAATTTGATATGATAAATATCAAAATAATGAATCTAAAACTATTTCCTAGAAAAATGTAATAAGTAAAATGCCCTTATAAATATATTTTTGAGGCAAAAATCTAAAATCATATTTTAGTTAAAAAAATACACACACACACATACAAATTATCTATGCCCACAGTTCACTCATTCTATTATTGTTTAATTTTTTTCAGTGATCTCTCAGAGGCCTTTATAGATTCTGAATACAAGTCTTTTGTATTGGGAATATTATCCAGCTTTGTGGCTTGCATTTTCACCCTCTTAATGCTACGTTTGATCAACAGTTCTCAATTTGATGAGCTCCAATTTATCAATCTTATTTTGATTGAGCTTTTGGCACCTTAAGAAATATTTTCCTCTCCTACCTTATGTATTTGACTACAATGGTACTGTCCACTAGTCATGCGAGATTACAGAGTACTTGAAACACGGCTAGTCCAAAGTGAGATGCAAGCTAAGTGCAAAATACACACTGAATTTAGAAGACTCAGTATGAAATAAGAATGTGAAATATCTCAAATAATTTTATATTCATGAAATGTGTTTACATTGCTTACCTTTTCATTCATTTTGTCCCTCTTTTCTATGCTTTTATTTACCATATTAATCATCGTTATTTTAAATTCTTTGGCTAACTCTAATATCAGTTTCATTTGTGGGCATCCAAGGTTTGTGTTATTTCTTTTCTCTTTTTTTCTTTTTCTTTTTTTTTTTTGAGACAGGGTTTCGCTCTTGTTGCCCAGGCTGGAGTGCAATGGTGCCATCTCTGCTCACTGCAACCTCTGCCTCCCAGGTTCAAGTGATTCTCCTGCCTCAGCCTCCAGAGTAGCTGGCATTACAGGCATGTGCCAATACACCCGGCTAATTTTGTATTTTTAGTAAAGATGGGGTTTTGCCATGTTGGTCAGGCTGGTCTAGAACTCCTGAGCTCAGGTGATCTGCCTGCCTCAGCCTCCCAAAGTGCCGGGATTACAGGCATGAGCCACCAAGCCCAGCCTGTGTTATTTCTTGATACTCACATTTACATCTCTCTTTTCATGTATAAAAATTAAATGCCATGTATTATATATAAATGAATCAGAGATTTATGTTACCTTCCACCAACTAGTAGTTCAACTCTCCTCTATTAAGCAGAGAGGAGAGGGGGTGGTCACTTTAATCCATTAAAGGATTGAGCTGGGTTGGGGTGGGCTGTCATTTTAGTAAGACTTAGTCCAACACTGGTATGTCTCTGTTCCTCAGGTGTGGTGGTGCTTTTGTTTGTGAACCTGGCATGTCTCTATCTTCTCAGTTCTAAAATGACAAGATTGCCTTTAGAGATTGGAGCTTAGCCCTTTATCTCCTACTCTATGTGGGCGTCAAAATATGCAAACTTTTCGTTTAAGGAAAGTCTCACCCTCTATAGGAACTTTGTTTCCTAAGTATTAAGACACAACAGCAGATTTTACTCTGCTTTTCTGTGCCCCAGCTACCCAAAACTCAGAAAACATCTTGCAGAGATAACTGGTCCTATGTTTGGTTCTCCTTTAGTTTCTCATTCATCAAGCCAGCCTCTTGCTGGTTTCTCTATTCCATGATAAATCCTCTTCATGGACCAAGACTATACTTACTGAAAATTCAGAAACAGCAGATTCCCACAAGTAAAAATAGTTGGTTATTGTTAGTTTTCATATGAAAGTCTTCTCTCATTGGAAGTTGTGGTAGGTAGAATTTTAAGATGGCCTCCAAGCTTTCCTACCCCTGGTACACATGTCTTGCCTATCTCTGGGCCCTTAATTATGTAGGATTTTACTCCTGGGACTAGGTTGATATGGTTTGGCTCTACGTTCCCACCCAAATCTCATCCCAAATTGTAATCCTCATGTATGAGGGGAGGGGCCTGGTGAGAGGTGATGGAATCATGGGGGCGGACTTCCCCCTTGCTATTGTCACAATAGTGAGTGAGTTCTCATGAAATCTGGTTGTTTGAAAGTGTGTGCCACTTCCCCTTCACTCTTTCTCCTGCAATGTAAAACGTGCCTTGCTTCTCCTTTGCCTTTTGCCATGATAGTAAGTTTCCTAAGGCCTCCCAGCTATGCAGAACTGTGAGTCAATTAATCTTTTTTTTATATAAATTACTCTAAGTTAGTTCTTCATAGCAGTGTGAAAACGAACTGATACATAGGTTATGTTATATCGCATGGTTAACTTTGAGAAAGGGAGACTACCCAGGTGGGCCTTATGTAATCGCATGAGTCCTTTAAAAGCACAGTTTTCCCTGGCTGGCTGCAGAAGGGAAAGTCAGAGACAAGTACTTGGCCACACCTGGAAAACAGGAAAAACCCATGTTGTAAACAGCCAACAGACAGGTATGCCTCAAGGAGGTGAAAGTGGTTTCCAGCCAACAGCTACAGAAAAACTAGGACCTGCATTCTACAAACACAAGAAAATTAATTCTCAGAACAGCCAATGAGACTGTTAAAGTATTCCAAGCCCCACATAAGAAGTACAGCCCCAGTTGACAATCTGATTTTAGTCTTGTAAGACCCCAAGCAAAGAAGTTTGCCATGCTGGGCACAGACTTCTGAACTATAAAACTATGACTTATTAATGGGTGTTGTTTCACACCACTAAGGAGAAGATAGTAATTTGTTACACAGCAATAGTAAACTATTTTTACTTATTTAGTAAACTACTTTTACTTTATTTAATCTTCCTTAATTATTCAGTTCCTTAATACCTTATAAATATATAAATACATATAATAATTTATATATTTAGTGTACCTGATTTTTCTGTAGCTACTTACATTTTATGCAATAGAAGTCTGCTTGATTTTAAAGTATATAAATATGAAGTTGAAGATAATCACTCACTTATACACAATTCACCAAATATCTCACTTCTAAACTACAGAAAGAAAAACTATGCAAAATGCTTAGCATATTTCTTATAGGTTTTTTCCACACATATAAATATAGATTGGTAAATGGATAAATGATGAAAAATTGATGGACAGGAAATTTAACAGAAAAGAAAAATTGGGGAAATGATCATATAGGTTAACTAATGGATTTAAATTACAAATTAATAGATACTTTTTATCTATTAGGATACAAAGCAAATGATGAACTACTGTCCTAAGCCAACCGCATCAAGGTATGTATATGTGTTATATGGGAATTTAAAGTCATGGATAGAAATATTTGCCTGTTTGAGTAAATATAAAGCTACTATATATAATTTTTTTGGAATAGATATTTAACAGATATAAAATTAGGTTTCCGAGGTTCATCTGTGATTATATAAATAGCAGTACTCTCACGAAACTGAACCTCCTGGCTTCTTACCATTAATACCACGTTGATGCAAAATAGATACCAAATAACAGTAAAAGTCATTCCCACAGTATATTGCTCTGTCAAGAAAATTTCGACTGCTTACATGAAAATGACATAAAATCTTTTACCAATTGATTTTTTAAAGTTGTACTTCAATGAATAGTTGTCACGACTATATTAAAAATACCTATGACTGTTCTATATTATTCACTGCATGAACCTGAGATTTTGTTCTGTTTTTGACAATGCTAAAAATGACATACCTACCTCTGTTAGGGAAGGGGGCAAATATTAACTATTTTTAAAGAGAATTATTTTGTGTAAACAACTCTTAGATTTATCAAGCTCAGAAAAGTAGTCCATCAGCCAACAGTATCTGTTGAGTTCTTACTGTGTGGTGAGCAGTTGCTAGTGCTGGGGATTCTGAAATTGATATGCATTCATACAGTCCTTATCCCAGAGGTTTCAGTATGTGGTTGGTAACCGGCAACAAGTTATTACAAATGGCATACACAGGTAAAGGAAATTCAAGATGTAATGAAGACCTATAACAAAGTAACATAACTGAGTCTGAGGGTTCAAGCCAGACTTTCCTGAGAAAGAAAAGCTTAATCTGAAATTTAAAGGATAAAATGGTATTATCCATGCAAAGAGGGGTGGTACAATCATGCCAGGCAGAGGGAGTAGCAAAATAAACTCTTGGTGATCTTGATGTAGGGAATGAGGGTGACACCCTCAAAGAACTGTGAGAAGTTCAGTGTTGAGAGTAAGCAGGGCCCAAGTCTTGCAGAGTCTTGTCATCCCGTAAGTACCATATCATGTACTCCCCCATCCAGTGCTACTCAAAGTTTGGTCACAGAACAGCACTGGATCCTGAAATATTGATAACCAATATAAAATGAAATAAGTTCAGTCATGTGGATGAAGGCTTTAGAATCTCTTATAGCAATTCGACCCACTAATTTTATGTCCATTGAATTTAATGACAATGAGAATTCGTATTTTGCATATCTTTGTTTTTCTCTAACATTTTCTACAGTAATTTTTCTGTATTTATCAAATTATCTGTCAACAATGCATGATTTTTTAAAATGATCTTGTATCATAATCATTTGAAAAACATTACCCTAAAGTACCCTGATTCATTCTAGGTGACGTTGACACTGGAAATAAGCTGGACAGACAAATCATAGGTTGATAATGGTTAGTGGGAATGAAAATTCTTCTCTATAAGGTGCTCTGAAATGTATAAGACACTTTCCAGTTTATAAAATGCAAATGTATTTTTGATCCTCACACAAACTTTGTGAGGTTGCTACATTCATATGTGATCAAAGGTCACCTAGCGAATAAATGACAAATTCTACCATCTTGGCTTGCTGATGACCAACCTTAGGGACTCATGTAGAAGACCTGTGTAGTCTGCTCATGCTCACATGCTTTTCATTTCCATTCATCTAAACTCTTCGAGACATGCTAACGAGCTGAAATTATGTGACTTTGGATGCATCTTTCCTTTTTCAAGTTGTGCATTGTCAGGGTACTAAAGATCTCAAATGTGCTATGGGGCTTCACCCCAGGAAAGGGAGAAGCAGAAAACTAAATAATCAGCACCCAGATAGAATTGACAACACAAATTTGTCTTCTCCTCCCTCTGGGGAAAAAATCCTGCAGTCTTTGATTTGTAAACAAAGCCATGTCCTTGATCAAAAACCGAAAGATCTAATTGTTAGCTATTTTAATATAGCACACCAATTATATTTCATTTCTCCAAGAATGTGAAATTGTGGGATTTTTATTCATCTTCATCTGTACAGAAGCCCTGATGTAAATCTTTTACACATTGCTTAACAACCACAGAAATATACTTTGTATGGGCAATCCCTACAACACTTGAACTTCATCCCACAGTTAATACTGCATCTCCCTGGCATATTGTTTACAAGAATGAAAGAAAACAAGCCAATTTAGTAACAGAAACATTATAATCCATGGAAATAAGAAAAATGAGTGGAATAGGATCCTCTTGAGACTTCAGTGTAATTAACCAATGTTTAAGATGTATAAATGCTAGTAAACTTAGAATCCAAGCCCAATAATTTCTCCAGTTAGAAGTGCCTGCTTCTGAAGAAACTACACAACACCTAGATCTTAATGCAGTTGCTAAGAAGTCATTCAATAGAGTCGGTAGAGATGGGTTCATCTCCTGGATCTACCACTTGTTAGACATTCGATCTTGGGAAAATTAGTATGTTTCTCTAAAACAGGAATAATAACAGCATCAATCTGATATATAAATGAGGTCATGCATATAAGGCATTTATTCTACCTAATCTAACAAAGTATAACCACATTGCTGCTGTGGTTATTAGTATCTATTACTTCAGTAACTTATCACATATTTTTGTGATAAAGACATGTTTTTAATATTATTATCTCTCCAAAATCAAGATACTTCTTATAGCCAATGGCACAGCATAGTTTTTTCTGGAAACTTTTTCTATTTTAATATTACATAAAATGACATATTACAACCCATGGTGTTAATATTATCATTTCTTAGAAACCACATTAAACTCATTTTAGGCTACAAGGAGACTTAATTAGAACCATTATGCAGAATATTATTAATAAAACTTCAGTTATTTAAAACTTTCATGCAATGTTTCTTAGAATTCACAGCTTGACTTTATTTTTTCCAGGAGAAAATAGAAATATTTCTTTTTTTTTTTTTTTTTTTTTTTTGAGATGGAGTCTCGCTGTGTCACCCAGGCTGGAGTGCAGTGACTTGATCTTGGCTCACTGCAACCTCCGCCTCCTGGATTCAAGCATTTCTCCTGCCTCAGCCTCCCAAGTAGCTGGGACTAAAGGTGCCCACCACTACACCTGGCTAATTTTTGTATTTTTTAGTAGAGATGGGGTTTCACCATATTGGCTAGACTGGTCTCAAACTCCAGACCTTGTGATCCACCCACCTCGGCCTCCCAAAGTGCTGGGATTACAGGTGTAAGCCACCATGCCTGGCTATTTTTTTTTTTTTTTTTTTACTTTAAGTTCTGGGATACATGTGCAGAGAATGCAGGTTTGTTACATAGGTATACATGTGCCATAGTGGTTTACTGCACCCACCCACCCCTCATCTAGGTTTTAAGCCCTGCATGCATTAGGTATTTGTCCTAATGTACTCCCTCCCCTTGCTCCCACCCCCGACAGGCCTCCGTGTATGATGTTTCCCTCCCTGTGTCCATGTGTTCCCATTGTTCAATTCCCACTTATGAGTGAGAACTAACACAGCTTAACTTTCATGTGCAACTTCTACTCTGTATCAGGGAGACAAAGGTTTATTTTCTTATCATGAATTAAACAGAGTTTGGCAAGTATTTAATGAGTTGTGTTGCTGGATGCTATAAGAACTACAAAACATAGGACAGACTTTCCACCCTTAATGAACTTCTTAAAGGAGGCATATGTCTACATGTAACATATAAAATAGTTTCATACTTACAATAGGCACTGAATCAAGATTTGCCAAAATTAACCAAAGATAGTAAATGAAATTACATATATAGATAGACTACTTTGGAAAAATTTAAACACAGGCTCTCTGTGCTCTACAGGGTCACAGAATTTTAAAGCTTGAAGAGATATTAGAAATCAGCCACTTTGTGAAGGCAAGTCATAAGTCATCTGGTCTAGCTGCCACACTTTAAGACAGGGATCCTGAGCTCAAGATAATTTACTGAGATTCACAATGTCCTCTGACTGGGAACTGACAGATCCAGAGAGCAAAATCCATCTTCTGTCTCAGGATCCAGAATAAATACGTAATTTCCTGAGTAGCTGAGCAGAGCACGGTGGATATTAGTGTCATATGTATATTAGGTGCCATGCTAGAGGAGGTAGAAGGAAAGGTAGTCTTTACCTGTGTGGCCATGTCTAACTAAAATTAAAGGGAGGTCAGTTGCTGTGGCTTACAACTCTAATCCCAGTGCTTTGGGAGGCTGAGGTGAGATCACTTGAGGCTAAGAGTTCAAGACCAACCTTGGCAACACAGCAAGACTCCATCTCTGGAAAAAAAATCTTAGCTAGGTATGGTGGCACATGCCTGTAATCCCAGCTACTTGAGAGGCTGAGGCAGGAGAATCCATTGACCCCAGGAGTTTGAGGCTGCAGTGAGCTATGATCACACTACTGTACTCCAGCCTGGATGACAGAGTGAGATCCTAAAATAATTTTTTTCAATTTATTAAATTAAAGGAAGTTTCATTACCACATGGAAAAATAAGAAGAAAATAGTCAATGGAGAAAAATTAGGAGTTGGCCACAGAATTCTGGCTGAAAGTAAAACACGAGCGAATGTCATTAGGTGAAAGCATTTGGGAATGCTGATTTTGTATGATTTACAATAGCCAAGACTTGGAACCAACCCAAATGCCCATCGATGATAGACTGGATAAAGAAAATGTGGAACATATACAACATGGAATACTATGCAGCCATAAAAAAGAATGAGTCCATGTCCTTTGCAGGGACATGGGTGAAGCTGGAAACCATCATCCTCAGCAAAGTAACACAGGAACAGAAAACCAAACACCGCATGTTCTCACTCATAAGTAGGAGTTAAACAATGAGAACACATGGACACAGGGAGGGGAACATCACATACTGGGGTCTGTCAGGGGCTGGGGGGAAAGGAGAGGGAGAGCATTAGGACAAATACCTAATCCATGCAGAGCTTAAAACCTAGATGATGGGTTGACAGGTACAGCAAACCACCACGGCACATCTATACCTATGTAGCAAACCTGCAGGTTCAGCACATGTATCCTAGAACTTAAAGTAAAATTTTTTTTAAATGCAGATTTTATATGCAAAAAATTCCTGAATATTGATGATTTCATATAGTGAAACCTAATACATTGTTGCACACAGAAAAGAGTCAAGAAAACAAACTGGTTTTGTTAGCACCTCATTCCTCATCTGACCCTGTTTACCTTTTAGTTTTGTTTGGGGTCTCTGTAGCCAGGGCAGTTAGGGACAGAACCTTAAGGAGGTGTCTCCATGAATTACTATGTAAATTACATAGAGGAGTAAAGCCCAGACTGTCAGCCCAAAATAACAATGTGAGTTACAGAGTATCTGCATGGAACCCAACAACAGAAGGACACTCTTGGCATAGACTTAAAGGTCAACTGGCAGCACCAAGTGGCCTTGAACATGAAGTATTTTTAAATAGGAAACAGAAACAGTAGATCAGTCAAAATAAATACTAGGAGTTCCCAATATACTTACTGGGGACGTGCAAGAGGTGGAGTGTCCTTCAAGAATATGAGGGAGCAGGAGACATTGCATTGGGAATATTATTGTCATCACTAACATATCCTTGCCTACGATATTGGAATATATTCAGATTCTGTCAGTCTTACCTCCCTTTCTCTGTCTTTCTCCCTCTCACACACATGCACGTGCGTGCACACACACACACAATCCTACCCATACACTATATTGCCAATGGTTCTTTTTCAATGGTGGCAATATAGGTTTCAGACTTTTGCTTGTCAGTCTGTTCTGTATTTTATATAGTAACACATGCTACTTTTAATTTTAAACTATACAAATCAAGAGGTTTTAAAGAGTTTTATCCACGATTACCGCATATTTTATGCTAATTTTTAAAATACAAAAGTAATATGTTAAAGACTACCTTAACATCAGAATTTCTCTTTAGATATGAATGCCACTGTATCCTGATAATACTAAACACAGTGAGGATATTACACCTGCCTAGTACATTTATGATTTTATTGCTGATATTCATTCTCCATGCTAATCTGCAGGAAGCATTATTACTGCTGTATTTTATAAATAATGCTCTTATTTGTGGTAATGCTTAGCAGAAATGTAAGAACTTGCAAAATATTTTAGATTTTAAATTTGTCTTCTTCTTAAATGCTGCTTTTGGTGCTTTATAAAGGTCACAACTACATTTTAATGTTCACTACATGTAAATATGGGAAAGTGCGAGAAAGCCAATTAGATGTGTTCTGTTTTATTTACAGAGTGCTTGCAGCTCTAGTTTGCTCACTATATCAACACCTTGTCAGATAAATTATGAAAGTTTATTCATTCATTCAACAAATATATATAGTGAACACCTACTATGAGCAAACAATAATGGCCTTTACTGGAAACAAAATTTACATTTAAAGGTAATTCTAGCTGCACAGAACAATAAGAAGCCATATAATGTGCTAGTTAAGGGCACAGAACTCAAGTAAGTTTACCTAGTTCCAAATATTAGTTTCATCATTTATAGGTGATTTGTGAACTTAGAAGAATTACATAATCTCTGTCTCAGGTAGTTATCAGTAAAATGAGGATAATATTATCTACATGGTTGGGGTGTTATTTGCAATGAATGAGATCAATTATGTGTCACATATAGAAAATGCTATGTTTTCAGTGTTTGGTTTCCCTGATACACTCAAATTTTTGTTGAAATTATCAGTAGACCTACTGTTTTCTCCAGAAGAAATATTGGTGATTGGATAAATGAATTTAGAAAGTCATGACATTTCAGAGCTGGAAGAGGATTTATTGATTACCTAACAACCCCATCATTGTACAAGTAAGACCACAAAAACACAGAGATACAAAGTCAAGTAGTTGGTAAGTTTCCAAGCTTGATTAAATCCCACTTTTAGGGCTGCGTGCAGTGGTTCACGCCTGTAATCCCAGCACTTTGGGAGGCCGAGGCGGGTGGACCACTTGAGGCCAGGAGTTCGAGACCAGCCTGGCCAACATGGTGAAACCCTGTCTCTACTAAAAATACAAGAATTAGCCAGGTGTGGTGGTGCACACTTGTAATCCCAGTTACTTGGAAAGCTGAGATGGGAGAATCACTTGAACCCAAGAGGCAGAGGTTGCAGCGAGCCAAGATCATGCCACTGCACTCCAGCCTGGGTGACCAAGAGATACCTCATCTCAAAAAAAAAAAAAAAAAATCCCACTTTTATGACTTCCTGACCAGCATTCTTAGAATAGATGCCAATTGCATGTCCACTCATTCATTCTACAAATATTTATTAAACAGCACTTCCCATGGCAAGCACTATTGCTAAATACAAATGACACTTGGACAAATCAGATGGGTTACTTATCCTCTAAAGGTTCACATTATATTGGGGTGCACATGTAAATGCATAGTGTTATGTGTGCTCTGATAAAATATGAATTGGTGGTAGTACAATGTGGGAGTGATAGTACAATGAAGTCAGTGAACAAATCTATCTAAAAATTGTAGAAAGGCTTACACGAGATATAACTCTTGATCATGAATGTGGACTAAGTATTTAGACAGAGGTCTATGTGTCTGAAGTATTAAACAGGAAGGGGGAAGGATTCATTAAAAGAAAAATATAAAAGACAGTGAGTGACCAAATGGTGAAAGGCTTTGTATGCTGATATGGTTTGGCTGCGTCTCCACCCTAATCTCACCTTGAATTGTAATAATCTCCACGTGTCAAGGGCGGGACCAGGTGGATATGATTGAATCATGGGGGCACTTTCCCCCATACTGTTCTAGTGGTAGTGAATAAGTCTCATGAGAGCTGATGGTTTTATAAATGGGAATTCCCCCACACAAGCTCTCACTTGCCTGCAGCTATGTAAGCTGTGCCTTTGCTCCTCCTTTGCCTTCCACCATGATTGTGAGGCCTCCCCAGCCATGTGGAATTGTGAGTTCATTAAACCCTCATTTTCTTTATAAATTACCCAGTCTCGGGTATGTTTTTCTTCACAGCTTAAGAACAGACTACTACATATGCCCTGATATATAGTTTTGTATTTTACTTCTAAACTATTCACAAGGAAATAAATTAAATGGAAAAGAAATGATTATCCAAAGATATCATAGAAGAAGCAATGTCATGAAGAGTGAAGTTCAGATTAAAAAGATTTGCTATACCCAAAGCAAAATGAGTGAACAAAGATGGAAATCAGAAACAACCTTCATAATATTATTTTGTTTCATGCACTTAAAAACTGTCCTCCATAAGCATGGGCAAAGGTTTCATGACAAAGATGCCAAAAGCAATTGCAACAAAAGCAAAAATGGGCAAATGGGGTCTAACTAAACTAAAGAGCTTCTGCACAGCAAAAGAAACTATCAACAGAGTAAAATGACAACCTACAGACTGGTAGAAAAAAATGTGCAAACTATGTGTCTGACAAAGGTCTAATATCCAGCATCTATAAGGACCTTAGACAAATTTACAAGAAAAAAAACAACCCCATTAAAAAGTGGGCAAAGGATACGAACAGACACTTCTTGAAAGAAGACATACACATGGCCAACAAACATATGAAAAAAGCTCAACATCACTCATCATTAGAGAAATGAAAATCAGAACCACGATGAGATACTATTTTACACCAGTCAGAATGACTATTATTATAAAGTCAAAAAATAAAATATGCTGGAGAGGTTGTGGAGAAAAAGAAATGCTTTTACACTGTTGGTGGGAGTGTAAATTAGTTCAACCATTGTGGAAGACAGTGTGGTGATTCCTCAAAGACCTAGAGACAGAAGTACCATTCAACCCAGCAATCCCATTACTGGATATATACCCAAAGGAATATAAATCATTCTATTATAAAGACACATGCAAGTGTATATTCACTGCAGCACTATTCACAATAACAAAGACATGCAATTAACCTAAATGCCCATCACTGACAGACTGGTTAAACAAAATATGGCACATACAAACCATAGAATACTATGCAGCCATAAAAAAGAATGAGATCATGTCCTTTGTAGGGACATGGATGGAGCTGGAGGCCATTATCCTTAGCAAACCAATGCAGGAACAGAAAACTAAATACCATGTGTTCTCACTTCTAAGTGGGAGCTACAGCATGAGAACACATGGACACACAGAGGGGAACAACACCCACTGGGGCCAATTGGAGGGTGGAGGGTGGGAGGACGGAGAGGATCAGGAAAGATAATTAACGGATGCTAGACTTAATACCTGGGAGATGAAATAATCTGTACAGCGAACCACCATGACAAACGTTTACCTAAGTAACAAACCTGCACATCCTGCACATGTACCACTGAACTTAAAAGTTAGAAAATTTTAAAGGTATCCTAAAGGCATCAAGTATGGCAGAAAAAAAATTAAGTTTATAAAAATAAGAAAATAAGAATGGGTTATCATTATCCAATGCCTCTCTACAAATTAAGGGGCTAGGTCTGCAGAGTGTTATGGGTGAAAGGTTGTTGTAATTGACAAATTCTGTACTTAAAGATATTATCCATAAAATTTGAAGGCAAAACAAAAACATATCTGAAATGTACAAAAGTTCAGGAAATAAACTAGATAACATTCCTGAAAAAAAATCACTCAAGGGCAAATTTCAAGTAATCTAAAAAAATTCAAAATAAAGACCACACAAATAAAGATGTAGCAGCAAAATATAAAAGATTAAAGAAGTTATTAAAGCAAGTTAAAGAGAAAATTACAGGTAAGTGACTTCTGTAAATATGGATATAAAATAGCTCTTGTCTTAAGGAAATTATAAAATATCATATTTGCATATAATAAGATAAATCAAATACATATATAAAGTGGACCCCGCATCATACCAAAGGGAGGAGGGAAATCATTCTGATGATGATGGAGATATATAATTAGTAGAATTAAAAACAGGCTTTGTGCTGTTAAAGGATGGCAAGACCAACCACTGAATAGACAAGATTTTCTAAAGCTGAATTTATTGCTTATTATCATAAAGAAGAACACTGACAGTCAAACACAGTCTTTCCAAGCAGAAAAAACTTCAAGTCATACATAGGGTTTTTGGAAAGCATGATATTCCGAGATTGGTAGGTTTTCAGAGGTATAAGGAGTTGACGTCATCAGTAAAAGTATGGTAACTTGGGTGAGAATGCCTTTGATTGCTTGGCACCCCAAAGGCGTATATATTGGAGTGAATCTGTTTCTGAGTGGCTAACTTTTGGTAGCAAGAGTCTGTCACTGATAGTTTGTCATTGATGGGCTATAAATGTTATCGATCAACTGAACTGCTTTAAAACTGATTTTGCCGAAGCGGGCGGATCACCTGAGGTCGGGAGTTCAAGACCAGCCTGGCCAACATTGTGAACCCGTCTCTACTAAAAATACAAAAAATTAGCCAAGCACGGTGGTGCATGCCTATAATTCCAGCTACTCGGGAGGCTGAGGCAGGAAAACCGTTCGACCCCGGGAGGCAGAGGTTGCAGTGAGCTGAGATCATGGCACTGAACTCCAGCCTGGGCAACAGAGTGAGACTCTGTCTCAAAAAATGGTAATAAATTAAATTAAATTAAAATTAAACTGATTTTGATGCTCCCTGTAGCATGACTACCAAAGATTCCATCTTTGCCTAAAGTATGTGGGAACTTTCCATTTTCAATAACTACCAAGTTACCAAAGGGGGAAAAAAACAAATTAAATTGAAAATCTATAAAATGTTAAGAAACTGTATGAACAGAAAAAATAAGATGACAGTTCAAATATTTTTGTTACTTTCATTGGTAATGTTATAAACATTCTTATTAAAAGAAAATTATTCTGATCAGCAGGGGAACTCCAGTTCTCGAAATGGCAGAAAAGATTGTGCTGGATTAATTCTGCGACCATTAACATGTATAATTTCCCCACAAGATATTAAAATAAACTGCCTAAAGCTATTGACAAGCCAACAAAAACAGGCAAAACTGTAGGGGACACAGTTCTTGAAAGAATGCCTCCTTTAAACAGCTTTACAGTGAAAGAGATTTCCTAGTTTCCTGCAACAGAATGAGATTAGAGTCCAAACAGAAAGCAGCTTTACTGAGCTGAAGAGACAGAAAGAGTTTAGGGTAACCCTGGAAATCAGAGAAAGCTCCTGAAAAGAAGGGCACACATAGGAATAACCTTAAATTCTGCATATAAGTCCCTCAAGTGCTTGGACAACATTAAATAACATGTATTCAGAGGAAAAATTCAAGAAACCTAGAAGGAAGCAGTAGGCAGTTAGGAGGCAGAGATTTCAGCAGTCGCCTGATGCTAAGAAGACAGTTGATATGTCAAGTTCTGTCAAGCTAGTATAGCTTGGTGAACACACTGGGCTTTCCCCTAACATCGCAGCAGGGCCTTGTCTTACAAATGAGCCCAGGACTAAGAACTATACAACCTTATGGTTAAGAATAAAACTAAAATATAACCATCATAAATAAGCCTAGAACCAAGTCTCTGTAGAGTCAAAGTAATCTGTTGGTGATTTAATTGCCTGCCTGCAAAAATAAAACTTGTGTCTTTTAGGCAGGTAAGATCCAGAGGCTCCTCAATGCCCTATATGCAATAAAAATTACTACACATACGAAGCGTGAGAAAAATATGGCCTATAATCTGAAGAAAAATGTAGCCAGTAGAAGCAGATCAACAGATATCCCTGATGTAGAGTGCTTATTATAAATAGGTTTAATTTTTTACAAGAGAGTAGGACAAAATTTATAAAACAATAAGAAACATTAGAGAAATGATGCTATCAAAAGTCAGATAATATTCCAGATTTAAAATAAAATTTAAAAAAATTATTAGATGGACTTGGTCCACATAAAAAAGAAAGAATTAGTAAACTTTAAGACAAGTTATTAGAAATTAAACCCAGAAAGATTGAAAGAAAATCAACGGGACCTGTGAAATGTAAAATAATATCAAACAACCTAACATGTGTGATTGGAGTAGCGGAAGAAGAGAAAAGAAAAATGACACAGAAAAACATATTTGAAGACATAATGGCTGCATATTACCCAAATACAGTGAAAAACACAAATTTAAAGATTCAAGAAATTAAGCAAATCCCGAGTATGGAAAATAGAAAGGAAAACAAATGAAAGCTCATCAAAAGTGAAAATGCTGAACACCAATGTTAAGGAGAAAAATGTTAAAAGCAGCCAGCAATAAAAGAAATATTACATATTATTCTGTTCCTTTTGGAACATGGTTAAAAATAATGGTTGTCTTTTCATCAGAAACAAAAGAGTCAGAAAGACAATACAATAAGATCTTTAAATGGCTGACAGAAATTTTAAAATGTCAACCTACAGCTCTGTATGTAGCAAAAAAATAACCTTCAACAAAAGGTGAAATGGATATATTGTAAGATAAATAAAACCTAGGAGAATTTTCACCAACATAAAAGAAACACTAAGAAAAATTTAAGCTGAAAAAATGATACCAGATTAAAAAATCATGTCTATAGGAAGAAGTGAATAGCACCAGAAATACATATATGTAGAAATTTAAATGACTTATTTCTTATTTTGACATTATATATATACATATATATACACATACATATACATATATATACACATATACATATACACATATATACATATATACACATATATACATATATACACATATACACATATATACACATATACACATATATACATATTTACATATATACACATATACATATATACACATATATATAATATGAGATTCTGGGATTTTGTAACATGTAGAAGTAATATATATGACAATAATAGCACAAAGGAAGAAGGAGCAATAAAGAGAATAATCATATAAAATCATTCAATTGTGTATGAAGTCATATAATGCTAATTCATGGTAGCCTTTCATAAGCTAAGCCATATCCCCCAAAATAACATGCAAAGTTAAAAAGCCACTTAAGGCTGGGTGTGGTGGCTCATACCTGTAATCCCAGCATTTTGGGAGGCCAAGGTGGGTGGATCACTTGAGGTAAGGAGTTTGAGGCCAACCTGGCCAATATGGCGAAACCCCGTCTCTACTAAAAATACAAAAATTAGCTGGGCATGGTGGTGCATGCCTGTAATCCCAGCTACTCAGGAGTCTGAGGCGGGAGAATCACTTGAACCTGGGAGGCAGAGGTTGCAGTGAGCCAAGATCACACCACTGCACTCTTGCCTGGGCTACAGAGTGAGATTCAAAAAAATAAAATATAATCATAAAAGTGCTCCATATATCCAAAGGCAGGAAATAACAAAGAAAAAAGGGACAAATAGAAAAACGTTCTATTCTTCAAAATTGCACTTAATATAACTGGACAAAACATTCTTATCAAAACACAGAAATTGTCACACTGGGTAGAAATAGCAGGATCTATCCACAAGCTATTTACAAGATATGCAATTTAAATATATAGAGGCAAAAATGTTGGAAGTAAAACAACGGAAGAGTATATACCATGAAAACACTAAGAAAACAGTATGAGCATAGTTTGGTGGCTCACTCCTGTAATCTCAGTGCTTTGGGAGGCTGCACTGAGAGGATTGGTTGAGGCTTGTAGTTCAAGACCAACCTGGGCAACATAGTAAGACCCATTCTTTACAAAAAATACAAAAAGTTAGCCATGCATTGTGGCACATGCCTCTAGTCCCAGCTACTTGCGAGGCTGAGGCAGGAAGATTATTTGAGCCCAGAAGTTCAAGTTTCCAGTGAGTTATGACTGGGCCACTACACTCTAGCCTAGTTGACGAAGCAAGACCCTGCCTCTTCAGGAAAAAAAAAAAAAAAAAAAAGAAAAAGAAATAAATAAATATGGTATGGTTTTATTCATACAAGAAAATGTCAACTTTAGGACAAGAAATTTTTTGAGAAAAAGAAAATATTTTCATAATGATAAATGGTTAAATTTAGTAAGAAGGCCTAACAATGTGAAATGCACATGCAATTCAAAACGGAAATTCTAAAGGTGTTACGCAAACTGGCAGAACTAGAGGGAAACATAATGAACAAATCCATAATTACACATAGGGATTTTCACACTCCTATTTTTTACTGATAAAACAAGAAGACATGAACATAAGAAAGAATAGAAAACATTTAAACAATATTTTCAACCAGTGACCAAATTGGTATTTATATTACTCATAGACAAGGAATGACATTTGAAGGTCTTGGGTGTGAGACTTTACAAGGTCTATAATGAAGATAGGGTAATAAAAATACAGTGAGTAGAACTGAAAAGTTACGGAAGTGTGAATATGATGGCATGTTCAGAGAACCTCAAATGTACAGTTAATAATTCTAGAGATAAATCTGGAAAAGTTGGTAAAGATGCCCATGGAATTTGGCACTAAAGAACTTTTGGCAATTTTTAAGGAAGGGGAGGATCATGATCAGATCCTTTTTAGGAAAGTATAGAGGAAGGAAATATGGGACTATTTAAAAAAAATAAACATAATACATGGGCCAAATATGGACCATTTATAAAGATGTGAAAAGACCAGAGATAGAGCCATTAAACAAATGTCAATACATTTCAAATGATGAAATCATACAGTCTGTTCTCTAATGACAACACAAATAAATTAAATAATGAAGATATATATAGTCTAAATATTTGGAATTTAATTTCCAAATTAAATTAAATATTTCAATTCTTCTAAATATCCATTAGACCAAATATTACAAGGAAAATTAAACTTTTAAAAAAGATATATAAATAAACTAATAAGCTACTCAGTATCACATGTCTTAATGTATCACTTAATAGAAACTGGATTCTCATATTGTTTCTTCATTCAGTTCATTGTGACAAGTTGTGTTGGTTGAGACAGCTGAATAAAACAGCCTCATACAGATATATAGCTGGAAAAGGAAGGTGTTCTTTTGAAAACCCTTTCAGCTAATGTAGATATTGTTCTTTTATATCAAAACTCAAAAACTGATGAAACCTGAGAAGTTAGTTACAATACAGATTATGAAACTGTTAGCAAAACACCAGGGTTTAATTCTAAGTTATGCTGCTCACTGTACAGAATGCCAATCACTGAGACAACACATGCTGCCACCAAGGAGAATGGTAGGTCAGCCTCAGGCTCATCTCCCTGACTGAATAAAACTAGGGCACTTATACAGGGAGGAAGGTGGGAAAACAGGAACTAAGGAAGGGTAAGAAAGCAATCATGATGGATGAAGGATCTAGACCCTCATTGTCTGGATGCAGGGATCTAGTGAGTTTTAATCTCTTGCCTGAGGGTTGGTTTCCTGAGGAAGGAACACAGATAAGACAAATGTAAGTTTCAAATTTTAAAACCAAAGGTCAATTTCTATGTTTATTCAAAAAACCTGCAAAAATCAGTTTTATGGGCTAATTATGCCACATTCAAAATCATACTGCAGCACACTGAATGTTGGCCTCCAATAATATATATGCATACCTTGATCCCTGGAACTTGTGAATATTACTTTACATACCCAAAGATATGATTATGTTAAAGATTTTGAGAGGAGGAGCTTACCCTGGATCATCCAAGAGGACCCTAAATGCAACTGCATATATCTTTATAAGACAGAAATGGAGAAAGTTTTCAGACAGAAAGAAGGAGGCAATGTGGCCACGGGGGCAGAGATTGGAGTGATGTGGTCACCAATGAACGAATTGCTGGAACCACCAGATGCTGGGAAAATAAGTTTCTTTCCTAAAGTCTTCAGGGGGAGCAAGGGCCTGCTGACCCCTTAGTTTCAAATATCAGGCCTCCAGAAATAACAGAGAATACATTTGTTATTCCCAGTCACCAAGTTTATGGTAATTTGTAGCAGCAGCACTCAGAAACAAAGAGACATATCAATAAACTTTTCACATTCTGTTACATTAAAATCCATTGGTCTATCTTGAACTTTGAATAGATCTTTCACTCAAGCGTGATTTTGTAACATCATTCATTGTTTATGTGCAAAACATTGGTTAACTAAGTTATTCAGATGTTCCAATGTTGACACATTTCATTGTGTAATATCAAAAGCCACATATATTATCAACACCAATCTTATCAAACACATCTTTAAATATTGAGAAGCTGGTGGTTACAAGATTTTTAAAATTCAAATATTTGCCTGAAGGTTCACCTTTTATCCCTGGTAAAACATACTGTCAAGTTGTTTTCCTTGAAGTGACAGACACACTTGATTTTTGAAAAGTGTCTAAAAAAAACCCAATCTGAATAACCATAGACAGTCATTTTTATTAAGTAAAAAATGTTGTTCCATGGAAAATGCAGCCAACTTCACTTACAATTTAAGTATTCTATTTGTCAGGATAGCCACTGAACTTCAGAATGCACCTGTAGTGATTTATGTGGACTGCCCATTTTTTCACAAAGAATATTAAAAATGAGTGTACTCAAGGGTCAAAATTTAGTACAATTAGCAATTTTTACTGTTTCATCAAGGACATTTTTATATGATGCTGTTATGTTTACTGTTTCTTCCTTTTGTTTTTGACTGTGAGTACACAGCAGAGAAAAAAACAATAACTATTAGTGCAGTTTGTTGCCACTGTTTTGATTATGCCAAAATGCCAGCTGATTTATTTTTCCCACCATTGCTTTTGTTGCATCCGTGCAAATGTTCACATGAAGGAAAAGACAAATAACACCTTAGCATTATTATAAAAATATTTCTGGTCTTTTTGACCCCCCAAAGGGTTTCAGGAGCTCCCCCCACCTCCCAGGAGTACATGTGTTCCACTTCGATACTGATGTAAAGCAAATTGTTCCATTGCAAATGGGATTTAAGATGGTAGAACCACTTTGGAAAATTATGCGGCTTTGCTTTTTTTTTTTTTTTTTTTTTTTGAGATGGAGTCTCACTCTGTCACCATGGCTGGAGTGCAGTGGTGCAATCTCGGCTCACTGCAAGCTCCGCCTCCCAGGTTCATGCCATTCTCCTGACTCAGCCTCCAGAGTAGCTGGGACTACAGGTGCCTGCCACCATGCCCGGCTTTTTTTTTTTTTTTTTTTTTTGTATTTTTAGTAGAGACGGGCTTTCGCCATTGTAGCCAGGATGGTTTTGATCTCCTGACTTTGTGATCTGCCCACATCGGCCTCCCAAAGTGCTGAGATTACAGGCGTGAACCACCACACCCAGCCTATGTGGTATTTTGATAAACTTTAACTACCTACCTACCTTAGGACTCAGCAAATCTACTCTGACTAATATATCAAGAGAAATGAGGGAATATGTCCATAAAAGATTTGTCCACAGATATTCATAATAGCTTCTTATCCATTATAACTGAAAATTAGAAGCAAATAATGTCCAGCATCAAGTAAACACGTTAAAATTACGTTATATCTGTACAATACAATCCTTCTCAAAAATCAATACAGTGAATTACTGATAAAAGCAACAAAATAAGTGAATCTTCAAAACGTTAATTTGAGGGAAATAAGTCAGGCTACAAATAGATATGTTAGGTATGGTTATGTTTATGTAAAGGTCAAGGACAGGAAGACTTGACCTGTGGTTATGAAATGAGAAGAGAGGTTCTTCTAGGAAGTGTGTTGACTGGGAAAGGACATGAGCCAAAAGTTTCTGTGGTAAAAGAAATGTTCTCTAGCTTGACGGGCATATTGATTATACACCAAACTCACCAAACAGTACTCTTAAGAAGCATGTATTTCACTGTACGTAAGTCATACTTCAATACAGTTCTTAATTTCAACAATTACTTTTATTATTTATTTTTATAGTCTGGAATAAATAAATAAGTACACACACACACACACACACACACACACACACTATATGTACAAATTACATGCTATCAACAAGATACATGGAACAAAGTGGCCTGGAGAGACTAGAAGGAAAAAGATGGGCAAACAGAGCAATAAAAATACAATAAAAATAAAGCAAAGATTCTAATAATAATATCAAAGGAGAGTTCAAGATAAGCTTTTCAGTAGATAAAGTTGCTCTCTGTGGTGAAACATGCAACTAACAACAAACCAAACTGTGGTGAGATTTTTAGGCACTTGATAACCTAATATGTAAATATATAAATTAAACATTTAGACATAAAGTCAGAAATAATTTCCTAAAAGTTTTTAACACAATCTTTCAGCCTTTGACAAATGAAATAAATGGAAATAGAATATATTTGTGCATATATATGTCATTCATGTATAAATATATATACCAAAAGCACAACCCATAGCATATGAAATGTAGAGATAGTAGCAAATCTTTAAGCATTTAACTGTGGATTTAAATATTTTTAAATGCATACTTAGAAATTTAAAGATAGCCAGAAACATAAATTTAATTGAACATTTTAAACATAGTCTTTAATACAACGAGTAAACAAAAAATGGGCCTGAGTAATGTATTAATAGGGTGTACTTTATGTGTAACTGTATTTCAAATCCTAAATCCTATATTAAGTATTGCACCTTCTATTGAAGAGCCAATGGAACATTTAAAATGATTGCTCATATATCAAGCCATAAAGAAAACACCAATAAATTCCTAAAAGTAGAAATAAATCCATCCTCATTCGCTTCAATTTACTACTATAAAACAACAAACTAATAACAAAAGTACTATTTGTTTTGTTTTGTTTTTGAGATGGAGTGTCAATCTGTCGCCCAGGCTGGAGTGCTGTGACACAATCTCGGCTCACTGCAACCTCTGCCTCCCAGGTTCTAGCAATTCTCCTGCCTCAGTCTCTCGGCTATGCAAGTAGCTGGGACTACAGGCGCCTGCCACCATGCCCGGCTAATTTTTGTATTTTTTTTCTATAGAGATGGAGTTTCACCATATTGGTCAGGCTGCTCTTGAACTCCTGACCTCAGGAGATCCACCCACCTCGGCTTTCCAAAGTGCTGGGATGATAGGCGTGAGCCACCGCGCTCGGCCGTAATATCTTAACTAGATTTATTTTAAGACATAGACCTTCAAAGCAATTTTCAAAATAAAAAAACATGCTATTCTTGTTCATAGCAGTTACTGCACAACACAAAACATGAATTTTGAAAAACATATCTAAGAAACAAAAAGGATTCAATTCAAGAAGGAAAAATAGACATTCATCACTGGGATTAAAATTATGTATCTTATTTCCTCTAAGTTGAAACTTTGCTTTGTCCAAAAGTTGATTGTACCGTTAGTGAAAACGTATTTTTTACAGACCAAAGTAACAAGGGAACTTAGTTAAAATGATTAGACTTTGAATAACATCAAAAAACTACAAATAACTGTGTAAGGAGAAGGAATTTGTGCTGGTGTTTTGAATACTGGGAAGTGTAACCTTACAACTGGGCAGCTTGTAGAGAGAGAGTTAGAAAATTATCTTCCAGGCCGGGCGCGGTGGCTCACGCCTGTCATCCCAGCACTTTGGGAGGCCCAGGCGGGCGGATCACGAGGTCAGGAGATCGAGACCACCCTGGCTAACACGGTGAAACCCCGTCTCTACCAAAAATACAAAAAATTAGCCAGGCGTGGTGGCGGCGCCTGCAGTCCCAGCTGCTCGGGAGGCTGAGGCGGGAGAATGGCGGGAACCCGGGGGGCGGAGTTTGCAGTGAGCCAAGATGGCGCCACCGCACTCCAGCCTGGGTGACAGAGTGAGACTCCATCTCAAAAAAGAAAAGAAAAGAAAAAGAAGAAGAAAATTCTCTTCCAACCCTATTCCCCCCACCCCACCCTCCTCCCCACTCCTCATGTATAATATATCAGGGAGCCAGACTGGGAAGCGGGAGGAGGAAATCTCATCTCAGTCTAATTTAGAGGCATTTGAATGATTTGAAGCTCCGCTTTAGACGTCTATCAGCAAATGACAGGCTCCCTTGCCCTTCCATTGTTTGTGGATGAGTCCGCAGTAAAAAAGGCTGACATGGTATCTATGAAAACAAAATACTGCAGTATACAAAAACAGAAGCTTGACCTCAAAACTCACAGAAAGAAAGCCCCCTGATAATGATTTACCAAAGGAACAGAAGTAGTATTAGACAAAAATGGCATCTTCTTTTGGCTCTAGGTAGAGTCTGTTTGCATTCTATGAAAAAAAAAATAGCAGAAAGGATTTTCAGAAAACAGAATGAGATGAAATGTTAAATGATAGGGGAAAGTTTTCAGGGAAAGAGTCTACACAATAGTAGAATCTGAATTGGAAGCTGAACAAAATGAAATTAACATTGTGGAAAATAAAATTAGCAATTTGGAAAATCCTCTTGAAAAGGTCACCACATATTTAGATAAAGAGATTTAAAACAAATACTCATTAAAAATAAAAGAGAAAGATTCTAAGCACAGATTGTAAACCAAAAGGTATCTGAGACAGGTCTCAATCAATTTAGAAAGTTTATTTTACCAAGGTCAAGGACATGCCCATGGACCTCAGGAGGTCCTGGCAACATGCACCTCTTAAAAGTATAAAAGTATAAAAGATATACCTGGTCTCAAGGAGGATGAAAAAGAAGAACATTTGAAAAAATTATTAAATGATAATTGATAAATGATACCAATCAAGAAAACCTGCATGTCCTAAGGCCCTAAATCACAGATAAAGATGAATCCAAAAATCCCCCCAATAAGCAGCAGCAAAATGTTTGAATTGTATTTTTACCTTGGTTTTTAAACTTTGCATTTAAAAAAAAATTTAAACTTAAAATTCACAAGAAAACAATTAATTGCCATATACACCTCTCAGCAATTGTTACCTTTTACAATATTACTATATGCTGTGTTCTCTCTTTCTTCCTCCAAAAATAAGGTTATTCATTTTCTTACATAACCAAAGTGAAATGATCAAATTCAGAAAATTTAACATTGATAATACTAATTATGAAATTTTTATTTAATTTCACCAACTGTCCTTAATAGGATTTCTTTGACCCATTTGTGACCTAATCTAGGATCATGCATGGTATTTCGTTGTCATGGTTCTTTAGGCTTTAATCCGGAATAGCTTCTCACTCTTTTTTGAAAAATTCCATAGCACAGACATTTGAAGAGTACAGGTCCATCGTTTTGTAAAATGTTCCTCAATTTGACTTTGTCTGGTGGTTTCGTCATGATCAGTGTCAGGCTATGCACTTTTGACAGGAATACTGTAAATGATGTATGTTCTTCTCAGTGTGTCACATCAAGAAGAAAATATTATCAATTTTTCCCATTACTACTAATGTTAACTTTGATCTTTCGGTTAGATCCAAGGTAGAGTCTGCCAGATTTCTCAGCTGTAAAGTTACCATTTTGCCTTTGTGATTTATAAGTAATCTGTGCACAGATATTTCAGACAGTATACATACATTCTTTTTTATTTGAATTCATTAAAATTCACTCACTGGTTTGGGCATCTATTGGTAAGTGTTTTCTGCAATAATTGTTACTATGATGGCTGCCAAATAGTGATTCACAATTTTATCATTGCTTCTACATTTACTGGTTGTCACTCTACTGTAGGAAATAGGTCCTCCACACCTCCATTTACTTTGTTTACTTATTTATGTATTTATTGATCAGCAGTTTCACAGATCATTTTAATTTAAAGATGATCATCCATTATTCTTATTTTGATGTTCACATTGTCCTAGCTTAGGCCAGTGGGAGCCCTTTCAGGCTACCTCTTTGCTCTTTCACTACTTGCATTTTAAAAGTTTTATGCATACCTTCCTGCCAAAGTTGTGACATTTTTAATATGAAGAAGTTTTTAATTTTGAGAAAATCTAATTCATTTTTTTTGTGGTTTTAATTTCTGTGTCCTGAGACACATTTGCCTACACACAAGTCACAAAGATTTTCTCCTATATTTTTTATCTAAAAGCTTTATAGTTTTGTTTTTATATTTCAGTCTATAATACATCTCAAATTAATTTTTGTGTTTTGTGTGAAGTAGGGTCTAGGTATATTGCTTTCCCAAAGGACAGCTAGTTTTCCTAACACGATTTGTTAAGATTATTCATTTTCCTAATGAATTTTTGACCAAACAAATCAAATGGACATCTAAGTGTGTCTCTAGTTTTTAGCCCTTTATTCTATTACTTTAATCTATTTATTGGTTCTGTGCCAGTAAAATAATAATTTGATTACAGCATATTATAGTTAATCTTGAGGTTATGTAGTGTATGTCTCCCAAGTTTGTTCATCTTTCTCAAGTTTGCTTTGGATAGTCTAGGTCCTTAATATTTCTGTATGAATTTTAAAAGCAGGGTTGTTGGATTTTGATAGAAATTACATGGAACCTATAGATCAATTTGAGGTAAAATTGACATCTTAACATTTAGTCTTCTATCAACATGGCATATTTCTCTATTTCTTCAAGTCTTCTTAATTCCTTTCAGTAGGTAACTAAACTGGACACTATACATCTTTGGTTAAACATGTTCCCCTATAGGTGGTATCAAAAATGTCACTTCATATCTTTCACCCTTAGCTGAGCTGCTAGCAGTGTACTCTATACACTCACGGTTCATGGTGTAGCCTTGAGATATGGGGAGAGTTAATACACCGATTTAGGGGCTCTCCCTTTCCCTCTCCTTTCCAGGACTACCCTTAGTCTTCTGAGAGGAAGTGTTTGCTTCAAGTTCTAACCTCCAGTTCTTGCCAAAAAAGGCTGCAGGTTTTCTGTGGGAGTTTTAATTGGCAGTGTGACACTGACTATGACCTGCCCTCAAACTAAAAATTATAAACTCCAGAAACTCACTCTGTGCTCTTTCCTTTTTCTGCATGTCAATTCCCCTCTAAAATCTCACTGCTCTTCTTCACTCCCCAGTGTTTTCACACAGTTGTTTGTATTGTGTCTAGAGTTCATGATTAGCAGGAAGATTTGTCCTGCTGGAGCTCACTTAGCCCTGCTGCTTGAATTTCATTTTTGAATTATGACCCTATAAACACACAGGGTGGGGAATGTAAGAGGTTATCTAACCACAAAGGAAAACAGAGTGAGGTGTCCTCAGGCTACTCTTCTACAAAACAAATGCCAGAAAGGAAAGGGATTTAACTACTGAATTTTTGGCGAATAATACATAAACCTAAAAATGTACATGCAGTCATGATATCTTCCCTGCATGGTGGTGAGGTTAAAGGGTTCTTAGAGATACATGGACACTGA
Source organism: Homo sapiens (assembly GCF_000001405.40). Lineage (NCBI taxonomy): Eukaryota > Metazoa > Chordata > Mammalia > Primates > Hominidae > Homo > Homo sapiens. Next base: position 1,883,925 of record NC_000003.12, read on the forward strand.
AACATAATGATCACTGACACCTTTAGGGAAAAAAAAAAAAACACTAGCATTTTCCTATCAAAGTGTGAGGCAAGGGCCAGCATCATCAACATCAGTTGGAAGGTTATTAGAGTGCAGAATATTAGCCCCCACTCCAGACCTAGTGAATCAGAATTCCAATTTTAAAAATACTTAATGTGTATTTTAAATTTGAGAAGCACTTCTTTAGCCATCTGAGATTCAGCATTCTAGGATTTCTAGGATGTCAATGCCAAATCACACTTTTAAAATATTATCATTTCTTTAACCCAATTTAGAAGTCACAACAACATAATCTAAATGCAAAGAGCATCACGAAGATATTCCTTGATACAAAATAATTATCACAAAAATAGAAAAAGATGAGACTAGCACTAGGAAAAAGGATGTACAGTCATTGAATGTTTAGTGATGAAGTTTATAATAATGATATGGTAAAATGTTTACTATGTCATTCTGAACTGTAATGCAGGAAACAGAAGAGTAGATGCAATAACATCTCAATGCCCGAATAAAAAATAATCATAAAAAATATCAGATGTAAATACTGTTGACACTGGATAGTGATGTGTTCCCCACTCATTTACATATACTTTCCAAATATGAATGCATTTTGAAATAAGGATAAATACATTTTGAGTAACCAAAGAAATGTTATCAATGGAGAATTGCAGAGGGCCATTTTTGTGAATGTGTTTCATCAAGCCATTTACTTCATGCAGATTCTATCACTCTGCCTTAGATGCTACTTCCTTTCTAGCCCAAAGGCAGAGTACACAAATGGCTCAATGTGACACAAAATAATCAGTGAGAACTAGTGACTGAAACATTCTAGGCTTTTCTCAATTGCTTTGTGATAAAGAGTAAATTCTGTAACCACTCTGAGTGACATTTCTCATATTTGGGTAAAAATATAAACTTTGATATAAACAACATAGGCATGTTATAAAAATTAATGAGCCTAAGATTCATGAAACCCTTAGAGCTTGAAAATGGGGGAAAAACTGTATGAACAAACACAGCAAAACTATGGCAAAAGTCCCAGCATTGTAGGAATTTTCTGTTTTTAAAATTATTTTCTAAAGTCTCAAAAGCAAGGGTAAATTTGTGCTGTATCACAAGGAGCATCCAATGGAACACTCCTTATCCCTGGGAGTTTATTATCTAGTAAGTATTATAAGGTTTGTAGTTTATGCCCAATTTTCTAACCCTATTTTCTAAATACACATTGTTGCTAATTTTTGTTGGGCCCACAAACACAATCTAAGCCTTCCCTCTAGTCTTCCAGTCCCTTCTTCCTGGGAATCATTGATATCAATTATAGCCTACCCCACTGCCAATTACAATTATTGCTTGCTGCTGTTTAAGTACAAATGATCTAATTGTCATCAATTTGCAGTTCCAATTACCTGGTCATATCTTGCCTTAAGGTACCTCATCTCACTGGCAACTGTGAAGTTGGCAGGGAGGGGAAATTTTACAGGATTTTTCTTAATATAAATACAAAAGGACAATTGACTACTACTTTTCATATCACTATGACACCCTCAGTTGTTCAAGAGTTCCTTTCAAGTCATTAAATGTTTTCACAACATAACAAAAAACACATATCTTTTTATCCTGAGAAGCTTTCTGGCCTGTTTTATGGATATTAACTGTCTTGAGAAGCTTTCTGGTCTGTTTTGTGGATATTAACTGTATATCTGTGTATTAGTCTATTCTTGCATTGCTATAAAGAACCACCTGAGACTGGGTAATTTATAAAGAAGTTTAATTGGCACACAGTTTCACAGGACGTACAGAAAGCATGGCTGGGGAGTCCTCAGGAAACTTACAATCATTGGTGGAAGGCCAAGGGGAAGCAGGCACATCCTACATGGCTGGAGTAGGAGGGAGGGGATAAAGTGGGAGGTGCTACACACTTTTAAACACCCAGATCTCCTGAGAACTCACTCACTAGTATGAGAACAGCAAGGCAGAAATCCTCCCCCATGAGCCCATCACCTCCCACCACGCCTCTTCTCTCTGAATATTAGTTAACCTCTCTGCACCACAGGTTCTTTATCCTTTCTGTTCCTTCCAAATGCCAAATTATTTTATGCCCTAAGGCCTTTCAAGGTGCTGTTCTCCAGATAACTGTTTCTCCGGCATTACTGAGATCACAGCTCAAATATCTCCTTCTCAGAGAGACCTCTGCCCAAGAATACCCTCAAATATAGCTTCTCTTCTCACCCCACTCCACCCTCATTATGCTATGTTCTATTGCTGACTTCATCAGAGTTCTCCCTAGGAACACAACCAATATAAATAGAAAGAGAGATTGATTATAAGGAGTTGACTCACAATAATCTACAGCATGGGCCAGCAGTGTGGACACCCAGGAGAGCCAGTAGTACAGTTGATGTTCAAAAGTAATCTGCTGGAGAATTCTCTCTTGCTCAAGGAGGCTGGTCTTTGCATTCTATTCAGGCCTCCAACTGATTGCTCAAGGCCCACCCACATTATGGGGGCAACATGTTTTACTTTTAAAAGTTCTTTGATTTAAATTTTAATCTCATCCAAAAACACCTTCCAAGCTGACACACAGAAATTAACCATCACAACTGTCCTCTTTATTTTCTTCAGAGACACCTGAAAATCTCTAATAAGGATGAGAAACGCATTGTTATCTCAAAGACTGCTATGAATTTGTTTATTTTCTGCCCTTCCCATTCACTTTTCATATAAGCACCATGAAAGCAGGGACCTTGTGTGTCGTTTTTACACTGATATCCCTTGCCCATTACATTGAATGTTATTAGGGATATAGTAGACACTGAATAACCTTTCTTTGAGGGGGGGCGCGTGGGGAGGAGGCAAAGTCTTGCTCTGTCACCCAGGCTGGAGTGCAGTGGTACAATCTCAGCTCATTGCAGCCTCCGCCTCATGAGTTCAAGTGATTTTCCTGCCTCAGCCTCTTGAGTAGCTGGAATTACAGGTGCACACCACCACGACCAGCTAATTTTTTGTATTTTTAGTAGAGACGGGGTTTCACCATGTTGGCCAAGCTGGTCTCAAACTTCTGACCTCAGGTGATCCACCTGCCTCGGCCTCCCAAAGTGTTGGGATTACATGTGTGAGCCACCGTGCTCACCCTGAATAAACATTTTGAGTGAAGAAAGATAAAATTGGATGATAATTTTTACCTACTTTATAGTACTGCTGTATTTCATTAGCTTTTTTTTTTTTTTATCTATCAGTAAAATACCGGGTACACATTTAGTACTTGCAAAAATGTCAGCCTGTGGGCATGCACAGATACACACACCAAACACGTGTGAAAGGAAAATATCTTGCCACCAAAATCACTAGGAAAACTCAAGCCAGCAGGGAACTGCTTAGGGCAAAGCTGCTTCCCATTCTTTTCAAAGTCACTCCTCTGCTCACTGAGATGGAGGCATATCTGACATCCAATCTTTTCCAAAGGATTGGAAAGACTAATCAGAAACTCAAAAGAATGTAACCATTTGGGTATCACCTATCTCTGACCTGGAAGCTCCCTCCCCACTTCTGCTTCAAGTCTTCCTGCCTTCGCTTCAAGTTGTCCCGCCTTTCCAGACCGAACCAGTGTACTTCTTACATGTACTGATTGACGTCTCACGTCTCCCTAAATGTATAAACCAAGCTGTGCCCTGACCACCTTGGGCACAGGTCATTAGGACTTCCTGAGGCAAAACAAACTTGCTAAATTAACTAAGACCTGTCTCAAATTTGGGGGGCTCACACACTCAAAGTATTTATACATACACATTTTTTTTTTCTGATTAGTCGGATACATATATGAGATTCCTGGGTACTGAACAACAGATGACAAGCATGTTAATGTGATTTCCCAGGTATACCTATTTTCCTACCAATTCTTAGCTAAACAATCCAGATTCTTAACAATGCTTGCAGGCTTTTAACTCACCACAAAGTTAAGATGGAGAAATACACTGGCTTGCTTTTTCTGGTTATATACTGGCACGTCTATTCTAAGAATATGTAAGGGTTTGGTCTGTGCAAAAATTTCGTGAGCAATATCCCACAAACACAGGCACCCATGGCAAATATGGACAAACAGAATCACGTCAAGTTAAAAAGCTTCTGCATGGGGAAGGAAACAATCAACAAAGTGAAGACACAACCCACAGGCTGGGAGAAAATATTTGCAAACTATGCATCTGACAAAGGATGAATAACCAGAATATATGAGGTGAAACAATTCTATAGGAAAAAAATCTAATAATCCAATAAAAAATAGGTGAACGATTTTTATAGACACTTATCAAAGGATAACGCAAATGGCAAAAAGGCATATGAAAAGGTACTCAACATCACTGATCATCAGAGAAATTCAAATCAAAACTACAATGAGATATCAAGTCACCCCAGTTAAAATGGCTTTTATCCAAAAGATAGGCAATAAATGCTGGTGAGAATGTGGAAAAAAGGGAACTCTTACAGACTGTTGTTAGGAATGTAAATTAATACAACTACTATGGAAAACGGTTTGGAGTGCCAGAAACAATAAGTTCCTCTTCAAACTTCCTTGTTCTTTCTGGTTGTGTAAACAACCCTTTGTGTCTAATTGGTAATGGACAGCCTCTCCCTTCCCGCCAAATTGGCCCTATTCAATTTCAAACAATAGCCAATCGGGTCAGCTTAGATTGTGCGATCCAACTCTGGCCAATGGGGAAAGGACACAGAAACAGGACCTCCATTAGGGAGAAAAACCCTTGCCCTACCCTGCTTGGTGTGCTCTTGCAATTGCATCAAATGCAGGCAGCACCCTCCTGCAGAAGTAAAGTTGCCTTGCTGAGAAATTTTCAGTTTAAGTGCTAGTTCTTCTTTGCAGCACCAAGCGCTTGTTGCTAACAATTTGGAGGCTTGTCTGGGATCCCATTCTCCTCTGGGGAAGGGTCTTCAATAATCTCTCATGACGAGATGCGTCCCGCTGCCATATTGTGGTGGCCTCAGGAGTAAGAGATCGAGACCCACCAAGCATGACAAATAAACTTGGACTCTCAGTAACATGGGAAGAAAAGGCCTACAAATAGGTACCATGGTAACCAGGTAACTCTGTGCACAAACCAAGGTAAGAAAAGCCACGGGGTGTGAAGTATTTCTTTGGTGGTTGGGACATCCTCTGAAAGCCAGGGAAATAACCTTGCAGATCAAATAGCTAAGCAAGCTGCCTCTTCCAATTTTCCATCTAACCCCCTGTCTTCCCCCTCCAGCTGCAATCCCCATCTTTTCCCACGCAGACCAAGAAAAAGCAAAAAAAAAATAGGAGCTGAGGAAAGCCCAGAGGGAAAATGGTTATTACCAGATGGAAGGGAAATGTTGTCTAAACCCCTCATGAGAAAAATACTGTCACAGCTTCATCAAGGAACCCACTGGGGTCCCCAAGCTATGTGTGACACAGTCCTTAGGGTTTATGGGTATATGGGGATCTATACCCTCACTAAGCAAGTTATACATAGTTGCATAGTGTGCAGAAAAACTAATAAGCAAACCTTAAAGAAGCCACCTTTCGGAGGAAGAAACCCAAGGCTAAGGCCATTCCAAAGCACCCAAGTGGACTACACTGAAATGCCTCCAATAGGTCACACTCAGATGTTTATTAGTAATAGTAGACCATCTTACCTACTGGGTAGAAGCCACACCCTTCCCAAGTGCAACAGCAAGTAATGTAGTTAAAGCTCTGTTGGAACATATCATACCCAGGTTTGGACTAATAGAGAATATTGATTCAGATAATGGGACCCACTTTACCATGCTCATTATTAAAAAGTTAACCCAAGCACTAGAAATAAAGTGGGAATACCATACTCCCTGACATCAACCCTCATCATTGAAGGGTAGAAATAATGAACCAGACTCTAAAAAAACCACCTCACCAGATTAATCTTGGAAACCCGGTTACCATGAACAAAATGCCTTCCCATTGCCTTACTAAGAATCTTAACTGCCCCTTGGAAAGACCTTGGCCTGTCTCCTTATGAAATGCTCTATGAGCTGCCTTAACTAAATTCTGCAACTGACCTTCCTACATTTGAAACAAAGGATCAGTTTGTTAAAAACTATATACTTGGTCTGTCTTCCATCCTTTCCTCCCTCAGGACCCAAGGCCTTCTAGCACAAACTCCACCCTTCAAATTCCCAATTCAGCAACACCAATCCAGAGATCACATCCTTATCAGAAGTTGGAGAGAGGGAAAGCTTGAACCTACCTGTGAAGGACCTTATCTGGTGCTCCTAACAACTGAGACGGCAGTCTGGACTGCTGAGAAGGGGTGGACCCATCATACCTGAGTCGAGAAGGCATCACCATCTCCAAAGTCATGGACTGTCACCCCCAGACCAACCCTCGCCAGAGTAACATTAAAGAGAAAAGCCTAATCTGTCTGTCCCTTTTTCCTCTTTTCTTTCCTCTAGCTGCCCTACATCTTATTATTAATGTAACTAAGTCAAACTCACCTCAAACCATTACTTTTGATGCTTGTCTTGTTACACCTTGGGGAGACTTGCGAAGTCAAAGACAGCTCTCTACTCTAGAAAAGTATCTTTGCCCTTCTTGGAGCTTCTGAGACTGGGCAGATTCTGTTAACGGGACTCCCTTAGACTGGGAAGATTCTGGAGAAGATTCTGTTAACTGGGAATCTTGTCCTCCAAGAACAGAGCTTCTCTGCTGTAGCTGATCCAATGTTCTATGGACTACCAAAATTCAAGGTTGGACCTCCCCAACAAGTAGCTGTGTATCCCTAAAACCATACATTCATTTCACTAAAGGAAGCATGCACCACCAACTGCCAATAAAACCAATGTAATCCAATACAAATTTCCATTACTATCTCAAGTTCACAAGATTCTTCCCCTTCATTAAGTCGTTTTTATGGTATGGGAGCAGAAGTCACAGGAGCAGACCCTACAAGATATTTTGAAATGCATTTCATGGCCTCCTCATTCCCCTCCTCCTTCTCCATCTTCTTCTCCTTCTAAACCTTCTAACCAAACTACTACCCTTTCCCTACCCAATAGCAACGCCAAAGTGGACATTGTAGAAGTTAAATATTTAAAGCAAACTTTAGCCATTGAAACAGGGTACCAAGATGCAAATGCTTGGCTGGAATGGATTAAATATTCTGTCTGCACACTGAACAAAATTGATTGTTATGCTTGTGCAATGGGCAGGCCAGAAACCCAAACTCTCCCCTTTCCACTTGGATGGTCCTCTGACCAACTGGGCATGGACTATATGGTAGCCTTCTTCCAAAACCACAAAGCCTAGGGCAGTAAGGCATATCAAACCCTTTCGTTGCTATTCCCAGAAGTTAAAAGCCCTGTTGGTCAGCCCCTGAGGGCCATCTGACCTCCAGCTATCGATGTCAATTTCATCTTGTGTCTCTCAAGACAAGGGGAAAACTTGGCATTCCTTGGAAGCCTAACAGAATGCAATGAATCTAAGCCTTTTCAGAAGGTAACCAATCAGTCTACCCTTGTTCATTCCCAAGCAGATGTATGGTGGTATTGCGATGGACCACTACTGGGTACTCTACCAAGTAACTGGAGCCCTCTAATCCAATTGGCCATCCCTTTCACTCTGGCATTTCACCAACCAAATAAAAAAGGATGGTCACAGAAAAAGAAGTGCCCCTCATGGGTCTTTTGACCCTCACGTTTATATAGATGCTACCAGAGTTCCCCAAGGGGTGCCAAATAAATTTAAAGCCTGAAATTAAATAGCCGCAGGATTTGAATCTCTATTATTCTGGTGGTCAACTACAAACAAAAATGTAGACTTGAAAAATTACATTTACTATAATCAACAGCAGTTTGTCAGTTACACAAGAGATGCCATTAAAGGAATAGCTGAACAATTAGGCCCTACCAGCCAAATGGCTTGGGAAAATAGGATAGCCCTTGACATGATACTGGCCAAATAAGGTGGAGTTTGTGTCACAATTGGAGTCCAATGTTGTACTTTTATCCCTAGCAACACAGCCCCTGATGGAACAATTACCAAAGCATTACAGGATCTTACCACCCTAGCAAATGAATTAGCTGAAAGTTCTGGAATAGATGGCCCCTTTTCAGGTCTCATGGAGAGATGGTTTGCAAAGTGGAAAGGACTCATGACCTCAATATTTACTTCTCTTGCAATTGTTAAAGGTGTACTTATTATTGTAAGTTGTTGTATCATACCTTGTATTTGTGGGTTAGTTCAAAGGCTTATAGAAACAGCTCTTACCAAAATCTCCCTCAATTCTCCTCCACCCTATTCAGATAAACTCCTACTTCTGGACCACCAAGAAGAACAACAAGGCCAAATTATCTCAGAAAAATTTTAAGAGGAAGAACTATAAAAACAAGAGTGGGGAAATTGCCAGAAACAATAAGTTCCTCTTCAAATATCCTGGTTCTTTCTGGTTCTGTAAACCACCATTCCCACCTAATTGGTAATGCACAGACTCTCCCTTCCCATCTAATTGACCCTATTCGATTTCAAACAATAACCAATCAGTTCAGTTTAGATTGTGTGGTCCAACTCTGGTCCAATGGGGAAAGGACACAGAAACAGGAGCTGTGTTAGGGATAAAAACCCCTGCCCTACCCTGCTCAGTGTGCTCTTACGATTGCCATCAGACATAGGCAGCACCCTTCTGCAGAAGTAAAGTTGCCTTGCTGAGAAATTTTCCATTTAAGTGTTGGTTCTTCTTTGCAGCACCAAGTACCTGTTTCTAACAGAAAGTTCCTCAAAAAACTAAAAATAGAGCTACCATATGATCCAGCAATGCCACTGCTGGGCATATACACAAAAGAAAGGAAGTCAGTATATCAAAGAGGTATCTGCACTCCCATGTTTGTTGCAGCACTGCTCACAATAGCCAAAATTTGGAAACAACCTAAGTGTCCATAACAGAAAAATGAATAAAGAGAATGTGGTACATATACACAATGGAGTATTATTCAGCCATTAAAAGAATGAGATCCTGTCATTTACAATAGCATGAAAGGAGCTAGAGGTCATCATGTTAAGTGAAATAAACCAGGCATAGAAAGACAAACTGTGCATGCTTTCACTTATTTGTGGAATCTAAAAATCAAAACAATGAAAATCATGGACATAAAGAATAGAAGGATGGCTGGGCACCATGGCTCATGCCTGTAATCCCAGCACTTCAGGAGGCCAAAGCAGGTGGATCACCTGAGGTCAGGAGTTCGAGACCAGCCTGACCAACATGGAGAAACCCCGTCTCTACTAAAAATACAAAATTAACAGGATTACATGCCTGTAATCCCAGCTACATCGGAGGCTGAGGCAGGAGAATCACTTGAATCCGGGAGGCAGGGGTTGCAGTGAGCCGAGATAACGCCATTGCACTCCAGCCTGGACAACAAGAGCAAGATTCCATCTCAAAAAAAAAAAAAAAGAAAAGAAAAAGAACAGAAGGATGGTTTTCAGAGGCTGGGAAGAATAGTGGGAATGGGGGTAATGTAGGGGTAAAGTGGGGATAGCTAATGAATTAGAATATATAATTATAAGAACTACTACTTGATAGCACAACAGAATGACTATAGTCAATAATAATTGTACATTTTTAAATAACTAGAAGTATAATTAGATTGTTTGTAAAACCAAGGATAAATGCTTGAGGGGACAGACACCCCATTCACCACGATATGCATATTTCACATTGCATGCCTGTATCAAAATATCTTATGTACCCCATTAAAAATATACACTTATGTACCCATAAGCATTGAAATTTTAAAACAAAAAATTTTAAAAAAGAACATGTAAGGGAACTTAGAAGTATTTTCCCCAAGTGTATGTGTGTATGTATGGGTTGGTGGGGGGGTGGCAGTGGGTGGGCAGAGTTTGGAGAGTGTATAAGCCAAAGACACATGCTTTAAATGCTAAGCCTAATATTTAAAACAAATTAATTTTGTTCTCATTGAAGTAAAGGCAAGTAGTACTGAGCAGGCCAACTACACAAATCCTATTCCATTCTCAGACGTATTCCCAGAGTAAACACAGTTCATAAACCACTGCTCAACTCTAACCTTCCCATTTTTCCCATGAAGAAACTGAGGCTCCGGAAAGGTTATGACTTGCCAACATGACCCATGATTAGTGAATGGGTCGGGATCAATCCAAATAATCTAAACCCCATACTAGAGTTTTTCCCACGATAACCACATATAAGCTGTATATTTGTGTGTATATATGATTTGTTCATTCATTCAACAAGTATTTGGTAAACATTCTTTATGCACCAGGCACAATACTTAGGGACAGAGCAGTGAACCGGTACTCATATCCCTTCCTTTCAAGGTGTTTTCGATCTTTTGGGGAATTAGTTATTTTTTAAAAATCACACATAAAAATAATCTAATTAAATTCATAAGAAGGAAAGCAGCAGGAGATCCAAGGTCATTGGCAGCCTGAAGTTAATTTCTGAATCCACCTCCTTTGCCACACTACTGAGTTACAAAAATAACCATGATCCCCTGTTGGGGCTTCTATTCAATCCCAATGTGTTTGACATGTAGAACTCCCAGAAAGGAGGTTGAGGTGCAGGATGCCATTTTTTTCAATACCAGGAGGAGCACTGGGTGGTTCAAAGCACAAAGAACTTACTTTTGTTTTTGTGTCTTAGCCCATGCCAGTTTCTACCATTTCATTGATTACTACATATCCAGAAGGTGCTTATGGTTACCACCGACAACATTTCTGCAGTTCCAGAGCCACAAATAGGCAACGGAAAACCTGCTTCATTCTTCTAAGTTTTTCAATCTTTTCCTGCAGTTGTAGGCACATTGGAAATCACTTTACTGTTCACGCTCGATTCTGGGGCCTTGGGAAACTTCGTAAGGGGTGTAGGTTTCATTGTCTCAGAGATCTAGCACAGAATCATTTCTGCTGTTCCACTCCAGTGACACACTGGGAATAAAGGGAAGTTGGAATACTCATACCACCACAGAGTCAGCTTGAAGATTCCCTTGGGTACTCCAAGTCAACCTGGTGTTCCTTCCATCTCTTACCATGGCCCCCTACTAGGTAGAGGGCTAAAAGAAACTGCAGTGCAATGGCCCTTCTCTGGGGCCCCACCACTAAACAATCTTCACTTCATCTCTAACTCTCCTCCCATCCCAGCTTCCAGAATCCACATAATTTTATTGTGGAGACAGGAGTCTATGGAGGAAACGTTACCTGAAAAGACAAGGATTCTTTCACCTGGTGAGTAACAAACAACTCTCCACAAGGAAGCACGTTTTGATCAATAAGAGTTGTATTATCGCAGGTAAGGAGAGCCCTGAAAGGATTCTTCACAGCAGTGTCTCCCTAAGGGAAAGTGACAGAAAGGTGCTATGGGGCAGATGGAGAGGGGAGAGGGCACAACACTGCATGTAGAGGAGGGGTCCCAGTGGTGCAGGCCCACTGAGTCATTATGCCAGCACATGGGTGGCATGAGATGGTAATGAAGCTATAGCTCAGCTGGGGCAGTGGCTCCTACGTGTAATCCCAACACTTTGAGAGGCCGCGGCAGGTGGATCACTTGAGGTCAGGAGTTCAAGACCAGCCTGGCCAACAGGATGAAACCCTGTCTCTACTAAACACAGAAAAATTAGCCAAGCATGGTGGTGCACACCTGTAGTCCCAGCTCCTCGGGAGGCTGAGGCATGAGAATCACTTGAACCCAGGAGGCAAAGGTTGCCATGAGCCGAGATCATGCCACAGCACTCCAGCCTGGGTGACAGAGTAAGACCCTATCTCGAAAAAAGAAAAAAAAAACAAAAAGAAGAAGAAGCTCTAGTTCCTCCCAGGCTGGAGATTTTAGCATGGTGTTGAGGAAAGTTCACTCAGGTTCTTCTGTAAGATGCCATGGTCTGTCAAGAACTGCTTCCAACCAACTAGGTGACCTCATTCCATATAGCATTTGGGAAAAAAACAGGCTGCAAGGCAAGAGTCTGTAAAACAGGCTTATTGTTCAAATTTACTAAATTCCTATAGTCCTTGGAGACCCTCCCTGTATGTTTACATAAGGGAGAGGTTTTTACTGATAATTTAGGTTCTACATTTAGGGGCCAGAAAATTCTTTTTTGACTGGGAAGGGTGGCAGTCCTGTGCATCATAGCCATGCTTATTGGCAAGATGTCAGTAGAAGCTACTAGTTGTTATAACCAGAAATGCCTCCAGAGACCGGCAAGTATTTTAAGGATGCAAAAGCACCCTCAGCTGAAGTAGAATTGTTACTGGTTTAAAATAGAAGACTACCACTTTAAATTGTTTTATGGAATTGCAAGTGTAAAGACAGAGAAAATGCTCAACACTGTGGTGCCACCACTGGAGCAGACCAAGAACTACCTGTCCCAGCCCGGCCCCAGCCCCAAGCAGGGTTCAGAGCTGCTGGGAGGCTAAAGTGACTGCTGTTGGCTCCACTGCCGCTGCCAGGGAGAGGTGAAGGTTTCCCATCAATTTCCAGCTAAAAATGACAAAAGCAGGCAGGCTTCGGGCTCTTGGATGCACTTCAGGCCAAGGCTAACACAAACAACGCAAAGAAAAGCAGAGAGGGCCACTGTGTGTATCGTGTAGTTTCCAGAATACAAAGCCCTTTATGATTATAGGTTCTGTTCCTATAAGCTAGCTACTGTAGAATTACAAAGTATTTTCCAGTTTATTTATTTCTGAGACAGGGTCTCGCTCTGTCACCCAGGCTAGAGTGCAGTGGCACAATCATATCTCATAGTTTACTAAGAAGTAACCTGGGCAAATTAACCTCGTTGAGTACAAACAGAATGGTGGTTTTCATGTGGCTTATGTTTCTTAGATCATGCTGTAAAGCCAAAATGTTTTGAATGTTACTCATTGACAGACAGCAATCATAGTCAAGAGTCTGCGTAATAACTTTGACCAGATTGCTGAAGCTACTGCCTAATAAATATATACTTTATTTATAAGTATTGCCATTTCCAAATTTTCTTAAGCAGTTCCATCCATAGGCTTAATAATATATACAATAAAATTTTCCCCTTATGCCTTCTGTTTCCTCTGGGTCTAGGCTAAATCTTTGATTCTACTGTTTGTAGAACCTGCTTTGACCTTCTTTCTCTGTGTCACCCCTTCTCCTGGACAGCAAATGTAGAAATCATCAGCTGCTTCAACAGTGAGGATCGAGTGGGCCAAAAATTCTTAGGGTTATATACTACAATTTTTTTTCTAATATATAGTATTTTATAAACATCAAAAAGAAGTCTAGTTCTGCCAAGGGTCTGTAGGCAAAATATCATTCCACTATAAACAAGTAGACATGCTAGAAACAAAACACAAAGCCACCTTTAATAGGAAAGTCTTGGTATCATGCAGTCTAGACAATAATTCTTCAATTAGCACCTAGTGGTATTAGAGAAAGAAAATAGAAGAGAGGTATAGAAAAATAGAAGAGATAACTTGAACAATGAGCTGAGTCAAATGTGCTGAACATATGATAATTTGGGATAACACAAATCTGATGTGTAACAAAATGTGTAAAAGTTGCAAAAGAATAGAACTCTTAATAAATGATGCTGGGACAATTGGCTACTAATATGGAAAATAGAAAAACTACTATAACCTACACAAATATGAATTCTAGACAGATTAAAGGCCTAAATATTAAAAGAGAAGCTTTAAAACTTTCAAAAGAGAATATAAAAAAAATTTACAACAGGCAAAACAAACCAAAGATGAAAAAGATGAGAAATTTCACTACATTAAAATTAAAGATACCGTAAACAGAGATAAGATATATAAGCTACATCCTAGAGGAGATACTTTTAATGTAAATAACCCATAAACAGTTTATATCAAGAATAGTGAAAACAATAAAAAATGTGAATGACCCAAAAGAAAAATGAGCAAAGGATATTTCATGAAAAGGAAGAATCACCCAACAACATATAAAAAGATGTATATTCTCAATAATATTCAAAAGATCCAAAATAAAAATTAGATGTCACTTTATGCCCAGATTGGTAAAAATTAAAATGTCTGAGCATGCCACTTGTTAGTGAGAATGTAGGAAAGAGGGAAATACTCCTGCTTTGTTAGTAATATTGTCAGCTGATGTGGCTAATTTAGAAAATAATTTATTAATACCAAGTGAATTGAAGATGCCTTTATAGTACCATCCAGGACGCTTGTAGGTTTAGGTCTTTCCCCTAGAGCCACTCTTGCAGGAGAGCTTGAGGCAGCACAAACAAGGCTGTTTATATTAGCACCCTTTGTAATACAATAGTTTATACAACCTGAAAGCCTACCAATAAGAGGTAAGTAAATATCCATTAGTCACACAATTGAAAAATATGCAGAAATTGAGTGAACAAGATGAATTAAAATGGATAAATCACAAAACCATAATGAGAAGGGGAAATGTAACTTTTTAAAATGTGTTCAATATAATCCTAGTTTTGTAAATTTTTTTTAAAATGCACCAAAAATGCACATATAATCAGTATATGCTTATGGACATGTAGACATATACTAATGTTGCCAAAAGATATACGGAAATTCTACACACCAAGAACCAGATACTAAGATTTCTGCCAACCCTTGTTCCCTAACAGGTCCATTCAGAGAAGAATCAGGGAGGAAAGTTATGGGCCTGAGGTTTTAATGAATCTATAAGGCTTTATTTCTTTTTAAGCACAAAGTGATCTGAAGCAAATACAGAAAAATGTGAACATACTTAATATCTTGACAGTGAATAAATGGACTTATATTTTAATTGAATAAAACTTTAATAGCACTTACTATATGCCAGGCACTTTACTGGGCACTTAACATAAATTAATAATCTTCATTATGTTTCTCTCCATGATGAAATATTTCACACATAAACATTCCTGTTGAATTAAATAAAAAAATCTAGAGGGAGATACCAAGCATGATTTTATAAAATGGGCAGGAATTTGAGAGTAAGTAGATTATAATTTTTATTTTCAACACTGCTATTATTTTTAAGTGTTAAAGTTAGCTTACATTTCTTTGTAGTTTAAAAACATTTTAAACAGTAACGTAAATATAATTATGATAAGTATCATTGAGTGTTTGAGCATCCAAATTAAGACAAGGAGCACATTCCGTAAGAAAATCGTAAAATAAAGCAGACATGGCCAGACCCTATTGTCTGAAAGAAATTAGAGGACTGCAAGATTAGTATTAAAAAGGAGATAGATGTTGTGGTATCGCAGGTAGATGTGTAATATGCACATAGGTGTACATTTCATAAAAGGCTGACTAGTCATTTGTGTTGTACTGATGGTCAAAAAGAAAGAAGAATCATTAAGTAGAATGTCTGTTGGACAAGAAACGACGTTTAGAAATTTCTAGAAGTCAAGGAGGATAGAAGTAAGTTAATGGAGCAATCTTTTATATCTTGCCAAGCAACTCAAAATAGGTCTGGTGAGACTGCAGCATGGGACTCCAGCCGCACTGGAAACCTAGATTGTCTTGCCCTCCAGAAGTCCTCCTAAATGACGTATTCATCAGGGAAAAGAGTTGACAAAATCTTTCATTCCCAGCCCTGTGGTAATGATGCTTGGACTCCCACTGAGCCAATATGAAGTGAAAACTTTGAGAAGAAAAGCTGTTAGCATCAATTAAGCGATAAAACAGTCAAACTTACTGATAATGTGTGTGAGCATGTCTAACACATTCCATCTTAACAAGGTGATCTCGGTTAATGCATTAATTACTCCTTTTAGCTCCTGTGTTGCAGTGATAACAATATCTCCCATAGAAATGCTTCTTCTTAGTCCATGTGGGGTATTTCTCTGATAGAAGCAGAAATAATAACAGCAGTCTTCTTAGACTATCAAGAGATATACAACACTATTTAAGCAATTTGAATTCAAGGGATATTTTCCAAAGTCTCTACCAATTTGGATTAGTTACTGAAAATGAATTTTGGGATTGGTTGTCAGCCTCTCTCACATATGCTGTCCAGTATTCGTGACCCCCTCCTCGCTGTTAACAGAACCCATTTTTGTTTAGGTATTTCTCTTACCCACTTAACCTATGTGCTTCAGAAAAACTACTACCTGCTATAACCCTATCCTCATCCACCACACTCCTGAGCTCCCTGTGCAGACCTGTGTGGTCTAAGGTGGTGCCAATTGTTTGTATGTAGGCACTTAGCCCCAAAGTCTTTTTTCTATGTGCTCCAGCAGGGGAATGGTAGCCTACAAATGACATTTCTTGGAGCATTTTGCCAGCTGGGTATTGCCAATAAGAAGCATTGGATGGGAAATAAGAAGGGGTAGGGAGGGAAAAGCTATTGTCTTCCTGCTTCCAGTTCTGGCAAATGATTCAGTAGCTGAAAGAACCTGTAGATGACTATAGATTCTAGCACACAAAGTGGGACAGAGGCCTTTTGCTTTCTTACCTAGTGACAGAGCAGGAGTTTCATCAGAAGCAGCACCAATTCCTACACCAGGCATTGTACCACCTGCCCTCTTTCTTTCTTTGCAAGGATAGGGGCAATAGTGGCTTATGGCAGTTACTGGCCTCTGGCTAATTTGTCTGACTCCTTGATCATTCCACTCTTGTAATAATTTTGTTACCGAATCTCTGTATTTCTTTTTCTTTCCAGGGAACTGACTGATTCTAAAATTAATCTCATCCTACTACCAGTGATAGCTTCAAGCATAGGTATATTGTATGATTTGAGCCAACGAGAATGCAGGAAACATTTGCTGGTAAAGTCTGGGATTATTTTGCTTTTATTTTCTGGGACAGTTTACAGTAGCTTCTCTCTTTCTCTCTTAACAATCTCCCGTGTTCAGTTCCTACAGCTATTTTAATCACCCTCCCGGAGATTTCAATCCCAACAGAGGACAGCAGGGTCAAAAGACCGCTAGAAAAATATACTTGGGCAAGTATATTTTGTCACCCCGATACACACCCTACTTCTGGACTCCCAGTAATGGGAAGCCATAAATGTCTTTATTTTTAAGTCCCTGCGGGAAGGGATTTCTATTATTTTCTGATTGCTGACACAACCATAATCTATGAAATGGAATGTCTAGGAAGAAATTCCTGAATCTAGATAACTCAGCAGATTGACATGCTGGGCAGCACTACAAGACTGTGGCAAGGACACAGAATGTCTGAGTGCTCCCTCTAGGGTATTTAGACCCCATAATGACTTTGGGGGTTTCTTCCGTAGTTCCCTTAAATTCCAGTGGTCTTTCATAGAAAATATATATTAAAAGAACATAATTGGCTATGCTTGCATATTCAGGACGTACGACACAAGATAGGCCATCTTTAAGGTAAAAAAAAAAATGCTGTAGAATTTCAGACTCAGTGGCTCAGAAAAAGTCTCAGACATTTAATAGTCAGAACACCTGAGAAATTTGGGGACAATTTTTTTTTCTTGTTTTGTTCTGGGCGACCTAAATTTTTCTTTTTTTTTTTTCAAATCTGAAATACTTATCCCATTAATTACTAGAATTTTTTTCCAGGCATCCTTCAAAGTCCAAGGTCACTCTTCTAGTCTGTTTCTTTCTCTGAAGCATCTCTTTCATCCTATGAATCAATAATACTTTTGATTTCACTCTGTAAGTCTCCTTCCATTAGGCTTTTCAGTCAACTTCATTTCAGGCTGGAACTGGTCCCCTTCCTAACTCATCTCTGGCTTGACAATTATCTTTCTACCAGCACAACTTAGGCCATATATTCATCCTATATCCCACTGCCTTTGCATAGAAGGCCAAACTCATTCATAATTAGACTCCAACTTGCCTTTCTACTCTTATCTCTTCCTTTCCTTGACTTCCCTGGTTATAATCCTGGTACGCTATATTTAACTGGAGGAATATTCACTTTTCCTCAAACAGCATATTTACATCCATATCTATGAGCCTTGTTCAATATTGTTCTGTTTTCCTGGAAATCTCACTCTATTTACACTTGATGGAATATCAGTCATTTATATATTCAGAATACATGTATTGAAAACCTATGTGCTGAACACAGTCCAAGGCACTGGGCATTCAAAATGATACCTGCCTTGGGCATTCATACATAACTCCATGGGGAATATATAAATGTGTACAAATAAAATATAGTGTCCTAAATACTATCATAAAGTCGTTTGAATCATACATGATTTGAACACATCTTGCATAGTATTATCTGTCTATCTACACTACAAAGTTTGCAAGGGTAAAGAGTGTATTATATTCATTTTGCATTACCTATCCTTAACCTGGAGCCCATTAGGAAGGAAGGAAGGAAGGAAGGAAGGAAGGAAGGAAGGAAGGAAGGAAGGAAGGAAGGAGAGAAAGAAAGAGAAAGAGAAAAAAGAGAGAGAAAGAAAAGCAAAGAACACAGAGCAAGCCTCTTTAAACTGGTCTAGCTACACTGTTATATGTCGGAACTATTGACATTTTACTTCAGCACAAGAGGTCTCTTCCCTTTCATCAACTCTTACAGTAGAAAATGACTCTGACTTCTGGGACTGCTTGCAGGCGAGAATGTTAACAGACCTTTCGGTAGCTACAGTTTTCTTGTTGCCCATTGATGGATCAAGAGCTAATTCTCAAACTATTTTCAAGCCAACCTGGTAAGTACATAATATTTATTCAAGCGACACTAAGCCATTTGGCATGATTTCAACAGGAAAGAAAGGGCACTTTGAGAAAGGGCTTGTGGTATAAATATGGTTGGCTCATAACTGTATGGGTGATGCCTCTGTTCATCTCCTGATAGGAAGGCTACGAAATAGTTCTTTATAACTAGCTCTGTTTAATATTTTGCTTATTCTTTCTGCCATCCTCACTTCAGATCTGAATGACAGTATAATCAGACAGAACTAAAGCATAATCCCAGCAGAGAAGAGAAAGAGGCGATTAGGCCCTACTGATAAAGCAAATGAATTCTAGTTCATCCGAGGGGAAAAAAAATGTTCAGGCTACAAGACAATGACCACTTTTTTCCCAAGCAGTGGGAGATTTATCAGTGACAAGTGTTTGCTTAGGTTTATTTTCTGAATCCATTTTCTTGCATTTATAGAGGAGAAATGCTGAAAAATGGAATTCTTATGTTCCATTCATAATGGCTTTCAAGGATGATCTTGCATCTTTTAAAATCCATTCCTCTGATTGGTGGAAGACTTTCACCTCCTTAGACATCCATCTAAGACAGCACTTCCTTTTTCCATGTTTTAGAAAGACAGAAACGGTTTAAAGGGGCTTGTGATTTGTTTGGAAAGAGGGTAAACACTTTACTGTGTTTGTGTATAGGTCACATCATACTGATTCCACTTGGGCGGGTAGCCAGGGAGAGAGCCCTTGTGCAAAATGGACATTGCTTTGAAATTCAGATAGTAAGAGCGGGAGACTGGAAGTGGGAAGTGACATGACTGAGCCCCACAAAAAGGGAAAAGGACACAAAGAACTTGGAAGAAAGTAGTGTGAGGAGAGACAGGGAGGGTCTTTTTGCATGTTTACTCCAGTCCTATAGTAAAAGCCCATAAACATTTATGACAAGCCAGAATAAATGATTAACTGCTTATGGCTTTCAAACCAGAACCAGCCGCATCACAATAAACACTATATCATTGGAGAGATACCTAAACATGGATAAGATTCTAACTTTTAAATTTTTTTATTTTATTTTTTGACCTCATTCTATTTATAAATATTTTGGGGTATATTTCTGAAAGAGAAGGATTTTTTGAAAACACAGCCATAATAGTGTTATCGAACACAAATGAAATGACACTTCATCAACAATATTTCAAATAGCTAGTCAGTATTAAAATATTCCCAATTGTCTAATGAACTTTAAAAATGTGTTTGATTTGGGATCCAAAAATTATCCCATATGACAGGTTTCTAAGTCTTTGCCATGCATTTTAATCTATAGGTTACTTTTCCAACTGTTTCTGCTTCCCTGTGAAAGATCCTTATTACTGGTTCTAAAATAAAGCAGAGTTCCTGGCACATAGTGAGGATTAGTAAATATTTATAGAATAAAGGACAGAGAAAGAATATCTTCCACTGCCCTGCTTGTGGTTGGAACAGTCATTTCTAGAACGATCACCTTTTTGTCTTTCCCTTTCACCTACCTGTAGCCTCTCATTGGGTTCCTTCACTGTTCTACAACCTTTAAAAATGAAGCAGGCCCATTCACGCGTGCTCACCAACCTGTGGCACGTGAAGCCGTTCTCTGTGCTCCCTTCAAGCCTCTCAACCTCTCATAATTCACTGAATAAATCACTTTGTGTTTTCCTTCCCAAATGAGGATATTGTACACAACTTGAAGGCAGTAACCATTCTTAATTGATCTCCTATCTCCAGCTCCTAAAACACTTTCCATCACAGAGTATACTCTCAATGAATGTTTTCTGTTGTTGATAAAAATTAAAATGAATGTCAGTTCTCATTTACAGACTTAAGGATTAAAGAGAAAGGCCATAGAAATGATCAAAGCTAGCATTCTTTCCCCCTCATGTGTAGATTCTAGTTTTCCACAGGCTCCTATACAATCACCGGTTAAGCATTGCTCTTTGAATCACGGTGTGCTTTTAGATAAGAATGGATATGGTTCCTTTTGGATCTGTGCGCATGCAGCAGTTTTCTAGTGCATTTTAATTAACTCCAGTTTTGTTTTTGCACAAACAATAGTAGTATGAAAGGCAAAAGAAAATATGTTCCTAGAGTGGTCATCAGTACTGGTGCCTCAGAGGAAAGAGCTGAGCTACAAGTGGCAATTCTAAATTGGAGCTTGCTACAGGACAGTGCAGGGGTAAAAATACATTTGCACTCTGAGAAGAAAGACTACAATTCCATTTCTGATCAATAGTGAAGCACCCTGCCAAAGCATGGCTAAAGAGTCAAGTTACTGTTTTTAAACATGTTTTCTCTCTCCAGTCATTGCTCTCAGTGAGAACCTCGTAGTAGTGGTACAAAATGGGGCATATTTTAAAGTGACAGGGCACTCCTCCAGTGGCCTCCCATACTCCAGCTGCAAGCTTCTGTTCCACTAAAGTAGGATAAATTTTTAAACTCCAAGTAGCACTTTAGCTTTCTCAACTGAGGGTCTGAGATATGTACTTATATTCCAAGTAATACAGAGATTTCTGAAAAATTAAAGCTTCAAGCCATGACTTTTATTTATTGTCAGTTGGCTGGAGGGTAAAAATAGAGATAGACTAACCTGCCAGTGACAAAAATGGGGAGGTGGTGCGTATTCTAGGAAGTGCACAGCAAAAAAATAGGCACCAGAGCTGCTTAGAGATGGCTGGCAAAAAATGATTTGGGATTAAGCCTAGGAAAGTAAATACTAATGGACTTGAACAAGAGATCTGGAAAAAAACAAGTATTTCGTGGTAGAAGGGTAATTGAAAAGGGGATGAACTAAAAACCCCTTTGGATACTAATGGAACTATGTATCCTTTGTTGGTCTTTCTTTTGTTTTTCCTCCCAAATACCTAACTTTGTCTCTTGTTCCTCATTTCCAGAATTAAATTTTAGCCCAAGATGTCAATATATGCATAACCATATCAAATATGTGAGTATTAACTCATTATCTACCAGCTCCTCAAACATTTATAATACAAAACACAAAATAAATAGGATTCAATTCTTGTTGATTCAACCTAGTTGAGAATAGATAGTCCAGTTAACAAAAAAATGATGAACACAAAGGGAAAGAGGAGAGGAACCCGATATATGTTCTCTAGGCCTTTTAGAAAACATGGAGTTGTTCCTTTGGCCACATATATGTGAATCTATAAGAAAGGTGATATTACAGACATCAAGGGAATGGGCACTGTTCAAAAAGGAACGCCCCACAAGTGTTACCATGGCAAAACTGGAAGAGTCTATAATGTTACCCAGCATGCTGTTGGCATTGTTGTAAACAAACAAGGGCAAGATTCTTGCCGAGAGAATTAAGGTGCGTATTGAGCACACGAAGCAGTCTAAGAGCAGAGATAGCTTCCTGAAACGCGTGAAGGAAAATGATCAGAAAAAGAAAGAAGCCAACGAGAAAGGGACCTGGGTTCAACTGAAGCACCAGCCTGCTCCACCCAGAGAAGCACACTTTGTGAGAACCAATGGGAAAGAGCCCAAGCTGCTGGAACCTATTCCCTATGAACTCATGGCATAATAGGTATTAAAATAAATAAATAAACAAAAGACCTCTGGGCTGTTAAAAAAAAATTGTCTAATTTATATGACATTGGTATAATTTCCCCAGAATTCGAATGCAACTTTTAAAGTAAAACCTCTGGAAAATAAATCATGCATCATTGGTCATTTACAACCCATTTTAAAGCAATTCAATAGCATCTAGAGCAAAGGTTACAGAAGATGCTGTCAGGGTGTCTCCCATTTCCTACACCACTGAATGTTTCCCATCTCTTTCTGCATGAGGACACAATCTGTCCAGAAAGCTCATGTGTACTCTTCAAGATAGGATAGAAGTGCCAGGAAATGAATGTCCCCAGGAGCAACCATTAACGAGTAATATGTGGGAAGATGTGGATAAACACTTGAGCTTGCTTGCCCTCAGTGAGCAGTGCTGTAGTATGTGCTACAGTTTATCAGTGTGTCCTCTGTGTGATTGAGTTTGGAATTACAACCTCAACGTGTCTTAACTGCCTTTCCCTCCTACCATATCCCTCTTTCCCACTCCCCCACTGTACTCTCTGAAGTTACTTCCCAAATAAACTATCAGAATTCAAGTTCTTGTCTCAAGATATGCTTTAAGGGGACCTCAAACATTGACAATGATGCACAACTGTTTTAATTAATTCCCATGAGAAATGGCAATTGACTATGGTTAAAATAGTGCTTTCTTGGCGCCATTTATTCACATACAATGTCAATTTTTCCATACCAGCATTAGCTTCTGACTATGATTTAGCTCATAACTTTTCTAAGTCACTTTAAAATGGATTGACTTTACTCTCAAATATGGTAAAATTATACCTGAAATCACATTGATAGCCATACACTTTTCCTAATATATAAAGTTATATTTTTAATGTTTGCTTATGTGTTACATGAAATGTTATATTTCATGTTTTGCAAAACACTGAGCTATATAGTGTAGATAAGACACATGCATGCTTTCTCTGTCACCAGCCCATGACCCCACAGTTAAGGATTGTTAAGGTAAAAATCTATCAAATTTTTTACTAGACACTGCCCTTGGGGTGTTGGAGAATTGCACTTTTCTTGTTAGATGACTTTTGTCTGGATTGACAATGTCCATTTTGAGTTATGAGTTTCTACCCAGCAGGAACCCTACCTGGCAGGTTTCTTTCATATTAGCATCCAGTACAATGGCACCAAAAGTGAGAAATAGATGGGGGTGGTAATAGTAGTAACTGGCACTCATTTTATGTCTATGAAAATTCGTTAAGAATATATAAGATGCAAACAGAAAGAATGCAATACTTTGGGTTCATAGTCAAAGGACTAGTTATCTTCTGCCGATTTGTAGCAAAACTTTGTGTTTTTGGAGGGGGTGTTTTGTATTTGAAAAGACACTATTCCTCAAAATACAACTCAGGACCGAAAGCTTATAAAAGCACTTTATAAAGGGGAATTAATATTTGGTTTTTGGTGGTTTTTTTTCCTAAAGAGGTACTCCAATTTTTTTCTAAGTGACAAACTTTGTTTCTCAGGAATTTTATTGTTATTACTAATTTGTGAACCACATGTTGCTTGTTACCAACAAATCTAATTTATCTAATTCATGAAAAACTATGGCTAAATTTCTGGAGATGTGTGTTGGGGAGGGAGGAAAGGAGAGGCTGAGATCTAGCAAAATGCTGAGACAACATCCATTGAAGTCATTGTGCATGCAGATCTAGAAAGATAAGCACAGACAGGATATGAAATTGTGTAGACTATGAACATCTCTGGTTGATTAAATGGAATTGAAATACATTTTCTCTTTCATATTGGAAGAGGCTTAACATTAAAAAACTAATCTCTTTTGAGATAAAGTTCATTAACACAATGATTATTCATTTGGCTTTTATAATGATATTGCTGCTTAATCACCAGAACATTGCTTCCTGTGCTCGGTGGGAACCAGCAGGAAACATTTGAAGAGCAAGTCTTGCTGCTAATGTGATGGGAGAGGGAATAGTATTCTCACTGCTCTTCATTTCAAAAGTACAGCACATTCTTGCTCAGAAGTCTAAAACCTCTTGTCCGATAGCATGAGCTTTAAGCCCCACAACAAACACAGAATAAAGTTATATAACCCTGAAAGCTAAATCTTTGCCTCAGGTCTGGTGTTTCTCTCTGGATTACACATAAAGGTTCTCAAGGGGGGCATTTTCATTACGAACCAAGATTTGAAGTGTTTGATCTTGGTAGTTGCAGATACCACAGCACTGAATTCGATAGCTCATTTGACTGTTTAGCTCAGTAAACAAAGACATGAACGAATCGAACCAAACTATAAATCTTTAAAACTATATCCTCCTTGATGCAAGTTGAACCCACAGTGCCTCCCTAAAACTAAATAGTCTATCTGCAATGGAATCAGAATGAAAATGTAATCATAAGATGTCATATAGACAACTATTAATTTTCATTCACCAAAGATTCTTTTGAATGTAAGAATTGATAAACTTTCTGTAGGGAGTTAAATTATTAATACGGCACAATATGCAAAATTATCTACCAGTATGTATTGCACAGTGTAGCCACAGTAGTCAAAGCTGTAAGTTCCAAAAAATAGAAACCAACTTTGGATGATTTAAGCAGACATCAAATGGATTCAAAGGATGTTAGGTTAATTCACAAAATTATCCAGTAACTCAACTTCAAAAGCTGGGCGGGAACAAAGAATGTTTGTAGTGGTTAGGACTGACATCAGTGGTTTCAAACATAAAATCATTTAAACAAAGACAGTATTTTCATTGAACATTAAACTTCCCAGCCCACAATGCACATTCATCTACAACCAACCTAGAAATGTAACGTGACTGCCACTAAGGCTGCCACCAGTCAGAAAAATGGTTTTTCTAATGCCTCTGTGTCTTCAAGATCTGGAGAGTACAATTCTGGAGTAGGTACACATTCCTGGCCAGGTAATGCAACATGCTCAGGCAGGCCCTTGCAGCAAAGAGACCAAATGATCACTGGCTTGATTCACCAGGACTCCCAGGATTTGATGAATTTCTCCAAGATAAAGAGTTCAGATGCTGGTCAGCCAAAAAATGACATATTTTCATTATCTACCATTGGATAAGCCCAACACAATTACAAATTCATAACAAGGAGGTACTTAGAACATATCTTGACATGACTGAGAACCTATTATTAGTTCAATTGGATGGTTAAAAGCTTTGTTTACAACTTCTCCAAACCTGACCATATGTTCATGTCAGAAACAAATCAACCTTTTCTAACCAACCACATAATACTTCTGGCCTGCTTCAATTTGCCCACAGCCTCTCAGCTAAGCCATCAGAGTTGTAGAAAGAAAGAAAAAAAAAGAGAAAGTTGTATATAGCACAGGAGATTGTTAAGAAACGTTTCCTAGGCCTTAGGGGTGCCTTTACAACATTGACATCTTTAAGACAGGGACATTTTCCAAAGAGTGCTGACAGAGGGGTTGGTGTCTGTCAAGTGTGCTGACCCCGTTTTGATCATATCCAAGGCACTTCCAAGTCTCACTAACTGAACCTAAATGATTTGGGAACTCATAAAGAAACCTGATACCAGGGATGTGCACTTTCATTACGATGTTCCATTTCATTATTTTGCAAAACCCTGGTGAATATATCTGACTCCCACTGAGATCAGATCTGAAAAGCTCACACAGAGACAAGAGCACATGGGCTGAAAATCAGAGAGAGGTCACTAGTGGAATGTGAGAAGCTATGTTTTGACATTTGTCAAATGTTAACAAAAACAATCCTCATTAATCTTATATCTGTGAATAGTGAAAGGTAACAGCAGGAACAAATAAGACATGGATAATGCAAAGCATGAGCTAATGTAAAATGAATTCATATTTGATTAGTGGATACACGATGTAATTTCTGCAATATCTATTTGTTCTTATGTTTTCTTCTGCGAATGTTATAATTGGGTTCAACTCCCTGAGTACAACCTGGTTAAGTGACACTGTGCACTTAAATATTTTCAATGAATCATGATTAACAACGTTTTCGTAAGTAGCAGAAATCTTACCCAGGCACAAATAGGTCGGAGTGTATATACTGGTTGAAATCACAGAGAGTCTCTTGAGTAAGAAAATCTTTTGAGCAGGAAATATCTGAATCAGCCAGCAGTATTGGAAAAGCATGTGTATCAGAAGACTTGGGAACATTGTGTTGTGATAAGGAAACATTAAATTCAACAGAAATTTTGATGAGAATTTTAGCTAGAAAATACAATGTTATTTGGTTAAGGACAGAACCCCCAATCTTGTCTGAGGCAAGAATTACATGCTGAAACCTCCGCCCCAGCCCTGGGTCCAGACTCCTGTGTGAAAGAGACCGCAGTGCAGACGGCTGACTTCAGCACTGCATGTATGCTGGATGCTCAATAACTGTGGAAGATAATGAAGTTCAATATTGATTTTTTCAGTCATATCCAGACCCCCAGATAATAAGAAATGGTGCAGTGTCATCACCTCAGCTTAAAGGACAAATGAAAAAGCTCACTGCAGGATTTGCATGTTATATCTATTTTCTCCTTTACATGAAATTTCCCTTTGCAAATGTTATCCATTGGAAATTTTCTGCCCATGATTTCAAATTGGCTAAACTTCAACAGGACTTAGACATACACTCTGAAGTCAGGAACACAGCCCTGCATTCTCTCCGGATTCTCTCATGGAATAATTTTATGACCCCGGGTTATATCACTTCATCTTTCTTAGTCTCAATTACTTCATTTGCTTAATGAATGGTCAGAGGGAAACAATGTCATCAAAGATCCCTTTCAGTCAAATGAATTGAAGCAGGAACAGTCTGTCATCTCATATAATATGAATCCCTCACTTAGAAGTATGATATTTTAGACTTGAACTATCACAAGGAGTATTAGATCAGAGCAAAGGACGGGCTTAATTTTTAAGAAGCATCTAGAGGTACTGAAGTTAAGGTTATAAGGCAAATCACATAATCACCATCCCAAAATATTATATGAAAATAGTCATCTATCCTGAAAAGCAGGTAACTAAATTAGATCAACACTTGAGATCCCAATAAGATTTTCTTTATATAGAGAGCTGTTTATCTGCTCTGACTTCTGTATTTTAAATTATTTTGGGCTACTATCCTTCCATTGCTATTATAAATCATTAGAAACTCAAAATTTTCCTTATTATATATGTGAAATAATTCAATGAAAACTATTAACACAGTTGAAAACAGTAGTAGATGCAGACAAGCACATGTATTTAATGGATTCACTGCTCAACAGATGATCAGATCTATCCAAATTGTGCATGTCTAAAGCTGTCATCATATCTCTTACCTCTTTTTTATCCTCACAGTGAAGAAGAAATGCAACATGGCAAAACTCATATCTTGGGAAGGCAGGTGTTTTTGGTAATAACAAAAAAGTTAAAGTTGCTCAATTCTCAGTGTACAGATAAAAGTCTCCTGAAGAATTTAAAGATGGTAATTATGTATACTCACTAAAATCAGTTAGGAAAACCTAACTTTCATTCTTTGTACAAAAAGAAAAGTGATTATGTATACATATATACTATAGGACACTTCAAAAACAGTGCATAAATATCAGGTACATTTAATGGCATCATTGCACAGAAAGCTTATCCTGTGTCACAGAAGCATTTCATCTGAGGTTAAAATCTCCGATGTCGGATTGCAAACCTGCTTTGTGCAAAGCACTATAATAGGAAGAATAATACGTTGACACCAAAGAAACAGGTTTGGAGAAGCTTAGAGTCTAGTAGAAAAGAACAATAGCTATTCAAGTCAAGGTTTCCTGAGATCTTTTCAAACTAACCTTGATATGAACAATACTGCCTTCTTTGGATTATTGATACATGAGGCTGTCACATAGGTTTTTGTTAACTTTCTCTAAATTATCAAGTCATTTGCAGCAGGTAGGCCAATCCCTTCAAGCCTCTTCACACAATCACCTGCTTAAAGAGGTTTACCTTGACCACTCTACATAAATTAGCAAAACTCGTTACTCTATTACCATCAAACAAACAGAATTTTATTGTTCACTTCTTTTCTGTTTCCTCCTCCTAAAATATAAATCCTATGAGCTGGCGAACTTTTGTTTTGTTCCCTATCTTCAGTTACTAGGATAGTAATTAATACTCAGAAATTGCATTATAAATTTTTGCTGAAGAAGTAAATGGATGGATGGATGGATGGATGAATGAATATATGTGTATTTCCTGGCATGGATGACATGCACTAAATTATTCAAAGAAATAGCCTACTCCGAGTTTATTTTTAAACTATTTTGTACTTTTATAATAGGCATATTTTATTTCTGCAATCTAATTTTACAAGTATTTTTGTTTAAAAAAGAATAAGGATTGCTGCCCTGCCATGAAATAAAATGACAAAGAATTGTCATTTATTGTCACTAAAGATTCACACTTGTCCAATTTCTAATCATTTTCAGAGAAAATAATTTCAACTTTTCCACCAAAGTGACCCATTCCAGAATTTGACATCTCTTGTTATAAGGAAATTCTTTTTTTAGCTCATGTTAATTTTCTCTGTTTTATTTTCCACGTAGTCTGTTTTTTTTTTTTTTTTTTTTTTTTTTTTATCTTTGGCAATAGAAACAATTCCATCACAAGATGCCAACAATTTACTCCAAA
This sequence comes from Homo sapiens, assembly GCF_000001405.40. NCBI lineage: Eukaryota > Metazoa > Chordata > Mammalia > Primates > Hominidae > Homo > Homo sapiens. Next base: position 1,912,813 of record NC_000003.12, read on the forward strand.
AAATATAAATAGAATGAGATGTGCGCGTGTGAAAACCGTATCATCCATAGTAGGAAAGGGTGTGCCCAAAGGCAAAGAAAAAAAAGTTTTAATTCAAATGAAAGTATACATATACTACGCCAAGTTTTTTTTTTTTTTTTTTCCCCAGTTCCAGGAACTAATGAGTAAGAAGTTGTTAGACTTCCTCACATGTCTAAGAACTGGTCCATATTTTTGTAGATGAAACTTACAGAATTTACTTGACAGCACAAACACGTATATTTATAAAATAAAAAAAGATGATGGCTGTATCTCTGTCTCTATTTTTAAGGAAGATAATGATAATTATTCATAATACTATTTTATTTCAAGCAGAAAAGAAATATTAGTTAATTATGCAATTACCATGTTTTCACCACTTACTTTTCTGAAGCAACAAAATATTATGCAGAGAAATTATATCCTTTTTTATCCCTTAATGTAAGAATTTCATTTTAGCTGGTCTATTCCTCATAGAATGCCAAACTACTATGATAGAAAGCATGAATAATACACACACAAACGCACACATACACACACACCTGCACACACACATCCAGTTGATTTTAATAGCTTATAAAAAGAAATTGACAAAATCTATATATTGGTGAATCTCTACATCCACATATCTATATCAACCTATTTAGATAAATATAGATATATAAAACACAAATTAAATTTTTTATTATACTTTTTAAGTTCTAGCTAGGGTACATGTGCACAATGTGCAAGTTTGTTACGTAAGTATACATGTGCCATGTTAGTTTGCTGCACCCATCAACTCGTCATTTACATTAGGTATTTCTCCTAATGCTATCCTTCCCCCAGGCCCCCACCATGGGACAAGCCCTGGTGTGTGATATTCCCCTTCCTGTGTAAGTGTTCTCATTGTTCAATTCCCACCTATGAGTGAGAACATGCAGTGTTTGGTTTTCTGTCCTTGTGATAGTTTGCTAAGAATGGTGGTTTCCAGCTTCACCCATGTCCCTACAAAGGACATGAACTCATCCTTTTTTATGGCTGCACAGTATTCCATGCTGTATATGTGCCACATTTTCTTAATCCAGTCTATCATTGATGGGCATTTGGGTTGGTTCCAAGTCTTTGCTACTGTGAATAGTGCCACAATAAACATATGTGTGCATGTGTCTTTATAGTACAATGATTTATAATCCTTTGGGTATATACCCAGTAATGGGATGGCTGGGTCAAATGGTATTTCTAGCACTAGATCCCTGAGGAATCGCCACACTGTCTTCCACAATGGTTGAACTAATTTACACTCCCACCAACAGTGTAAAAGCATTCCTATTTCTCCACATCCTCTCCCACATCTGTTGTTTCCTGACATTATAATGATCGCCATTCTAACTGGTGTGAGATGGTATCTCATTGTGGTTTTGATTTGCATTTCTCTGATGACCAGTGATGATGAGCATTTTTTCATGTGTTTTTTGGCTGCATAAATGTCTTCTTTTGAGAAGTGTCTGTTCATATCCTTCGCCCACTTTTTGATGGGGTTGTTTTTTTCTTGTAAATTTAAGTTCTTTGTAGATTCTGGATATTAGCCCTTTGTCAGATGAGTAGATTGCAAAATTTTTCTCCCATTCTGCAGGTTGCCTGTTCACTCTGATGGTAATTTCTTTTGCTGTGCAGAAGCTCTTTAGTTTAATTAGATCCCATTTGTCAGCATTGGCTTTTGTTGCCATTGCTTTTGGTGTTTTACTCATGAAGTCTTTGCCCGTGCCTATGTCTTGAATGGTATGGCCTAGGTTTTCTTCTAGGGTTTTTATGGTTTTAGGTCTAACATTTAAGTCTTTAATCCATCTTGAATTAATTTTTGTATACGGTATAAGGAAGGAATCCAGTTTCAGCTTTCTACATATGGCTAGCCAGTTTTCCCAGCACCATTTTTTAAATAGGGAATCAGTTCCCCATTTCTTATTTTTGTCAGGTTTGTCAAATATCAGATGGTGGTAGATGTGCGGTGTTATTTCTGAGGGCTCTGTTCTGTTCCATTAATCTATATCTGTTTTAGTACCAGTACCATGCTGTTCTGGTTATGGTAGCCTTGTAGTATAGCTGGAAGTCAGGTAGCATGATGCCTCCACCTTTGTTCTTTTTGCTTAGAATTGTCTTGGCTATGCGGGCTCTTTTTTGGTTCCATATGAACTTTAAAGTAGTTTTTTCCAATTCTGTGAAGAAAGTCATTGGTAGCTTGATGGGGATGACATTGAATCTGTAAATTACCATAGGCAGTACGGCCATTTTCACAATATTGATTCGTTCTATCCATGAGCATGGAATGTTCTTCCATTTGTTTGTGTCCTGTTTTACTTCGCTGAGCAGTGGTTTGTAGTTCTCCTTGATGAGGTCCTTCAGATCCCTTGTAAGTTGTATTCCTAGGTATTTTATTCTCTTTGTAGCAATTGTGAATGGAGTTCACTCATCATTTGGCTCTCTGTCTGTTATTGGTGTATAGGAATGCTTGTGATTTTTGCACATTGATTTTGTATCCTGAGATTTTGCTGAAGTAGCTGATCAGCTTAAGGAGATTTTGGGCTGAGATGTTGGGGTTTTCTAAATATACAATCATGTCATCCACAAACAGAGACAATTTGACTTCCTCTTTTCCTAATTGAATACCCTTTATTTCTTTCTGCTGCCTGATTGCCCTGACCAGAACTTCCAAAACTATGTTGAATAGGAGTGGTGAGAGAGGGCATCCTGGTCTCCTGCCAGTTTCTAAAGGGAATGCTTCCAGTTTTTCCCCATTCAGTATGATATTGGCTGTAGGTTTGTCATAAATAGCTCTTATTATTTTAAGATACCTTCCATCCATACCTAGATTATTGAGAGTTTTTAGCATGAAGGGCTGTTGAATTTTGTTGAAGGCCTTTTCTGCATCTATTGAGATAATCATGTGGTTTTTGTCATTGGTTCTGTTTATGTGATGGACTGCGTTTATTGATTTGCATATGTTGAACCAGCCATGCATCCCAGGGATGAAGCCGACTTGATTGTGGTGGATAAGCTTTTTGATGTGCTGCTGGATTCGGTTTGCCTATATTTTATTGAGAATTTTTGCATGAATGTTTATCAAGGATATTGGTCCAAAATTCTTTTTGTTGTATCTCTGTCAGGCTTTGGTATCAGGATGATGCTAGCCTCATAAAATGGGTTAGTGAGGATTCCCTCTTATTCTATTTTTTGGAATAGTTTCATAAAGAATGCTACCAGCTCCTCTTTGTATCTCTGGTAGAATCCAGCTGTGAATCCGTCTGTTCCTGGACTTTTTTTGGTTGGTAGGCTATTAATTATTGCCTCAATTTCAGAGCCTGTTATTGGTCTATTCAGAGATTCAACTTCTTCCTGGTTTAGTCTTGGGAGGGTGTATGTGTCCAGGAATTTATCCATTTCTTCTACATTTTCCAGTTTATTTGTGTAGAGGTGTTTATAGTATTCTCTGATGGTAGTTTGTATTTCTGTGGGATCAGTGGTGATACTCCCTCTACCATTTCTTATTGCATCTATTTGATTTTTCTCTCTTTTCTTCTTAGTCTTGCTAGTGGTCTACCAATTTTGTTGATCTTTTCAAAAAACCAGCTCCTGGATTCATTGATTTTTTTTTTAACAGTTTGTTTGTGTCTGTATCTCCTTCAGTTCTGCTCTGATCTTAGTCATTTCTTGCCTTCTGCTAGCTTTTGAATTTTTTTGCTCTTGCTTCTCCAATTCTCTTAATTGTGATGTTAGGGTGTCGATTTTAGATCTTTCCTGCTTTCTCTTGTGGGCATTTACTGCTAAAAATTTCCCTTCACACACTGCTTTAAATGTGTCCCAGAGATTCTGGTACGTTGTGTCTTTGTTCTCACCGGTTTCAAAGAACATCTTTATTTCTGCCTTCATTTCATTATTTACCCAGTAGTCATTCAGGAGCAAGTTGTTCAGTTTCCATGTAGTTGTGTGGTTTTGACTGAGTTTCTTAATCCTGCGTTGTAATTTGATTGCACTGTGGTCTCAGAGACAGTTTGTTGTGATTTCTATTCTTTACATTTGCTGACGAGTGCTTTACTTCCAATTATGTGGTCAATTTTAGAATAAGTGTGATGTGGTGCTGAGAAGAATGTATATTCTGTTGATTTGGGGTGGAGAGTTCTGTAGATGTCTATTAAGTCAGCTTGGTCCAGGGCTGAGTTCAAGTCCTGGATATCCTTGTTAACCTTCTTTCTTGTTGATCTGTCTAATATTGACAGTGAGGTGTTAAAGTCTCACATTATTATTGTGCGGGAGTCTAAGTCTCTGTAGGTCTCTAAGGACTTGCTTTATGAATCTGGGTGCTCCTGTATTGGGTGCATATATATTTAGGATAGTTAGCCCTTCTTGTTGAATCGATCCCTTTACCATTATGTAATGCCCTTCTTTGTCTCTTTTGATCTTTCTTGGTTTAAAATCTGCTTTATCAGAGACTAGGATTGCAACCCTTGCTTTTTTTTTTGCTTTCCACTTGCTTGGTAGATCTTCCTCCATCCCTTTATTTTGAGCCTATGTATGTCTCTGCACGTGAGATGGGTCTCCTGAATACAGCACACTGATAGGTCTTTAGTCTTTATCCAATTTTCCAGTCTGTGTCTTTTAATTGGGGCATTTAGCCCATTTACATTAATATTGTTATATGTAAATTTGATCCTGTCATTATAATGTTAGCTGGTTATTTTACCCATTAATTGATGCAGTTTCTTCATAGCATTGATGGTCTTTACAATTTGGCATGTTTTTGCAGTGGCTGGTACCAGTTTTCCTTTCCATGTTTAGTGCTTCCTTCAGGACCTCTTGTAAGGCAGGCTTGGTCGTGACAAAATCTCTCAGCATTAGCTTGTCTGTAAAGGATTTTTCCTTCTCTTATGAAGCTTAGTTTGGCTGGATATGAAATTCTGGGTTGAAAATTCTTTTCCTTAAGAATGCTGAATATTGACTCCCACTCTGTGGCTCATAGGGTTTCTGCCAAGAGATCCACTGTTAATCTGATAGGCTTCTCTTGGTGGGTAACCCAACCTTTCTCTCTGGCTGCCCTTAAAATATTTTCCTTCATTTCAACCTTGGCGAATCTGACAATTATTTGTCTTGGGGTTGCTCTTCTTGAGGATTATCTTTGTGGTGTTCTCTGTATTTCCTGAATTTGAATGTTGGCCTGCCTTGCTAGATTGGTGAAGTTTTCCTGGATAATATCCTGCAGAGTGTTTTCCAACTTGGTTCCGTTCTCCCCAGCACTTTCAGGTGCACCAATCAAAGGCAGATTTGGTCTTTTCACATAGTCCTATATTTCTTGTAGGCTTTGCTCGTTTCTTTTTACTTTTTTCTCTAAACTTGTTTTCTCGCTGTGTTTCATTAATTTAATCTTCAATCACTGATATACTTTCTTCCGCTTGATTGAATTGGCTATTGAAGCTTGTGCATGCATCACGAAGTTTTCATGACACCATTTTCAGCTCCATCAGGTCATTTAAGGTCTTCTCTACACTGTTTATCTTAGTTAGCCATTTGTCTAACCTTTTTTCAAGATTTCAAGGTTTTTAGCTTCCTTCTGATGGGTTAGAGCATCCTCCTTTAGCTCACAGAAGTTTGTTTTTACCGACCTTCTGATGCCTACTTCTGTCAACTCGTCAAAGTCATTCTTTGTCCTGCTTTGTTCCATTGCTGGTGAGGAGCTGCGATCCTTTGGAGGAGAAGAGGCGCTCTGGTTTTGATAGTTTTCAGCTTTTCTGCTCTGGTTTCTCCCCATCTTTGTGGCTGTATCTACCTTTGGTCTCTGACGTTGGTGACCTACAGATGGGGTTTTGGTGTAGATATCCTTTGTGTTGATGTTGATGCTATTCCTTTCTGTTTCTTAGTTTTCCTTCTAACAGTCAGGTCCCTCAACTGCAGGTCTGTTGGAGTTTGCTAGAGGACCACTCCAGACCCTGTTTGCCTGGGTATCACCAGCAGTGGCTGCAGAAGAGCAAATATTGCAGAATAGCAAATATTGCTGCCTGATCCTTTCCCTGGTAGCTTCGTCCCAGCGGGGCACCCTCCTATATGAGGTGTCTCTCAGCCCCTACTGGGAGGTGTCTCCCAGTTAGGCTACACAGGGGTCAGGGACCCATTTGAGGAGGCAGTCTATCTGTTCTCAGAGCTCAAATGCCATGCTGGGAGAACCACTGCTCTCTTCAGAGCTGTCAGACAGGGATGTTTAAGCCCACAGAAGTTTCTGCTGCCTTTTGTTCAGGCATGCCCTGCCTACAGAGATGGAGTCTATAGAGGCAGTAGGCTTTGCTGAGCTGTGGTAGCCTCCACCCAGTTCGAGCTTCCTGGCCTCTTTGTTTATCTACTCAAGCCTCAGCAATGGCAGATGACCCTCCCCCAGCCAGGCTTTAGCCTGGCAGGTTGATCTCAGACTGCTGCGTTAGCAGTGAATAAGGCTCTGTGGGCATGGGGCCCGCTGAGCCAGGCACAGGAGAGAATCACCTGGTCTGCCGGTTGCTAAGAATGTGGGAAAAGTGCAGTATTTGGGCAGGAGTTTCCCGTTTTTCCAGGTATAGTCTGTCACAACTTCCCTTGGCTAGAAAAGGGAAATCCCCCAACCCCTTGCACTTTCCCAGGTGAGGCGATGCCCTGCCCTGCTTTGGCTTGCCCTCCATGGGCTGAACTCACTGTCCAACAAGTCCCAATGAGATGAACCACATACTTCAGTTGGAAATGCAGAAATCACCCATCTTCCGCATTGATCACACTGAGAGCTACAGACCAGAGCTGTTCCTATTCAGCCATCTTAAAACAGAGCCTGAGTAAGATGTTTTAATCCCAAATTAGATTTCTAAGAAAACAAACTGATTAACTCATACAAGAATTACAGTAGGACTTTTTTCTTCATTATCTCAATCGAATGTCACAAAATATTACAAGTTCAGTCATTAGAATATAGTGAATAAGTGCTAGAAAGGAGGTATGGGGAAATTATATGACTATATGTGAATGTTTGATATAGCTAGATTGTAAACTAAATGATTTCATACTGTACTTTGCCTAAGTAAATAACTGAAGCTCTATAGCGAGAGTTAAATGCAAATTATCACGCTTTATTTTATATTAAAGAGTCAGAACTGCGTGAGTTCAAGTTTTAAATTAGCATAATTTTTCTCAAACATTTCCATATAATAACCCATATTATTCAATTATTTTGTAATTTATATACGTTATTATAAAAACCTATTATAAAATGGTTGCTTATTTTTTGTCTTAATCTAACTTTTCTTTAGCTAATAAGTTTTAAAAATCAGAATTGGCTTGGTACCAAATAAATACGACCTGCTACATATTTAGAATTCAGGTTTGCAGATGATTTTCAAAAACATTTGACCATACTTGGTTTTCACTGATTAAAACCACTTAAAACATAGTCTTCTTACCAGATATCATATTTTATTTAATACATTTCTATTACTGAGACTCACCCCTTTGAATATACAATTTTTTCATGTGTAACAGCCAAGTGCAGAGTATACATATGAACGCTAAGTCACCCTTTCAATTATTCATCCTATTGAAGTCAGAAGGGTTAGGATTGAATCCTTACTCCCCGTTAACCAGATGTGCTGCAGTGGCAATGCATTCTCTTTTTCAAAAGCTGTACTCATGTCCTGGGAATGGTGACAATGATATCCAACTTAACGCCCACTGCCAGAACTAGATAAAATAGCATGGGTGAACCATCCAGAAGAGTTGCTTGCACATAGCAGTCATTCAAAATAATGTTAATCCTTTTCTCTTCCAAGCCCTCTCCCCTTACCATGTTTGTTAGTCATGTGTATCTTGGCTAAATTTCCCAAACTTTCTTTGTACCTCAATTTGTTTATTGGTAAAATGATAATATTATATGCCATTTTATGTGATGTCAGGGTCAAATGGCAGTGGAAAAATATATATACTTTTCTATGTATATAGTGTGTACATGAAAATGCTCTGAAAAGTATAAATAATGCAAATATTTGAGTCATTATCAGATGAGTTTTAAAGTAATTAATTCAAAATCTATAATTCTTGAAAGTTTATATTATTTTATAAAGCTTGCTATTCTTGGAAATTTATTTTTAAAACGGGTCAACTGTTTTCTTCAAATTCACATTTATTTAGGGTCATTAGTTTGCACTTTATAAGTAACTCCATCTAAATACAACATCTTTGGAGCACTTACGTATCTTTTCTGCTATATTAGGCTTCATGACCACATAGTTAATATTTATATATTGATAGATATGTCTTTCTTTAGTTCCTTCCACTTAGTGAATATGCATACTCCAATCAGATGGCCTGAAAAAGTATGCAACATATGCCTGCATCAGCACAATCTGTTTTAACTTCTAGAAATGCAATGTATGTATGTATACACTGAATGCACATATTGTATATATGTGCATGTATCTATATCCTATTAGTTCTGTTCCTCCAAGAGAACCCTGACTAATACAGATTTTGGTACCAGGAGTGGTTCCAGAGGAAGAAAATATTAAAGGATGAAGTTCTTTCATTGGCTTTAGGGTTTCTGGAGTTGGCTGCTTAATATGATTAGACCCAAAAATGCTAAGGACTCTACTTCTAATAGTATGGAGAACACTGATAGTACTTGGAGTAAACTGTTTGGAGAGTTATGCAAAATAAATGAATTTGATACTCCTGATTCACCACTCCTGAGAGGCAAGGAGTTTAATGACTCTATACTTAATACTTTTGACCATATGTGGAGAACCAGGGAACACAATGAAGCTGTTTGGTTGCTTCTAAGTTCAGTGGACAAAGTGATGAAAGAAAATGATGAACTCAGGGATTCTGTGTCCCAGCTTCAGAGGCAGATAGTGAGCCTCAAATGTGCTGAGATTACCCTGAGAAAGTGTTATCTCCTGTAGAGAAAGAGCTGAAATTGTGGAAAAACAGACAAGTTTTTTTTGTTTGTTTGTTTTTTGTTTTGACAGAGTTTTTCTCTTGTTACCCAGGCTGGAGTGCAATGGCACAATCTCAGCTCACTGCAACCTCCATCTCCTGGATTCAACTGTTTCTCCTACCTCAGCCTCCCAAGTAGCTGGGGATGCCCGCCACCACACCCAGCTAGTTTTTTGTATTTTTAGTAAAGATGGGGTTTCACCATACTGGTCAGGCTGGTCTTGAACTCCTGACCTCAAGTGATCCACCCACCTTGGCCTCCCAAAGTGCTAGGATTATAGGCATGAGCCACCATGCCCGGCCAGACACAAGCTCTTATCATGCGAGTGGCTGACCTGCAATGAAAGGTGCACGCACAGCCTCAGCAGGTGTCTACTGTTACACTGAGGGCAATGACTGGAAAAGAATGGGACCCTGCAACTTGGAATGGGAATGTGTGGGAGGACCCTGATGAAGCAGGAGACACTGAGTTTGTAAACACTGATTAAACTTTTTTGCCAGAAGGAACAGCTTCCCCATCCCCAGTAGTAGCAACATCACCTCCCTGACCCATGCTGCCATCAGCCTTTCCACCATTGTCTGAGGAGATAAACCATGCACTGCCTGAGGCAACAGTGATGGCCTCCCCTGAGGCAGTTGCCAGGCAAGATAACATTGATTTTCCTCAGAAGCCACCCCCAACACCTCTGTTTGCCTCTAGGCCTATAACTAAAGCCCCCGTGGGCCTCTGAAGGTGAGGTTGAGAGTGTGACCCATGAGGAGGTGTGCTACGCTCGAAAGGAACTGTTTGAGTTCTCTAATTTATATAAACAGCAATCTGGAGAACAAGCATGGGAATGGATATTAAGGGTATAGGATAATGGTGGAAGGAACATAGAGTTGGATCAGGCTGAATTTATTGATTTGAACCCACTAAGTAGGGACTCTGCATTTAATGTTGCAGCTTGGGGAGTTAAAGGTTTTAATAGTTTATTTGCTTAGCTAGCTGAAATATGGATTAAAAGATAGCCCACTGTGAATGATCCAGAAATGCCTGATATCCCTTGGTTTAATGTAGAGGAAAGGATCCAAAGGCTTAGGGAGATTGGGATGGTGGAGTGAATTAGTCACGTTAGACATACCCATCCCAGCTGGGAGGGTCCAGAAGATACACCCTTGACCAATGCCTTGCTAAATAGATTTGTGAGGACAGCACCTGCCTCTTAGAAGAGCTCTGTAATTCTTCTCTGTAGGTCAGATCTAACACTGGGAACCACAGTCACTCAACTCCAACATTTAAATACAATGGGGATAATTGGATCCTGAGGTAGCAGGGGCCAACTGGCAGCCCTCAACCATCAAAGGCAAGGTGGGCATAGCTACCGTAATTGACAGCAGAGGCAAAGCAGCAATCAGAATAGTGTGACTCCTGTAGAGCTCTGGCACTGGCTAATTAATCACGGTGTACAAAAGAAGTGAAATTGATAGCAAGCCTACTGCATTCCTGCTTAAATTATACAAACAGAAAAGTTCTAGGTCGAATAGACAAAAGACTGATTTGAATTATAAAAACAGAATCATGGCCCCTCCATCAATTTCCAGACTTGAGCCAGTTTACAGACCCAGAACCCCTTGAATGATGGGAAGGCCAGGTCCCCTTGAGGAGGGACCCCACTACATTACCAACAATTTATGCAGTGAATCTTTCTCCCATCTTTCCCCTAGGAGACCTTCAGCCTTTTCCTAAGAAGACCCAGGGAAACTGTGCACTGGGGAAAGAGAAATTATCAGACATTTCAAGGACTACTGGACACTGGCTCTGAGTTGACATTCATTCCAGGGGACCCAAAATGTCACTGAGATCCTCCAATTAAAGTAGGTGTTTATTAAGGTCATGTAATTAATGGAGTTTTAGTTCAGGTCTGACTTACAGTGGGTCCAGTAAGTACCCGAACTCACCCTGTGGTCATTTCCCCAGTGCCAGAATGCATAATTGGCATAGAGATACTTAGCAGCTGGCAGAACCCTCACATTGGCTCCCTGACTGGTAGTGTGAGGGCTATTATGGCGGGAAAGGCCAAATGGAAGCCATTAGAGCTGCCTCTACCTAGAAAAAGAGTAAATCAAAAACAATATCTCATCCCTGGAGGGATTGCAGAGATTAGTGCCACCATGAAGGACTTAAAAGATACAGGGGTGGTGATTCCCACCACATCCCCGTTCAACTCTCCCATTTAGCCTGCGCAGAAGATAGATGGATCTTGGCGAATGACAGTGAATTATTGTAATCTTAACCAAGTGGTGACTCCAATTTCAGCTGCTGTACCAGATGCAGTTTCATTGCTTGAGCAAATGAACACATCTCCTCGTATCTGGTATGCAGCCATTGACTTGGCAAATGCCTTTTATTCCATTCCTGTCCATAAGGCCCACCAGAAGCAATTTGCCTTCAGCTGGCAAGGTCAGCAACATACCTTTACTGTTCTACCTTAGGGGTATCTCAACTCTCCTGCTTTGTGTCATAATCTTATTCGGAGAGAACTTGATACGTTTTTGCTTCTGCAAGATACCACACTGGTCCATTACATTGATGACATTATACTGATTGGATCCAGTGGGCAAGAAGTAGCAGACACACTGGACTTATTGTTGAGACATTTGTATGCCAGAGAATGGGAAATAAATCTGACTAAATATCATGGACCTTCTACCTCAGTAAAATTTCTATGGGTCCAGTTGCATGCAGCTGGTCAAGATATTCCCTTTAAAGTCAAGGATAAATTGCTGCATTTGGCCCCACTATAACCAAGAAAGAGGCACAACACCTAGTGGGCCTATTTGGATTTTGGAGGCAACACATTCCTCATTTTGGATGTGTTACTCTGTCCAATTTACTGAGTAACCTGAAAGGCTGCTAGTTTTGAGTGGGGTCCAGAACAGAAGCAGGCTCTGCAACAGGCTGCTGTGTAAGCTGCTCTGCCACTTGGGCCATATGACCCAGCAGATCCAATTAGGCTTGAGGTGTCAGTGGCAGACAGGGATGCTGTTTAGAGCCTTTGGCAGGCTCCCACAGGTGAATCACAGTGGAGGCCTCTAGGATTTTAGAACAAGGCCCCGCCACCTTCTGCAGATAACTACTCTCCTTTTGAGAGACAGCTCTTGGTCTGTTACTGGGCTTTGGTGGAAACTGAACGTTTGACTATGGGTCATTAAGTCACTATGCAACCTGAACTGTGTATCATAAACTGGGTGCTTTCTGATCCATCAAGCCATAAAGTGGGTCATGCACAGCAGCATTCCATCATCAAATGGAAGTGGTATATACGTGATCGGGCTCAAGCAGGTCCTGAAGGCACAAGTAAGTTACATGAGGAAGTGGCTCAAATGCCCATGGTCTCCACTCCTGCCACCCTGCCTTCTCTCCCCAAGCCTGCACTGATGGCCTCTTGGGGAGTTTTCCCTATATTAGGTTGACAGAGGAAGAGAAGACTAGGGCCTGGTTCACAGATGGTTCTGCATGATATGCAGGCACCACCCAAAGGGGACAGTTGCAGCACTACAGCCCCTTCGTAGGACGTCCCTGAAAGAGAGTGGTGAAGGGAAATCTTCCCAGTGGGCAGAACTTTGAGCAGTGCACCTGGTTGTGCACTTTGCATGGAAGGAGAAATGGCCACATGTGCAATTATATACTGATTCATGGGCTGTAGCCAATGGTTTGGCTGGATGGTCAGGGACTTGGAAGAAGCATAATTGGAAAATTGCTGACAAAAAAATTTGGGGAAGAGGTATGTGGATGGACCTCTCTGAATGGTCAAAAACTATGAAGATATTTGTATCCCATGTGAGTACTCACCAATGACTGACTTCAGCAGAGCAGGAGTTAATTAATCAAGTGGTAGGATGGCCTGTTCTGTGGACACCACTCAGCCTCTTTCCCCAGCCACCCCTGTCAATGCCCAATGGGCCCATGAACAAAATGGCTGTAGTGGCAGGGATGGAAGTTATGCATGGGCTCGGCAACATGGACTTCCATTCTCCAAGGCTGACTCGGCTACGGCCACTGCTGAGTGCCCAATTTGCCAGCAGCAGAGACCAACACTGAGCCCTTGATATGGCACCATTCCTCGGGGTGATCAGCCAGCTAGCTACCCGGTGACAGGAAAGGGCAGAAGTTTGTCCTCACAGGGATAGACACTCACTCTGGATATCAGTTTGCCTATCCTGCATGCAATGCTTCTGCCAAGACTACCATCCGTGGACCCACAGAACGCCTTATCCACCATCATGGTATTCCACACAGCATAGCCTCTGACCAAGGCACTCACTTTATGGCTAAAGAAGTGCAGCAGTGGGCTCATGCTCATGGAATTCACTGGTCTTACCATGGTCCCCATCATCCTAAAACAGCTGGATTGATAGAACGGTGGAATGGCCTTTTGAAGTCACAATTGTAATACCAACTAGGTGACAATACTTTGCAGGGCTGGGGCAAAGTTCTCCAGAAGGCTGTGTATGCTCTGAAACAGCATCCAATATATGGTACTGTTTTTCCCATAGCAAAGAATCATGGGTCCAGGGATCAAGAGGTGAAAGTGGAAGTGGCACCACTCACCATCACCCCTAGTGATCCACTAGCAAAACTTTTGCTTCATGTTCCCACGACATCACGTTCTGCTGGCCTAGAGATCTTAGTTCCAGAGGGAGGAACACTGCCACCAGGAGACATGACAATGATTCCACTAAACTGGAAGATTGCCACCTGGACACTTTGGGGTCCTCCTACCTTTAAGTCAGCAGGCTAAGAAGGGAGTTACAGTGTTGGCTGGGGTGACTGACCCAGACTATCAAGATGAAATCAGTCTACTACTCCACAACGGAGGTAAGGAAGAGTATGCATGGAATACAGGAGATCCATTGGGGTGTCTTAGTATTACCATTGCCTGTGATTAAGGTCAATGGAAAACTACAACAGCCCAATCCAGGCAGGACTACAAATGACCCAGACCGCTCAGGAATGAAGGTTTGGGTCACTCCACTAGGAAAGAAACACGACCTGCTGAGGTGCTTGCTGAAGGCAAAGGGAACACAGAATGGGTAGTAGAAGAAGGTAGGCATCAATACCAGCTACAACCACATGACCAGCTTATTTAAAAATCATAGGAAGCATATTTGAAAATAATAAAGCAACAACTATAAATCTGTTGTATATCTACATGTCACAGTGATCCCGTGACAATGGTGGTCCTGTATAGTATTACTTTTTACTGAGTGACTATATATATATATCCTATTAGTATCCTAATATAGATACGTATATACATATATACATACATGTACATATATACATATATGCATACATATAAATATACATATATACACACATATAATGTATATCTCATACGAGTGCTCACCAATGTATAGATATGTATAGATGTATATATTGTATATGTATATATACGTATATGTGTGTATATATATATGAAGTGTTCCCATATATAATATATGAAGGGGAGTTTATTAAGTATTAACTTACACAATCCAAAGCTCCCACAATAGGCTGTCTGTAAGCTGAGGAGCAAGGAGAGCCAGCCTGACTCCCCAAACTGAAGAACTTCGAGTCCAATGTTCCAGGGCAGGAAGCATCCAACACGGGAAAAAGATGTAGGCTGGGAGGTTAGGCCCATCATCTCCTTTTCATGCTTTTCTGCCTGCTTTACATTCACTGGCAGCTGATTAGATTGCGCCCACTAGATTAAGGGTAGATCTGTCTTCCCCAGCCCACTGGCTCAAATGTTAATCTCTTTCGGCAACACCCTCAGAGATTCACCCAGGATCAATACTTCGTATCTTTCAATCCAATCAAGTTGACACTCAGTATTAACCATCACAAGTCCACTCCTTGTCAACTTGAACCCATACACATCCCCTGAGATCATAGATAATCTTCAAATAGAGACAATAATAAGGTCAAAATTATGCCTAACATAATACAACCATCCTTCATACAGCCAGAAACGTACCAATCCTCAACCCAAGTATTATTACACAAAGTTACCAATATTTAAATGCTGATATGAAGTCAATAAATCTTATGTCACATGAAAAAGGAGAAAGGAAATAAAATGAAGATATTTTCTTAGTACAGGTGTACACATGCACAAACATGTTTTTAACCAAAGGAGGAGGAAATACTCATGACAATTACAGTCCTCGTTTCTGCAGCTGGTCATATGGAGATATAGATATATCTACATATACATATATATCTATATATTTATATAGATATCTACATATACATATATGTCTATATATCTATATCTATATATATCTCCTATTAGTTCTGTCCCTCTAAGACAGCCCTAATACAGTGGGAGAGAAGTGTCTGGTTTCATTCTTCTGCATATAGACACCCAGTTTCCCCAGCACCATTTATTGAAGAGACTCTCCTTTCCTCATTGTATGTCCCTTGGAGTAAAAGAAACATAGCATGTTCTTGCTAATATGTGATAACTAAAAAGTAAGAAAGTTGATGTTACAGAGGTAGAGAGTAGAATTATGGTTACCAGAGGCTAGGAAGGTTAGCAGGGAGAAAGAGGATGAATAGGGTTTGGTTAATGGGTTCAAAAATACAATGAGAAGGAATAAGTTACAGTTTCAATACCACAGTAGGGCAAGGGTGAACATTGTTATCAATCATTCATTGTATATTTCAAAATAGCTAGATTTTGGAACGTCTGAAGACATAGTAGATAATAAATGTTTGAGTGATGGATATACCAATTACTCTGATTTGATCATTACACATTGTATACATGTATCAAAATATCACAGGTACCCCATGAATATGTACAATTATTACATCTCAATAAAAAATTAAAAATTTTTAAAATTAAAAATCAGTCATATAAAAACCTGGTCAAAAGCAATCCAGGAAAAGGGAGAAGCATATTTAAAAATCATAAAGCACAACTATAGAGCTGTTATATATCTACATGTCACAGTGATCCCGTGACAATGGTAGTCCTGTATAGTATTGCTTTTTGCTTCTAGGTTGTGGCATGTCTTGGAGTGAGCCATCTAGGGAAACTGCCAATGGTTCTTTACATGTAAAGCTGAATCTCCTGCAGAAAATTCTCTCAGCATCTTAAGACACCATTATCTGAATGTGATTTAAACTCTTTTTTCAGACATATAGATCGACAATCATCATTTTCAGCCCCTCAGGGTGCAGGCCATTTACCAAAATGACAATAGCATTAAACTTATTGCTATTATTGGTATTAATAGCTCTAATAACATCTACCTGATGACTTCAATGCTGAATTACCGCAGGGTTAGTCAGAAGTAATGAGCTAAAATGATCATAAAGCCCTTTTCAAATATTTCAGGTGGTACAAAATTATTACAAATGGCAAGGTAGGTGTTGCACGTTCTCTGTGAAACAACGGGTGTCAGCCAGATAAGAAGAAAGCAACATTAGCTTTGAAAGTGGCACTGGGGGCCCTGGGTCCCAGCCCTCCCTCAAGTTTTGTTTCAAATATCAGTGTTACTAGACCCACTTTCAAAAATGAAATGGGAATCATTTTCCTAGGGATAAGTGAGAAGATGTGCCATTCTCAACCTCAACGATGCCTTTTATTATGTTTCCCTGGCTATTCTTACCATCTTCATCATTTCTTCTCACTTGCAAACAGTGCGGCCAAGGTGTCGTCACCAAATGCTTTTAGATATGCCCACACCTACCAGCTTGGCAGCCCGTTACTAAAGGTAAAGCATAATCGTGCCTGATTTAGAGACAGTAGCAAAAACCTCTTTACCTGCTAGATATGGGAATTAAGTAAACTGTGAGAGACTGTGACACTGATAATCTGGATATTTGCTATAAGCAAAACTAATTCCTAGTTATGGAAACACTCTAAAGCTCTATAAAATGAAACTAGTAATACCTACAAAAACCATGCAGTTCTAATGAAACTTAAAAGAAGTTATGCATATAAAAGCTTTTCTCAACTAGTAAATTGCCAAGTGTTTTAAAATATTGATTGTTCATATGGAATACAGCATTTGGGAATATTATTTCAGGAGTCTTGCAGTCCATGGTTCCAATGCCAACTTGCTCCATGGATTAGCTCTGTGACATTGCATAGGTCACATAACTTCTCTGTCTCAATCTTCTTAAAAGAAAATGAAAGAGTTCAGACTGGGTGGAGCCCATCGTAGTACCGCAAAGCCACTGTAGCCAGTCTGCCTCTCTAGATTCCTCCTCTCTGGGCAGGGCATCTCTGAAAAAACGGCAGCAGCCCCAGTCAGGGGCTTATAGATAAAACTCTCATCTCCTTGGGAAGGAGCACCTGAGGGAAGGGGTGGCTGTGGGCACAGCTTCAGCACACTTAAACGTTCCTGCCTGCCAGCTCTGAAAAGAGATCTCCCAACATAGCACTTGAGCTCTGCTAACGGACAGAATGCCACCTCACGTGGGTCCCTGACCCCCATGCCTCTTGACAGGGAGACACCTCCCAGCAGGGAACAATAGATACCTCATACAGGAAAGCTCTGGCTGGCATTTGGCGGGTGCCCCTCTGGGATGAAGGTTCCAGAGGAAGGATGAGGCAGCAATCTTCGCTGTTCTTTGGCCTCTGCTGGTGATACCCAGACAATCAGGGTCTGGAGTGGACCTCCAGCAAACTCCAACAGGAAACTCCACAAAGGAAAACCTATCAGACTAACAGCAGATCTCTGCAGAAACCGTACACAAGCCAGAAGAAGTGGGGGCCAATATTCAACATTCATAAAGAAAATCATTTTCCACCCAGAATTTCAAATCCAGCCAAACAAAGCTTCATAAGTGAAGGAGAAATAAAATCCTTTACAGACAAGCAAATGCTGAGAGATTTTGTCACCACCAGGCCTGCCTTACAAGAGCTCCTGAAGGAAGCACTAAACATGGAAAGGAACAACTGGTACCAGTCACTGCAAAATTGTAAAGACCATCAACACTATGAAGAAACTACATCAACTGATGGGCAAAATAACCAGCTAGCATCATAATGACAGGATCAAATTCACACATAACAATATTAACCTTAAATGTAAATGGGCTAAATGCCCCAATTAAAAGACACAGACAGGCAAATTGGGTAAATAGTCAAGACCCATCAGTGTGCTGTATTCAGGAAACCCATCTCACATGCAGAGATACACATAGGCTCAAAATAAAGGGATGGAGGAATATTTACCAAGCAAATGGAAAGCCCAAAAAAGCAGAAGTTGCAATCCTAGTCTCTGATAAAACAGACTTTAAACCAACAAAGATCAAAAGAGACAAAGAAGGGCATTATATAGTAGTAAAGGGATCAATGCAACAAGAAGAGCTAACTATCCTCAATGTATATGCACCCAATGCAGAAGCACCCAGATTCGTAAAGCAAGTTCTTAGAGACCTACAAAGAGACTTAGACTCCCACACAGTAATAGTGGAAAACTTTAACACCCCACTGTCAATATTAGACAGATCAATGAGACAGAAAATTAACAAGGGTATTCAGGACTTGAACTCACCTCTGTACCAAGTGGACCTATTATACATCTACAGAACTCTCCACCCCAAATCAGCAGAATATACATTCTTCTCAGCACCACATTACACTTATTCTAAAACTGACCACATAATAGGAGGTAAAACACTCCTCAGCAAACACAAAAGAACGGAAATCATAACAGTCTCTCAGACCACAATGCAATCAAATTAGAATTCAGGATTCAGAAACTCACTCAAAACCACACAACTACATGAAAACTGAACAACTTGCTCCTGAATGACTACTGGATAAATAATTAAAGTAGAGCAGAAATAAAGATGTTCTTTAAAACCACTGAGACCAAAGACACAACATACTAGAATCTCTGGGACGCATCTAAAGCAGTGTGTAGAGGGAAATTTATAGCACTAAATGCCCACAAGAGAATGCAGGAAAGATAAAATTGACACGCTAACATCAAAGTTATATGAACTACAGAAGCAAGAGCAAACTAATTCAAAAGCTAGCAGAAGGCAAGAAATAATTAAGATCAGAGCAGAACTGAAGGAGACAGAGACATGAAAAACACTTAAAAAAAAAATCAATGAATCCAGGAGCTGGTTTTTTTGAAAAGACTAACAAAACAGATAGACCTCTAGCAAGACTAATAAAGATGAAAAGAGAGAAGAATCAAATAGATGCAATAAAAAACGATAAAGGGTATACCACCACTGATCCCACAGAAATACAAACTAACATCAGAGAACAGTATAAACACCTCTATGCAAACACACTAGAAAATCTAGAATAAATGGATAAATTCCTAAACACATACATCCTCCCATGTCTAAATCAGGAAGAAGTCGAATCCCTAACAGACAAATAACAACGTCTGAAATTGAGGCAGTAATTAATAGCCTACCAACTAAAAAACGTCCAGGACCAGATGGATTCACAGCCAAATTCTATTCTACTAGAGGTACAAAGAAGAGCTGGTACCATTTCCTTCTAAAACTATTCCAAACAATAGAAAAAAGGGACTCTTCTCTAACTCATTTTATGAAGCCAGCATCATCCTGATGCCAAAACCTGGCAGAGACACAACAAAAAAAAGAAAATTTCAGGCTAATATCCCTGATGAACATCAATGTGAAAATCCTCAATAAAATATTGGCAAACCAAATCCAGCAGCACATCAAAAAGCTTACCCACTACAATCAAGTCTGCTTGATCCCTGGGATGGAAGGCTCCTTCAACATACATAAATCAATAAACGTAATTCATCACATAAACAGAACCAATGACAAAAACCACATGATTACCTCAACAGATGCAGAAAAGGACTTCGACAAAATTCAACACTCCTTCATGCTAAAAACTCTCAATAAACTAGGTTTTGATGGAACATATCTCAAAATAATAAAAGCTATTTATGACAAACCAACAGACACTATCATACTGAATAGGCAAAAACTGGAAGCATTCCCTTTGAAAACCGGCACAAGACAAGGTTGCCCTCTATAACCACTCCTATTCAACATAGTAATGGAAGTTCTGGCCAGGACAATCAGGCAAGAGAAAGGAATGAAGTGTATTCAGATAGGAAGAGAGGAAGTCAAATTGTCTCTGTTTGCAGATGACATGACTGTATATTTAGAAAACCCCATCATCTCAGCCCCAAATCTCCTTAAGCTGATAAGCAACTTTAGCAAAGTCTCAGGATACAAAATCAAAGCAGAGTGCAAAATCAAAGCTTGTGCAAAAATCATAAGCATTCCTATACACCAATAATAGAAAAATAGCCAAATCATGAGTGAACTCCCATTCACAATTGCTACTAATTGAATAAAATACCTAGGAATACAACTTATTAGGGATGTGAAGGACTTCAAGGAGAACTACAAACCACCAAGGAAATGAGAGGATATGAACAAATGGAAAAACATTGTATGCTAATGGGTAGGAAGAATCAATATTGTGGCCATACTGCCAAAAGTAATTTATAGATTCACTGCTATCTCCATTAAGCTACCATTGATTTTCTTCACAGAATTTGAAAAAACTACTTTAAATTTCCTATGGAACCAAAAAAGAGCCCACATAGCCAACACAACCCTAAGCAAAAAGAACAAATCTGGAGGCATCATGCTACCTGACTTCAAACTATACTATAAGGCTACAGTAACCAAAACAACATGGTAGTGGTACCAAAACAGATATGTAGACCAATGC
Source organism: Homo sapiens (assembly GCF_000001405.40). Lineage (NCBI taxonomy): Eukaryota > Metazoa > Chordata > Mammalia > Primates > Hominidae > Homo > Homo sapiens. The sequence continues at coordinate 1,933,530 of NC_000003.12, forward strand.
AACAGAACAGAGGCCTCAGAAGTAACACTACACATCTACAACCAGCTGATCTTTGGCAAAACTGACAAAAACAAGCAATGGGGAAATGATTGCCTATTTAACAAATGGTGTTGGGAAAACTGGCTAGCCATATGCAGAAAAGTGAAACTGGACCGCGTTCTTAAACCTTATATAAAAATTGACTCAAAATGGATTAAGCACTTAAAAGTAAGACCTAAAACCATAAAAACCCTAGAAGAAAACTGAGGCAATACCATTCAGGACGTAGGCATGGCGAAAGACTTCATGACTAAAACACCAAAAGCAATGGCAACAAAAGCCAACATTGACAAATAAGATCCAATTAAACTAAAGAGATTTTGCACAGCAAAAGAAATTATCATCAGAGTGAACAGGCAATCTATAGAATGGGAGAAAATTTTTATAATTTATTCATCTGACAAAGGGCTAATATCTACAAGGAACTTAAATTTACAAGAAAAAAACAACCCAAACAAAAAGTGGGCAAACGATATAAACAGATACTTCTCCAAAGAAGACATTTATGCAGCCAACAAACATATGAAAAAAAGCTCATCATCACTGGTCATTAGAGACATGCAAATCAAAACCACAATGAGATATCATCTCACACCAGTTAGAATGGCGATCATCCAAAAGGAATCAGCGGATATGGGGGAGGATGCGGAGAAATAGCAATGCTTTTATACTGTTGGTGGGAGTGTAAATTAGTTCAACCATGTGGAAAACAGTGTAGCACTTCCTCAAGGATCTAGAACTAGAAATACCATATGATCCAGCAATCCCATTGCTGGGTATATACAGAAAGTATTATAAATCATTTTACCATAATGACACATGCACAGGCATGTTTATTGCAGCACTGTTCACAATAGCAAAGACTTGGAACCAACCCAAATGCCCATCGATGATAAACTGGGTAAAGAAAATGTACCACATATACACCATGGAATACTATGCAGACATAAAAAAGGATGAGTTCATGTCCTTTGCAGGGATATGGATGAAGCTGGAAACCATCATTCTCAGCAAACTATCACAGGAACAGAAAACCAAACACCACATGTTCTCATTCATAAGTGGGAATTGATAAATGAGAACACATGGACATAGGGAGGGGAACATCACACACCAGGGCCTTTCGGGGGGTGGGCTGCTTAAGAAGGGATAGCCTTAGGAGAAATAACTAATGTAGATGACGGGTTGATGGGTGCAGCAAACCACCATGGCACGCATATACCTATGTAACAAACCTGCACATTCCGTACATGTACCCCAGAACTTAAAGTATAATAAAAAAAAGAAAAAAAAACAGACTAAACCAACAAAGACTCAAAAAGACAAAGAAGGGCATTACATAGCAGATAAAGGGATCAATGCAACAAGAAGAGCTAACTATCTTAAATGTATATGCGCCCAATACAGAAGTACCCAGATTCATAAAGCAAGTTCTTAGAGACCTACAAGGAGACTTAGACTCCCACACAATAATAATGGGAGACTTTAACACTCCACTGTCAATATCAGGCAGATCAATGAGAAAGAAAATTAACAAGGATATTCAGGACTTGAACTCAGCTCTGGACCAAGCAGACCTAATAGACATCTGCAGAACTCTCCACCCCAAATCAACAGAATATACATTCTTCTAAGCACCACATTGCACTTATTCTAAAATTGATCACAAAATTGGAAGTAAAACACTCCTCAGCAAATGCAAAAGAACAGAAATTGTAACAGTCTCTCAGACCACGGTGCAATCAAATTACAACTCAGGATTAAGAAACTCACTCAAAACTGCACAACTACATGGAAACTGAACAACCTGCTCCTGAATGACTACTGGGTAAATAACAAAATTAAAGAAGAAATAAATAAGTTCTTAGAAACCAATGAGAACAAAGACACAATGTACCAGAATCTCTGGAACGCAGCTAAAGTAGTGTTTAGAGGGAAATTGTTAGCACTAAATGCCCACATGAGAAAGTGGGAAAGTTCTAAAAGTTGACACCCTAATATCATCATTAAATGAATTAGAGAAGCAAGAGTAAACAAATTCAAAATATGGCAGAAGACAAGAAATAACGAAGATTAGAGCAGAACTGAAGGAGGCAGAGACACGAAAAAGCCTTCAACAATCAATGAGTCCAGGAGCTGGTTTTTTGAAAAGATTAACAAAATAGATAGACCACTAGCCAGATTAATAAAGAAGGAAAGATAGAAGAATCAAATAGACACAATAAAAATGATAAAGGGGATATTACCACTGATCTTACAGAAATACAAACTAGCATCAGAGAATACTATAAACACCTCTGCACAAATAAACTAGAAAATCTAGATGAAATGGATGCAAGGGTTGTTGAACATATGCAAATCAATAAACATAATCCATCATATAAAAAGAACCAATGACAAAAATCACATGATTATCTCAATAGATGCAGAAAGGACCTTTGATAAAATTCAACACCCTTTCATGCTAAAAACTCAATAAACTAGGTATTGATGGAACGTATCTCAAAATAATAAGAGCTATTTATGACAAACCCACAGCCAATATCATCCTGCAGGGGCAAAATCTAGAAGCATTTCCTTTGAAAACCAGCACAAGACAATGATGCCCTCTCTCACCACTCCTATTCAACGTAGTATTGGAAGTTCTGGCCAGGGCAATCAGGCAACAAAAAGCAATAAAGAGTATTCAATTAGGAAGAAAGTCACATTGTCTCTGTTTGCAGATGACATGATTTTATATTTAGAAAAACCCATCGTCTCAGCCCAAAATCTCCTTAAGCTGATAAACAACTTCAGCAAAGTCTCAGGATACAAAAATCAATGTGCAAAAATCACAAGCATTCCTATACACAAATAACAGACAAACAGAGAGCCAAATCATGACTGAATTCCCATTCACAATTGCTACAAAGAGAATAAAATACCTAGGAATACAACTCACAAGGGATGTGAAGGACCTCTTCAAGGAGAACTACAAACCACTGCTCAAGAAAATAAGAGCTGACACAAACAAATGGAAAAACATTCCATCCTTGTGGATAGGAAGAATCAATTACCATGAAAATGGCCATACTGGCCAAAGTAATTTATAGATTCAATGCCATTCCCATCAGGCTACCATTGACTTTCTCACAGAATTAAATTAGAAAAAACTACCTTAAATTTCATATGGAACCAAGAAAGATCCCATATAGCCAAGAAAATCTTAAGCAATAGAACAAAACTGGAGGCATCACGCTACCTGACTTCAAACTATACTATAAGGCTACAGTAAGAAAAACATCATGGTACTGGACCAAAACAGATATATAGACCAATGGAACACAACAGAGGCTTCAGAAATAACACTACACATCTACAAGTATCTGATCTTTGACAAAACTGACAAAAACAAGCAGTGGGGAAAGGATTCCCTATTTAATAAACGGTGTTGGGAAAACTGGCTAGCCATACGCAGACAACTGAAACTGGACCCCTTTCTTACACCCTATACAAAAATTGACTCAAAATGGATTAAACACTTAAACATAAGACCTAAAACCATAAAAACCCTAGAAGAAAACCTAGGCAATACCATTCAGGACATAGGCATGGGCAAAGACTTCATGACTAAAACATCAAAAGCAATGGCAATAAAAGCCAAGATGGACAAATGGGATCTAATTAAACTAAAAAGCTTCTGCACAGCAAAAGAAACTATCATCAGAGTTAACAGGCAATCTATATAATGGGAGAAAATTTTTATGATCTATCCATGTGACAAAGGGCTAATATCCAGAATCTACAAGGAACTTAAACACATTTACAAGAAAAAAAAAAAAACCATCAAAAAGTGGGTGAATGACATGAACAGACACTTTTCAAAAGAAGATATTTAGGTGACCAAACATATGAAAAAAAGCTCATCATCACTGGTCACTGGAGAAATGTAAATCAAAACCACAATGAGATACCATCTCGCACCAGCTAATATGGTGATCATTAAAAAGTCAGGAAACAACAGATGCTGCAGAGGATGTGAAGAAATAGGAACGCTTTTACACTGTTGGTGGGAGTGTAAATTAGTTCAATCATTTTGGAAGACAGTGTGGCGATTCCTCAAGGATCTAGAACTAAAAATACCATTTGACCCAGCAATCCTATTACTGGGTATATACCCAAAGGATTATAAATCATGCTGCTATAAAGACACATGCACACGTATGTTTACTGCAGCACTATCCACAATAGCAAAGACTTGGAACCAACCCAAATGCCCATCAATGATAGACTGGATAAAGAAAATGTGGCACATATAAACCATAGTATACTATGCAGCCATAAAAAGCATGAGTTCATGTCCTTTGCAGGCACATGGATGAAGCTGGAAACCGTCTTTCTCAGCAAACTAACACAGGAACAGAAAACCAACACCACATGTTCTCACTCATAAGTGAGAGTTGAACAATGAGAATATTTGGGCACAGAGAGGGGAACATCACACACCAGGGCCTGTTGGGGGAGTGTGGGGCAAGGGGAGGGATAGTATTAGGAGAATTATCTAATGTAGATGACAGGCTGATGGATGCCGCAAACCACCATGGCACATGTATGCCTGTGTAACAAACCTGCACTGTCTGCACATGTATCCCAAAACGTAAAGTACAATTTTTTAAAAGAGAAAAGAAAATGAAATAAAAAATGATACAGGAACCACGGTTGTAAAAATTTAATAGAATATATAGCACCTAGCACATATGTGCCTGGCCTATTTTATGTAATGGAAAGGCTTGCAACTTGTTGTTGTTGTTGTTATCTGGAGTCTTAAGGCAGAGCATCCTGGTGGCCGGCTTCAGCTGCTCACACAAAGCATTATTCAGCTCCTCAAAAAAAGGCATTATTTATTAATAACATGCATCAACTTTTAGTGCAGGATAGCTCAAATTCGAGTGTTCATTTACAAATGCAAAAATTCCCCCAAGTCCTGATTTGTTTGGGGGAGCCCAAGAATCTTCATTTTTAATACATATTATGAGTGATTCCAGTGTTTAGGAAATAACGTCTTGAATGTCAAAATCCATTTCCTACATCCTTCATAAGTCTTCTGAAGCTGACTTCTCCCCATAAGAATGTATTTCAGAGAAACAGTTTGGCACCTAGTGTTGAGCGTGATTGGCACTCTCACTATTAACTCCAGAAACTTCATCTGGAACTTGTTTCTGCAATTCTTGCACATTTTTAGCTTGTGGCTATCACGACTGAAGCACAAAACCGAACAACTTGAAAGCTTTTTGAAATTCTCTGAAGACCAGGCCTCTGATTCATTAGAAGGTAAAAAGTGATGGCTCTTTGACAAAGGGGACTGGGAGAGAAGCCAAGAGGGACATATATTTGCACGAAAGTTTTGTTTAAAGAAAAAGAGAAAGAGACCAAAAATAATGAATCTCAGCTTCATGTGTTCTTCACCCATGCAGCTTTGGGCTATTCTTTGTTTATTGGTAACAAGAATGCCTGCGAGAGGAAAGAACTGCAAATAGAAATGGACTTGACGTGAATACAATAAGGTTTCACCATGGCAAAAGGCAGTCATGGCTCCAGTTTACTTTGTATAAACCACAATAAGGGGTGGTGGAGCCCCAGTTTCTTGCAGTGTGTCCCTCTCCCACACCACAGTGTATTGAGGATGAATATCGTATGCATACACACGCAAGACTGAAGTATTTTGGTGTCATCTAGTGTTTGGGTAAAGGTTTTACTTTTTTCTTTTTCTATTAATATCACTGCAGCTAACATCAGTTTGTCATTTAATCATCCTTTACTGACACATTTATTTTTGGGTCTCCATCAGTGACTTTTGAGTGTTCCTGAACTCAGCTGAGCACTGTCCCTAACTGGAGTCAGTGTGTAACTGTACCCTTAGACTAAAAGCAGGCACCCAGCCCCAGCCATCATACCCTGCTGTTCATTGCAGCCAGGTTGATGCTGTGTCTGCACCATGGTCTTCCTAAGTCCAGAGCTCTGCTTTCTGAAACTATTAAGACAACAGGCTCCCATTGAGCTGGTTTTAGTGTTGGACAGACCTGAGTTAGTGTCCTGAATCTGCCTCTTGCTAGCCATGTAGCCAAGAGCAGGACACGAATTTCTCTAAGTCTAGGTTGCTCACCTACGAAATGAAATAATAATAATAGCACCTGATTCATAGAGTTCTCGTAAGGATTAATTGAGATAATGGCAAGTATCTTTGTATTATTACTAGTAATGTATATTAGTGACTATTAGAAGTGCTTGTTAATACTGCATCTTCCAGAACTGTGTCCAGGCAAAAGAATCAAGAGTGCTGTGATTTCTATGCACATTTACATTTGAGGCAAACTTTTTAAACATATTTTGTTCACTGGCATATCTTCCATACTTAGAATAATTCTTAGCATACAGTAGGTACTCAGTACCTAATGGATAAATAACTAAATTAATTAATTGGTGAACATTCGGCCGGGCACAGTGGCTCACGCCTGTCATCCCAGCACTTTGGAAGGCTGAGGCAGGCGGATCACTCTTCAGGTCAGGAGTTCCAGAACAGCCTGGCCAACATGGTGAAACCCTGTATTTACTAAAAATACACACACACACAAAATAGCCAGGCATGGTGATGGGCACCTGTAAGCCCAGCTACTCATGAGGATGAGGCAGGAGAATTGCTTGAACTCAGGAGGCAGAGGTTGCAGTGAGCTGTGACCGCGCCACTGTACTACAGCCTGGGCGACAGAGTGAGACTTTGCCTCAAAAAAAAAAAAAAAAATTGGTGAACATTGGTATTAGTAGTTCCCTTCTCCTTGTTTGTGACTGCTCCAATGCAGTTTGCTAGACCACAAGAATTCAGACATCCCTTGTGTGTGCGTCATGTATATTCCATCTTAAAACCAGCAGAGGTGAGTTCTTCTCTGTTCTTCTTACTCCTTCACTGCAGTTACTTTTATCTCCCTCGTAACCACCCAGAGCCCTAAGAGGATGACCTTAATAGGTCATCATCCCATTTCACATGTAAAGAAACCGAGGCATGGAAATGAAAGTGTTTTGCCTAGGCTTACACCTCACTGAGGTTCACAACCAGGATTCTAACACAGAAAGCCTCTCTTCAGGATGTGTCCTTAAGTACTATGCAAAGAAAGATGCAATATTATCTCCCTGCATGAGGGCATCCACAGAATGGAAATTGCTTTTTGCTACCAAACAAAAGCCCTCTAAGAGTCTACCTACTGTCAAGCCATTTCTTCACTGAGCATATCATGAGGAAATACTGTTTATCTAGTCATTCACAGATCTATTTAAGTTTAATAGATATTTATTGAATCCTGCTAGAAATGTACACAATATACAGGGTTTTTCTCTTCACAGAGCTTATGCTGTAGTTGGCAATATGGTGTCATTGATAGCCATTTATAAGTATCCTTTTCATATATAAAGAACAGTGTTGTAATGATGTGCTATGCTAACATTTATTTCCTTAATTTTGAAGAAAAGATATCAAGTTTTCAAAAGATATCTAAGAATAATACAAATGAATAACAAAAAACCTTGACTCCCAAAACACATACAGGTGTCAGTAATTATCCCAGTGATGCCCTTTATAGAGAGAGTCCAAACCCAGATCACAGTTGCACCCTATTGTCATGTCTCTATAGTCTCCTTCAATCCGGAACAATCCTTAGTTTTGACTTGACTATCTTGAATATGGCATTCGTGAAGATTACAGGTCAGTACTTTTGAAGAATGCCTCTCAAACTGGGTTTATTTGATGATTTTACATCACTAGACCTAAGCTGTACATTTTGGTTGGAATATTACAGAAGTAACACCAGTTTTCTCTCATTGAGTCTTACTGGGTGGCACAAGATATTGGCTTGTTCCATAAGTGATAATGTTAATTTTTGTTCACTTGATTGAGATGGTATCTACCAAAGCAGGCAGAGTGGCTCACACCTGTAAACTCAGCACTTTGGGAGGCTGAAGTAGGAGGATCTCTTGAGCCCAAGAGCTCGAGACAAGCCTGGGCAATAGAGCAAGATCTTGATGCTACTAAAAAAAAAAAAATTAGCTGGGCATGGTGGTACATGCCTGCAGTCTGAGCTGCTCCGGTGACAGAGGGAGGAGGATTGCTTGAGCCCAACTGCACTCTAGGATGAGTAACAGAGCAAGACCCTGTCTCAAAAAAGAAAAAATTCTTCCAGACTTCACCTTTGTAAAATTATGCCCTCTATTTACAGCGAATAAATATTTTTCTGGTAGAAGCTTTGAGATTACATGAAATCCCATTCCTCGTACCAATTTCACTTACTGGTTTTGACATCCATTGCAAGTTCTTTTATAAATTAATGTTTATTGTGAAGGTTCACATGGGGATTTTTTAATTCTGTCATTTCTTCTACCTTTAGTAGTTAACATTCTACCCTAAGAAAGAACATCCTATCCACTCCATTTATCCATTTATTTATCTCATGTAGAACCATTTATTCAACAGATTATAATCCATTGCTGCCATTTTTGTGTTGTTGCTGTGGCAGTTGCTCAAATTTTCCCTGATTTGGCCAGTGACAGCACTTTCAATACGGCTGACATGGCCCCATCATGCTTTGGACAAGTCCTTACTCTCCGGCACAACACGATGATCCGGGTTCCCTTTTCTTTCCCTGTGGCAGCCCTAAAATCAGCCGTTCCTCCAAGGATCCCTGCTTCCTTTCGGTGGATAATGTTTTTGGAAACTAAGATAGGCAGCAGTTAGGTTCATTGCTACTGGGGTATCGCTGTACCTGAGCACTCCCCTCCCTATGGACACTAATGTAGATGTTAGTAAATATAACTACAAATGTAATATTATATCTACATATTTACTTCTATATTATATTTATATTTACTTCTATGTCTATGTATGTTTTGAAAAGAGGCATTCACATCAACACTTTCATCCCAATCCCAAAAGAGGGTTCATTCTAACTTTTCCATTTTCATATTTGCATTTCCATTCTCCAAGAATAAGAAAACCAGCCCCCCTTATGTTTCAATAGATGTGTGTATCAGCTCAAGCCCCTGACCCCACTAAACTGCTGCACAGGTGGGACACCCTCTTCACAGGGGACTTGACACCAGATGGCCACTGCCCTAATTTGATAACCCCCACCTCAATGGGGGCCAAAGGTTTTCGATAGGCCCAAATCCGGCTGCCTTCTAGGAAGGGAACAAAAGAAAGAAGGAGGAGGGAGATATGGAACAACGCCATTGATTTAAAAAAGAATATTAATACTGTTTCCAGTTATGCACACAAAAAACCTAAGAGTCAAACCTCTCTGACTGCTAATCTGTCCCACCACAGACATTTCCTAGTAAACAATTCAAAGTCAATAGTTCCTTTTTTGCCATGTAGGCTCTGTAAGGAGCTTTGTGTGGGATGACTAATATAGAAATAAAGCATATCATTCTCCCAAGAGTCCTCAAAATGCTTAAGAGCACAAATGGTGGGGGAGGGTAAATTACATCCAAATTTATTATAATCTGGCAAATCATCTGATTTGAATATACTAATTACATGAAAATCAATTTGTTCCAATGGTTTTCAATTACATCTAGCAACAACAGGGGGAAGGGAGAGTACAAGGGGTTCCCTTTAGAGCCATAATTGGGCAGCTATAATTAACTACACACCACATAAAGGGCCCTTCATTACATAATTATGTTTGCAATTATTCCTCTTGCTCTTTGATTTTAAGTGAGAAAGCACAACTGTCAGAAAGTAAAGTGGTAAACATGAAAGTTAGGCTTCGAAAATGGGTTTGGGATTTACAATGTTTAGGGGGTAAATAGGTAGTACAGTTTTGTTTTGTTTTTTGAAACAAATAGGAACCTTAGACACTCTTGGTCAACTAATTAGCACAAATTAAAAGAAAATCCGTTTGAGGTGTGTGTCTACTTACAAACCACCTGTTTTCCCTCTTTCTTAGTTTTTTAAATGAAATAAGTAGCTCTCGTTTAAAGTGAACCAGACAGTTCCCCAGTGCGATTGTCTCCTGAGAGAGGAGAAACGAGATTCTTCAAGAAAATGAAAATGTTTCATGCCTCCGTTTTATCTTCTGAAAGGTTACTTTTAAAAGTTAACTCCTAAAGAGAAACAGATGTGTCCAGAAATTAAGTATTCCAAGCCAGACCAGGAGAAATTCTCTGTGCCTGGTATAGAAGTGGAAGAGGTAGCTTTAGTTGCTAAAATAATCTTACAGGAATTACTTTTATGGGGGGATGGAGGGGGGCTCAGGAGAGCGAGGAATGGGGCTAGGACAGAGTTTTTCATCTAGTTTTGTTTTCAGTCACAGTGAAACCTTGGCAGACTGTGTTGAGACAAAACACCTGCCTCTTTGTATTGATAGTTCTACCATGATACATTAGTAAATGTATAGAACAAACATGGTTTCTGTCTGTTATTTGTTTTGCTTTTCTGAGAAAATGAGGTTGATTGCAAATATGTCTTCTTTTTATTCTGGAGATATTTTGTTGTTTTTAGCTAATGCCTCCTAGAAAATCAGACCACAATTTTCACTGGAATTCTGGTCATTTTCAAATGAGATACCTTGAAATCTAATTCAAAAATATATATGTATGACAAAATAATGAGAAAAAATACAAAAACCAAGAATCTGAATGATTATGCATAATTCTTTTCTAACTGCATCCAACAGAAACAGCCACGTGTAATCTACTTCCTCATATAAGACATGGCACAAAAGAAAAGCAATAATAATTCATTCAATAACATTTTCAGAGATCTTTTTCGCCTATCTCTTTATATGTAGGCATTCCCAGAGATCTCATATGCTTTTCTCTACCTCTTGGTTTCTTTCTGCCACTCTGCCTCTCTTGTCTCACAGTTGAGCTCACTTCCATTTATTGGGTTTCAACTGCACATTGCTTATTTCTGAATTACAGTGGCTTCTTTTTTGAGTCCAAACATACCCAATGTAAGTTCCCTTCAGGAAAGTGCATCTTTTTCTATATTCACCAAGAATGGAGACCTCTAGCTTAAGTTTTATTTTCCATACATCTCCTGTCAATTTCTATAAAATTTTCCAAAACTCTTTCTGCAGCCTTTTTAGATGATTTCCACTCTTCTTGCCCCAAGTCTTAATCATCTCAATCAAGAGTACTTACTATCTTCTCTAACTTATTTCTACCTACAACTTGTGTTGTAGTCAAGGTTTTCAGATTTTCCAGGCCACAATCTTTTCATCACTGAAATGGGCTTCATAGTAACTCTCTATATTACATATAAATGCAATCAGATTCAAGAAAGCCATTTGCTTATGCAATTGTGGAGTTAGTTGTTCCCACAACTCATCTCCCAGTTGCCAAATCATCCTTCATATAGTTGAGAGGTTTGTTTTCCCTAAAGGACTAATATGCTTTTTTTCCCCCAATTGTCAAAAGAATCCTAATTTCATGCTAAGGACAGACCACACCATGCTTTTCCACAGCATTGATAGGGTTTGGCTGTGTCCCCACCCAAATCTCATCTTGAATTGTAGTTCCCATAATCCTCATGTGTCGTGGGAGGGACGTGGAGGGAGGTAATTTAATCATGGGGGTGGTTACCCTCATGCTGTTCTCATGATAGTGAGTATGTTCTCTTGATATCTGATGGTTCTGTAGGAGGCTTTCCCCCTTTTGCTCGGCAGTTCTCCTTGCTGCTGCCATGTGAAGAAAGACACGTTTGTGTCCCCTTCCACCATGACTTTAAGTGTCCTAGGGCCTCCCTAGCCATGCTGAACTGTAAGTCAATTAAATCTCTTTCCTTCATAAATTACCCAGTCTTAAGTATGTCTTTTCTAACAGTGTGAGAATGGACTAATCCAAGCATAATCTAGTTAATCTTTCCAAGCATTCTGCACTTCAGGTTCAACAAATAACTAGCTTGCTGAGCATCTTTCCTATCAATTTTCTTGTTCCATCTAGAATGTCTTTCATTCCAACCCCTGCTCTGTTGACATCTCATCTATCTGTGTGTATGTATCCTTCAACCTCCAGCTCAAAAGATAACTCCACTATAACTTTTTCTACCTTTGAGCACAGGTGATCACTCATTTTTCTGTATTCTCATAATGTATCAAATATACCTTTATTTAAGTCTAATATTAAGTTAAACAGAAGCTAATGTTATATAAAATTAAAATATATATTATACTGTAATATGAAATATACTATTTATATTTCCTACTTGGTTCTAAGCTTCTTAGGAGAAGTAATCCTGACTCATTCACCAAGCTATTATCCACAAAACATTGCACATTTAGGCACTCAGTAAATATCTGCTGAATCATTAATATTTTATACATTTTCAAAAATGGTAATATGGAATTCAAATAGTACCTGTCTTGTGTTTCTAAGAGCAAGAAAAACATGAAACAAATATGCTTGCAAGTTAATTAACTTATATTATTTTTGAAGCCTGGATGGCACTTTCATCATTATCATTGTTATATTTGGAACAAATAATCTTTATTGAGTGCTTAAAATGTGCCAGGTATGCACTAAGTGCTTTTCATATTTACATCATTAAAATATGAATGATAGTTCGATAACCAAGAAATAAATAAAAGCTATCTATAACTTTGCCACAGTGTCTCTGAAAGAAATGCTGAAGTATATTTATAATGAAAACTAAAAAATTCCTTTTTTCCCACAATTTCACTCTTAGTATCTAACATAACCCCTGAAGTTGCTCCCCAAATATTTTCCTCCCCCAGTATAAGCTCTAACATCCATCCCTTCCAGTCAACCCAAGCAAGCTCCCTCATCAGTTTTATCTTTATTCCCTACCTGTGTGATCTTGTGCAAGTTATTTAAACCCACTGTGACACAATTTTCTCATCTGTGGAGTGAGAATGGCTACCAATGGTATTTAGCAATGAACTCAGCTGCTAAAAAGATAATCTATTGCTTAAACAAGTCTGGGTATCAATTTCTCATGTAACAAGTCTGATGGTAGATGGTAGCTGGCCTTGGTTTGGGGACTCAATAATGCCAGGGCCTCTGCTCTGTAATTTTCTGGGCCATTCACTCATTTTCACAGGGGGCTGCTTCAGCTTCAGTCACCATGTCCATATTTAAGGCCAGGGAAGGGGAAGCAGAGGATGCAGTTGCATGGGTAACTAATGTGAAAGCTTTCCCCGAATCCCCCTACTGATGCCCACTGGCACTCATTGTCCAAAACCACTGCATGGGAAACTCAGAAGGTGAACAACCACTGGAACACCACCCAAAACAAAACTAGTTGTTCTTAATGTGGAAACAGGGGCCAATGGGATATTAGATAGACAACTAGTAGTGTCTCCCATACTACCTTCAGTATTGTCATGAAGGCAAACGAGCTAATTCTCATGCTGAGTATTTATCAGAATGCCTGGCAAATGTTAAATATCCTCTTCTTTACCTGCTTTCAGTTACACTTAGTTTTCTACCATAAGTAATTTTCTACTCTTCTAAATATAGACCTGCCCCCTAATCTGTTTCCCTGGTTCACCCCTCATTCTTTACCACCATGCCCAGTAAGGCCTAGAAGTTATAGGATCTGGCACAGAGTCCTAAAGGTCCTCCTTTACTAGGAAGAGCAAAGCAAACTTTAGAGACTGTTATTGTTTTGTTCCTGTAACACACTCAAAGGAAAAAATAAAAAAAGGCCTAGGAACAAGCCATTTAAAATGCTCATTTATTTAATAACTTTAGCTAGCAGATCAGACTTAAAATTTGTTCTTCCCCAGTGGCAAGGTGAGGTAAAAATGTACATAATAAGACATATTAAGGTCATCAGCAGAGCTTCTAAACTTTGAAAATAAAAGCTTTTTGAAGTCTATAATTAATAAGCACTATATTAATTAGGGCACTTCAATCTTAGAGGTTCCCCTTCCTTAACTTGAGTGAATCTTTGATATCGAAGAGCAGGGGAATTCTCCTTCACTATTTTTCATTGTAAATTCCAGTTAAGCAAAACAGTCGTCTGTCACTACGTGATGGGCTTATTATTCAAATCTCACTCTTTTAATAAAATTAGATTATCCAGTGTCATCAACTAAAAACAAATCTGTAATTTTCCAAGGCCATGTCTCCCTTTTTCATTCAGAATTGAGGCCACGTGATTCTCATCTGTGGAAACAACATAATGCCAGGCATTAGGATCATCCTTGTACCTAAGGGAAATTTAAGAACCCCTAGCTAGGGCCATACATGGTGGGTCATACCTGTAATCCTAGCACTCTGGGAGGCCAAGGCAGGAGGATAACTTGAGGCCGGGAGTTTGAGAATGGCCTGGGCAACAAAGCAAGACTCCATCTCTACAAAACATTGAAAATATTAGCTGAACAGGGTGGCTTGTGCCTGCAGTCCCAGCTACTTGGGAGGCTGAGGTAGAAGGATTGTTTGAGCCCAGGTGTTCAAGGATGCAGTGACCTATGATTATGCCACTGTGCTCCAGCCTGGGTGACAGAGTGAGACACTGGCTCAAAAACAAACAACAACAAAAACCCTAGCTAAATATACAAATAACCCACAATCAATTGAAATATGCTGATAATATGGTTATGATCTCAATCAGATAACTAAGTTTTGGTCTTATTCCTCAGACCAAAGCTCCACCTCATAAAGAGTTCAAAAAACTGTCTCATTTTTGATGTTTCTTTCATTCAGGAATCACAGTTTTGCTAACCTACCTAGAAATAAGTATGTGTGTGTGTGTGTGTGTGTGTGTGTGTGTGATCTGGGTGTGTGTGTGTGTGTGTCCACTCCATCTATTTACCAGTTTAGCCATAGGAATGGAATCCTGCCATTCAACCCCAGCCCTGCTACCTACTGCTGAACATCTCAGAGGCCAAGAACTAGCTTATAGACTTTATGGCTGGCTTTCACCAAAGCAGCTAATTCAGACTCATCATCCCATTGTGAACAAATTTAAAAACTGAAGTCATACATCAAATGACTGTTTGAAGGCATAGGACAGCAAACAACACAAGGTTATAAATTCTTGAGCGAAGAGAAACATAGCTTTCTTCTGCAGATATTTTCTGAAACCAAACCACAGCAGATAGAACACAAAAAGAAGCAGTCTTGTTGAGTGGAGGAAACAGATTAGAATTAGGAGAGCTAGAGTGACTAGCAGCTGGGAAGGCATGCTACTAGTGGGGAAAATAGGACAAAGAAGGATTAACGAAAACATTTGTAAAGTTTCACTTTGAGGCTGATCATGGTGGCTCACACCTGTAATTCCAGCACTTTGGGAGGCCGAGGTGGGCAGATTGCTTGAGCCCAGGAGTATGAGGCCAGCCTGGGCAACATGGTGAAACTTCTCTCCACAAAAAACACAAATATTAGCTGGTTATGGTGGTGCACACTACCAGCTACTCGGGAGGCTGAGGTGGTAGGATCGCTTAAGGCCAGTGGGGCAGAGGTTGCAGTGAGCTGAGATTGCACCACTGCATTCCAGCCTGGAGCACAGAGTGAGACCCCGGCTCCAAAAAACAAAAAGCAAAACAAAACTAAAATTCACTTTGTTTTAATTAACTCCGGAAGTATATATGTACAGTGGAAGATTCTCAAAAGACACAGCATTCACAATGTGAAAAACAATAAAACTTACTGTATGTGCAATGAAGCATGAGTCAATAGGTTTTATATGAGACAGCAGAAGAGAAGATTAGTCAGCTCAATGACAGGTCACTAGAAATATACCAACTGAAACCTGATGAGAAAAAAAATTGGAAAAATGTGAAAGAAACAATACAAGAGACGTGGGACACAGTGTAATTTTCAAACATATAATCAGAATGCAAAAACGAGAAGAAAAAGAATAACAGAAGTATTTGAAAATAATAGCTGAAAATATTCCAAACACAATATTGGCAGCGCAAGTTGCAAAAAGCTCAGTAAAACACATGCAAGATAAAACCAAAGGAAACCATACATAGGCACCTCATAGTGAAATTGCTGAAAACCAAACATAAAGGGAAAAGTCCTAAAAGTATCCGAAGGAATAAAGGAGAACACATTACTTTCAGGGAACCACAATGATAATTACAGCTTCTCAACACAATTATGGCGAAAAAAAGACAAAAAAAACTACAATTCAAAATAACAAAAGCAAAAAATGCCAACATAGAATAAAAACATCAATCAAAAATGAAGGTGAAATAAAACTCTATCAAACAAAAGCTGAAAGTGCAGAAAAGCCCTAGAAATGTACATATTGGGGTAAATATACAAGTTCTTAGACTGTCTAAAATGGAGGTCTGCAAGATTTTTTTATAGCAAATACTTCAAGCTTCACAGACTACACAGTCTCTGTCACAACTACTCAACCACTGCCACTGTAGTGTGAAAACAGCCATGGACGACGCAGAAATAAACAGGCATGGGTGTTTTCTTAGTCCATTTGGGCGGCTACAACAAATATCTGACACTGGGTAATTAATTAAGAATAGAAATGTATTTTCTCACAGTTCTGGAGGTTTGGAAGTCCAAAATCAAGGCACCCACACGTTCGGTTGTCTGATGAGGGAATGCATCTTCTGGAAGGGAGGAACACCAAATCCTAACACGGCAGAAGGTGGAAGGGCAAGCTAACCAAATGCACACAGCCTTTTAAAATAAGGGCCTTAATCCCATTCAGGAGAGAGGCGCCCTCATGGCCTAATCACCTCTTAAAGGCCCCAGCTGTTAATATATCACATTGGCAACACCTGAATTTTTGGTGAGGACACATTTAAATCACAGCAGCTGTGTTCCAATAAAACTTTACTAATAAAAAGCAGGCTGGCAAGCCTCTTGTTTGCCAATTCCTCATTTAAAGTAACAATGTTTTGTTGAGCTGTTGACAAGTAGAGATAAAATCTATAACAAAAATAGCAAAAAAAAAGGTGAGAGAGGATAAATGGAATAAATTGCTATAATGTTCAAACACTGATTGGCATGTGGAAAACATAAATTTCAAGTAGATTATAATAAAGGCATTTTGTAATTTCTACGGTCATACAAAAATGTTAACAAACATTCTATCAGAAGTGATAAAATAACAAAAAAGATCGACTACTATAAAACAATGCAACATAGAAGGTTGTATTAGTTAACTTTGTACAAACTTCAGTGGCTTAAAACAACTGTTTTATTTAGCTTATGATTTCTTTGGTTTGGCTTGTGTGGCCATCTGGTCTGGACTGCCTAAGCTGGTAGCTGCTGGGATCTCTCATTGACTGTCATCATCTGATGAATTTGCTAGGTCTTTATGACACAGATTGTCCTCAACTCACATGTGTGGCTGGTGGCCAAGCTGGTTTAGAGGAAGCCTCACTAAGGTGGCACCTCTCTGCTCTATGTGGTCTCTGATTCCCAGGAGGCTAGTCCACTTCTTCACACAGCAGTCTCAAGATTCAAATGAGACTTTTAAAGTCTCTGCTAGATAAAATTTGCTATATTCTCAATGGCCAAAGCAAAAAGAATTTTTTAAATAATATTTTAAAAATAGATTATATTTGACAAAAAGAATACAAATAATGTTTAATAGCTGAATTAACCATGATTGAAAATAATAGCTGAGAATATCCCAAATTTAATTAAAATCAGCAGCACAAGTTCCAAAAAGCTCAGTAAAACACAAGCAGGATAAATACAAAGAAAACCCCATATAGGCACATCATAGTCAAATTGCTGAAAAGCAAATATAAAGAGAAAAGTCCTGAAAGAATCCTAAGGAATAAAGGAGGACACATTACTTTCAGGCAACCGCAATGATAATGACTGCTTCTCAACACGAATTATAAAAACACAAAAATAAGATAATGACAATTCAAAATAATGAAAGCAAAAAATGCCAACATAGAATAGTCTTAAACCATACTGCACCAGTAGTCACATTACTAAAGTATAAGCTTTATCCAACCAAGAAATGACTGAGGAAATTACAGCAGATGGAGTGATACTGAGTATTTTATATATTTAGTTGTAGGGCTAAGACTAAAGTAAGAAAGTGGTTGTATTAGTTCAGGATCCTCCATGTGTTCAGCTCTCTGAACCTTGTCCTCATGGATTTTTAATGGAAGCTTCATGACTTTAACATTCCTTTCCCCAGGGTAAGGGTGGGACCCTCTCATGGCAGGGTCTTAAACTCCACAAAGAGAAAGGCAGGAGAACATTAGAGTCCTGCATTGGAGCAGGTGAAAGAAAGGCAGGAGTACATTAGAGTCCTGCATTGGAGCAGGTGAAAGAAAGACAGGAAGAAGGTCAGAGGCTATCCCTGAGGCCTAACGCACCCAACATTCTAATAAAAGACTGTAACCAGGGCTATGGGAGTTATGAGTGAGGAGCTAGGGACAAAATCCAATATATATAACACCACAATAATACACACAGTTATTACCAACATAAGACAGAATATAGACAGAATTGAGGCTAAGCAGTTTTAGAAAAAAAGAGGACCCAAAAATATACAAAATAAGAAATGGCAAAGAGAAATAACTATGAATACAGAGGAAATTTTTAAATCATGAAAAGACTATTTTGTACACCTTTGTGCAAATATATTTGAAAATCTAGATGAAATACAATATTTCTTAGAAAAATACAGTTTAACAACTTTCCATAGAAGAAAAAGATAGTACCCATAGTAGATAAATTCTTAGAGAATACAGAATAGAAAGGAAAACATCCAAATTGTTTGTATGAAAATGTTATAACATTAATAGGTAAACCTGATAAAGAAAGCACAGAAAAAGAAACTATAGATGACAACCAGTTATGAATAAAATAGCAAAGTCAAAATCTTAAATGAAATATCAGTATCTCAGCATTATCACACATTAGGAAAACAATACAAATGGCCAAGTTGGTTTTATATCAGAAATGAAAGGAAGGTTCCAAGTTAGGGAATTTATCAATATGATTTACCATATTAATTGACCTTCTGGGAAAATGTAGGCTTATCTCCATGAATGCTGAAAAATATTTCAGTAACATAAAATGCCTGTTATTAATAAACCTCTGCAGAAAATATGAATGGTTGAATATATCTAAAACATGGTTAAATACGTACAACATGGTTAAAAACTAACAGTTGAGGACTGTTAGTACCTGAACACTAAACATCGTATTTAATCTGAAAACACTAAAGTCATTCCCACTAAGGCCAGGGACAGGGAAAAGATGAGGGCACTGTGTCCACTACTATATAATATTATTCTGGAGGTGGTATCCAAAGCAATTATAAAATAGGTAACAATTAGAGGCATAAGAATTAGAAAATAAAAATAATAAAATGAATCTCTATTTGCAAATGCCATGATAGACCTTTAGATAAGAATTATATTGAGATCAAGATCTATTGCACAGCATGGGGACTATAATTAATAACAACGTACAGTCATTCATTATTTCACGATGGGCATATATTCTGAGAAATGCATCCTTAGGCGATTTTGTCATTGTGCAAAAATCACTGAGCGTACTTACACAAACCTAGATGGTGTAGCTTGATACACACTTAGGCGGTAAGGTATAGTCTATTGCTCCTAGGCTACAAACCAGTACAGTATGACACCATACTGAATGCTGTAGGGATTTGCAACACCATGATAAGTGTTTGTACATCTTAACATAGAAAAGGTGCAGTTAAAAATATGGTATAAAAGATAAAAAATGGTACACATATATAGGGCACTTACCATGAATGGGGCTTGCAGGACTGGAAGTCACTGGGTGACTCAGGGAGTGAGTGAAGAGTAAGCATGAAGGCCTAACACATTACTGTACACTATGATAGAATTGATGCACTATACACTTAGAATATACTACATTTATTTTTTAAAAAATTTTTCTTTAATAATAAATTAACCTTAGCTTACTGTAACTTGTCTACTCTATTAAGTGCCTCAACTTACAGTGGGGTTACATCCAGATAAACCCAATTTAGGTTGAAAATATCATAAATTAAAAATGCATTGAATACATCTAACCTCCTGAACGTCATAGCTGAGCCCAACCTACTCTGGCTGGGCTGTGCTCAGAACTCTAACAGCCGTCATTTGGACAAAACCACTGGGCAACACAGTACACTGGACAGTGTCTATTGTTCACTCTCGTGATGCTGTGGCTGACTGGCAGCTGCAGCTCTCTGCCGCTGTGCAGCACCACAAGACAGCACTGAACCATGTATCACCAACCTGGGAAAAGATCCAAATTCAAAATTCCAAGTATGGTTTCATGCGTATTGCCTTCGCACTTTCTTAAATTTGAAAAATCGTAAGTCAAAATATCCTAAGTTGAGGGCTGTTTGTATTCAAAATGAAGAAGAGTTAAATTCAGGAATGTTAGGTTCTAACTCATATATAGCTAGAAAAGAATAGCAAATTAAACCTAAAGAAAGTAGAAAGAGGAAATATGATCTATATTTAAGAGCATAAATCCATGAAATAGAATATACATGTATAACAGGAAAAAGCAACAAACCTAAAAGTTAGTTCTTTGAAAATATTATAAAATTGCCATACTCCAAGCAAGGATAAGAGAGATAATATAAATTACACACATCTGCAACGAAAAAGAAACAAAACATTACCATAGAGCCTACTGACTTTAAAAAGAGTAAGAACACACTAGAAATCGCTGTGGAGGTGGCATGAGGAAACATTCTGGGATAACTGACATGTTTAATATTATGGTCTGGAAAGGAGTTCAAAGGGTGTATACATATGTAAAATATTTTCAAACCCTAGAATTCAGGCTTGTACACTTTCCTGGATATAAGTTAGACCTCAATTATTTTAAAAAGGGAACTACCTTAGATGATGAGATTCCATATTTTCTTATATCATAATTACTGCAGCTGCCATGGTAACTTACTGGGAAACCTTTTCTGTTTCTTCTTGGCTTCTTGATATTACAGACGTACTCAGTCTGCTCTGCCCTTCACAATTTACTGAACAACTTCCTGTAACCTATACTTGGGTTTGCCCCGAAGCCTGTGCTACCTTGAGCAGTCCTTTCTAGGTTGGCCAGCGTGACAAGAATCCTTAAGGGATATGTATTAAATATATAGATCACCCTGTCAATTCTTGTTCAGTAGGTCTCAGTTACAGCAATAATCTTTCTTTTTTTTTTTTTTTTGTTCTATCAAGTTTCAGTGATTCTTATCTTCAGCCAAATTTGGAAGCAGTGCCCTAGGTGGTATGATTAATTACTGTTATGATTAATTACCATCTCCTCACTTGTCCCACTTCCTCACCTCCCTTTCTGACTAGGTCTAGCAGGCATCCTACTTTTGTTTTCAAGACTGAAAGTTTGAAAAGAGGTCAGAGAAACCATTTAAGATAATTTTCAATGATAGTCAAAGCTAAAGGGAAATCATTTTCTTGAGGAACTTGTGTGGTTTTTCACCTTCAATGGAGTAAGAGCCATGATAGGCAGCAGTAGAAGTCTTTGATGATTTTAGTTCTAAGAAAGAAAACTGATACAAACCCACTTAGTTGGTTCAGCATATTACCGAGTATTTATTGTATCCAATTTTCTCAGGTTTGAAGACCACAATGTTACCACCATTATACCTACATCTACACAATGGTGTTGTGTATTAGTATCCAGTCTTGCAGCATTTGTGATGATGTTCTCAAAATTTTGTGTCTGACATTTTTTGTCTCCACATTTTTATGTAGAAATGAAAAGTGGAAAAAAGGGGCAAACCTAGGTAAAGATGAGTCATGTTGGTATCGTTTTGTGAAGGACATGATGTACAACTCTTCCATTTGACATTTATTAAGCACATGCTATGTACAAGGCACTGTGTAAGGCTATGGTTTCACAGCAGTAAATAAGAAAAACATATAATCCTGTTCTTACTAGACTTCATAATAAAATTCACAGTCTAGGACAGAAGAGATACTTTCTTTAAGTTAACATACTTTTCAATATCATTGTGGTAAGTTACATTAAGGAGAAGTTCAAGGTAAAATGACGAGATGTTAATGGAGGAAAATAAGCAAGTTTAGAAGTCAGTTAAGGTTCTCCATGGAAATGATAGTTAGCTCATATATTTTTCCTCTGATTTGTACTTTTCAATCAAATAAATGAATAGATTACATTTTTTCACAAAAGGAAATTTTTGAAAAACAGAGGTTTGCAGTTATATGCTGTGATTTGATTCTCTCGGAGATATGTCAATTAATGTACAAGGACAACTTTCAAAGCCAAAATACTTTGAGTGTCACTGTGATTCTGCTACAACAATTGTTAGCAAAGCCAGCTCTTTTCTTCCTCCTGTTTTGAAACAAGTACCCAACTGCAGTTAGCTTCTTTGCAGATAGACAATAGAAATAGATATGAAAACTTAAAAAAAAGAGAATGACTATGTCTAGGTAGGCGTATGTGTGATTTTTTTTTTTCATTTTTATTGGCTCTGTTCAAGATACGTGACTCTAGAGAACATCAGAAATAGCATAGTTGATCAGACAGTACCATTTCTGTTTCTATGTGAGCCCAGGGAAATAAATTACATTTTTTACCTTTCCAACTAGTTGCAGTGCATCTATAAAAGTATATGTCTATCAGTAATATCCAGGAAGAAATAAAATCTCGTGAGTATTTTCTCATGTCCTATGGTCATTGCGTCCATTTTTTCAGGTTGTGTTGGAGGCCATATATCACATCCAAGATCTATGCATGTTTTTTTAATAACTAATAAGACTGGTCAGGATTGTATTTTTTAACTACCACCTCCATCAGAAGAAACCTATATCCAAACACAATTCTTTGGGTTAGGGGAAAGAAATGTATGTCCTTTATACCGAATTTAATTTCCAAAGGCAAAACTCCAGCATGATTTAGGAAGTGGACATGGACCTGGAAGCTTGTGATCATTTTCAGGACAAGGTCAAGTTCAAACTTACACAGCTACCACCTATCAACGGCAGAAGAAGAAAGATGACCTGAAAACTCCTTTTACATCCTGTCAGAGAACAGAGTGCTTCAAGTGTATATATACCCAGACTGTTACATTACTGCATTAGCATAGCTGTTAAATACATTGATTCACCAAGTGAAGGCTGCCATGTGTTCCTAGCACTGTGCTAGGAAATGTGAATACAATTGAGAATAAAAACAAACTCAAGTTTCTGCCATGACAGAACTTATATTCCGCTCAGAGATGGGCAATAATACACTAAAAAAGAAATACATATATTACAATCATGCAGTGCTTATTATAGAGGAAACAAAGACAGTTCAGCAATAGATGCCATTGGTATGGAGGGATCACATAGAAAGAAATGTTAGGTAAGGTCCTTATAGGTGGTGGTATTTAATTAAATATTTCAAAAGTGAAAATATATTCCAGCCATGTAAATAATGGGAAAAGTGTCACATCCATTTGCCAAGATAATGAGACAGGACCTCCCTGGGTTTGAGGCTCATTGAGGAGATTAGTGTGTTTGAAGTGTAGATGAGAGTGGAAGAAGAAGATGAAGTGGAGAAGTGCCTGGAAACCAGATCATTTAGTGCCTCTTAATTTTATACAATTTACTGAAAATAAACTATAGTTGACCTTTGAACAACGTGAGTTTGAACTACTCTGATCCACTTATACATGGATTTTCTTTCACCTCTCCCACCCATGAGACTGCAAAACCATCTCCGCCTCCTCCTTCTCCTATTATCCCTCTTCCCCTTCCTTGTGATAATTTTTTTTTTTAATACTTTAAGTTCTAGGGTACATGTTCACAACGTGCAGGTTTGTTACATATGAATACATGCGCCATGTTGGTGTGCTGCACCCATTAACTCCTCATTTACATTAGATATATCTCCTAATACTATTCCCCCACCCCAGGACAGGCCCCGGTGTGTGATGTTCCCCTTCCTGTGTCCAAGTGTTCTCATTGTTCAATTCCCACCTATGAGTGAGAACATGCGGTGTTTGGTTTTTTGTCCTTGTGATAGTTTGCTGAGAATGATGGCTTCCAGCTTCATCCATGTCCCTACAAAGGACATGAATCCATCCTTTTTTATGGCTGCATAGTATTCCATGGTGTATATGTGCCACATTTTCTTAATCCAGTCTATCACTGATGGACATTTGGGTTGGTTCCAAGTCTTTGCTATTGTGAATAGTGCCGCCATAAACATATGTGTACATGTGTCTTTATAGCAGCATGATTTATAGTCCTTTGGGTATATACCCAGTAATGGGATGACTGGGTCAAACGGTATTTCTAGTTCTCGATCCTTGAGGAATCGCCACACTGTCTTTCACAATGGTTGAACTAGTTTACAGTCCCACCAACAGTGTAAAAGTGTTCCTATTTCTCCACATCCTCTCCAGCACCTGTTGTTTCCTGACTTTTTAATGATCGCCATTCTAAGTGGTGTGAGATGGTATCTCATTGTGGTTTTGATTTGCATTTCTCTGATTGCCAGTGGTGATGAGCATTTTTTCATGTGTCTGTTGGCTGCATAAATGTCTTCTTCTGAGAAGTGTCTGTTCATATCCTTCGCCCACTTTTTGATGGAGTTGTTTGTTTTTTTCTTGTACATTTGTTTGAGTTTTTTGTAGATTCTGGATATTAGCCCTTTGTCAGATGAGTAGATTGCAAAAATTTTCTCCCATCCTGTAGGTTGCCTGTTCACTCTGATGGTAGTTTCTCTTTTATTTATTTATTTATTTTTTTTGAGATGGAGTCTCGCTTTTTTGCCCAGGCTCGAGTGCAGTGGCGCAATCTCAGCTCACTGCAACCTCCGCCTCCCAGGTTCACACCATTCTCCTGCCTCAGCCTCCCGAGCAGCTGGGACCACAGGCTCTCGCTACCACACCCAGCTAATCCTTGTGATAGTTTGCAGGACAAGGTTACGTTCAAATGTTAACCTCCTCACCTTGTTCAATGTGAAAACCAGGAGGATGAAGAGTTTACGATGATCCACTTCCACTTAATGAATAGTAAATATATTTTCTCTGTCTTATGATTTTCTTGATAACATTTTCTTTTCTCTAACTTACTTTAAGAATACAGTATATAATATATGTAACATACAAAATATGTGTTAACCAATGGTTTATGGTATCAGTAAGGCTTGCAGTCAATGGTAGGCTATTAATAGTTAAGTTCACAGGGGTCAAAAATTATACATGGATTTTCAACTACACAGGGGGTCAATGCCCCTAATCCCTGAGTTGTTTAAGGGTCAACTGTATATAAAACCTTCTTAACTGTTGGAAATATGTAGAAGATAAAGTAAGAAGAGGTTGTAGAGGTGTGAGTTTTTTTAAAGCTAAGAAAGATAATACTAGGTTTTTCAATTGGTTGTATCAGTTCTATTGAAGAAGGTACACGACTAGGATGATATGGAATGAGGGAGTTACTATAGAAGTTAGACCTAATGCAATGATGAGAACTGATTTAAAAAGCTCTGCAAGGTTGTTGCCTTTGGGGCTGGTGTTGAGCTTAAACTGAGGGAGAGGAAAGACAAATTGGAACCTCTCACTGGCTCCTCATTACCTCCAACCTTGATGATGATGATAACCTGTCGGACGGGTGATGACTGCCACAGAGTTGTGTGCATATCTGGCCTAGAACTCTGAAAAGGCAAAGGAAGAGACCTGGGAGGAGCTGGAGGAGCTGAGGGTCTGGGTGCACTCTACAACAACTAGGTGAGCTGGCATCTCAGCAACAATATCCATGGACGGCTCTTGTGTCTGACCCTTGGAGCATATCGACAGCTGCTACTCCACTTGCACCACCCAAATCTCCCATACATGTCCCTTGATCTAACCTGGAACCACAGAAGAAAAGGAATTTGGGGAGTGTAGCTACTATAGGTAAGTTGACACAGAACAAAACCATTGCATGGAAGGTAATGACAACAACGAAAACTATGAAAACCACTTATAGTGACATGGCTTAATCTTTTGGTGTTGGTAGTTTGGGATGTTGTTATGGTGAGCGTGTGCATTTTGAGGAATTTGTATTGATAAAAAAGAGACATGATTCTCACATGATCTTTGTTCTCTCCTCTTATTTTACTGGAAGACAAATTCTCATATCCATATAAACTTTGCTTTGATAATCTGTGACACTGTTAATAATCTAAAATTTTGCTTTTATAATAACTTTATTTTGAACCACATACAACCCCAAGAAACAGATGCTAAAATTAAAAATGTAAATTGTGGAAGACTATGTATACATTCATAATTGCCTGATATTCAAGAACACCCAGAAATATATTCTAGAAGATTCTCAGAGCTGGAGGAATCTATAGACCCAGGGGTTTTCAAATATTGTTTGTCATTAGAGATCAAAGAATTCCTTTATGCAGAGCATTAAAATAAAGGATGTGAAAAAGGCTACCAATAGCTTTGACTGAGGCAGGAGTAAGAGATTCAGTAGCACCTGTCATTTTACCTTCTGTAGTCACTGAAAGAATTCTAGGAAATAAAACAGAACACCAACCTAAGAGGCCTCTTGAGGCTGGCTCTGTCTCATTCTCTTCCTCTTTGAAGAAAGATTCCATGCGTCTATTGTAGCCCCAAGATAAATGCAACTACACAGCACATAAATGGGAAATTGAACTTTCATTGAAGACTCTTGAGTAAAGACAGGGAAGAATGTTAACCCTGTTGCCCATACCATGTGGCAAAATTGCATTAAAATACTCTTCTAAACATGTTTTTTCCAGGTTCCTTCAGCCATGCGCTTCTTTCCCCATCACCAAGGTACCACTTCCTGAAATTTCCTTTTTGTCTGAATAACAACAATTACATAACTCAGTGAAAGAAATACATTTAGATAATTTAAACTACCCTCCTAAATAATAAAAACTCTCATTTACAGAGTGCTTAGTATGTTTCAAGAAGTGTGCAAATTGTGTTACATGCATTGGCCCTTTTTTGTCCCAAAACAACTCCAGTAGATAGCTACTATTATCTCCTGTTTTATAGATAAAGAAACTACGGCAAAGAAATGTTAACTAATTTGTCTAAAGTCAATCAGGTAATAAGTGGTAGAGGCAGGCAACAAATCCCAGGCTGAGGTCTTCCTAAGAAAGATAGCAAGGACGCAGTATTGTTATTCAGTCAGAGCTTTGAAATACCTCATGCTCCACCAACTCAAAAGTATTCACCAAACAAAACCAGTTGCCTCCTGCGTGGTGGAGAAGAAGATTATAATGCTTCCTGAAGAAAATACAATATTCATTGTAATGTTACAGCTGTTTGAAAACCACTAGATCTTCTGATGCTCACATTTTTGAAAGCCAAAACATTTCTCCAGCAAGTCATCACAACTATTTGTTGAGCTGAGTTATAATATGGCAGATTGCATATTCCAAAGATATTCACAAAAACATCCCCCGTCCCACAAGCTACTGCTACACTATGACTTTGACATGCCTCCCATTAAGAGATAGGGTTTATGCTCCCTCCACTCAATCTAGGTGGGCTTTTGACTAGGGTGAATGTAAGGCTATATGTCTTTGAAGGCTAGTTCCTACCTGGCTCTCTTGGGCTATTCACTCTTCAAAGCCAGCTACTAGTCTGTGAAGAAACCCAAGCTAGCCCACTCGGAGGTCATGTGTAGGTGCTCTAGCCAAGAGTCCAGCCAACAGCCAAGTTAACAACCAGATACATGTATGTAAAGACGCCTCCACATGAGACTTCCTAGCCGAGGGCCCCTGACATCATGGTGCAGAGACAAGCAATACAGGTTCTGCCCTGTCCAAACTCCTGATCCACAGAATCCATGAGCACAACACTATGAGTGTTTCATGCCACTGTGTTTTTGCATGGCTTGTCACATAGCAATAGTAACTGGAACTTACAGGGAGGAAAAAGGTTCAAAGAAGAAGTGAGCTCTCAAAGGTCCTAGAACTTATACTCAAGATGCTCTCAAAAATATTCACTGAATTTGACTGCTGCATAGCAACAAAGCCAGTATTACAATCTCAGCAGCACCCTGTCTGCTGCAGCACCAAGTTTTCTCCAATTACGCTTCGACGTAATAAAAAATAAAAAGGAGATTTTGCTATCCCAGCTATTAAAATCCATGGTAACCAGGACTTTAAATATATGTAATATATGCTGCTAAAGTTCTTGGAAATACTTTGTTCTCATGAATAAGTAAAATACTCTTCCAAATATTTAATTTTTACTTTCAAAGTAGTTTCTTGACTTTTTGTTCCCACTCTAGATGCCTCCTACATTGATTTCTCACTCTCTATGTATTCCCTCTCCTCCAGTCAAGAAGTTTTGTCCAGCTTTACTTTCTGGCTTATGTAAGAAATAGGTGTAGTAAATAGGCTTTCCCAAACCTGGCATGCTTCTGGGTGACAGATTCTGCAATAGTTCCTCATCTCCACTGGAATCACAGTTTTGTGGCACCACTTCAGAAATCATTTTTATACTCGTAAAAAGGTAAATACTAGCTTGTTCCCCACCCAAATTACAATGATATTCTAATTACTTGGTTCCAAATTCACCATCCATTATTCTCTCCCAGATTCCCTGCAATATTCTTCTATTTCTGAGCAAACATCAATTGTGCCAATGTCTTAAGTACCGTCAATCTAAACTGAAATGGTGCCAGCTTCCTTAATATCATCACCAAATACCTTATTAATTAATTAATGGTGCTGTGAATAATAAAGTACTGGTGTTGTTAAACCAGGCAAAAAGCAGTAGGTAGGCAAAGGCAGCAACTGTTCCAGCTTACCGGAATATCTGTCAACTAGCTAGAAGGGGAAGGTGAGCATTTCCACTGGACATTAAAACAAAATCAGCAGGAAAATAATAATAACTCACAATTGGGAGCCACTGTCCTGATGAATGCTTTCGAGGTAAGATGCTCTTCAGGTTGGTAAAGTGGGACTTTTTCACATAAAGCCCAAGGTTTCCGCCTACTGGTAATCTAATGAGAGAAGTGCTGGCTCCTCTTGTGTTTGTTTTAAAGCACCTTTCAGAATTGGGAGTAAATGTAATTCATTGGACAGGCCACACGATGAATTGGTTTCACAGTCCACTCTGTCAGCTTTATGATGCTGAAAGCAAAGATGGAACAAGAAGAGTGAGTATTGAGGACAAAATAGAGTGAGTAATAAGAGAACAACAAAGCTATCGCTGTTGAAAAGAGCTTTTACTCAAGAGTATTGAATAGCACACTTACCTTTTTTTCCTCCTCCAATCCAGGTGAACAGGGCTGAGAAGACCGTCATTGTTTCAAATGATTGATGTTATTTCTTACAGTTTGTCACCATTACCACAAGTATGGTCTGGATTACTTTGTTTGCTCAGCTGTTCCTGGCTCTGCTCATCTTGCCTCAAACCAAGCAACTGAGAGGGGCATGGATCATAGGGTCCATCAGCTGCCTGATGGAGCCCCACATTCGGGCCTTCCCCCTCCTCTACTCATCAATCTCCATTGTCCTGGCAAGAAGGTAATGTCTGCGGCAGTACATGCCACCCCCAAGCTGTACAATACATAATACGATCATGCTTTCCAAAATGGCCAGCTTACTGTGATTGGTTAAATATCCCCCTGGTTCATGTAAAGCATGAAGTGAAGGAGGATGAGGGGAAGTTGCTGACATTTTTTAGTATCTGCTTTGTGAAAGGCACTGTGCTAATTTTTTTCACATATATTACCATACTATTTAGCCTTATGATAATTCTGTGGAGTAGGTATCATTTTTTTCCCGTTTTACAGATAAAGAAACTGAGGTTCAGAAATAATACACAATTCGCCAAAGGCTAATCAGTTCCTAGTGTCGGAGTACAGAAAATGATTCCCCAAAATGTGGCACTGGGGCATGCTGAGTGCTTCTGTAAATTGAAAGGGCTCAGAAATAAGCCTCAGAATCAGGGTTCCCCTAACCTTGTCTTGTCCCCCCACCCCACCGAGTGCAGCTGCATTTTGAGTTAACCCTGTAGGATGAGCTTTCAGAGTTTTACGCCTTTTTGTTGTGCAGAGCAAGCACATGATTCATCAGTTTTTGTTTTTTATCTTTAGCATGCTTGTTTTTCTTTTTCTGTATGTGGTGCTGTGGCTTGTTGTTAGACATCTGGGCAGAAGAGTTGAGCTAATGTTGTAAGTAAAACACTTAAATTAAAACTTCAAATATCTCCTCAACTTATAATTAAATGTACCATATGGTTCTATTTTACGGAAAGCTGGGGCCTAATTTAATGTTTTCCTTTTTCAGCAACAAATTTTACTGGCTTGTTCTCAATCATTTTTATGTCACAAAAACAATTACTACCAAGGCAATATTTTGAGATTATTAGACAGAAACAACCTCTTACCTGGGGATAAAAATATTGTTTCTGGTGTGCCTGTATCATTATTTAAGCTCATCTGGGAATAAAAAATTGTTGCTTGGCTTAACATTTGTTGTGTCAGTGTAACAAAGGTTCACACTTTTCTCCATGTTTCGTCATTTTACTTTCTGTTTAATTTGAACGCAATCTGAGACAAAATGCTGATTTTTGCACATTTTAACAGATACGGTTGAGCATCATTTGGGGTGTTCTAAAAATGTCCAGTAAGCAAGTTACAAATATAAGACCAACTTTCATCACCTGAAAAAGTTCATATCTTCTTGTCAACTTTACTAAAAGAGGAAAGTGGGAGGTGGAGACTGTTAATTAATATTTAAAGAGAACAGCCTTTTAAAGAGGCAATTCCAATTTTCTGTCCACCTTGCTTCTGCAGGCACATTCAATGACTCCACTCCTTAACTCTTTTTAACAAGCTACTTGTTTTTTTATTTGAAAGGTAAGTCATAGTTTGTAATCTTCCCCACCAAATATATTCTGTGCAAAATTGTTCCTCCAGACATTATTAGTCACCAGCTACATAGGCATCTGTTAATATGCTTCATTGCCTAAACGCAACACTTAATTCATTTTCATTTTTAAAGTGACACAATCTCTGCCCTTCAAGGAACACACGATCTAAAGCAAACACTTTCAAGGGTGTAATAACCCTGAAAGTGAGAATGTGAATGACTGTATTATCAGCTCCAACAAGAAGTCATTGTGCACAGAAAAGGATTTATTTAAAGGAGATACTTGAATGAATTAATAAAAACTAGGATGTAAAGTGCTTAATTTCTTTACCATATAGTCACATTTTAGAATCCCATGCAGATCTGTGAAAAAAAATGAGGTAGACCAAAACCCAAGTACTGACATGGGATCATCACCAAAACAAATTAAATTTAAAATGGCAAGTTATATTAACCCAACAAATATTTCAGGATTGCTTTAGTATGTTTCAAACACTCCTCTCACTTCTGGTTATAGCAGAATCCACAAAGTCCCCGCTCTCATGCATTCTGATATAATCCCAATTTACATTTTTAAAAAATAATAAAGTGATCTATGTACAGACACATAAATCTATGTAACTGAGTAGAAAGAGGCCTCGAAGGATGCACACCACGTAGCTGAGTGTTTGCTTCTGGAGAGTAAAGTAGGAGCAAGAAGGTAGTGAAGGGAGGCATTTTGTATGTGGAGAACAATTTGAACAAGAGTTGAAAGAAAAAGTCACTGCTAGCATCTTATCACAGTTTACAAGGAATATGTCCTGAGACTGCTCACAATCCCCGAATTTGCCAACACAGTTAATTTTCCCTTGAATCATGGATCCGTGGAGAGTCACATGAGCGACCCACAGTGTGTAAAATCATATCCCTAGTTTGATGTTATTTCATTTTCATTGTTTTATATATCGGTTACTGGACTTTAAGAAAAACAAAATGAACAAGAAAGACTGTCACCTTGAAAGAGTGACAATCCAGGCGTGAGAAAGGCAACTGGCAAAGCTAAGCAGAGATGCAGTTGTTTGGCTGTTAGTTTGTTTCACTGCTGAATAAATAACTGGCTTCACACATCAGTCTTGTAAGGAGTGATAAGAATAATTCAGATTTGTAGCTCAACAAAATGACAAATTACTATATATCAGGGCTCACCGTGGGATAGTGAAAATATAAATGTTGGAGCTGCCAAGTCACATATCCAGCCTTAAAAATTAAAAAAAAAAAAATGAAGGCAGATGGTGTCTGGAAAGTGCATCAATTCTGACTCTGATGGGCTTCTGAAAGACTCTTGCAGGGCCTGGCAAGAGGGTGGAAGTGTGCAGGTGCAACCAATAAATAGCCCAGTACAAAAGTAAGTTGACAAATGAAAACCCATGCCAATCACATAGATGATATTGCTAGACTCTGCCACGTGTGAAAACACCTTCATGTCCGCATTGGAAGAGAAAACCTCTGGACTTCTGGCTTATGATTGAATTCCCTTTTGACCTTTTGTTTTGGAATAATTGGGGAGAAGCATAGGGTAAAATATCAGGTGGCAATGGTAAGCTTCCTCTGGGCCTAATTAATACAGAACTCTTTCCAGCAGGGGCGTGGTCTGTATCTGGAACTAGCTGCCTTGATGTATGCAGTGGAATTGTCTCTTTATAGGTAGGCAGGTTTGTCTCAGGACCCTGGTAGAAAGTTATCTGTCTGTTTTACGAGGCCCACCCAGGAAACGGAGCTCTGTAATTGGTAAGTGAAGTTACTCTGTACATAAGGAGGGCTTTACATAAATACACCAAATATAACATGATCCTAGTTGTCTTTTCCCAAAACAAAGATATTTGAACTGTTGCCTAAAACTCAAAGTTACTATTTTGCCACCTTACTAAATTGCCTTTACAGGGGTCAAAAACTTCTATATACTCCCATCCATCAACTATTATCATAGGCACATTTAATTTTTTTTTTTTTTGAGATGGGGTCTCGCTCTGTTGTCCAGGCTGGAGTGCAGTGGCACAATCTTGGCTCACGGCAACCTCCACCTCCCGGGTTCAAGCGACTCCCCTGCCTCAACCTCCTGAGTAGCTGGGATTACAGGCACCTGCCACCACACCC
This sequence comes from Homo sapiens, assembly GCF_000001405.40. Taxonomy (NCBI): domain Eukaryota; kingdom Metazoa; phylum Chordata; class Mammalia; order Primates; family Hominidae; genus Homo; species Homo sapiens. Next base: position 1,966,515 of record NC_000003.12, read on the forward strand.
GGCTAATTTTTTGTATTTTTAGTAGAGACAGAGTTCCACTGTATTAGCCAGGATGGTCTCAATCTCCTGACCTCGTGATCTGCCCACCTCGGCCTCCCAAAGTGCTGCTGCCGCGCCAGGCCACGTTTACATTTTTTGATAATTTTTGAGAGACTGTTTTTTGGGCTGTTAGATAAAACTAACACCATTTTTAAAAAACTGTTTTTATAATAGTTGCTCACATACAGTATACAGACAATTGGAAGATTAAAAGGAAAGCATTTAAAAGTTACTTGAGAATGTTGAAAAATAGCAGTAAGTGGCAGTTTAAATACTTGTTAAGTGCAGTGTCAAAATTGATTGGGGCTTTATGGAAGGAATGCCAAATTTTAAAACATTATTTAATTCTTCATGTAGTCCTCTCAGTTGTTCTTCACTGTTCCAAGAATACAAGTAAATTATTTACCAGTAACATGTTGTCAGACATGCAGGTGTCTCCTAATATTTTTTATTCACATTATCAGCTCCAGCAATTTAATGAGCTTCCTGCCAGCCACACATAAGTAGATGAGATAAGAGAACTGGAAGATCTCGTATGTGTGTTGCTTATATCAGAAATGCAGATGCATGGGTGCACGATCAAAATAGACTAGCAAACCACAGCAGTGCATCATTGTAACAGCCTGGAATACTCCATTAAAACACCTCTTGGTGGCTCGATTTGCCTTCTTGTTCTAGATCAGATTTCAGGTCATTTATACACAAACACCCATCATAGAGCCCACTCTATTAGCCACAGGAAACATTATTCACTTTACACATTTTCTTGTAACTAATACTTTTCCCACAAAAATCTCCACAGTAATTTTTCAAATGGTTTGAATCTTTTTTATTCTTGTTGTTTTGGTAGAGAAAAAGCTTTATAACCTGTGAAAAATGACAAGTTGAATAAATTATTAAAAGGCCCTTAACATTTGATGGTGTAAGACCCCAAGAAAAGATATCCCTTTAATATTATGATGTAAACTATCAGGACCATACTACTTGTAAGAAAATGACAGTAAATCCTTTTGAATATTTATTTCTAAGATTTACAGAGTATTAATAGGGTATTTCATTTCATTTGTTTTAAAAAAAAATCAGAACATTAAGCGATAGCATTTCCTCTTCAACTATACTAAATTGTCTCGACAGCAATGATAATATTATTGCTCTTAATGTAAAGAAGAATTGTAAATCACTTCATCTTTGTATTTATACAAGATAATATCACTATTAATGAGCAAAGTGACTCAGAAAATGAAACCCATTACATTCCTTTGATTTGACTAGGTTACTGAAAGTAGCAATAAATATTTGTTACAAACAAAAAACAGATTGTCTTTGTTAAAAATTTCTCATGAAGTAGTAGGGAATTAAACTAAATACCTTCATTTTGAATCAAGCTGAGAAATCAGACAATTTCCTTAAAATTTAGAGCTCCTGCTAAAATGAGAATATTTACTTTGGGCATCCACTGATTAAAATTGCCAGGGCATCCTTTACAGCTTATATTTCCGTTTTCCCATAAAGTAGATAGAAGTATACAAAATAAAGTAAAACTAATGTATCACAGCCCAAGACAACTGACCTATGTAAAATGATTTTCTTTTTCCACAACATCTTCTGATTGAATTTATCTTTTTCTCTCATTCTTGCTGTCATCTTACTGAATTTAATCAGTGGAAAATAATTTGTCAAGGGAAGTTTATGCATAATTATGTTTAAGCATGAGATACTTTTCTTAAAAGACACACAAAGATTATTTAATAATATATTTCCATACTTAAAATGAATGAACATGTTCAAAGATTGGGCTTGTTGTGCAATAACATTTCAGGAGTATTTTTAATGGCATTTTTTTCCAATAAGCAAACATGTATCTAACCATGTGATAAAAATGGGCGGAAGGGAGGAATAGCCACAAAGATGAGGAAGACCCAGCATTGGACCCAACATAAAGAATGTTTTTAAAATGAGATAATTCTAAGAAGAATCACAATGGCTGCAAAGTCAATTATTCTAATCAAATCACATTTCAAAATGTAAATTCAATTTCCTATAAGCCCCATGTATGCTTAACAATTTGTGAAGCACCCTGCTATTTCTATAGCTTGTTAGCTGACTTTCTTGAAATGAAGACTTTGTCAGAAGAACATCTGTGCTCTTTATTCTCATCTATGTTTCTCATGAACTGTGGAGTAAAAGTATTAATACAGCGACGGTGCTGATCGATTGATTCAACACACATTTAGTGAGCACCTACTGTGTTCCAGGAACATGATGTTCAGTTTCAATTAAGTCCTTTGCAACTTGGAATCCCTCTATCACTAATTAACTGTTTGAAATTAAAAATACATCAGCACACACAGGCTATCCTGTTGTTGCTAGCTTTATTCTCTTCAAATTAATGAACATTTGAATATAGCTAGATTTCACTGAAATAATAAATTCTCGTTCTTGTGCTATTGCAAATTATATCTTTTGATAAAGCAACCTTGCGGAGCAGGGATGTGAATGACATTAAGTTGAGGAATGCATCTGTTTGCAGTGGGAGAATCAAGAATATTTGAATAAATTATTGATATGTTTTCTGATCAAATAGTTGTGATGATTACATCAGGCATTTGGAATTATTCCAATGCTGCTGTCTTACAAACTTCAGTGTATCCAGACCTACCTACTACCCAATATTTTCCCTTAATATACTATAATGTGTCTGTTCCTCTATTTCAGAAGCTATGTTTTGTCCCAGTGTGAATATCATCTAAGGATCAACTTTATTAATCTAGCCCTTTTTCATTTTAACAGCTTAATTAAATCATCATAAAACGTACTGTTTTCCTGTGAGGATAAAGATCCATTTCCTTAGCCTTTCTCTTCAACATAGTAAATCTCTGAAAAAGCCACCTTCTTGGCATTTCCTAAACTGCACTTTTTCCAAATCTATTTTCGTTTCCTTGAGGAATTCCATAATGACCCATCCAATACTTCCTGTGGGTGAGGTCAAATTGTGAACAGCACAGCTTCCTAGATTTATTACCTTTTCTGCTAGAAACAAACCAAGAACCCTCCTTTCTTTATTCAGTGCCATCTCATATTGCTTTTTCACTTTGCAAATTTGTCACAGTCTGGTTGTAGGTTACCTTTTCTTTTTTTTTTTTTTAACTTTTGGTTATACACACGTCTTGCTCTAAGCTTGTTTACACTGTGTTATAAATATACTTCTTATATCTTTTTCCAGTAACCAAGTGATACAAGTTCCTGGTTCCCTTGAAGTCATTTTTCTCACTAAGAAAAAAGAATGACCTGAGCAAAATTAGATGACAGCATAGGATAGCAGAGTGTTAGTGTCATTTCTGAAGGAATGACAGGGTAGTGTGTTTGTTTATCTGTTTCTGGACTCTGTATTTCTTAAATTTTATTTACATAAACCTAATTATTGAGTTCAGTTAAAAATAAACAGCAACAACAAAAACTAAAATCAGTAATCTCAGGGGAAAAATGGGATGAAGCATTAGTTAAGTTATATGTAACTACGATAAAATATTTTTTGTCCTATATTCATAGACTTTTTATTTAGTCTAGAAAAATGCAAACCAAACAAAATTCAATGATGAAAACACTCTAGATGTTCACTGTTCAATGCCATGACCCCTCCCCAGATGTGGCTATTGAGCACTCGAAGTGTGGCTAGTGGGACTGACGCACTCAGTTTGTGGTTTCGTTTTTTTTTTTGTTTTTTTGTTTTAAGACAGGGTCTTGCTCTGTCACCCAGGCTGGAGTGCAGTGGCACAATCATGGCTCACTGAAGCTTTGACACCCCAGGCTCAAGCCAACCCCCAACTCAGTCTCCTGAGTAGCTGGGACTAAAGGCATCTACCACCACACCTGGCTAATTTTTAATTTTTTTTTTCTTTGTAGAGACAGAATTTTGCCATATTGCCCAGGCTGGTCTCAAATTCCTGGGCTCAAAGTGCTAGGATTACAGGCATGAGCCACTGCACCCAGCCTCATTTGATTTTAATTAATTTAAATTTAAATAGCAACATGTGGCCAGTGTCTACTATATTGGACAACACAAGTCTAAAATATAAATATAAAGGGTAATTCTGAAGGGATTTATTAACTAAATTATAGTTTTGAGGAAAATTATGGCTTGTCTTACAAAGGAGCATTATTTTAATAATTATTTAATGTAATCACAATAGTCCCTTTATTGTAAACATTCCTGTTTCTTTTAAAAAATGAATGTTTAAACATCTGTAATATCAGAGCTGGATTATATCATCAAATTCTCACAGGAACCCTCTAAGTTAAGTATTCCTTTAAACTTATATTACAGCTAAGGTAACAAAAGCTTAGAAAAGTAATTTTCCTGAAGTCACACAGCTATAATACGGTAGTACCTGTTTAGAATCCATATATTTCTGATTCCAAGTTACAAGATCTTAACAAGTCTAACACACATTTTTAACTGCCTGCTATGTCCCAGACATTGCTTTGTAGACCATCAACAGAATAGAAATAATATCAAAAAAATGTTTTTATTGACACTAAGGTGAGGTAACATGTAAATAGTAGCTACTGCTCTTTTCTAATAAGATGATCCATAGGTCTAGACATAAAGAAACACATAAACTCAGTAAATATACACATATACTCAAAGTCTGAAAACATGAGCATTTTTTAGGACTTAACTTGTTAAAATGCTTTTTAGTTCAAAACACTTAAACTTTCTCAATTTAAAAAGATTATGAAACATCTTTCAAGTGCACGTATGACTTGGCAAGAATGTAGGGACAGTTTCTTGACGCTCAAAAAGACAAAAGCACACAACAGCAGTGGCTGGTAAGCATCAGGAGGGACAACTGTGCTAGTAACATATGACAATCCATAGTGATCCAGTGCTGTGCTACGAAAAGTGTGGTCTGCAGAATAGCAGCAGTACATCAACTGGCAGCTTGTTAGAAATTAAAACATACACACACACACACACACACACACACACACACAATGAAAACTTAGACCCTACTAGATACCTATGGAATCAGAATCTGCATTTGAACAGGATCCCCAGGGGAGTTGATGGGAAGAATATTTTGCAGTGTATCTACCCTTTTGGGATGACTGCTTTTAAAATGCCTCCAAAGTGGGCACTAGAGTCAAACTCCAGGGTCTATGCAAGGTTCAAAGTGGGGTCTAGAATTGGAGCTCAAAATTAGTAACCCAGAAAGGCAAGGCCCGCTGTGAAAGGGTGAACCAACCAAAGCCCACCATTAATAAATACATGCTAGGAAAACTTGCTTATCCTAGTTTAGGGACAGCTCTGGGAGGATGGGGAGTCTTTCCTGAAATTTCACAAACAAAGGAAAGACCTGATGAGTTTTAGGCTAAGAATTCATATCATCCCACGTGGCCTCAAAATCCTAAGCAGAATAATTCAGGCTAATGTGGTGATAGGTTGTTAGTGCCTAAAGGAAACTGATACAATGGAGCAACATACTTTAAAAAAAAAGGCCTCAAACATTTCCCATACATATGATTCATTGACTATGAATTCACAACTTAAAAAACTAAGAAAAGAAAGAAAGAAAAACACCAGCCACACCAGCAAGAATCAGCAGAAACAGCAAACATCAGAATTAGACCTACTAAGACTACAGGCATTGAATTTTTAGCTATACAGACAATAATTTTTAGAAAAAATACATAATTAAAATTAAAATGTCAGTTACAATAGCAACACCACCAACAAGAAAACAAGGTATCCAGGCTACAAATATATTTTGTTTTAATTCCCAGCAACTTAAAGGAGAAACTTATTTTTTAAACTTTCTTTAAATACATTAAAAAGACACATGATTCCAAAATGGAAGCACAGAAGAAAGCTACCTTTACTCCCCCTCTCCCACCAGAAAACCAGAACCAAATATACAACACTGAATTTATCACCAGCAATACCCCAGAACTCACATATAAAGATGAGACAGTTCCTAGGGCCATAGATTAAGTGAAAAAACTCTGGGCAGAGAGAATTGGACTTCTGTTTCTGTGACACCCCTCCCTGCAACATGTCTGGCCCCAAGCATGTTGAAACTCACAGTTTCAACACTGGAAAAAGTCGGATTAAGGTAGACAACCAGCTTCCCCACCATCTTAAGTTCCTTAGCAGGAGACCTATTCCGGCGTGAACCCACAGGAAGCACTGGGGGTACCAGAAGGGAGAAACATCAAGGACAGCCAACGACAGAAGGGGGAAGCAGGACTACCATTCCCATCACTGGAAATTCTGTCCTGTAACTATGCCAAAAAGATGCCACATCACAGTGACTATTCAGCTGCGCTATCCTGTAGGAGGTTTGTTCCACAGGCCTTCTGGTCATGAATCCCTAACCAGTCTTCCCACACTACTGGGATGTCCCCTTTGGGATCTCCTTGCTTCTGGACTAGTGGTACTCTGATTACTAGAACCAAGGCAAACTTGAGCTTAAGGTATCATTTAGCTCTGAAAAGGAGGTAGTGACCTAGCAGGAAAAAAAATAAAGAAAGAAGGAAGAAAAAGAGGGGGATGGGTGAGAAGAAGAAGAAAGGAAGAAGAAGAAGAAAGAAGAAGAAGGAGGAGGAGGAGGGAGAGGAGGAGGGAGGGGGGATGGGTGAGAAGAAGAAGAAGGAGGAGGAGGAGGAGGGAGAGGAGGAGGGAGAGAAAGAAAGAGAGAAAGAAAGAGACCAAAGAGAGAAAGAAAAAGAAAGAAGAAAGAAAAGAAAAAGAAAGAGAAAGAAAGAAAAAGAGAGAAAGAAAGAAAGAGAAAGAAAGGGAAAGGAAGGAAGGGGAGGGAGAGAGGGAAAGAAAATCAACAGGTAAATTACAAAGAATTTCTAAGCAAACATATCCAGTAAAAACCAAAACAAGCCACACAGAGAAGACTGGAATAAATAATAGACATAAGTCCACAAGAAACAACAGCAAACAGGGAACTGTGACCTCTGCAAACAGAAAAAGGCAAGGAACCAGTGATGAAACTCTAATGAGACAGCAGTATGTGAACTCTGACCAATAATTCAAAATAGTAGTTTTAGGGAAATTCAGTGATCTCCAAGAGGGAAACACAGAAAAGCTTTTCAGAAATGTACCAGATAAATTTAATAGATTGAAATAATTTTTAAAAATCAGACAGATACCTTGGCACAGGCTGGGAATGGTGGCTCCTGCCTATAATCCCAGCACTTTTGGAGGCCAAGGCAGCAGGATTACTTGAGCCCAGGAGTTCAAGACCAGTCTGAGCAGTATGGTGAGACTCTGTCTCTACAAAAAAATAACAAAAAAATGGCCGGACATGGTGGTATGTGGTTGTAGTCCCAGGTACTTGGGTGGCTGAGGTGGGAAGATCTCTTGAGCCTGGATGATTGAGGCTGCAGTGAGCTGTGATGGTACTACTGCAGTTCAAGCTGGGTTACAGAGTGACACCCCGTCTCAAATTTAAAAAAAGAATGAAAGAATAAAAAAATAAATCTTGGCATTGAGAAATACATTTGCTGAACTGAAAAATCCATTAGAGGCTCCCAACATCAAAATGAATCAAGCAGAGAAAATAATAAATGAGCTTGAATACAGTTTATTTGAAAACGCACAGTCAGGCCAGGTGCAGTGGCTCATGCCTGTAATCCCAACACTTTGGGAGACTAAGCAGGCAGATCACTTGAGCCCAAGAGTTCCAGACCAGCCTGGGCAACATGGTGAAGCCCCATTACTACCAAAAAATACTAAAATTAGCTGGGTGTGGTGGCATGCACCTGTAGTCCCAGCTACTTGGGATGCTGAGGTGAGAGAATCACCTGAGCCTGGGAAAGCAAGGGTGCAGTGAGCCATGATCCTGACACTGTACTCCAACCTAAGTGACAGAGTGAGGCCCTATGAAACAAACAAAAAACAAAAGCAAACAAACAAACAAAAAACAAGAAAGAAAGAATATGCACAATCGGAGCAGAAAAAATGAAAAAAAATAAAAAGAATGAAGATTGCCTACAAGGTAAAGAAAATTACTTAAAAATACCAAATCTAAGAATTATTGGTGTTCAAGAGGAATTTGAGCAAGAGCAAAGGGTAGAAAGATTATTCAAAGAAATAATAACAGAAAACTTTTCAAAACTTGAGAAAAAAAAAAAAGAAATACTGAGATAACAGAAGGTCAGAGAACACCAAATAAACTGAATAGGAAGGAATACTTCCAAACTCACTCCTATGAGGCTCGCATTACCCTGATACCACAACCAGACAAAGACACAACAGAAAAAGAAAACTACAGGTTAATGAACATAACTGATGATCACAGATGCAAAGATCATCAACAAAATAATAACAAACCAAATTCAACAACACATTAAAAAGTTCATTCACCATGACTGAGTGGGATTAATCCCAGGGATGCAAGGATGCTCCAACATGTACAAATGTTAGAAGGTGATATATATCACATTAACAAACCCAAGAACAAAAACGATATGATCTTTTCAATAGGTGCTAAAAAAGCATTTGATAAAATTCAAATCCTGTTATGATAAAAACCCTCAAGAAATTGGGTATAGAAGAAACATACCTCAAAATAATAAAGACCACATATGACAAACCCAAAGCTAACGTCGTAATAAATGGTGAGAAATGGAGAGCCTTTCTTCTAAGATCTGGAACAAGAAAAGGATACCTACTTTCACCACTTTATTCAACATAATATTGGAAGCACTGGCAAAAGCTATTAGACGAAAGAAATAAAAGGCATCAAATTGGAAAGGAAGAAGTCAAATTAGCATAGTTTGCCAATGACATGATCTTGTACTTAGAAAAAACTAAAAATTTCACCAAAAAACTATTAGAACTAATAAACAAACAAAGTTGCAGGATAAAAAAATCAACATACAAAATCAGTAGCATGATATATGCCAACAGCAAACAGTCTGAAAAATAAATCAATACAGCATCATTTACAATAGCTAAAAACATATGAAACACTGATAAAACAATTTAATAAAAGAAGTAAAAGAAAGAGGGACCTGACTATTTAAAGAAAAACAAACAAACCTAAAGCAACAACAAGAGCATCAACAAAAAAGTCCCCACCAAAACCTCATCCAAGGGCCAGCAGCCTCAAAGATCGAAACTAGACAAACTCTTGAAGATGATAAAGAATCAATAAAAAAAATGCTGAGACCTCAAAAGGCCAGAGTGCCTCTTTTCCTCCAAATGATCACAACACCTCTCCAGCAAGTGCACAGAACTGGAAGGAGGATGAGATGGACGAATTGACAGAAGTAGGCTTCAGACGGTGGGTAGTAATAAACTTAATACACTTGGCTGAGGTAAAGGACCACGTCCTAACTCAATGCAAAGATGCTAAGAACCATGATAAAAGTTTACAGGAGCTGCTAACTAGAATAACCAGTTTAGAGAGGAACATAAATAACCTGATGGAGCTGAAAAACACAGCACAACTATCAGTAACTGAAATAATCAAGTGGAAGAAAGAATATCAGAGCTTGAAGACTATCTTGCTGAAATAAGGCAGGCAGAAAAGACTGGAGAAAGAATAATAAAAAGGAATGAATAAAACCTCTGAGAACTATGGGACTATGTAAAAAGACTGAACCTATGACTGATTGGAGTACCTGAAAGAGATGGGGCTAATGGAACCAAGTTGGAAAACACACTTCAGGATATCATCCAGGAGAACTTCCCTAACCTAACAAGACAGGCCAACATGCAAATTCAGGAAATACAGAGAACTCCAGTAAAAGATACTCCACAAGAAGATCAACTCCAAGTCACATAATCATCAGATTCTCCAAGATCGAAATGAAGGAAAAAACTAAGGGCAGCCAGAGAGAAAGGCCAGGTCACCTACAAAGGGAGGTCCATCAGACTAACAACGAACCTCTCAGCAAAAACCCTACAAGCCAGAAGAGAGTGGTGGCCAATATTCAGTATTCCTAAAAAGAAGAATTTTCAATCCAGAATTTCATATCCAGGAAAACTAAACTTCATAAGCAAAGGAGAAATAAAATCCTTTTCAGACAACAAAATGCTGAAGGAATTCATCACCACCAGACCTGCCTTGCAAGAGCTCCTGAAGGAAGTCTTAAATATAGAAAGGAAAAACCAGTAGCAGCCACTACAAAAGCACACTGAAATACAAAGGCCAATGACACTGTGAAGAAACAACTACTATGCAAATTAACTGGCTAATGTCATGATGACAAGATCAAATTGACACATAACAATATTTACCTTAAATGTAAATGGGCTAAATGCTGCAATTAAAAGACACAGACTGATAAATTGGATAAACAGTCAAGACCCATTGGTGTTCTATATTAAAGAGACTCATCTCATGTACAAAGACACATAGGCTCAAAATAAAGGGATGGAAGAAAATTTACCAAGCAAATGGAAAGCAGAAAAAAGCAGGAGTTTCAATCCTAGTTTCTGACAAAACAGATTTTAAACCAACAAAGATCAAAAAAGACAAAGAAGGGCATTACATAATGGTAAAGGGATCAATGAAACTTAGAAGAGCTAACTATCCTAAATATATATGCACCCAATACAGGAGAACCCAGATTCATAAAGCAAGTTCTTAGAGACCTACAAAGAGACTTAGACTCCCACACAGTAATAGTGGGAGACTTTAACACTCCACTGTCAATATTAGACAGATAATCATCCCTTTATGTTAAAAACTCTCAATAAACAAATTATTGACAGAACATATCTCAAAACAATCAGATCTCTTTATGACAAACTCACAGCCAATATCATACTGAATGGGCAAAAGCTGGAAGCATTCCCTCTGAAAACCGGCGCAAGACAAGGATGCCCTCTCTTACCACTTCTATTCAACTTAGTATTGGAAGTTCTGGCCAGGGAAATTAGGCAAGAGAAAGAAATAAAGGTATTCACATAGGAAGAGAGGAAGTCAAATTGCCTCTGTTTGCAGACGACATGATCCTATATCTAGAAAACCCCATCATCTCAGCCCAAAAGCTCCTTAAGCTGATAAGCAACTTCAGCAGTCTCAGGACACAAAATCAATGTGCAAAAATCACAAGCATTCCTATACACTAATAATAGACAAGCAGAGAGTCAAATAATAAATGAACTTCCATTCACAACTGCTACAAGGAGAATAAAATACCTAGGAATACAGCTCACAAGAGAGGTGAAGGACCTCTTCAAGGAGAACTACTAACCACTGCTCAAGGAAATAAGAGATGACACAAACAAATGGAAAAACATTCCATCCTTGTGGATAGGAAGAATCAATATCATGAAAATGGCCATACTGCCCAAAGTAATTTATAAAATTTGTAGATTCAATGCTATTCCCATCAAACTACCATTGACATTCTTCACCAAATTAGAAAAAAAAAGCTACTTTAAAATTCATATGGAACAACAACAAAAAAAGCCCATATAGCCAAGACAATTCTAACCAAAAGAACAAAGCTGGAGTCATGCTACCTGACTTCAAAGTATACTGCAAGGCTACAGTAACCAAAACAGCATGGTACTGGTACAAAAACAGACACATAGACCAATGGAACAGACTAGAGATCTCAAAAATAAGACCACACATCTACAACCATCTGATCTTCAATAAACCCGACAAGGACAAGCAATGAAGAAAGGACTTCCTATTTAATAAATGGTGCTGGGAAAACTGGGCTAGCCATATGCAGAAAACTGAAACTGGACCCCCTTCCTTACACCTTACACAAAAATTAACTCAAGATGGATTAAACACTTAAATCTAAAACCCCAAACTATGAAACCCCTAGAAGAAAATTTCGGCAATAACATTCAGGAAATAGGCATGGGCAAAGATTTTATGATGAAATCACCAAAAGCAATTGCAACACAAGCTAAAGTTGTCTAATGAAATCTAATTAAACTAAAGAGCTTCTGCATAGCAAAAGAAACTATCATTGCTGTGAACAGACAACCTACAGAATGGGAGAAAACTTTTGCAATCTACCCATCTGACAAAGGTCTAATATCCAGAGTCTACAAGGAACTTAAATAAATTTACAAGAAAAAAAACAAACAACAAATCCATCAAAAGTGGGCAAAGGACACGAACAGAAACTTCTCAAGAGAAAACATGTATGCGGCCAAACAAACATGAAAAAAAAGCTTACCATCACCAAGCATTGGAGAAATGCAAATCAAAACCACAATGAAATACTATCTCATGCCAGTCAGGATGTCAATTATTAAAAAGTCAAGAAACAAAAGATGCTGGCGAGGCTGTGGTAAAATTGGAATGCTTTTAGACTGTTGTTGGGAATGCGAATTAGTTCAACCACTGTGAAAGACAGTGTGGCAGTTCCTCAAGGATCCAGAACCAGAAATACCATTTGACCCAGCAATCCCTTTGCTGGATATGTATCCAAAGGAATGTAAATCATTCTATTGTAAAGATACATGCACACATATGTTCATTGCAGCACTATCCACAATAGCAAAGACATGGAATAAACCCAAATGCCCATCAATGATAGACTGGATAAAGAAAATGTAGTACATATACCCTATGGAATAGTATGCAGCCATAAAAAGAAACGAAATCATGACCTTTCCAGAGACATGGGTGAAGCTGGAAGCCATCATCCTCAACAAACTAACACAGGAAGAGGAAACCAAACACCGCATGTTCTCACTCATAAGTGGGAGCTGAACAATGAGAACACATGGAAACAGGGAGGAAAACAACACAAACCAGGGCCTGTTGGTGGGTGGGGGAGGGAGAGCATCAGAACAAGTAGTTAATTCATGTGGAGCCTAATACCTAGGTGATGGGTTGATAGGTGCAGCAAACCACCATGGCACATGTTTACTTATGTAACAAACCTGCACATTCTGCACATGTATCCCAGAATCTAAAATAAAATAAAATTTAAAAAAATAAAAATAGGCCAGGTGGGGTGGCTCACGCTTGTAATCCCAGCACTTTGGGAGGCTGAGGTAGGTGGATCATGAGGTCAGGAGTTCGAAACCAGCCTGGCCAACACAGTGAAACCCCGTCTCTATTAAAAATACAAAAATTAGCTGGGTATGATGGCAGGTGCCTGTAATGCCAGCTACTAGGGAGGCTGAGGCAGGAGAATCACTTGAACCTGAGAGGCAGAGGTTGCAGTGAGCCAAAATTGCACCACTGCACTCCAGCCAGGGTGACAGAGCTAGACTCCATCTCGAAAATAAAATAAAATAAAATTGAAATTAAAAAAGAAGTAAAATATCTCTACAGGAAAACTATAAAACACTGTTGAAAGCAATCTAGGGGGACACAAAAAAATGGAAAAATATTCCATGTGGATTGAAAGAATTAATATTGTTAAAATGACAATTCTACCCAAAGTAATTTACAAATTCAATGCAATTCCTATCGAAATACCAATGAGATTCTTCACAGAAATAGAAAAAATAAATTCAAAAATTTATTTGAAACGTCAAAAGACCCATAATAGCCAAGGAAATCCTAAGAAAAAAGAACAAAGCTGGAGGCATTATACTACCTGACTTCCTGATTTCACAATATGCTACAACGCTACAGTAACCAAATCGGCATGGTACTGGAAAGAAAAAAGAGAAGAAAAGAAAACTTAAGAGAGAGAGAAAGAAAGAAAAGAAGGAAGGGAGAGACGGAGGGAGGGAGGGTGACAGAGAGGAAGGAAAGAAGGAAGGAAGGAAGGAAGGAAGGAAGGAAGGAAGGAAGGAAGGAAGGAAGGAAGGAAGCAGAGACATAGACCATGGAACATAATAGGAAACCCACATATCAATCCACACATATACAGCCAAATCATTTTAGACCAAGGCTCCAAGAATATATAATGGAGAAAAGACAGTCACTTCAATAAATAGCATTGGGTAAACTGGCTATCCATATGTGGAAGAATGGAACTAGAGATCTAGACCCCTATCTCTCACCATACACAAAAAATCAAATCAAAATGGATTAAAGACTTAAATATAGGACCTGAAACTATGAGACTATTACAACAAAGTTTGGGGAAATTCTCAAGGACACTGATCTAGGCAAAGATTCTTTGAGTAAGACCTCAAAAGCACAGTCAACCAAAAGCAAAAATGGACAAATGGTATTGTGTCAAGCTAAAAAGCTCCTGTACAACAAAGAAACAATTAACAAAATGAAGAGACAACCCAAAGAATGGGGGAAAATACCACAAACTATTCATCCAAAAAGGGATTAATAATCAGAATACATAAAAAGCTCAGACAACTCTATAGCAAATAATAATAATAATCTGATTTTTAAATGGGCAAAAGAGTTAATTAAACATTTCTCAGAAGACATACGAATGGCCAACAGATATATGAAAAGGTGCTCAATATCACTAATGATCATCAGGGAAATGCAAATTAAAACCACAATGAGATACCATCTCACCCCAGTTAAAATGGCTTTTATCAAAAATACCAGCAATAATGGATACTGGCAAGGATATGGAGAAAGGGGAACACTTGTACCCTGTTGGTGGGAATGTAAATTAGTACAGCCACTATGGAAAAGTGTATGGAGGTTCTCTAAGAAACTACAAATAAAACTACTGTATGATCCAGCAATTCCACTTCTAGGTGTAATATCCAAAAGAAAAGAAGTCAATACCTCTCAGAAATATTTGCACCCCCATGTTTACTGCAGCACTATTCACAATAGCCAAAATATGAAATCAACCTAAGTGTTCATCAATGGATGAATAAAGACAATTTGGAATATATACACAACAAAACGTTATTCGGCCATAAAAAAGAATGAAATCCTGTCATTTTCAGCAACATGGGTGGAACTGCAAGTCATAATGTCAAGAAAAATAAGCCAGGCACACAAAGACAAATATCACATGTTCTCATTCATACATAGGAGCTAAAAAAGTGGATCTTAAGAAGATGAAGAGTAGATGGTGGATACTAGAGGCAGGGAAGTAGGGAGACAAATAGAGATTGATTAATGGATACAAATATACAGTTGATAGAAAAAATAAGACAGTGGTCAATAGATCAGCAGGGGACAATAGTTTACAATAATCTATTGTGTATTTCTAAATAGCTAGAGGAAAATAATTTAAATAATTTTAGCATAAAGAAAAGACAAATTAAATAATGGATATCCCAATTACACTGATTTGATCTTTAAAAATTATATAAATATATTAAATCATCACATGTAACCCCAAAATATGTACATCTATTATGCATCAATAAACAGGAAAATTAAACAAAAAAAGAAGACCTAAATAAAAATTGAGAATAATGTCTTTAGTAATCCTGATATTCAATATCTTTAAATTAAATTCTATATCAAGGTAACAGCAGTTAAAATCAAGATGAATTTTTAATGAAAAATTTGATAAAGTTATGTGAAGCAGTAAAGAGCCAAAAATAACTGAGACAATTTTGAAGCAAGCATACACGGTGAAGAGACTTGCCCAATAAAATCAAGATTTATTATAAAGCTATAATCAATTAAAGATGCATGGTATTCATGCAAGGAAATACAAATTAACCAACTGAGCAAACTAAACACTCCAGAAGTAGATCAACGCATATCTGGAAACTTTGCAATGACAGAAATAACGTGGCATATCAAGGGGTAATGATGGTACTGAGAACAAAAAGGGGAGTAGGGGAGAAGGGGGATTGAATTCCCACTTCAACCATATGCAAAACCAATCTCAGATAATGTACATCTCTTAGATTTAAAAGGCCAACTATAAAAGCCTCAGAGCAAAACATGAAGAAAATCTTGATGAGCTTGGTCCAGGGAAAGATTATCTGAGTGATGCAAAAAGCAGTAAAGATTAAGAATAAATTTGAAACTATTTTACTTCATTAAAACACATCATACCTCTTTAAAACAAAAACACACCATAAGTGTAACAACTGGGAAAAGATCGAACAACTGGGAAACACATCGAAGACACAGAGGATTGGTATCCAGAATACATAAAGAACTCCTACAAGTCAGTAAGAAAAACACAACCCGATAGGAAAACAGGCAAATGCCACCAGCAAGCAGAAGACACAGAGAGGGATACACATGAATGATAAGTGAGCAGAGGAAAGCATTCCCAGTCTCACTCATAATTATGGAGATGCAAATCAAGCCCACAGTGAGAAATCACTTTGTATGAATTATGCTGGCAGAGGTGAAGAAGCTTGACAATAGAAAGTGTGGGCAAGGATATTAATCAGTAGCAACTCTATTGCTGGAGAGAGAGTAAATTGGCAGAATCATATTTTAAAACAATTTGGTCTTATTATGATATAGAACATTGACATTCCTTCCAGCAATTTCACTCATTGATCTATCCTGAAGAGGAATTTGCGCTCATGTGCACCAGGAGACTATTCATACCATGAGGCATTTCATTAGAGATTATTACAGGGATTATGAGAAGAATTCATCGCATCATTAGGTGAAAAAAGGCACCAAAGGTTTTGTCTTGGATGACAATCTCTAAGAATGCAAATATTTTGTGGTACATTTAAGTAAAGCAGTGACTGGGAAAATATTCTAGTCTATTATTTGCACAGATAAGGGACATCTTTATTTGCTCTCCCCCATAGGACCCTATATCCTCATACTGGATAAACAGAAAGCTAAACTTTCTGGAGTTGTCAGCTTAGTACCTTTGCAATTCAACTTTTACATTTAAAAAAATACAACATTATGTTAAAAGAAATTATCCCATAAAATGTACATGTGAAGGAGAGAGAGTGAGTTAAGATATTGGGGGAAAAGTGAAAATTTTAAGTTTCATGATATTCACAGTGGCTCCAGAGATCTCGGAGCAGCCAGTGAACAACCCAACTAAGTTTAATTTTAGCTTCTTGAGGGCATAATAACGCTTATTATCTCGAAGAAGAGATGAGGAAAGAGGAGAGAGGATGGGACAGTGTCTGCTAGAGGTATTGCTTGAAGTGAGGAGAAGTGGGGAAGTAAGTAGCAGCATTATGCATCATTCCCAAACCACGTGAAAGCAATGGAGCCAGGTGACCAGGGCTTTTTTTTTCCCTGCCTCTGACCTTATTTTACAAAAGAAAACAGGCCCAGCACAGTGGCTCACACCTGTAATCCCAGCATTTTGGGAGGCCAAGGCAGGCAGATGGCTTCAGCCCGGGAGTTTGAGACCAGCCTGGGCAACATGGCTAAACCCAGTTTCCACAAAAACTACAAAAGTCAACCAGGCATGGTAGTGTCTGCCTGTAGTCCCAGCTACTGGGGAGGCTGAGGTGGGAGGATCACTTGAGTGTGGGAGGTCAAGGCTGCAGTGAGCTATGATCATACCACTGCACTCCAGCCCGGGCAACAGGAAGAGCATGTCTCAAAAAAAAGAAAAAAGAAAATACTCTGTGATGTTGAGAAGCTTGAAATCTACAGTTTCACAAGACTACATCTTCTTAAAAAGAGATGGGGACGTCCCCTTATTAATTAAACATATTGTGATCTAACTAGTCTCCAAATATAACTTAATAAACTTGAAAGTAAAAATATGTGTAGCAAAGTGTATACGTATTAGAGATCATAAAATTATGCATGAGAATAATACAATTTTTAAGGTAGTGGTTACCTCTGAAGTTTTTGGAAAAGCGGGTGCTAGAACTCTAACTTCTAGGTTACGTGCATACATGCCTGGGAAGGAAGGAAGACAGGAAGGGATGAAGGGAGGAAGGGAGGAAGGAGAGGATGATATCAGATGGAGAAAGAAACAGAAATGATGAGATGTCTACTGATAAGAAAAGTAAAGTTCAGGTGAAGGCTGAGAGATATTTTATAGTGACCTGACTCTTAGTAATCGTAACTGCTTTATAATCCAGTTATGTGTCTTGGTTTCCTAACAATTAACAGCAAAGAACCCCTTCAGTGGGTTTTTACAACCAATGTAATAAAATGATTAATAAAAGACAGTTCCACCTAGAAAACTGAACGGTATAAACATTTATCCATCTCCTCTCTAAAATTCCCTCAGTATCATTCCCTGCTCCCTAAATATTCCAACAGTATTTGCTTATATTTTAGTACAAAAGAGTTTGTTGCCTTTATCAACTCAGTAATTTCATGTGTCCCATTCTTTAAGGCATAATGAAATAACTACATTGGACACATTGAGAAAAAGTTTTGCATTGTCGTATGAATATATCAGCATTTTGCAATATTAGTATCCAAAATGATTGAAAATAGTTTGCTTAAAAATGTAACTTTTTAAATTGGAGATTCTCCTCCTTTAAATATAAGTATACTTGCAATTAATATATCTTCTCCATATTTTTTAACTTTGAGGATAACCAAATAGTTTAAATGTAGTAATTGGATATTCCTTGACCTTCGTACATTGACGTACCCCTCCACATCCGGATTCTTCTCTCTTCTTTTACTCTCCAGGTGCTCCACATGATGCAAGGCCTGGTCCAAGTCCCCACACCCACCTCAGACTGAAATAACCTTTTTGTGATCAGAAGGCTAATTAGTATGTATTACAACTATTACACATTTGGTCTTAGGCATGTGCTGCATAGAGATACCCTTTCTGCTGTCATCTTCAACTACTATATAATTCTGGTGGGTTTTAATTTTAGTGTTCATATCTCATCTTCCTCAATACACATGATTCTGAAATGCATAGTCTTCTTAATTGGCTCTGAACTGGAAAAAAGTTATGTCTTTCTCTCAGTTCCTTAGGTAAATGATGTATAATTCCATTGGCTTTCACTTTTACACTATTAAGCAGTTCTTATTAGTAACCTACTAAATATATTAAGTGTAACTAAGATTTTGTATTCATAAACCAAAATTGGTATATTGTTGGACTTATCGAAGACTCTAATTCAACATTCTTTTAAAAACATTGACTGCCACGTGGCAGTTGGCAATATTTTCAACAAGTATGAGAATTTCAATGATTCTAGAGAAAGCTTTGTTATTATGTTATTAATGTTGTCTTAAGTAAATGTTTTTTCTGCTACTTTAAATTATTCATTATATATCATTATAAATACATCACTACCTATTTAGATTTTTATGACTTTAAAATTAATTAATCTCACAAAAAGTTGTGTTATGTATTTCTATTAACAGGACTTTAATTACTCACACCTCTAAATTATTCATACTCAGTTTCTGGAACAAGTGTACACGTAATGCCATCTCCTTTTCCAAATTTTTTTGGGATGGAGACACTGATCGTATATCCTGTGAATGTGTACTGTTCTAATATCTTCCAATATACTGTCAAAGTGAGCATAATGAAAATATTGGGCTATGTATAATTTTTAGGCCTAATTTATATATAAAACATGCATGTAAGCACACTTGCTTTTCTCATCAAGATATAAAAAAGATTCCTATATATTTATAGCAACAAATGTACAACAATTTGTTCTTCTTCAATACTCCACTGCCCATAGGCCTATTTTTCACTAGAAAGCACGAAAGATCTTCTGTTCTAAGGTGGAAATGACTGAAAAAGTTCGAAAGCCCTGTATACCAAACTACCAGAAGTGACTATACTTTAGGTCAGGGACTAAGCATAATTTGCTTTCCCTATAATATCGAAAAACATACCCTGGATCTCATTAGGTTCTCCATGGAATGGTGTTGGAGATTCAGTTTGATCCCACACATTGAAACAGCACCTGTCCATGTATTATTTCTATTAATAAATGAATTCTAGTTTGAAAGACTGAGAATCAAGTAAAGTTTTTTTACAGTTACAAATGCACTTTTATGGTAAAACTAAATTTTGATAGACATTTTTGGTTAGGTGAGATATGGCAAATAAATGTAGCAGTTTAATTTTCTCCATAGAAATGAGAAGTAACAATTGTTTCAGTCATCTTTATTTGCACCGTTAAGATTATTTATATATTCTAAATTTATACTATATGTATATCCTAAGAGATTTAGGCAGAGTATTTTACAAGAAGAAAAAGCTTCATATTTAAAACATAAAATCTGGCCGGGCGCGGTGGCTCACGCCTGTAATCCCAGCACTTCGGGAGGCTGAGGCGGGCGGATCACGAGGTCAGGAGATCGAGACCATCCTGGCTAACACGGTGAAACCCCGTCTCTACTAAAAATACAAAAATTAGCCGGGCGTGGTGGCGGGCGCCTGTAGTCCCAGCTACTCGGGAGGCTGAGGCAGGAGAATGGCGGGAACCCGGGAGGCGGAGCTTGCGGTGAGCAGAGATCACAGCACCGCACTCCAGCCTGGGCGACAGCGAGACTCCATCTCCAAAACATAAAAATAAAAAAATAAATAAAATCCCTGGTTTTACACGTGCCAAAGTCATAGACCTACTTAGGACTTGGAGTAAAAGAGAAGTGGTTCATACGTTTATTCACTCACAAAGTGGGTAGCTGAGACATCATAAGGTCTTCAGGTTAGTTTTTATCTTTAAATGAAAATGAGAGAAAGTAAAGAAGAAGTTCATTTCTACTCTGGCGTGTTTTACCAATGAATGCTTATTGGCTTCATTAAAATCCTTCATTGTAGCGTTTCTCAAACTCTGGTATGTTTGAGAATCACTTGGACATCTTGTAAATACAGATCCCTGAGTTTCAGCCCCAGAAATTGAGAAGGTCTTAGGTGGGGACCCAAATGTGCCCTTCTAACGAGTTCCCAGGTGATGCTGATGCTTCTCATCAAAGGACCAGACATAAGTAGCATTTCAAGTCCGCTGACAAGCAAGATGTCATAAAACATAGATGTTATGTAAGAAACACGAAAAGCCTTGGCCATGCAGAGCAAGATGGTGATTACTTACTAGTGATTGCTGTTATCCACGATACTAGTACCGGCCGGGCGCGGTGGCTCCCGCCTGTCATCCCAGCACTTCGGGAGGCCGAGGCGGGCGGATCACGAGCTCAGGAGATGAAGACTATCCTGGCTAACACGGTGAAACCCCGTCTCTACTAAAAATACAAAAAATTAGCCGGGCGTGGTGGCGGCGCCTGCAGTCCCAGCTACTCGGGAGGCTGAGGCGGGAGAATGGCGGGAACCCGGGGGGCGGAGCTTGCAGTGAGCCAAGATGGCGCCACCGCCCTCCAGCCTGGGCGACAGAGCCAGACTCCGTCTCAAATAAATAAAAAATAAATAAATAGATAGATAGATAAATAAAAATACTAGTACTGTGTAACCCAAAAGTAAAAGATAATTATTTATTGGTGCATAAAATAGTAAGAACCAGAAAGAACGTAGGCCAGTTCTCATTTGAGAATCTGATGTTACTGAGATTAAGTTTTTCTACCCACACACTTTTAATGTGTGTCATTAAGTATTTAATAACTGCAATAGCTATCTGGAGGCAGAACATGTCACACATCCTCTATGATGGTATAAACTAGAAGTAGAGAGTCAGAACTTCGGCCAGATTTTACTGACAATTTGGTCAATGTGGTAGTTTTTAGAATTTAACAATGCTTTTTTCAAAAGAAAAGGAAAAATCAATACTCTGAATAACAAACAGTTGGCCCTGGCATCTATTTCACATTTTTCCTGGAAAATGGCACCAATTCCCCAATGTTATGTTAGGGCTTTGTTTTAAGATTTGTAGATAGAAGGAAAGAGTGCCACCTGCTGAGGAAGCCCAGTGCTTACTCCAGCACAGTGGACACAGCGTGGCCGCCCTGACTTAACCTTCTTAGCACCTTGAAAAAAAAAAAAAGGTGTAAATCTATCCATAAGGCAGGAAGAACAAAACGCCCAGAAGAAATTGTCAGTTGGATCTAGACCTTTCAAAACTAAAGGACTCTAATTTGTCCATGTCTTCAAATCATTTTAGAGTATTTATGAGTTATAATTACACAGGGATATTGGGATGCCCCATCTATTGAATCTAAGACTATATGAAAGACAAAAACTGTGATCAAGTTCTTCTGAATCTGTAGAAGCAAGCTGAGAGAAAGCACCTTAGAAATATGAAATCATTGTTATTTTATTCAAAATTGCAAAATGACCTAGTCTCTCCAACCAGGTTGGTTTTTTTTTTAATTTTCTATTCAAATTTAACCAATTCAGCCTCTCAAATCTTTCAAATCATTAATTGAATTAATTTGTAGGATTTAGCACAAAAAATGCCTTGCCTAAAAATCTGCTTCAATATATATCAAAGATAGGTTAAAATATCTTTCAAGATCACAGATTATGGAACTATTGCATGGGTTAATATCAAATATTTGCCCTTTACTAGCTATGTGGCCTTAAATGGTTATTTGTACCTTGGTGTGCTAAGTGGTGAAATATAGATGGTAAGATCATAGAATTATTTTGAGAAAAATGAGATGATAAAGCAATATGCAAGTACCATAAGTAAATGCTCAATAAATATAAGTTGCCACTAACATTTATTATTATTAAAAGTTATGAAAAATAACCCTGAAGAAATTCTTACGAGCACAGAGCTAAATAGCTGGACAACTGAAAGTCAAATTCAAGTATAATTCAGTTTTGGAAATAGAATAAAATTTTAAAATCTTTTCTCTACATTACATAAAAAGTTATTAATATTAAAGGGAATAACTTTTGCATAAAAACTTTGCAGATATGTTATCAATCAAGTTGGAGAAACTATTCATCATTTAACATGTTTATTTTATGTGGTCAAAAATTAACATGATTTAATAGGAAACTAAAGTATTAGTTTCCCAAAAACTTCTTGCACAGGAGTGCTTCTTCTTTTCAAACACTGAAGTCAAACTGGATGACCTAAATAATATTTTTTGCTTGAATTTCATGTGCGCTTAGCTTATAGGGTTTTTTCCTTTTGCTTTGTTTTAAATTAAATTATACTATACAATATTCTAGCCTGTTAAACTGATGAGATTTCAGGGGCAAATTCATTTGATAAGTTATAAGAATTACTTTATTATTTCATACAAAATCATATTCAGAGATAGGCAGATAATTTCAAAATAGAAGTTCTAGGCTTCAACGTAAATAACTGCTGTCTGCCAACAATCCATGTGCTTTCCATAAAACAAGACCAAGAGATAAATGTGACAGCAATTAAGATATTTATTAGATTTTAGGTTACACTATGTGAATCACTGAACCTTCTAATTGATTTATTCTTTGTTGCCTATAACTTACTTTAACATACTTCAGCACAGGCTGTGCGTGTGTGTGTGTGTGTGTGTGTGTGTGTGTGTGTGTGTGTGTGTGTTTTCTTCTGAACCTAGAGGTAGTTATCCAAATGAGAAATATAGTCACCAGGTGTTTAGCTAATATTTAAAAGGCCTCATCCAGTCAAAAGTTACACACCAGAGGTAGACAGCTATAAGCAGTATTTTACATCCCCTCACCATATTAATTAGCATTAAGGGTGTCAGTGGTGGCCTTTCGTTGGTTAAACTGGTAGAATTCAACTTAAGTGGATTGTCTGGAACATTGTAGAGATATTCTCACCCTTGTATGAACATGGTATAAGGATCTAGACATATCAGTGTTCTACACTATGAACAATGCCCTAAGGGTCATGCATAAATGCTGATCTCGAGAGTTTTTGTTACCCCACTGTGACCAGATGATTAAACTATCCCTGCCTTGAGAAGACTGTTATAAACATGATATCATGCAAGGAGTAGATGGAACATTTAAATGGACAGAGAGCTAGGATTTCACTGACCTTACAGAAAAAGTCAACAGTGTCCTATTCTTACTTGGATATACAACGTAAGAATATCTTTTATCTATCTTACAATTTGTAAAGTCCTTTAATCTGGATAATCTGACTTGCTTTTCATAGTCATCTAATGAGGACAGTCAAAAGATTATAAAGTTGCTAATTTCTAAGAGGAAACTAAGTAACTGTTTGAGTTGCCTACATGGCAGAACTCGGTCTTCTATTGAAGTTTTCTGAATCTGCCCCAGGGTTCTTGATCCATTACGTGTGAACTGGTGTTGAAATACCTTCAGGACTTGTATGCTCATGTTGCTGTGGAGCTAGCCATAATTCCAGCTCGTTGTATTCATTAAAGAAAGAAATTATCGTCCCTTATTTCAATGCGAGACTCTGTTCTGTTTCTGAGTGGACTGGATGATTTTCTGGCTTAATAATATTACTTCTATGTAAATTCTGTTTACATTGGTAGAGTTAAAAGTATAGATATGACTACAAATAATTTAATAAGTCAAACCATCAAAGTTGTATTTATTATTCTGTGTATAGAATAATACATGACCCTGCAACTGTCATCTGATGATTGTTCAGCTGGAAAAAAATGGGTACTATTGATAAAAAAAAATACATCACTCTTTGGATGTTTTTACCTGTGAGATTAACCTTTGTTAAATATGGGAGTATTTGTTTTTAATGAGAGTGTTCTGTGTGTCTACTGGTGTAGAACCTTTATGCTAAGGTCATGAGGAATAACATAATGAAATGTCTAAAACACTATTATGTGTGCCAATTCCACTCATCGCCTATAGAAATATTTGTTTTAATGTATCAAAATGCTGTTTTTCTCCTGTTAATAAATAGTTATATCTACTATTTTATTCCTAGAGGTTTTTAACGCTTTTCATATAGCTATGAAGTCTCTTAAAAGATGGATCACAAAAAAGAGTGTCCCTGAAGTCCACTGTTTAACTGAAACTTTTTTGTTTTTTTTTAAATCAGGTAGAAACCTGAATAATTTCTCAACTTATCCTTTTCTCTCATTACCTGACTGCCTACCAACAAGAAAATAAAAGGATTTCATTTAGAAATGTAAAAAGACAGTTAATATTCAGACTTCTAATAACTTGGGAAGCATGTTGTTATATACAGCAAATGGCTTCACCTCTCAGAGCCCAAGTTTCTTTATTTCCTCATGTTATTTGAATCTCAATCTCATTCATCCTTATAATTGGATTTTTTTCTCTCTCTCTCTTTTTCCTTGGGCAATCTCTTGTGGAAAAAAAACAAACAAAAAAATGGGAATACAGTTGCTAATAAAGGCCATGTGAGGGCAGGCCTTCTGTGTCCCAAACTAAGAACTCCTGACACAGAGACAGCCTAGCCTAATGGATGTGAGCTGCCTGGGTTTCATTCCCTGCTGCACCACTCACCATCCGAGTGACCTTGGGCCCGATATTTTAAACCCTCTGTACTTCCATTTTGTCATCAATAGCAAGAATACAACAATAACATTTACTTTATAGAAATGACTCTCAGATAAAATGTAAAACAAAAAACACATCACTAGTTACATACAGTGCTTAGAACAAATATCTCGCACATACTAAGTATTTAATTAATGTTAGCGAGTAATACTATCATCATCACTTTTCTACTGCTGAATTTTCTGGTTTTAATAACTTTATTTTCGAAACCATCCATGATATGGCCTATTTTGGCACCACTGGGAGTGCTGCCATCTTCTCAAATAGAAAGCAATTGAGAACAATTCAGAATAAATTAGACCTCTGAAGATATGTCAGCCCCTTCACAGGAGACTCATTTTCAAAACCTGCTACCTCTAGGGCACTGCTGCCAGGGAAGGAGGCATTCTGTGAAAATCTATTTGTTTTCACATTTTTATTTTCTTTTAAACTGTCTACTCAAATATTAAGGAGAATTTTGTGCAAACACCATCAATTTAATGGGTCAAGTTCATTACGAGATGGAAAGTACTTCAGCTGCTGGAAAAGCATGAATTTCTTCACTCAGTTTTTGCCAGCACAGTGTGGCATAAATGACTGCACTGATTGCAAAAGCTCTGGTATCCAGCTACCTGGGTTCAAACCTTGGCTTTTCTGCTTTCCAACTGAGTCACCTCAGTTTTCTCATCTGGAAAATTGGGATAACAGTAGCAGTTACCTCTCTTCAGGGTTATTGTGAGGGCGGGGTGTGAGAAAAGCACCTAGCATGGGACCTAGAATATAGCAAGTCATCAACATTTGGTGGCTCTGGTTATGTAAAGAATGCTTATACTGTACTAAATCTCGGTGAGAACCAATGATTCACAATTAGTGGAATACACCAGATCACTGTGCTGGAGAGATGGGATGGCCTTGAGACATTCTATCATCAAATTCGTTTATAGATTTAAAAAAGGAAAAAAAAAGTCTTAAGAACTGAGATGAGTCGCCCAAGGACTGCAGTGATTGTAGTTTGACCACAAGTGAAAGGATTCCCACCTATTCCATTACAGTGTTGTTTGCGTGAACACATGCAGGTTGTGTATGTGTGATGCACCAGTACTGATTTATGTTAAGCTGACTTAGACTGCCATGCAGGGCCTAGATTATGGGAGTGAACAAATATTAGACAAAAACTAACTGAAGAACATAAGAGAAGAGAGATCTGAATTTCCAATATAGTTGTCTTTCTGATTTCAAAAATCAGAAACTTGTCCCCAGATTTTGTGTACGTTCATTTCTATGATGAGTTTCCAAAAACTGCAAGAGTCAAAATAGGGTTGTCATGCATGGATAGTTGGTGGAAGGTTCCAAGATTCCGTAACTAGACTTTAATGAAAAGAAAATTTAGATTTTCTACACTGCCTTTAAATTTTAAAAGGATGGAGCAAAAGAACACTCTAGATCTATGCTGTCCAATATGGAAGCTACTAGCCATGTGTGCTCATTTAAATTTAACTTTAAATGAATTAAATTTTTTAAAATTAGCAAGTAAATTCCTCAGTGTACTAGCCACATTTCCAGTATTCACTATCCACACGTGGCTAGTGGCTGCCATGCTGGACAGGGCAGATGGACATTCCCATCTTTACAGAAAGTCCTTTTGGAAGGGTGCTACTGTAGATCATTTGAGAAATCCTCACAATTATAGTTAGTAGTGTAGGCTGCACAATGGCCACAAGTACCATGGAAAGTATTTTCATGAAATGCAAAGATGTGCTTGCACGGATGATAAGAAATTGGCCTAGACTCTTTAGAGAATTTAGTCAAATCCAAGGCATTTACTATGCAATGAAGAGTCTATAATTTGTGACGTGGGAAAGATCTCCAAGAAGGGAAAAAAAAAACCCTGCAGACTTTAAAGCGGGGGGAAAAAGACTAAACATTCAAATAATTCTGATGGAGGCTCACCTGATTTTCTAATTTATTTATAAGCATCTTTGAAGTGTTTTTCACTTTCAGAGTCACAACAGGGGCTTTTCCAATCAATATTTATGTTACTTACATTACACTTGGAAAACAGGTAACACTTTCAAATGCTGATATATATGGAAGAAGATTGCGTTGGCTCAAGACTGAGTCTATTCATGGAAAACGTCCATGTTGATATAAAAAATTCTATCATTCACCATGATGAATTTTAAACAGAAGATACATTTTTATCTACTTAGATTTTATTTTGGCAGTAAAATATCTAATGATTATTCAATTTTATCTGAAGTATAAAATATCATTAGGAACCCTGCCTGCATAAAGTGCTTTAAAATTTAATCTTAACACTGCCAACTGCTCTTTGCCATGGATTGAACTAATTAATACCAGTAGTTTCCAACTTTGAAGTCAGGAAGGAAGAATTGGTATTTTGCCCTCACAACTCTAATCTTTGACAATAATGATAATCCTTATATCTGAATTGTGTTTTAGAATGCAAAATGCTTTCAGGCAAAGTGTTTTCACATAAAATAGCTCACTTGCTCTTGAAACAGTCACTTGAAACAGACAGGGGAGTTTTTAACATTCTTAACTTAGAAACAGGGAAACTGGTGTTTATGGAATTAAGTAATGCGTCCCAAAGACTCACAGTGGCGAGCGGAAATCAAGTCTTAATTTAGTGTTATTTCCGCTATGCTCTGCTGCCTTCCTGAGCATCTTGTAACCTGCTCCAGTTGCTACCACCAGATTTCATACCAGACTGGGAAGGAGAGTAAAGAGGAAGGGAAAAGAGAAAGAAGAGAGGAAATGGGGGAAAATGACAGACAAGAGACAATTTATGTCCTTAAAAATAATTGGCACTGAGTCATTAGTACCAAATGTAACACGTTACCCTGGATGGGTTCCTGAAATGGAGAAAAGGGCATTAGGTAAAAATTAAGGAAATCTAATAAACTATAGGTTTTAGTTAATAAGTATGTGTTAATATTGGTTAATGAATAATAACAAGTGAACTATATGATGTAAGATGTTAATAATAGGGAAAACTGGGTGTAGGATATGTGGGAACTCTCAGTACTACCTTTGCAAATTTTTTTATGTCAATCTAAAACTCTTCTATTAGATTGGTGCAAAAGTCATTGTGGTTTTTGCCATTATTTTTTTTAAAAATAACAAGTTTATTTTAAAACACAGTTAGGAGGAGGAATATCCCAGATCCCTCAAGGTTTACAGTGCCTCGTGTTGCTCTGTTGCAGTTGGCTCACTGTTTTGATGATGGGGAGTTTCCAGCCCAATGTATGATGCTTGTTTGATGATACTGTAGAAGAGATGTGTCAAACTATGACCTGCGGGCCAAATTCAGCCCAGCTCCTTTTTTTATAAATGAAATTGTATTGGAACACAGCCATGCTCATTCATTTACATATTATCCCTGGCTGCTTTTGCACTACCACTAGCAGAGGTAATTATAAGAGAAGCCTAAAACATTTGCTATCCAAACCTTTACAGAGAAGTTTGCTGAACACTTGTATACAACATCACATTTTCTGTTTTCCTTCAACAGCTACTAACCGAGTGCCTACCATGTGCCCAGCATTATTCTATGTGGTGGTGATAGTGGTCATCAAGACAAAGACTCTGCCTGCTCTGCAACTTGCCTTCAAGAAAAATGAGATCATAGAAATAAGCAGTTCCATCAATGAATCATGCAAGATTGTATCCAATAGCTCTAAACACTACAAAGAAAATAAAAGGAACATAATTGATAATAGAGAGTGATACTGGGAGCTAAGGCGGCTTAGAGTTGGCACACAAGTAAGGCCTCTCTGAGATGAATCCTAAATGATGAGAATGAATCCACTATGTAAAGATAAAGGGAACAACATTCCAGGTAGACGGCCTAGAAGCACAGCACAGAAGTCATAAGACAGAAACCGATTTCAAGGCTAAATCCAGGACATTTTTTTTTTTTTTTTTTTGAGACAGAGTCTCACTCTGTTGCCCAGGCTGGAGTGCAGTGGTGCAATCTTGGCTCGCTGAAACCTCTGCCTCCTGGGTTCAAGCAATCCTCCTGCATCAGCCTCCCGAATAGCTGGGACTACAGGCACGCACCACCGCGCCCCGCTAATTTTTGTATTTTTAGTGATTCGTCCACCTTGGACTCCCAAAGTGTTGGAATTACAGGCGTAAGCCACCATGCCCAGCCTAGATCAAGAAAATCGTAAGACTTTTCTAAACTTCCAAAATTAAATATATAAAAAAAAAATCCACATCTCTTATTCCTATGTATGTATGTATTTATTTATTGCTGCAAAGTTTTTGAGAGTTTTTTCAAAGGGAATAACCAAGATCTTCATATTCCATTGGGACTTTGCTAATAAAATTGGTTATTATTTTAAGTACATTCCCCATGGGAAAAGGGCAGCACTAATTCTCATTTATCACAAGATTATATGGTATGTTATGTTTCCTTTTAAGTCTTAAAACAATGTCCTCCCTATTTGTGCTAAAGAAAAGAAGCTTCAAGGCCAGGCACTGGGGCTCATGCCTGTAATCCCAGCACTTTGGGAGGTCAAGGCAGGCAGATCACTTGGGCCCAGGAGTTCAAGATTAGCCTGGTCAACATGGCAAAAAGCTTCAAAAGCATGACTAAGTTGTAACATATATGACTATGTTGTAACATATATGACATATATGACTATGTTGTAACAAAATATCTCTGGAACTTTCTTATCTCTATAACTGCAACTTTATACTCATTAAACAATAACTTCCCATGTGCAGTTTTTTGTACATCAATTATACTTTAATAAAGCTGGGGAAGGGGGACATTTGACTACTAATATACCAACTTAGAATCTGTTCTCTTTCACCACTGGACATGGAGAGGAAGAAGCTAGAATGTCCCAGAGTATTATCTGTCAGACAGTAGTTCTAAATGATGTTATTAGGTGTATGTGGAAAAATTATTATGTTCAAATGAAGCTTCTTTACTATAGGATGTCTGAGGGGCCTTCGTAAGTGAACATAAATTGTGAAGTGACAAGCTGAAGCTTTTAAGGCATAGGAAACACCTAATGGGCAAGGGCCCTGGAGAATACTCTTGCTTTTGAGACATAATTTGCTGCTTTGGATAATCAAATGAATTCTGATATTCTTCTTACTTTGGTTTTATACATATGTGTGTGTGTGTGTGTGTGTGTGTGTGTGTGTACGTGGGTGTGGGTGTGTGTTATAGAAATATATTTGGTGATATATATATCATCAAATATGTTATATACAGTATCATATAAAATTTGAGATAACTTATTTGCTAAAATAAACCTGTTCCTTTAATGTGCAAAAAAAGGGGGAAAGTCACCAGGAAGGCTTCTTAAAAAACACTGATCCTTGGACTCTACTCCTGGCGTTTCTGACTCAGTAGCTGTGGGTGGGGGCTGAGAATCTGTGTTTCTAACAAATCCCCCCCATGCTGCTGCTCGGGGACTACACTTTGAGGACCACTGATCTAGATGTTCATTTCAATTTTTTTGGGTCCTAGTAATATACACAATTGAAAGTAACAGGAATTACTAGGAGTTGTGATGCGTTAACAATTTCAGCATCTCAATTTCTTTAGTAAGAGTTTCATTTCCCTATATAAAATGTTAATGACCAGAGTATGCATTTGTTGCTTTAAATTAACCATATGAGAGGTAGTGTGAAAGACGCACACGAAAACAGAGGCGGCCAGTGACATTAAAGGGCCAGCACCCTCACATCAGGTACACAATCTCACTCATTTTTTTTTTTCCTTAGACATCTTCACTTATGGTCCATTGAGGCCTTCAGTGTTACTACAGGTAAAGGTGATGTCAAGTCCTGCCCAGCCACCCTCACCTGTAGAACACACACTGTGCTGCTGGAGTTCAGAGAGGAAAGTGGCTTTTTGCCCCATCACCCCAACCCCAGCCAACAGAAGCGTTCAGCAGTCAGGCTCATTTTCTCTTATTCTGTTCTTTGTGCTGAGTTACCATCTGCT
Source organism: Homo sapiens (assembly GCF_000001405.40). NCBI lineage: Eukaryota > Metazoa > Chordata > Mammalia > Primates > Hominidae > Homo > Homo sapiens. Next base: position 1,997,677 of record NC_000003.12, read on the forward strand.
GCTATCCCAATCATTTTATATATATATATATATATATATATATATATATATATATATATACACACACACACACACACACACTTATACACACATATATACACACACACATCATATACTTATACATATGTATATACATATACAGTCATACATTGCCTAACAATGAGGATACTTTCTGAGAAATGCCTCATTAGGCAATTTTGTCATTGTATGAACAATACTTACATAAATACTTACATAATACTTACATAAATACTTACATACAATACTTACATAAATCTGGTTGGTATAGACTATGCACACCTAGGCTGTACAGTATAGCCCATGGTTCCTAGGCTGCAAACCTGTACAGCATGTTACTGGACTAAATACTGTAGGCAACTGTAACACAATGGTAAGTATCCATATATCTAAACATATCTAAAGATAGAAAAGGTACAGTAACAATACAGTATAAAAGACTTTGTAGATGGTACACATGTACAGGGCACTTACCAAGAATGAAGCTTGCAGGAATGGAGGTTGCTCTGGGAGAGTGAGTGAGAGAGTGAGTGGCTGACTGAATGTGCAGCCTAGGACATTATGGTGCACTCTTGCAGATTTTATAAACACTGTACACTAGTCTGCATCGTTTATTTCTAAAATATTTTTCTTTCTTCCATAATAAATTAACCTTAGCTTACTGTAACTTTTTGACTTTATAAACTTTTGAATGTTTTTAACTTTTTGACTCTTTTGTAAAACACTTAGCTTAAAACAAACACTCTGTACAGCTGTACAAAGATATTTTCTTTATAATCCTTACTCTATAAGCTTTTTTCTATTTTTAAATTTTTAAATTTTTACTTTATACTTTTTAAACTTTTTGATTAAAAAAAAACTAAAACACAAACACACGCCAGCCTAGGCCTACCCAGGGTCAGGATCGTCAATATCAGTGTCTTCCACTTCCACATCCTATCCCACTGGAAGGTCTTCAGGGACAGTAACACACATGGAGCTGTCATCTCCTATTAGAACAATGCCTTCTTCTAGAATACCTCCTGAGGACCTGCTTGAGGCTGTTTTACACTTACCTTATTTATTTTCTGTAAGTAGAAAGAGTATACTCTAAAATAAGGTTAAAATGTATAGTATAGTAAATACCTAAACAATAACTTAGTCATTTATAATCATATCAAGAATTATGTACCGCACCTAATTGTATGTGCTGTTTTTATATGACTGGCAGCACAATAGGTTTGTAAACAGCATCACCACACACATGTCAGTAATGTGTTGTGTTGTGTTGTGACATCATAGGACAGCTATAATGTCACTAGGCAATAGGAATTTTTCAGTCCCATTATAATCTTAGGAGACTACCATGATATATGCTATATATTGACTGAAACATTACTATGCAGTACATGACCATATATATATATTCCTGATGTTAAAGAACAACTCTTCCTCACTTAAGAATATTTTTAAAATACCGAAGAGTACAAGCAAACCAAAACATAAACTCACAAATTAAAATCATCCCTATTCCCAAAGCCAGAAATAATCACAATTAACATTTTGGTGTATTCACTTCTAATTGTTTTTTATCTGAAATATATGTTAAATTGAAATGTTTTTATGTTTATTGGTCATTTCCATTTCTTCCAGAAATTGCTCTTTGTTGTCTTTCAATATTTTTCCATTATTTTCAACTAATTTTTTCCATTAGGGTATTACTGTATTTACCCTAATTTAAAAATTAAATTAGGTAAATTATCCAACTTACTTACAATTTGCCAATACGCAACCATGTTGACTTGCAAAAAAAGTGATATAATTTTTAGCTTTTAATTCTGCTTGTAATGTTCAGAAATCTTCAATTTTCACAGAGTTAAATACCTCTAATTTTTTCTTTGTTATTTTCCCCCAGTGTTTCAGTAATTAGTCTAACCATCCAAGGTCATTTAAATGTTCATGTTTTTGTTCTTTGTTTTATTATATCACTTTAATACCTTGCCAAATACATCCATCCAGTGAACATTAACTTGACAGTTTTATCAAAATGTATTTTTTCCTTCCCATCATTTATTGAGTATTCTATATATTTCCAGTTTGTTATACTTGCTTTAGGACATAATATTATGAATTAAAATCTTATATAGCTTATTAAGGTCATATTCATATAAACGCTTATTTCATTTATGTGCCATTGCATTTGTTTTTATAACATGTGCCTAGCACAATGCCATTTTAATTATGAAAGCTTTATAAAACTGTATTTCATCAATTCTAAGATGCACAATTTTTCATATACTAACATTTTCTGAAAGGGAATGATTCTTAGCATGACAGAAAATTACAGTTTTTTTTTTCTTTTCAGTGGTTGATAAAACAATGGTTTATATTACAATCCATGATTCTTCTATTCATCGAAATACATAATGCTTTAATACTTGGTGGGACAAAGTTTCTTTTATTATTTCTTGTCAGTTTAGATTTATTTTATTTACATTTTTATTCTTTTTTCTTTTCTATAGATTTTTCAGAAGTTTATTTATCTTTTTTCATCTCATCTAACGCTTTCGAATTCTACTTTATCTGAAACAGTTTACCGCCACCTTGTTTTTGTCTGTGTTGCTAAATTGTTTTTATTCTTTAATTTTTAATATTTTATCATAATTGTATCTTCATTATTTTTCTCTGTTGTGGTTTATATACTTATATATGGGATTGCAAGCCAAATCCAGTTGTATTTATCTTCTAATAGAAGAGTTTAATCCTTTCATCCTTTCGTACTTATTTTCATAAGTGACTTTTGTTTCATACGTTCTGGAATTTGCCTGTTTCTGTCTTTTTCTATAGAAAAAGACTTTCTAATCTTTAGGGATTTGGAAGTAATTTCTCCAGTTTTAAAATTTTAAATAGTTGCTGTTTGTATTTTCATTATATTATTATCTGTGAACAAAAGGCAACCAATTCAACCAACTTGTATTTCTTTGCCTGCTTAAAACCTACTCCTGTTCATCTGACATTTGGTTTTAGGCCTAAATTATTACACTAAAAATTTCATTTCATCTACTAGTTTTGACAGAACATTTGAAATAATTATTTAAGTAATTTCAAAATTCATTAAATCTCTTAGATTGTAATTTTCCTCATTCTAGAGTTCTAAAATTTTACTCATTTCTCAGCCGTATTATGTATTTAAATTTATTTTAAAGCTAGACATACACAGCATACATTTTTAAGTACTTCCATATCTGAGACTGTCCCCCTGTTGCCTTCATACATGGAGGAATATTTGGCTTACAATTTTTAGGTCTCAAATTCACCACATGAAAATTCTAAAGATACTGTTCAATTGTCTTCATTCAATTAATAATGCAGTGGAGAAGTCTGAGGCCAATTCAGGTTGTTCCTCTATTGGTAACCTGCTTCTTTGCCTGAATGCTTTTAAGAATGCTTCCATTAATTTTCCTAATTAGATTCTTGCCCTGGTTGGGTCCTTTTAGTTTTACTTTCTGCAGATATTCTGGAGCATTTTTATTTTTAGGCTCATAGTTTAATCAATTGTGGAAGTTTTAATCAGTTCTTTGTTAAATGATAGCTTCCATTCCAATTGTTCTGGTTTCTTCTTTGGGAAAACCACAGACACTCATTTTAGATTTCCATTCTCCACCTGCCGTATACTTCACTTTTTCTGGAAGAGTGTTTTTTTGTTTTAATCACTTTGCCTTTCTCCTTTGTTTTCAGGAATGACATCTCAATTTTGTGCTACACATGAATGGTTTTATTTGCTGCAATAGTCGTTCTTATCTTTACTGCCTCCATTGCAAATTTTAATTACGCTTTTGCAATTTGATTTACTATATCTACTATCTTACCTTGATCGGCTTTTTAACTTCTCCGCCTTTGGTCTATATGTCTTGTTTTATTGTCGGCCCATTCTCCCTTTGTTTTGTATCTGATCCCATTTGTTTTCCATACTTGCTGCTCACATATGCATAGATACCATCTTTTGTTGCATATAGTGTTTAACTCAAGATGGAATATTTTAACGTTTTCTTCTGGTTCCTTTAATAAATCATTGTTTTAAATGCTTTTTAAAAGATCCTTCAAAATGATTTTCTAGTTTCCCTTTCCCTGTATGGCAATTAAATTTTAATCGGACACATGTTGTTTTATTTTCCCTCTTGTATAAGTGGAGACCCATCCTATTTACAGCATTTATCAATTAGCAGGATGCCCTTGGCCCTAGCTACTGTCCATTTGATTATAAATTTAATCTTCGTCTCAGATCTATATTTGAAAAGCAAATTGATGTGCATAGTTCTTGGCCCAATTCCCAGGGTCTTTTCTGTTGGAATTAAAAGAGATGCCTTTCCTCCCACACTCTGGAGTTCTTACCCTGGAAATTAATGCAGTACAGGAAAATCTACTGCATGTATTGCTCCCGTGTCTTTTCTACTTCCTTGCTACAGGAAAGGAGACTGGGATTACATATAAAAGCAACAAGTATATGTTATAATGAGAGAGAAAAGGGATGGTGGCTCTCTAAGACCCTAGGATTTAGGTACAGGGAACAGACTGCGTAGGAAAGAAAAAGAAAAGGCGTAAAAGAAGAGAACAGGGACCTACGGAAAACAAAGTGCCTTCCTATCTTTTTTCAGTAGTATGAGGCTACTCTCTTTCATGAAACCTCCATTTTTTTTCTCTCAATCCAATTCCATCAGCTTATAGTTAGTGGAAATTCCTCCCATTTTCTAGCAATAGGCTCTGTTGGTCTTAAATTTTTGTGATGTTGTGAGTTTTCCTGTGCCTTAATAGCTATTTTAGAGGGAAGATGGTAGAGACTGCCTTAGGGACAACTAGCCAGATGCCATTTTAAACTGGAGCCTATGGATTAGTTATAAACACAGAGAAAACAATTGTCCATGCCATAATATAACATCATTGTTGATTCTATCCATTCTGGGTTGATGTGAGCCATAAAAGTTCTGTTTGTTTTCAGGGTCAAATACTGAGCAACAGGAATTACGCTAACAACTTTATTCTGAATATAAATTTCTAAAAATCAACTTTTGCATGGATTTAAGATACTTTTGTCTGTTATGTTGGCTAGAATAATACTGACTGGAACTTGATATTTTTGTTTACTAAATTAAGATTGTAAAAACTCATGTTACTTGCTTAGATATTGATTTTTTTAAAGCTCATTATGTCAAAACACTTGATTTCGTTCCACTTTAGAATTATCTTCCACACATTTAAAGATTCACCAAGGTAGTGGTTCTAAAACCATACTGTGAATAATTTTCTCAGGAGGAGCTCATAAAAATATTCAGATCCCCAGGCAATGCCTCTGCATGTATAGACTGAGTAGGACCAGAGATTTTTGTTTGCAATGAGTACACGCAAATGATACTAAAGCAGTGGTCCAGTCATACTTTGAAAAATGTTGATGAGTTTCAGGAGAGTGGTTAGGACTTTTCTATTTTTATTGGTGTTCGTATACTATAGTCTCAGAGACATGTAATTATATATCTCCTACAGTGAAGACTTTCTGCCTTAAACAGTGAAGACTTTCTGCCTTTAAACTAGATTTTTATTGTTGTTACCACATGTAAGAACAATATGACTATCGCTTCAAGAATTTGTGAAAACATGCTCAGCTATCTACTGGTTGGCTAAGAGATTTAATGCAATTTGTTCTAATAGAAAAAAAATCTTTACATAATATTCCCCAAATGAGTATTATTAACTATCAAGATTAAGCATATAAATATGTTAATTATCTGGCAAACAGAAAATGCATAATTAGGTAGGAAGGGTAGGAATTTTAGAGTTAGAATAACTAAGTTAAGATCCATCTATGTAACCTTGAACCCATTATCCGATCAAAGTCTCCATTTCTTCCTCTGTCTAATAAGGCTAATCCCATCCTCTTGACTAACTCAACAGGTTTTAGAAAGGTCAAATGATACATACATACATGTGTAAATGCTTTGTGAGCTGTTAGCACTGCAAACATTAAAAATACTGTGCTTGGCCAGGCATGGTGGAGCACTCCTATAATCCCAGCTACTTGGGAGGTTGAGGCGCAAGAATCACCTGAACCTGGGAGGTTGCAGCGAGCTGAGATCCCTCCACTGCATTCCAGCCTAGGCACAGAGAAAGACTCCATCTCAAAAAAAAAAAAAAAAAAAAAAAAAAAAAAATATATATATATATATATACACATATAATGCTAAATGAAAAGTACTTTATCTCCACACCTACACAGCATCAGCGAAAGTTTCAGCAGTTCTGTCATTTCACTGAAAACCAAATAATCAACATAGATTTACTGAAGATTATACCAAGAATTAAAACTAGGTATCCAATATATAAGAAAGAAATGTCTTTGCTTTTCTACTTTGCAGTTAAATATATTGGTATTTAATAGTTCAAAAGTATATGATGAGTTTTTCTAAAACCATTAAAATTGAGTGCTGCTGTTTCTCAGATAGGATAAATTCATTAGTCTAATAGAGTGCTACAGGTAACAGTTACCCCTTGGTAATTTTTCCACTAATATTCATGCACTGTATTTCAGTCTTTCAATACTACTTTAATGACTTGTAGACTTTTACTCAGGTACTTCCTAATTAAGTGTATTTGTAATAGCTATAGTTTTTATTATCAAATCATTCTGGATTCAGACTTTAGGCTGATAGTTGTTTCTTAATTGCTCAAATTTTTTTAAGTTTAATTAGTTTTAGATGGCAGAACAGATGGTCTGTGAATCCATTGGTGCTGTATCTATGTGATAATATACTTTGGTTCTGTCTAATGGAGTGACTCTTCTTTTCTAAATATTCTCATTTAAACAGCACTCTTAGTTTCTCACTTTTTTTCAATTTGTGTCAAGGATAATGTGAAATAAACATGAATTTTATCAAATTGTTATAATCTTGGCCAAATTCGGAATCAAATATGACAGCTTTAATTTTGATATATTTAGATTCATAAATTATGATTATGCACACCTAATAAACATTAACTCAGTACAAAAGGAATCTTATCTCCACCAATATTATAAAATAAAACAATTTCCTAACAAATTTTGGTAAGCACCTAATGGATGCTGGACTCTGGGGCTAAATCATGAATCAAAATAAACAGTGATGCGGGGCAAATGCCTATAGTCCCAGCTACTCAGGAGGCTGAGATGACAGGATCACTTGAGGCCAGGAGTTAGAGATCAGCCTGGGCAACAGAGTGAGTCCCCCTGATTCTAAAAACAAACAAAGTTCCCTTTCTCCTTTGCTCTCAAGGAGCTTATAGTCTATCGGGGTGAAGGTGGATGTTAAACTAATCATCACGCTGCTGATGACATAATTACAAACTATAATAAAGGGTCTGAAGGAAAAAAGTATAATCGCATGAGCAAAGAAGCCTAAGCAGTAATTGAGGGTCAGAGAAGACTTCTTCAACGAGCAGCCTTTAAGCCGAGACTTGGGTAGTGAAATCAATAAACTCAATTAGTGAAGAAGAAGAGAAAGAATGTTCTAGACACAGAAGGCACAGCACATGTGGAGAATATACTGCAAGAGCACACGGTAAATAAAGCAAGGCCAGAGTGGCTGAAGCAGAGAAAGTAAGGGGAAGAATTCTATGAGGTAGGGCTTGAGAGACTGAAATAGCCAGACATTTCCACTAAGAGTAAAAATTTTAGCATTATCTAAAGAGTATAGCAAAGCTATTAGAGTATTTTAACAGAGGGATAATATTACCATGATTGCTTGTGAAAAGATAACTTAGTTGATTTCAACATGCAAATTGAGCTAAGCTGATAATGCCTATCACTACAAACCTATTAAAATGTTCAGCAAATATGTCGGGCACTGTGACCCATGCCGGTAGTCCCAGCTACTCTGGAAACTAAGGCAAGAAGATTTCTTGAGTCCACAAGTTTGAGTCTAGCCTGGGCAACACAGTGAAACCCCATCTCTAAAAATACAAACAGATGAAAAATGTTGGGTAAATTTACAACACAAACTTCTAAAAAATAAAAATAAAAAAACGTGTCTGAGCGCCAATAAAGAAGAAAGATTTCCTGATAGACTCATAAAAGGAAAAGTAGCTCAGAAAATAACTTTAATAACAGAATAATTTGGAAAAGATAGTAAAATGAGAGTGTTTAAAATTATAAGTTACAGGCTGAGGTCAGGAGTTCGAGACCAGTCTGGCCAACATGGTAACCCCATTTCTACTAAAAATACAAAAAATAGCCAGGCGTGGTGGTGGGCACCTGTAATCCCAGCTACTAGAGAAGCTGAGACAGGGGAGTTGCTCAAAACCAGGAGGCAGAGGTTGCAGTGAGCCAAGGTCTTGCCACTATACTCCAGCCTGGGCAACAAAGAGAGACTCTGTCTCAAAAAAAAACTTGAAAATTAAAAATTAAAAAAAAAAAAAACAAAATTATAGGTTACAGACTCAAAATTATGGCAAAACAATAGATCATCATGAAGATATAACAGATTTAAAAATGAATGAAATATAACTTCTAAAATTAAAAAATTCAATTAAAAATTTAACGTCTTCAGCAAATTATACATTGTAGAAGAGAGGATTTTGAACTAGAAAATATATCAGCAGATCTACATGTATCAAAGGAAGAATGTGAAATGGAAAATATGACAAAGACAAAGAATAGAATAAGTAGAGATACCAAATAGAAAATAAAGAGAGAAGGAAAAGAAAAATATTTGAAGAGATAATTGCAGTGAAATTTCTAGAATGTATAAAAAAGGATACTTACTTGACAAAGAACACCAAAGCCAGATTAAAACAGATAAAAATCAATAACATAACAAATATAGGGAAACTGAAGAAGACTAAAGACAAAAGATGACTCTGTGGTTTTTGGCTTGCTCAATGTGGCAGATGGTGGAACCATTCAGAAACACAGGACAATGGAAACAGAGGAGATTAGGGCTGGTAAGGTCAGTCTTGAATCTGCTAGATTTTTTTTGGCCTTACAGACAGTCATGTGGTAAAGTCTAGTAGGCAAATGAATATACAGCATGGATCTGAAAGCAGAAGTCTGTGCTAGAGATATTGGCTGTCACATGAGTAGATGTCAAATAAAGTTGTTCATATGGGCAAGGCTGCCTAAGAGATGGATTTAGATAAAGTTAAGGGCTTTCTGGAACTACATATAATGCCTGATAAAAGTAGACACACCTGCAAAAGAAACATAGAAGGCCATACTGCCCAAGGTAATTTACAGATTCAATGCCATCCCCATCAAGCTACCAATGACTTTCTTCACAGAATTGGAAAAAACTACTTTAAAGTTCATATGGAACCAAAAAAGAGCCCGCATCGCCAAGTCAATCCTAAGCCAAAAGAACAAAGCTGGAGGCATCACACTACCTGACTTCAAACTATACTACAAGGCTACAGTAACCAAAACAGCATGGTACTGGTATCAAAACAGAGATATAGATCAATGGAACAGAACAGAGCCCTCAGAAATAATGCCGCATATCTACAACTATCTGATCTTTGACAAACCTGAGAAAAACAAGCAATGGGGAAAGGATTCCCTATTTAATAAATGGTGCTGGGAAAACTGGCTAGCCATATGTAGAAAGCTGAAACTGGATCCCTTCCTTACACCTTATACAAAAATCAATTCAAGATGGATTAAAGATTTAAACGTTAGACCTAAAACCATAAAAACCCTAGAAGAAAACCTAGGCATTACCATTCAGGACATAGGCGTGGGCAAGGACTTCATGTCCAAAACACCAAAAGCAATGGCAACAAAAGCCAAAATTGACAAGTGGGATCTAATTAAACTAAAGAGCTTCTGCACAGCAAAAGAAACTACCATCAGAGTGAACAGGCAACCTACAAAATGGGAGAAAATTTTCGCAACCTACTCATCTGAGAAAGGGCTAATATCCAGAATCTACAATGAACTCAAACAAATTTACAAGAAAAAAACAAACAACCCCATCAAAAAGTGGGCGAAGGACATGAACAGACACTTCTCAAAAGAAGACATTTATGCAGCCAAAAAACACATGAAGAAATGCTCATCATCACTGGCCATCAGAGAAATGCAAATCAAAACCACTATGAGATATCATCTCACACCAGTTAGAATGGCAATCATTAAAAAGTCAGGAAACAACAGGTGCTGGAGAGGATGTGGAGAAATAGGAACACTTTTACACTGTTGGTGGGACTGTAAACTAGTTCAACCATTGTGGAAGTCAGTGTGGCGATTCCTCAGGGATCTAGAACTAGAAATACCATTTGACCCAGCCATCCCATTACTGGGTATATACCCAAAGGACTATAAATCATGCTGCTATAAAGACACATGCACACGTATGTTTATTGCGGCACTATTCACAATAGCAAAGACTTGGAACCAACCCAAATGTCCAACAATGATAGACTGGATTAAGAAAATGTGGCACATATACACCATGGAATACTATGCAGCCATAAAAAATGATGAGTTCATATCCTTTGTAGGGACATGGATGAAATTGGAAACCATCATTCTCAGTAAACTATCGCAAGAACAAAAAACCAAACACCGCATATTCTCACTCATAGGTGGGAATTGAACAATGAGATCACATGGACACAGGAAGGGGAATATCACACTCTGGGGACTGTGGTGGGGTCGGGGGAGGGGGGAGGGATAGCATTGGGAGATATACCTAATGCTAGATGACACATTAGTGGGTGCAGCGCACCAGCATGGCACATGTATACATATGTAACTAACCTGCACAATGTGCACATGTACCCTAAAACTTAGAGTATAATAAAAAAAAAAAAAAAAAAAAGAAACATAGAAGGATTGTCAGAATGGAAAAAGAAAACCCAAGAAGATATATTCCCACAAAAGCCAAAGCAAAAGACCAAGAGAGGATTTTTTTATTCTCCTATATTTGCAGCTTTGAAGATCATCTCTACATGTAATAACATCATATTAGTCTGGCATTCTTCTCCTAGCATTAAATATTAAATTTAGCACACATTCTTACATATATTACCACATGTAGACATAGAGATCTTTCAGAATAAACGAGTATTACAGATGTTCACATTATTTATCTAGAGATTTTAGTCATTGTTATCCTCTAAACTAGAGATCTGCAAATGTTTTCCACAAAGGGCCAGAGAGTAAGTATTCCAGGTGTTGGGGACCATGAGGTCTCTGTCACAAGTACTCAACTTTTCCATGGTAGCATGAAACCAGCCATAGACAATACTTAAATAATGAGGATAGTTGTCTCCCAATAAAACTTTATTTACAAAAAATAAGCAGCAAACCAGAGAATCTGAACACACGAGAGCTTCCGGATTTGCTCTAGGACAGACTCTGAACCATTTTTCACTTTTTTATTGCATATAAGTAATATTTGCATGCACAGCATTTATTTTAATTTTCCATATTTTTGTTAGGTGAAAAAAAATATTTCTTTGTTACCAGGATAAACTAGACAAAATATTATTAGATGTAAACTATTTACTAGGAAAATATAAATGTAATTAGAAAATTCCTAACTGCAAAGTATAGAAAGAATAACAACAGAATATAAATAGCAGTGTTTCAGTTAAGGAGTATGCCTTATATATGCCAAAAGGGAAATGACGTAGAAAATCAATCTGATAGGAGAAGGGAAACTGTAAAAGAATTCATGATCCACGTAATAGTACTAAAGTGTCTCTTTTTTTGAAAATTCAAGACATTCACATGAGCACTTGTGAACAATTCTGTGGGAGAAAGATAACAAGAAAGGAAATATCCCCAAATAAAACTGCATGTCTGTGCACACACCAACACACATAGACACACACATATACTACTATAGTTTGTAGCTATATGGAGGCTTAAGAATTTCTGTAGAACAATACACCTCAAACTTAAAAGAAAAATAATGGTTATATATTATTTAAAAATATATTTTTAAATGTATCTGAAGAAAAAACAAGAGTTTCACTCTTGTTGCCCAGGCTGGAGTGCAATGGTGCGATCTGGGCTCACTCCAACCTCTACCTCCCGGGTTGAAGCAATTATCCTGCCTCAGCCTCCCAAGTAGCTGGGATTACAGGCATGCGCCACCATGCCCGGCTAATTTTGTATTTTTAGTAGAGACAGGGTTTCACCATGTTGTTCAGTCTGGTCTCGAACTCCTGACCTTAGGTGATCCACTCGCCTCTGCCTCCCAAAGTGCTGGAATTACAGGCATGAGCCATTGCACCAGGCCGAAAAACTAAATATATTAATGTATCCTGTTTTATCTCCTTGCAGCAACCAGAGTACTTACAGCATTTATTAAAAACAATCTTCCAGGAAGATGGAAAAAATATACACCTCCCTATTCCTCTCACTAAGTATAATTAATATCATGTTAGTTATGTATATAACAATAACAGGAGACTCTCAAGGGTGGAGAGAAGGCAGATGCAATAGGGGCCTCAAGACCCAGGGAACAAACACGAGTTTTCTGGATTTTCTTTTTGCCTCATCTATTCTAGACTTTGGGCTGAAGAATTTGGCAAGCTGGAAACACCAAGAGGTGCAGACAAAAAAATAAAACCTGTAAAGCCAAGATTTTTTGTTCTCTCTAGCCAGAGAACCAGGAAAGGGGCAGCTTAACAAGACAGAAAACTTTTATACCATAACTGCTTTACTCCAGTCATAGAAAATTTTTTCCATAGAAAACAACTGTGAGCCCACCCACACACCACCAGCAAAGATGAAGTGGGTCTTCCTGCCAGACTGTGAGAAAGCACCCCAACACCCATCCCCATACCATCACCAGGGTGGTATCAGAGAAGGCTGAAAGCTTGGACTTTCATCCCCACCATGAAGTAAAAAGGCCTACTGCTCCCCAACCCTTGTGATATCAGTAGAGATCATATGGGGTCTGTGACTGAAATATGTGTTTAGTGAAAAGTAGAATCTTGGGGGTTTAAAACTTTGATAATTGGCAAAGACTGATTTTTAAAAATTCAAATGAACTTTCTAAAATTAAAATATGACTTTTATATAATAAATATATATGAAATAATATTTATTTATAATAGTATCACAGACTATTTCATATTGATCTTCTCTTTACTGCAATGTACCTGAGCAAAAGAGAGTTTTTCATATTGCATTGGGTAAAAATCATATAAAAATAGGCCTGATTCTGCATCTAACATCGGAGTTGGATTGGTAACGTTACATCTGATATGAAGTGAACTACTGCCTCGCTCTTGAATAATCCTCAATGTTTTACAACCCCTAGTACAACATCAAAATATATTAAGATAATTCTTTTTAATTCACAAAGGCATGGAGCTGTAAGATTCCTTATTTATCTCAAATGGTACCTAATTTATAGAAGCTTCAGAAATTACTTTTCCCAACTTAATTCAGGAAAATGTGTACTTCCCCCCACCCCCAAGCCCCTTCATTGGTTGGTCTGCTGAAAAAAGTGCCTTTTTTTTAGTAGAAATTCTCAGCACAACTGTTAAGTGAAGGTAGCCTATAGATTAGATTTGAGCTCCATGAAAAATACAAAAATCAACCACCAATAATTAGCAGCCTCACACAAGCTTTGTAGTATCTGCTTTGAGGCTCATCTAATTGTATCTAATCCCACATCAGCAGGGTTCTCAAGCCTTTACCTAATGAAAGATTTTATCATAAGTCCATCAAAATGGACTGTGAGAGTTATTGTTTTCTTTCTCATCCTTCCAAATCATTTTAACTCTTCATCCTTTTTAAAAATGACATTTTGCTGTGTTCCTTGACGTTTGTGGAAACGATGACCATTAGCCAAACTAGACAATAGCAAGAGCTAAAAACAAAACCGTGTGCTCAGTACATATCCCAGGTGATATATTGATTTATTGTAGTCTTAATTATTCTGCATCTATCTACCGCTTTTCCCTTGCAGGTTTTCCAGAAACTATAAAATCTTTATAATAATATTTTCTGTGGAGAAAATGATTTCATTTAAGTATGACTTATTACAAAAATCCAGTAATGTTATTATGCTTCTATTTTAATATTTTAATATTTTTTAAAATTTAATAACTTTAATTACATTTTATATTTTTAATAAATACATAATGGATTCTAGCATAGGGTAAATGGACATATTATTGTCTAAAATGGGGGAAAACTAATTTAGGAAGATGATAATTTAGGAAACTAGTTATAATCCAATTTCTAGATAGCAATCTTTAATCTTATAATTATTTTTCTTTCAATTATTGCTTGAAGATTTGCCATTATTGTGGGATATTGAGACCATAACAGTAACTTAGAAACAACCCAAGGGTTACAGGGAATTCTTCATTACTCCATAGTGAATACTCAAGTTATAGAAACAAAACAAAAAGAGTACAATAAAGCACAAATCACCATATTACTTACTTTGTTGTGCCAATACATTTTAGAATATCTAGAACTAAGCTTTCAGAAGTACAATGACAATATGCCTGAATATTAAAAAATTTAAAATTTGATTATATAACAGATGGATTCCATTGTTTTTTTAAATTGCAGATAAATTTGTTTTGTTTCTCCCAGTGGAGATTTTTGAGTATTTAATTAAAGGCCTCATTGCCCCATCATTAAATTCAAAGAAGCATATCTAATGTGAACACTTAAATGTAATGTCACTCATTAGTCTTTAATGAAGAGAAACGTATTCTTTCTCTAAAGAACAGCTGTAAAAATAGTGTCTGTCACCTACAAAATTATACATTCTGAAGATTATTAATGTGCATTTAATGACTTTGAAATATGTCTTTGCAACAGTTACTATGCATGTTTCTTCCTTTCGGGCTTCATCTGTGAAAGAGGTTAACTAAAGTCAGAGAGCCTGGAATTCTCATACACCTCAGGACACCAGCCTGAAGCAGAAGCTAAATTTTCCCAGGTACCTGTAACAGATTGGGCATGGAGTCATTTGGCTTTCTATACCACACATTTTCTCATTGGTCCTGTACCTTGATAGCAGTTTTCATAATGCCTTAGCCATAAAAATCTGTCATTAGACAGTTAAAATTCATCTGGAGCTCTTTTTCCTAGGATCTAGTCAACAAGAAAATTGATTTTAATGTCTGTGCCGTTTCCTGACTCTGCAAGACAAGACTCAGAATACAGCACAGTGATTGCAGTTGATTCACTATTGCCTTATCACCACCATCATCATCACCATTACTATTATCCTCACCAACATCATCACAGTCACCAACTGTCATTCTTGAAAAATGTATTTATACCTATTATATGCTGAAGTCCTACATCCTAGTATTTGATCACTGAGCCATGGCAGCCATCTAAATCTACTGCTTTTTTTTTTTTAAGACAAAGAAAGTACTGATTAGTTCTGCATACACTCAGCAAAGCATCTAGGCAAATTTTTTTAAGGCCATCAACTATTTAGACCTATCCAGATCTGGATATGTCTGGTGTTAGCAAATTCAACGTATGTATTCTTCATTGAACTCTTTAGATTTTATTCAGGAGATTCAGGGTCAATTAGGTACCACTAAGTTATGTTCTGAAGTATATTACTACTTTGTTGAAATACAACCCATCATTAAGCATAATTCGACATTAAGTGCCTCCTTAAAGTGCATCCAACATGCCTTTAATTACAGAAGCACCTAAAATAGTTCATCGCAGACATATTTGCATATCTAATGGTTCCATGGCATAACTCCAAGAATGACAAAATCATATTATTTATTTATTCATTCAGCAAGTATTTATCTAGCGTCTCTTGTGTCAGACATAGCGCTGTGTGCTACAGGTACAGTAGTATACAGTCTCACATTTGTAGGTATAAATACATATATTTCACAAGTATAGTCATGTCTTTCTGCATTGGGAAGATGTTCTTCATAGTCTGAGTACTTCATATTTTTTCCTTGCAACAGGAGTGTGAATGACAATAACATAAAACAAGTGTGTTACTTCTGGAACTATTACCAACATGGTAGTAGTTCCATGGTCTACTGGTGGTTGGATTATGAAAGCCATAGGCCACACAAGATCTAACAAAGGTTTAAATCTTGTGTGGCTTATGGCTTTTATAATCCAACCATCTTTTGTAATTTCACCACCTGGGACAAGACAACACATGCTGGGTGCACGAAAACCCTCGTAGTTTTTTTTGGTTGAATCAAAAGAGTAAAAAGAAGTTTCTTCATTTTTAAAGTAATTTGGATGTTCAAATTTTTTTGAAACCAGTTGAAAACATAGTTTATTAAGGCATTTTTATAGCTACTCTGTTTAACTTTACTTATTAAGTATTTCCTTCTTTGTTTTTTTGAGACAGAGTTTTTGCTCTTGTCATCCAGCGCGATCTCGGCTCACTGCAACCTCTGCCTCCTGGGTTTAAGCGATTCTCCTGCCTCAGCCTCCCGAGTAACTGGGATAACAGGCACCCACCACCACACCTGGCTAATTTTTTTTTGTTTGTTTTGTTTCGTTTTTGTTTTCTGTTTTTGAAGTATTTCTTCAATATGTACTTTAAATATGTACTGGCTTGTCATGCTGCGTCATCCGTTCACCAGCATCTCTCTCTGCTTTCCTAGCTCCAACCCATCCACAGAAAACAACCTAATAGCTGGAAAATAGATGCTTTGCCCTATGAAACTTCTTCTGATACTTTCCCCCTGTGCAATTGACTGCCTCCTATTTTGTTTCCCCAGTGTATCTTGTTTTCATCTATATCAAAATATCTTTGTATTGCATTTATATATTTACAAGCTTAACCTTTAGAAAAGCCACAGTCTCATTGTGTTGTCTCAATAATCGTTCTATTCAAAACATAATCTTACTTGTAAAAATAATTAAAATTAATTCACTTCTCTACTCAGTCTCCTGAAGAAATGTCAAAAGGAAAATTATATTTCTAAAACATACAGAATTAAAAAAAAAAAGCTTTTGTCTCAATCTTTGCATACAGGGTTGATAACATCAAATAAATAGTTGGGTCAAAAGTCAAGTTGGACACTCTAGGTTGCTAAAGATGATAAGAATATAGTTGAAATGATTGACAATGGGGCTACACAATAGGAAGATGGTTGATAGGAAGAATACAATGCGTTTGTACTGTTTGAAGACCAGACACTGTGCTTTCACTTACAGCCAAGACTTTCTGGGTGCAAATGACAGAAACTTAGTTCAAACTGACTTGGCTATCTTATATAATGCCTAGGGACAGTCTTTAGGCTTGGCTGAATCCAGATGCTCAAACAATGTTATCGAAAATTATGTGTGGGCTTCATTCTCAGCAAGGCTTTTGTCCTGGTCATAGCCACTACAACCCAAGGCCTACATTCAACCAGCTTAACAATCCCAGTAGAAAGAAATCCTCTTTCCCAAAAGTTTCAGCGGAAGTTGCAGGATTGATTCTTATTCTCCAAACTTGGGACACCCAAACTAAGACTCTGACGGGCTAATGTTGGATCACAGGAGTATCTAAGGAGGTGGAGATTTGATCAGCCCCATCTGAACTGGAGGACTGAGAGTAAAAGAGGAGTCTCACACACAGAAACTACGGGGCTGTCACCAGAAGAAGGGAGAGATGCAGGCTGGTCACAAATGTGCACACTATACTCACATGAAATAAAATATACTGCAGATGGATATTCTGTTTTTACAAAGATTTTCCTTCTGAAATGCCAAATGGAGCCAATAAAATAAGAAGAGACATCATCAACTATCCACAGAAACTTTTCATATCTCAAAATTTCAGAAATTCAGTTTCCCTTCAGTTACCTTTTCATATTGAGTATGAATTATATCTTTTGAAACCTTAGTTGCCCTGCTCTATTGACTAAAAAGAGCAAATAACTCATGTGAATTAGTCTTTCTCTCCATCCTTCTGTACTCTGTTTCTCTAATATGCATATAGATCATATATATAATGCATTTCAATTCTTCTCAGAGTGCCTGTTAAGAACAGTGGGTATATATGGTAGCACTTGAAAGAGCTCAGTAAATTTATTGAACTTTTCACTTGGTCTAATTCACTTTCCATCACTTGCTTCCTCAGTGCTCTTCCAAGAATGAATGTGTGTGTACATAGAATCTTTGCATGTGTAAACATTTCCCCCGAACACGTGTTATGTGTGGAAATTGCTTTACATTTGTATGCATGTCTTCCTCTCCTGATCTCTTCCTTCATTTATTTCCAAACACACTCTTTACCTAGACTCTGCTCTGCAAGCTTACAGATTTTCTTGAGTCGTTGTCATGTGTGAATGGGCTGCAATTCAGCTCTGCTTCTTCATAAGCTCACCTTTTTTTTTCTTATTCCCACACAATCAAACTTCTTTAGAGATAGTCTGCCCTCAGTGTATTCGTTACCTCTGACTTCATTCATTTAAAAAAATCAACCTTATGGTCTGGCTTTTGGGCCCACTTATTCTACTGAGGCTTCAGTCTTATTAACACTGATTGAAATAACCTAAGTATAGCACCTTCATCTCCGAGATCATGTAACGTTGTAACAACAGTTACAATAACAACAACTGACATGGATAAAACACAGGTGCTAGGCACTATGCTAATTTTCTACAAGGATTAGCTCAGTGTATCATTTAATTTTCACAACATCCCTAAGAGGTAGGCTCTATTTTTAATCTCCAGAAAAAAAAATACACAGAAGTTTGAAGTGAATAACCCAAGAGTAGCATAACCAGGCTCAATCTGAAGTCTTCTTATCCAGTTTATTCAGTGCCTGTGTTTTTTTCCTGATTCTCTCTTAGTATCCCCCTTCCAACCAACTCTCTGAGTCTACCCTTCTACAGAAGATGAAATCTTGAAAATTATCAGTGATAACAAATCACCAAGTACAATGCTTATTCTCCATCCTGACCTGCCTACTTTTGTAATAACAACAAAACTTCATATCTATTAGGGGAGGCTAATAACCTCTGTTATGTGTTACCTCCCATAACACCACAACACTTGGAGTGCAGGGACAAGTTCTTCTGTATGTCCGGCCACACCCACAGTGCCTTGCATGTAGTGAGTCTCAATGAATGTTCACCAAAGGAATAACGTGAATAGAGACTTTTTATAGTTTGTCATACAGCATGGTAGATTCTCGATACCCAAGGGATGAATATTTGTAAAGACTTCCTAGTCTTAGCATTAATTCTTGTGTCTCAGCACTAATTTTTGATTCACTCAACAGACACAGGTGTGTAATGAGTGTGTCATGAGTGTGTCAAAGTTTATTTTACATAATAAGCAACTTACATAGTTTAAAAAAGATATTGTAAACTTCATGGTATCCTTCTGCCAGTATTCTGCTGTGATTAAAATAGCATTTGGGGAAATCCAATAAATAAAATTATATAAGATTCAATGAGAGGGAAAAACCTAGCAACTACTGTACTTTAAAAATGACACTTAGTTCACAATCTCTTGGGTAACCAATATCAGAAAGATTTGGAGTATGCAGTAAGACTTAAAGTAATTTTGTTTGTGTCAGAGATGTGACTTATTCTCAAGATTTACCTGCTGTATCATTTACTCTTACTCACTGATTTACTGTATAAGTTTATCAGTTACACTTAGGAGCTTGATCTTGCTTTCTACTTAAAACACACTGCAAGTCTTAACACTCGGAGGAAAGCACTCTGCAATCTGCTGCCACATTTTCCATTAATCCAAAATTACCTTGATCTTGCTCAGATCCATAAGTCAAATGGAAGTCAAGAACAGAAGAAGAAGGAAAGAAATCAGAAAGTTTCACATTGAGCTAACTTCTAAAATACTTTGTGCTTTTTTTTTTTTTTTTTGGAATGTTGAAGTTCTTATAGCACAGTCCTATTCCTTTCTACTCAGACCAAGATCTTATTGAGCTCCTACATTCTTGACAAACACTGGTTCCATTTTCATGGCATCACATTATATGCCCCATTATGACACACATACCTGCTGTATTAAAAGTATTAAAATTCACATTTGCTTCAGATTAGAATTGTTAAAGCACAAAGAAAAAGAACTCTGTATTGCAAAACTATGGCTGAATCTCAAGGATGTAATATTATTCATGATTAACTGATTTGCATGCAGTTTCATCAAAGTGTATGTCTTTACCCTAAATGTGGCAAGTCCATTTTGGGGAGAGCTGTCATCATTGAGGTAAAAATAAGAGAAACCACTTTAGGCATGCACTGCTGAATAAGCAAGCACTTGTTTCTCAATTATTCCTTAACAATTTCTACTTCTGGTTCTCACACTCACCTTCTACATTAGCAATATGACCCATTTATTGATCGACAGATGTGTAGCCAGTGTGCTTTTGTCACTGTAATTGATCATCTAGTTTCTGAAATATTATGACTGGAGCAAAGTATTCATATTATCTTTATTAAGGGTTTGCTTAGGCACTGCACTTGTAAATTTCAAGCTTAGTTGTTCTAGAAAAGAAAAAAAGTATTTTCTATGCAGCCAACTTAAATTTTTGTTTGTCATAACATTGCTGTGGTGCTCTGGTGTCCTCAACTATAGATAACACAGGATATGGGTGTACCGAGTTGGCACCAGTTTTATGGATGTGTCACTTAGAAATCCCAAAGAGCATGTGTCCATGTCTCTCAATCCACCAGTAAAACATTGAGCACACTGCAGTATATGCACAATGTAAAGATCCCCTTATCCCCAGATGCAATGGATTTTTTGGGGGGAAATACAAAAAGAAACTCAGTAACAACACTAGGCAATAGATTGTTAGCCAATGACAGGGAAACTGCTGTTGGATTTCATAGGAGAAAGAGCCAGTATTGCATATGTGGCAACAAGAAATGAGTACCAAGTTTGAAGTACAGGTCAGTCCATGATTAATTAAAAAGAATAGAATAGTGTAGGCACAGGAAACAGTATGAATAAAGGAAAGAGATGAAAATAATTCTGACATCTAACTTTCATTGAATATTGACCCTGTGCCAGGCACAGTACTAAGTGCTTTATGCGTAAACTCATTCAGGATAAAACTAGAAATGTAGTGGGAAAAGCTTTAAACAGTAAATAAGATGGCCCAGGTTTTATTCCTGGTTCTGCCACTATGTTGTCACACTAAGATCTTTCCTTTTCTAGGACTCAGTTTTATCATTTGGCAAGTAACTGGTATGTCATGGGAAGTCCTAAAGCTTCATCCTACTCCAAATTCTATGTGAAAATATCAACACAGGAAAAATGATCTAATATCACAATGAAAATGGGTGGGAAATGATTGTTAGGCATTGAGGCTTTAGCACAAAGATACTAGGGCTGGGCGTGGTGGCTCATGCCTGTAATCTCAGCACTTTTAGAGGCTGAGGTTGGAGGATCACTTGAGTTCAGGAGTTTGAGACCAGCCTGGGCAACACAGTGAGACCCCATCTCTACAACAACAACAAAATTTTCTTTTAATTAGCTGGGTGTGGTTAATGCCTCTCCAGTTGCATGCCTGTAGTCCTAGATACTAGGGAGGCTGATGTGAGAGGATCACTTGCGCCTGGGAGGTCGAGGCTGCATTGAGCCATGAACATGCCACTGCACTCCAGCTCGGGTAACAGAGTGAGATCCTGTCTCAAAAAATAAATAAATAAAGATACTAGGATCATTCAATTGTTGAATGCTATGTTCAAGGAATTATGCCAGGTCACTTCATTTTCATACATGTGAATTTTGTAAAATGTGAGGTCCTGACAAATACTTACATGTGACTTTACATAAGAGTGACCCATTCATATGCCTATAAAAAACAGGCAGGTAATGTGCTATGGTTCGGATGTGGTTTGCTCAGCCCTGCCAAGTGTCTTGTTGAAATTTAATTCCCAGTGCTGGAGGAGGGGCCTAATGGGAGGCATTTGAGACATGGGGATGGATTCCTTATAAATGACTTGGTGCTGTCTTCATAGTGATGGTAAATTCTCACTCTATTAATCCCCACAATAACTGATTGTTAAAAAGGACCTGGCATCTCCTTTCCCTCTCTTTTGTTTCTTCTCTGGCCATGTGATCTCTACATGCCAGCTCCCCTTTGCCTTCTGACATGGGCGGAAGCTTCCTGAAGCAGACACTGGCACCATGCCTCTTGTACCGTGTGCAGAACCATGAGCCAAATAAACCTCTTTTCTTTATAAATCATCTAGCCTCGGATATTCCTTTATAGCAACATAAATGTACTAAGACATAATGTAAATGAATAAACAAAATTGCATAGTGACTGGCAATCTGGAGAGCACATGTTCTATCTAAACAAGGGGGTCACTATCATTTCCTCCCAATTGTTAGTTATGTGGGTATCATGCTATATACTCTTCTTTGCAATAATTGAGAGAGGATTCAGAAAGATGAAAACAATAATTATGATTAAGCTGTTCATGTGTTCTATCTTCCATTCTAGGTACTTTTCATACATTATCATATAACTCTATTTTTTTTTCTCTTTGGAGACAAGAGTTTTGCTCTGTCACCCAGGCTGGAGTGCCGTGGGACGATCTCGGCTCACTGCAACCTCCACCTCCCAGGTTCAAGCAATTATCATGCCTCAGCCTCCCGAACAGTTGGGACTACAAGTGTGCACCACCACATACTACCACACCTGGCTAATTTTTGTATTTGTAGTAGAGATGGGGTTTCACCATGTTGGCCAGGCTTGTCTCAAACTCCTGACCTCAGGTGATCCACCGGGCTCAGCCTCCTGAAGTGCTGGCATTACAGGGGTGAGCCAACTTGCCTGGCCTAATTTGGTGTGTGTGTTTTTAATAGAAACGGGGTTTCACCATGCTGGCCAGGCTGGTCTCAAGCTCCTGACCTCAGGTGATCCACCTGCCTTGGCCTCCCAAAGTCCTGGGATTACAGGCATGAGCCAACACGTCCAGCCATTATCATGTAACTCTTAATGCTGGGGTTATATCTTTTGTTCCCATTTCAGGTAAGAGGGATTTGGAGCTCAGGGAAGTTAAACGTCTCTGAACATCCAAATTTTTTACTAATATTGAGAAAGGAAGAAGGTGATGTCAAGTTTCAAACTCACAACAATCGGCTATAAAGCCCTCATTTTCCCAGTATCCAATGCAGCCTAGTGAGACAAGAAAGTAGTGAACAGACTAAAGCGAGTACAGTAAATTTGATCATATTTCTCTTCTGGAATTAAAGTCTCGAATAAAATCTGACAGTCTCAATTCATGCCACAGAAAACAAAATGGAAATATTAAAAATATATCACATTAAAGTGAGAGGTGGCCATGGAAATGAAAAACCACAGTTCTGGACTCCCTCGGGTGAGACAACAGACATCCCTGGGTGCTATGTCATTCAACCTATCATCAAGATCTACCTGGTCTACCTCTAGTTGCTTTTTCTACTTAGGTGCAATCACTTATCTGTTTTTGCCTCAGTGTTGATCAGGATGGTTCATGCATTTCTATCTGAAACATTTGGTTGGATCAGACAGAGGCTTGGTTTCAAGGTTACCATTTTCCTAGTATTTAGTACTGACTTTTCTGAATTATAATTGCATATTCCTTAACTTTGTTTTATTTATCTGCCTTCCTGACTCACTGCCCATGCCAGTCCCTGGTCACAGCAAACCCTCACACCATGCCAGGACCCCTGCTCTATCTTGTCCATAACTTCTGTATGACAACTTCTATATAATAGCTAGGTAGTCCAATTCCAGGGGGCTTCCCAAGTGTCTGTAGCTTGTATCAGTCTTTGACATGATAAACATTTTTATTTTCAAGACATACTGGGGAGCAGTCTCCAAAGGGTATATGAAGTTAATTCATCATTAAAATACTGAACTTTTTTTTTTTTTTTTTTTTGCATCATCAGTATAGTTAAGAGCTTTACAGCCCACCTGTTAAACAGCTTCAGCAGATGCTTCTGGGAGCTGATTTTCCAGACTGTAACAACTTTATAATTTGAGCAACTTTAATCAAGATTCTTACCTTGGCAGATGCCAGCTTTTTGCTTCAATTTCATACCAGGCTCTTCTGACACTTTGTTTGTTGAAAATTTTGCTCTTTATTTGATCCCCAATGATTTCTTGCTTCCTGAGTTCCTCTAGATTAATATCTAACAGCTGTTTATGTATCATGTGAAAATCTTATATAATTAAGACTTTAACCCTCTACACCGTTTATTTTCAAACCTAGACTGTGTTAACTTATTCTGTAGTTTGAAGAAAGTTTCTTCCATGTCATTTCTTATGCATACTCTAAAATAAAGAGCTACTTAATGGACAGTGATATCCCACAGCCCGTAAATATTAATATGAGTGCCATTAGTTAGAGTGGAATACACTCATTTGTGAATGTTTTTAAAGAATATAAATGCTAATTTATTTTTGCATTACAGGATATATTCTTAGCATTTGGAATCATTTTGGCTTAATTGGTATCAACTCTTCTCACATAAATAAATGAATAAATGAAACTCAAATTGCTAGCCCCCAGTGACACAAGAGAAACTGACTTCTGGCGCCTTTTTAAACCTTTTCACTGACTACTACACTCGCAATCATCCAATTAATGAGAAGAACCCTTTTGGCTGACACAATGTGGCTTTGATGGAGAATCGTAAACACAATGCATGAAGCTTGTTTGTTCCAGAAAATATCTCATTAGATATAATTAAGATACACAAAAAGGAGGTACTTAAATTCTATAGCTCATTGCCAATCTAATATCTCAGCCATTCACAAATAAATCTCAGTCATTTTAATGCAATTGGGATTATATTGGAATTAGTAGTTTAGAGTTGATATACTGTCTCCCACTGAAAGCTTCCAAGGTGAAAGTCAAACAAAAATAAATAAAAAATATTAAATATAACATCTTTAGAAAATACTGTTTGGAAAGAGTAACTAGTTAATTATTTGGCAAAAAATAATGTAATAGTCATTTTTTGAGGTTTGGTGGTTAATGTAAAAACATATAGAGAAAGCTTACAGCATTAAGAAGCATGGGTTTTGGTTCAGGATTCAGTGTGGCTACAGCACAAGAAAATTAATTTAGATCTTGTGGGCTGCCTCTCAAACACAACAGCAGACATTGTTTTTAAAAAGATATTACCTAAATCATTCATGCATTAAAAACTCAATTAAGAAAAGTTTGTTGCTAAGAATGAGTTAGCAGTTTTGAGGATATGATGAGGTTTTGAGATGTAGTTCTTAACATTGAGTCTTCAGGGATTTAATAAGTTCCTTTGCGGAGCCCCTCTATGATTCTTCATTTATTTCAGCACTCTGTCTCTTGCTACAAATTCATAGAGTACAAACTTATGAATAGTCCACCCACAACAACTATTGCTATTTGTCATGACTCGTGAACTGACACATGATCATAAGAAACCCCATAAAAACAAATAAATGAGTGTCTTGACTGTCTGTATCTGAAATATCTACGCATTATGGAGTATGGACTATGTGTCAAATGCTGTACTATGCACTACTTCTTAGATTAGCCCAGGTAGCTGATCTCTTATTAGGACCATTTCTTCTTTTTCACAGGTGTGGAAACTTGGTCTCAGAGAGATGATATGGCTTGCCTAAGAAGCAGCTAACAAGTAGAGAGACGTTTTGAAGCTAAGCAGTTTGTCTCTAGAGCTTAAGCTCCTAATGCTATTCCATTGGAACTCTTGGTATTAGTATAAGTAAACAGATTCATTTGAGTCAGATGGCTAAAGTAAATTAATGGCTGATTGCTCTGCTCAAAGTAGAGAAATAAGCTCAATAAATTCCATCTGTCCTTACATTTTTAAAGATTTCACCAGAAGAAAACAGCTTCCAAGCCTAACCTCAGGTGAGATGCAAAACCAAAGTTTTTCTCTTTTTTAAAAATCTTTATCTGTTTTAGTCAAAGACCCCAGATTTTTACAGAGTAGTTGTTACAGAATATTTACTGCCCACCAATTATTCCATACACCTCCCTACACTTCCAGCCTTCTTTGCCTGTATGCTGGAGCCATGGATCTAGCTTTGCCAATCGATACTGACAGAAAATACATGTTTTATGTCTGGGCTGGGACAGTGAGTTCCTCTTTTTCCAGTGGTATCCTTAGAATCCACTTCAGATGACAGAGCTGTAAGATATAGAAGTGCTGCCTCCATATGCACTGAAATTAGAGTTTATGTAAAACTCTGATTGTATTAAGTGACTAAGATTTGGGAATCATTGTTGCTGCATTGTAGCCTAACCGAATCTGACTGACTAAAGTTTGTCAGTGAGTTAAAAATGCAGCTATGTATCCATCTATGCATGTCTTTCTGGTCACCTTGGAGACACCCTTCCTTGGAAGGCAGAAAGTGTTTTGTGTGCTAACCATTAGCAGGATGCCCAATACCGGCCCTCATCCAGAGTGAACTAACAGCATGAACAGCCCTCTGTGAGCTTAGAACATAGAAATTGGAAATGATGATGCGTGCCTAATTAGAAACTGGACTCATTGTCACTGGTAGCCTTCAGCTTGTGGCTGGGCAGAAGTCACTCTGCTCACCCATAATGAAAGGGGTGTGTAAATTTTCCATGGTGGTCACCATTGTTCCTGTGTGTTGAGGCAAGTCAGAAAAAACTGCACTGCTCTTTGGCAGAATGCCAGGAAAACCACAGACATTTGTTCAGACTCTTCGGCAAGGATGAGTTTATATCAAAATCTTGCCATAACCAAAAAGGTCAAATGAAAGGCAAGGTAATGTTGCCATCTTTTTTTCTTCTTTTTGGGAAAATATGTGTCCTTTTAAATACATGATATTCTAGATACTACTTTCCCTGATCTGAAATAAAGTTAATATTTAAACAAAATTATGTACTATCTAATCTCCTGAGATGTACTACATCAGAATCAAATGTGTAGATATTTAAGGAAGAAAGTTTAAAGTAGATCTCCTGGGTTTTGTGTTATAATCTGGGAATTTATTAGAGTAATCTGAGAAAGCCAAGCCCCCTTCCCTTGTCTTTAAAGACCCAAAATCATATCTCACAGTTAAAAGAAATTTTTTTAAAATTAAGTGTCTCAATTCAGAAGATTTCTAAGCAACTCACATGTTCTGGCCACAAGTAAATTTTCCCTCATACAAATACACAAACTTAAAGGAAATATTAAATGCCAAATAACAATAGTTATCAGCCAATCTGCGATCCTCTATTCTGAGAATTTGTCATTACGCCTTTCAAGTTATCTCCAAATCCCACCTGCTTTCAGATCCTCAGAAGCTGGCTTTCTGTTTTGCTATGATTGCTCAATAGAAAATAAACAGATGGGGCTGAAAAAAATCCAGAAATACAAATGGGGTAGAAACTGCCTCGGGCTTTTGAACAGCATCAGAGGAAGTTGTATTTTTTATTTTTCCTGTTTGACAAACAAATCTCTTGGAACACAAACCTCGATATGGTTTTACTCTAAATCACCATCAAATATGTTTGCTTTTGTTTTATTTCTCTTGAAATTCACAGCTAATTTTAGGATTTATCCTTTTAATTGAGATGAGTGAATGATCAATAATTGGTATTTGAATATATTAAACTGGGGGAAACATCCTTGTAAGACATCAGTATATATGGATTCCTTTATTTCATCGTGAAAATTTCAGGGGCACTAATCTCATTAATTGCTTTCAAATAAAGGCCATATCCATTGACAGCTGACAAAGATAAATTATGTCCAGGACAGGTTTCAGTTTTCATGCATATTCTTGCCCTTTATGTGTGGATGTCCACATACAGGGATCTAAGTTAAACATATAATTTTTTTATGTCCAATACTCTATTTTCTATGTGCTTTTTTGTTTATAGAACTTTGTCAGATAACTTCAAGTATAAGACCTTGAGGGGGAAATGGAAGGGCAGAGATGCTAAATGCTACAGCCCCAAAGGGATGCAGGGTGCAGTTGTACAGTTTGTATCCTGAACAAGGCGCCAGCCCAAGGGTGTAAATAGGGACTTAAATCCAATCTGAGTTCAGTTCCCCAATCCAAACTCAGGTTGGTGAGTGCTATATCGGTCTGTACTAGGAAGTTTTCAAGTTAGTCCCACCCCTGATGGGATTCAGGTGGGAAATGCAGAGAAGTCGTCTTTTTTTCTCTTTCACACAGAGACATCATATGGTCCTAGCAGTGGCCAGGTTACTCTGAAAGAAAGAAGCGAAAGCTGCTTTTGTGATTCTTTCCACTTCCAAGATGAACCATCATGGTACCAATCCAGTTAATTCAGAAACACACACAGAAAAGGCTGAACAAGTGAGGTTAAATTAGGTAATTTTGAAATTCCAGATTCACTATGACAGTCTATCAAAAGTGAAGGAATGAAGACTGAAATGTTGACAAAATGCCACAGCTACAGCAAACTTTTGCATGGCCCTGAAAGGCAATAAAAAGTAGTAGTTAAGACCATAGAATTTGGATTCAGCCAGTCCACAGTGCTCTGTTCAAACTGCTAGCTGTATGTATATAACCGTTTACTACATACTCTTTATGTCCCTCTCTCTTTCTAGGTAAAATTAGCAAAAAAAAAAAAAAAAAAAAGAAAAGAAAAGAAAAGAAAAAAAAGCACTGTTCTGTGACAATTCATAATGTGCATTTAGGTGCCCCATCATGGGTGATTATTGTGCCAGCATCATGATGATTATCATCATTATAGTCATTATTGCAGTCCTGAGTCTTAAATCCCATATATGAACTCTAATTTCCTTCAGAGGAAAGTTTCATTGTTAGCTCCTTGAAGGTAGGGCTGTTCATGTCTCCAGCTTCTGTCATAAACTTTGAATACAGTGTATATTCAATAAATATTTTCTGAATAACTGAATGTTTGAAATAGGCATTAAAAAACTCAAGTTATCCTCCTACTGTTATCATTTGCATATGTAATACACACTTTAATCCTGAATTGTAAGTAGCTCAAGTGAAGTAATACCTGGCTTGCCTACATCATAATTTCATTGTGTACATCAAGTAAGACTTTATGTACTAAAGAAATTTGCAGGCCATACAGGTTTATGCAAATATAAAGTATTTCCTTCTGTAAAGATATAGAAATATAAACATAAAAATATAAAGAGTATATACAATATTTACCTTCCTGCCCATAAAAAATAATCAAAATTAATCATTTTTAAGCACTTATATGTAAGGCGTTGTGCAGCAATACAGATACATTACCTCATTTAACTTCCAAAACAACCCTGAGTTAGGCACAGTTTTACCCCCATTTTACAAACTGAAGCTTAGAAAGACCATACAACTTTCTAAAGAAAAACAGCTGCTAAGTCGTAAAGCAAAAATTTGACCAAAGTTTATCTGACTCCAACTTCTCTACCCTTAACCACTACTCTATTGTATACAGACTGAAAAAAAGAGAATATTATAATGTTCAAAGTTAACTAGATAGTTTTCTCTATATGGTTATTCAAATGATTTTCAAAAACAATCTTCTAAGATATATTAAAAAAAAAACAAAAATGTCTCCATGAATGTGTTTCTGTTTTCACAAGTTTTTCCTGGATATGGATTTACGAGCAATTTACCTGGGAGAAATATGAAATGCACTGAGAGACTTCTTAGTGGGGAAAAATATGATATTATTTTACAGAAAAGTCCTTCCAAAGTCCTGTCTTTTCAGGGAAATGGTATCCTATCAATTCTTAGGATAGGTGAACTTTATGAAAGCAGAGGTAAATTGTTTGTAAGTCTTTTGTCATCCAATCCATTTTAAATAATAAGTATATCAATGTAATTATAATTGTAATTTTAGCATGAATCACTAATAGTTGTTTCATCCATAATCATAAAAGTTACAAATCAAACAATGTCAATATGTCATCAACTTATTGAAGTGCGGGAGACTTTGTAATGGTTCCCAAAGCATGAGCCATAAGTATGGGCAACAGAATCATCTGAGTGCATGTTAAAAATGTATATTTTCAGGTCTTACTCTTGTTTAATGTAATCAGAATTAATGAACTTGGGATACAGAAACCTCCACCTTTGACACACCGCACACATGATTTTAATGCAATCTTGAGTTTAAGAACTTTTTAGAGATAGAACTTCTGCCTCAGAAACTGGTCATCTAGCTCAACCCCTTGTTTTTATGGATGGAGAAACAAACCCATGTTGGTTTAGCTACTTTCCAAAGGTCACACAGCTACTTTTCCTATTCACCTTTCCATATATCTTCCAGAATTTTTATGGGTTTTATCATTTGAAAGATCCTAAAAACTTTTTTCTACCCAGCATGAGAAGATGAATCAGAAACTAGGTTAAGTGTTCCAGGGAGATGAAAAATTAGTAGATTTTCATGTTAGGATACAACCACAGTGAAGCTTGCCATGCTCTTACTCACTTCTGAGCTCTGCCTTAATGTTCTATCAAACTAAGCTGTGAGTTAGGCTGTGGGTAGAACAGTGCCTTCCTCAAGGACTTGTTACTAAATGACATTTAAGTACAATAAGCCATGATTATAGTTGACTATGGAAATAATAAGTAAAATCAGTCAGTTGCCTGCAACTCTGCTTGTCTTAATGATTGATATCAGGCTTTCCCAAATCTAGACAATAAGATCACTTTTCCATTGATTGACTAACAGGCCAAGAGGGATAATGTTGTGAACGTTTGCCAGGCCACATTTCAATTACCTGTCTGGTATAGAACTGATATTGAACAGTTGCAGGTATGGCCCGAAGATTTAAGATTCATTAGACTTATAATCATACCAGAATGAGAACAAACCAATCATTATTCTACCAATTGAAAAAATAAAGCTTAAAAAGTAAAATGAGCCTTAAAACTTACCTGACAAATTCCTTAACTTTATAGAGAAGGAAACAAAGGCCCTACAAAGTCAAATAATATATAATAATATATACAGAGTCACATAAAAATACAGTGGCAGATCTGGGGCAGTAATCATAATATCAACTTTAATTCAAACATGATGCTAAGTACTTTATATTCCATTAGCTTATTAAACTTCCATTAGCAATGAGGAAAATAAATTTCAAAGCGGTTAAGATTTTAGAGTGATTGCCTAAAATCACATATCTAGTATATAGAGAAGCTGAGATCTAAACCATTATATCAGAATCATGATGCTTAGACCCAGGTCTAACTTTTCCTGTACCATCCTGCTCTCACACTTTCAATTTCCACTAAACTGGTTTAGTGCCTCTTCTTCAGTGAAACTCTTGATGTTGAATTGGTTTTGTATCCCAAATTGGGCTTCACCAAGGCTTCAAGAAACACTTTATTGCCAAGCTACTAGAAGTCAGCAAATGAAAAATATAAGATGAGTTTATAAGCCAGTCAAGGAAATTCTGTGCTTCCAAATGTCACTGCTGTCATTTAGATGATTAGCAGATTTGCAGAGCAACTGGAAGCTTGGGACCAACTTGAAGCATTACTTCTCTTGGTAATGGACGGGGCACATGAGATCAGGATGTGTCATAAATGGCTACTTATGTAGCAAAGTTCTCAGATAATGAGATAAATGGAAATGACGGGAAACACATGTACAGAGAGAGATTGAGAGAGAAAGAGAAGGCACTAAAAAAGGAAAAGAAGCCCAGAGTAGGAAACCAAATAAACCAATAAAGTTGCTGGGCAAAGCACATATATGCTTGCAATGAAGACTACAAGGGAAACTCATCTACTTCCTTGTACAAAAGGACAGCTGCAGTACATCTGCTGCTTTTGTAGAAGCAGAAGCAGTTAAGAGAAGAATAAAATACAGAGAAGATCTGCTGCAAGCTGCCTGTTAAAAAGCAGCCATTCTGTGGCTGACACACCTGTAAAGGAAAAATAATACCAGCCGTACATGTTAAAGGAAACTGCTGGGGCACCAGCCCAGTGAACAGAGATGAGGTTCAAATCTGATTCTTCTACTGATTAGAATGATTGTGACTATTGTTGTAACTGTTTTTATTAATTTAGTTATTACTATTATTTCAGACATTTTAAATGTTAAAAATATTTGGGGCCTAAGAACATAGATTTACATAGATTTCAGAAGTAGCATCTAACACTATGTACAGGCCATGGTTAACAAACAACCTGTGGGCAAGGCACAGTGCTGACCTCAGCACTTTGGGAGGCTAATGTGAGAATATTGCTTGAGCCCAAGAGTTTGAGACCAGCCTGAGCAACATAGTGGGACCTCGTCTCTATAAAAAAGTAAAGAATCAGCCTGGAATGGCGGTATACTACCATAGCCTCAGCTACTTGGGAGGTTGAGGCGGGAAGATTGCTTGAGCCAGGGAGGTCAAGGTTGCAGTGAGATGAGATCATGCCACTGCACTACAGCCTGGGTGACAGAGGGAGATTATGTATCAAAAGAAAAAAAAAGTGCGTATAAATACCTGACATTCATATCAACAGTCATGTGGCAGCCATGTGAAGATGGCCAGTGAATGGAGAGTTCCCTTCAAAGATGGATACAATTGCAACAAGTGGACGGAATGAGATGCAAAAAGGGATGGAGGCAGGGAGTGAAAGGATACACATAAAAAGATGAAAGCAATTTGACAGTAGAATATGACGTATGAAGGGTTTGTCAAAGAGATAAGATGGTAGGTGGAGGCAATGTCATAGAAGGCTGTGGGGGCAAGGCCTTACTGTATTCTATTCACTAAGCGATGGACGAGTTATTGACAGTTTTGAGACAGTTGTGTGGTACGCATGAAACATCAAATTAACCACCAACTACCAATCTAAGGAGACATAAACCTTTATGAGCACAAAATTCACACAGAAATTGGAAGGAATTTTCTCTATCATAAGTGGAAATAGGGCCATATAGCATTCCCATAACAAAAGTTACAGGGAGATTTCCAAAGTCCTCTTTCCAAAGTCCTTTTTCCAAGTTACAGATTTCCAAAGTTTCAAAAATGAATAACTTTCACCTTCTTGAAGGATGACCATCACCATCCACCCTTCTCTCCTCTCTCTTCCTACCTCTCTACATCAGCTACTTTTTTTTTTTTTTTTTTTGAGATGGAGTCTCGCTCTGTTGCCCAGGCTGGAATGCAATGGTGCCATCTTGGCTCACTACAACCTCCAGCTCCCAGGTTTAAGTGATTCTCCTGCCTCGGCCTCCCAAGTAGGTGGGACTACAGGCATGCACCACCACATCCGGCCAATTTCTGTATTTTTAGTAGTGACGAGGTTTCTTCAGGTTGGTCAGGCTGGCCTCACACTCCTGACCTCTAGTGATTCGTCTGCCTCGGCCTCCCAACGTGTTGGGATTACAGGCATAAGCCACCTGCTTTTTCAGCAATTAAGGCTACTTTACTACTGAGTCTCTCACCTTGAAACCTTTCTTCCTACACCTCTTCAATATCCATGGATACAAAATGGCAGAGGGCGTGGAAGACAGGCAGTGGTGGTGTACATTGTGTTCTAGGATGAGGAGCTGGTGGTAGGAAGGAAGCAAGAGAGGCGCAAACAGAGAGAAGGGAATCCTGGGAAGTTTTCCTTTTCCTTCCACTCATTTAACAAAACAAAAACTAGCACATCTTCAAATTAACAAGGAATAAAGTGACTTCTGAATTGTCCTATAATCAGGTAACATCAGATGTATCTTCCTCAAGACAGCACCAAATATGGCTATAAAAGACAGCCATATTTGATAAACAATGACTGAATACCTGTTATTTAACTAGAGATTCTACAAAACCATTATGGCTTCCATTTGAAAGGAAAATTGAGCAGCAGCCATGTGGGGTGAAACAACAAGGAATCCACCGTCCCATTTCTAAGTAAAACAGAGTAAGATAAACAACATTCCACTCAAAGTTAAACACATTATAAAGAGGAAAAAAGGGAATTCAAGATTCTCTGCCATTAAGAATGTTAATTTTGTATTCATAATATAAATAAAAATATATTCTAAAAGTATTTCATAAAGGAAGATAAAATGTCAAAAAGTAGCTTTATGTTCTAAATAGACTTTAACGATTATGGAATAACAAAAACAAAAGATAATAGGAGACGTGCAGTCACAATTTAGAGGTATACTTTGCTGGGTGAGATAAGAAAAATTATAAGAAAACTAAATATGGAGTGGCAAAACTGTTGGCAGTAATGAGTTGAACTGGCTTTGCAGAAAATATAATCATTGGAAGAAGACTGTGAGATGCTATTCCAGAACAGATAAAAAGGATAAAGAACTGAAAATGATGACAGAAAAATTGTAGAAAGCCAGGACTAAAAATTAGGATTCAACTTTCAGATAATGAATGTTTCTAACCCATGCAAATGGATTCAAACATAATTCAAAGATCTAAGCAAAGAATTCATTCCTTAGCCTTGTCGTGGCGTTTCTGATTAAAAGCCATCAACAAATAGTAGAGTTTAATTCAGTTAGGTTGGTATTGACTCAGAGAGTAAGATTAGGGAAATAAAAAATCTGAGAAATGCCCCCCACCCCCAAAATAAAAATTGATTATGAGATAAAAGTTATATTATGGCTCAGTGCGGAAAGATGGATTATTGCCACAACTAGCTGTTTATAAAAAGTTCAAGTTATGGACTTATAATGTCTTTGTTTGGGCTGCTATAATGAAAATACCATAGATTGGGTAGCTTACAAACAACAGAAATTCATTTCTCACAGCTCTGGAGTCTGCAAAGTCCTAGATCAAAGCATTAGTAGATTTGGTGTCTGATGAAGGCCTGTTTCCTGGTTCATATACAGCTGCTTCTTAGCCATAACCTTTTATGGCAGAAGGGATGAAGGAGCTGTCAAGGGTTTCTTCTATAAGGACACTAATCCCATTCCTGAGAGCTCCATCCTCATGATCTAATCACCTCCCACAGACCCCCACCTTCAAATACCATCACATCGAGTATCAGAATTTAACAATTGAATTTGGAGGAGAAACAAACATTCAGTCTACAGCATATACTACCACATACAAAAACATATAGCAGATGGATTTAGAAGTTAATTATTAAAAATGAAATCATATATGCACTAACAAAAATATGTTAATACTCCTGTTATATGTTGAGGGCATATTTAAACACAAAAGCAACAAAAGAAATTAAAAACAAAAAAGTTATTAGGTTTGACTAACCAATTATCAAACAATCTCTCTTCCTTGGAAATCCAAATTTTTTGAAAGAATTGCCTATATTTTCAGGCTTTACAAACTCTGTACTCTCTCATTAAGGCGCTAAAACCCGACTTCCACCCCAACAAATTCAATATAACTGCTCTTGCTAAGGCCACCAATATCCAATAATCTACTGGTAATCAATGAAAAATACCACAATATTCTTCTTATTTAATCTCTTGTAATAGTTACCATACCCTCTCTCTTAAAATTTTAATTGGTTTTAGTGACCTTGAATTCATCTTATTTTCTTTCCACTTAGGGCCCCAACTAGCACATATAGAGCTTTCACAAAAATTGGGAAAATATAATAACAGCATGCTAAGGCACAAAGCATAGTGCATGGGATTTTAGGCTTCACTCATGCCTTTAGCCAAATGCCTGTGTACAATACTCAACCTGTTCAACTGCGTGTGGTGGCCCTCTTCTTCTACCTCTTTTAGCTCATTCTCATTTCCCTTTGCAAATTTCTAACTACAGTACTTGATTCTACAGTGATGTAAGTTAATAATCATAATATTTTAAATGCAAGGGTTTCTTCCCCAATTTTTAGACTTAAGCTATATTCAAAGCATTGAAGACATAATTATAGAACAGAATTTAAAACACAGAAGCCTTGGAAACATGAAAAAGAAGACAGTAATATAACGAACAAAAGTTAAAACGTGGGTAAAAAGGGTAAGTGCACTAATTTACTCCTGTTTCATAGTGGGAGGTCAATAGATATTGTGTGAAAAGTTATTACATTTAGAAATGAAATCCTATACTATAAGGAGCTGTAATGGTAACCACCAGAATCAGAAAAAAACTAAAATTAAAAAGTGAAAACAGCCGTTGCTTCTGAGTAGTAAAACTGGAGGTGAAGGGGAGGAGTGAAATTTTAACTTTTTATTTTGTGCTCTTTCATACTGTTTAATTTTTTAACCATTTATTATTTCTTCAATAAAACAAACAGTGCATATATCCAATCTAATATTTATTAAGATGTTAAAAGAAAAAAGAGGTTGGATCAGTTAATCTTTAAGGCTTCTTTTATCTGTAGAGTCTGGTTTTGTGATCAGAAATACAGCTTAGAGAGATAAGTCTTGCAGCAGTGTGTAGGGTGGATTGCAATGGAGAGAGATGGAAGTGCAGAAGCCAATTACTAGGTTTTTATAGTAAGGAAGGTGGGAAAGTAATGAGGATCTGAGCTGATGTGTAGGCAGCAGGAATAGAAAGAAGGTTAAAGATGTGGAGCCTTTGTGGAGGTAGAATATATGTAATTTGGAAATTGATTGGATGGATGCACAGGGTTTGAGAGAAGATGGTATTAAATTGACTATAACGTTTCAAGTCACGGTAATTATAAGACTAGTATTAGCTGAAATAAGGGAGTCAGATATTAGCTGAAGTGAGAGAGTCAAGAGTAGAGGGAATATTGCAATGGTTAAGCCAAGCTGAGTGAAGCAAAATTGTCATTATAAGAAGTGCCTTAATCATTAGCGGATAGGGATTTAGGAGACCATGGTGATGGTCAAAAGAAATTTGGGCAGGAATTTGTCGAAAAGGTTGGCTACTGTGCTCCAGCCAGGGATGGTTGGAAATCATTTCTGAAGTTTTATAGTTTGTAGCTTCATGTGGTCTGAATTGAGGACAGAAAAAAAAAATCTCCATTAGTGGAGACAAAAGCATTGAGTATTGAGACAGCTCTGCATTATTCTTT
Source organism: Homo sapiens (assembly GCF_000001405.40). Taxonomy (NCBI): domain Eukaryota; kingdom Metazoa; phylum Chordata; class Mammalia; order Primates; family Hominidae; genus Homo; species Homo sapiens. The sequence goes on from NC_000003.12 coordinate 2,034,504, forward strand.
AGGATTGACCTGACCATGCATAGCATAAAAATAAATAATAATAGTATCTAACTAGAAAAGTCTGTTGGACACTGCAGAGTTTATCAAAGTAATTACTCCTTTAGAATATCTGTTAGTATTAAGAATATAATATTTAGGCAAATAGATGATTATTAAAAATATACAGTTACACCTGTAACAGTTACCTTTATTTACTTTTCTTAACACACTAAAATTGCAATAAGAACTGAATTTCCTAATTTCATGGAAGTAAATTAAACTATCTCCTGGGGACATGAATTCACAGCCATCCACTTTACTTGGACTTTTTTTATATTTACACCTGCTTCTCTCTATGGAACAGATTCAAGACTTTTAAAATATATAATTAAAAATTGTAGTTAATTCAAAATAAGGAAATGGGGCGAGGTAATGCCAGCTGCTATTATAAATGAAAGCCTGAAATCTCAATGGATTAACAAAAATCAAAATTTATTCTTCTCTCAAGCAAAGGTCATTTAGAGCAGGAGTGGGAACCTACTCCATGCAATTATTCAAGGACCAATGCTGCCAGGGCTTTTCCATCTCCCGCATATTCTTTACAGATTTTCCCAGAACGTGGAGTCCCCTATCAGCAGCTAGGGGACAAGAAAGATAGAAATGCACAGGAAATTTTTATGGGCCAAGCCTGAAAATAATAAACATCACTTCAGCTTGCATTCCTTTGGCATAAACTCAGTCATATGGCCACAACTAACTGCAACGGATGCTGGAAAATAAGATCTCACTATATGCCTCAAGAGAAAACAAAATGGAATTCATTTGGTAAATAGCTAGCCAGTCTCTGCCACGGTTCACCTGGCTGATCATCAAATATCTGGTTTACTCTTCATCTCACACATAGAATTCATCTATCTCCATCCCAAGCCCCACCTAGTGTCTTGCAGGTAGCTCAGCTTCTGAGATCTGTGGGTGAAGTACACATGGTTCCATAAGAACCCCATATGGCTCCTCATAGATCAGCCACCTGTGATTGAAAGGGCAAAGTAATCTGCTCCCACCTCAGCACATGTGTGCACACACGCACACACACACACACACACAGTAGCAAAAGGAGAAGCAGTAACCTCAAAAAAAATCCCTTTAGAAAAGGGAAAAACAGGCAACGGTTACGTCACTGATCCATAGAATTATGAACTCCTTGTGGACACCTCTGACTTGGCAGTGGGGTGAGTTTCTTAATTAAATTTTTATTTTGTCTTCTTGGAGCCAGGGGAGTTGTCGTTTTCTATATCCTCTGACTCTACCTCTAGTTGGTTTTTTCATGCTTATTGTTTTTTGGGCACATCTGAAGTGGGTGACGAGAAGGGGGATTTCTCAGGGGTGGCTCACTTCCACAAGGGGCTTTCTGCCCACCTTAAGCCTCAAGAAATCAAATTTATATTTTTTAATCTAGGTGAATGGAGTTTTTACAAATGCAATACCTTAAAAATCTGAGTAGGCATCTTATTTGTTTGCTTTCAGCCAATTTCATATTCTGATAGCCAAGGTTTTTCTGAGACATAGTTTACAAGTATGTGTGTGCTTTGTTTTTTGGCTTTGTTTTGTTTGCTTGTTCTTTCACATGCCTCTCTCTCGCAAATAAATGGTGGCTATGATGTAGGAGGTGGGACTTGACTTGAGAGGCAGGGCTCAGATACTGGACCAAATTGAGAACTAGTTAAAACAGGGCCCAGGCGGAAGCAGCTTTCCATAAAGACACACCCACCAGTGTGTCACTTCAGCTTATCATGGCCATGGCCACACCCAGAAGTTACCATTCCTTTCCATGGCAATGACCCAACAACCCGGAAGTTACCACCCTTTTCCTAGAAATGTCTGCATATACTGCCCCTTAATTTGCATATAATTAAAAGTGGGTATAAATGTGAATGCAGAACTGCCTCTGAGCGGCTACTCTAGGCACACTGCCTGGGAGGTAGCCCTGCTCCACAAGGAGAAGCACCTCTGCTGCTGCTGTGCACTGCTGCTTCAATACAAGTTGCTGTTTAACACCACCAGCTCATCCTTGAATTCTTTCCTGGGTGAAGCCAAGAAGCCTCCCAAGCTAAGCCCCAATTCAGAGGCTTGCCTATTTTGCATCAGCTATCTTGAAGCTTCCAATTTAACTGGAAAGTCCCATCCCAACTGGACTTTGCTACAAGGTTAAATCAAAACAGAACTTTGTTACTCAGAGGCTTTTCCTATTTTATTTCCTGTTTGTCATCCAGAAGCACAACTTTCTCAAATCCTGCAGGACCTCAAATTTCTAAACACATTTTACTTCCTTTTATTCTCTGTGCACAGCAGTTAATTATTTTTCAAACTGATCTCTGTCTTCTGATACTATGTTTTGCTCAACCAGTGACAACCAGTGCTCACCAATATTCTTTTTCAATCCTTTTTCTTATAGCCAAAAACTCTTTATATATGTTATCTGCCTTCTAAATTATTACTATTATTATTATTATTTGAGATGGAGTCTCACTCTGTCACCTAGGCTGGAGTGCAGTGGTGCAATCTCGGCTCACTGAAACTTCCACCTCCCAGGTTCAAGCAACTCTCCTGCCTCAGCCTCCCAAGTTCCTGGGACTACAGGCATGCTCCACCACGCCCAGCTAATTTTTTGTATTTTTAGTAGAGATGAGGTTTCACCACATTGGCCAGGCTGGTCTCGAACTCCTGACCTCAGGTGATCTGCCCTCTTCGACCTCCCAAAGTGCTGAGACTACAGGCGTGAGCTACCATGCCCAGACCAGGTTATTAACAGGCAAACAAATATTTTGCCTCTGAGAAACTTGCATTTCTTTTTTTTTTTTTTCTTTTTTTGAGAGTCTCGCTCAGTCGCCCAGGCTGGAGTGCAATGGCGTGATCTCGGCTCACTGCAACCTCCAACCTCCCGGGTTCAAGTGATTGTCCTGCCTCAGCCTCCCGAGTAGCTGGGACTACAGGCGCCTGCCACCACGCCCAGCTAATTTTTGTATTTTTAGTAGAGATGGGGTTTCATCATATTGGCCAGGGTGGTCTCGAACTCCTGACCTCATGATCCGCCCACCTCGGCCTCCAGAAGTGCTGGGATTACAGGCGTGAGCCACCGCGCCCAGCCAAGAAACCTGAAATTTCTATACTTTTTTTTTTGCCTCTGACATCAGTCTTTTTGTCACCTACTTATGAACTACAAAGCAAAGGGAAACCTTGGAAGGGACGTTTTAAGGATGGCAGAGCCTCTATCAACCTGGAATCTCAGATGTCTGTGTTAAGCAGAACCCACTGTGCTATAATTTTTGTTATAGCAACACTCAAAGTCTGTTTCCAGTCTGCTAATCAATAGGGTAGTTGTTGCTGTAACCGATACACTCCAAAGCCTTGGTGGCTTTGTGCATTAAAAGTTTATTTCTTGCTCATGTAAGTTATTACTATTGGCAGGGAGTGGGATATTGGGGTTGAAAGGGGCTCTGCTGTCTTCGATACATACATTCCAAGGTGACCCTAGCCCTTGTCAATCAGAGGGGAATTTTGGGGAAGGGAGAGAAGATCAGCAGTATGTAGCCAGGCCTGAATATAACACACATCACTTGTACCTACATTTCATTGATTAGAATCAGTTATGTGGACCCAACTACCTTCAAGGGAGGCTGGAAAGTATGGCCTAATTGTGTTCTCAGTGGGAAGGGGAAACAGGAAAAAGATAGAGCCTCGGCCACAGAAGCTAAATGATTGCTTTGATAGACCATTCACGTTGTGTCTGAGCTTCCCAACTACCAGGGTAAAAATGAAGCATGTTAATAAGACAAGACATACAGTTCCTTAGGGGAGAAGAAGGCTTTCCTGGAAATAAATTCCAAAAAGAACTTTCTTCCTAATGTGGAAACTTGAATAGGAACTGTGAAATGGTATAACAGACAGTGCTTTCAACAAGACCCTTAAAATCAATTTAATAGTGCTTTTCATATATTTCACATGACATTAAGTAGTAATTTGAGAAAAGTTTTTCCTTCATTAGTAAGAGCCAAGATCCCCATTTTAAAGAGGATGTACAATATTTTATGGTGGCTCTGTCAGCCTTGGAGAATACCCTTGTCCCTTAATTGTTCTTCTCTAATCTCTTCTCTAAAGAGAATGAAATGCTCTAATGCTTTTCACTTGAAAGCGAGAAGCAAATGAATCTCCTTGAGCCTCATTTGGAGAGATTTATCATGGACACCATCCTGGAAGCAACTGTTTCCAACTATGCCATTGACAAGTCTGTTAGCATAAAGAAACACTGTTTCCTAACCCTAACTCCAACCACCGTGTAAGAAGAGAGTGACACGAGTGCTCACAGCCTGCAGCTGAAGAACAAAGCAGGCAAAGGAGCATTCTAGCATAAAGAGAAAAACATTCCAAGTATATTTTGAAATCACAGAGCCATGGGCTCGAAATTCACCCCTGTCCCACGACAGTTGTGTGACTTTTGACAACTTACTTCACTGTTTCAAGCACCAGGTTTTATCAGTAATAACCCAATCCTCATAGACTGTAAGAACCAAAAGAGTTCATGCACATAAACAACACTGCACAAGGCTCAGTAAATAAAAAGTCACACAATAAAGATAAGCTATCATTGTTGTTATTAATTTATTATTATGTAAAACATGTGAAAGCTTAGCAGAGTGCTTGGAACATTTTATGACTAAACAGATGTTAACCGCCTTTGATGCCATTCCTTCTTTCACTTGGCCATGTATAACCACATGTATCTGTTTCCATAATGTATCTTTATACATAAATAGTATATCTCCAAATCATACCAAATGTTTTTTTAATGTATAATAAAACCAGGCTGGAGAAGGTGGCTCATGCCTGTAATCTCAGTGCTTTGGAAGGCTGAGGCAGGAGGATTGCTTGAGGCCAGGAGTTCTAGACCAGCCTGGGCAGCATAGCAAGACCTTCATCTCTACAAAAACTAAAAATAAAACAAGACAGGCATGGTGGCTGGTGCCTGTAGTACCAGCTACTTGGGAAGCTCAGGTAGGAGGATCACTAGAGCCTAGGTGCTCAAGGTTACAGTAAGCTGTGATCACACCACCGCCTCCAGCCTGGGATGACACCAAGATCCTGTCACAAAAAAAAGAGAGAGAGAGAGAGAGAAAGAAAAGGAAAACAAATAGAAGAGTGGGCTCTATCTAAATATTGATTTGAAAGAAGGAACTGGGGTGTCGTCTAAATTCTTGCAAATAGAGCAAACATTGTGATTCTTGAGTATAGTTCATGGAAGATGGAGAAAGACTGTGCTATTATATAAACTAATCTTATCAACAGTTACAATAAAAGCACTTCCCAGAATTATGCGATACTCATTTTTTTTCAGAATTCCATGCTACTTTAGGAGATGACCCATACGTCCAATAAAATCAGCATTCTTGTTCTCAGATACAATTTTATTTACCTGTGGCCATCTGCAAAAGTAACATAATCATAGTCTATCATAGTCTATTTTTTCTTATCAAAGTCTATTTGATTGATCTCACTGTTCTTGCAGTTCTTTGAAAAGCCATAAATAAGAGTACAAATATGTCAAACAAACATTTACCATATACAACATCCAATTATTAAACTATATGTTGTGTTCTAGTAGTACATAACATATTTTGGTTATGGCTATGGATGACTTATCTATTGTTCCACTTTACAATTTTTATTACATTAGTATATTATTGTTTATTTATTTTGCTATTTAATAATATGATAATTTTTTTACCTACTTTCTCATATGCACTTCCCAGAAACTCAGTGAAGAAAAAGTTGCAATCAAGATGGCAAGAACTGTTGGATTTCTAACTTCCGTATAAAGGTACCAAAAATAGTTCTTCTTTCCTACATCCAAGGTAGACATTTATTTCTTCTACTTTGAACAATATACATGTGTTTACCTAAAATATCCAAAGTTTATTTTCCAAATTTTGTTTTCTTATTTTAAATAATTTGTTACAAAAGTATCTGAGTAATTTAAGTCTTAACATCCACATTTTTTTAATTAAACAATAAGAACATTTTTCATGATATGAAAGAAGAACCTAAATGAAATAATTCTTTTCTCACTATCTGGGAAGGTCATTAGCTAAGGAAGAATTATTTTTTAAATCATACCTTTTATAGGCCTATTGTCATTCACTAATATGTGGTAATAAATTATCAAAATATTAATAAATATTATAGTTAAGAGAAAGACCCTGAAACCAAAGAGACTTGGTATGAAAATGAAGTCTCCATACTAAACAGCTGTATGACTTTCCTAGGTAATTTACCTAAAATCTCTGAGCTTTAGTTCTATCACTTATAAAACAGGAAAATCACATGATCTGTGGCAGATATGCTGACTGTTCCTCTAATAGCCATGAGCTCTTCCATAATTTGTGCACCCTGCAATTTGGCGGGGCCGTGTGATACTTATGGACAATGGGCTCTTCTGGGTCACCCCTGGGTAAAACCATTTAATAGCAGAGAGCAGGTCTCCAGATCTTTCTTCTCTAGACTTAAGGACATATGGACATGGTGGCATCACAAAATTGAGGCAGCCTGAATCTCTGAGTCACAACACACTAGAGAGTTTCTCTGAAGGTTCACCTGCTCCCATATCAGAGTGTGTTGTGTTAAGTCACTGAGACTTGGGGGTATATATACATATGTGTGTGTGTTGATGCTGCACAGAAATAAACAATCCTGTGGGTTGGTTTGAGGATTAAATAACAGAGTGATATGATGTAGTGTCACAACTTCTAACACAGTATGAATTGAATAGGTGATACCAGATAGTAGCAGTAGTAGTAGTCGACATTGTACAATCAGCCCCAGAATGACCCTTTGAAATAATCACAAGTAGATATTACTATCAAACTTTGTAAGAGATGAAATTAGGGCTCGTTCCTTCTAAGGGCCTTACATATAAGCATGTGATAGGCCTGGAGTTCAAAGCCAGTGCCTGTTTCCTGAGCACTGTTTTTCCCACTACCACTGTGACAATGGTCAGCGTTTTCTACATCATTGTGACGCTGCACTAGAAATTAACTTCCAGCACGCATTCCAACAAATAATAACACATGCCCATGTTGAATATCTCAGCAGACCAAAATATCTGAGCATAAAAAATACTCAACATGGGAAACAGCCCTTTTATTTCAGAGAGGCATCCAACTATTAATAAACTAGTTAATATTCTTGTATAGTACATGGTATTGTCTCAGTCATATTTGCCATCCAGAGACTTATTAAAAAATATTTTGTGTGGAGTTTCAAAAATTGTCCTGGGGAATAGACAATATGTTTTCTGTCACCCCTGCCCCCACTCACAATTACCTGATAGCTCAGGGAACTACTTCTCCAGAGTACTTCTCCCTAAATAGCATGTCTGGGTTAGAACAATTACAACGGTTAATTGCGAATGAAGGGCCTTTTAGGCATCTGAATGAATTTTGAGAAATAAGTATTTGCTAGGTGGATGGAGTTCAAATATGCTGAAACTGCAGCCGGCATTGTTCTAGGCCGTTATTTTTAGTGCACTGAATAACAGCTGCTGCATATGGTAGTTTTTGAGTTTTCTGCTAAAGATCCACTTACTGGCACAAATAGTAAATGTTTGCATGTGCTATTTGATACATCTCCTGTGAGGCTCCATTTCCACATTTAAATATGGATCACATATGGTGAATCAAAATAACTTTTTGTATGTAAAGCATATGTCCAATGAGTAAACCAAAGAGACATAGTCTATGGCACTGTCATGTTCCATATGTCTTCTATATGGGTTAAAATTTAATAAAAAATAATACAATCAGATGTGTGTAAGAAAAAGTTCAGTTTCTTAGTTATAACGCTAGTAATTGGCAACAATAAAAATATATACAATGTATAATAAATGCTATTGCTCACATTTTAATTAATAGAGACTATGTAAAGTTATAAAAGTAATAAACATAAAATATATAAAAGTAATAAAAATAAAATATTAAAATACTGTAATGAATTTCTGTCTATTAAATTCTTAGCAACTATACAATTCAGAAACACAAGAGCTCTCTTGAATCTACTTTTTTAAATTTTCCATTTTTATGTTAGATTTGGGGGATACATGTGCAGGTCTGTTACATGGTATATTGTGTGGTGCTGAGGTTTGGTCTTCCGTTGATCCCGTCACCCAGATAGTGAACATAATACCCAATAGGAAGTTTCTCAGCCCTTACCCCTCTCCCACTCTCTCTTCTTTTGAGTCTCCCGTGTCTGCTGTTCCAATCTTTATGTCCATATGAACCCAAGATTTAGCTCCCACTTGTAAAGGAGAATATGCTTTATGTTCTCCTTTATAAAACCAAACAGAACTTGGTTTTCTGTTTCGGTGTTAGTTTGCTTAGGATAATGGCCACTAGTTGCATCCATGTTGCTGTAGCAGACATGATTTCATTCTTTTTACGGCTATGTAGTATTCCATAGTATATATGTGCCACATTTTTTTTCAATCCATCCTCAGTGGGTACCTAGGTAGAGCCCATGTCTTTGCTATTGTGAATACTACTGCAATAAACCTGCAGGTACATGTGTCTTTTTGGCAAAACAATTTATTTTATTTTGCATATATACTCACTAACGGGCTTACTGGGTCAAATGGTAGTTCTATTTTAAATTATTTGAGAAATCTCCAAACTGCTTTCCAGAGTAACTGAACTAATTTGCATTCCCACCAACAGTATATAAGCATTTCCTTTTCTCTGCAGCCTCACCAGCATCTGTTGTTTTTGGACTTTTTAATAACAGCCATTCTGACTGATGTGAGGTGGTATCTCGTTGTGATTTTGATTTGCATTTCTCTGGTGATTTAGGCTATGTTAAACTAATTTTTTTACATATGTTTTCCTTCTTCAGTAATAAATTAACCTCCAGCCTGGGCAACATGGCAAGATCCCATCTCTACAAAATTAAAAAAACTAAAAATTAGCCAGGTATGGTGGTGGTGCCTAAAGTCCCGGCTACCTGGGAGGCTGAGGTGAAAGGATCTCTGGAGACCGGGAAGTAGAGGCTGCAGTGGGCCGTGACCATGCCTCTGCACTCTATCATGGGTGACAAAGCAAGACTCTGTCTCAAAATAATTAAAATTAAATAAAAATCTTAGCTTACTTTAACTATTTTACTATATAAACTTAATTTTTTAAATTTTTACCCTTTTGTAATAACACTTAGCTTAAAACAAACACATTTGTACAGCTGTACAAAAATATTTTCATTCTTTATATCCTTATACCATGAGCTTTTTTCTATTTAAAATGCTATTTATTTACTTTTTAAACTTTATTTAAAAGTAGAACATAAACACACATATTAACCTAGACCTACAGGGAGTCAGGATCATTAATATCACTGTCTTCCACTTCCACATCTTGTCCTACTGGAAGGTCTTCGGGGACAATAACAGGCATGGAGCTGTCACCCCCTAAGACAGCAATGCCTTCTTCTGGAATTTCTCCTGAGGGAGCTGCCTGTGGCTGTTTTACAACTAACTTTTTTTTATATAACTGGAAGAAGTGCACTCTAAAATAACCAATAAAAAATACAGTATAGTAAATACATAAACCAGTAGCATAGTTATTTTTGATGAAGTATTAGGTACTGCACATAATTGTACTTGCTATATGTCTATACAACTGGCAGTGCAGTAAGTTTGTTTCCACCAGCATCACCACGAACAGGTGATGAATGGGTTGCTCTATGATATTATGGCATCTATGATGTTACTATGCAGTAGGAATTTTTCAGCTCCATTATAATCTTAAGGGGTCACCATCATATACATATGGTCCATCATTGATGGAAACATCCTTATGCAGTGTTGTGACTGTAACATAAGGAAGGGAAATGTGTGCTATGAGAGAGTACTGTGGGGGTTTATCAACTAAGAATTGGGAAACTGAGGGCCCAGCTGAGTTCTGCCAATAACTATGTGTGATTCTAGGCTTGTGAATGTTTTCCCTCTATGGGCTAAAATGTTCTGCTTCCTGAAGTAGGTGGGTGCTATGGACTGAATGTGTCCTCCTCAAACATTTATTTGTTGAAGCACTAACCCTTAATGTGGCAGTATTTGGAGGTGGGATCTTTGGGAAGCAATTAGGCTTAGATGAAGGTAGGACCCCCATGATGGGAATCAGTGATTTTATAAGAAAGGGAAGAGAGACCAGAGCTTATTCTCTCTCTCTCTCTCTCTCTCTCTCTCTCTCTCTCTCTCTCTCTCATTCCTGCTCTCTACTCCTCTATCTCTCTCCTGTCTCTCTCTCCCTGTCATGGGAAGACACAGCAGGAAGACAGTCAGTTGTCTGCAAGCCAGAAAGAAGGCCCTCACCAGGCAACCAAATCAGTCATCAGCGTCTCCATGTTGGACTTCCCAGCCTCCTGAACTGTTAGAAATAAATTCCTATCGTTTAAACCAGTCTACAGTATTCTGTTATAGCAGCCCAAGCTGACTAATACAGTGGGTAAATTCAAAAAAGCTAAATGGTTTTGTTTATGTCCTGTAACTCTCAGGTTGATATATCTAACAGTTTCTTCCATGATGCTAAAAGTCATAAGACCTTGCAAACGAATCAAAATTAAATTATGTTCTAGTCTGGGTTTTATTTTTACTGTATTTCATTTTTTAATTTATTTTCAAATACTTTAAAGCTGAAAACCATGTAAGACGTATGTGATAACTGAGTAAAACAGAATATTTAATTAAACAGAACCCCTCCTTCCCCAAGCATTAGGGGATTTACTTGTAATTTAGTTATATAAGTCCTACTGGTATTTTACAGCAACCCTAAGAAGTAAGAACATTTTAATACTGTTCTCTCTAGTATTCAAAATAATGAAACAATGACTTGCTAAGGTTATATCTTCATTGTTCACAATATTTTAAATAGGTTAATACATTTATAATAAACACTCTTCAATGCAGTACATATTTGAAAGAAATCTTATTTAAACAGGGCATTACAAATGTAATAAAAAGGTTGCATGATAAAAATTTGCCCTATCCATGATACAGGAGACAAAGATGAACTTTAAAATGAATACCAAGGATAAGCTAAATACTGTGGGAATTTGTCACCAAACTTTTACATTTTTATTGTAACCTACTAAATTATCTTAATTAAATTTTAATAAAGCCCATCACAAAATGCAAATTCCTAAGCATCTGTTTGACAGCTGACTATTATTCCATTGTATGGATGTAACACAATTCATTTTCACAGATCCCTTTTCATGGCCATGTAGATTTCTTCCAGTAATTTGCTATTAAATGAAAAGCTAAGTTAACATTCTTATACACATATCTTTGCTTATTGGTGTGACCATATATTTATCCTGGATAAATTCTTAGATGGTAACTTACTGGGTCAAATCAACATGTAGTAATGTTGAAATGTATAGACAACATTGGTGAGAAAATATGTAACTTGAGTTTTAGTAACTAAATTCATTATAGCTCAGGAGTTACCATTTCAATAGATCACTGAAAATAATTACATTTGTCAGTTCAAAGTGTATTGGTCACCTCTTGTTTAAAATTCAGTCACTTTTGGGGACGTATTCCATAATTATGGGATTCTTCCTCCTTCCCCACTCCCCCTGCTTTCACACTGTGCCATAGATCATCTACATTCTTAGGGATGAGGCAAGGGAATACTGCATATCCTGGCCTCAGCTCCATGTGCTGCCTTTGATCCTTGTTGCCTCTGTTGAGATGCCTGTTGATGCTTAGTCTTAGGTTGTCAGCCTCCGTTCTTCCTACCTCCCACCTGCATAGTTGAGGCCCTCTGCACATCTTGTCTGAACTCGAGGCCTCTTTTTTATCCAATGTCCTTCTTACCATTGCTATACTGATGGTTGTGTAGCTCACAGACTCCCAGCGGCTTTTTCAACACCTGACTGAGATTTGTTAAACTGCCTTCAGGTCAAGAAATCTCCCACAGCCATTGCCATTTTACTACTACTTAGGTGTCATGATGCTTCAGTGTCATCCTGGATGCAGGTCTCTAGTTTATAAGAGGTTGGCCATCTTCCATCATATAAGCTCTTATGCACTGGGATGCCCCCCAAACTATTCATGAAAGAGTTAGACTAGTGTTGCCCTTATTAGGCACCCATGAGCATCTATGCTCTTATCTCATCCTCTCTGGATCTTCCATTTATTCTAGTCAAAATCTTACTCATATTGGGTAGGAAGAAAGTGATTTCACTATGCATTTTCCCTGTCCTGTAGCCTTACAGTCAAATTTTTGGCTCACTCTTACAACCTTCTTGCTGTAGTGATAGTTGTAAGCCTTATGATAGTCGTAAACTTTACATTTTGGAATTCTGAGATAAACCTTTTTTCTTTCTCTTCAAAGCCCAATGCTTTCAAGTCAAATGGGCTTTAAAATTTCTAATGAGTCTAATTAAATGTTAATAGATTAGATGCCTGTCTTGAAAAGCCATATATTTACATCATTCCCGAAAAAAAAAACAAATGGATAATGATTTGGAAAATATAAGCATTTATATATGATTAGCTGGTTACTTTGGAAAATGAGTATTGTAATGATAAAAAAATCCATTTCATATTTATTTAAGAACTATATTATGAATTAAGTTATAGATATCATAGATGAATGATTTCAGAGTCTGTTTTTAAAAAATGGGTCAACAATGAAGAAAACCATTGTCAGAATGATGACATTTTTACACTTAGACTTAGGAGATAGGTTTTTACCATCACTGGAAGACAAAATAGGGAGGCCTTTAAAATGATGTCATTGAACTGTGGGAAATAAAGAGTTACACGTTTCTCTGGATTTGAGAGATTTCATATAAAATGCACTGTCAACTTGTAAAAGGATCACATTGTCTTTCCTTGAAGTTTCTTGTTTATAGGAAATCGATTATTTCTATTTACTAAAAAGTCTTCAGAGAGTCCTCATTATCGGAGAGTTTATCTGAGCCTAGGCTGTATATCTACTATGGAGGAGTTAAGTGATTATGACACAGTATTCACTAATGAACTAAACATTTATTTAAATATTCCCACTTAACCATTCTTTACAGCTTATTACTGTGTGTCTATGACTATTATCAATGACTTTGTAGGTCAGCCTACTAACATGTAGTAAACAATGCCAAATCTTGTACAAGATGCAGGATATCTTGAAGTCACTGAAGATAATTTTAGAGAATTAACCAATTACAGACAAATCCATTGATGATGGCGAGTTAGGCCAGTTAAAAATGAAAAGAAAATTAATGCAGATATAGACAAGATAGACAACTCAAATAAGAATGCTTTCAACCTCAAAGAATTAAAAGGAGTCCTTGAGGAAATTTATCAAAATCTTGAGATGCCCACAAATTTCTTTTTTTCAAAAATTAGCCGATTGTGATCTTTCTGGGAAAATTAAATGAGAAGTAAATAGTATCATACTGTGTTATCTATATTGTTGTTGAAAAACTAATATGAGAAAAACAGAAATCAACATTTGATAACGTGTGTGTCCTTCCTAAGCAATAAACACATAATTGAAATTAGAACATACATTTTACTAAATGAAAGAAAATATTTATTTTCATAAATTTTAGTTTTATTTTTCAAGAAAAAAATCTCAATTACACTTTATTTTTTACCCCTAAAAACCAATAATGTATTGACGTGCATTTTAAATTGGTTTTCTTCAATGTCTTTTTTCCAGTACCTTTTAAATTTTTTTTTTGGTTTACTTATTTTAGAGACAGGGTCTCATGCTGTCACCCAGGCTGCAGTGCAGTGGTATGATCATAGATTACTATAGCCTGGAACTCCTGGGCTCAAGCAATCCTCCCGCCTCAGCCTCCTGTGTAGCTAGGACTATAGGTGTGCACCACTATGCCCAGCTAATTATTTTATTTTTTGTAGAGATGGGGTCTCATTATGTGGCCCAGGCTGGTCTGGAACTCCTGACATCAAGCTATCTTCCCACCTCAGCCTTCCAAAGTGCTGGGATTACAAGTATGAGCCACCACACTGGGCAGATGGCACTTTTATGTGGTGCAAATGTAGCTACACTTAGATTACTTTTTCAGAATTCCTTTCCCTGTGTGTCTCCAGGATATCATTGGACACAAAAGACATTTTACACAAGATTTGGAAGGTGAAAGTGAGACAGAATTTACATATATATATTTTATGTTTTGGAGATCGTTGCTGGGCTCCATGTACCATGGCTGCTTACAGGTGTTGGCACTGATGTGCCAGCTCACCTCCTTGGGATGGAGCAACACCCAGATCCACAGCTCTTCTAGCCAGATGTCTTCCTTCAACTTCTAATACTGGGCCAAATGTGTCATAGCTTCATCATGAGGAATATCAGGTTCTCTTGCAAGTCACCCAGGCCTTTGAGGTTGGAGATGGTAGGGAGGGCAGATATGGGTTCAAGTGTGTACTTGAGAATTCTAATTGTTCTCATGGGTCCCAGCTTCTCTTTGCTCTCATCTACATGTGGCTTTACTTCTCCACTGCCAGTGTGGCAGATCTGTGATGTCTTAAGTCTCAATAGTGGATGCAGAGGGAACAGCTTGTATAGAGTGCCCAACCAACTTTCATGATTATTCCAGATTTGACTACAGTGTACCCCATATCACTCCTAGTGAGTTCTGCTTCTCTAATAGAACCATGACTTCTCCACTAGAGTAGTCTCAGATATTGAGAACCAAATAGAATATGCACCGTGCCATCTCATGGCAGAAGCTGGCTTTTTTGTTGCTTGTTTGTTTGTTTGTTGATCCTAGTTTCTAATCAGTGGTATGGAACTAAAAATCTATTTTTTAATTTTAACATTATAAAAAATTATCAGCGACAGTAAATTCAGACAGGGAGTTAGAAGATTTATGTTCCAATCCCAGCCCTAACACTTAACTTGCAGACTTGAGTAAGAATGCTCTGAATTTTCCAATGAAATAAGGATTAAAAGGAAAAAAAACGTGCTTTGTCCTCTTCATAGAGAATTATGAATGTAAAATTAGACAAAACTATTAAGATACACATACAAACTTGCATGCACACACACACTTACACCATAATACCCATTCAAAATGTCTTATTTTATGACTAAATATGTCATCATGAAGTTATATACTTTGCACAATACTAGACATGGGATATGAACTACATTAGTCAGACAGCCTCACTGTGTAAATCATTAAACACTTATGAATGCATTTACCCCATGTTAAAAAAAAAAAAGCAAATAGTACTTTGTGTCTCCATACTTCATGATGAAACTGTAAGATTAAACTTGACGGCCGGGCGCGGTGGCTCACGCCTGTAATCCCAGCACTTTGGGAGGCCGAGGCGGGTGGATCACGAGGTCAGGAGATCGAGACCATCCTGGCTAACACGGTGAAACCCCGTCTCTACTAAAAATACAAAAAATTAGCCGGGCGTAGTGGCGGGCGCCTGTAGTCCCAGCTACTCGGGAGGCTGAGGCAGGAGAATGGCGTGAACCCGGGAGGCGGAGCTTGCAGTGAGCCGAGATCGCGCCACCGCCCTCCAGCCTGGGCGACAGAGCGAGACTCCGTCTCAAAAAAAAAAAAAAAAAAAAAAAAAAAAACTTGACACAGTATGTGAAATTGTAAACTAGTAGGTATTCTACTGGAAATATATTAAGATAGTTTTAGTACCACCAGCATTATTAAGATGTGTGTGTATCTTCCCACTGAGGTACAGAGTCCACACATGGAGGTACTGACTAAGTTTTGTGCAACTCTCAACTAGGTGGGAGCAATTTATTTTTTATCTAGGCATGATTCCTGTTTGTCCTCATTCTCTTGGTCCCTTCAGTCTTTTAGGTCAGTTCACTACTTGCCTTTTCCTTTTCTAAAATAAGTAGTATAGCAGAGGTCAATGCTCCAAAACATTCAAACTGTTACCAATTACTTTACTTTGGAGTGAGTAAAACATCTATACCACAATGACTAGATAAAGAATGGGCTTAATCTTTCCTTGCCATCCCTTACCTCAGTCAACACAAGTTGTTGAAAAATGACTGATGAAAAAGCAAGGCTGAGAATGAAGCTAGGTCCTTCATAGAACCAAGATGTAGTTTGCAGTTGTTGAATTGCGCATTGATCAGGAATGTACAGTTACAGTCATATATTTCAGGTATAATTCCTATTATCCTGAAAGGAAGTAGTTAATCTGTCATTCCTGTTAACTGAAACTCTCTGCCACAGATGCTAAATAATTGTGAGCCTGCTTAAGAAAGAGATGGCAAAAACTATTTTGTGAATATAAATTTTTTAAAACACACAATTTTTATTTGCTTCATTAACTGCTACTTTAGGGGAGAGAAATAGGCACCCACTCTGTGAACTGATCATCTTGATAAGAAAGCTAATGAGACAGAAGCCACATCAGGTATTGTCAACTTCTTTTCCTGGTAATCAATACAAGAACAGCATCAGCAATCATTGATTATGTGTTTCCTGTGTGCCAAAGATTATGCTAAGAGACTCGTAGGGAGTATATAATTTAATCCCAACAAACCATATGCAATAATAGGATCATATAATTTTGCAGATAAGGAAACAGTGATGTAGAGAGGGTTCCTGGCCTGCCCAAAATTACCCCATGTTATCCCAGCTATAGGGTTGTCCGACAAAACATCAAAAAAAAAAAAAAAAAAAACAGCTACATTAGAATTCAGACAAATGACAAATAAATTTTAAATATAATGTCCCAAATATGTAGTATAAGTATGCATAAAAGAAAATTTGCCCTGGACCATTTAAACAGGCAAGAAATACTATTCATGACTATTGCAATGGGGAGAGAGACTATTTCAATAGGGAAAAGAGACTGAACAGAATTGGGATGAAACAAAAGAAGAGTTTTTAATTGCTGGGTGAGCTAGCAGAAAGGTACTAGAGAATGCTGGGAGCAGGTTGTTCAATGTGACTAGGCCATTTGTGTTTGCTAATTGGTGCTTATTAAAATTAGGCCTCTGCCCCCTCACAGAGACTGGGAGATATAGACCCTAACTTTCCTAATAATCACATTTCAAAGGGATAGCTCTCAGGTCCTTGAGAACGACATTTCTGGGATATAGAAGATTCATATATCAAAGGGGTAGAAAACTAATGTGCAATTTCAAGCTTTCTAAAGTAAATGCTCTTAAGAAAATGAAGGTCAAGGGCCAAGAGTCAGGAAGAAAACTAAAGTTTAGTCAAGCTAGAGAATGTTGAGGTCATCCTGGTCATGTGTCCCAAATATTATACAAAATATAATTATACTAAAAAAAAATTTGCTAATCTGAAATTCAAATTTAACAGGGCATCCTGTATTTCTATCTGCTAAATCTAGCAGCCCCATACAACGAGCAAGTTGTGGAACCAGTACACTGCATTGATTTGCTCCTGAATTCCTCCCTGGCATATAAAAGCTTTTGATTCAGTGTTTGGTAAATAACCAAAGTTTCCAGACTCTGTTTCCATTTTCTATTAATTCTCTAACTATCCCTATGTGTATGTTCATTTTGTTTAGAGAGAATATGAGGATTATTGCCAAGTGGGAGTGGGAGGCAGGCCTCAAGGCTGAATCAGAGCACAATTATTCCTTCAAGGATTATACAGAGAAGAAATATTTTCACTACTTCTCTACAGAGCACTTATAGCTCTGCTGTGTTACCTTGACACAGAGGAAAGCATAGCAAGTATTAAAGCCTCTAAACCAGCAATTATGTGCCCAAAGAAAAGATACTTCTGTAGACCTTCATTTTTTAAATTATATTCTTCATATATGGCTAAAGCTTTTCTTTAGTTGTGAGAAAACTTGCCCCTTCTTGTTTCAAAAAATTAAAAATCTAAAAAAAAAAGAATCCACACAAACTAATACAAATTCCATATTAAATTGTAGTCATTATGTTTATCAATTACACACAAAGTAATTATCAAATAATCATGTTTTAGCGGAATCTAATCTTTTTCATTGTGTTGAAGGAGGAATCCATCACTTTTGTTGTTGTGCACTTATCAACAATAATTTTTAATATTTTTCAAATGCTTATTTAGCATCTGCACAGGTGATTAAATTATTTTTTCCATAGATTTCTTATCAAACAGAATCATACTAATAAGTTCCTAATATTAAGCCATTCTTGCATTCCTGAAATAACCCATACTAGATTATAATGTGGCATGATTTGCAAGAACTGCTTAATTTGAGTTATAAATATTTTATTTTAGATTTTTAATAAATAATAAAATAATACATAAGATTCTTGTGTTTAGTACAATCTTTGTCAGGTTTTTATATCAATAATACACTCAGTCCCTTAAGATAGTTTGTAAATGTACCTTTATTTTTTACATGCTGTAATAAATTAAAGAGCATTACAATTATTTAAAAATTTGATTAAACCCCCTACGTAACCATCTGAGCCTGAGGTTTTTGAGTGGGATCTTCTTGATAGCATTCAATATTTCTTAAATGAAAATAGATTAATTTGAATTATTTTTTAAAAGTCTGTTTTGATAATTATATTTTCCTATAAAATTATACATTTCATTCAGGTGTCTAAATGTATTCATACAAATAATAATATTAATTTTCTTTTCTCTCTTTTTAAATTATTTATTTTTAGAGATGTAATCTAGCTATGTTGCCCAAATGCCAGGGCTCAAGTGATCCTCTCACCACAGCATCCCACATTTTTCTTTTTGTGATTAGTCAACCGTTTATTTTACTGTTCTACTCCCAAAATCTATTTGCATATTGCTTTTACTGTTTTTAAGTTTTCACAATAATTTATTTTTGCATTTATCTTTATTATAAATTCCTTACTTAGACCTTTTATTAGTGTATTTTATTTTTTCTAATTATTTTGCATCTGACACTTAATTTATTTGTCCTTATTCTTTCTTTCTTAAAAAAATGAATATAAGTTTTAAGGTTTTGAGTTTCCCTTAGAGCATTATGTCCCTTGGGTTCTGATAGATATTATTTTTATTTTTCTCTGTAAATCTTATTCTCCAGTTTTGGTTTTTCCTCTTTGAACTAAGAGCTGTTCGAAAGAGAGCATTTAAATCCCTCAGTGGAAGAATCTTTTGTGGGGGACTGATTTTGTTTGTATGCATAGATTTTCTGCACCATCATGGGAATATTATCTGTATTTTTTCACTTTCATAAATTTATTGAAATTACTTCTGGCGTAATATTTGGTTAATTTTTATGAATGTTCCATCTGCTCTTAAAAAGAAGATATATTTACATTTGTAGGAAATTGAACATTATTTATACACTATTAGTTAGATCAGCCTCTTAAATTATTTTTTTTGGGTAGTTGCTATAGACTGAATGTTTGTGTCCCACCCAAAATTTGTATGTTGAAACTAATCTTCAAGATGATGGCTGATGGTATTTGGAGGTGGGGCCTGTGGGAAGTGGTTAGCTCTTGGGGGAAGGGTGGCTAATAAATGGGAATAGTACCCTTATAAAAGAGACCACAGAGAGCTCCCTTCCCCTTTCCACCATGTGAGGACACAGTAAAAGTACAGCTGTAGAGATAACAGGAAGCGTCCCTCACCAAACGCCAGATCTGCAGCACCTTGTTCTTGGACTTCCCAGCCTCCCAAACAGTGAAACAGTGAGAAATAAAGCTCTGTTGTTTGTAAGCCACCAAGTCTATGATATTCTGTTATAACAACCCTAACTGACTAAGCCAGCTGCCAACACTTACAGTTTGTCAACTTCATTTGTCACAATCTGAGTATATTAGCCAGCTACTATTGTTTCCATTTATCTTTATATTTTTATAATTTTCTCTAGTACAACTTTGAGATCATGAGCTATTGGCCATTTGAGGTTTGTAAGGTATATGTACAGATGCATCTACATATTAATGTTATGTGCCATGTTCATGATAGGGTACGTTGTTTCTAAATTTAACTTTATTTTCTCCAAATTGCAGTGTGTATATTATGAGGTAAAGAAACTGAATAAAATAAAATCATGTCATTCTCATTACTCTACTGATTCTCTAATAGACAACAAACCTTATCTGCCCCTATCATATTAGAAAAATCCTGTGAGTACCTTTTAAACATTTCTATGCAACCAGGAGCAGATTTTCATAAGACCTGGTCTTTTTAATAGCTTTTTCACAAGAAAACTGGCTTTTACATCAGTAATTTAAATACTAAGTTCACCCACATTTTCATGTTTTCTTGGTGTGTGAAAAGTGGGCTTAAACTCCTCACATGACTTCTACAGAGAAGGAAACAGAGAGAAACCAGTCTCTCCTGACCTGAAAAACGAAGTAGCCACTGGACTGTGGGCGTGAATTGTTCTAAAGAATTCAGTGCCTTGTCACACTGTTCTGCCTGGTCCATCTTTGAATAAAAAGTGCCTAAGCAGAGTTTCTTTTTCTTATTATTATCTGCTTGCTACTCTTCCCCCAAATCAAACTAACGTGTATTCTAGATCTCTAAATTACTTGCTCCTTCTTCAGAGCCCTCAGCCACTCAATCTGTTACCTCCTTTTTCAAGCTGTATTTTTTCTTTCTTTTTTTCTAAGTAAACCTGACCCACGAAGTCTTTCTTCATATCTTCAGATTTTAGCATTAATAACAAGTCTTCTCCGAAGAAATATCAAAGAGCTTTACATTCTATTAATTATTCTCCTCATGTTTTCATCTCCTTCCTGTGTGATAGTTCCTCATATTTAGACAGTCATATAATAAATGTTAAACTCCTTGAAGAAAAGGAACATGCACTTCAGCAAAATGACTAGAACATTCTTTTATTCCAGTGAAACTGAAAAAAGAAAAAAAAAACTATGTTTCTACAGTTACATGTATCAGCTATTAATATTCTAATCACAGATTTTGAAACTAGAAAAGAAATATCATTGAGTCAAATCCATGTATGTTAAAGTTAACGAAGCTGATCCACAAAGGGGGGAAATGATTCTCTTAATACCTAAAACAACTCTATCATTGTTCAGTAGCCTATTTCTTCAAACAATATTTCTACTCATCATTTATATTATCCCTGCATAAGGATAACTTCCTAGGTTTGTCCTTCAGTCATTTGAGCTACAGATCCAGGGAGGAAAGAGTTGTATGTTTTGTAAATCTGACCACTGAGCTTCCCTCTAAATGGGGAGTGGCTTGGGTGACCTGAGAAAAGGGTTACATTTGTATAAATAATGTGCACTAATGGTGTTCATGCTGCTAAAAAAATGCTCCTGCTTTCAAACTATGCTGCCTGGAGAGCACAGGTGGATTTGTGGATTAGCTGTTTAAATATTTATGAAGCTATTTAGACATATTTTATTTATTGTAAAAATGTTTATACTATAATTATTTCAAGAATTAAGCTTTCACATGCTATCAGAGGCTTAAACTAAAATCTAATTATTCTCAATCATATCCTCCTAATGCTAGGTCATGTCCAAGTGGCAAAGGGTGAGAAAAGTTCTTTAATGGATATTTGTTGTCATAAACTTATTGATCAATCAATCAATCAACTCATATTTTCAAAGCATCTCCTTTGTGACAATCTTTGGAGAGATGTGTTGGGTACTCTAACACAGACTTACAATGATAGTAAATACATTTACTACTTACAAAGTATCAGGAGCTGGCATACATTAACTAATTTAACACAAAAGATAATCATTGAAGTAGGTCCTATTATCATTCCCTCTATATAGATGAAGAAACAGTCATTAGATTTTAAGAACTCAATGTTAATTCGAAGGCATAGGTTATTAGTGTAAGTACAACCAACAACTCTTGATAAATGTCAAAGTAGGATTGAGAATCAATTAAAGACTTATGAGAGTTGCAAAAATAAATCACACAACTGAGTGATTAAAATACAAAGAAATCAGATATCTGTAAAGTCGTGACCTATGTACCATACTTGGCCATAGTCAAATGTATATTATGTAGCTCACATTTTGATGCATTTAATTATCTCCCAAAATTGAATAATCAGCAGACTTCACATAAAATACCAGATTTCTGGCTCCTCGTATAAAACAAAAAATTAGAAGATCTAGAAGCTCTTGCTTCACATTTTCATATGATCACAGTCAGCTGGATCTAAGTACCGTTTACATGTCTTAGGTTAGTATTTACTCTCCAATTTACCATAATCACCACTGCTCTCTAATGTCTCTTAGAAGGAGCCTAACTCACTCAGATATTCTGCTCTCCTGGCTTATGTAGTCAAATGTGCTAATGTACATTGCTTCCTTATCATTACTGGGAGCAAGATGTTATCGGACATGTGAAATGAACATACCATTATTTTCCCTGTCCAGAAGCTAATGGTCCCATTTAGTAGAGAATAAAAAGAATAGCTCAGAGCAGGCTCTCAGTTTCATTCGTGTATTCACTAATAGTGCATCCATGAGAATTAGATATTATTCCCCTTAAATATACAGGGACCATATAGTCTTTATCATTCATACATGACACTTATTTCTCAGTGTGGGTGTGGGTGTGTGTGTGAGAGAGAGATACCTGCACATGGACATGTGATTACTAGCCTAAGGCCAACAAATACTCTTGATTAGGATGTATAGGTCAAACAAAATTTTTAAAAGCTCATATTATATGACTTCAAGGTTGTTAACCTAATCATTTCATGGTAATTAGAAACCCTAATTGACAGCTTAGATTTATTTCTTAAAAACCTAAATAAACCCATTGTTTTAGGCATTCTTTCAAAGGCAATCTTTTCTCAGTGAAAATACTGCGGGACTATTCTATTTGGTGCTTAGTGAAAATATTTTGAAATAATGTATGTACAATTATTAAATTCAAAATTATTTTTGTCAAATAAATAGCAGTTAAAAAAAAAAAAAAAGCTCAGATCTCTCCCTTTCTTTCCTTTTCCTCCAAGTATATTTTAGTTAATTTTCTTTTTTTTAAAGCACTCTGTTTGATTTGAGGGTGTTTTTTCTTTTTTTTTTTCAAGGTAGGACACCACTCAATTTTGAAGCAAATTAGTTGAAAATTTAAAAATCAGTTAAAAATCATAGTTCCTACTATTTTCACTTTTCATACACAAAATTTTAATACCACTCTTCAGTAATTTTCTTTCTCTCTTTTATTTTACTTTCCTTTATCCCTTCTAGCCTCCAGGAGAGAAACACAATTTTGGGCAATGTTTATCAAGTAAGACCAAACCTCAAACCCAGTAAGATGACACGCCTGATGCTCGAACTGTGCATTTAAATAAAAAACCACAGGCAGACACAATCCTTTCTCCATACAGACCACTAGACAGAAAAGTTTGGGGATTTTAAATTTCAAGCTTCCTGACCTCAGAAGTTCCCACTGTGAATCACAGTCACATATACCTGTTACAGTACACTTCTTTTCCTCAGTCTATTTAGGAAACTGTCTTTGTGCATTGGCCCTCAAAATTTCTCATTTTGTGTGCTTCTGGTATGGTGGCTTGTCAACTCTTCATTGAGTTGAATTAGAAAGCAGAAGAGAATGCAGGAGCAGGCCCTTTATCAAGAATTTCTGTAGTCTTACTTACAAAATTTCAGGCCTTATTTTCCCTTCTTAACTTTTTTTTCATGGCATTTATGTTTTGCACCACAAAAGACAGAAAACATGCTTTTAAAAGAAGCAATTGCAAGTGAAAGTTTTTAGGAGGGAAAAGACACATGAGGAAAGGGTGACGTGGCTTATTTTGAAAGTGTGAATCACACACTGGAACCGTGATGCCACCAAAAAAACCATGGAAATACACCTTCAGAGGTGAAAATATGATTTTCAGGAATGTGATAATAGTTTCTACAGAGCACACAGAAAATATCACTGAAATTTTGTTATTCCTTTTATTTCTCACTAAAAAGATTAGAAAATTGAAAATAAGACCTTATCATAACAAATAAATTTGATATCAACCTTTAAAGTTTTTGTTAAAATTAAATCTCAGAACTGTCTTAGAAAAACATTTGTACTATCCTGCCCATTTCTTAGTTAAGTACCATTGTTGAGTGACCTTGGAATAGCAATGGTTCTCACACTTGGCTGGATATTGAAATCACATAGGGACTTAAAAAGTGCCGATGTCTGGGTCCCAACCACAGATATTGCCATGTCATTGATCTGGGGAACAGCCTGGACATCAAAACTTTTTTAAGCTCCCAAGTGATTCAGATTTCAACCAAGTTTGTAAACTACTAAAAAGAGGAAATTATTTTAACTATAAAAATAGAAGGAGAACATATAAAGAAGTAATATTAAGGAGAGAAATCAGAGTCCCTCTTTTCTTTCTGAAACAAGTCATCACACATATAGAAAAGAGGGAAGAAGTAATTTTGTTCTCCATAGAAGAGATAAACAATAGAAAACATTTATACTTTGCACTAAATTCTTTATTAGATTTAATGACATATCAAACAAAAATAGCAATTTCATATTGTTCAACCTATGCCACAATTGGCTGACAAATATAGATATATTAAACAATGGTAAAATGTTTAACAATATAAAGGAAATTACTATGTATCAATCAGGTTTACTCATGTGTAAAAAATATCTTTTTCTTAAAATTTTATATTACTTTACAGTTTCCCAAATACTTTAATACTTAATGTCTTATTTGATTATCCCAATATCTCAACATGGAAGAGTGGGAAGATATCTTCATTTTACAGAAAACTTAAGGGGCATGCCAAAGGTAACACTTGCTTGAGGTTAGGCCCAGAAAGACAGTCCAATGTCTCCGTGGATAAACGTTGATTTCTTAAACCAGCCATTTCTTGTTTTGAAAGCTCTTCACTTTTTAGATAATATGACCCCAGAACTTAGGGGCATTTATGTGTCTAATAACAACTCTCTTGAAAGCTTTCTGAGAATAAGATGAAGATGCTGTGGTTGAATGTACAGAAAAGATGACTATGTCCTCCATGAAAACAGGATAGTACCACTTCCATGATCTTTTGAGTATAGAGAGAGGTAACTTTCTTAAAGAAAAAAAATAACTGCAATTAGAGTTATAATAGGATCACCTTTGTTCTAGACTGTGTATATGGTATATTAATGGCATTTAATATCTGATTTAATCCCTTAAATAAGCGTATCGCCCTTTAACAAGGAAGGAACTAGGATTCAGAGATTTGTGTAACTTTGGTGTGCATACTCTTTCCATAAGTCTAGAGGCATACCAAAAAAAAAAAAAAAAAAAAGAAAATTAACTCTCTTGAGGATGAGTAGTCATGAGTTCTATTCTTGGTTCTGTCACCAACTTCTTATATGATCCTCATCCCACAAAAATATTCTCCACTTCTCAGAAGGTCAAGTCTTAAGGCCTCATCTAACTCTAAACTTGCGTAAGTATAGGGGCCATAGTTCAAAATGCAACTCTAAAATGCTTAGAATTTAGCTTCTGTTTGTAAAATGCAGCAGGTATTTACTGTCTGCACCGCTCATATGTTTTAACTTAGTCTAATCCAAAGACCTCTATTTTCCTCCAGTGAACCACCTTCCTTTTCCCAGTCATAGTGCAAGAACTTCAGGCAGAACTGTTTCCACCTCTGATTTCCTGAACTGACATGTGACTTCAGCCTCATTGGTTATATACTCTTCACCATGGTAATTCAGGGATGGGAGGTAACCCAATTCCGATCAAAGAGATCAGGGTTAAGAGTTATTTTTCCAAATTAGTCTAAGGAAAGTTTGTTTTCTTTCTTGCTGAACCCGGAGGCCGAATGACATAGGCCTGGAGCTGCTGATGGCTCTTGGTGGAACCTGAGAATTAAACCAGTTTCATTGCACAGCCAAGGGATGGACGTAAAAGATGACCTGTCAATATTGTTTGAATCCCTAAATCAAAAGTTTTCTACAATTTTTCAGTGGTATGAGTAATAAATTTCCTTTTTCTTTTTTTTTTAATTATTATTTTAATTTAAGTTTTAGGGTACATGTGCACATTGTGCAGGTTAGTTACATATGTATACATGTGCCATGCTGGTGTGCTGCACCCATTAACTCATCATTTAGCATTAGGTATATCTCCCAATGCTATCCCTCCCCCCTCCCCCCACCCCACCACAGTCCCCAGAGTGTGATGTTCCCCTTCCTGTGTCCATGTGTTCTCATTGTTCAATTCCCACCTATGAGTGAGAATATGCGGTGTTTGGTTTTTTGTTCTTGCGATAGTTTACTGAGAATGATGATTTCCAATTTCATCCACGTCCCTACAAAGGACATGAACTCATCCTTTTTTATGGCTGCATAGTATTCCATGGTGTATATGTGCCACATTTTCTTAATCCAGTCTATCATTGTTGGACATTTGGGTTGGTTCCAAGTCTTTGCTATTGTGAATAGTGCCACAATAAACATATGTGTGCATGTGTCTTTATAGCAGCATGATTTATAGTCCTTTGGGTATATACCCAGTAATAGGATGGCTGGGTCAAATGGTATTTCTAGTTCTAGATCCCTGAGGAATCGCCACACTGACTTCCACAATGGTTGAACTAGTTTACAGTCCCACCAACAGTGTAAAAGTGTTCCTATTTCTCCACATCCTCTCCAGCACCTGTTGTTTCCTGACTTTTTAATGATTGCCATTCTAACTGGTGTGAGATGGTATCTCATTGTGGTTTTGATTTGCATTTCTCTGATGGCCAGTGATGGTGAGCATTTTTTCATGTGTTTTTTGGCTGCATAAATGTCTTCTGACAAAGGGCTAATATCCAGAATCTACAATGAACTCAAACAAATTTACAAGAAAAAAACAACCCCATCAAAAAGTGGGCGAAGGACATAAATTTCCTTTTTCTGTTTAAGTCAACTTGGTTTGATTTTCTGTCACTTGGAACTGAAAAATTTCTAGCCAGTACTTACACCCCAAGCACATCCTTTATTGGAAAACACAGAAACATTTGGGTGATTTAAAAGATAGAACATTGGGTGATAGAAAAGAAACAATGGGTGATTATTATGGGTTTAGGTCATGGATGCCTTTGTGACAAAGGACTTAATTTAATCTGAGCTCCGGCAAAGCAGACGACTCATTAGAAAGCTTTCGGATATACATGAAAGAATGTCTCTTTCAAATAGGATTAAACAATAGAGGTAGTTAATGACACAAGTAACTGTAAGGACTAAAGGTTCATCAAGATCAAGCAGACCAACGATATTACAAAGATCCAATTTATTTCTATATTTCTGTGTCATCTTTTGCAATGGCTGTTTCATCTTAATGCTGTCGCAAAATGGCCACCAGCAGTTACAAGAGTTACAAACCACTTTGTTCTCTTCCTACAAGTCAAGAGAACATTATTTCTGACAGCTCTCTTAAAAGTGTAAGAAAACTTCTTTCTTAGACGCCCTCATTAAATGTCTGCTCATAACTAATTGGCCCTCCTTGGTTCCTGTGCCTTGAAACCCTACCTGTGGCCCTGGGAACTGAATGTGCTAATCTGCTTAAATTGGGACTGGGTTTAGCTTCACCAGAAGCACAAACGCTAAGTAAGGGGAGAGAAGGAGTGAACATCACAGCCACAATCAGGATACTATCGCTAAGAGGATGAGGGAGTCGGATACTGAACTGTGAAAAATTACAAATGTTACAGACAGCATCAAGTGGCCAAACAATTACAGCAGATTGTATCTGAATAAAAATTATTACATGGGCCCTAAGTCTGTGGGCTGCATTTTTGTGCCAAACTGATTACTTTCCACAGCTCTCCAGGTTGTGAAGTACATGTGGAAGGACTTCAATGAAGAAAGTTGTGTTGAAAAAAGAATGGGATGGGGCCTGTTGAACCAGGTGGCCTTGCCTGCATTTCAGAGGTCGCTCTCCAAAGTCATATGTAAAATCTGGATTAATTAATTTTGATGGATACAACTTGAAGGTGAATGAAACTCTCTGTATATAGTGAAGCCAAGCTGTTTCCAGGAAGGAATATTTCTGTTAAACTTAGCATTTTTGGTATAAACATAAACGTGTATAGTTCAATGTCCACATTAACCACAAAACATGGGATTTGCCTCCATAAAGCATGCAAAATTGTTTGAGGCTACATTATGGTTTCACATTTTCAGTTCTCTCCGTAATTTATGTATTCATTTCACAAGTATTTAGTAGTCTCACTGCATGCCAGAAGCCATGTTACTCACTAGGTTTTAACAGTGGGCCCATGGTCCAAACTCTGCATTGAGTGTCCCACAAAAAATGTCTACAAGGTGAACTAGGAAGGAGTACTAGTAATAAAAGGATTTGCAGGCAAGACAGCCGAAGTCTGATAAATGTCCACACCAAAATTATCATCTCTACTTACAGATAAAGAAACAGGACTTCAGACAAGATGAGTCATGAATTCTTTATTTTCATACTCTCTAAGAGTTAACAAGTCACCAGTTGTACCATGGTGAGAGACGTTTATGATGTATATGAATTCCTGGGATATAGGATTGATTTTTGTTTGGTATCCTGCTGTATTTTGTTCTAGTTTTTAATTCCTATAAGTTTTAGCCATCATGTAAGAATTCAGCTGGATTCATACAAAAATTATTGATAATTAGTTACCCTTAGTTTCAGGTTTCCATATATCTTGCTTTATAAGGTACTTCTAAAGTCATAAGAGAAATTTAATCAATAAAATTATCAAATATTTAGCATATTTAAATCTCAGCTGATCCACAAGGCATGAATTAGAGCCAACATGAACACCCCTTCTTAAGAGATATTTAATTTTCAGTTCTGACTCAAAGATATTTATTCATTCTTTATTCAAGAGCTAGTTGAGTGTGTGTAGCACTGTAATTGATGCTATTAATACAATGAATTAATTAGAAATTTGGTTGTTGCCGAAATAAACAGAACCCATACTAGCTTAAACAAAATAAAAAAAAATTAAAAATGCAACATTTTGACTAATTTAACCAAACTGTAGATGGGGCAGAAATGGAACCAGTCTTTGGATACCACAGCACCAGGGACTCTAATACTTTGGACTTCTTTCTTTCTGCCTGTCTCTCTCTTTTTCTCTTTTATACTTTATCTTATCCCTGATTACGCATGTTGATCTTATTCCCTTGGGCCAGCTGCTCTGATGAAGGTGGATCCAGGGCATTAGACAATTCTGGAATTATATCCACATGACCTACTAACCAAGAGGAAAACAGTACCTTCCTCACCATGTTCACTTTAAGGACTTCACTGTGAGACATATGCCACGCCCAACCTCAACCACACAGGTGTTGGGGGCTCATGAGTTAAACCCGGTCACAAGACAAAAACTTTGGCCAAAGTTAGTATAATTTTCAAAAGAAATGTAGAAGAAATCATCAAAACAGATGTGATCCCTGCCATCATCAGAGCTTTCGGTATAACGTGCAGGACAAAATGTGAAACACATAAATTCATATTAATTACAATCGAGATGAGTGTTAATTAGAAGAAGGATATTTTAGAAAACATAATATGGATAGTCAGAAAAGGATTCTTCCAAGAAAGTGATGCCTAAGAGAGCATAGTAGTTAACTAGATGAAGGGTGTGAGACGTTCCCAGGCAGAGGGGAAAAGAGGAAAAATGGAAAGTATAATGAAGGCCCAAAAATATGCTTTACAGAGTAAAAATTAGAAGGTTAAAACATCAAAAGGGATCTTGGATAACCTTTAATAAGATTTTTTTTAACTTCTAAGGGTGTATGAGAGCTAATATTTTATTCACTTCATTAACATCTTTTCTTAATCCAGTTACACTTACAGAACAAGCACAGGGCTAGGATCAGAAGACCTGCTTCTGACACTCCATATACTGGATGACCTCAAGCAAATCAAGCATTTTTCCCTGTCAAGCATTTTCCTCTGGGCACTCCATTTTCTCATCTTTATATGAAGGAGATTGGATTGGACTAAGACATCATTCCTAATAGTCTGTGCCTCATGCAAATGATGTAAGCTTTGAGACCAGCAAGATTTGACATTAATTTGGGGTAAGGACAGAATGGGATTAAGCATTAGCCCCATGGAGTGTCATATGATGAACGGCACTAAAACTTTACCAGGGTGATAAAAAACTACATGAAAATACAATGAGATGAAAAAAATATATATTTAATAGAGTCATTGACAGGAAAGGTTCATTTAAAAGGACTACTTGGATAAGTCACCCAGGTTGGGGATAAGACCACCAAGTGACATGCTCATGGAAGAGGAACCTCTGAGCTATCTTCTAAGGAAAATCAGGCTGGGTAACTGAGTAGTTTTGTTTTTCTGATTAGGGTCTACTAATTTGTCATCAAAGTGAATTGTTTAGGAAAACAAAGTAGAGGATGAAAAATGCTAACCAGCCGTGGTCCTCCATCTCCATCTATTTTCTATACAAATCTCAGACTATTCCATCTTCTAAAACTGAAAACATATTTACTGCCTGGGTGCAGTGGCTCATGCCTGTAAACCTAGCAGTTTGGGAGGCTGAGGCAGGAGGATTGCTTGAGCCCCAAAGTTTGAAACCAGCCTTGGAAACATAGTGAGATCCCACCTCTATAACACGTAAAAAATTAGCCAGGCATGGGGCAGTGTGCCTATAGTCCCAGCTACTCAGGATGCTGAGGTGGGAGAATCCCTTGAGCCCAGGAGATCAATGCAGCAGTGAGCTGTGATTTTGCCACCATACTCCAGCCTGGGTGACAGATTGAGACCCTGCGAAAGAAAGAAAAGAGAAAAGAAAGAAAGAAGGAAGGAAGGAAGGAAGGAAGGAAGGAAGGAAGGAAGGAAGGAAGGAAGGAAGGAAAGAAAGGAAAGGAAAAGAAAAAAGAAAAGAAAAGAAGGAAAGAAAGAAGAAAAGAAAACATATTTACTGGATATTGGTTTGAAAGGTTGCCAAAGTATTAGGCTGTCCAGAATATGGGTTTTGGTACAGTGCTGGTAAGGAGGAGTGCCTTTTGGGTTACTGAATACCACACTACTGCACTTACCTAAGGTAACAGATGGAGGTGGCCAAGTCTTTCTTTTGTTTGTTTGTTTTAGAGATGAGAGTCTCACTCTATTGCCCAGTCTGGAGTGCAGTGGTGCAATGATAGATCATTGTAACCTAGAAGTCTTGGGATCAAGCCATCCTCCCACTTTAGCCTCTCTAGTAGCTGGGACTACAGGAGTAGGCTACCATGCCTGGCTAATTTTTTTCCCCCAGTAGAGACAGGGTCTTGCTATGTTGCTCAGGCTAAGCTCAAACTCCTAGCCTCAAGTGATACTTCTGCCTCAGCCTCTCAAAGTGTTGGGATTAGAGGTATGAGCCACTGCATTAGGCCTGGGCAAATCTCGATGCTCTTCAAGTGGTTGCCAGAGGATGTTTAGCATCAGATCCCAAGATATGAGCACAACTTTGTGAGTTATCTGGTACAGTATAACATCATTCAAGGTTTATCGCTTATATACAATAGCCGTCTTACTGTAGACAGCCCCTAACCAAGAGAATGTTGAGAAAGCCTCAAATTCTGACAGGGCTGACAAGGGAAGGATGTGAGTAGGGGCACTAGTGATCAAAAGCACTGACTGTGACCTTCAGATTGAAATTAAGCAACCTGATGCAGTAATATCTAATCAGGAGAGTGAAAGGCTGAAGGTACAATCACATGTTTCCAGGACACTGGTAGACATGGAAGTAAATTATCAATATTAATCTTTGCCAAAAGAACAGTAGATTTACAGTGTATTTGAGTTCTTCAGAGGCAGTTGTAAATATCATTTATCCTATTACATGCTTTCTGGAAAGGAACACATACAGACTAATTTGGTTGTTTGTTGCAATGAAAGGAGTCATCAGGATGCATTTTTAATCCAAATAGATCTCTTGTGAAATTATTTTCCGGAGACATAGTCTAATGACACAAACTAAAACAGTATCTATAGCTAATTTTGGAGTCAGTAGAGAACACTGAGATTTCAGGCATCTTTACTTAGTGCCACTTTCTTTTATAAATAATCAGAGGAAAGCAAGGTGGTAGTTTGGTGTCCTTTGTTTGCCTGTTTTGTTGTTAACCTTGAAGGAAAGATTGAAATTAATTTTAAATAATATCTGCATTCTTATCCATCCACAAAAGAACTTTATTTTGCTTTGTTTTCAAAAAATTGCCTCTCAATTATTAAAATATTCTAATGTTTTAGTCCTTTTTTTCCCAAAAGAGGGTATTCTGATAAGGAACATTCTAGACTACTAGCAGAATTAGGTTAATACTTTTAATGCTTTTTTTTTTTCCTTGATTAAGCTGCTTTTACTCATTTTAGGCCTCATTTTCCCTTTTTGATCATGAAGGTATCTCCCTAATTCACTGCAATCACATGAAAATTTAGCATAATAAAATTTCAAGTCACCTATACATTTACTAGTTAAAAAGGAGAATTTCTCCCATTATCTTTAAGATCAGAGACAACATTTTGCATCTATCAATTCCTCATGCAGTGCTTTGTATTGTGTAAACAATAAGTAAATCTTTGATGAAGATAATCATGAAGAAGATAATGGTAATAATCATGATGACTATCAAATAAAAATAAGTTAATGTATGAATAATCATTTTCTAAACTGTACATCTCTATAAAAATTAAAGCAATGTTGAAGAGAACTAAGTTGTCATCAATAATCATAGATTACCATTATCAGTGATGTTAATATTATTCACACAGATATGCAATGATCTGACTTTCTCATCACCTCATTTTGCAAGTATTTCAGGATAAATGTGTGCCACTCTGAGTTATTTAGAACAAAACATAAATGGAGACTTATCAGCAATTTAGCAACCTCAGTAATATTAAAGTTGTTAAAACAATCAAATACAGACTTAAAAGCAACTAAATCTGCTATATTTGCAAGCCCAAAATGCTACCTTAAAAAACTTCGTATATAATGTTGGTTTTATTTCCAAAGGTCAAAAGAGGGAAAGATTTTGTACCTGAATGTTATGATGAACAGCTTAGGGAATAAAATAACTAAAATACATTATACACATAAGTTGCAGTCATTTGAATATATAATCTGTGTATTAGCATCATTAACATATTCACATTTTCACACCATCTGATGTTTGCCAAGGAATTATAAATTGATGTCTCCAAAAATTACCCAAGCATGTTGCATAGAGAAGCAATGCAAGAGGTGGAGAGGAAACCAAAAGGTCAAAACAAAGTGTTTCTCTCAAATGGAGCCAGAATGCCTTAAAGCATTCAGTTTGCAACTAGATAATCTGAGTTAAATACTTGAAAATAATGCAGATGGAAGGACTGTGAATGTTGCTAGAAGCATGAGATTTCCACCTGTGATTTTCTCACATTTCTGTTATTGATACTTAAAAAGTGAAAGTGCTATAGAAGTGCTCCCCACACACTCTGTTAACAAACATGACCCTTAGCCCTTCAAAAAATGCCTAATGCTAAAACAGAGTACCATGAAAAGACACATCCCTAAATAAAGAGACAGCTAGTCGTGAATGGAGGCTAGGGTACCTCTCAAGAATCCTAGCAATTGCAGAAATCTGATCCACTTGGACATTTGTCTTGTGAACAACCACATGGCAAATCAATGAAGCTCATTTATAGTTTGGTAATGGTTGCCAAAAAAAAAAAGATTTCTAAAAACAAAAAATTACTGAGTCTGAGGTCTCAGCTAAGAACTGTAATGTGTGCCAAATTTACCTATTCTTGTAAGTCCACTTTCTATATGGATAGACACTAAAAGTGAAGCCTGCTGACCGATGGATAGATTAACCAAAGATTAGAATTGATATTAAATAGATCAAAAATATTTCTAAAGAATTTCCTG
The DNA here is from genome assembly GCF_000001405.40 of Homo sapiens. Classification (NCBI taxonomy): domain Eukaryota; kingdom Metazoa; phylum Chordata; class Mammalia; order Primates; family Hominidae; genus Homo; species Homo sapiens. The sequence goes on from NC_000003.12 coordinate 2,068,340, forward strand.
CTAACTCTCCAGAGCATAGTAGGGCCTCCGAGCTTATTAATGTTGGTGCTGTTTAGGCTAGAAAGTAGTACTTTTTCTTGTCAGGGTTCTCAAGATTGTGAGAGTTTTAAAAATATTTTTGTTATGATAATGGGCTCTAGTAAAAACAACCATCATCAACAAATAAATAAGTCATTGACTTGATTACAGAAATCAACACAGTCATAATCATATGCAAACGTGGTAGGTATATATTATCCACTGATGCTCACACCAGGCATGGTGGTGCATGCCTGCGATCCCAGCTACTTGGGAGGCTGAGGCAGGAGAATCGCTTGAACCTGGGAGGTGAAGGTTGCGGTGACCCAAGATCACACCATTTCACTCCAGCCTGGGCAACAAGAGCGAAACTCCATCTCAAAAAAGAAAAAAAAAAAATAGGAACTACTAAACAAAAATTATTAAATGTTTCAAATGTTTACATTTAACAAATTAATGTCTGACGAATGTCTTTTTTCAATTCTGCCAGTATTTCTGGGACTACATATACTCCCTTATTTGAAGATGAGATCAAAAATTTAAATTTGAGCCACTGCCCTATTGTGATTGCCAGGCTTCCCCTGTAACATGGGATTTGATTTTCAAATATGAGTGTGTGTGCGGGGGGAAGAATAATAGGCAATTACTTTATACAAATATCATTATATTGGAAGGAATGGTAGACAAATAGAAAATACTGTTTGAAACTCAAAAAACGTCAAGGATGGAGAGGAGGAATAAATATTTAACATATCAAAAGCATAATATTTGAGCCAGGCGTGGTGGCTCACGCCTGTAATACCAGCACTTTGGGAGGTTGAGGCGGGCGGTTCATGAGGTCAGGAGATTGAGACCATCCTGGCCAACATGGTGAAACCCCCCATCTCTACTAAAAAAACAAAATTTAGTTGGGCATGGTGGTGCACACCTGTATTCCCAGCTACTCGGGAGGCTGAGGCAGGAGAATCACTTGAACCCGTGAGGTGGAGGTTGCAGGGAGCCAAGATTGCGCCACCGCACTCCAGCCTGGCCACAGAGCGAGACTTCATCAAAAAAAAAAAAAGCATAATATTTGAACATGACTTCTCACTTATAATTATTCTCTAAAAGAGTATCTTATATTCTAGTCATTGGAATACATTTTCTGTTACTAGAAGGCAAGGACAGTGTGTTAAGCACATAAAACAAACAAGTACTGGACTTTAAAAAGTGAGCAAAACAGCATCACCCCATAACATTGTCCTAGTGTTGCCTGGTATGTTGTCAATGCTCAAAAAATATTTTTATATAAATGAATGAATACTTGTCTTGTTGCAATGTTAGGTAGCAGGTCGATTTTGGTTGTAGTATTTTGCAGCCCATGACTTATTTTCCTTTTCTTAATCAAGTTGGAGAATCTCCAATACAAAGTGCATCTCTGGTGCTTTATTTCTTAATATACCTACATTCTGCTTAGCAGGCAATATTTGGTTTGGCTGGCCTTAAGTAAGAGGAATCTTTCATTAGTAGTTTGAGAGTGTGGCTTCCATGAAATATGTAATCAATCTTGCATCCAGTGCATGAACTCTTGCTAAAGGCATGTATTGCATGAACCCTCTACTTGAATCCAATGCTCTGCGAACACTATTCAACTTTCAAGACACAGTGAGCCAAGACCACATCTTTGCAGTATCTCACTGGCTTCAGTGATGGCCCAGCTATTATTCAGGGACGGATCCAATAGTCCCTGAAGATTTATTTCCTTTATTCTTGACATGTTTAAATGACTAGCTGCAGATGCATACAATCTGAGGTAATTTAGTCAAGAAGGAAGTGCGTTTACTCTAGCGCTCCTCTGCCGAAACGGTCTAGAGGAAGAGTAGATTCGAGAAGCAGCCCTGACATAAAGCATCGATACATCCATCTACTCTTTTGACAGATTTGAATAACTGAGACCAAACTCTTTTATTGCTTGACTGAATTAGACTTTTTACTTTCTCTTTCTCCTATGCAAATTAGATACTAACAACTCTGGTCCTTCATACCTTAGAACCAAGCCAATCAAATGCCTATTTCTTTGAGCTTTTGTGTTTGAATATATTCAATAGTAATAAAATAAGCAGAAAAATTAAAGCCAGTTCTATCATATTTTCTCCACAAAAGGCCCTTATACTTTGAGGAAAATGTAATCAATTAAACAGTGACCTCTGTCACAGTAGGGTCTTCAACATATAAATGAAACTATATACCTTCATTTAGTTAATGGTCCATAGTAAGTACATGGAGATACAAATATTGCAAAATTCTGTACATACTGAGAAGTAGTCTTTAAGCAATTCTTGTAAGACTGGTTTCAGTGGGCTTAGAGACTTCTCTTACAACAGCACTAAAGAAATTAGTTACATAGGCTGCAGGAAAATATGCTTGTTTAGCACAAAACAGTAAGAAAGGAGGTGGCAATGATTCACCTTGACTACAGGGAATGATTTTATAAAGAATAGAAATGATAAGTAAAGAAGTTTTATTTGAAAGCATTTAAGAAGCAATTATAGGCAATGAGGGGTAAAAAAAAAGATGAAGTAGTAAGTACTTGAAAGCTTATGAATAACAAATAAGGCTTATTCAGGTAATAACAGGTTACAGCAAAGTTGCTGGAATATAGTATTCCATCAATATTAAGGAGAAGGATAAATACATTCATGCTTAGCTATTTGAAGAATAAATCCACATATGTATTTTTGTCACTCCTCCAAAAGAATAAAAGGGTGCACCTGGTACACAAGTCAAGGTTCTATGGTCCCAATCAGGGTCAAATTTTTAACAATAAGTCAACCACTAAGGTACATAAAAGAGCCATGCACAGCAATAACATTAGTTAAAAATGCAAAATTCTCCTGAGCTGATACAACTTTCCAACAAAAATATTATCCTTAAATTGTTTTCAGAGCTTAAATTACCAAGACTAAGCGCAAATGCTTCTAGCTAAGGCTGTTTCATGATACATTGGGTTGTAAATTTCTCAAAAAGAATGTTTCTATTTTAATAAGCTTGTTTTCTTCTTCTTTCTCTTTTCTTATTTCTTTTGCAATAGTGTACTTTTTCTCATTGACCTTTAATTAATTACCTTTAAAGCTAGCTAATAAAATGTATTGCTCTTGACATAGATATCTAGAATTACCTTAATTTAACACGTTTTAGGGCATTCAACTAAAAATGCAAAGAGATTGTATTTTTTTCAGAACTCAGGGCCATAGCATAAAATCAGATGCCATGTGTTGTTATTTCCCTAGTGCGTTAATTATAAGAATATCTTTTACCTGAGGAGTTTAGATTGTATCTGTATGCACTTTGGTTCGTCACATAGGTGATAAGTAAGCTGAAACCACAGAATGGTCTGACATAGAGGTGGAGTCCAGAGTTTCAGTCATCTTCTCTAACCTCAGCCTAGTTATTTTTAATGTCTAAGCTAATGTTATTGAAGGACAAGTTGCATGTTATTCAATAATTATTTTCACCTCTGTACTAAACTGTTTCCTAACTTAGATAACCATTACATATTGCCATTAATAATCCTAACCAATTATAAGATAAGATGGAAACCTGGTTCCATCTTACTCACTATGTAACAACCACATGTAATTCCTGATATAGACTGAGTGCGTAACATAAATGATACGGGGTTAAAGACTTAGGAGTTCACTAACTCCTTCGGTTGTCTAACCGTACCCTCTTGAATCTCTGCAAAAGTGAACACATCAGAGGAGCTGCCAAGCAGTTGTGATTTTTGACCCCTTCCTGTAAAGATTTTATGAAGCATTAAAATAAACCCACATTACACAGTAAATACAATGTTAAAAATAATTCTATAACTTTGTTTTTAAAATTGTGTGGCTGTGAGAAACTCATTTAACTTATTGCCCATGATTTCTCAGCAAACATGAGGCATATTCAAGGATTCTGCAAAGCGAGAAAAGTCTAACCCTCACAGCGTTCCCATAAGTGATGAACTATTTTGGAAAGTGAAGTTGACAGAATATGTTTTTAACATATTCAATCAAATATTTATTAATGTATATTTTGAGGCTTCTTTTTCATTTTTTGGAGACCACATCTCAAGTCCTCTGAAGGTGCTGAAAAACTTACAAGCCCTAAAAACTGGAGGGTCCAAAGTATGAAACAGTTCCATTTTCACACCTACTTTAACTAGAGCAGATCGAATTTGAACCATCTTACACATTGGACATCTGCTAAAAAAATATATAATTTTTGGAGTTGGCAAACCACTGATACAGAACTTTTTAGCCTACCAAATGTGAAAACATAACAACATACACCCCTCTTTTTAGGAAAATGATTATTTTGGGGGAAAATCATAAAGCTATCACCTGGACATTTCATTTATTCAAATATAACGCAGTCAATGGCCTGTGCTTCTATATGTGTAAATTATCTTTGGGATTTGAAGGTTAGTTAGCTAAATTACTTGGGCTATTTTTTTAAAAATCCAATTCAGACTTGTTCTGCTATACTATATTCTTCCTCTTGAGATTTCAGCTCCCTGAGTCTCCTGACATCTAAGATCTGAGAAACTAAAAGTTATCTAAGATTAGTATGTGGGACATTTTAATCTCTATTAGAAGATGAATTCTAACATATTTTATAGATAATAAATGCTTTCAATATATCTTCAATAATTGCAGGGAGTAATAAAACCTGTCTAGTGTAGGATATCATAGTGGTTGATAAAATGATCCTATTGATAATCATATAAGATCCAAATGATTTCCCAATGAACTCCCCTTTCTTTCTAATCATGACTTAAGATCTTTGCTGAATGCCCATTTCAGATTCTGTGTAAACACATGAAATATGGCTTGGAGCTTCTTAATACTTAATTGTATTAAAGTACTAGGCCTGTGCTTTAAATGTTTCTAGAAGAAAATTGAGTCCTTAAAGAGTAAGACAAGACTACAATTTTTCATACAGAATGCCCAGCACTGAAAATTACATTAAGGAAGAAAACCAAATCACCAAATGCCAAGGGAGGTATTCTACTTCCAATAGGGAAACAGTATCTTGTATCAGCTCAATTCTCCTTCAGATAACAATTATAAATCTGTAAAAGAAGGGAATCACAATAGGTGGACCCTATATTTACCTAAATTCTCTCTCTGAGGTAACATCCTGGTTCACTATGACACAGGGAAATACGTATAAAGAGGTAGGGCTGCGGAGACAGAGACTGGAGTTCAGGACCACCAGAATGGTTTAACATTGAAAAGCCCTCTAAAATAAGTCAACTTCAGATGGGAACATTTTAAACATGAATGCAGATTTACCTCATATACTTGGCTGAGTCTTAAACTGCAAATATACAAGGTAAGAATTTTAAATCATAAAGCAACATCTGGGTAGCGAAATAGCTAAGCAGAGCTTCCAACAGTTGCCCAATGCTAGGGAGAGTTGAGGTAAAATCCTATCAACTTAGAGGTACTTGATAAATACATTGACTTTTCCACTGAAATGCCCCAAAGTCTAGTAATTAAGAGTAAGGAACACATAGAAGGACAACCAACATCACCTTGGAACTAAGGGCAAACTGAAGTAAACCCATCTTAGCAAGTCTAAAACTGAGCGTCAATATGACTGAAGTGAACTGCCAATAAATTACTTCCTTCCAGAAGAAAACTCAACATTCTTTAAAGGAAAATAACAAAATCGGAAATGTCTAAAATATACCACCAATACTGTACAGCACAGAATATAATTTTCTAGGTGTGCAAGAAAGCACAGAACTATCACCCATAACCTAGAGCTAAAGGAATCAACAGAGACATGTACACAGATAATCTATTAGGCTGGTGCAAAAGTTATTGCAGTTTCTGCCATTACTTCTAATATGTAATTCTACTATATGTTAGAATTAGTAGACAAGAACTTCAAAACAACGACTAAAAACAGTTTAAATCATACACAATAATGGATGAACAGAATGAGGAAAGAGATGGAGAACTTCAAGACAAAATGGGAAGTTTAAAAATGGATATAATAGAAACTCTACAACTAAAAAGGGCAATAATAAAAATGAAAATTCGTGGGATGTGCTTAACAGAACACCGGACACAGAAAAAGAAAAGATCAATGAACTCAAAGAGAGGCCAATATAAACTATTTAAATTGATTTCAGAGAAAAAAACTAATTTAAAAAATAGCTTTTCAACAAATGGTGCTGCAAAAACTGACATTCACAGGTCAAAAAGGAATGCAAACACTGACTTTACACCTTTCACAAAAATTAACTCAAAATGTATTATAGAACTAAATGTAAAATGCAAAACAGTAAAACTCCTAGATAGGATAGGAGAAAAACTAGGTGATCCTGAGTTTGCCAATGACTGTTTAGATAAAACATCAGAAGTGCAATTCATGAAGAAAAACTTAAAGTTGGACTTCATCAAAGATAAAAACTTTTGCTCTGCAAAAGATACTGTTAAGAGAATGAAAAGGTAAGCAAAAGACAAAGAAAATATTAACAAAACACATATCTGATAAAGGACTTTTATTAAAAATATACAAAGAAGTCTTAAAACTCCAGAAAAGCAAACACACAACACAGTCCAAAAATGATTAAAAGATCTGAACAGACACCTCACCGAAGATAAACTGATGACAAATGAACATATTAAACCTGCTCCCGAGCCAGGCATGGTGCTGTGTGCCTATAGTTCCAGCTACTTGAGAGGCTGAGGTGGGAGAATTGTTTGAGCCCATGAATTTGAGACCAGTCTGGGCAACATAGCGAGATTTCATCTTGCTTTAAAAAAAAAAAAAAAAAAAAAAAAAAAAAAAAGATGCTAAATATTGTATGCCTTTAGGAAATAGCAAACTATTAGGTTGGTGCAATCCCTTTCATGCCAACCTGATAAAACATCCACGAGATACTACCACACACCTATTTGAATGGCTAAAGTTCAGAACACTGACAGCACCAAATACTAGTGAGAATGTGGAGCAATAGGAACTCTAATTCACTGCTGGTAGGAATGCAAAACGGCACAGCCAAATTGGAAGACACTTTGGCAGTTTTTTACAAAACTAAACATACTGTTAGCATAAGATACAGCAATCATGCCCCTTGGTATTTACCCAAATGAGCCAAAATTTTATGCCCATCAAAAACCACAAATGATTATAGCAGCTTTGTTCATTACTGCCAAAATTTGGAAGCAACCAAGATGTGCTTTAGTAGTTGAATGAATAAACAAACTGGTATATCCAGCCTATGTGATACTATTTGGTGATTAAAAAGAAATGACCTATCAAGCTATGAAAAGACAAGGAATAATCTTAAATGCATATCGCTAATTGAAAGAAGCCAATCTGAAAGGCTACATCCTATATGGTTCTGACTATATGACATTCTGGAAAAAGACCAAACTATGGAGACAGTAAAAGTATCAGTGGCTTCCAGGGAAGGATAAATAGGTGCTCCAGGAAAGACGGAGCAAAAGGTATTTTTAGGGCAGTAAAACTGTAGTGTATGATGCTGTAATAGTGTATGTATACCATATACATTTCTCAAAATCCACAGAATGTACACTACAAGTGAACCCTAATGTAAACCATGGATTTTGGTTCGTTATAATGTATCAATATTGGCTCATCAGTTGAGATAAAGGTACCATACTAAGATAAGACTTAATCACAGCAGAAATTATGCGTGTGTGCTGGGGGTGGGGGTGGTAGCATGAGAACTCTCTGTATTTGTTTTTTGTTTTTGTTTTTTTTTGTTTGTTTTTGTTTTTGTTTTGAGATGGAGTCTCTCTCTGTCCCCTAAGCTGGAGTGCAGTTGTGCAATCTCCACTCACTGCAACCTCCACCTCCTGGGTTCAAGTTATTCCTCTACCTCAGCCTCCAAAGTGGCTAGGACAACAGTCACATGTCCCCATGCCCAGATAATTTTTGTATTTTTAGTAGAGACGGATTTACATCATGTTGGCCAGGCTGGTCTCAAACTCCTGACCTCAGGTGATCTGCCTGCCTCAACCTCCCAAAGTTTTGGGATTACAGGTGTGAGCCACTGCACCTGGCTATGGATTTTCTACTCAATTTTTCTGTAAACCTAAGGCTGCTCTAAAAAATAAAGTCTATTAATTTTAAAAAGTAGAACAGACTATCTAAACTATGGGCCTATATCACATAATCTAATATACATGTAAAAGGAGTCCTAGGAAAGAGAATGGGGCAATGGAAATATTTGAAGAGATGATAGCTGAAAGTTTTCCAAATTTGAAGAAAATCATCAACCCCAAACCCAAGAAGTTCAGAAAACAACAAGCAGAATAATTGCAAATAATATGTTCTATGAACTATTAGGTGCATGATAGTCAAATTGCTAAAATCCAAGGATAAAAAAACAAATCTTCAAAAGCAGCCAGCAGGAAAACAAAGCAAAGAAGGAATACTACTTTCAGAGGACCAGGATGAGTTATAACTGACTTACTAGAAACAGCAAAAATAGAAGACAAGGAATTATTCTTAATCATGTGAAAAAGTCATCCTAGAAGCCATCCTAGAATTCTAAATCTTCAGCAATAATAGCATATAAAAAAATTCTGGAAAAATAAAATTTGGTGGGCTTTGTCCCCAAGAGACTCACACTAAAAGGTGTTTAGTTCAGGCTGAAGTAATAACAACTTCCTGATGTCTTCAGGAAGATACATTGCTAAATGTTACACTTTAAAAATAATATTTAGAAGACTATTGCCTGTTTTATTAAATATTTTAAATATTGTTTTAAAACATGCAAAGAAATGAAATATATGACAAAAGAGCATCACTAAAAAGCCAGTAGAATAAAGAATAAAATTCTCTCTAAAAATATTCAATCCAAAATAAGGCAGAAAAAAAGGAACAAAGAAAGATGAGTCCAATAGAAAACAAAGGACAAGATGGTGTATTTAAGTTTAACAAATGTATAACCACATACAATCCAAATGGACTACACTCTAATTGAAAGACAGATGCAATCCCAGCACTTTGGGAGGCTGAAGCAGGATGATCACTTGAGCCCAGGAGTTTGAGACCAGCTTGGGCAACATAGCCAGACCCCATCTCTGCAAAAAATTTTAAAATGAGCCAACCTGGGCATGGTGGCACATGTCTATAGTCCCACCTATTTGAGAGGCTGAGGTGGGAGGATAAGTTGAACTGGGAGGTCAAGGCTACAGCCATGATTACACCACTGCACTCCAGCCTGGGTGACAGTGAGAATTTGTCTCAAAACGGAAAAAACAAATGAAAGAAAGAAAAACAGAGAATGTTTTAGACGCTTAATCTACTGGAGGAAGAGTATGAAATCCTCCAGTTCCCAAGACCCAAGCAAAGATTCACTACTTCAGGGGAAAGTGATAGTAGCAAAATCCACCTCCCCAGGGAAAGGGGCAAGAAACCTTCTCACACAGAGAATCTTGTCTGACTACAACAGGGCTACTAAGCAGGAACACTGAGAAAGCCCTAATCTGAGCCCTGGGCTCACAGGATCTGCCCAATAAGTGACTACTTGAGGATGATGATTGTATTAGTCCATTTTCACACTGCTATAAAGAAATATCATAGACTGGGTAATTTGTAAAGGAAAGAGGTTTAATTGACTCACAGTTCCACTTGGCTGGGGAGGCCTCGGGAGAGATAGAACCATGGTGGAAGGTGAAGGGAAGCAAGCACCTTCTTCACAAGGCGGCAGGAGAGAGAATAAAAGCGGGCACAGGAAAAAGTGACACTTTTAGAACCACCAGATCTCATGAGACTCACTCACTATCATGAGAACAGCAGTGGGGAAACTGCCCCATAATCCAATCACTTCCATCCCTCAACAAGTGGGGATTACAGCCCTTGACACGTGTGGGATTCCAATTTGAGATGAGATTTCGGTGGGGACACAGAGCCAAATGATATTTTATTTCCTTTCATCCATGGGCAAAGGTTTGTAAGATATTTTCAAGAAAATTTAGAGTGCTAATATAGTTTCAGTTTCACAAATCTTGAAACTGCTAGTTTTTCCCCCAAATTTGAAACTTTTTTTTGGTTTATGCAAGACATTTTGAACAAGTTTTAATAAGGCATTTAAACATCTCTTCCCTTTTCTAAAATACATGCCTCTTTAATAATTGGAAGGAAACCATTACTTTTTTAACACAATGTCGAGTTCAGAGCTAGATAATGAAGTTAAACAAGTATATTCTTCCTTTAAGTTTTCTAGGTAGATGGTGTCTTTAAATCTAAATTAAAATATCTTCGCATACTTTGAGGGCATAAGCTTTAGGAGTTTCTTATAATTGCTTACATTGACTTTTCCTAGGCTGTAAATTCAGTCTTGCCTTACAATTAAAATGATTTCAATTACATTTGTGGTTTACATTTAAAAACCTATGAAGTACATTTTTTTCCTTTATAAAAAGTATGCACTGGTTTTCTTTAAAAGCATTTCAAAATCTTGACCATAAAAGCAAATAGCTGATTTCTTTTTAACAAAAACATGAACAAGTTACATATTTTACATGCGAGGTAACATTGGGGTATTTATAACATCATTACCAAATTCTAGTTGGTCTAAATAAGTTTCCTAAAATAATCTCTAGTTTGGAACATACTGAAAAGAGGGAAGCAGCACAGTATAATAAAGTGCTTGACTGAAAGTCACCTGATCTGGCTTCTTTTTCTGAGTCTATCACTAACTAGCTGGGTGACCCTCTATGTCTCAGCTTTTCCTCTGTGCAGTTAAGAGTTTGGATTATGTTATCTCTCTGGTTTCTTTCATATCCGACATTCTTTATGCACGCTATTCAATTGCCTTATTCTATATTTAACCCCTTTTTGCTGTCTCTAGTGAAAGCATCCAGTTTTATAAGAAGAAGATTAAATTTGCATTAGAATTACCCAGAGATATTTATTAAACAACAGATTCCTGGGCCGCAGTCCTATAGCTACAATTTAGTAAGTATGAAGTAGGGCCCAGTTACATGAATTTTTAACCATCATGGCAGGTGATTCTGATTTGGTGCTTACAGGTACAAGAGCCTACAATATAAAATGCTTTGTATTTTAAGGGTAAGGGTAGGATGAGTAGGGTAGGACAGGTAGGGTATCCATCCCACCCCGTCCCCTTTCCACTGAAAGCCATTTTCATAGCTCAATACAATCCTTCTCTGCCCTCCTCACCCTTCAATGTCCCGCATATCCTCATTCTTTTGGGACGTGGTACAACAGCTTGAGAACCGCTGAACACAGGTACAAGCTATAACACAGGCAAGCTGGGGAATGCTATGGTGGCCGAGGCCCAGGTGGGGTGTCGCTGCTGGCCAAGGGTCCCCAGCTTGCAAAGTGACTGAGAAGAAATATCCTACATCATTTACAAGCATCAGAGAGTAACAAGGCAATAAAGAGCTCTATTTCTCTAAGGCCATTTCTGATTCTGGAAGAGGTGCTGAAAGACAGGGAAAATTATCAGTATTTTTAACAGCTTCATGGAGTAAGGGGAGTCTAGGACTTTTAAAATATAAAATGCTTTATATTTTAAAGTAAGTTCTATTATCCAGCCTAGAGAAATCTAAAGCCTATATTATATCAATAGACATGGAGAGAATTTGATTGACTTGGGATATATCTATGAAATCTACTAAACCAGACTTTCAATTTCATCAATATGTTGAACAAGGATAGAGGAATTTAGGGTGAAGATCATGTTCTTTGCTTGGGAAGATGGATGGACAGTAAAGCCTTTTACTCTGACAGCAACTAAGGAGTATGACCAAAAGGGGAATGAGTTAAGAGAATAGTCCAGAAAATTGGCACATTTTAGACATTCTTGCCTATGACACATTCACACAGATTTGTTCTGAAGGCAAATGGACATATAAGTCCAGTTCTCAGGAAAAAGGTTTAGAATGAGGATAGAAATTTAACATTTATCCACATCCAGATGGTAATTAAGGTCCCCAAAAAGGATAAAATGTCCAAGAAAAAATAAGCTGTGAGAGAAGTTATTTTAGGGGATATAAATAACCCAAATATATTTAAGGTAGTCGATATCCATATTTAATGTGCATGAAAATCATCTGGGTGTTTCTGCAGTTTCCAAGGGCCTTATCAAAAGAAATTCATAGTTTCTTAAATTGGGCTGGATCCCGGAGTCTAATTTTTAACAAGCACTGCATGTGATTCTGATATAAGGGATCCTTAACCACAATCGGAGGGACACTGAAGTATAGGCTTAATAGCAGACATTTCTCGTTACAAAGATAGATGAATAAATAGATATGTTTGGACATAAATATATGTTTGTTGAATAGAATTTGCATTTGATCCAAAATAATTACTCTTGCATGTCACAGGCTAAATAAAAATAATAACCATCTATATTTATGAACTATAGTAGCTTTATCCTAAGCACTAGATTGAGAATTGAGAAAGAGAAAGCATCTTACATGCTTTGTCTCTACATTATTGCTCCCTAGTACTTTACTGAGTGCTTGGTACATAAATGCTTAATATATATTAATTGAGCTGAATTGTATGAATAAAATTATTGGTAGATTTTGCTTTTCTTTTCTTTTAAAATAAATACCTATAATAGCAAAAAAAAAGAGCATTATCGAATTAGAAAGCCTAATACTGTAAACATATCAATTTCCCTCAGTCTCTCATTCATTACATGTGTGAACACGGTTAAGTTTCCTAATCAGTAAAACAGGATAATAACAGAAACTGCTGAGACATCCATGCAGTTAAGGGCAGAGTAGGTAATTAACACCACCCATCTCCTTGACGACAAACTGAATAAAATCTTTTTAAAAATATGCTTGTGATAGAGGCAGGAGGCAGAGAAATTCTAGGCAGACAGGGGTGGGTCCTTGGTGAAACCCCACCTGCAAGACGAAGACAGTTTAAAGCCTGAAAGCCAAGCTACAAGTTACATCCTTGGACCCGACTGAGAACTTGTCTTTCTGTTTGGCATGCTTTCCCCTGACTGGTCTCCACCCTTCACCTATTTTACATATACCTACCCTTTGCTAATTGGTTTTTCTACACTGTCTTGCCCAGCTTTGAATGGTGTCTTCCCTTTAACCTTTTTTGCATACTCACAAACCAATCAGCACACACTCCCCATTCTGAGTCCATAAAAGGCCCCAGAACTAGTCACATGGGGAACTCTCTCACCTTCTGGTAGGGGATCAATCTCCTTGTGTCTCCTCTCCACTGAAAGCCATTTTCATTGCTCAAGTAAATGCTTCTCTGCCCTCCTCACTCTTCAATGTCCCGCATATTCTCATTCTTTTGGGGGATGGTACAAGAACTCGGGAACCACTAAACACAGTTATAAACTATAACACAGGTGAGCTGAGACACATCAGTGTGGCCGAGTGAGGTCCGGGCAGGGTATCACTGCCAGCTGGGGATTCTTGGCTTGCAAAGTGACCGAAAAGAAAAACCCTACATCATTTGCAGGCATTGGAGAGCTAACAAGACAATGAACAGCTTTAAGTAGGAAAGTCAGGAAGGTTAGAATGGACTTGGAGGCTGTTGTTTCTCAAGGCCATTTCTGATTCTGGTAGAGGTGCTGAAAGACAGGGAAAATTATCAGTGCTTTTAACAGTTTCATGGAGTAAGGGGAGTCTAGGACTTCTAAAAAGAGTAGGTTGGTAAACCCACCATTCTGTAGGTTAGGATCATGTCAGGCTACTCTTTAGGAAGAGTATGACCTGTAATCCTTACAACAGGATTAAGGTAAACTGAGATTGCTATTTCACCTGGCCACCTGTCAGAATCAACTATAAATGCTGTCTGGAAAAATGCCATATCATCCTAGGTCTCAAATCATTTCTACAACTTTTCAGACAAAATGTCTCACACTGAATCAAAAATAACCAGTCACATGAGGAAGAAAGACCACATGGAGCGTTAGAGAACAGACAATAGAAATAAGAACTGATTCATAAGGGTTCTGAATAAAGGAGCTATTAAAACCAGACTTTAAAATAATTAAGATTATTACACTCAAAAAAGATTAGGATCTTTGTTTTAGTATCAAATAGAATTGAAAGCACAAAAATTGGAGTTACACACTCTTTGTATATTAAGAAAGCAGAATTAGGCATAGCTGGAGAGAAAAATAGTAAACTAATATGTGAATCAGAAGAAATTATCCAGATTGAATATTAAGGAGCAAAAGAAAAAGGAAAGAGAAAAATATGAAGGAGATAGCCATAAACCTAGGAAATAAATTAAGAAGTTCTAACAGATAAGTCATTGGAGTTCAAAAGGAAACTATAGAATCAGGCAGGAGCAGTATCTGAAAATATAATGCATAGAAGTTTTACAAAATGTAAAAGAGATGATAAGTCATATATTTAAGAAGTTCTACCAATGATATGATACATTGCAAAATAAAATGGCCAGAAATTTCTCTCATTCCTGAATGAAAATCATTTTGCAATGTGATTTTGTTGCTTATTGTATTGGGAAGTAAAGTGTAATACTTCATCTCCTTGAATTTGGTCTAGCCTTGTGATTTGTTTTGGCTAGTGGGAATGAGAATGTGGAAGAAGTTTGGATATGGGATTTCTGAGCACAGACCTCAAGAAGCTTTGGAACTTTAGCTCCCACTCTCGTGCTGCTATAGACTGCCACGTGAGGAAACTGAGACTAGCCTTCTTAAAGATGAGAGGCCATATGAAGAGACAGGACCAATGAAGAGCCAACACCAACTATAAGACATATGACTAGCCCAGAGTGAGCAATTAAATGACTGCAGCTGCATAAGTCACTGCAGCGAGGACAAACAGAAGAACGAGCCAGCTGAATCCAGCCCAAATTGCTAAACCATAGAATTGTGAGCAAATAAATTGAATGCACTGTTTTAAATAAATAAACAAATGCATTGCTTTAAGGCATTCAAACATTAGAATCATGTATTAAACAGCAGCAACAACTCACACAAAAATTGATATCTAAGATTATGTTGCTGCTGTAATAAAAACATAAAACATATGCCACTGACCCTGGGATTTGGTGTTGAGTGAAGCCTGGAAAATTGTGGAGGAAACTCACTGTAAGTGAGAGGTGACAGCGTGTGGCAGTCCTCACAGCCCTCGCTCGCTCTGGGCGCCTCCTCTGCCCGGGCTCCCACTTTGGCGGCACTTGAGGAGCCCTTCAGCCCGCCGCTGCCCTGTGGGAGCCCCTTTCTGGGCTGGCCGAGGCCGGAGCCGGCTCCCTCAGCTTGCGGGGAGGTGTGGCGGGAGAGGCGCGAGCGGGAACCGCGGCTGCGCGTGGCGCTTGCGAGCCAGCTGGAGTTCGTGGTGGGCGTGGGCTTGGCGGGCCTCCCACTCGGAGCAGCTGCCCTGCCGGCCCCGGGCGATGAGGGGCTTAGCACCCCGGCCAGCGGCTGCGGATGGTGTACGGGGTCCCTCAGCAGTGCCGGCTCACCTGCGCTGCGCTCCATTTCTCACCGGGCCTTAGCTGCCTTCCCGCGGGGCAGGGCTCGGGACCTGAAGCCCGCCATGCCTGAGCCTCACACCCCCTCCGTGGGCTCCTGTGCGGCCCGGGCCTCCCCGACGAGCGCCGCCCCCTGCTCCACGGCGCCCAGTCCCATCGACCGCCCAAGGGCTGAGCAGTGCGGGCGCAGGGCGCGGGACTGGCAGGCAGCTCCACCTGCAGCCCCGGTGCGGGATCCACTGGGTGAAGCCAGCTGGGCTCCTGAGTCTGGTGGGGATGTGGAGAACCTTTATGCCTAGCTCAGGGATTGTAAATACACCAATCGGCACTCTGCATCTAGCTCAAGGAAGGTTTGTAAACACACCAATCAGCACCCTGTGTCTGCTCAGGGTTTGTGAATGCACCAATGGACACTCTGTATCTAGCTACTCTGGAGGGACCTTGGAGAACCTTTATGCCTAGTTCAGGGATTGTAAATACACCAATCGGCACTCTGCATCTAGCTCAAGGAAGGTTTGTAAACACACCAATCAGCACCCTGTGTCTGCTCAGGGTTTGTGAATGCACCAATGGACACTCTGTATCTAGCTACTCTGGAGGGACCTTGGAGAACCTTTATGCCTAGCTCAGGGATTGTAAATACACCAATCGGCACTCTGCATCTAGCTCAAGGAAGGTTTGTAAACACACCAATCAGCACCCTGTGTCTACTCAGGGTTTGTGAATGCACCAATGGACACTCTATATCTAGCTACTCTGGTGGGGCCTTGGAGAACCTTTATGTCCACCCTCTGTATCTAGCTACTCTGGTGGGGACCTGGAGAACCTTTGTGTCTAGCTCAGGGATTGTAAACGCACCAATCAGCGCCCTGTCAAAACAGATCAGCAGGATGTGGGTGGGGCCAGATAAGAGAATAAAAGCAGGCTGCCCAAACCAGCAGTGGCAACCCGCTCGGGTCCTCTTCCACACTGTGGAAGCTTTGTTCTTTCGCTCTTTGCAATAAATCTTGCTACTGCTCAGTCTTTGGGTCCACATTGCTTTTATGAGCTGTAACGCTCACCGCGAAGGTCTGCATCTTCACTCCTGAGCCAGCGAGAGCACGAACCCACCAGAAGGAAGAAACTCGGAACACATCCAAATATCAGAAGGAACAAACTCCAGACACGCCACCTTAAGAGCTGTAACACTCACCGCGAGGGTCCATGGCTTCATTCTTGGAGTCAGTGAGACCAAGAACCCACCAATTCTGGACACATAAGCAGGAAAAGCAAGGGGGAAACATCTACCGGAGACTAGAAAATGGTGACTTATGTAATGCAGTGGCAGGTGAAACGATAACCTGAAGTTACTTAAAAGACAGAAATGCATTTAATGCATGTGTGGATCTAAACAAGGCAATCTGGAATAGAATATTGACAATGTTGGTTTCCAAGCAGAGTTTAGAGGAAATATAGAGGGCCTAGGACTTTCTGGCTTGTAAAATACAACTATTTCTCGTCCCCTATTCTTCCAGCTAGCAAAATATTCTCAACGTAAGAATTAGTGTCAGTAAAGGTCAAATCATGGGTGTGGCTCTATGATACTTTAGTAAGACCTCAGACAGATTTCAGAAGAAGGCTGGTAGACCCTCACAGCTTGACAAAAGAATTTTAAGACTATTGCCTCCCAGCTGCCTGACATGACCAAAGTAGAGACAGATCTGTCTTGAGAATAATTGCACACATGGCTTTGAGGATTTAGAGTGTCACCCAATAAGATTTAAAGGAAATCCACAAAGTTTTAAGGAGAATTGTATTTATGAAACAAAACACTGCTAGTTTGGTCTAAAAGAGGCTGAGACTCTCCAGGCTCTTCAATGTAAAAGATGGCCCCTGAGCTCATAACTATGGGAAGAGGAACGATGAGAAACATATGTAGCTGCAAAATAGACCCTTTCATATAGAAAGGGCCTACTGAGAGAGTAAAGCCAGACACTCAGACAACATTGGACTAAAACACTACTCCTAGGTAATGTAAACAGATCATAAGCAAGGAGCATTCTCTGCATCTGGAGGAGGAGAAACTAACAATAAGTGTGTGCCTACATTTCAAAAAAATCTATGGACTGATGATTGTTATATGCTTCTCAATCTTCCTCTTTTAAATGGAGTTTCTATTAAGTTATCCTATCCCTGTCTCACCATTTGTATTCTGGATGTATGGAGGCATTTTACGTGTCTTTTAAGTTCAAAAGTCTTTTTTTGAGTTCAGAAGAGATGCCGTAGAGGAAGAGCTGTACTCTAAAAGCCTTGTCATTATCAGGCCTGGATGCAGATCAAAAGATCCAAAACCATGAGCCTGATGCTGCAATCGAATGAGAGTTTTGAGAGTCCTCAGGACTCACGAGCATATTTTGCACGTGAAGAAAATGTGAATAATTTGTAACCAGATGACATATTGTGCTATTAACAAAAATAGCCACAAATTCCTCCCATTCATATACGCACACCCATTGACACTATAACTTTTTTTTTCTTTCTTCAAGAGATGGAGTGTATTTCTTCCTCACTTACAATCAGAGTTTGTCTTAGAACTTCTTTAACCAACAAAATGTAATGGAAGTTATATTTAGGGAATCATGTGTACGGTATTAAGAGGCTTTGCAGCTGCACTGCCCAAGAGTTAGTGAAGAATCCGGAGCTAGCCTCCTTAAGAATGCAAAACCACATAAAGAATGTCCAACCAGGCCAGGCACGGTGGCTCACGCCTGTAATTCCAGTACTTTGGGAGGCTGAGGCAGGCGGATCCTGAGGTCAGGAGTTCGAGACCAGCCTGAGCAACATGGTGAAACCCCGTCCCTGCTAAAAATACAAAAATTAGCCAGGCAGCTGGCGCACGCCTGTAATCCCAGCTACTCGCAAGGCTGAAGCAGGAGATTCGCTTGGCTGAAGCAGGAGATTCGCTTGAACCCAGGAGGCAGAGGTTGCAGTGAGTTGAGATCACGCTATTGCACTCCAGCCTGGGCAACAGAGGGAGGCTTCATCTCAAAAAAAAGAAAAAAAGAAGAAAAAAAAAGAATGTCCAACCAATGTCTTGTCTTGCATGTAGCACAAAATGTGAAAAAAAAAAAAAAAGAAAGAAAAGGCATCTTAAAACAGCCCAAGTTAAGCTTCCAGATGACTACCACTACATTAGTAATATGGGCAGGACTTGCAGAAGAATCAAGCCAAACTGCTGACATACAGAATCTCAGCAAATAAAAGTGTTGTTTAAACCTGTAAGTTTTGAATTTTTTTGCTAGAGTAATAGAGAACTGATACAACCCCAAGTGCAGCCAATATATAATTTATAAACAAAGGAAAAATTTAAAAATTTTCAGAAAAGTAATGTAAGCAAGAACGAATCAACAGAATATTCTTAACACTGACAATTCTAAATAAATCTAGATTAAAATATAAGAGATGCAGGAAAGATGAAGAGAATCAAAGGGTGAATAGGTGGGTAAATATAAATGCGTAATAACTACATAAAACAGTAGCAATAGTTCTTCAGTGTATCTGATAGATACATAGGAAAATAAATAGGTACCAGTTAGATAGATAGAGAGAGGGAGAAAGAAGAGAGATATTAGAATCACAATTCTAAAAGCAGTAAGTTTGAAGGAGTATATATGGAGTTAAAATATTCTAAGTGTCTTGAGTTACTGGAGAAAGCGTAAAAGTTCCAGGGAACATTAAACTTAATTTATCAAGGATGCATTTGTAATCTCTAGGGTGACTTTAAAAGAGGAATAAAAGAAGACACAACTATCAAACTAATAAAGGGAGAAATTGATTGATAAAAACAACTATTCCAAGAAAAGACAAAGAGGGAAAGAAAAGAACATACAGCAGGCAGGACAAATAATAATGTGGTGGAGTACATTGTTTAGGATGGACTAGCAAGTGGAAGAGGGTATGAAGAAGCTTTCAGGGTCTTGAAAATGTTCTATTTGTTGATAAACTTACTAGTTGCACAAATGTTCAATTTGTAACAATTTGTTGATCTCTACATTTATGTTTATGCAATTTTCTTTTCTTTGTTTTTTTCATTTTTATTTTTAATTTATTTATTTATATTTTTGAGACGGAGTCTTACTCTGTTGCCCAGGCTGGAGTGTAGTGGCGCGATCTAGACTCACTGCAACCTGTGCCTCCTGGGTTCAAGCAATTCTCCTGCCTCAGGCTCTTGAGTTGCTGGGACTACAGGCTCATGCCACCACACCCAGCTAATTTTTGTATTTTTAGTAGAGATGGGGTTTCACTGTGTTGGCCAGGCTGGTCTCGAGTTCCTGACCTCAGGTTATCCACACACCTCAGCCTCCCAAAGTGCTGGGACTACAGGCATGAGCCACCGCACCCAGCCAATTAATGCTTATGCACTTTCCTATATGTGTTTATTTCACAATTTAAAAAGTTAAACACACACACGCACACAAACATGCCCAAACAACCTACCTACCCTATAGGGGTCTTAAAAAGATAAATTGATACAGAGTATATAAAGATTAAACTTATCATCTGACACATCAAAAACACTAAATAAATGTATATTTGCTATTACTATCATTATTAGTTTTCTGTATCTTGAGCAATTCAAATAAAAATATCAATAATAATTGTTAACTTTACAAAATTAGTCTAATATTTATTCCAAAGAATCAATTGACAAAAATAGCCAATAATTTACAGTGAAAGAAGAATCAAAAGGTTTCTTGTCCTAACAAATATTTTAAATATATATATATAATTAGTAAACATGACACTAACATATGTCTACAAGAATATAATAACTTGGATATATATTAAATGCATGTTATATTTTATCAAATAAGAAATTAGCATTTCAGATTCGTTGAAAAGCAAATTACTTAGAAAAATAGAATATACATGACTTGATGTCGTTTTAATTTCAGCAGCAAATGCCTTGTTACCTGATCCCCCAACCCCTCTCTTGCCCTTACTACTGTCTCATCAGTTTGCTCTCACGGTACTTTAATGAGAGTAATGTGACTCTCAACTTATTCGCAAGACTCTTTTCTTTGAAGAGTTAAGTCACCCGTTTATTTCATACTTATTCCTCCTCAAAGCAGGATTTTTAAGTAAAATGTTTCCAGGCAAGTGCTATTTCTTGAGAGCTTGTTTGGAGGTTCTAGCAGGGGAATGCAGCTACTCGTATACCCTTGACGGAAGACCGGTCCTCCTCTACGTGGTATGGTCATCCTCTTCCACCAAGTGCACAGCTTCTGGAGGGACACACATGGAGCCGTGAGGAAGGGGACACCCGCCTAGCCAGCCATATCAGCTGAATCAACCCTGGTGATAATGGGGTGACAGATGTTGCAACCAGATTGCCCTCACATCCGCAAGTGCTATTTCTTGAAGTTATTCCTTTTAGTATCTTGTGTTCCTTTTAATTAGCACTTTTTTCATAAAATTCAAAAACACCTTTATTTCTTTTGCAAAAGTAGAATTGATATTGTTATGGCTAAACCACCATATACAATGATATTGGTACAACCAGTTAATTGCTTAGTTAAAAAAAAACAAAAATCACCAATAAAGCAAAAGTTATTGCCAGAAGAATTAAAGATGACTATTTAAAAAATAAAAGCATAAATATGGTAGGAGAAAAGATAAGTGGCTATTTATGCTCCTTGAATTGAGAATAGTTTTTTTGGTAACAGCTCTGTTAAGATAAAACACACACCACACACACGGTTTTTAGTATATTCTCAAGGTTGTGCAACCATCACTAAAATCAATTGCAGAATTCTTTCATCACTCAAAATAAAACTTGTACCCTTCAGCTATCATTCTCCTAGCTCCTTGTCTTCCCCAAACCCCCAGCCGTAAGTGACCACTAATCTACTTTCTGTCTCAGATTTCCCTGTTCTGGATATTTTATATAAATGGAATCATGTAAGATGTGGTCTTTTTACTGCCTTATTTGAGTTAGCATAAAGTTTTCAAGGTTCAGACACATTGTATCATGTATCATTAATTTATTACTTTTTATAGCCAAATAATATTCCATGGTATGAATATGCCATACTTATTCATCATTTGATGGATATTGGGGTTGCTTCTACTTTTTGGCTATTGTGAATAATGTTGCTTTGAATATTATGTACAAGTTTCATTTTGGTTACTCTACTTTTAAACTCCAGAAAAATCACTGGTTGTTTTGAAAATAATTTCTATCACTTTATGGACATTCTCTATTTGTTTTTGTTGGTGGGGTTCTTTTTTGTTTTTGAAACAGGGTCTTGCTCTGTTATCCAGGCTGGAGTGCAGTGGGACGGACCATCATGGCTCACTGAAGCCTTGACCTCCCAGGCTCAGGTGATCCTCCCACCTCAGCCTCCCGAGTAGCTAGGACTACAGGCGCGCCACCAACCCTGGCTAATTTTTTATGTTTATTTTTAGTTTTTACTTTTGTACTGATAGTGGTCTCACTGTATTGCTCAGGCTGGTCTTGAACTCCTGGGCTCAGCAATCCTTCCACCTCAGCCTCCCAAAGTGCTGGGATATCAGGTGTGAGCCACATTCTGATATGAATGTCAAATACAGCTGACATTCTGTATTTGAAGCAACATGGTTATCATGTCTTCTTTTACTTTTTTAATCATTCTTTCCTTTAGTTCTGTGAACATATTTATAATAGTTACTTTGAAGGTTTTCTTTTCTTTTTTCTGCTGAATCTGACATCTGGTTTCTCTCACAGGTAGTTTCTGTTGCCTGCTTTTATTTTTCTCTTGTATGAGTCACACTTTCCTGTTTCTTTGCGTGTCTCATAATTTGTTGTTGAAAACTTAATTTTAGATAATATATTGTTACAACTCTGGAGGGCCCCCTTCTGCCTCACATGTTTATTGTAGTTTGCATGTTTAGTTGTATAGTCACTTGCTGGGCTGTTAGAATAGGGTCTATTTCCCTCACAGTATGAAGACTCTGATTTTGCTCCTCAGAGGGTGCAGGCTGACATGTGCACAGTCAGCCTCCAATACAGTGCTTTTAGAAGGGCTGTCTTCCAGGCTCTTTTTCCATGATCATACCCAGCTGTTAAGCTCTACTAATTCCCAACTGATTGATCTATTGTTTATACAATGCCCTGGAGCATAAATTGCTCCCTAGACTGAAAACAATTCAATTAAACTTGGGTTCCTTTATGGGGTAATTTTGAGATGAATGTCTGAGGTTTGCTTGGACCCAAAGAAGGCTCTTCTTAGCTCTCTTTTTTTTCTCTCATAAGCTTACTGGTTTGTGGTTTAACTTAAATCCCTCATGAAGGTACCATCCTCTTCCTAATTGCTTTCTACCAAAACCTCCTTTGATTTTGAGATCCTTAAAATTGAACTTCTCTACACTCCGTTGAAAGTCAAGTCAGTTTTTTTGTTTATTTTTTTGTTTTCTTATGGCCTATCTCTTCCCCTGGACCAAATCTCTGAGCCATGGCTTTGGAATTAGTTGTGGGGACAGTCATATGCTTCTCTCTGATGACAACCTAGATTTAGAAGGAATCTTGGTGGGGGCAGCAGCCTCTGGTATTCTAGGCGTACCTCTTGACACAGAACCTTCTCCTTACAAATTAGCTATGTTTAGGGCAATTGGCTAGAAAGAATCTCCCTGTTCTATGAATGAGGGCTGAGTGAAAGAAGGTAGCCTTGACCTCCTGGCCACACTCTCCTGATATTTAGCCTCTGCAACAGGTAATTGTGGGGAGGACAGGAAATGCTAAAGGCATGTCCTTCCCAGAAAGATGCCACATTCCCTTTACTGGGTTCTGGGGTTGCCTGGGGAGTGAAGGGTACTACTATGTTATTGGCTGTGCTCACCTGGAGTGGAGTTTCTGCCGTGCTGAGCTGGCAGGGAGAAGGTTGTGGAACAAATGCCACAGACTCTCACCGTTCTTGATGAGTTTTACTAGATTTTCTTGAATAAATATTTCTTCATTGATATATATGTCCTTAAAACCACTTCCAGAGTTTTTAAATGTGTGTGTGTTTAAATAATTTTCACCTCCACTTAGCTTGTTTTCCTTGGGAGTGGGTCCACTGGACTCCTTACATTTTGATTCCATATGTCAGAACCCAAGAATATACTTTAAATATATGACACCAAAGATAGAAATGTAAAGAAAAACTACTAAATTGATTATATAAAAATGTAAAAAATCTTTCTCTCTCTCTCTCTTTCTTTCTTCTTTTCTCTTGAGATGGAGTCTCGCTCTGTTGTCCAGGCTGGAGTGCAATGGCATGATCTCGGCTCACTGCAACCTCCACCTCCCGGGTTCAAGAGATTCTCCTGTCTCAGCTTCCTGAGTAGCTGGGATTACAGGTGCCTACCACCGCACCCAGCTAATTTTTGTATATTTAGTAGAGAAGGGGGTTTCGCCATGTTGGCCAGGCTGGTTTCAAACTCCTGACCTCAGGTGATCCACCTGCCTCAGCCTCCCAAAGTGCTGGGAGTACAGATTTCTAAAGTTAAAAGGCAAATAGAAAGAAATATTTTCAACGGATAAAAGTTTACTACCTTAAATATTCTGAAATCTTTGACTAATCTCTAGGATAAAGATGAAAACTCAAATAAATGAATAAGGAACACAGAGGCAATTCATAAAATGCATATAACACATAAACATAAAAAAATCTTTAACCTCACTAGAATTTTTTAAAAAAGGAAAACAAGAAACACTTTATGTCCACAAATTAGAAAATATATAAATAAACTTACAATACTCAGCAAAGAACTGAAAAAATACACTATGATGAGAGAGTAAATTGACACAAACTTTGGCGAAATGAATAAATATCATATTAAAAACATATATAACCTTTCCATGTTGCATTTAATTTATTTAAAGACGGTATATATAGTGTGATGTATGGCTGATGGCTGTGTGCGTGCATGTGTTTTCGTGTGTATTGTTTTTAACCTGTAAGGGTACTGCTGTTAACATTTGCAGAGCCCTAATCAGGAATACATATTGCAGAGGGCAGGTAGCATCTGTAAACGTCTTATCTGAAACTCTCTTGAGATTCAATTAACAGCATTTACTATCAACAATACAAGCCTTGCTAATTGGCACAATTGAACATAGCAATGATTATTATCACTGGTGAATGATTATTTTCTCTGGTGAAAAGATTGGTGTTTAAGATATGGGTCTGGCTAGAAATACTGCACAGTGAGTTTTGCCCTTGCATAGCACAGAAGGAAAATCTGGTGAGCCGAATAACTTATAATCTTAGGAATGATGTTTTGTGATTTTGATTCCGATCAGTTCTGTGTTGAGCAGTTTTCAGAGGATTTTTTTGCCTGACTCCAAGTAAGACTTTAATTGAATCCTGCCCTTGCAATATTGTCGCATTTGCCTCTGGTGAATCTTTGATTCAAAAGGCTATTGGAGAAACTGTAAGGACAGAGGAGTTGGGACTTTATTGAGCTTACAGTTTGAATAGCTGCTTTTTAATGTCTGCTATGTTGTTATGTGTGCAGAATTTAGCCTTGAATTATCTCTTCTTACAATTTACTACATTATTTTGAGGGTGATGAGGATGAGGCCTAGAGCCCTCATTACCTCTAATTGTTGATCATGGATATCTACCAGAAAGAATCTAATAATTATGAATGAGGAAAGTCACAAGACTTTTTGATATGGTTTGACTCCCTGTCTGCACCCATAATTCTCATGTGTTGCGGGAGCTGCCCAGTGGGAGACAATCGAATCACGGAGGCAGGTCTTTCCCATGCTGTTCTTGTGATAGTGAATGTGTCTCACCAGATCTGATGGTTTTGAAAACCAGAGTTTCTCTGCACAAGCTCTCTCCTGTCTTTGCTGCCCTCCATGTAAGATGTGACTTGCTCCTCCTTGCCTTCCGCCATGCTTGTGAGGCTTCCCAAGCCACGTGGAACTGTGAGTCCAATTAAACCTCTTTCTTTTGTAAATTACCCAGTCTCTGGTATGTCTTTATTAGAAGTGTGAAAATGGACTAATACCCTTTCTGACCTAGTAGATCAAGTTCTGGGAATTTATTCTGAGTTAATAATTTAAAATGTGTGTAAAATTTAACATCAGTGTATTTATCAATGAGTTATTTATCATAGCAGAACACAAACAACTTGAATGCTCAACAATAGAGAACTGATTATCTGTAGTATATTCTGAAATGGAATATTAAGCAGCTTTTAAAAGTGAGGGGATATATAACTATTGAATGATAGAGAAAAGTTCAGGACACATTGAATATGAAGAAACTGATATTAAAAACATGAACAAAATGAAAATATTTAAGAAAATATGTAATTACAGTTATGTGAATACAATGTAAATTGTTTAGGATAAGATGAAAAGATAAATGATTTGATGAATTCTGTATAAATTGAATGTCTCTAAATTGAATCGCATACCATATGGGCGGATGTGGCCGTTTAAAGGAGACATTTGGTACAGTTGACCCTCATTATTCACAGATAACATATTTGTGAATTTGCCCACTTACTGAAATTTACTTATAACTCCAAAGTCAATACTTAAGGCACTTGAGTAGACACTTGTAGACGCACAGAGGTATTTGTAGATGCACAGAGAATAAAAATTGTAGTTGCCCAATGCACACATTCCCAGCTTAGATCAAACAAAGTGATGCTCTGTGTTCTTGTTTCAGCTCTCATATTCTAAAAAAGTCTCCTTTTTGCAGTATATTTAGTGCATGTTTCTCAAATTTTGGGTTTTTCTGTTGGTGATTTTGCTGCTTAAAATGGCCTCGAGCACAGTGCTGGAGTGCTGTCTAGCATTCCTAAGCAAAAGAAAGCTGTGATGTGCCTCACAGAGAAAATACATGTGTTAGATAAGTTTTGTTCAGGCAAGAATTACAGTGCTGCAGGCCATGAGTTCTATGTTAATGAATCAACAGTATATATTAAAGAAGGTATCTTTATCAGTTGATGAAAATCTTGTTACCAGAGGCTGTCAGGAACATAACCCTTTATTGTCTCCAGTGTTTGCAGTGACTTTATAGAACATAATTACTGAGGACATCAGAAATCAACTATAAATACTTTTGCAACTAATAGACCTTTGGAACAATTATTTTTGGATTTTGTATAAAGAATCCAAAAAAATCTGGAAAACGTGTGGCTAAGAAAACAGTTGATTGGTCCCTAATTCCACCTTATTATGTTTAAATTCAGTGGGTGTCTCACAGCCACGTTTATAAAGGAATCTTGGCTGGGGTGTCAGGTTTCTAGTTTACTTTGACTCTATCTGTCAGTCTGTGTCCAACCTTCATGGCAATTAACTGTGCTTTTGTGTGCTAATTATCATTATCCCAGTATGGGCCCATTATTAGTCCAATGTCCTTAGTTTAAAGCTTAAGTGTCAATCAGTCACCTAAAACAATTGCATAGAAGGAAGCTTTGCAAGGCTGGTTTGAAAGTCCTTAGCTGAGTTCTACTTTATTATACTCCAGTTCGAAACTGAACACAAAGCTCTTCTTGATACAATTGTTTATTTAAATACTGATTTATCTACTTAATTAAAGCAAACTTGAGTTTATATTTTAAAATCAGGGATGGGATAATTGCTACTTTATGCTTGAAGATCTATTCAGGTAGCTATACATTAAACAAGTAAAACCGTAATTATAAAACCTGCACATTTTTATCTGATTGAGTCGCTCCTGCCATTGAACGACCTTATTCAAGTCATTTAGAACAAAGAAAGGTGGCATATATGAGTTTTTTAAAATCCCACTGGATGCCAGGAGTAAGGAGAAAATAGCATCAAATCAGATGTGGTCAGAAAAGAGGTATTTCTTTTCCTGTGATGCTTTTCCTCTTTCCTCCTCTTACAGTAAATCCCCACTTATCAAATCTTCAGATGTGTAGAGAAGGAATAAGGCAGGGGTAATGGGGGAGTGGGACAGAGAGATGCCCTTTCTGGAGTTTGCACAACGGTTGCATGCTGAGTAAAACCTGATGATGTATTCCATTCATGTCTCCAAAAAGTCAAAAGCGGTTTCAGCGTTGATTTCCCTTAAGAGTTATCAGTCCTCATTCAATTGGTTTAATGAGTGTAAGAGGTGACCTTGTGTCTATGTAGATACTCCCATATTAAAAGACCTGGATGTAAAACTTCACATATGTGTAAATAGTTATTTTGGAGGGTGTTGTGAGGGTTATTGCAGCTCTCTGCTCAGCTGCTACTCAGGCTAAACGGGCAGGAGAAATTTTCCACTGTGTTAGAATGATGATTATTTGCAAATTACATGAGCACCAGTAATTCATTCATGCAATGATACAGAGCTGGGTCTCAGTGCAGTGGTATTGAACTTGCTGCTGGGGGCGTTAATTGATTCGTTTGGAACATTCCCCTCCAGAGAATCCCAATCACAGGTCCCCTGATCAAGAAACGGACACGCAGTCGGGGTCCTGGATATGTAGAGACACACGTGTGAGGCTGTTGTCATCAAAATAAACCATTTCTGTCCCCTGACAGGGGTTGAGTCTATTAGGAACACTCCCCAATCCTGGGAGCTTCCGCAAGAGGCTTTCTATCTTGGCAGAGGTGGCAGCTGAGCATCGCTTCTTTGCTGCAGGATGGAAAAAAGGGACTGGATTATTGGCTGCATTTTAAACTAGCTGCTGTTCTAGAGAAAATGTTGGGGAGGGACTGAACAAGCTTAGCACTGGATCAGTGTGGGGGTGTGTTGGTGAAAAGAAAAAATGCCTCCTCCTAACTTAACGTTTAACTGATATCCCCTCAACACGACCCAAATCTGTCTCTCCAGATACACAATGTCTGTTTTCCTAACTACATGGTGAACTGTGGAGCAAGTCTTGGTCATGTTTAGTTTGTTTCCCAGAATCTACTAGAAGACAATGCCTAGCATATAGCAGGCACAGAATAAGGGCCAAAGGGGAGAATGGAAACAAAATATGTACATTTGAAATTTAGAAACACAGTTAAGGGACTTTGCCTGAAATTGTCATAAAACTTTGAAAATTGCTTCAATGTATAGTCCCAGTGGGAGAATGTGACAGCATATTTTATTCTTTGTTCTTTTCTGAAATTCTGTGTCCAGTCTAAAACACGACATTTCCCTTTAATGTGTTAGGAGTATGCATGACTACACAGGAATATTTTCTGGAGAACTTCTGGTGAAGCATATTTTGATAAACAGTCTTACTAAAAGTTATATATATGTACTTTTAATTGACTAGTTGCAGAGAAATAATCAATGTAAAAAAAAATCATACATAGTACAGGTAGTAAAAGTCACAGTTCCGGCAGAAGCACAAAAGCCTTCAAAGTGAGTGGGAACCTGGGAACCATTGATCCTCAGTGGCTGTTTACCATGGAAAACACCTGCATCACCAACATTCCAGTTTTGCAAAAGTACCTCTATTACAGACACATACCAGGCAAGGAGGGAGGAAAAAGCCTGAAAATTTCTCTCCAAGTTTAAGTAATCAGGAAACTTTGGTGGGGAGGTTGGGGTGGGGTGGGGGCGGGGGGGTAACTTCTTTATTTAGCATTAATCTCAGCAATCATGAAAGTCATGGAATTTCAAGTGATGAAAAATTTGACCACAACAATACCTATCACTAGCCTGGTTTTGCCCACTTCTCGAACAGGAATTATAAAGATAATAATTAATTCTAAAAAGCAGAAGACAAAACAAACAAACCAAACCAACACTGAATGAACTAATAAGGCTGCTGCATATATATGTTGGAGTTGGATGTTTATTTGCTTACTGCAGTAGTTTAAAAATAGTTTTCCAGTTAACATCTTTTCCACATAGTGGAGATGTCAGGGTAGGTTTACATGATTGCGTAAATGGTCAGAAGTTGTTTATGTAGCTCTGAACTGCTGAGAGATGAGCAGGAAGACCTGGGTTCAGCAAAACCCTTGGGGCTTTTTCCCAGAGAGAGAAACAGAGGCTCCTCTCTGGGTTGCTGGAATGCTTTCCAGACGAATTCGACTGGGTTGGCTTTTCTCTGCCTGTCAAAGTCACTTTGCACAGTGCTGGTGAGGGGCTGGGGCATTGCTGCCAATCTCTACGGTTACCCCGAGGTGTGGAGTTGCGGCGAAGGGAGCCACTTCTGCAAGGAAACAGTAGATTCATAATGTAGAATGACCGTGGCAACGTCGTTCAAAGCACATTCTTTCGAATAACAAGGCTTTCGACATGCCCCACCCCCGCGCACAACACACCACAAATTGATCCTTGTACCTAATTTACAGCAACTGTTCCCTCTGACCTCCCCCCGCCCCCGCCCCACATTCCAACCTGAAAGCACTTTGCGTGGATGAGACTTCAGGTGTGTAACGCAGCCTGTCCAGCCAGTGTCCTCCGCCTAAGGACAGGCAGGTAAAAACCTACCAAAGCCCCCTCTTCTGGCCTAAGTTCAATGCCACCCGCCCACCCACATTCCCCGGTTCAGCAATTTTCAGCCCAGACGCAGAAGCATCTGTTTCCCTGGCCAGGGCGCCTTAACGATCCCCCGAATTCCGCGTCTCCCGGAGGCCAGAGGTTTGGGTACCCAGGAAGGTCGCGCCTCCTCGTGCCCCGATACTCGGGTTGTAAAGGGAGGAGACATCGCCTCGGCGCATCCCTGGCCGCTGAACAACGCAACCCCTACGTCCCCGCACGGGAATCCGGCTGATAATCTCCTCTTGCCTGAGAATCGGGCCAGGCGCCCTTTACTAATTTCGCGCGCTGGGGACCTGGGGCTGCCGCCTCTCGGCCGCGCGGGGCAGGTGCTGCGTCCCCAGCGCTCGCCTCCTCCGGCCGCGCACTGAGCATGCGCGGGCTCCGGGCCTCCGGCGCGTCTCCCCGTCCCCGCTCGTCTCCCGCCCGTTCCCACCCGCCCGCGCCTCTCCCCTTCCCCGAGCGTCTCCCCCGCCCCGCGGCTAAGGAGCCGGCAGCCCGAACTCCGGCGCGCCAGGTTTTTCCAGCCGCCGCGAGCGCCGGGAGGGAGGGCAGCGCCGCGCCAGACGGAGCCCGGGGTTCGACGCCAGGATTGGCTGCAAGTAGGGAGCTTTCGCCGCCGCCCCGGGCCCCTCGGACTGTGCCGGCGCCGCACCCGAGGCTCTCGCCAGCCCGGCGCCCCGGTGCTGAGGTAAGTGAGGCGGCAGCTGTGCGGGTCCGGCTCCTGCGTGGGCGCGCGATGCCCCGGGGACGCGGTCGCGGGTGTGGGGGGGAAAGGGCAGGGTCCGCGCGGGTTGCCCGAAGGACAGGGGCGCTTCCCGGGGCTCTGACTCCCGCGGGGCCGGGCAGCGTCTGCGGGGCCGTCCAGCTCAGAGCCCGGAAGCCCTGCAGGGTCGGGGAGCGGGAGCTGAACGCCTGAGCGCGGAGGACTCAGGGCCCCGACGACGCCACCGTCACCCCACAGCGACCCTTCTTCTCCTTCTCAGCCGGAAAATAAGTTTGTTGCGCTGCGAGGCAGCCACAAAACAAGGAACCGAGAGCCCGGAATGCTGCGGGAAGCCTTCAAGTCAGCTCCTCCGACTGGTTCGGGCTACTGCCCCCTCTCCGTGCGCCCTGGCCTCTGGCGCCGGGTTCCCGGCGGGGCTTTTCTTCTGACAGCCCAGTCACAGCCCGCAGCAGAGGGACGCGAACCTGGGGAGTGGAGGGACCTGGGACTAAAGGAACAGGAGCCCGTAGCCGTGGTGGAAGGAGCCGCGTGGAGACGGAGGCTGATGTCTGTGGCGCCCGCTGGGTGCCGGGCTGGCTGCTGAGCGCTGAGGCTGCGGCGGCGAGCGACAGGCCAGGTGCCTGCTCTTAGGGAAGGTACCTGGCTTCCCCAGTCTCTGCCGCGGGAGCCTGTTGGGTGGCATTCGTTTCCAGCAACTTCTGGGGGGTTTCCAGTTTCTTTCGAGAGGCAAGACAACCGCCCCGTCCCCTCCCCGGGCCCAGACGGCGGCGAACTGTGCGCCGGGCGCCCCACAGACCCCAATCCACTCACTCTCCTTCTGGAACGCGGGGCTCAAAATCTTCGTGCATTTTCTCTCTTGTGCTTCGTGTATATGTTTTACTATTTATGAAGGGTGTGGAGGTGAGGGTAGGAGGACGTGGGCTCCTGAATCCCTCTGAACCAGCCAGAGAGTCGGCTGCATGGAAACATTTCGCAGCGAAGCTCCTGCGAGGAGGCGGCTTCGCGCGTCGGGAAGATCAGGCGGTTGCTTGCTGGCCAGGGTCTGCAGATTCGGTGCGAAGAAGCTGGCGGAGGTTGTGTAGGGCGAGTCAGTGTGACTGAGCACCCTGGGTGTGTGGTCTGCGTGGAGGAGAGTGGGCCGGATCTTGAGGTGTGTTGGAGGTTTATTTGTAAGAGGAGTTCCTGAAAGGAATGTCGTGGAACTTTTTCTAGTTTTCCTGCTGGAATCAACATAGGGGCGGGCACATGTTTGTCAGAATAACAGTGGCATTTAACTGCATGGGAAGCTCTTTCAATTTTCTGTAGTGGGAGCTGGATAGTTCAAGGAGTAACTCCACATAACTGAGTCGTTTGGATACCCACACAAGATAATTTGGAACGCGCTTGTATTTTTTTGTTTTTTGAGATTTCTGGTTTATGTCCTTTAGAGAGTGGGGTAGGAGCGTAAAGACTGTATAGGTTGCCTATGAGCAGGTCCATACAATAGCGTTCCCAAGTCTGCCTAATAGCAAGTTTGTTCTCTCTTTCTCTCTCTCTACCCAAGTGGGTGAAAAAGAACAGTGTGTCATGAAGACAGGCACCTGGAGGTGATTTGGGTGGCATTCATGAGAAAATTCACGTTACCCGTAAGTTTATTCTTGCTATTTTTATCTTGATTTCTTTAAAGATTTTGTGGGAATATCTGCAGTGGGTCGCAGGAGTAGGTAAGATTGCTAAGGATCAAAAACAAGTTTCATGAGAATATTATTTTTGCTACCTTATAAAATAGCTATTGATTTGTTTGTTGAAGCTGGTTTCAACTGCTCTGTCTTGTTGAGGAGAGATGATGCTGATAAACGTCATTATTTTTCCATCTGAACCCTGGGAGGTAGCTGGCAAGGATGGAAAAACTGACCTTTTCAATTAAAGACTAAGAGTCTAAGAGAAGTGACTTGGATAAGGGTGCATGTCAGAGCCACATGTAAGTTTCAACAGAGGTAGATTTTCCTATTTGCAGTTTTTTAAACAACACTTTTCAGTTTCTTTGAGTTGTAAAACTTTTCAAGTCAATTGGGAGTCAATGCAGTACCTTTTTCCATGGTCATTTCATATTGGCAGGTAATTAAGAGTGATTAGAGAACAAACCTTTCAAATGATGTTGGATTTTTTATCATTCACTTATTTTACCTACTTCTCTCTCCTTTTTGTTCAAAAGTAGGTCTTCTGATTTCTTTTCCGATCTAAGCACTAAATCTTTTGGCTGCAGTTTTTCTTCTGAAATGTATACAGGGCATCCGTTCCTTCAATTTAGGTCTTAAAAAAATAAAGCTGCTCAGCAGAAAATTCCCATGCATGGTACTGACTTTTCTACAAGTTTGTCTGATCATGATTTTAACTTGTTGTTTCTTCTTTGTTATATTTGAGGACAGACATAATATGCATTAGCTTCAATCTCTCTTATCTTAAAAATTAATATTTTGTAAAAACTTGCTTTTATATTATTTTAGTTGAATAAGTCTATTTCATATGATAGGCAGGGGGAAGTCTCTACACACTGATTTTTTTTGTTCCTTTTTGTTCATTTTTCCCTGTAATGCTATGTTTTAAGCCTAGTGAAGGAGGCAAGGAGGCAGGATTTACTGCCTAGATTTATTGATCTTCATTATTATTATTATTTACTATCAGAAGAAATCTGACAACATATCAATAAAATTTATTTATAAACTGAAGACATGCTGTTATATGATACACTACTTATAAAACACACAAAGAAACAAAAAAGATGAATAAAGCAAAAATTATGAAATAGAAGGTCTCATGTTGCTGTTATGTATCCCGGTGGATCATTTTGTACAGCCCCTGGGGTGTGTAGCACACTTTAAAGATCACTGCTGGTTTGATATTTTTAAAATCTTTCTCTCCTTATCTCTGCTCTGCTGTTCATCATCTCTGATACTCTAGCCAGTTGTAAAACTGCTACACTTCTATATCTTCTGTAACAAATAGATTAAGCACACTTGTTTTCCTCTCATGGACTCATATGTGGATAGAATGAGGTGTAAAGGATGAATGTGTTTTGGAGATGTCATCTTAGATCTCCCAAAGTAGACATACAGGTGAATTTTAAAAAATGGAGTTTTAGTTTAAAGACTAAGTACCAATGGTCAGGAAGTGAAGAATCCAAGGAGTAAATGAGGGAGGATTGGAAGGACACTTTCCACATTGCAGTGTTGTGTGGAGGCTGGAAAGTTCATAAACCTTGAAGCAGATTAACCTGAATCTAAGTCTGGCACCATCATTTATTACATTTACAGTCCTGGGCAATGTAGTTCCTTAATTTCTGTGAGCCTTAGTTTCTTTAGGTATAAAATTGGGATAACATCTATTTCACGGCATCACGATAGGGATTAAACATGAGAGCATGAGTCAACATGGGTCAAGAGCTTGGCTCTTTTAGATTGGCTCTTTAGCAGATATAACAGATCCAAAAGGGATACTGCCTCAGATGTGAAATATATTTATTTCTCGGTTGTGTGAAGTCCCAGAATGGGTGATCATGGCAGTACTCCTTCAAAGTGTGATTCAGAGACCCAGCCTTCATCTGTTCTGTGCCCTTGCCGTCTTCAGCAGGGTCACTGTGCTTACTTGCATCAAGCCATTGGAAAGAGGAAGACTTGGGAGGATGTTAATTGCCCAGAACTGGAATGAGTGCATATTACTTTTCCTTGCATTGTGCTGGCCAGAACCCAGTTCTTTGTGGATGTACGTTACTATTAAGGAGGCTGGGAAATATAGTCTAGAAATGTTATCCAGGAAGTAGAAGAAATTGTTGGGGGAACAACTAGCATTCTCTGATGTTTTATTACTATATGTGATATTTCTTCCATGTTCAATAACTGTTACTTCCTTTTCTTCTCCTAACCCTTGCTTTTTTTTTTTTCTGGTAGAAAAACTGGAATGGATACAATAAATAATAATAGAAGCAGTTAATACATACATAATGCTTACTATTATTGAGATACTTTTTAAAGCACATTGCCCTACTTTGCCCTTCTAATATTATCTCTATTGTACAGATGAGGAAAACTAGGCATAGAGAAATTAAGTTATTTGTTCATCATAGCTAGTAAGTAGCAGAGCTGGGATCTGAACCAGGTTCTCTCACTCCAGAATTGATTTTTTAACAGCTTTTTTTTTTTTTGCTTTTGCCTCAATACTTTTCTTATTTAAGCCACTGGACCGCTTTTTACTTTTGCCTATATATAAAAAAGTTGCCAAGAGAATTTTTTAAAATACTAAAGTAGAAAAAAAGGATATAATCCAAAACATACTGGAATGGAATTAGATATGATACAGCTTTATCTTGAATACCTACCAGGATCAGGAGCAGATATTTAAAGTAACTCCCCCCACTTACACACCCTTCACCACTACAACTGCTCTTTCATTTGTGATAAACACATTTTCAGGGTCTGTGCCTTGAATTATAACCTTCCTCTGAAGATTCTATTGTGGGAGTCTTGCGCTACCACTTTCATGCTTCAGTATGTGAGGATAAATTCCTCTTCACTTCTCAGCAGAAACAAATATCTTCCCTGGCAGGTTTTTCAGCTAAAATAGCCTCTCCTAACTTTTGATCAAAGGTATTGCTCTTTATCAATATCCCCATCCTCCAAGAAAGGAAACCCTCTTCTTTTCCTATGAGCTTTGCAAAATTATTTTTTATTTATCTATTTATTTATCTTTATTTTCTATATGACTAAGGGGACTGTATATATATCCCAGGTACCGTCTAAAAGAAAATGGTCCCTCTTGTTCTCATCCTGTTGTCCCATTTCCATTAGAGAATCTGCCTCATCTTATGTTTCCTATGTATTTGTCTTTCATAAAAATGCCTGTTAGAGTTTTGGTTCCCAGTGGCTGCAGTGGAAATGTGTAGTGGTCAATAGTAAGCGTATACTTTTTGCTAAGATAGTTATTGTTTCAACATTAAAGAGTGATTTTTTTCCTCTTGTTCAGTATGTATTTGTTGCATCTTCACAATTAGGTAATGATATGTATCTTCTTACCATGTAGGTAGGCATAAATACTGTATACCTACCAGTCATTTCTTTCCCAGAAGCCCCTGTTCATTTCCTCTTTACTTTCCCTGAGCCTCACATCCTGAGAATTTTGCTTTTTTTTCTGAACTCCTCTTTCTTCCAATTTTTTCCACTTCTGTGCCATTTATGTCTACGTGTGTGTGTGTGTGTGTGTGTGTGTGCGTTTCAAGTCCCTTCTTATGATTTAATGGGGTTGGAGGGCTGGAGAGGTTTTCATGTGCTTACTGTCATGTTTTCAGCCAAATTCCACAGGGCCTTGTAACAGGCTAACATGAGCAGATAAGCTCTTAATTTTCAGTGACTTATTTTAACTTTTTACTTCTTGCTCATGTGTGGTAGTTCAGTACTCATAGAATAGATCCTGACTGAGTGGCTGTCCATGGGGTCATTCAGGGAATCAGGTTCCTTAGAGTTTTATGGCTTTGTTCATCTTTAAGTACCTAGAGTCCTCATCATTCAGTCAAGATACAGAGTGTGAGGAGATAAATAATCCAGAGAAGTCTTATTGGAGGTTGTTGTAGGCACAGCCTGGAAGTGGTTGTCATGACTTCTGCCCACATTCCTCTGGGGTGGACCTCAGTCACTTCGACATCCTTTGCTGCAAGGGAAGCTGAGAAGTGGTGTCTAGCTGAGTGCCTGGGGGAGAAGGGTGAAAGGAAAACAGGTTTGGTAAATAACTAGCCAGTCTTTGTCACAGGTTTCCAATGAAAGCATGTGAGAAAATCAGCTAATTCTCTAGGTATGGGGAAAAGAGAGCATGGATTTTGGTTATTTGCCAAATAAATGCCCATTGCCTTGCTTCCTTTTAATTTTGACCTCTATTACTATCCCATTCTTAGTGCATATGGTCTGGGTGGGATTCCGTTTCCCATTTAAGGATTGGAGCATGGGAACCAGGTCTTGTCGGGAAGAGCATTGACTTTTCCTGTCCACAGTAATTGCTTCTAGAACAGAACAGGCATGGACCCAGTGAGAACCACTGCAGTGAGATGCTTTGCTTTTTCTCAGTGGCTCTAGTTGGGCTCCATGTATGCCTTTGAACTAATTCCTGTAGATAAGGAGATTAGAACCAGGGAGCATGTGGGCCTGCCACTGCTGCAGCTGTCTTAACACCAAAAAGAGAACCTAGACCTGCTGAGGTCACCACATACTACTTGAGAATGAAGCCAACAGAACAGTAGCAAGGGGCATGATGGAGCAAAACCAGCTCCTCTTGCATCATGTGAGCCCGTTAATCTGGCTATGCCTAAAGTGAGTTAACCTGGTATATTAGTCTATTCTCACACTGCTAGAAAGAACTGCCTGAGACTGGGTAATTTGTAAAGGAAAGAGGTTCAATTCACTCAGTTCCGCATGGCCTCAGGAAATTTACAACCATGGCAGAAGGCACGAGAGAAGCAAAGGCAGGTCTTACATGGCGGCAGGCAAGAGACAGTGAAGGAGGAAGAGCCCCTTATAAAACCATCAGATCTCATGAGAACTCACAATCATGAGACCAGCATGGGGGAAACTGCTTCCACAATGCAATCACCTCCTACCAGGTCCCACCCTTGACACATGCAAATTATGGGGATTACCTTTCAATTGATGAGATTTGCGTGGAGACACAGAGCCAAACCATATCATTCTGCCCCTGGCCCCTCCCAAATATCATGTCTTTTCACATTTCAACATGCCTTCCCAACAGTCGCCCAGAATCTTAACCCATTTTGGCATTAGCTCAAAAGTCCACAGTCCAAAGTCTCATCTGAGACAAGGCAAGTCCCTTCTACCTATGAGCCTGTAAAATAAAAAGCAAGTTAGTTAATTCCAAGTTGCAGTGGGAGTACAGGCACTGGGTCAATGTTCCTATTCCAAATGGGAGAAATTGGCCAAAACAAAGGGGCTACAGGCCCCATGCCAGTCTGAAACCAGGCGGGGCAGTTATTAAATCTTAAAGCTCCGAAATCATCTTCTTTAACTCTATGTCTCAAGTTCAGGTCATGCTGATGCAGGAGGTGGGCTCCCACTGTCTGGGGCAGTTCTGCCCCTCTGGCTTTGCAGGCTACAGCTCCCCTCCCAACTGCTTTCATGGCTGGAGTTGAGTGTCTGCTTTCATGGCACACAGTGCAAGCTGTCAGTGGATCTACCATTCTGAAGTCTAGAGGACCATAGCCCTCTTCTCACAGCTCCATTAGGCAGTGTCCCAGTGGTGACTCTGTGTTGGGAGCTCCAACCCCCATTTCCCTTCCGCACTGCCCTAACAGAGGTTCTTCATGAGGGCTCTGCCCCTTCATCACACCTCTTGCCTGGACATCCAGGCATTTCCGTACATCTACTGAAATCTAGGCAGAGGTTCCCAAACCTTCATTTTTGTCTTCTGCACACCCACAGGACGAACACCATGTGGAAGCTGCCAAGGCTTGGGGCTTACACCTTCCGAAGCAACAGCTTGAGCTATACCTTGGCCCCTTTTAGCTACAGCTGGAGTGGCTGGGACGCAGGGCACCAAGTCCCTAGGCTGTACACAGCAGGGAGCCCAGTGCCTTGTCCAAGAAACCGTTTTTCCCTCCTAGACCTCTGGGCCTGTGATGGGAGGGGCTGCCGCCAAGATCTCTGTCATGCCCTGAAGACGTTTTCCCCATTGTCCTGGCTCCTCCTTACTTCTGCAAATTTCTGCAGCTGGCTTGAATTTCTCCCCAGAAAATGGGTTTTTCTTTTCTACAGCATCATCAGGCTGCAAATTTTTCAAACCTTTTTGCTCTGCTTCCCTTTTAAACATAATTTCTAATTTCAGATCATCACACTCAAGTTTAAAGTTCCACAGATCTCTAGGGCAGGGGCAAAATTCTGCTAGTCTCTTTGCTAAAGCATAGCAAGAGTGACCTTTGCTTCAGTTCTCGATAAGTTCCTCATCTCCATCTGACCTGGACTTCATTGTCCAAATCATTATTAGCATTTTGGCCAAAACCATTCAACAAGTCTCTAGGAAGTTCCAGAGTTTCCCACATCTTTCTTCTGAGTCCTCCAAGTCTCTAGTAAGTTCCAAACTTTCTGACATCTTCCTGTTTTCTTCTGAGCCCTCCAAACTGTTCCAGCTCTATCTGTTACCCAATTACAAAGTTGCTTCCACATTTTCGGGTATCTTTATAGCAGTACCCCACTCTCTGCAGTACCAATTTACTGCATTAGTCTGTTCTCACATTGTTATAAAGAACTACCCAAGACTGGGTGATTTATAAAGGAGAGAGGTTTAATGGACTCACAGTTCTGTATGGCTTGGGAGGCAACAGGAAACTTAAAATCATGGTGGAAGGGGAGAGAGAAGCAAAGGTATATCTTACATGGCAGCAAGCAAGAGAGAGTGAATGAGCAAAGGAGGAAAATCCCCTTATAAAACGATCAGATCTCGTGAGAATCATTCACTATCACGAAAACAGCATGAGGGAACTGCTCCCATGATCCAGTCACCTCCCAATCACCACCCTTAACACTTGGGAATTATGGGGATTACAATTTGAGATAAGATTTGGGTGGGGACACAGAACCAAACCATATCAGCTGGTGATTTTGCAGCTCTTCAGATTCATAAATTACCCTTTGACGTAAGCTGATTTGGGTTGGATTTGTATGACTTAAAGTGAATACTGATTTATTAGACCAAGCAAAAAAGAGGAAAGAATACTGGATAAGGAAGGGAGTGGGGGTTTTATTTGTTTGTTTGTTTTCCTGAGCTCATCTTATGTCACTTTGGTTGTGTGCCTAACAGTTTCACTCCCTTGTAATACATCAGACTTCCAGTCAAGAACCATTTGGCATACCCCTACCCAGGCACATAGAGCTCTCACTAAATTATAAACCCGAAGCTGTTAATTCTTCTCAAAGCTGATCTCTCCTTACAGAGTTATGGAAGGGAAATGGAGGTGAAATCACATCCTCAGGCTTAATTCCCTCTTTCAAGATTGCCTGTGGTCCCTCCTGGATGATGCTTTCTTTTCCAGCATCACTTCCCTGTTCCTATCCTCCCCCAGGCTTGCAGACCAACTGTAACAATCTAATCACCCATCCTGGAACTTTTCATGTGCCTTTTCTTTTTTTTTTTTTTTTTTCATGACTGTTTACATTGCCTCTCTCTTTGGCCTCCTCTTACTGTCCTTGTCTACTGTGTTTATTACAGTTTGCACAATGCTCAACTCAAGTATCACTAAGTTAAGCCTCTTTCAATACTATTGAGGCATAAAGAATGGCTCCGTCACCTGTACATACTCTCATTGTACTTGTTTCCATGCCACTGATATAATATCTGTCATGAGAATGACCATCTCTCTTGCTTTTCCCAGGACAGGGGGGTTCCCAGGATGCTGGATATTCATTTTTAAAACCAGGAAAGTCTTGATCAAGCCAGGAGAAATTTGTTGCCTTGCCTTCTACATTGTAATAGCTCTCATTTAACATGCCACTCGGTGCAATGGAATTTCATTGAGACAGTGGATAACAGCTTGAAATTTGGAGGCAAAATTCTTACCAATCCTAGATCCATTTTGTACTAGTTGTGTGATTGTGAGCAAGTGACCTAACTTTTCTAGGTTACAGTTTCATCATCTGTGTAGTGGAATAGTATGTGTTTTGTAGGGTTGTTAGCTAATTAAAAGACATCATAAATTAAATCACTTCGTTTAGTGATGGACACATCTATAACATTGTCTAAAGCACACGAGTTTTGTGAAGATTATGTAGAGTACTACATGCAAAGTACAAGCAGGACAGTGCCCAAATCCTAGTAAGCATCCAGTACACAGCTTTTGTTATGGATTGTTGTTATTCACTTTTAAGTATCTCTTGCCTAAAACATAGTAGATGCCAAAAATACAATTACACTCAGAGAATACATGTTCATGGAGCATAAACAATGTTACTCAGAGTTTGTGATAAGTGGGGCAAGCAAGTCAGTGAGAGTGATTAGGAAATATTTTCGATAATTACTTGGTCTTTGAAACTTGAAAAAGCTGGAATTGACTGCAGGATTAGTTCCTTTTTAGAAACAGTTTGTTTTTTCTTGCATATTTAAACCAGACTTCACAAATTTTCATAGTTCGGAAAGAGAAAATATTTTCCATGTTTAGGCAAGGTCAGTATTGGTGCATAACCCCTAAGTACATATTTTCATTATTTTTATTAATGAAATAAAAGTGGCGCATTTGGGGGACCAAAATGCAAATATTTTGTCTTTCTTTTGGTTCATAAGAAAGTGAAGGTTAGGGCAGTAGAATCACTACTCCATTATTAATCATTATTCCATAATGATCTTGAGTTAAAAAAATCATATGATTTGTTGTTGTTGTTGTTAACCACAGTGACATATC
The DNA here is from genome assembly GCF_000001405.40 of Homo sapiens. NCBI lineage: Eukaryota > Metazoa > Chordata > Mammalia > Primates > Hominidae > Homo > Homo sapiens. Next base: position 2,109,438 of record NC_000003.12, read on the forward strand.
CTCTCTACCTTTGGGCTGAACTTTTGTATATAAAAATACTTTGTAACTTGCACACTTGTATTAATATAAATCTTGAGTGTCCATGTTGCCTATGCCTTTCAGTTTTGTCATGGAAATTTCCAGTGAGGACAGGTGTTGCATGTGTGCTTATGCTGAGATGGGTCCAGTCTGGACAAGAAGACAATCAAACAAAACAATGATATGACTCAAATCACCAAGTATGTTTTGTAAGATTTGATTCTAGGCACATTGTCATCATTTTAAGTTGTGCAAATTTGTATTGTTATCCATATTATGATGGGTCTTCAACTATTAATTATAAATACGAATTTTTTTGTCTTTAGTCACTCATTTGATTAGCTATTAGCTAGATATTGATTCTAGACTCCTTACAGATTAGTGAATTAATTGGGAGTCCAAGCATTATTTTTAGTGTATTTAATTGGGTGAATGACAGCTTTATAGAGAAAGTGATTACTTAAGTTGCATATCTAATTCTTAGTAAAAAATTATAGTACAAACAAGGTCATCTAGAATTCTTGGATCTAAGTAATGGTAAATTAAGAGTTGCTTTTAATATAATAGTATCTTTTAAAAATGGATATCCCTGTAAAATGTCTTCATTTTCTGCTTAAGCAGGTGACTAAAGATAATTTACTTCTTGATGACACGGGATCACCATGATAAACATAGTTTGGTGGTTTAGAATAGAGTATGGGCCTTGGAATCAGACAGACCTGGTTTGAATCCTTGTTTTGTCTCTTACTAGCTGTGTGATCTCAAACACATTCTTACTTTTCCCAAGGCAGTTTTTAAAATCTGTAAAGTGAAGTTGATCCTGCCTGTCTTACAGATAGGCTGTGAACATTAATGGTATGCATTGAAGACTTTAGGACAGTGTGCATGGCACATTGTAAGCATTAGGTAAATGAACCGTATACTACAATCTTTACAACTTATACAGAACGTAGTATACTTAAATGTTTTATATATTTGTTGTTCATTGTTTCAACATTCTTTGCCACATTCCTGTGACACTGGGGGATGCAACAGGATCCCATCCAGTGCAGCTGAAGTGTTGAGACCGACACTGGTGACCTCCATCTGCTTTCTGCTGCCTTTCAGATTGTCATATTATAATCTTTCGCTTTGGTGAACTAGCCTTTTCCACTTGCTGTTTTCCACCATTTGTGAACTGGAAAAATAAAATACACAAGCTGTTCAAACATTCTTAGTAAGAGTAAACAGATTCGGAGTGAGACTGTGAAGGGGCCTGTTTCTCCCCTCCCCGCCTTTTTTTTGGTTGTTGTTGTGAGAGAGTAATGGTATGGGTGTTTCACATCCATTTTCACTGTTCTCAGCTTTACCTCTCTACTTCCTGGCTGAGGTACTGAGAGTAAGATATCACTATACCATAGTGGAAATAGAAAATAACCTGCTTTGATAATATTGTGACATGTATTTGTGATATGCTTGGCAGTAGCATCATGTTAGTGAAAATTCCTGTGTTACAGTGTGGAATGTTGGCTATCTTACCTGTAGTACAATAAACTTCATTCAAAATCCTGTGCTTAGAATACAGCATGATCTTTATGGTATAAAGAGGTTTTCTTTTCTATTTTTTTCCAGCACATTTCAAGGTCTTACTAGTTACTAGAGTCTAACTCAAAAGCCTTAGTATTTACCCTTTATTTTCTTTTTTAAATCCAGTGGTCAGAATTCCCGATACCAAAACAATTATGGATACTATTAAGGTGGCTGTAATGCTTATATACGCACTGTGAGTTCATTGAGAATTCATAGTTCTGTTAATTCTACTCAATTCTTATAATAATTGAAATTCACCAGCATATTGTTGTTTATAGTATGTGGTGTAAGTGAAATTAATACTTTTCTTTTAAACATTAGTATTTTCAGAGAAGAACCTTTTCCTGTTCTTCTGAATTAATGAATTGTTACAAATTTTTGTAGGTTTCTTATAATGTGGCTACTTAAATCAACATATTAAGGTAAACTCTTAAGAAAAGAAACATAATATAATGTACTCCCCAAAATAATGAATCCCATGTTTTAGGTTGGTATTTAGTCTCCACAGCTGGAAAACACTATTTTATGTGATGTATAGGAAAGGCTGGAGGCAGACTTGGTGATTTAGAATGACTCAGTGATTCATATCCTGTCTCTACTACTTATGTATTTAGTATATATACAAATATATATTAAAGTTAGTATGTAACATCAGACCAAGTCATTTAACCTTTTTTAGCTTCATTTTTCTCTTGTATATAATGGAGGAATTCCTGTAGGGTTGTGAAGACTAAAGTTACTTAATTGTATATACACATAGCCTTGTGCCAGGAATATAATTAGACCATCCCTAAAAATGCTGTTTATCATGATTTTACCCTTTCAATGCATTTATTCAATATGATGCTTGTGTTGTAGATGAAATATGTGGATGTTATGATTTACAAACTTGAAATTTCATTATTTTAAAATACTCTGTAAAGTGATTTATGTTTGCTCATATGCTTTTATCTATGGGATAGACAATGCAATCCTCTCTGTGTGGAGACAGAGGAAGGCAACATTTCCATAGTGTGTTGTTTTATGGTTGACTATTACTGCGAGCCACTGTATCAGAACTGAGATGAGATTAGCACTATTTGAGATTTTATTTTGGAGAAATGGTTTTGGCTATGGTCAAGAATCTTATTTATTAGAAAGAATGAATTACTGAATAGGCTCTCATCTGTATTCTTTCTACTTCAGCTATAGCCCATCTTGCCATCCTGTAAAAGAAATGCTGACAGTGACAGAGGAGAAATATAAAAATGTTTCCAGTTGCTTTCAGTCAAATGTGATTGAAATTTTATAAAAGATTTACACATTTTTTATTTGTAATACTGACAGTACTGGGAAATGAATTTCTGTTTACTCCAGAGAATAGCAGTCACTTTATAGGTGCTTTGAATTTTAAAACTTAGCAAGCATAACAATAATGACTGGTGTATTATTAACATGCATGTAAAAGGAGTTTAACATATCTGAAGAGAAACTGGTTAATGTTATTTTACTTCCTATGTGTTTTTACAGCCTTTCAAGAATGAAACATTGGTAGTAAGTTTGTTTTGAATGTTTCTCTATTTCATCTTTGTATGTTGGTTTACTACCTATTGTATGGGATTCAAAGAATGTTTATATCAAAAACTGTTTTGTTTAGAGCTTATCATTAAACCTCATTACTTAGATGTTTTAATTACTTTTATATGTTTCTTTCTGTATTTCTAACACATACAATGAGAATTTACTGTTTTCCATTGTGTTTTACATTTTTTTCTTCTGGTAAGTTACTAAGCTAACTCACATCAGTATCTTAATTCCTGGAGAGAGACCCCCATCCATTTATGTATATCCTATAGATCTGATTATGGCCTTGTTATGGAAATTGGCCTGACTACAGGCTTCTAGTCATTCATGCCCTAGTATTCTCCCCTGTTAGGTAATTTCCAAGATGCACCCTCTACTATAGTTTCTAAGTAATTCTTCTGAGCACCAGACCAAGTATTCATGGAAGGCCTAAAATATATACTTTCAATGGAAAGGATGGTAGAAATTCAGCCAATTCTGCTTTCTTGGGCTTTTAGATATTAAAAAGAGCTATAGAAATATAATTACACTGATGGATTTCACTGCTCTCAATTGCCTGAATTATCAGGGTTGAGCAACTGAAGCGGGTGGAAGGGCTGTTTCCCTTATATCTGAATATAACATAATAAATTGTCCATCAATAGGGACTATTTGAGTTTGATATTGATCTTTGATGTTATGTATGCTGCATTTCATTGATTAAAAGCATGCATTCTAGTTGGGTCTAGATATACAGTCTAAGTACATGATCTATAGTTCAGAATAGAGTATCATTTATATAGAAATTTGCCCATGGCCGTGTTGTAATTGTAGCCCATTGATTGGCATCTCCAAGGAGCTTGTGAGAAATGCAGAAATTTTTTCCTCACGCAGATGCACTGTATCAGAATTTTCATTTTATCAGTTGATTTTTATTAAAGATTGATAGACATTGATTTGCATTGTATTCTTAACTAACTGAAACAACTGGTTCCCTGCTACGAAGCCTAAATGTCAAGCATATACACAACCTGCTTAATTGTATAGTAAGGACCCAATACTATAGGATGAAGGATAGGTACAGTTGAGTTTGGCCAAATGATGATCAGAGTCTATATAGTTTAAGGCGCAGATACACAAATTTTCAAAAATATGGGTAGAATATAGTCAATATGAATGGAATAGACAATGCTTTGAAAATCACTGGAGGGAGGCTTTATTGTTTGTGAAAACATGTTGTCATCACTTTTTGCTTTAAGCCCTTGGTGGTGAAATAACTCAAACCATTCTTCCTTATGCTGAAGATCGAGAACCCCAAGTATCACATCTACCATCCCACTCATCAATGTGATTGGTCAGTCTTTGCTGAGGTCCTGCATAGCCAGTTTTAAAGTTAGAGTTCTTGCATATACATATGAAAAGGCATGTTACTTGTGCTTTCAAAGAGCTTTTTGCTTGGTGTAAAAAGAAAACTCAAATTACAGTGTGATGTGGAATATAATGGTGGTAGTTTCATCGAGATGATGGGAAAGAATTGATAAGATAAAGTAGAAAGATGAGCAGAATTTTCAGATTGGGTTTGGAAAGAGCACTTAAGAAAGAGGGTGGCCAGGTGGTGGCTCACACCTGTAATCCCAGGACTTTGTGAGGCCGAAGTGGGCAGATCACTTGAGCTCAGGAGTTTGAGACCAGCCTGGTCAACATGGCAAAACCCCATCTCAAAAAAAAACAAAAAAATACAAAAACTAGCTGGCGTGTTGGTGCCCACCTGCAGTCCTAGCTACTCGGGAGGCTGAGTTGGTAGGATCACTTGAGCTAGGGAAGTTGAGGCTACAGTGTGCTGTGATCCTGTCACTGCACTCCAGTCTGGATGACAGAGCAAGACCTTGTCTCAAAAAATAAATAAATAAAATTAAGAAAGAGGGTATAGTATGTACAATGGCCATGGGCTTATGAGGAAAAATGGCAAGTTTGGAGAATGCCAAAGGTATGAGTGGACGCTAGGGGTATGGGAAGGTGGCAATAGGGCCTTCATTTACACAGTTTCATAGACTAGAATGTGAATGTTATCCCCAGAGTTGGACCACCAACAAGCAGTGACTGTGATTGTTGCATCATGGCTTTGTGCAAAGTAGCATCTCTAGCGAATGGGACAAATTGGGGAATATGAGGGAATTGGGAGATATTCTTTATGCTGTAGAAAGCCACTGCAAGATTTATATGACAAGGTATACAGTGCTGATCTGCTGACCAATATATTTTCTGGCATCATTCCGTGTTTCTCTCTTGTGAGTGAGGTGCATTCCTTTGCTAATAACATTTGCTGTCCTCAGACATTATTAAAGGAAATTTAATGCTGTTTGACAACATTTCAAGTAGTAGCCATTGATATTGTCATGGACATTTATTGTTAATCACAGGAACAAGTTTCCTTTTCTAACAGCAAAATCTCTTCCACTGTTTGCAGTCTTGTGTGATGATGAAACCTCAGCCCACCCTCCTAATAGGCAGTGGACCATGAGGCCTCTCTGATGAGCCTTCAGCCAGGCTCTTCTCCTTGCTCCAGTACATCATGCAGGCATGTGACCTAAGTTGCAATGATCAGACCCTCTCCTCATACGTAGAATCTTGGGCTTAGTAACATAAGGATGAAGAAATGGTTAGTAGATGTATGCTTTTTACTGTGTCAGTGTCCTGGCCCCACTGAACATGGTGTGTGGTCCAATATTAATGGTATCTCTACTGGGGGTTTTGGAGCTGCTTTGTCCTCTAGTTCTTCCTTCTATTCCATGCGCTCTCCATATCCTTTTGATAGTCTCCTTTTCCCAAAGTTGGTTATTCTTTCTTGGAACCAAGGAACTATAAAGAGAAATGGAGGTTCTTCCAGGTAACCCTGTTTATCCTCTTAGCTTTCTGTTAGGGACATCCACAGCACGAGACACACAAGTTAGCTTTTCAGGGTGCCTCTTGAGGCCTGTCCAGGAATTTGGAAAATTCATCCTCTTAAACAGCCCATGGCATTTTCCACAGTTTATGGTAAGTACTCTTATCTCAGTATTCTGCAGAATGCAGAAAGGTACCTTGTAAACTTGGGGTATAAATCTCTCTATTGGTTTTCAAGTTGTGGTGTATAGCTTTATTCAAAGGGAATTCTAACATTTCATACAACCGCAGCTGCCATGTTATTTCTTTTAAAAGCTTGTGCCTTCTCTGAATAATTCATATTGTCCAGTGCCTTCAGATTGTTTCATAAGATCAACACCTAAAAAGTCCTTTCTTGTTCTAGCTAATACTTAAAGACTCTTTTGCAAATGTGTTTCTAGAAATTGTTATCACAGTTAGGGTGGGCATTTAGCTTTTTGTGCCTAGCCTGTAAACTTGGTCTTATTAACTTTGGGAACCATGAGTCTTGGTATTTATGCAGTGAGACTTAAATCTTTCTCGAAGGTGCTTTATAGTAACCTGCATGTAAAGCCTCTAACTTGGGCCTGGCACTCATCATTGGGTTGGACCCCAATCCTGATGATCTTCAAATCCTCTTTCATACATAGCCATCACCACTAAAGTCTTATTCAGCTAATGTTAGAAACAAAGCATTGCAGGAGGCCTCATATCTAGTAAATGCACTTTCATACCCAGTTTACTGTTATCCTCCATAATTAACGTGAGGCATAACAGAAAATAATCATAGACCAGGCATACATCTCAAAGCTTAGACATGTTATGAATGTCACTCCACATACCAGCTCCAATCCATCATTCCTGTCCTCAGCTTGGAAGTGGAGGAGGGGAGACGTGTTTATGGGACTAAATATAAACTCTGTGGGGTAATTGCTACAAAATGTCATCCTCAGAAACACCTGGGAGCTTTGGAAGAAAATAAAATTTCACAGCCCCACGCTAGGTAATACCGAATCAGAGTCTCTGGGAATGAGTTTTAGGAAACTGTAGTTGAATAGGCTCCCCATGTGATTCTGATGTTCAGCCAGGTTTGAGCGCTAAAGCATGTTCTGTGGAACACTAATTCTTCTAGGTAGATATAAATAGGATTCCCTTTAAAAGTGTTCTTAACAAAAACAGAGGAAATTCAGGATTTTAAACAGGTTTTCTAACACGAGAATTTTTCAGAATCTTTATGTGCATTGTGAAATGCATGTTTCTGACTATGGAACAATCTTGCTTCTCTATCCCCCCTGCCAACTCCCTACCCAACACAAAGACTCTTTACTAAACATCTAATGTTGCAGATTTCAGCCCTGGCTCCTCCTTAGAATAATCCGGTTAATCGATCGATCTGGGGTTGGGGGTGGGTTCTGTGTGGGAGAAACAAACTCAAAGTGTGTTTTCTATTCTCTCACTCAAAAACAATCAATAGAGAAGATTTTTGTGACCAAATTTGTGGGGGAATCACCCACACATCAAGCAAGCAATCAGTTTTCCAGCAGACACTAACTCAGCGTCCTCTAATTCAGTTCAGTACTGACACTCTCTACTTAGAGATAGTCTCAGATCACAGAGGTTGAGGGCTCAGTCCCACAAGACTGTCCCCTACTCCCAATGCCACAGGCAAGCCTCTGGTTGCCTGTTTTAATGGCATTTCTAAAACAGACCAGCTATAAATTGGTGTTCCCGCAACCTCCTCCTTGGGTTCAGTTAATTTGCTAGAGCTTCTCACAGAGCTCAGGGAAACACGTTTACTGGTTTATTATAAAGGATGTTACAAAGGATACAGATGAAGAGATTCAGAGGGTGAGGTATTGGGGAAAGGCCCCACACTGGGCCTTTCATGCCCTTTCTGGGCACACTACCCTCCAGGAACCTTTTGTGTTAAGCTGTCTGGAAGTGCATCTGAACGCTGTCCTTCTGCATTTTTCTGGGAGCTTCATTAGGTAGGCATGATTGATCAAAGTATTGGCCATTGGTGATCAACCTCACCCTCAGTCCCTCTTTCCTTCCAGGAGGTTGGGGGAGGGGGCTGAAAGTCCCAACCCTCTAATTATATCTTGGTCTTTATGGTGACCAGCCCCCATCCTGAAGCTACCCAGTAGCTGCCAGCCATTCATCCGCTAATTAGCATACAAAAGATTTTCCTTTGGAGGTCCCAAGGATTTTAGGAGTTTTATGTCAGGAAATGGGGTGTAGGACAAATACATATATTTTACCACTTCATGGGCTAATGGAATATTTTAAAATTTCCCGGGTGATTTTATTAGACACGCAGGGTTTAGGACCACAGATGCGATGTAATGTTCTTTGGAAGACATTCTGGATGATTTATTTATTTAACAATGTGTCCCACATCACCCAGATTTTTTAGTTTCACATCTGTCAGGTGGTTTTACTCAACTTACATATGTATCATCCTATGTTTAGAGCTTGTTTTTAAATATCTTTTTTTCTGATTATAATAAAAACTTTTTCTTAGAAAAAACACCCCAGCTATTACAGACACTCTTAGATAAAAATGCATTGGTTGTCTAAGTGAATTTTAATCATAATGAGTAATATTAATTGAACATTTATAATGTACCAAGGAAGTCACTAAATGTTTTTATTATATTATCTCATTTAAACCTATAATAGTCCTGTGAGCTAGATGCTGTGATGACCCCTGGGTCCTAAATGAGAAAACTGAGAATCAGAAAGAGTAAGTAATTTGTCTCAGGTCATGCAGCTAATAAATGGCAATACTGATATCATATCAGATCCCAGGTATACCTGATTGTGAGCTAAAGCTCTTAACCAATTTGGAATCCTGGTTAAGACAGAGGCTTTTATGTTTAGTGATCAGTGTATGCTTAAAACCCCTTAGTATGTACATGTTACTTTGTGAAGCACATTTTATTGCAAGGAAGGTGAATCTTCATAAATGACAGGGGTTTAGGAAAGTATTCCAAATGTTAAGAACCATTTTAAAATGGGAAGATTTTCAACCAAATATTTGCATATGAATGTAAACAGAATTTTTGTAGTTATAGTAGATTGGTAATTTGTGCATGTAAGTTATATATTATTCATTAATCTGAATGTATTTGAATATTCCAAATTCACTGTTTACATATATTTTTCCTACCGATAGGCTTCCAAATGTTGCTAAGCTTCCAGAAATATTGAGTTTGATAGATTTTTTTGGTTCCTCTGGCCAGAAATTTAAACAAAAAGAAAAGAATGATTTGGACTACTGGCAATAAAACTCAGTGAAGGGGATTTATGTACGGGTCCGAATGCATGCTTATTAGTCACTCAGAACATGATGTTTCATTTTAAAAGTACATGCCTTTGCATCTTGTTATGACATTTAGAAAAAGTTTTCAGTTGCATGTCTTTCATTTTGCCAGAGAAGATAAATTGACTAATATGTAAATGACATTACAGGGTCCAAGTGTAATGGTTAATTTTATATGTCAACCAGGCTAGGTCTGGATATTTGGTCAAACATGTCTGGATGATGCTGTGAAGATATTTTAAAGATGAGATTAACATTTAAATCAGTGGACTTTGAATAAAGCAGATCCATAATGTGGTGGGCCACATTCAGTCAGCAGAGGGCCTTCAGAAAAAAACTGATCTCCCAGGAGAAAGAATTCTGCTAGCAGACAGCTTTTGGTCTCTGGCTGTGACATTAACTCTTCATTGCTTGTCCAGTCTGTTAACCTGCCCTGCAGATTTTGCACTTGCCAACCTCCATAATCACGTAAGCCAATTCCTTGGTGTGTCTCTTTCTTTCTGTCTCTCTCTCCGTGTATACATCTAGTCCATCCTATTGGTTTTGTTTCTGTGGAGAACCCTGACTACTACACCAATATTCCTTATTCTCCCTGTATGAGAAAGTTTCTCTAGCTGTTTTTAGAATAATTTTATTTGGATGTCCTTACCCGCAAAATCAACTGTTAGACTTTTGCAGAATGATTAGTGATGGATCATACCAAATACTGCCATCTCCAACACTATTGATGTTTCCCCAGGCATTGGGCAATTTCATAGATGCCATATAGAGTAAATGGGAACACAGAAAGTTCAAAGATGGAATTTGTTACTCCCTGGAAATTTGTAGTGGTAAAGGTTTCCAGGTGTGGCTTTTGTCTTCCAGTCCAAGTAGGATAATTTAGAGAAATGGGAAAATAATCTCTTTCTAGAATCCACTTCATTTTTCCATTTAACCTACAGGTATCAAGTGCTACTAAGCCGTAGGACCAAGCTAGATCCTATGGGTAGAAAAGAAAAGAAGTGGATATGGAACTTGCCATCATAGAGCTTAGGGTGTGGTAGGGGTTACCCAAAAAGAGTTAAACAATTAATACTTTAAAAAATTATAAACTGTATAGGGGCTCTGAAGGAGAAAAGGAAAGTGCTGAGATAGTGCATAATGTGGGCAGGATCTAGTGTAGGTGGCAGAGTCAAGAAAGGCTTCTTGGTAAATGTGAATTTTGAGACCCCCAAACTTGAGATGGAGCTAGCCATGCAATAACCAGGGAAGAAAGTTCCAGGCAACGAAGACAGCATGTAAGGGGCAGTAGGTAAGTAAGAGCTTGACTCATAACCTGATTTAAGTTTTAATGTACAAACAATCAAGTTGTCATGGGTCAAGAAAGCCTTAGACTAAGCTGAGTGAAGGGGGCTCTAAATAGAATCATATAGGAGAAATAACACTGGGAAAATGAGGATAGTTTAGCTGGATTCTACTTTGAGAGTATGATAAAGGAGAAACATTAGTTTCACACTTTACTAGTTTTTAAATATGTGTAACTTCCATATTATTTAAACTATAACATGAGGCATTTAGGTTATATATATATATATATATATAAATATATATATATATATATATATATATATATATTTTTTTTTTTTTTTTTATGCAGAGTCTCACTCTGTCGCCGAGGCTGGAATGCAGTGGCATGGTCTCCACGGACTGCGAGCTCGCTTCCTGGGATCAAGCAATTCTCCTGTCTCAGCCTCCCGAGTAGCTGGGATTACAGGTGCACACCACTATGCCCAGCTAATTTTTGTATTTTTAGTAGAGAGGAGGGTTCTCCATGTTGATGAGGCTGGTCTTGAACTCCTGACCTTAGGTGATCTGCCTGTGTCGGCCTCCCAAAGTGCTGGGATTACAGGCATGAGCTACTGCGCCTGGCTGATAAATAATTTTTTAAGTATGCATGTGACTCTCACGAGTGTGGACTGCTAGCTAAGGCTGGCTCATCAATATTTGTCTAGAGATCTTAAAACTGAGTGAAATACTGTCTAAGTGAATTTTAATCATAATGAGTAATATTAATTGAACATTTACAGTGTACCAAGGAAGTCACTAAATGTTTCTATTATCTCAATTAAACCTATAATAATCCTATGAACTAGATACTATGATGGCCTCTGGGTCCTAGATGAGAAAACTGAGAATCAGAGAGAGTTAGTATGAGGCTCCTCACACTTTGGGAGGCTTTCTCTGCATCTGAAGCCACTTGAAAGTCTAGACTCATTGACTTTGTGAATTTTAATGACTTCCTTCCTCCCTCCCTTCCTTCCCTCCCTTCTTCCTTCCTTCTCTCCCTCCCTCTCTTCTTTCCTTCTTTTTTCCCCTTCCTCTCTTTGTTCCTTCCTCCCTCTTACCAAATGCTAGTACAGCACTGGATATGGTGAATATATCATTTCAGGCATAAGAAATTATATGCCGTGTAATCCCAGCACTCTGGGAGGCCGAGGCGGGCAGATCACGAGGTCAGAAGTTTGAGACCAGCCTGACCAACATAGTGAAACCCCGTCTCTACTAAAAATAGAAAAATTAGCCCGATGTGGTGGCACGTGCCTGTAAACCCAGCTACTCAGGAGGCCGAGGCAGGAGAATCGCTTGAACCTGGGAGGTGGAGGTTGCAGTGAGCCGAGATCACACCACTGCACCCAGCCTGGGTGACAGAGTGAGACTCCGTCTCAAAAAAAAAAAAAAAAAATGAAGTTGTGTGCACGGGGACCCATATCCTCCAGTCCTATAGAATTGTAAGTTGGTTACTATAGAACTTGTGCTGTATTTGGAACCTTTCACTGAAGAATATAAGCAAATGTCAAACCTGTAATTTGTCAGAGTTTCCATTTCACAATCTGAAGAACTGAAGTGTACAACCTTCACTCTGCATTGTTGAAATGAAGAGAAAGAGTTAAAGGTAATTATCCATATAATTTGAAAGAAAAAATGTCTCCTTCTGCTCAAGAAGTAGGGTCTGATACCTTGATTAATTTGTACTGGTTACTAATATTTAATTTCCCTGGATAGTGTCTGAACTTTCCATTTCAGTTTGCCATTGTACCCCCTTTGTATTTTAAAATTATTTTTCTTTATCACACCTGTAATCCCAGCACTTTGGGAGGCCGAGGTGGGCGGATCACGAGGTCAGGAGATCGAGACCACGGTGAAACCCCGTCTCTACTAAAAAAATACAAAAAAATTAGCCGGGCGTGGTGGCGGCGCCTGTAGTCCCAGCTACTCGGGAGGCTGAGGCAGGAGAATGGCGGGAACCCGGGAGGCGGAGCTTGCAGTGAGCTGAGATTGCGCCACTGCACTCCAGCCTGGGCGACAGAGCGACACTCCATCTCAAAAAAAAAAAAAAATTATTTTTCTTTAAAGGTTATTTGTCTATGATTGTGCATTTTAATAGTATGAAAGGGTACCTGGTCAAAACTGTTTGCCTTTTGTCACTTTCTGCTAACTCTTTTCCCTAGAGACAATGTTACTATTATTTGTTTATCATTTCAGAGATCTTTATTGTTATATGGGCACATATAACTGATTTTGTCAGTTAAAAAAATCTGAATGCTTACTATAAAAAATGATGGCATGGAATATTTTTCTTCACTTAAAGATGAATCTTAGATGTCAGTCTACATTAATCTATATGTAGCTAACTCTTCCCTGCGAAGAGTATTTATTCCTTTGTACAAAGGCCATAATACTAGAACTTGCTCATAAGAATTTATGTTCTTTACAGACTCTTGCTATGATAAACAATATCTTTGTAAACATGTGTGATTATATCTGTAGGATAAATTCCTGAAAGAAGAATTGGAATTTTTTTGGTCAAAAATACTGTATTGTACATTTAAAAACTTTTATAATTATTTCCAGATTGCCCTGCAAAGAAATTATCATAATTTACATTCTCAAAACAAGGTTGTCATAATGTTTGAGTTGATGCAGTAGCTCCTTAGCAATTAATAGACGTTCATTTTACAATCTGTCAACATTTGCAACTTTCACGAAGCCTCACAAGTGATCGTGTACCCAGGTAAAACAGCTTATGTTAGACATTCTTGTGCAAGGTTTATGGTTGGCTGTTGTTCTTAATCCTTTCCAGTTATAAGAGCTCATTGAATGTCTCAGTTCAAGGTTGCCATGTTATATTATGAGACATTGGGTACTGTCGGTGAGACTTGGCATGACTGGACGAGCCATTCTGATCTTTGAATTACACAGCAAGTAGAAGCCAGGACAGTATGTTCTTGACTTAAGGCATCCTCAGCAAAGTGATAACCTAGCTGATCTTCTGAGAACCCTCAGCCAGACACAGTGGAGTTTATGGTAAATTATAGCTCTTGTTGAGCATTGACTATATGCCTAGCACCCTTGCATATGATTTCTAATCTTTACAACAACCCTCCAAAATGGGAATAACTATCCTCACTTTACAATTTTGGAAATTTAAGTTCAAAACGGCTGAGTGCATTTCTCAAGGTCAAGGTCACATAACTAATAATTGGCAGAGCTATCTCCCTCTGCCTGCTTCCAGAGGAGTTTTTCCTTTTATTGCATCATTGCAATTGACCATCAGAATCACTTGGCTTTACTAATTTTTTATGCATTAAACAGGTTTTTCTGGTCAGTATCCAGGCAAATTTAGGCAGTTCTTGTTTGGAAGGGTCCTTTCCTTTGGTTGGTCCAGCTTTTGCACCCCTGTACTTAGAGGGATGCTCAGATGCTCAGATGTCTTTGCTACTGCTGTGTCCAGCTGTGGTGTATCTTCCCATGCTGACCCTACTCTCATGTTTCTGAACTGACATCTCGCAAGATTAATTGAGATGCTGTAGTTTTCTAGCGCTACACTGGCTGTAATTAGTCGCTGACATATGATGATTTATTATAGGGGATTCCTTTAGAAATTTACTTTGTGTTTTGGGACTAAGAAATGATCGTTAGAGTTTCAGACTTACAGCTCTTGTCCTGCACCACTTAACTGATCAAAACTATGTTTGGGATGACCAGGCAGCTTGACATCATAGCACTGGTCATCCTGACTCTCTAAGTAAAACTGAAATGTGTGGCAAATTAAAAGCAGTGAAGATGGTGCATGGCTAAATTAATTCATCTTGATTAGGCCCTGGTGAATTTTTAAATATATAATCAGATGTGAGAATTTAAGATGTGGGATAGTCAAAGCCAAGAATCCAGGAAGACTTCTAGCAATTCCACAAAGACAAAAAGCAAAGATGCCAGAAGACTGTGGCCAGGCTTGCTTGTGGAATGAAAATAAGGGGAAAAAAATCACTTACAATAGATTAACAGTATACCCTGTCAAAGAGTGTGCCAGAAGTCACGTAAAATTCCCAACCCACTGACAGAGATTTTGGAGAGGTGATGAGAGTGAGGGGAAGGGATTATCTGAAAAATATGAACAAGGCAGTAGTGAGGAATAAGATGCCAGCATCAACTTCCGCTGTCACTTGTTTTCTCAACGGTTAGCCATGCCACTAAGGTCAACTCAGTATGTTATTAAAATGGGCGGTTTTAGGTAATGATTACTTTCTTGGCAGATAGAGGATTCTTTTATCTTTGGGGTCATGCATTTTTAAAAGCCTTTGTCTGCATAGATTTATTTAAAACACACACACACACACACACACACACACACACACACACACCCCCTTAAGCAAGGTATGCTGGCTCACACCTATAATCCCACACTTTGGGAGGCTGAGGCGGGAGGACCACTTGAGCCCAGGAGTTCAAGACCAGCTGGAGCAACAAAGTGAGCTCCTTGTCTCAACAACAACAATGACAACAACAACAACAACATCTGGGCATGGTGGTGCATGACTGTGATCCCAGCTACATGGGAGGCTGAGGCAGGAGGTTCCCTTGTGCCAGGAGGTTGAGGCTGCAGTAAGCTATGTTCATGCTACTCTACTCCAGCCTGGAAGAGAGAGTGAAAAACAACCAACCAACCAACAAAAAAGCAGCTTGATTGAAGTGTAGTTGATGTACAAAAATCTACACAGATTTAATGTATACAATTTGCGGATTTTAATATATGCAAAGATGCATGAGACAATCAGTACAATTAAGGTAATAAATATATCTATTATCTCCAGAAGTTTCTTCCTGCCCCCGCTCCATGTTTTTACTGGTAAGATCACTTGACATCTACTTGCTTGACAGATTTTTAAGTGCATAAAACAGTGTTGTTAACTATAGGCACTATGTCGTGTAGCAGATCTCTAGCACTTATTCATCTTGCAGAATTGAAATTTTATACCCTTTGTACCCTTGAACAATAACTCTCCATTTTTCCTTCCTCTACAGGCTCTGGAAGCCACCATTCTACTCTTTGTTTCTATGAGTTTGACTATTTTAGATACCTTATATAAGTAGAATCACCCAGTATTTAACCTTCTGTAACTGCCTTATTTCACTTAGCATACTGTCTTCCAGGTACATGTATGTTGTCACATATGGCAGGATTTCCTTCTTTTTCAAGGCTGAGTAACATTCTATTCTCTGTGTGTGTGTGTGTGTGTGTGTGTGTGTGTGTGTATAACATGCCACGTTTTCTTTATTCATTTATTGATAGATATTTAGGTTGTTTCCATATCTTGACTACCGTGAATTAAGTAAACTCCAATGATCATGGGAGTGCAGATATCACTTCTAGATCTAAATCTTTGACATCTTGACTTCAATTCCTTTGGGCACAGATTTCTATGAAGATTTCTTTTTTCTTTTTCTTTTTCTTTTTTTTTTTTTTTGAGACGAGTCTCACACTGGCACCCAGGCTGGAGTTCAGTGGCACCATCTTGGATCACTGCAAGCTCTGCCTCCTGGGTTCACCCTTTCTACTGCCTCAGCCTCCTGAGTAGCTGGGACTACAGGCGCCTGCCACCATGCCCGGCAAATTTTCTGTATTTTTAGTAGAGACGGGTTTTACCGTGTTAAGCAGGATGGTCTCGATCTCCTGACCTCGTGATCCGCCCGCCTCAGCCTCCCAAAGTGCTGGGATTACAGGCGTGAGCCACAGCACCAGGCCTTCTATGAAGATTTATAAGTTGCTCAGTTTTTATTTCTGGTGTGTGTGTGTGTGTGTGTGTGTGTGTGTGTGTATGTGTGTATGTGTGTGTGTTTTAATTTTAAAAACCCTGTCATATTTAGGATATACCTCGTGATGAGTGTGATCAGCACTAATTGTCACTCTGTTATACTAAAAGCTCTTTCCGTAGTGTGTCTTCATTGCAAGCATCCATTGTGTATGGAATCCTGAATACAGTTATTTGAATGTCTGAGTATTAAACAATTAACTGTCTTTACAGAATGTCCTCCGGGGAACATAGTTTTTCCTTAGGGACCCTTGGGATCTCTAACCGCTTAAAATCTAGAAGCTCTTATGTGATAGGATGGGAAATTAAAAAATAAATCTCTACTATATGTTAGGATGTCCATACTGCATATAGCTCCTTAAGATAATGGACTATGATTCTATCTTGTCTCTGCGCCCAGTACATGGCACATTTCAGGGTGTCACAGATTTCCTAGGATTAAAATGCTTAGTAAATATATGAATGAATTCTAATTTTAGTTTCTTTATCTGGCACCTTTTCTTGTACTTTCTGAGCAATAAGAAGTAGGTATCTGGGTTTCTAGTAGATTTATGCCATATAATTAAGAAATATTGATTTAATAATTTTTGTGTCCTGTGAACTTTATTTAATCATTAGCTAATAAGATTTATTGAGCATCTTGCAGTTCTGTAGCCCTGTGCTTGATGGTGTTAGCTCCTTAGCACGTAATTGTTTTGACTAGAATGGTAATTTAAGGTAATTTGATATACAAAATGGAGTGCTATGTATGGCAAAGTTGAGAGGGGGTGAGGAGAATATAACTTCAAACCTGTTTGAAAACTCATCAAGTAATATTTTTCTTACTTTAAATGTGCTTTGGCCTCCTTTGTGTGCAAGCAATAGAGACCTATTTAGGCTCCTTTAACTACTGGGGGTTTATCAAAAGGTGAAATATAGAAATAAAGAGACGAGAAATACTGTCCACATGGGAGATTCTGATGTGAATTCTGGGAAAGCTGCACAAGTGTGGCACACCTGGACCTCACCTAGATGGAGGGTGGTTCGAAACTAGAAGGTCCTTTGTGACTTTTGTCTGATGAGGAGTCCTAGCAGTTTGAGGATCCAGTTTTCATAGTTACATAGTTAATTTAGTTTAATGACTTATTCTGTCTTTTTCATCTTTGTGGTTTGCGTTTTTCTCCTTTCTCAATGAATTGCTAGCTCTCTTCTCAAGAGAAGCCTGGATTGCTTAAGTTACCATCTTCCCACCTTTGTGGGCAGTGCCCTTGCTGGAGTCCACCTGATACCCTGTGGATCAGCTGCCCTTTGTCGGGTTCCCATCACAGCCCCAATGTGCTGTGGGTGAAGGGGTGGCCAGGGTGTTGAGAGAGAGCCAAGTCCATCAGAGAACTTTCAGAAGTACCTTGCTGTGAATCATCCTTCACAGCCTAGTGGGTGCCGCTCCTCCCTTTTATTCAATTTTTTAATAAACTCAATATTTGATCAAATTAAGTGGAGGGAGGGAGGATGGAATAACATGCTCCTGATATAATGGAAAATTCAGGCTCATTGAACTTGTGTGATGTGCCACAATCCTTTTAGAACAAGACCGTGATTGAAACTAGTCTCTTTTCTCTATTACTTTTTTGATTGTTTTAAAAAAAATCAAGAATATTTCTAAAATATAAAAAAAATTACAGGAGAGATAATTTGAGTATCTTCACTTTTTACACTCCTGCCAAGAATGCCCCACAACCCCACCCATTACAGAAGGATCAGATTCCATATTGGAAATATATGCCAATTTCAATTTAGCTGCTCAGTACCAAGAATTCTTGCACCTATGAGATGCTAAAGGTTTGAACTAAATGGAGCCACATTCATCATTGTTGTAGAAATCTGCCAGTGTTTAAAAGGTGCTACAGGGAACCTTTAAGTCATGCACCAAATTAAAAGATTGCAAGCTCCACTGGTGTAGTCAAAAGCAAGCTCAAAGCTGAGTGGCATCAAACCAAGAGTAGAAGATAACTTGTTACTGAATTTTGTTCTTCCTCTGAATGCCACTCTTTCAAGCAGAGCGAGGAAAATATGAATTTTGTGTTGTTAAAAGATGTTTATTTCCACACCCTAATTTATGTTTCAAACTGCAGGCTTTTGCAGAGAGTGTTTCTCTGAAACTTTTAAAGAAAGTGACATGTTACTACATGGGAAGAAAAGATAGAGCCTGGTTGGTAATGATTATACAGTCAGGGCTTTATCTGCTTGCAGATAATTTGTGGCTTATTTTTAACCGTCTGCCAGTTTCTTTTCTCATTGTTACATTTACCTGCTGATTGCAACCCTGAGCCAATCAGTCACTGGTGAGCATTTGGTGAATTCTACTTTTTTAAACTGGCCAAAAGAAAACACATATTTCCAGAATGGACACAGTGATACTAGCTAATATTTATTGAATACTTATTATGCAGTAGATTCAATATTTTAAATTTAACATTTACAGAAACCTCACCATAGCAAGAATTATCATTACTGTTTTACTGATGAATAGGGTGAGGCTTAGAAAGGTAAGTAACTTGTCAAGGTCTTAAAGGTAGTCAATGTCAGAGGCAGGGCTTGGATCCAGGGGAAACCTGGTCAATTTTAATCCTGCACTGAGAGGTGATCACAATCTGAAGACTGTGATCGACACTAAGACAGATTTTGTCAAACAAGCTGGTATCATGAGGAAGTCAGTTTGGATGATGATGGTATCCCATAACATGTCTCAAGAAGAACTTAGGATGTTTAGCTTATGGTGGTGTAAATTCAGTGCAAGGGGATGTAATAGGTGTCTTCATTTACATGAAACAATTTCAAGCGAAAGATGACTTAGATCTGCTTTGCATTTGCACAGGGGTGAGATGTAAGACATATTAAAGAAAACCATAAAGAGCCAACTGAATGAAATGATTCATCAATAAATGTGTTTCCTCAACGTATAGTGAGTGTCCTATCAATGGAAACTTTAACAAAGGAGCTAGATTTTGGTTTTACAGGACTCTTAGATCTATGGATTAAGATGTGTCTGTAATATTAGATGTATCTTAGAGAATAATTATCCAAAATATACTTCATGGAACATGGAGGAACTACAGACTAACATTTTCTATGGTAAAATATTTGGGAAATGCTTCATTTTTTCTTTCATAATATATTAACACGTTAAAGGCCAAATCAACTATTTAGGAAAAGAAAATAAAACAAAATTTCACCAACTTTATGAAGCTAACATTTCCTGAGCTTTAACATTTTTCATTTGTTATTATTTTTTGATACTAGGAAAGCCTTCTTGTGATACTATTAAGATCCCATAGAACATTGCAAATGCTTGTCCAAACCTGCAAAAAAAAAAAAAAAAAAAAGCGCACATCATGTGCAGAGACTTCCCATGGGCATTGGGTGCAGCTATTTGTAATGAGAAACAAAATAACTGTTGGCTTCCGTAGTGGACTTGTGAGAACCAGTAGTTTTGCATGGTGCAGGGATAGATAAGAAAGTTGTTTTCGATATGCTATTTTGGATTCTCTCACTCTAGGAAATAATCAAGTGTTGATGGTATTAAATTTCCTTTAGCATACATGCAAAGAGGGCATGTTTATAGACTTTGACTTGAACTTCTTCTAACAGGCCTTATTTTCCCTGAGTATGTTTCTACTTACTTAAAAACAGATGCTCTCTGAAAAATTCATGAAAACCAAAAATATGCTGGAGACTTTGGAGAGAAGCTCTTCACCCTGTTATTAAAGTTAGATTGTTTCTAACAATTTTTTTTTGCATCTTCTGCTTGGCAGTTAACTTCATGACCTTGAACAACCTTTCTGGCTTTCCTGTAACTCAGTTTCCTTCATTTACCTACCTACTTAACCAGATTGTACATAAAAATACATAGTATATATATAAATGGTTATATTAACAGATAGATCCTTTCAAACACACTTATATTGGTGGCTTTGTTAATGAATATTGCATTTGTGGCAGATAGACATGTTTCCTTAAATGAAGGTTTTCAAAACTGGCATTGTAAGTAAATTTTACATATTATCAGTTGCTTGCACCCAAAACTATTTCTACTGTGAACTGGAATACATCTTAAGAAATTATTTTAAAAGATGTAAATAACTAGTGGTAAAGTGATAGAGCACATCATAACTTTCTTCATTATCATAAGTAATGTGGCTTTGTCCATATGTTATTCTCATTTGAATTATAATTCTTATTTTTATTGTATGGGGGTTTGCACACTTTTGTCCTCAACTTTTCTTGTTTATTTTAAAAAGGGAGTCTCAGGATTTTTCTTCTGAAGTTAAAATTTAACCCTAAAGAAAGATGCCACAGTAGTTTAGTCTGCTTTTCTGGAGCTCTGAACCATTGAGGGCCAGAACTGACACTATAAGCAGGAGCAGCAGTCCCAAGATGGGATTCTAATATCAACCTTTGTTTTATCTGATTCACTATGAGTAAGAGGATACAATATGAGTGAACAGCAAACCTGTGAGAAACCTACAAGTATAAAACCAATGGTATTTAATTCAGGTAATAAAATAGAATTCTTAAACACCCTCTAAATTAAAAAGCCAGAAGATGCAGTTCTAATTACATGCCTTAACTAGAAGTAGGATATTTGCAGCTTATCAAGTTTTATGTAAATTTGTTCCTTTGGCACAATTTGCCTATATAAGCAGTATTAGTTCAGTATAAAATGTTTATTAGTTATTGAAACTGGCTCTAGTGTAATTTCTGTGTTTTAATACATAGTCCCAAGTTTTGTGGGATCCCTAGAGAGAACTGTGTGGTGTCTATGTTTTGAATAAACAGGTTTTTTGAATAATAGTAACTTACATATCTATAGTCTCTTATCTGAAGCCCTTGGGGTCAAAAGTAGTTTAGAATTTTAGATTTTAGAACGGTAGTATGCTACTAGTGCTGTGTGCTATGTGACATTCCAATAGAATCTTGGGCAATGGCCAAGCATGTTGACATTTCTTAGTGCTTGAATGGGATAAAGATCATAAAGAGCATCTTTTTCAGCTGAGGTCAGGTTGGGCTGACAGTGTGTTTGGTTTTCCAGAGCGTTTTGCATATTGGAACTGCAGATAAGGGATTATGGACCTGTAATATTAAATATAATAGCTGACATGTATTGTGTTTATTCCAAGCCAGACATGGTACTTTACTTGTATTATCTCATTTAATCTTTGCAACTCTTTGAAGAAGGTGATAGTATTAATTTTGTTTTACAGATGAGGAAGAGTTTCAGAGAAGTTAAGAAACTTGCCTAAGGATACATACACCTAGTAAGAAAGTGGTAGAGTTACATCTCAACTAAGTCGAATTAGACACCAAATCTGGTGTGCACAATAACTAGTTATCCTCCTCGTATTCAGTGTCTCTGATTTGCAGCCCATAGACTCAGTCTTACATCAACATAAAGGGAATTAATACGAAGGGTATCAGGTGATGGAGTATCAGGCCCAGGGGATAATTGGGGGAAAGAATGAGTCTCAGTAGCAACACTTCTTTGATAGTCTTTCTTGGCCATTTCCATTAGAATAAATATACTTCTAGTAGCAGTAAGATTCAGATGAGAGAGAATACTTGAGCTTGTGTTGCTGTTAGCTAGGGTAAAGTGGGGTGTCACAAATCCAGCATGATGGAGCAGTGTTCCTAAAGGAAAATTGATTGCTGTCAGCAAAAGATGTGATTCACGTGAGACAGCACACTCATGTAAAATGTCCACTGTATGGATGATTAATTAATTGCAGATGAAACTAACATTTGGATGAAAACCCCAGTTAGTTTTTTAAGTATAATCCATTTTAAGTTTACCACCTGCTTGATACCAGCAAAACAGTTAACTTATCATCTTGAATACTCAGATTCCTGTGGCAGTTCAGACACTTTCTAGGTCTTGGATCTCAGATCTAGAATCAGTGAGCTTTTTTCTTATTTGTAATCTGAGAGCAACAGTACATCTCCCAATTTACCTAGTGGGCATTGTGTTAGCTAAGATAGCCCAAAGAGCTTCTGGAAGTTCATACCCTATGTGTTCATATTTCTCATGCTGATTCTGTGTTGTTCTTGTATAACCAGCAGATGCAGTAGGGGAGATCCTGCATAACTTCTGTGGCCAAGTCATAAGGAGCCTTGCAGTGTCCACCTTATTTTCTTGGCATCTTCACTCTAGGGGAAGCTACTGCCATGTAAGAAGTCTGATCATTATGCTGTGAGGAAGTCCAAGCTAACCACGTGGAGAAAGATCAATTCCTGGCCAGCCAGCTGCTATTCTAGCTCTCCCAGCTAGTGTGCCAGACATGTAAATTACCTTGGACATCCCCACCCAACCGAACCATTAGTTCATTTCAGTCTAAAGTGCCATCTGACTGAAATGGCATGAACGATACCAAGGGACAACTGCCCAGCTGAGCCCAGACCACTCACAGAAACACGAGGGGCAATAATCCACGGTAATAAGTCACTAGGTTTCCCCGTAGTTTGTTATCCAATAGCAGATATCCAGAAACAGGTTTGCTGTGAAGAAGAGAGATAATGTGTTATATTCCTCAAATGAAGGTGAGCAGCTGTTTTATTATAATTGCTTTGACAATCCAGAAAGCAAGGTCTTTCTAATATCCTCAGAGGTTTCATTACAATTTGCCATTGTGATGAGGATAGTGATCATGCTGTACTCTCTGGACAGGGATGGAGAGTGTTAGTGATTGGCCAGCATCCAAGATTGTCATCATTTTTCCTTAGTGCAGGAGTTTAAAACATTCTGCCATTTTCTCACTCGTATTTATATTTTCACAATGAATGGGGTTTTCTCTAATAAGATTACTGTCATAAAGTCTCTTATTTAAAACTTCTGATGGATCCTCATTGTGGATGACAGGGCCCATTTCTCTGTTTTTGTAGACTGTCCCTCTGTCCAGAAACTACAGGGGAAATAAGATGTAGATTTTGAAAAAGTGACAGCGAGTCAAAGAACAGTTGGTCAAACAGCTTCCCAGCAGTTGGGACAGGCTGCCAGAGTGAATGTCAAAGAGAAGTTGGTTCTTGGATGGTTTTACAGAAAAACAAGACAATGAAACAAAGAAATAAGAAATAAGTAGGAGGCATGCAGAGGGACAAAAATGAAGGACTTGATATTAGGACACCAGAGCAATCAGTAGTAGGTTGGATAGGAGGAGTTGAGAAGAGGGAGGAGGAAGCAACTAAGGGTTGGTTGGAACTTCAACACTTAATGGGTTCACTCCCTCCTGTCTGTAATTAATTCTAGCTTTAGTTACTTCATTTTCTCCTTAGAGGAAGATAAAGTGACCTGGACTATCTTCTTTATGTTATAGTTGTTTAGAATCAAAGGGCATTTTCTTAAAGTCTCTTTTCCCAAGTAATTCTTAAGATTTCTTAAGTGTCATTGTCTCTTCAGGTGGAGTCATAAAATGCATCTCTATGAGGGGCAATAAAATGCATGGAGGTGCCTTTTATGGCTGTTGCTAGCAGAGGACTAGAATAAGATAATGATGGTATTTTGCAAATAGTGATAAGGAGCAAATTGCACATTCCAATGTCAATCTGTTCTCAAAAGAGTATAGTTCAAAGTTTCTACAAAGCTTTTTGAAAGCTTTTCTTTTTTGAAATGAGTCTCTGATTTCTGTTTTTCCTAGCTATACATAGATTTTATTTTGGGGAAAATTTTAGGTAGTAACATTATCCTTAATATTTACTGATTTGCTGTAGAATTTTAAACTGGACAAATGAAAGCCCTTGAGGAAGAGAAATTTATATTCTAACATAGCGAAATAAATATATGTCTTGCAACTTGAATTGTTGTTAGGAAATTACTTGTATGCCTGAGTTCATGAATTATTTAATTTAAGATTATTTTCCTTTTTCTAATTTATCACTGGCTAGGTCCTTTAACAATCTTTTGATTTATTAAGAGTCATTTTCCAGAATTAGATTTAAAGCTCTATTGTTTTCTTATGATTTTCCTATGAAAATTGAGTATGTCTCCTATAAAAGCTATATTTCTCTTGTTTGACTTATTTCATTTCTCTATTATGAAAGGCAATCATTTTAAAACTGATGAAATTTTAAAAAATTGACCTAATCTGAAAAAACCAGCCCATTTCATGATCCTTCTTCACTTATTGGAAAAGACTATGGAGTCAGGAGTTGGGGAATGTACCGACCTCCATTAAGAGGTAAATGACTTGCTTGTGTCTAGAAGCGTTTGTGTCATTTGCCTCTCAGTGCTTGCTGCAGTTTTAAGGAAATTGTCCTCCTATTAAGGTTATGTATCAGAATCACCCTTGAAACTTTTTATTAATAAAGATTCTCTGTCCCCACAATGAGGTTTATTAAATCAGAATCTCCAGGGCACTGGTGTGCTGAACGAGTCTCCTAGGTGATTTGAATTCGTACCCCAGTCTGCATCTGAAAACTGCCGCTTTTCAAAGAGAGGCAGACAGGTTGATGGATGATAGGATCCAGTCTGACACATGGAAAAGCTACAAGGAGGGAGCATGGAGGAATCCTTCATTTAGGGAGACATGAGTATTGTGAATGATGGTGTAATCACTGCTAAAAATTTCTCGGGTTTCTAAGAAAGTTTTATGTCCTCAGTTTTCTTGATGGTGTCTCCAGCCAAGCTGTAATGCAGTGGTTCCCAACTAGGGGCATCTTGGTCTCCAGGGGCTATTTGACAATGGCTGGTCCTATTTTTGGTTGTGATAACTAAGGGGATGCCGCTGGCATCTAGTGATTAGAGGCCAGGGATGCTGCTGAACACCCTCAGTGCAAGGGGAGCCCTGTGTTAGTCAGAATTCTCCAGAGAAACAGAACATATATGATGGCCCAGCTTATGCGGCAGTCATGTGGGAGTTTTCTCTTACTCAGCTTTTTGTCCTCTTTTGATCTCCAATTGATTGGGTGAGGACCTCCCACATTATGGAGGGCAATCTGCTTTACTTAGTCTGGAGATTCAAATGTTAACCTCATCCAAAATATCCTCACAGACACACCCAGAAGTACATTTGACCAAATGTCTACACAACCTGTGGCCCAGTCAAGTTGATATATAAAATTGACCATCACAGCCCCTTACAACAAAGAGTTATCAGGCCCAAAATGTCAGTAGTATCAAGGCTGGGAAACCCTGATCTAGTGAAGTGCAGTGAAATTCTCAAAATAAAAATATTCTAGGGGCCAGCATTGAAAAGGATGTGGCAGGGCCAGGTAGGAGAGCATTAGAGATGGCCTGTGTGGACCTTGAGGAAGCCAGATGAGATAAAGAGGAGGAGAGGGCATGAACATAGGATAAAAGCTCGAGACAGGAAGAGATGGGGTTAAAATGAACATCAGGTACTTGAAAAGAGGGATGTTCATCAGGTGTTATTTTTCCTAGCAGTGTTATGTAAAATACGAGTACTATCTGAAAGTCTGAAAAAGGTAGGGCCAATTTAACATCAGCTTTAAGATAGTAAATCTCTATTCTGTAAGATGTAATGGTAGTTTTTAAGCCTTGAAAATTGGAAATGTTAGACAATGGTAGCATATGTGAGCCAGAGAGAATTTGATGGTAAATTTGTAGTACAGAACTTTAGACTTGTTTTTACCAGGAAGAAGCATCAGAGAAACAGTGAGAGTAATCAGCGCATATTTGTTGTATTTCCGAGGCTGGTAATGGAGCTAAAGTGTGGGGGCAGAGCTTTTTGTTTGGGAAAGTGTGGAAATGGGGCTGGTCAATGCAGATGAAGGGGTGCTATGGGAACCTTATGATGTAAAATACACTCTCTCATTGTCTTCACAAGTGTAGCTCTAATTGCCTGACCTATGTGCAGATTTGTTGTTCAGAACAAATGGGGTTACCATAAGTATGGAAAATGGTTCCTGGTCTACAGCGAATTGGAGAGACTAGAGAGGCAAGCCAGTGCTCTTAAATAGCAGTGACCCATCTAAGTTCATTTTTCATCACCCTTCTGGTAAATACTTCCTAATTTTCTCTAGGGGATGTGCTTTCCCCATGTTTGATCTGTTTTTTTCTGAGAGGTGTTTGGTTCATCCTGGTTGTAGGGTTGGGTTTGTGATATAGGCATAGCCTCTCAGAGGCATTTGGCCATAAGTCTTATCTGGGTATGGGCTCATGACCCCAGGTCAATCTAGTCAGATCTGCTGATGTTAATTCTGAGGCTCTTTTCTTTCCTTACTTTTGTATTTGGAGGTGTAAGGATGTAATCCCACGTTCTTGGTCATAATCTTGTCATACTATAGAAAGGGACTTTTTCAAAATGTAGTTAATTCAAGGAAGACCAGAGTTGAGAGACCTTATATCATTTGTGCTCCTGGATGAAGCTGTACCTGAAGCTAGGTTGTCCCAGAATTCTGTTAGTAAACTATTAAATTTCTTTTTTGGTTATACTAGTTTGTGTTGTTTCTTTCACTAATGACTGAACAAATTACTAAAAGATACACTGAATTATTAGGAGAAACTGTCCAATTAGTAAGTGATATAGCCAACTAATAACTAATTAATTAATGTTTCATACTCCAGTATTTGGGCTCTGTGTATATATTGGTGATATTCTTCCATTCTTGTTTGTTTGTGTTTTGGAGAGTTTGACAAAAATGCATAGGCTATCTCTGGTAATGCTTGGTTTAAAGCATATTTCATATTCAGAAAGATGTTGTATTTGAGAAGCGACGTGGTAATTGGTTTTGAGAGTATACATCTTAGACAATTAAATGGTTACATTGCTTCCTTCCTTGGTTTAAAAAAAAAAAAAGAAATCCAAGGGTATTCCAGTTGTATAAATAGGGACAACACAGTTTATGCTATTTGTAATTACAGATACCACTCAAAAGAATTGATTCCGTTTACTTTTGTATTAGTGTACTGTGGAAAGTCGTTAATTATAATGTCTGTTCTTATCCAACAACATGCAATAAGTAAAGATGAAAATATAGAGATTATTAGTTTGAATAACTGGTTGCATGCCATCCGGTTTTATATGATTGCTGAAATGCAAAACAAACAACCCCTCCCCCCGAAGAAAACAACCCACCGTTCTTAAATAAGACATTTGTGACATAACAAATTAGAATCTAGGAGAAGGAAAATATTTTCCCAGTATCTAAAGCCATTGAATCAAAATAATCGTGTAGATCACACTTTAGTTCAGATATAACCTAAATAAATTCTCTAGCCAGGGCACCCATCTGTCAAAAAATAAAACTCTGGCCCTCATTTAAAATGGCTCCTTTAGACTGAGGTCATCTAGCTGTATCTAAATTGGACATGAAATGTCAATTTCATACCTTATAGTGGCACATTTCATATTGCTCTACTTAAGGTTATGTCAGCTTTACCCATAAAATGCAAGTGATTTAGGTCTTATTCTAAATGAACTAACCAGATACATCAGCAATGGGCACTGCCTTGCCACTGCAGAAAAAGGGAATGTGTGAAGGGAAGACAGAAACCACTTATTCTGTTTCTTAACTCTGGAAGTATAGGTATTCCAGGTTGGGATGTCTTGTCTATATTTTCATTCCTTGTGAATGATAATTTGGGGGTGGGGGGATTAGAAAGATGCTTTATTCAAAATGAATTGTATTGCCTGCAGGCGATTCACTTGCTTAAGTTATATTTGTGAGTTATTGTATGTAACTTTATCACATTGGAAAGTTTATGAACCTTGTGTAGAAAAAAGATTGCATTTTGGGAGCTATGCACATCATGGCTTTTTCACAAGTGACAGAAAAGTGCTGCAGATGATTTAAGCAGGAAGAAATGAATTTTTCGAAAGATTTTGAGTCCAGAAGGGAGATAGGGCAGTCAGTCTTGGAAGATGAAAAGGACAAAGCCAAAGCGGGCCAGGCAGGCAAGGGAGTAGTGTTGTGAACGCCCTACCCCACCCCTACTGCATCTGAGTGTTGCAACTGCCTGTGTTGCCACTATGTAAACACTGCTCCTTAATATCTGCTTCCTTGGATCCGAATTCAGAGCCCTGGGGACAGTGCATCTCATTGGCTGAGCATGTATCAGCCATTGGTAACCAAGCTGCAAAGAGGCTGGGAAAGTAAGTAGTCGGCTCTTTCAGCTTCTAGCTGGAATGTGATCACCTCCCAATATTCTTCTTCTTCTTTTTTTTTTTTTTTTTCGAGACGGAGTCTCGCTCTGTTGCTCAGGCTGAAGTGCAGTGGCACGATCTCAGCTCACTGCAACCTCCACTTCCCGGGTTCAAGTGATTCTCCTGCCTCAGCTCCCTAGTTACTGGGACTACAGGCGCCCGCCATCACGCCTGGCTAATTTTTGTGTTTTTTTACTAGGGACGGGGTTTCACCATGTTGGCCAGGCTGGTCTTGAACTCCTGACCTCAAGTGATCCACCTGCCTTGGCCTCCCAAAGTGCCGGGATTACAGGTGTGAGCTACCGTGCCCAGCCCCAGTATGTCTTCTTATAGTGGGGGGTATCTAAAAACAGGAAGAAGTTTCAGATGCTTGGCAGCTGACATGGCTAATTTTAGGTCAACTTGACTGTATCATGGGGTGCCTGGATAAAACATTGTTTCTGGGTGTTTCTGTGAAGGTGTGTTAGGTTGAGATCACCACTAGAATAAATGGACTTAGTAAAGCAGATTGTGAGTGGTCATCATCCAATTCACTGAGGGCATGAATAGAACAAAAATACCGAAGGGGAAAAATTAAGAATTTGTCCCTTTCTCTTCCTGCCTGCTGGTTGAGCTGGGACATTGGTCCTCTCCTGCCCTGGAACTGGTATTTATACCATTTCCTGGTTATCAGGCCTTCAGACTTGAACTGGAATTACACCATTAGCTCTTCTCTGGATCTCCAGCTTATAGATGGCAGATTTTGGAACTTCTCAGTCTCCATAATCATATGAGCCAATTCTTTGTAATAAATTTTCTTCTCTCTCTCTCTCTCTGCCTATCTATCCATCTAGTTATCTGGATATATCGCCTATGGGTTTTCTTTCTCTGGAGAGCTCTGACTAATAGAGTAGCCAAAGCAAAGACAGTTTGTATGTGTATGGTTTTATGGGGAGTGGATTTTCAGGAAAGCAGGAAAAAGATTTTTTCCAGGGCACTTGGGTAGTGCATCTTTTTTCCTCTAACAAATGGGGGAGCATGTGGCCTTCTGAGTACTGGGTTTGCTTAATGAATCAGGAGAGCCAGTGTTTATAAATATTCCTTTAAATGGCAGAGCGTAGATCCTGGTTTGTAGTCCCCTTAGTATATTTGTAATGTTTTCATCATACCCCTAGGCCAAAGAAAATACTCAACATTAAGTAGTTTTATTCATTAGGTAGGTAGGTTGAAACAAATGAATAAGAATTTATGTACTAACGTAATTTGAAAAACATATATATCATTTGAAAAAACACACAAATTGAAATAAAATATTTTTTTCTTAAATAACCACTATTGCTTACTAATGGGATATATCCTCCTGTTGGGCACAGAATGACTTCACATACATTGGAATTAGATTGGACACTGCTACCTGATTCCCATCCACATTGATTTTCATGACGCACATTTTATTACAGCAATGGCTATGAACCCAGCTTTGCAAAGATATAACATAATGAAAAGGAATGTAATGCAATCAAATATTGAAACTGCCAACTACCTCGAGCTATCCTGACAGTTGAGCATAGCTTGGGAGTGGTAGACATAGATTATCACTGAAATTCTAATGTGAGCCTGATGGCAACTTGAGTTGAAGGGCATTCTTGCAAGACTGCTTGGTTGGGGAGTGTCACACCAGCTGGATGTTTCCAGAACCAAGGGCCTGGGAAAAACTATGCCAGTGTGCACAGTGCACACTCTTCCTCAGTGTAGCCACTCTGCTTCTGATGTGTTTTGTTGTCTAAATCAGTCAGCAACCTATCACAGATGTGTGCATCTTTTCCTACCAATCCACAAAACCCACCTGATACGGTTTGTCTGTGTACCCACCCAAATTTAATCTTGAATTGTAATCCCTATAATTCCCACCTGTCATGGGGGGCACCCAGTGGGAGGTGATTGAATCATGGACACAGGTCTTTACTGTGCCGTTCTTGTCATAGCAAATGCGTCTCACAGGATCTGATGGCTTTATAAAGAGGAGTTCCCCTGCACAAGCCCTCTTGCCTGCCGCCATGTAAGATGTGCCTTTGCTTCTCCTTTGCCTTCCACCATGCTTGTGAGGACTCCCCAGCCATGTGGAACTGAGAGTCCATTAAACCTCTTTTTCTTTATAAATTACCCAGCCTCAGGTATGTCTTTATTAGCAGTGTGAGAACAGACTAATACACCACCTGAAATAATGTACCCCTTAAAATCCTTATTTATGGATTGATGAGAAAACAGAGCTTTCATTTTATATGATTAACAGAAGATAAGTGCCTCTGTTGCCCAGATCAGACTGTCTTAGTTCATTCAGGCTGCTATAACAAGTTACCATTTTCTGGGTAGCTCCTAAACAACAGAAATTTATTTCTTACAATTCTAGGGTCTTGGAAGTCCAAGATCACGGCAACCTCAGACACTTTTGGTGAGGGCCCACTTCCTGGTTCATAGATGGGCCTTCTTGCTATGTTCTCACATGGGTATAGGAGGTAACAGAGCTCTCTGCAGCCTCTTTTATAAGGGCGCTAACCCCATTCATGTCCTAATTACCTCCCCCAAAGCCCCAACTCCTAATAGCATCACCTTGGGTATTAGGATTTCAAGATATGAATTTTGGGGGAACATAAACATTCAGACCATAGCATAGGCCAATTAAGAACTAGGTATATGTAAAAGCATGGCTCCTTTTTTGGTACAAAGCTGGTGTATGCCTCAAAATTTATATTTTGCACTCAGAAAAATTCTTCCTTTTATTCCCTGAACTGCTTGTTCATGTGATCTCTACTTCTGTATGTCCAGGTCTTTGATATGTGTATGAGTTGACTGTTTCATTGTGTCGGAACATCTTTTGATTGTGTCAAGAGTTCCAGCTTCTTTTCTTTAAAGATCCTGTTTTATAATCTGCCAGCCTGACCACACTCAGCATACAGTCTTCAAAGTTACAGGTTATGTGAAACTTTCAAATGAGATATTACTTACTCCTGTTCTTCAGCTGGAATATCAGTTGCTGGGGGAGCTGGAGAAACAATTCCCAAAATGAAGAGCACCTTAGCATTTCTACAATGTTGTCATTGCAGGGTATTGTGATAGGCAGAATGCTGGCCCTGCCCCAAAGATGCCAGTGTCCTAATCTCTAGAACCTCTGAATATGCTACCTCACATGGCAAAAGGGACTCTGCCAATATGATGAAGGTAAGGATCTTAAAATGAGGAAAAAATTCTGGATTATCCTAGTGGACCTAATATTTTATAAGTGTACTTGTAAATGAAAGAGAGGGGCAGGAGTTGTGATTATGTGATTGCTGGCTTTGAAGATGAAAGAGGACCATAAGCCAAGGATCAAGGTCAGTCCCTAGAAACTGGAAAAGCCAAGAAAACAGACTCTCTGATAGACCCTCCAAAAGGAACAGGAAGGAAGCCCTGCCCAGTCTTAATTGTAGCCCAGTGAGACCCATTTTAGACTTCTGATTTCCAGAACTGTAAGATAGTAAATGTATATTGCTTTAAATTACTACATTTGTGGCAATTTGTCACATCAGTAGTAGGAAATGAATACAGCTATAAAGTGGAAGAAACCATAGAAAGTTCACTGAGCCTTTTGAGATTAATCTTTAACTCATATTCTAAAATCATATAGCTCCCTGAGTGTCAAACTGATAACTACATAATCACACTTTCACTGTTCTCAGGTTTACTACAAGCAGAATTACCCCATACTGGTGTTCAGGCAGATGAATTCTCACTATGAAATACTTTTTAATTGGCGTTCTTATGATTGCCTCCAAAATGTTTAAACCTTTTGACAGTTGCATCCATTTTATGAATCCATCTTCAGTAATAAAGATTGAAATGCTCTAAACCACCAAAAATTAGTGGCTTAATCAGAAACTGAGGGTGGTTCTATAAATCCAAAGCTGCTGGTCATTAGACCTCACTACCATCATTATGTATTTCTTCATCCTGATGCATCTCACATTCATTTTTTGACACGTTAATGATTTCTGTCGTAGGCATATTAACTGTCCACATGTAAATGTGATGGACACTGCTTTGGTTTAGCATGGGGCTATTTCGATTGGTCATACAGCCAAAGAAGGAAGTAAAGGATGTAAACAGTGTGGGTGCTTATATTTTTTTCCAATATTTGTGGAAGCATCTGTTTCTACATATGACTGGCACAAATGATATCTTTTTGTAAAATATTTCATAATTTCTCCAAAATATACCAGCTTTCTGGTTTTGTTTTTAGAGCTAGAGACTTTGTCTGCTCTCCTGACTTTTTGATATTCTTTCTTTCCTTTTTTTTTCTTTCTTTTTTTTTTAAAGATGGCATCTCATTCTGTCGCCCAGGCTGGAGTGCAATGGCATGATCTCAGCTCACTGCAACCTCACCTCCCAGGTTCAAGAGATTCTCCTGCCTCAGCCTCCCCAATAGCTGGGATTACAGGTGCCCGCCATCATGCCTGGCTAATTTTGTATTTTTAGTAGAGATGGGCTGGTCTCGACGTCCTGACTGCAAGTGATCTGCCCGCCTCGGCCTCCCAAACTGCTGGGATTAGAGGCGCAAGCCACTGTGCCTGGCTGATATGCTTTCATTTTTCACTCCCTTTTTAATCTTCCCCTCCATTACCAGTTAACAAACTACTACAGCTGCCTCTGCAAATGATAGAAGAACAAAAATTAGGAGGAGAGGGGGCTGGAGGAGGAGAAGAAAGAAGCAGAGAAGGAGAAGGACTTCATAGAAACTACGGCTGCTTTCAGGCATATAATGTGAGATCTTGAGAGAGAATTAAGGAGTGAATTTCCACGTAACTTTCAAAGATTGTAAATAGGCTGCCTCTATTTTTTGCAATTGCCAGGCAATGACAGTGTACTTTACTTCTACTCTCCTCTGAAGGAGCAAAATGAGTGCTCTATGGCCTTAACCTCTATTTCTCTCTTAACTGGATTCAAACGTATGTCATGCTTTGAGCCTTCATTACGTAAGCGATTTTTCTCAAGGTCACTGGGAGCACCACGTTCACTGCCTCTGGATGGTTCACTGTACTGCCGTGCAGCCTTGCTGACCATTTCATGATTTGGGGTTCATGTTCATTTTATAGACTGGATTTTTTTCTGTTTTACGTTTCCCATTTTCTTTGTTACTTAGAATTAACCATGACCAGATCAATTAATAAAATAGTTCAGGTTGTCTTATTCTATTTGTGCATTTGGTTTGCAGTTACCTTCACAAATATTCTGGTGGCTAATGAAGTTAAACCAAAGTTTGTCAATCTGATTTTACATAAGCTGTGTGCCAAAACTGTGTTAGGTTCAATAATGCTCATTTTCTTGTTTAATTTTCACAACAACTAAGAATATTATCAGATTCATATTCTCCTTAGATAATTAATAATTAATCACATTATTATTCTCCTGAGAAGGAGGTGATACTATTCTCGATTTAGACATAAAGAATCTTAGGCTCAGAGAATCACCAGCAGATTGTAATTTTGAGCCTAGATCATCAATGTCTAAATTCTTGCTCCTCTTATTATACCATTCTACTAATTTATCAATGATAAATATTTGTTAAATGCATGTTGTGTGCTAGGCATTGCACCCTGTTCTTTATTTACAAACATATGAGTTATTATTATCTCTGATTTGTAGATGAAGAAATTGAGTTTAGAGTTAAATGATTGCCCAGGATTATGTTGTTACAAGTGCAGAATCAGTAATCAAATTGCTGTGCTGTGTCCTCCAGGGCCTGAGTTCCTACATTGCCATGAGCCATTAAAGGTAAGATGCTAATTAAAGGTATCCATGACTAATTTTAATGGCTAACACAAGTTTGGTGAAATTGATTTACCATAATATTTTGGTTACTTTTTAGGGCTACTCAGATACACATACTTGAACTGTAACAGCAAATAGTGAGAGGGGAAGTAAAGATTCTGAGCCTCCTTTCTGGGTTTACAGCAATATTTTGAACTAAGAAGATGAAGTAGAATTAGACATGAGCAAAGCTCCATCCCTTTCTTCTGCAGGTGAGAAAGAAATAGAGGGTGTAGGAGGTAAGCATACCTACCTAGTAAGCCTTCATGATTTAGGTATCTGGAGCAGGTGGGACTGGAGCAATTGCCATGAAGTTCACAATTTTAGTGTGGCCTGTGATCTGTTTCTTTGGCTACAGCTTACATATCAGGCCTGGGGATTTTTCTGGATTCTGAAGGTTCTAGCTTCCAGCCTTGAAATTATTCTCCTACTTGTAGGTCAGTAAAACAAGCGTTTCTTTACTTGAAAGTTTTAAGTCGACAGTTGCCATGATAAATCACTCCCACTGATAGTGTTTTAGACTTTGTTGGTTCTACCTTACGGGATTTTCATAGAGTTTCTAAAAGAGAAAGACAAGCACTAGAGTGAAGAATTGTTCTTATTGTGGAAGAATCATCAACCTTGGCTGGACACACAGATCAAGGGGTTCAGGGATGGGTGGCAAAGGATCATTGAGAGGGTTACATGTGACCCTTGCCTAACTATAGTAGTTAATTCAACTCTGCCTACACAATGACACGGATTACCGAGGATATGACTTGTATTATACTCATCCCTCTGACCCCACATCCTAATGTTAATAATGATTCTTAAACCTGGAATTGAGAACTCAAATATAAACCAGTGCCCAGCACATAGCAAGTCATCAATTAAGTTTATTGAATTAAATTAAATATTGGAATTGTATCTGTCAAAGCCATATCAGCTCTAAGCTTCTTAAGAGAAAAATCTGCCCAGAATTTCTCAGGAGGGATTTCTCAACATCGAAGCTGTCCTGTTCATATTGGATTTATTGTACTTACATAAACAGGAATACACGAGCAGGGAAGATCAGATCAGTTACCACAATAAGGGTTTTGTACCATGATATACATCATTTTCGCTCCCCTAGGAAAGCACTGCTGATGAAAACAATTTTGGAGGGAGGTGGTCTCAACAGAGTAGATGTTCAGGTGGAGGTTATCTCTGGTGCTCTGGGCTTCTTATTCATAATTTTCTCTTATGAAAGAGAGTGGTTTTCAACTTCACAATTCCTTTGCTCATTTGGAAATATAGTAGCAGAAAGATGAAGAGAGTTTGTGACCCACAACTAAAGTCTGTGTTCTCTTGTCACTTCATCAAATTAGTTCTGGTGGCATTTGGTTCCCCCCCAGAAATAAATCACTGTTAAATGATTCTTTATAAAGCAGTCCACACATTTATCATACCACAGTGATCTGAACCCATTTAGGGAATTATAAGCTACAGTTGGTCATGTTGCAGGCCTAGCAACTCTGGCCTTGTCACATTGCATCTCTCTCCACTCCCTGTGCTACCACTAATCCTTCAGGACTGAGATTCAAGGCTTTGCTAGTAAGAGGCTTGGAAATAATCATATAAAACATAATAGTGTGGCAAGGTGAGATCGAGCTTTTAATTTTTTTAAGTTCACAGAGAGCAAGAAGACAGATAGGAAAGGACCGGCAGATTGGGAAAAATCAGGAATAAGATGAAATATCCTCAGAACTTTAGCTTTTATGATTCCACCTCACATTCAGTTTAATTATGAAATTTACTGGCAGTGACAATTGGCTTTTGGCATAAATTAATCATGCCAAGCATTATACATGAAATGAAATTTCAATCCTATTTGTTGAACATTTTCTAAGAGCTTGGCAATCTTGCCCAGCACTTTACGTAGGGTTTCTCCTTATCTACCTTATGAAATATGTTATTATTATTCCCACTTTTAATATGAGAATATTTGGGGATTAGAAGGCTTAAGTAATTTGACAAAGGTCATATGGGCTAGCATAATAGACTAGAAAACAAACTCAGGATGCTGTAATTACTACACTGGAATCATTCTTAGTTTTTTTTTTTTAAATGAAGTTGGCATTAGTTTTGTTTTTTAATCTTTAATACTTTTATCTGAGAATTGATAATTAACCATTTTAAGAAAATAGTTACATAAATTTAGAAATCATTTGGAAAACAGGTAAAATTGCTACATTATTTCAATTTATTTTATTTTTAAAATAAATGATATTTTTTATCTATATTTGAGGGCTATATGAGAACCTAAGACTTCTATTGATGTTAATTATTGACTTTTATTTACTGTAGTTTTAGTGAATAATTTAATTGACTTCTATTAATTCAGTCATCATATGCTAAACCTAGAGTAACTGCTGTTAATATTTTTTTTTTTAGCTACTACAAATTGAAGTATTTTTGATTAGAGTAAAATTTATTTCTAAAGGTAACCTGAGTAATATCTCTATGTTGTAGATAGATATTACTATCTATAGTAATATCTATGCATATAGTATCTATGTAGTAGCTTTCCAATTTATTTTGCTATTATCTAAAATAAGAAATACATTTTATATTGTTCCAGTAAATGCACACATATAAACACATATATATGAAATTGATACTTCATAAAATATTAGTTACCCTTATTATAATCAGTGCTCACTTGATATTTTACATTTTATCCCATTGTAAAATAGATACTGGTCATGACTCACAGTATTGATTTCATAACTCCCTAATGGTTGTAGCCTGCAGTTTATCATTTGTTCAAATGTAGTGTGGTGGGAAAGAAAGATGATATGACTCTTCAGACAGAGAGGTCTGGTCCCTACCCTGATATGTGTCAGTTATATGTCACCTTACCTATAAAATGGTGATTATCAGTACTTCTCAGGGGAGTTGTAAAGCCTGGTACCTAGTAGATAATTAGTAAATATCAGTTTCTTTTGTCTTTAGAGCTCACACTTCATTCCATAGTTTTTTGTTGTTGTTTTGTTTTGTTTTTTTGAGACGGAGGCTCACTCTGTCGCCCAGGCTGGAGTGCAGTCGTGATCTTGGCTCATTGCAACCTCTGCCTCCTGGGTTCAAGCGATTCTCCTGCCTCAGCCTCCCGAGTAGCTGGAACTATAGGCACTCACCACCATGCCCAGCTAATTTTTGTATTTTTAGTAGAGATGGGGTTTCATCATATTGGCCAGGATGGTCTTGATCTCTTGACCTCGTGATCCACCCACCTTGGCCTCCCAAAGTGCTGGGATTATAGGAGTGAGCCACTGTGCCTGGCCTCATTCCATAGTATTATAGAAAATGTCGAACTGTTTAAGCATTCCAGCACTTTATTTTTTAATTGTTATTATTTTTCTACCCTCAGCATGCATCAGAGGAGCATTCCAGCCCTTTAGTTTGGATTTTCTTGCTATTTCTGATTTTAACTATGTGTGTTCTTCATATCTTGGACTAAAAAATAAAAACAAATTAAAAATAGCAAAAAAAAAAATTTGCAGTAATTTTAACAGACCAACATTAAGTACTCTGGAAGCCAGACCAGAAGCTAGGGGCTCGTTAATTTTTATGTATCATCAATGGAAATGACTTTTATTTGTTAATTATTTTTTATGACCACCTATTGTAACATCTTCCAACACATATTTCCCCCTCTTTCCCGTCCTCCACTCTTTAACCTTCCTTGCCCATTTTTTGTAGAGATGCCAGTGAGGTCTTTCTCAGTCAGTGCTTCAATCCCATTATTTCCCATCTCAACAGGCTTCACTGGCTCACCATTATCTTTCATATTAGTCACAGGCTCCTCAGCCTGAATTGAGGCCTTTATGACACAATTCTAGTCTACCTTTGGAGATGTGCTTCCTTTCAGTGTCCTCTCTGTATTTCATACTTACTGCTTTGATCAGACAAGATGGCCTGTCTTTTTCCAAATGGATCTCACAATTTCCAGGCTCTGTGTATTTGCTTATGTTGTATCCTCTACCTAGAAGTCTTTTCTCCTGGTCCATCTGTCCTCATTAAAAACTCCACTCCTGTTTTCAAATTCCTTGTCTGTTTCATCGTGACTCTTCTAATTGATTCTCTTTCACTCCCACACTACTTCTATTGATGTTGATTTCTCTGAAGCTGGCTCCTAGTGCCTTTTTTCTTCTTAAGGCATGATAGTGTGTCTCAAGTTGGAATGATTTCATGGCTCCCATATGGTTGATTGGTTGTGGGACTTTATCGCTAATGATAATTCAGAAAATAGTAGTAGGACTAATTGCAATTCTGCAGATTTCACCTTAAACATATGCTGCTTCTTGGGCTGTGGAAGTTGGACACATTGAGATAAGATTATTCAGAAAAACAGCAAGGCCGGGCGCAGTGGCTCCCTCCCATAATCTCAGCACTTTGGGAGGCCTAGGTGAGAGGGTCGCTTGAGCCCAGGAGTTTGAGAGTAGCCTGGGCATTATAGGGGTACCCTGTCTCTACAGAAAATAAAAAAAAAAAATTAGCCTTGGTGGTGTGTGCCTGTAGTCCCAGCTACTCAGATGGCCGGGGTAGAAATCACTTGAGCTCAGAAGACACAGGTTGCAGTGAGCTGAGATTGCACCACTGCACTTCAGCCTGGGTGACAGAGCGAGCCCCTGTCTCAAAAAAAAAAAGAAAAGAAAAGAAAAAAATATTAGTAGGTCTAACTGTAATTTTCTAACTTCTGGTTTTAAATATACACTGTTTCTTGGGCAGTGACAGTAGGGTAAAATTACCCAGTTTGTGTAAATCTTATGAGGCTTGATAAATGGACTTAATAATTATCAGATGACGAAATTAAATGAGTCGGTGAATGTTAATGCGTCCCTCCTTCCATGTAACTAGATGCCTTGGGACAGTTCCAATATGTGGCATTTATATTGTATTATGATGTGTTAATAATGTGGATCAGAGACAAGCAAAAGTCAAGGATAAATGTAATTTCCTGTGAAATGTATATTTAATACTTTTTAACATTTAGCGGAATTACCTTTGGATGTCAATTGAACATTACATCCCCTTACTACCGTGACTGTGTGTGTGTGTGTGTGTGTGTGTGTGTTGGGGGGGTGGTGTCTAAGGAGTAAATCTATTCTCTTACTGCAATTTCAAACACTGAAGTATTATAAACTTTCTTTAATTGTATCGAGTTTTATATATTTTGTTGATTCTAAGAGTTTTTGTGTATGTGTGTGATATCAGTGAATCAGGCAAATTTCCCAGTGTGTGAAGCTTTTGGGTCAGCTATTAGGTTATTACATCATTTCAGAAATGCTCCGTCTGCCTTCTGGTGGCCTTCAGATTTGGCCAAGTAGTGGAGTAGTGCAAAGACTGCTAATATTGTAGAAATCCCGTGACCATACGCAGTGGTTTTTATTTTGTTCTAAGGGGTACACACTTCCATTTGTCTGTTTTCATGCGGAGCACATTTATATGAGGGTAAGTTCAATGGCAACTTTTAGTCTGTAGAGGGATACGTTGAGAAATATGTTACTGACCATAAATTACCAATTTGAGATGAATGCATACTTCAGAGGCCCCACTAGCTCACATTTTTACTGCTGTCCCCTAAAAGCACCTTCAGGTTTATATGCTGAAGATGGAGACCTTCATAGTTAGAAAATTGCATTCCCTCAGGCCACAGGAAATATTGCTTGACATTCTGTAACACTATTTGATGTTCTTAAAACAGCATGCTATGTAGATACTACTCTAGGTCATGTCTAATTTTTTAATCTGTATTTATAAATACTATGAAGCTTGTGGTTTTTAAGAATAGTAATGTTTACATTTATATAATTTGATGCAATGACTTTTCCCTGTAATATAAAATTAATTTAATGTTTAGTATAAAGGAAATAACCAGGTTGTATAGTTGTAGGTTGTGCAACTACAGGTTGTGTAGTTGCAGGTTGTGTAGTTGACTTGTGTATTTTCACTTCCTCATACTGACAACATAACCAGAGGCCT
Source organism: Homo sapiens (assembly GCF_000001405.40). Lineage (NCBI taxonomy): Eukaryota > Metazoa > Chordata > Mammalia > Primates > Hominidae > Homo > Homo sapiens. Next base: position 2,149,880 of record NC_000003.12, read on the forward strand.
GACCAATGCTGGTGAAATAACCAAAAAGGTTGTCAGGCAGACCTTTGCGTTTTAATGCAAATTCAACAGGGAATGGGGTGGGCATAGCTTTTTTTTTTTTTTCTGTATTATATCAAGTAAGCTGAATATATGCAAGGTTAGAGTTTAAATGTAATGATTAGTTTTATTCATATACATTTAAAATCTAATATTCTACAAGATGCTTAGCACCATACTTGACACATTGTGAGCATTCAGTAAACTGATGTTATCCTTTAAGAAGCATTTACCACAGAGGTTAAGAGCATATGCTCTAGAGCAAAGTTGCCTAAACTATTTCTGCCTCTGTTTCATCATTTCTAATATAGGGATAGATCATTTAGTTCATAGAACACTGTTAAATCCATATAAAGCATCTATAACAGTGTTTTTAATAAGTAAAAAAAAGTCAGCTAAATATTAGTTGTTTATTAATTGTAATATATCCTAAAGCAACTTATTTCTTAACGTAGACTTCTGCACATTCTTGGAAAATTAATATCTCTTTTTTTCCTTGCAATTTTTTTGGATATTTGAAACTATAAGTATCTTCACCCAGTTGTAGGACATATGTTTTTCTATTTTCTTCCCCCTTGTTGGAGAAATCTATTTCTACGGGACAAGCTGGTTATTTGTCTACAGATCCTCCCCTGGGGATTCTGTAGCAGCTACTTCAAAGCTATCTCAGCTTGCACTTAATCATTTGAAACATCAGATAACTTGCTTGTTCATTTTATGCATGTTTTCTTATTGAGGAAATTAGTCAACCTAAAATGAGCACCAGAAGATTATTTTTCTTGGTTTTACTCTTAAAGTCATTCTCAAGCATGTTATCTTGGAAGAGCAGGGCACTCTCCTGCAGCTTTTAAGGATGACTGAACTGGAGAACATTCTGTTTAACCACAAAACTCATGTTCCCTCTGTTTAATTTCTTAAAGCTTGCCCTCCCTTCAATGCAATTACCATTTTTCTTACACATTAAGAGGACAAAATTTGTTGGCTTCCTCTTTGGGGGAGGATGTTTATTTATTTAGAAGATACTTTTTGAGTTCCTACTGGTCCACCGGGAACTATCGTAAGTAAGTTGAGGATACAGGGATGAGCAAAATGGACAAATTCTTTGTTCTCATGGACCCCACAGGAGAAGAAAGACAATAGCTAGTAAGCAAGTAATACATTTTTTTAGACAGCTAATTTTTGTATTTTTAGTAGAGATGGGGTTTTGCCATGTTGGCCGGGCTGGTCTGGAACTCCTGACCTCAAGTGATCCGCCCACCTCAGCCTCCCAAAGTGCCGGGATTACAGGCATGAGCCACTTCGCCTGGCCAACAAGTAAATATTTTTGACTATGTGGAAATATGATGAAGAAAATGATGAATAGGAAAATGGGACTAAGAGGCAAGAAGGGCGAAGCATCTATGAGGAAGTGGTATGTGGACAGAGATTTGAATGCTGACAGGGAGGCAGCTAAGAGACTCTCTGAACAAAGAAGTATCCAGGCAGAAGGAACAGCATGGGCCAGGGCTCTGGGGCCAAAACAAGCTCAGTCTGGCTGAGAAAGGGAATAAATGACTGAACACATTTCTGTAGCCTTCTATGTTCCAGGTGCTATCCAAGGTGCTTGGGATACGTCAGCCAACATATTTGCAATGTTTTGCATAGTTGTCCTCTCCAAAACTCATGTCGAAATTTAATCCCCAGTGTAGCAGAATTGAGAATTGGGGCCTTTAAGAGGTGATTAGACCCTGAGGGATCTGCCCTCAAGAATGGATTCATCCACTCATGGATTAATGGATTAATGACTAATGGACTAATGAGTTGTCATGAAAGTGGGACTGGTGGCTTTATAAGAAGAGGAAAACAGACCTGAGCTAGGACACTCAGTCATGTGACAGCCTGTGCCACCTTGGGACCCTGCTGAGAGTCCCCACCAGCAAGAAGGCCCTCACCAGATGTGGCTTCTTTATTTTGGACTTCTCAGCCTTCATAACTGTAAGAAATAAATTTCTTTTCTTTATGAATTACCCAGTTTCAGTTTATTTTGTTAACAGCAACAGGCTAAGACAATAATGCATGATTTTTTCTAAGTAAATTATGTACAATATTAACTGATCAGTGTTTTAAAAAAATGTTTGTATGCAGGGAGGTAAGAGTGCAGGAATAGGTGGGCTACAGTGTAAAACACTGAGGTCAAGGTAGGTCTCATAGAGCAGGTGGCATTTAAACAAAGTATTGAAGGAGACGGGGCAAGTTTGTCAGATGGGTATGTGGGAGAAGGAATTACCAGGCACAGGTAATAGCTAGTACAAAAGCCGTAAGGTAGCAGTAGGCCCAGCTTGTTCCAAGTGCCTCAAGAAAGCCTCTGTAACTGGAACAGAGTGAGTGAGATGAGTGAGGCGGAGAAGAGGTTAGAGAAGTGATAAGAGGTGGCATCAGGCCAGTCTTTGTAAACCACTGTCAGGACTTCCGTTTGATTGAAACGAGGTGCCGTCTGGTAGGTAGCTTTGGGGTCTAGACTGGGGAGGGGTGGAGCAAAGTTAGGAGCAGGGTGACTTGTTAGCAGAATAATGGAATAAGCCATGAGCCACACTCTGGTTGCTCTTACAGGGCCGTGGTAGAGATGATGGGACTTTGTCAGATTCTGAATATATTTAGAAGGCTTCAGAAGTGAAGTATGAGAGAAAGAAGAATCCAGGATGTGACTCCAAGTGTTTTGTCCTGAAAAAATAGAAGATTGAGATGGGAAAGACTAGTGCTGGAACAGGATTGGATGAGGTGAGGAGTGGCTGTGTAAAGCAGGAGACACCCACCGTTCCCAGGGCGTAGTTCTGTATCTGCCTTCCTGAGTTAGGCTTGGCAGTACGACTGGCTCTGGCCGGTGGGTCATGTCGATGTGAGACAAAAGCAGGGTACGGAAATGTACTCCCAGATCGGGCTCAGCCTCTTGTGATGCAGTCATTTTCATGAGAAGAGCTTTCCTGGGGCAGACGTTGCCCTCTTAGCCTGGACCCCAAGTGAATGCAAGTGACACAGAGCCACCCCAGCTAAGCCCAGCTCATCCCACATTTGGAAGGAGGGCTGCCCATGGAGCCTGCTTTAGATTACCAGACCCTACAGAATCAAGAGAATTAATAGCTACTGTTGTAAGCCAATGAGTTTGGAGGTGGTCTGTTATGCAGAAGTTTTGTGGCAATAGCTCAGTAATAGAGAATCCAGGGAGTGAAGTGAAATAGGGAGTTGGATATAGGAGTCTGGAGTTGAGAAGAAGTCTTGGTTGGAGACAAAAATGTAAGCGTCATTGGCATACCAATGGTATTTAAAACCTCAAGGCAAATGAGATCACCATGGGAGTGAATGTAGTAGAGAGGGTGACCGAAGATTGCATGACTACATCATTACAATGTCTGGAAGAAGAGGAGCAACCCATGAGGAGGAAGGAAAATGCCCTACAAATGAAATGGATGAAAACAATATCTAGGAGGAGGAAGTGACAAATGATGTCAAAGGCAACTGCCAAGAATTGGTCATTGGATGTGGTAACCTGGGGAGAATTGTTGACTTTGATAAATACAGTTTTATGGGAGTGTTGGAGGTGCAAGCCTGATTAGAGTGATTTTAAACACGAATATAGGCGGAGAGCAACTGGAGATAGAGAGCAAAGTAACTTTTTGAGGAGTTTGTGGGAAGGAGACAGAAATGAAATGAAACAATGGCCTCCTCACAAAAGGAGCGCGAAACCATGGTAAGGGTGTACTTTATTCTGAGCGGGGAGGTAGTTGAAGCGTTTAAATAATGACCTATTTGTCTTTTAGATATTGCTCTGACTGCTGTATAGAGAATGGCGTGGGGTGAAAGGGAGCAGAACAGTTATAAGGCTATTTCTGTTTCCTAGGTGAGAGAGTGTGTTGGCTTCAGCTGTAGCCCTGGAAATGTGGAAAGTCATGTGTAAATTTCACATGGGGTAATGGTATTAGGTAGACAGCAGTGTGGGATCTTTAGCTTAAGGAACTTAAAAAAGTGTTTGTGATCAAATGAAAAATCACAAATGTATATGAGAATTATGTTTTGTAACTTCTCTTTAGCTCTACCTTATCTTATATAAATCATACTGGTTTGAAGCAATATATATTGGTTACTTTATTAAAATTTACATTCTGTTATTTTTTTAAATAATTCCTGTTGTCTATGATAAAATGGATATGACTGGCCAGGCATGGTGTCTGACGCCTGTAATCCCAGCAATTTAGGAGGCCAAGGCAGGAGGATCACTTGAGGTCAAGAGTTCGAGACCAGCATGGCCAACATGGTGAAACCCCGTCTCTACAAAAAATACAAACATTAACCGGATGTGGTGGTGGGCGCCTGTAATCCCCAGCTACTCATGAAGCTGAGGCAGGAGAATTGCTTGAACCCAGGAGGTGGAGATTGCAGTGAGCCAGTCGTGCCTGCACTCCAGCCTGGGTGACAAAGTGACACTGTCTCAAAAAAAAAAAAAATAAAAGTGGATATGGTAATTTTTCTCCTTTCCAAATTATATTTTGTTCCATCCTGGATCATTCAGTCTACACTGGCGTATTTCGCTCAAGTGACATTAGAGATGGTTTCTGGCATAATATCCTTGTCTGAGTCTGTGTGCAAAATAACTTTTTTAAAAAGTGGAATAAGTTCTATGATCTGTAGTTGGGATAGGGATTAAACAACAACAGCAAAACAGACTTTTACTTCCTTAGATCTCAGATTTATATGTATAGAGAATTGGTTTTACACAAATAGTGAATAAAGTATTTTGCCAAGTGTGCTTTCAGTAGAGACTTGAATGATTGTGATCTGTTTTGCTCTTATTCCACGTTCAGAGGTTCCCATGGGAACCACTCCCAATTCGTGGGAAGAGTGGAATTTAACAAACAATACAGAAAAGCCATTTAATCATCCTCTGTGTGATCCACAAAAGTGCCAGAAATACGGAGGAAATGAAATCACTAGAATCTCTATCTGTATGGGCCTGCCCAGAGAAAAAAGTGCTGCTCATGGTAAATAGATTTGATAGATGGCAGAAAAACACCAGTGTCCTAAATCTGACAGTAACAAAAAACCTCTCCCATCATCCATCTCCTTCAGATACCTTTTCAAAATTTGTTAAGTGTTTTGTGTCCTAGAGTTTGGCATCTTGCCATTTTAATTTAACTATTTTTCCCCTGAAAGATTTGTTTCCAGAAAAAGCTTGGGATCATAATACAGTAAACCTTACACATAATCTTCTCATTATGTTCAGAAAGCTAATTTTAAACCTAATTTTCCCATCTCTGTCTCTCTCTATTCCAGTGCTTACCTGCCTGCATTAATTAATTCCTGTGCAGCAATGAAAATTTGACTCAGTTACCTGACCTCTTACCTTCTGATTGCAGAGGCTCTGTCTCTTACAGGGGTGTGGGACGCCTGGTGCCACAGGACATGTGAACACAGATTATCCGTACCTGGGAGGTGACTTTGGTGAGATCGGAGACATTGGAGTCCCCCAGGAGCAGCTCCTCAGCAGATTGGGGATAAGAACAGAGGGCACCTACAACAATCTATGTATTACAGAACACAGCTCTTTTTCTTTTGCGAACACAGCTGTTTTTCTTTTGCCTGACTTGACTGAAAACTGTTTTTAAGTGAATTAAGTGTTTTAAGTGAATTAGGTGTTTCAGCTATGTCGCCAGTGGGCACTGAATCCTAAAACAGTGATCTGGAAGGGTCTTGGTGACCATGCTATCCAAGCACCATGAGATTTGGACCTCCAAGTTGGGTTCATCTTCTCACTCTCCCCGTGCTCTCTACTGTGAAACCACATTGGTCTTCGCTTCCTCCAACACAGCTAGCTCTTGTCTGCACCAGAGTCTTTGAACTGTGGTGCGTTTTACGTGAAATACCTCCAAATGATTCTTGTTCATCCTTAAGATCTCAGAATAGATGTCATTTCCTCAGAAAGCACCACCTTCTTGACCCTCCAGCCTACAGGAGGATTCCCTGGACTGTGTTGTCATAGCACCTTTGCTTTTCCATCAAAATATTTAACATAGTTCATAAATTGTTTCATAGATGAGGGGGTGGTTAGCTCGGGTTGCTTTTTCTCTTCTCCAGTAAGAGATTTCAGAATCACTCCCCTTAGAATCATTTATATGAGGTTTTCCCCTGAGGGCAGGCCAGTGGCCTCACTGCTTCAGAAGGGGGTGTAATCAGGGTGAAGAGCAAAAATGCTTGGTATCTTTGAGGGAAAAGAAATGAAGTTTTGGAGAGCTGGTAGGTGCCAGAGCCGTTCCTGCCTCAGTGCTTCCATAACCAGCTGGGGACTTAGGAGGTGGCTGTTTGTGGGATTCAAAAAACGGAACCATGGGAACCTTGGAAGCCCAAGTGCTGGGCGTCTTCGATGAGCTTAGCATTCAGAAGAGAAATTGCGCTTCATAGGCCATGTGGGGTCTGTGCATAAACCTGTATACAGCAGAGTTCATTGCAGCAATGGTCCCGCGCCTTCCTCAGCAGCGTCCTCAAGCAGCGCCACCGTGTGGCAGCAGTAAGCAATGGCAGTGATCGGATTCCTGTCCACTCCCTGGTGTGGATGTCCTCGGCGGACTTCCTGTCCATTACGCATGTGGGACATCAAGAGATAAATCGGAAAAATAAGAAATACAACTGTATATGAAGCCCGGTTTGGAGAGGCATTTGTTTGCATAAGTCTGTAAGATCCGTTGTAGACCCTCGGTAAATGTTTGTTTTGGAGATGAGGAAATGGAGGCAGAGAGAAGGCAAGTCATTTATCACAGACAGCGTTAACTCTGGGCAGAGTTAGGATAAGAATATGTGAATCTTCTGGCCCCAGTTTTGGTAGTTCTGCAGTTGAAAGATACCATGAAGAAGGATGATGTGTATTAAGAGACCATGATCCGATCACTCTTTATGAGATTACTAAGAGCTATGGATTGCTAGGGCTATTCCTGGCTATTTGGGGAGAGGGAAGTCTGACCCTCTTGGATGCTTATTTTATCTCTGGCAACCATTTTGGGGTCATTAATATTTCTCATCTGCATGTCTGTACCTCTTCCTTCCAGTTTTCCTAATGACCTTCTTCCTTTTTGCCTGCCTCCTTGCATTTCCGTTTCGTTGGTTTACCAAATAGATTTCATTGTGAGATATGTGTGTCATTGAGTCAAATGTATCTTCACTAAAAGAGAAGTTCTGGTTCCTGTTCTGAAATTTCTGTCTTACACATTTAAAAATGGAAGAAGATATTTAAAAGTAAAATAAATTAAATAAGCACACATTAATATAATGAGATTACATAAGACCTGGTGGATAATATGTGAGACTGGGTTGAGATTGATGAGTGATGGCTTCTTAGAGGAGAAAGATTTTAAAGATATGCGATATGAAAGTAGAGGGAGGAGGTGTGCACTCCGACGAGAAATGAGACAGGTGGGGAAGTCCAGTGTACATGTGTTTACGGGGTTAGTGAGAAGAGAGTTGGCAAAAGTGTATGGGATTATTCAGAACAATCTGAGGAAAAGATATCTGGCTTAGGGAAGGAGTTCCTGGAGTCAATGGAGACTTAAGCTGTTAAAGGAAAATAAAAGTGAAAAAAATGAAAAAAACTTTGGAGTAGTTTTTGGGCTCAAAATCTCACTTTACTGTTACTATCTGGGTGACTTTGGACAAGGTATTTAAGATATGAATGTGTTTTCTCATCTACAAAAATGTGCTTTTGTGAAAATCAAGTAAAATGTCCTATGAGATGCCCTAAAACAATACTGGCCTAGAGGAGGTGTTCAATAAATGTAACTTTTACACTTTATACCAATTTCAAATTCTCATCACTAAGTTATAGTTTCAAATGAATGTTTTCAGTTTATCTTGATGTTGCTCCTGACTTCAAAATTTTCTGTTTGGATTTTCTTAGAAATTAATAATCTTTCACACATAGCTATCAAATAAATCATTGTTTTCATTTAAGAAACATGGATAAATTGGCACACACACAAAATCATTCTCAGAAATCTATCAAAACCAATTAAAGGAACCCCAAATTAGGAAGGACAATTGCATTTGTCATGAAATTAGAGTGGAGCCTCAGCCTCAAACCCTAAATTACAAAGACTAGTTTTTGAATTCAATTTAATAGAAGCTTCCAGGATTTCATACATATGTTCTTTAATTTTGCATATACTGCATATATGGGAAATGAGAATGCTTGAAGGGGCTTTTAAACCCTGGTAATTAGGACAGGGTGGCAAAGTGACACATCAAAGTTTATGTTCCAGAAATAAAAAAGAAACTTGTGACAAATGACTTACAAAGGGCGAATTTTTTCCCCAAAAGTATTAATGTAAGAAGTTTAGATATGTTTCTAAAAGTCTACCATCCCTCATTATTTGTCCATCATTATTTCAGTACAAACATACCCAATGTTTCATAAAATATATTTCATTAATAATTAAGACAGACAAGCTTTGATTTAACAATTTCTTACCATATGAATGTGGTTGTGGTCTCAACCACTGGTAAAAGAATTATGGGGGACACATTCAGCTGCTGCAATAAAGACAACCATTGTAAATGCTTACCTCTTAGATGAAAATGGTTGGGCCGGATGTCCTCCTATTGTTTGCTCTTCCACATCTGAAAAGAACGTAGACTAAATGGAGTGAATCCTCACTGATACATGGAAGTGAATATGTCCACATTGGCAGCATTCATAAACAGCAGCAGGTTTCCTTAATATGAGAATCAGAGTAGTTACAGCATAGATGAGTTTTTGAGCCTGCATAGAAAAAGTCCAGAAAACATGCAGCACGCACTGCTGGTGAGCATTAACTCACTCTTGTCATTTGGGAAAGAGAACCCATTGTTTCTAGATCTTCAATTTCTGCAGAAAAGCATGGAGTCTGTTACTCTTCATTTTTTTGTTTTGTTTGTTTTGTTTTTGGAAGAGTGAAATCTCCAGCTTTAAAAATGTTGGCAACAAATACAACATTCTTTTTAAAGCATAGTCAGTGTAAGCATCGTTGGTGGGCTAGACAGGACATACCTGTGAGCCAGATTTGACTCACAGGCTTTCAGTTTGCAGTCTCTGAGGTCTAGTGTATGAAGTTGGAATCCCGAGAGGCAGCGAGTGGGAGAAAATGAAGGCTCAGAACAAGTCAGACCTCTTGTAGCAGGCCTATAACTTCTTCCTGGAGCACCTTGACTCTCTTAGCACCATACAGGATCTGATCTGAGAGAGAGTTGTGTAAGATTGATGCTCCAGAATTATACTGTATACTTTTGACCAGAATATTTTCATTTTCAGTATGAACACATTGCTCTCTTAAGTATTTTTTGCATTTGTAAAAGAAAATAATAAGCCCCAACATATCCCTGAAGCTTACAATATCTGTGCCCCAAACTCTTCCTTATGAACTTTCTTAATATTTTAACAATATCAAAACAGAAAAAAAATTGTTAGGCATAAATTATCTACTTACTCTGACCTATATCGGGTTCTTTTTCAAGCTTTTCAAAAGGTGACACAAAAGCCAGTTCAACCTGAATATTGGAAAAGAATTGCAGGGGTCTCTGAGCATTGGGAAAGGATACAAAAGGCATCAGAAGTTTGGCTTTGAGACAGTTGCCATGAAAGGTATCTCATTTTCCTGCCCTGGAGATTTTATATTAAATGGATTATCTGTCTGTCAAGCATTTTGAGCATTCCCCTTCACTGCTTTCCCTGAGGACTATTGCAGCATCTTACCGTGTGAGGTGGGCCATATTTTTTTTTGCAGATGATTTATAGAATATGAGATATATAAGCAGCCGTTAACACATCTAGTTTTATTTTTAAAGTTATGTTTGAATGGATTATGTTTGTCCCACAATCATTTTTTAATCTGAATAATAAGGTCAATTTGACACAGCTCTTTTTTTTTTTTTAACATTTAGTTTAATCCTTTAACAAACCTTGCCCTCATTTCTGTTTAACCTTGGACCACCTGCTTTGGCTGGTTATGTAATTTGCAAATTAGAAAATGACTATTTCTTTTTTCTTGTTATTGGACTCCAAAACTCACCCAAATTCTTTTTCTTTGCTTTGTGTTTCCTCTCTGTCTTCCTAATTTCTTATGCCTGTATTAATAAAATGGCTTGAGAGATAATAGTCTAGTTAAATGCATAGTTTCCTAATTTGCTTATGGAAAAGCTAAAGTAGACTGGAAAGAACATGTTACTAAATTATAATTTTAAATTTTTTATCATTGAATGTCAGTCTCACTGTGATCCTTTTATGACTCTATAAATATGCTTTCTTTTGAATGCTGGAGGTGGAAGGCAGGTTGGCGGTCACCTGGACTAAAACCATCGTTTTACTGAAAAAGCAATTGTGAACTAAATAGGAGAGGTCTCTTGGCCAAGGTCAAACATAAGCTGGTGGCAAAATCAGGAGAGAGTCTTGTATCCTGGTTAAGAGGTATAAGGATCCAGAGTCAGACAAAACTCCATGTCCTGGATGGCCTTATATTAGTTATCTTGCTATGACTTCTGGCAAGTCAAATAACTTTTCTGAGCCTCAGTTTCAAAAATTTTAAAATGAAGATTATCATATTGCTCACTGTTATTTATAATGTGGAATAAGTGATAGATTCCACATCAACTGCGTGACATCTAACACCTAGTAAGCTCTCAGTAAGTTGTTACTGTTATTGCTGCATCTCTCATAATCATCACTCTGATCACCTGTCTATGTTTGTGTCATCACACAGCTCTAGCAATGTTTCCAAACCAAAGAAAGGGTCCCTTAAACTTCCTCAGCAAGGGCTTGGCATCTGTTGTCATTTGTTGACTGTTTCTCAGATGGTTCAGGAATGTATACGGTGCGTATTATTAAGTTTGCAGCTCCCCTTGATTTCCATTCGTCACATTTGGTCCATAAATTCAATCAATATGTATTGAACACCTTCCTTCTGTACACAAAGCTCTACTAGATCCCTAGGATACAGGGTGAACAAGAAGGTATAATCCCTCTTGCCTGGGGCTTATGTTTGGAGTTGGGAGAATAGAAGCTAAATAACTAATCATACTGTTGTTTACTTATGGTTGTGTTCAGTGGTTAAAGTTGAGTACCAAGTGCTATGAGTGAGTAAAAGAGGGGAGTCAAAGATGGAGGCTTCTCGGACAAGTAGGTCTTAGCTAGGCATGACCTAAGGTATAATTATTTTTATTTTGAAGGGATGGTATCTGAGGAGGTACAGGAAGCAGAAGTCATTGAAATTTTAGGGATGAATAGAAAGTCATTGTGGCTGAAGCAAGGGGATGCTGGAGGATAAGGGTGGAAAGGAAGGAGGGGCTGAAACATTAATTTTTAGGCCATGTTAAGTTTTCTGGGCTGCATTATAAGAAAATAAATGGAATGTTATTGAAAGGTTATACACAGAAAAATATCATCACCAGATCTTTTATAAAGATAATTTTAGTGCTTCATGAAGAACAAGTAGAGGAAGCAGAGAGAACTGCTTGGGGTCGGGGTGGCTTGTAATAGAGTGGGGGCAGTGGAGGTGGAGAGAGATCTGAGAAATACAAAGAGGTACAAGGAACCAGCCTGGTGTGTGACTGGTGTGTCAGTGGAGGCAGAGAGAGATGTCAAGAATGACTCCACTTTTGACATGAACTCCAGTCATCATGAATGTTGGAGTAAGACTGGTCCATGATCATATTTTTTTCCTGGTGAAATAAAGCACGGAGGAGTTCTGAGTTCTGGAAAAAGACCGATTGAAATGAGAGGTGAAAAGAGAACGCTAAGTACGATGAGGACAGAAGACATACTTTAAATATGTTAAGTAGTAAGAACATCAAATACTAGGAGCCAGTATAGTTAAGTTACGAATTGTGAGGTTTGTGTATGTTAGAGTTGAGGAATTCCTGTTTCTTGCTGTTTTGATGGGCACAGTGTTCTTCCACGACAGTAATCAGATAAACTACTTAGGTCAACTCAATTAATCTCTTTTAAAAGAAGCCTGGAATAATCTGCTCCGTTCTTTGACATAAATTGATTGATTAGAATGTTTGCATCCCCAAATTAAGGTAAAACCACTGCCATTTTACAGAAGGTATTGATCTTATGTCTGTTAAAATTGTATCTTTAAATTTTTTAATTTAGTTTTATTCTTTTTCAATGAGAATACAGATTTCAAACTAAATGTAGTGTAGGTGTGAATGATAATAAAATACCACATAATTTAGTGTAGTTTTCCTATACGCATTATATTCATTTCAGCGCATTATGATTTCAACTGTGTTTGTACTTGAATTACTCATTTTTGTTTATCAACATGAGGTTTCCATCTGATCCAGAATCAAATAGTTTTTATTCAGAGTTCTATTCATTTACTAAAAATAATTTCTTATGAATGTTCTCATATATGCACATGCATGCATGTTTTAAAAAGATAACAGAATCCTGTTATTGCCAAGAAATTTGGGGGTAAGACCATGGTGGCAATTTAAGCAGGTTTTGTTTTGTTTTAGTTTTGTTTTTGAGATCTTTATTTCTCCCAGCTACCTATCAAATAATATAGGAGGGAAAACTGTGTCCCACAACTGGAAAACCCATAAGGCTCCCCAGTCATCTACCTCAAATCTTGAGGAGTCTCCAGAGCTATCATTGTGCAAAGAGATGTGGGGGAGCTGTTCTGACCTGTTTATTGACTCAATAGTATGTGTCATTCAAATTTAGGGAATGGAGAAAGATGCTGTTGCCATTCTGCTGGCCATGTTACTTGTCAAAGCCCATAACCACGAATGTTTGGAGAAAATTTAAAGTTGAATATAGGAGAGAACAATAATGATATGGAAGTTTCCTGTACTACTCAGGAGGATATCACATTTATCAAATAAAAGAAACAATAAGAAAACAGGGCTGGGTGTGGTGGCTCAGGCCTGTAGTCCCAGCACTTTGGGAGGCAGAGGCGGGTGGGTGGCTTGAGTCCAGGAGTTTGTGACCAGCCTGGGCAACATAGGGAGACCCCATCTCTACAAAATATATAAAAATTAGCTGGGTGTGGTAGTGCACACGTGTAGTCACAGCTACTCTGGAGGCTGAGGTGGAAGGCTAGCTTGAAGCCAGGAGGCTGAAGTTGCAGTGAGCGAAGGTCATGCCACTGCACCCCAGCCTGAGCAGCAAAACAAGACCCTGTCTCAAATTATACTACAAGGCTATAGTTACCAAATCAGCATGGTACTGGTATAAAAATAGCCAAGTAAACCAGTGGAACAGAATAGGGAACCCAGAAATAAAGCCAAATACTCATAGCCAACTGATCTTCAACAAAGCATACAAAAGCATAAAGTGAGGAAAAGACACCTTATTCAATAAATGGTGCAGGGAAAACTGGCAAGCCACATGTAGAAGAATGAAGCTGTGTCCTCATCTCTCACCTTATACAAAAATCAACTCAAGATTCATCAAAGACTTAAATCTAAGACATGAAACCATAGAAATTCTAGAAGATACATCAGAAAAACTCTTGTAGATATTGGCTTAGGGAAAGAATTCATGACTAAGGACCCAAAAGCAAATGTAAGAAAAACCAAAATAAATAAATGAGACCTAATTAAACTAAAAAGCTTCTGCACAGCAAAAGAAATAGTCAGCAAGTAAATAGACAACCCGCAGAATGGGAGAAAATATTTGCAAACTATGCATCTGACAAAGGACTAAAATATCGAGAATCTGCAAGGAACTCAAGAAAAAAAAAACTAATAATCCCATCAAAAAGTGGGCAAAGGACATGAATAGACAATTCACAAATGGAGATACACAAACAGCCAATAAACATATGAAAAAATGCTTCACATCACTAGTTATCAGGGAAATGCAAAATAAAACCATAACGAGATATAATCTCACACAAGTCAAAATGACTGTTATTAAAAAGTCAAAAAATAATAGATATTGGCCTGAAAGTGGTGAAAAGGTAACACTTTTACACTGCTGGTGAGAATGTAAACTAGTACAACCACTGTGGAAAACAGTATGGAGATTCCTTAAGGAACTAAAAGAGAGAGCTAAGCTGTGAGGCTGCAAAGGTATAACAATGATAAAATGGACTTTGGGGATTCAGGGGAAAGGGTAGGAGGTGGATGGGGGATAAAAGACTACATGTTGGGTACAATGTACACTGCTTGGGTGATGAGTGCACCAAAATCCCAGAAATCACCACTAAAGAACTATCTGTGTAACAAGAAACCACCTGTACCCCCACAACTATTGAAATAAAAAAGAAAAAAAGGAAAGCAAAATTAAAACAAAGAAGAAAGAGAGATTGCTTGAGGAAAAAAAAAACAACAACAAAGTATACCCTTTAGTAGAGATAGTAAATATCAGAATGGATGCTACTGACCAAATTAATTAACTGGAAGGCTGAGAAAATTCGCATAACTGTAAGTAAAAAAGAGGTTTTATAAGAGAGAGGATGACGCACATAGGATAGGTCTTGGGGCTCATCTCATAACTAATAATAGGAATTTTAGAAATAGAGAACAGATGAGAGGAAGGAGGAGAACTAACAGATTACCATTTCCTCTAAGCCAAACCTAATTCTTCAAGCCTTCACATTGAATGACCTCACTACAAGCTGGTGAAGATTAATGAAAATAAAAACTTTTAGACATACCATGATGGAATTTTGAATTCCAAGGTAAAGAGAAAATGTATACAAAAGTTGACACAGAAAAACAATTAGTTACCTTCAAGGAAAAGAGAATTTGACTATTATCCAGTTTCTCATCTGCCACAGAAAATGCTAGTGGACAATGCAACATTCCTTTCAGAACTGTGAGTAAAAAGGGTTGCAATCATAGTATTCTCTCACCAGACACAGTTTGCTCATGTTTGACGGAAAAATGTGCGTTTTGATACATGAAAGGACTCAAAGTATTCTGCAAATGTACTGTTTAAAAAAAACAAAACAAAACAAAAGGAGGTAGTAGGAGGAGACTTAAGGATGTACTATAGCCAAAATGAAAATGAGTCAAAATATATCACAAATAGGTCACAATATGAGAAGGGGTGCAAGATATATGGGTCACAAATGCTGCTACAAGACTGGCCCTGGGCAGATTGCATTAATATCACCTAAGGTGGCCAGGCCTGGTGGCTCCCGCCTGTAATCGCAGCACTTTGGGAGGCTGAAGCAGGTGGATCATCTGAGGTCAGGAGGTCGAGACCAGCCTGGCCAACATGGTGAAACCCCATCTCTACTAAAAATACAAAAATTAGCTGGGTGTGATGGCGGGCTCCTGTAATCCCAGCTACTCCAGAGGCTGAGGCAGGAGAATTGCTTGAACCCAGGAGGCAGAGGTTGCAGTGAGCTGAGATCGCGCCATTGCACTCCAGCCTGGGTGACAAGAGCAAGACTGCATCTTAAAAAAAAAAAAAGACAAAACAAAAACCACCTAATGAGATTTTCTTTCCCCAGCTTTATTGAAGAATAATTGAAAAATAAAAATTGTTTACATTCAAGGTATACAACTTGATTATTTTGACATGTGTGTACATTGTGACAAGATTACCACAATCAAGTTAGTTAACATCTTCATCACCTCACATAGTTACCTTTTTTTGTTGTGGTGAGAATACTTAAGACGTACTCTCTTTGTAAATTTCAAGTATACAATACATTATTACTAACTATATTCACCATGCTGTACATTAGGTATCCAGAAATCATTCATTCATTAGGTATCCAGAAATTATTCAAAGTTTGTGCCCTTTGACCAAAACCTCCCTGTTACCCCCACACCTGCCCCCTGGTAACCACCATTCTATTTTCTGTTTCTATGGGTTCAACTCTTTTGGATTCCACATATAAGTGAGATCACGCAGTATTTTTCTTTCTGTGCCTGGCTTACTTCACTTTGCATAATAATGTCCTCTAGGCTCATTGATGTTGCAACTGGCAGAATTTTTTTTAAGACTGAAAAATGTTCAGCTGTGTGGAATATTATATTACTATTAATATTATATGCTATATTTTATATATACCACAATTGTGATGGGTGTACCACAATTTCTTCAATATCAGGGCTATTTTGAATAATGCTGTAATGAACGTGGAAGTTCATCTGTCTCTTCGAGAGAGCTATTTTATTTCTTTTGGATATATACCCAGAAGTGGAATTGCTGGGTCATATGACTGTTCTATTTTTAACTTTTTGAGGAATCTTTACTGTTTTGCATAATGGTATATTCATTATAATGCATAATGTCAATTTATATCCCCATCAACAGTGTTTAAGGGCTTCGTTTTCACCACATCCTTGCTCAACATTAGTATTCATCAGGGAAACGCAAATCAAAACCACAATGAAATCTCATCTCACACCTGTTAGGATTTTTTTTGGTTATTATCTATTATTTTTGATAATAATTATTATCAAAAAGTGAAAAGATAACAAGCAAGGGAATTCTGCCAAGGAGACTTTAAATGCTGATTCCTGGAGTCCAAAGTGAGAGATTATGAGAGTGTAAACCTGAGATAGGTCCCAGTAGTCTGTATTTTTAATAAGTTCTCCAAGTCACCTGACAGCCAAATTTGGTAACCTGAGAGTAATGAGTTCAGTAAAATATATTACAATTAAATTATTATTGATAATGTAAGTTATGAAATATTAATGAAATGGTTAAGAAAGGATCCTCAACTGCAAGGACAAAAATGCAATCATTTTTGTCTGAAAGTAAATTCTAGCTTATTTCAAGAGAATCTAGGTGCTGTGTGTATGTTGTGAATGCTGTGTAGTGTAAGGGAATCACTGAAGACTTAGAAGCTTGTAAATGCCTAGCCTTGTTCCTGAAGGGGGAGCTCTTAGAGACCGTTTAGTCATTGAGATTGATGGAGAAACATTACTTACATATGCTTATATATTTAAAGATTACCAACAGTGAAATACAAATAAGATGAATAGCTCCTTAATGGCTAGAGAATGCAAAATAACACATAAGAAAAAGAAAGCTTCGATAGTAGAGTAAAAATTTGGAAGAAAGAAACGAGAAAATATAAACAAACAACTATGAGTGATAGAATGTAGTTTGATAGTAGTAATCATTTCACTATGTATATGTATATCAAAATATTATGTTGTGTACATCAGACATAGATGTAATAAAAATAAATTTAAAAATATATATGCAAGTTACAATTAAAGTAGGTAAATTAAATCTTAAATTACAAAACATTTTTGCATTAGCTTAAGAAGGATAAACCAATTCCATGCTGTTTAAAAGAAGACTTTTTTTTTAAATGGCACAAAGTAATTGGAAAGTTTTTCACTATTATATCTGCAGCTCTTGGCATGATTGGACATATGGTTCAAAAATGATTGCCACCTCATGGAATGAATGGATGTGGAAAAGTATAACAGCCTCCTATCACAACCACAACCAAAAATAAAAAGGTAACGTGTAACAATACCATTATTACAATACACTTCAAATAATAAATAATTAGATGGCACATAGGGCTATTTTTACCAAAAAATCCACCATTAAACAAGGTATAATAGCATCAAACTTTTGTGCACTGAAGGACACACATTATGATGAATTGGAAACATAAACATTCAAGAAGAAATTAACAAAACTATTACCAGACTGGGAAATTTTAATACATCTCTCAGAATTGGACTAGTCAAAAAAATCCAAGACAAATGATGTAATATTTTCCACAATATTAAGCTCATACCAATGCTTTGATAACCATAAGCTTTTTACCTTGTCATTTAATAACATTTTAATTGTAAAATAAAGTAAATATGATGACTAAAAGTAAATGAAAACATTCGAACAAAATACTTCTTTGTTTTCACCCTGGCCCATTTTAATATGTCCACTTGGCTTCTAATAGTATATGATGTTTCCCTTTCCTCGTTTGAGAACCCCTGGTTTGAATATTACAGTTCAGTTAAGATTTATTTCAAGACCAGGCATGGTGGCTTATGCCTGTAATCCCTGAAGCAGAAGGATCACTTGAGGCTAGGCGTTCAACAGACCAAGCAACATAGGAAGACTCCATCTCTACAAAAAATTTTAAAACATTAGCTGGGCATGGTGTTGTGTGCCTATGGTTCTAGCTAGGCTGAGCCAGGAGGATCGCTTGAGTCCAGGAGTTAAAGGTTATAGTAAGCTATGATGAGGCCATTGCACCCCACTCTGACCTGGGTGACAGAGTAAGACCTTGCCTCCATGGTTGGAAAGTTATACTCTACAAATGTAGACTGTATATTGTTTCAAAAATGTTTTTGGAATGTTTATGAAATTTGATCATATATGTAAAGAAAATTTCAAATATTAAATATTAAAAATCTTATAGGTTATATTGTCTAATTAAAGAGCAATAAAATTATAAATTAGCAAGGACCAAAAATATGAGCTACTTGGAAATTAAAATTAAACTTGTGAATGGCTTTTGGGTTTAAGTGGAAATCAATTATACTATGAACTATCTTTAAAACAAGTCACAGAAAATAATTATTCAGGATTCTAATATGTGGTCAGATGTTTACTGAGAGAGATTTTTAAAAATGTAAATGCATCATTCTTAAATATGAAAGATTGAAATTAAGTAATCTAAACATTTAACTCGAGAGGCTAGAAAATGACATTATAAAACAAAATAAATTAATAAAAAGTGAATAGTTATTTAAAAGTAGAAATTAATGACTTGTTTACATATAAAATATATAGAATTAAAAATACCCCATATTTGAAAAGACTTGTAAAATCAACAAAGCTTTGTTGTTTCTGATTCAAAAAAATGAGTTCATAAATGTATGATATTAAATTTAAAGGAGATAGGACCATTTGTATGTAATACATTTTCAAAATCAGTAGTGCTTGTTATGGATGTAATACTTGCAAGCAGATTTGGTGATTTGCTTGGAAAAAGAAAGAACCACTTTGTTTTTTCGAAAAGAAAAATTTCCTGCTTAAATGAATTGCCAAGATAAAGCAAATTAAAGATTGTCTTAGATTTACCCTCAGTTCTGCAAAATACACAGATTCAGATGGCTTCCTAGTTAAGTGCTGAAGCTCAAGAGACAAATCATTACCAAGTGATTTAAAATGTTTCAGAATTTTAAAACTAAAAGTAATAGGGAACACTTTCTATCTTATTTAAAGTTCATGTTTTGAGAGTCTAATATATATTGTGAAATTTTAGAAAGGCTGTACGAAGTAACATTAAAAATTGTAGACCAGCTTCCTTATTATTACTCTTGTAAATATGATTGAATCGCAGGCATCATCAAGTTAAAAGAATGATATACACTTACCAAGTATATTTGTTCTAAAAATGCAAGAAGAGTTCAGTATTCAGAGGTATATTAATATAATTATTTATAATACATTGAAAAGATAAATTCCACATCTCTATTTTGAAAGATGTTTAACGCCTTTTGATGAAATCAAATCGACATTCCCCAGTAACATTTTTAGAACATTAGGAATGATAAAATAAACTTTTTTTTTTTGAGACGGAGTCTGGCTCTGTCACTCAGGCTGGAGTGCGGTGGCGCGATCTCGGCTCACTGCAAGCTCCGCCTCCCGGGTTCCCGCCATTCTCCTGCCTCAGCCTCCCGAGTAGCTGGGACTACAGGCGCCGCCACCACGCCCGGCTGATTTTTTTGTAGAGACGGGGTTTCACCCTGCTAGCCAGGATGGTCTCGATCTCCTGACCTCGTGATCCACCCGCCTCCGCCTCCCAAAGTGCTGGGATTACAGGCGTGAGCCACCGCGCCCGGCCTAGAAACTTTAAAGCTATTATGAAAGATATGAAAAACAGTAGTGAATATAACAATTCACTGTAAACAGTAAAACTGTTTCTGTTTTAAGTTAAAGAACAAATACTCTTTATCAATGCTCTTAGTCAACAATGCTCTGAAGATTATAGTTGGTAAAATGAAAACAGAATTAAGAATAAATAATGGGAAAGGACAAATATTACTATTTTCAGATTGTATATGGGTTCTTCAATAAATTTTTACAATTAAAAGCTTTTAGAACTAATGAGTTCACTACATGATGAGAGATAAGATAAATGAAACTAGTTATTAGCTAATACTTGCAAGAATCAAAAAAGTAAGGGAGGCCGGGCGCGGTGGCTCACGCCTGTAATCCCAGCACTTTGGGAGGCCGAGGCGGGAGGATCACAAGGTCAGGAGATCGAGACCATCCTGGCTAACACGGTGAAACCCCGTCTCTACTAAAAATACAAAAAATTAGCCGGGCGTGGTGGCGGCGCCTGTAGTCCCAGCTACTCGGGAGGCTGAGGCGGGAGAATGGCGGGAACCCGGGAGGCGGAGCTTGCAGTGAGCCGAGATCGCGCCACCGCACTCCAGCCTGGGCGACACACCAAGACTCCGTCTCAAAACAAAAAAACAACAACAACAAAAAGAGGAATAATATTATATTCACAGAAGAAAGAAATACAAAAAAATTAGAAGTAAACTTAGGAAACTTAGGAAATCATCAAGACCTACATGAAAAAATAGTACCATTCACTATATGATATAAACAAGTGCTTGATTGAAAAGTAAACACACTCTCCTCCTAAATGGGAAGTCCTGTCATTCTAAGGATGTCACATGTGCCCACATTAATCTGTAAGTTTACTGAAGTTCAAGTAAAAATCTTTACAGTTTTTCTGTTTTTGTTTTTTGCTTAGAATAAAGGCAGAACTTAATGAACCTAAATTTGATTTGGAGAAAAAAGTGGGTAGAGAAATGTAGGGAGTGAACAGAGCCTTTTGGAAGAGGGAATGGGAGACTTTACTAGATATAAATATGAATGTAAAAGCCAAAATATTTTAAAATGTACTGTCAGTAAAAACTTATGCAGATGTAGATGGATCAATAGAAATAGAACAAACCGTAGTTATAAATTTAAGTGGATATTAAATGTCATATAAAATGAATTGTAATATGGATTGATAACTCAGCAAATACTGAAAAAATGGTCTATTTTAATACTTAGATCAATACCACTTCAAACAAAAGCACATTACTCTGAAACTTAAATATAGAAATAATCACATACTACTATACGAAAATACAGAATGTTTCTAACTTTTAAGCAAGGACTTCCTCAGCCTGATTTTAGTCGAATAACTATAATAGAGGAAGATGTTTCTTTAAAAAACTAAATTCTGTAAAACACGAATTCTTTATAAACACAAAGTCATATATAAACAAATGTTTATTGCAGTATTTTTTATTACATCCAAAAACCATGCACCTAAATGTCCACCAGGAAATGGACAGATAAATAAAAATGATTTGCTCTTACCAAAAATGTTAAAATAACTTTAAATAATGATAAGGTGGGTCTACATGTATGGACCTGGAAAAATGCCATTACATTTTCAGAGGACAAAAACACTCATAAAATAGGATGTAATATGTGATCTCATTTTTATAATTCCACGTCTTTGCATTTTTGTCTGTCTTTTGTGTGTAGAAAAAGAAAATAATGTGAAACTAATACCAACTTCAAGAATTAAGGGGATGAAATTACACAGTGGAGATTTTTAACTTTATTTTTATATATTCTGAAATATTTGAATGGTGAACAGTCATTGCTTTAATAATTGGAAAAAGTAGAGCTATTTCCAATTTGGGTTAAAAAAGTCAGTGGGACATTATCGTCTATATTCTACCTGTATGATTGAGATCCTAAGCCAAACCAATTCTTAGAGATATTCTGAATGACATATCCCAAAGCGCAGGTAAGTACACTCACTGTTAGACTCTGCTCATAGTTATGAGGGAAACATAGTCTCCAGTCACATCAAAAACCATGAAAGACAAGAAAAGATCATTAGTATACTGTATTTACTTGAGTTACTTACTGAATAGTATGTACTGGGCTCTTGGTGTGTTTGGTATTAATATTGACTGTTGGGTTCTAGTCTAGACTCTTGGTTCTGTGGTGCTGTCATCTATACCATTGGTCCTTGGAACAGGAGCACCTAGGAACTTGTTAGAAACAGAAAGTCTCAGACTTCATTCCTGACCTCGTGAATCAGAAATTTCTGGAGCCCACGCTCAATCAGCAAGCACTCCAGGTGATTCTGATGGATCCGAATGTTTGAGAACCACTGCTCTGCTGCATCCAGGGGAAAGCTATTTACTAAGTCAAGTTTTATTGTAAGTTGATCTTTCTCTTTTGAGTATATCAGAATTTATTAAGAATGATTAGAAAATTGATTGCAAACCAAAGAGTGGATAAAGAAAATGGGGCATATATACACCATGGAATACTACTCAGCCATAAAAAAAAACGAAATAATGTCTTTTTCAGCAACTTAGATGGAGCTGGAGGCCATTATTCTAAATGAAGTAACTCAGAAATGGAAAACCAAACATTGTATGTTCTCACTTATAAGTGGGAGCCAAGCTATGAGGATGCAAAGGCATAAGAATGATTTAATGGACTTTGGGGACTTGAGGGGAAGGGTGAAATGGGGGTGAGGCATAAAAGACTACATATTGGGTACAGTGTTCATTGCTTGGGTGATGGCTGCAACAAAATCCCGGAAATCACCACTGAAGGACTTATCCACGTAACCAAAAACCACCTGTACCCTAAAAACGATTGAAATAAAAAACAAAAAAAAGAAAACTGGTGGCAAGTAGGCCAGCCCATGAAAGCCGTTTAATACTTGGTTAAGTAGACTGACATTCTTTTCGTAGATGGTAGGGAGCTTTAAAGATTTCTGAATGTGAGAAGGACATGAGTGGTTGATGTCCATCAGGACAACTGCTCTAGCTGCAGTGTATAGCAGATTGCAGGAGACTGACAGTGGAGATGGAGAGCCAAGTTAGAAGGCAATTAAATAGGTCAAGCAAGAGGTAGTAAAAACCTGGATTGGAGTAGAGGAAATGGAATTGGAAAAGAGACAAATGAGAAAGAGAGATTGTGAAAGTGAGAACAGTGCTTGGTCCCTGATGGCATGTAGGGGCCAAAAGAGAAGAAAGGCAAAGATGATTGACGTTTTAAGCCTATGTGACAGGTATTATTGGCACTACAGATCAGAACAACTATCAGTGATCTGCAACGTGGTAGATTGTGCTGATATCAGTCATCACACAGAAGATTGGTTTGTTTGGATTTCTAAATTGGGGCTTTTCAGTTCATTGGAAGGATGGTTAAAAATCTCAATGATTAGCATTAGAACAAAAGAGAACAGAAATACAGTTGAGTACTTTGCCAGACTCATCAAATATGATTTTGATGGGCTAAGAACTCCTAACGAGGACACAGTGATCAACTGAGCAAACAGACCATTTGGCTTGAACAGAAATGTCAACATAGGCATAATCTACTAAGTTGCTAATTAGGGATGGTACTAGCCGGTTGATGGACTTCAGCCAAGACATACAGAATGGTGAGAAGCCAGTGCACAGAGCCTCTGGGAATCTGAATGATCAATTATTTTTCATCCCATAATGTAATTTACCTGTATTAGAATTTATATGCAGAATTAAACACTCCTTCTTCAGAGTTTCCACAGTATTCTAGATTTTTATTGAAGTATTTATTTTAATGGTTTATTTATCTTGGGCAGAGCTTTTTGTGGGGATATCAAACTGTTAATGGATAGAAAGGGATAGATTGAATATTCCTGAGAGTTGGATCAGTGTGAAGTAAAGTTGAAGTTGGTTATACTATGGCAAGTATGATGTAGAGAAAATCTTTCGGATGTTCGAAGGTCAACTCAGCTACTTACTTCCTTTTATAATTTGGTTCGACTTGAACACTATGATTCCTCATTTGTTAAATAGAAATAATAATAATAGTTTACCTCATAGGGTTATTATAAGAATTAAATCTAAAATCCAGTTGACTTGAACTCTAAAAGATAAAATAAAATTTGAAAAAGAACTAAAGGAAAAAATAATTAAATAAAATTATGCATATGCAATGTTAAAAAACAGAATCGGAAAAATAATTTCTCAAAGAGGGTAGCTGTTGTTGCTATTATCGTTGTTTTATTTTATTGTCAAACAGGCTGTGAGAGTCAACTAGAAGGGTGACGATCTTGAGGTAAGAAGTTTTTGCATCCCTCTAGCATATTTTACAAGCAGCATCAGGTACAAGCTAAATGAGTGTCGCTGAGCCTGAACTTGTTTGGTGAGTAGTTGAATAAGGGAATGATAAGGCCCACATTCATTTATTTTTACTTTTAAGGTAGAAGGGTGCAGCAACTTGGTTTCTGCAGAATGTATCACTTGCTGTCTTTTCCGTGGAAAAGAGGCTATAGTTGTTCATTCAGATTGAACAACTGATTGTAAAATTGTAATACCCCTAGATGGAGGTGTATAAGAAAACTAAGCCATTTCTTTTCTTATAAATATGCATACATGTCTTAGTTCATTCATGCTTCTCTAACAGCATAACATAGACTGGGTGGCTTATAAGCAACAGACATTTATTTCTCAAAATTCTGGAGACTGGGATTTCCAAATCAAGGAGCTGGCAAATTGGATGTCTGGTGAGGGCCCACTTCTGGTTCATAGCCAGCCTTCTTCTCTCTGAGTTCTCACAGGGTGTAAAGGACCAAGGAACTCTCCTGAGTCTCTTTGATGAGGGCACTAATCTCATTCAAAAGGGTTCCACCCTCATGATCTAATCATCTACCAAAGGCCTTACCTCCTAATAGTATCTCTGATAGGCCAGTCTTGTGTTGCCAGAAATGAACATTCTCAAGTTCATTTCATGCCAGAAAGGAATATCTGAGACTGGGTAATTTATTTTAAAAAGAGGTTTAATTGACTCACAGTTCTGCAAGTGGTATAAGCATGGCATTGGCATCTGCTCAGCTTCTGGAGAGGCCTCAGGGAGCTTTCAGTCATGGCAGAAGGCAAAGCAGGAGCGGGCACATCACATGGCAAAAGCAGGAGCAAGAGAGTGGGGAAGTGCCACATATTTTCAAACAACTGTATATGGACACTCATTATTGTAAGGACAGCACGAAGCCATGAGGGATCCTCCCCCATGATCCAGTCACTTCCCACCAGGCCCCATCTCCAAAACTGGAGTTTACAATTCAACATGAGATTTGGGTGGGGTCAAATGTTCCAACTATATCACTATCACATTGGTGATTAGGATTTCAGCATTTGAATTTGCAGGGGACATAAATATTTGATCTATGGAAATATGTATAAGACATTTATTTAATCTATAAAATAAGATCTCTAATGAATGTGTTATAAAAGGTAGCTTCTAGGTTCACTGTCCTATTTTAGGAAACTTGCAAATGTTCATTAGTCTCCTAAACCTCTGCCGATAGCTTGCCTTTTCTTTGTGACCTTGGATTTTTTTTTTGTAGGATTCCCTGTCTAGAATATCCTAGCTTGTTTTTCCTAAACATGGAAATCACTAATCCTTCATGGCCGAGTTTACCATCCTTCTCCTTAGTAATTTCGCTTTATTTCAACAAGGAAAAAAAGTCTGAGAAATTCTGTAGCACTTTGGTCCATTGTTATGACATGCATTTCAAATGACCTAACACTGTTTATATTTGTGTAGAAATTTTATTTATCTTATTAGATTGTAAACTCCATACAAGAAAGCTGAAAAAATAAAATTAAGAATACGGGGAAAGGTTTGAAGCAGAAGGTCAGAGACAGAGGCTTCTTCAATGCCATACAGAGGATTGGGCTTGAGTAGTAACTACTGCTTGATACCAGATGACTTAATCTCTCTAACCATGATGTAATGAACCAGAGGTGGGTCCCTGTCCCCAAAGGACTGTGATCCTTAATAAGTGACTTGGTAAGAGCTCTGGCTAACTGGTGTGTTGAAAATGTCACAACACCCTAACCTGATCTGATCATACAGACAGAATGAGCAGAGTGATTGGACTAAAGCTAAAAGGCAGAGAGAGGGCAATGATATTACAGGCAAGCAGCTAGCACAGCAAAAAATTCAATGTAAATAAAATAGTAGAGTTAGGAGAAGATTATCTGCCCTCTTTACCAACCCCTTCATCTTTAAGTTAAATCTCATGAACTCAAGTTACCTGAAAATATGGTTTATTCCATGTATGTGAAAAAAGGCCTGACTAGTACAGCATCATTTTGTAATCTCTTTGGCAGAAATGATTCTTTTTATATGTTGAGTCTAAATGCACTGCCTTGTAGCTTCCATGCACAGGTACTTGTCATGCTTCCTGAAATCACACAGAACATGCATTAACTATGTAGCCAATGACAGGCCTTCTAGGATGAGCAGATTCTTCAACAGTAGGGAGATGTCTTTCACAGGAAACGAATGAGTATTTGTCAGGGCTTCACTTGATATACTTTCTACCACTGTCCCGGTAAGGAATAGCAGAATATAAATAAAGGGTCTAATATGTACTTATTAATGAGTTTGCTAAATAGAATATATATACCACTTAGTGAGTGGTACTATGATTGTTTTGGGTACATACCTAAGATTAGCTTTTGTTTTAATAGTAGAAATATGTATATATTATTATGTATATTAGGAAAATATAACCAGCATGGAAAACCCATGGCTTCCTTGAGTCTATTCATTAAGACAAATGGAAAATACATATTTAAATTTAAAATAAGAATTTAACAATGCTAAGTAAACAGTTCTAGTGGTATGCACATATGGCCAACATAATGGAGGATGTTTGCTAATGATGGTAATTAGTATAACACTGCTTTAAGAAAAAGTGTCAACAGATTAGCATGATATGCCACAAGCAAACTGGACCAAGATTATCACTTTTATTTTTGCTTTCTAATTTCAGCGGTTAAATTTTAAGATATTTGATATAGCTTAGGAGATTGATTGCTTTGAAAACCAACTTAAATATGAAATAAAGAAACTATACTAGCACAAGTAATGCAAGAAATAAACATCACTTCAAGGTCAATATCAAGAAATTGGAACCCTTTCTGAATTTATAAGAATATTTTGAGAAACAACTTTCCTGTCAAATGGAAGTCAGGAGAAAATCAACAAAGAGTCACCTTTGTACCCAAGAAAACCTATAGACACATGTAACAGCATGCAGAAATATAAAGGTAAAAAAATCACTCAAGAGTCAGTGAGAATTTTTTTTAGTAAAGGTCATTTGATGTCCACTTCCTTGTATATCAAATAGTTAAATGCGGATGAAAGCAGGAGATATGAATAATACTAGACCGTGTATCCATTAAGGAATCATGAAAACAAAAGTTTAAAGCAAGAATTGCTAAAACCAAGTGTTTTCTCAAAAGAGCTCTTAAGTCAAATGTAGAGGTAAGAATATATGACTTTATCACTGTATCATTTTATTACAGGATGGAATTCAACATTTTCAATGTGATTTTCATGTATTTTATTGATTTGGGAAGGTTAGCGATTAAATATTGTTAATAACATTCTACCTGGTTTCTCAACATCTCATATCTTTTTTCCTCTGACCCATCAGAAATACTACTGGCACACTTGTCTCCCCAGTGCACTTCTTGGATTGTTTTTGCTCCTCTGCTCACCACACTTCTTGAGGCTGCTTCCTGAATTCCTCCATACATATGAATTCTTTAGCAGGCTATTCAGCATGCCTGTGCTGTCTGTGCCAAATCTAACTTCCAGTCATTTTCCTTTGCACTTGTGTTTGGCTACTTAGGTTTATCTTAATATGCTCTATATGCCAGGGCTCTTCAGAGAAGCAGAACCAATGGGATTGTGTGTGTGTTTGTGTGTGTGTGTGTGTGTGTGTGTGTGTGTGTGTGTATCTCCAGGAAACTTCAGTTTTTACATTTAAGGCTTTCAGCTGATTGGATGAAGATCACCCACATTAAGGAGAATAATCTCCTTTACTTAAGCTGAATTGATTATAGATGTTAATCCTATCAACAAAATACTTTCAAAGCAATATCAAGACTAGTGTTTGACCAAACAACTGGGCCCCAGAGCCTAGCCAAGGTGACGCATAAAATTTAACCATCACAATTGCCTTGCTTTTCTTTCTCTATCGTCTGGATTTTAAAATTTTTTATACTTTACCTTATATGTCCTTATTCCATATTCCTAAATTTGAATACCCTTCAAGCCCCAGCTCATTTCTCTCTTATTTTCAAAGTCATTACCATTCACTTCATCCTGGAATGGTAGCTAGGACCTGTGAAATTCTGTAGCAGGATGCACTGCTTTCATAGCATGCATTTCATGCTGCCTGGTGTTGAAGGTATTTGTGTAAGGCTTTTATACTCTGTGAGAGCTTTGAGCTTCTCAAGGGCCAGAGCTGTAACACATATGTCTTTGAATTAATATATAATTCATTGCTCTACACAAAGGTACATACTTTTTTTTTTGTTTTCTGAAGTGCAGAGTGCTATTCTAAGCCATCTTAAACTCAAAGAATTATAGAAACGTTCTGGCATACAGTCAGAATATGGAATAGGAAGAGTGTTTCACAAAGTGTGATAGGCATCCTACCACACAAAGTAGTGTTTGCTTTAATAGATTCATGTTCATGTTACTGTGATTTAGAAAAAAAAAATTGTAACATCAAACCAATGAATTCTCAGATATTAATGTTTAGGATGGTGTTAAAACAGAGACTTATGTTAGGCTTGAATCAATGATTAAATATTTATTTGAGGGTCAATGTTCAAGTATGACAATGTAGTAAAATAGTATGTGAAGAAACTAGGTTTGTTCCATGTTAACTTAATGCAGTTCTAGACTGGAAATGAGGAGAATTGAAATTCTATAGGCCCATCACTCATTGTGTGTGTGATCTTAAGACATTTTTACCTCTTGGCATCTGTATCTTTTTTGGGGGGTAGGTATTCTGTTATCATCTAACTCTAAAAGTGTAATTTGCTACTAAGATGCCTATAAATACAGCCAGACTACAACACAGATGGTGCACACAGGAAGAAAATCTCTGATTGGTAGACTAACCCAAAATAGGCTGTGTATATATTGAATGAAATACGACCAAAAAATCTGCAAATAGCAGACACAGAGCATCCTTTAGGTTGGAACTGAGTAAAGTAGATTTATGATCTAATCTTACTTATTCTATGACATTTCTGTTTAATGAATGTCCCTGATCCTCCTGCCATCTTACTCACATTTCTAATGTGCTCATACTCCGAGGTAATAATGATCATTTGCAATTATAAATGTCCTGTTATCAATTAATTTGCAGTTCACCAGTAACCATCTGATTATCTCTAACAAAGCTGCGCTGGTGTGGTAATTATGTTGAGAGTAATCATCATGTAATTGCACATAATTATTTGTACCTTATTAAGTGCTCATATGATTAAAATATTTCTGGTCAAATAAAAATTATCCGTGAGAGTATTTTTTGGAGGGGGGAAATAAGAAATGTTGCTTCCTGGTCTTCTGTTCTTTGAATAAGGTAAAGCTGTCTAGCTGACAGTCCATAATGCCCCAGATAGGATGAATTAGTAAGGAGAGAAGAGACTTAGATTTCATTAATACAATACCTTGTACCTCCAATGAAGTTGAGATAATAAACTTCAACTTCCAGCATGGATGAACGCTTTCCCTGTAGTAGCTATAACAAAAAATATTACCCTATTAAGAGTGTACACTATGAATGTCATTGAGGACAATGTGTTTTTCATGTCCAACACCGCCATTAGCAATTTTATACTGAACTTTTATTTTTCTCATAGTACTCTCTCTTCAAAACTTTTAATATTCACTTATTTACACTCAGTGTTTTTTTTAATTTCCAGGGACTGTGTTTAGTGAGATGATCTACAGGTATAATTCCAAAAGCACCTACCAAATTTGTTTATTCAGACATTCATTAAAGAGCAACTCTATATACTAGCACTCTCCTTTAGAAATATTATGTGAGCTACGTAGCCAAATTTACTTTTTCCAGGACCCACAAACAACAGCAAGAAATAGGTAAAATTAATATTAGTAATATATTTTATGTAAAATAATCATTACTTCATAGGTACTCAGTTGTAAAAAAGATTAGTGAAATATTTTACATTTTTTGTACTAAGCCTTATAAATCTAGTGTAGATTTTACTTATAGCACATCTCAATTCAGATGAGCAACATTTCAAGGGCTCCATAGCCATAGGTAGCTTATGGCTGCTGAATTAGATGGTGCATATATGTTGATTGTATCTACATGGTAGATAAAGGAGAGTCCTAATTAATAGTTAGCTCTCTGATTTTATAGATGTTTTTATGAGTTTCAATTTCCTAATCTGGTAAATAATACATCTAGCCTAAAACATTTCTTTTTAAATTAAAATGTTTTCTAGAAGGATAGGGATGGAACTAACATTAAGGGACTGCTTTACTAGGTCATGTAGGATACTAGGTATATTTACATTTATTATCAAATTCATTCTTCACAATAGTCTAGAAGGGTATGTTACTTTACAGGTTAGAAAAGTGAGATGTAAAGTTTAACCTTATCAATAGTAGAATAGTAGAACTGGGATTCAAACTTGGCTATCATCTTTGACCACAGATTTTGTCTCATGCTTTTCAAATAAGAAACACATATTTTGGGTCCACTTGCTCATTGATAGGTCTAGTAAGAGGATTTTACTTCCCTGAATACTGTGTAAAAGGCTTGACTGCAAGAAAGTTACTGATTAGTTTGATTTTTAGGGTTTCTCCTGACCTTCCTTATCCATGTTTCCCAGTCCAGTTTCTTGAATTAGTCTCTCCTGAAAGCTTGTTCTTTCCAGCAAACTTATCTCAAGTATAGCATAAATCATCTTCCACTGGCATTTTAACTGAAAGTCTGTTGACTATCACGCACACTTACAGAAAGCCTACCTTTGGGGATAACTGAGTGACTGACAGCGATGCCTTAGCAACCATCTGATTGTAGTTACAGAGGAAATTTACCTTGGATTGAAGAATCACATGCCATTGTGATTGACAGAGTCTGTAAGACAATCAAGGTCAAACCCAGAGTAAATTGAGTATGTGGCTATGAGCATTGACAGATAAGTCATGTGTCAAATATTGCCTAGCCATCTGGTTGCTACTCATGATTAGACTGGATTCATTGTGTTTAATTTCTTATTGAGGACAACTACATGGGAAACTTGTTTGTTTTTAGTTTATCAGTGAAATGTGCTTTATCTGCTGACATAAAATGTTTCTGCCTAAAGTGAACTTGCAAAATCATTAGTTTTATGACTCCAGCATGACCTACAAAAAATTATTATTTAAAAGTGATTGATGCATTATTGAAAAAAATATATTAGGTGCTGAAAGTTACACTCATGAATAAAAGCACAATTCCTTAAAGAGGAATAAGAAAACAAATGTGATCACCCCGAGGGTTTTTAGAAGCCCCCAAATGTTTAAAGACTATTAGCCAAACTGGGTACCAGATATGTGGGTAGTGAGAGGTGATGAGATGTCAGTGATAAGTGATGTATAAGGGGACAGGTGCCTTGTGTGAAATTCTGAAAATTCACATTTAGTAGAACGTATCAAACGCCAGTAGAACGTATCAAACGCCAGCAAATACTTAGTTTATTTTTGAGGACAAAAGTGGAAAACACAGGGAAGTGAAATCAATTGTCCTATGTCACATTGTACTTGGAATGGGGCTCTGAGTCCCCTGACTACTAATCCAGTGCAATTTCCTCCTGTAACTTTGCTGCCTTTGTAAATGATTACATTTTAAATACAAGGGCTGTTTGGCTTATTAATTAGTTAGTGTTAAAAAAAGCCAAAGTTGCTTTTCATCACTGATGGATTAGTACCTTTCATTCTGTTTTCAACTACCATATTGTCCTTTTAACTGAACTATTAAAAACATTTTTCCTTGTTGATCACAGCTTGGGTGAACAAAGTAGGGGCTAATGAAAATAAATTCCCGGTCAGAGAAAATGGCAGTTGCACGAGTTTTGGTGGTATGATAGTCACATTTGCATATGTAAAGTATAACACTACATAAGCAAATAATATGACCCAATTTTAGGTGGTGATCTATATGTCATTGCTGGTTCCTCTGCAAGAATAAATACTGAATGCTTCTAGGCATTTCCAGTAAGCACAGTAAATCCATTTCAATAATGAAGAATTCCTGAGAAAACAATATAATAGAATCAACAGGTTCTAGCAAAGTGGAATTTTATCATAAATTACAAGTTCCACCATGTTAACACGTACATTGCAACATGTTTTGGACAGTACTTCTGAGGTTGGAATTCTCAGCAAGTGGTTCCTATTTTGACATCCAGACAGTGATAGCCATTTGTAGGTGGAAAATTAGTTATCAGCTGTGCCTTGCTTTTTCTTTACTTGGGTTTCTCTATTTCTCTGTCTTTTTACACACACACACATACACACACCCCACACACATATACACATATATATCTATCCTTGGATATCCAAAAAAAGATTCTCAATAAATTCACAACACTAATTGAATTGAGATGATATAAAGTTGTTGATTATTTTTAATAAAGTCTAGAGATCTAACATTAGTTGTAGCTTATTTCTTCACTACTAAATAAGAAATTCCAAGTTAAGTCTTTTCATCTTTTCATTAATAAATAGCCAATATGTAATATCTGCCCATCCATATATATTATGAACTATCTGAACTACTCCTTATAATTATGGGGTAACCAGTCAAATAAAAGTGTTGAATAAACAGCTTATTGTATATGTTATGAATTACCTGACTTAAAATTAGGAGTCAATTAGTCAAAATGCCATGGGCTATATGACTCATTGTAACATTAATAAAGTAAAATATGTCTTCCTATAATCCAGTTATTGGTATTAAATAATATTGAAGCTATTTTCCAAGCAAAACTTCCGCATAAGTTTGTTTTTGTCTTGGTTGAGAACTGGTTCTTTTGAGATAAAGCCACCAACTCAGCACAGGTTTTTTTTTTTTTCTCCTGAATGGTTTTGTTCAACTTAAAATGACTGTTCCTAACAGCAGGTGCTCTCTTCTTTGTTTCAGATTATATTGAACATGCTTTTGGTCTTCACAAATACTGAAAATCAACTATAAAAATGCTGGATGAAAAGAACTATATCCATATGGTAGGAAGATAAAATTTTAGCTCTAACTCATATCTTCTCTGAAGAAGATTCTTCAGTAAGTTCAATAACTAACATTATACATTCAGTCTTTTAGGAAATCCTTGGATCTATTTTCAAAATATATCCAGAAACAGAAAGCAGCTATAACATTTGACTGGATCTCTCATTATGAGTAAAATAAAATCTTTAACAGCTATTAATCTTATACATGATATGACAGCCGTGATTTTACCTTTCTTTTTTAAAATTAATTTTAACAGCTTTGGAGATCCTTCACTGAGATATCCAGTGGGTTCAACTGACAAAGCAAGGCACAATTTATCATGTAGGAATGTACTTCACGGGAAATTTTCTTCTACATATGTTTTCTCTTGGTTCCCAGAGATGAATCCGTAATAACAATAGGATTCTGCTAACTTTGTTTTTCTGATTCCAGTTTTCCTCTTTACTAATTCCATGGCTCTTTTTTTGGGGCTCATTTTTTGCCCAATAAATTATTCCCGCTTATTGACAGGACTGATTTGGGAATTTAAGGTCTGACCATTTGGTGATATCTATAAGTAGATTCATTGTTTATAGAGACCTGTTCTCTGTTAGGCGAGAGACAATAGAGAATCTAGTTGTTAGTCTTTATCTGTTTGTTTGCTTGCCAACACTGACCTCAAATAAATTAAGAATTTTGTGGCCACTGGGCAAGAGAACAGCTCTTTGATATCTGGACTGTATATAACTGGAATAATGGTTATGCACCCAAAGCCATACATGGAATGTCATATTTGAGAATGATAGTCACATAACCACCCCAAGCTACTAAGATGCCATAAGTCTTTACCCCAAATGTGTCAGAAATGGAAGACACTTCTCTCCTATTAGAAGAAACAAATACGTTTGGAAAAAAATATTTTTGGATAGGATAACAGAGAATATCCTCTCCAGAGAACAGGGTAGTGAAATATATTTTGTTCACATAAACTGAATTTTTTTTTTCTTTTTTTGAGACGTGGTCTCGCTCTGTCACCCAGGCTAGAGTGCAGCGGCGTGATCATGGCTTACTGCAGCCTCAGTCTCCTGGGCTCAAGAGATCCTCCTGCCTCAGCTTCCTGAGTAGCTGGGACCACTATCACACACCATCACACGTGGCTAATTTTTATGTTATTTTTATTATTATTTTGGTAGAAACGAGGTTTCACCATATTGCCCAGGCTGGTTTCAAATGCCTAGGCTCAAGTAATCCACCAGCTTTGGCCTCCCAAGGGTTGGAATTTTACAGGAGTGAGCCACCACACCAGCCTGAAATTTTCATTAAAAGGAACTTCCCTTCCAGGAAGGGATGAAGGAGGACTTTTAGAACACTAGAAATGACAGCCCAAAGAGACAGAGCCCAGAGCATGGGTGAGGGTGAGCTGTGGTGTCTTGAAACCTAGACACTTGTTGGTGGAACCAGCTTGGGAACACAGGCTAATTGGGAAGTATGGAAGGAGGATGCTTCAGACACAATTGAATTTTTCAGTGTTACTAGGACATCTATTCCTGTGTATGAACCACCCGCCTGCTGTGGTTTGAATGTTTGTGTCCCCTCCAAAACTCATGTTGACATTTATTCTCAGGTGAAACAATATTATGAGGGAGGGCCCTTAGGAGGTGATAAAGTGCCTTATAAAAGGGCTTGATGGGGCGAGTTACCCCTCCATCCCTTCATGTAAGGACACAACCTCATCCCCTCTGGAGGATGCAGCAACAGGGCACCATCTTGGACACAGAGAGCTGCCTTCACTAGACACTGAACCTGCTGGCACCTTGGTCTTGGACTTCCCAGCCTCCAGAAGTGTGAGAAAAAAATTTCCATGTTTACAAATTACTCAGTCTGTGTTATTTGGTTATAACAGCACAAATGGACAAAGATACTGGCCCTTCTGCAAAAATTCAGGTCCTCAAAATCTTTGTGAAGGATGTGGCTTTTGTTACTTTGCTTTGCTTAAGAAGGGAGAGTGGTCTACAATCACAGGGTTGTTTACCTGCAAGCTCCTCCTGGGCCTGGATTCCTCATTGTGCAACTGTTGTGTTATCTTCAGTGTCCACACCACTCAAAGACAACTTTGGTTTGAATGGAGCCTGGCCTGGGCTTTTTACAGAGGCTGACATTGATTTGGCATTCTGCAGGGCACCTTGCTGACTTTTGTTTTCTCTCTTGGGATGTATCCACTGAGACAAATGACTCATCCATTCTCTGAATTTAGTTTTCTGAGGAGTCTGTCTTCTTTGGGGCAGAAATGGGGACACATTGCTCACCACGGTCTCTCTCTTCCTCTGACCTTTGCAGGAAAGTGCTTTCCCTCTAGTGTGTAAAGTCCCCAACCCTATGTCCAAATTCTGGATTCTTTACTAATTGGAAACTGCTATTATAGGATTCCCATTTTTTTCACTTGGCTCTAAATTAGTATCCCAGATCTTTCAGGAGGGTCTGAAACTTAGGGGATTCGAGCTCTTGCTACCCCAGGGCACTTTCCATATGCTCTAAGTGGATCTATAAAACATGGGAAGGTGCCATATCCCCACAGTGTATGCTATGGGGATGAGGCTGTGAGCCATTAGCAAATTTTCTGGGTCAGTGGGCACTTCAGTTGTACAATCATGAGCCCGGCTCTCAGTCTGTGCCTCTGTTTAGAGTTTTAACTAAGAAGAAAGATGGTCTTCGGGGTGTGATTTCCAGAGATCTTGGACTGCCAATAATGGTACAAAGTATTTCTTGGTTATTACAGCCCTTAGACTACTCAAATTGTCATTGAATATTTGGGAGATTCTAAGCTAATTAGTTCTCTGTGTGCTTAATTTATTTTCTGGTTTTGTTTTATGAGGCATGTGGGACTCCATAGCCTTAATTATAACATATCCTTGGAACCATTGGTCTTTTCTTTTTTAACTGTTTTTTTCTTTTTTTAATTTTTTATTATTATACTTTAAGTTCTAGGGTACATGTGCACAACGTGCAGGTTTATTACATATGTATACATGAGCCATGTTGCTGTGCTGCACCCATTAACTCGTCATTTACGTTAGGTATGTCTTCTAATGCTATCCCTCCCCCTTCCCCCCACCCCACAACA
This sequence comes from Homo sapiens, assembly GCF_000001405.40. NCBI lineage: Eukaryota > Metazoa > Chordata > Mammalia > Primates > Hominidae > Homo > Homo sapiens. Next base: position 2,186,099 of record NC_000003.12, read on the forward strand.
GGCCCCAGTGTGTGACGTTCCCCTTCCTGTGTCCAAGTGTTCTCATTGTTCAATTCCCACCTATGAGTGAGAACATGCAGTGTTTGGTTTTTTGTCCTTGCGATGGTTTGCTGAGAATGATGGTTTCCAGCTTCATCCATCTCCCTACAAAGGACATGAACTCATCCTTTTTTATGGCTGCATAGTATTTCATGGTGTATATGTGCCACATTTTCTTAATCCAGTCTATCATTGATGGACATTTGGGTTGGTTCCAAGTCTTTGCTATTGTGAATAGTGCCGCAATAAACATACGTGTGCATGTGTGTTTATAGCAGCATGATTTATATTCCTTTGAGTATATACCCATTAATGGGATGGCTGGGTCAAATGGTATTTCTAGTTCTAGATCCTTGAGGAATTGCCACACTGTCTTCCACAATGGTTGAACTAGTTTACAGTCCCACCAGCAGTGTAAAAGTGTTCCTATTTCTCCACATCCTCTCCAGCACCTGTTGTTTCCTGACTTTTTAATGATGGCCATTCTAACTGGTGTGAGATGGTATCTCATTGTGGTTTTGATTTGCATTTCTCTGATGGTCAGTGATGATGAGCATTTTTTCATGTGTCTGTTGGCTGCATAAATGTCTTCTTCTGAGAAGTGTCTGTTCATATCCTTTGCCCACTTTTTGATGGGGTTGTTTTTTTCTTATAAGTTTGTTTAAGTTCTTTGTAGATTCTGGATATTAGCCTTTGTCAGATGAGTAGATTGCAAAATTTTTCTCCCATTCTGTAGGTTGCCTGTTCACTCTGATGGTGATTTCTTTTGCTTTGCAGAAGCTCTTTAGTTTAATTAGATCTCATTTGTCAATTTTGGCTTTTGTTGCAATTGCTTTTGGTGTTTTAGACATGAAGTCCTTGCCCATGCCTATGTCCTGAATGGTATTGCCTAGGTTTTCTTCTAAGGTTTTTTATGGTTTTAGGTCTAACATTTAAGTCTTTAATCCATCTTGAATAAATTTTTGTATAAGGTGTAAGGAAGGGATCCACTTTCAGCTTTCTACATATGGCTAGCCTGTTTTCCCAGCACCATTTATTAAATAGGGAATCCTTTCCGCATTTCTTGTTTTAGTCATGTTTGTCAAAGATCAGATGGTTGTAGATGTGTGGTATTATTTCTGAGGGCTCTGTTCGGTTCCATTGATCTATATCTCTGTTTTAGTACCAGTACCATGCTGTTTTGGTTACTATATCCTTGTAGTATTGTTTGAAGTCAGGTAGCATGATGCCTCCAGCTTTGTTCTTTTGGCTTAGGATTGTCTTGGCAATGCGGGCTCTTTTTTGGGAATCATTGGTCCTTGAAGGCAGCTCTAATTTCACCTCATAGCTCTGCTCTCTGAAGCACGCCTCTGCTATGGCTGGAGTCCCTTGGGGGCGTGATTCCCATTCTTATTCCTAGGTTCACGATCAGCTGTTGTGTAACTTATAGTTAGCTCTGGGTTGCCCTTTTGGCCCCCATTTTAGTCACATTCTGCCGGGTTCCGTCTTAGTTGTAGTGTGTGTGAGGACACAATATCGACTACATGCAGAGATGTATTTACCGTCTGCCCTAACCTGATGAGTCTATGCAGGGCCCTTGCAAATATCAAAGCAGGACCACCTTATGCCGCTAGCCTTGCTTACTCACAGGAGAGGACTAGATGCCACATTTTTCTCCCATGATTATCTGTTTTCTCTCAGCTCAGATTTTGAGTCTGCCTCTGAAACATGGGTTTCTGAGTAGGGAAAGGTGGCATGGTAAAAAGGCCAGGATTGAGATGTTCTCTTTTGACACCATAGTTTTATGGATTCAAGGACCATGAGAAGTGCATCCTACTTCTGCCACTTGTGAAAGCAAATCAAGTGGGTTTTAAGATGACAGCAAGAATGAAAAGGGAGAAAAAAAAAGTGGGTTTGCTATACTTGTCAAGTGCCTGGATCAAGGAAGGATCAAGGAGGCTTTCTGAGCCCCTTGATTGGTTACCTTTTGAGCCCTTCCCCAATCATTCCCTAGGCAGAATTTTCTGCATCTTCTAAGTAGAATTTTCCTGGGTGCTTCAGTACAATCCACTTGAGATCCTTGTTCCTCTGGCCCTTCAACATGGAAGTCCATGAGAGTCCATATTTGCCTTTCCATTGAGAGGTCCCTAATAATTTATCTTTAGGCTGCATCAGCAAGAGTCCCTAGGATTCTGTAGGCCTGGCCCCTCTCTTGTTCTGTGAGTCCATGTTGAAGGCCGTGTCCAAGTTGCTTCCTCATCTCCTTGCTGAAAACAAATGCTTCAGGAAAGATAGAGACTAGGACTTAGGATGAAAAGGTCAAGTTCTCCTGAGGAAGATTGGGAGCTGGAGGGATGGAGGCTTCCAAAGATCTCTGGGCCTCAGTGGGTAAATAAAGTCCAGAAACCTTTTAGCTATTTCTGCTGCAGTGCCATTTCAGGCATAGAATTTCAGGTAGGGTGAGAAACTGTACCCATTTCTGGGTTCTAGGGAGGGATACTCTATAGGCATTAATCTGAGGGAGAGAGGGTTGAAATCTGGCCTCTCAGGTACCTGTGAACCAGACAGAAAGGCAGTAATTAGGGCAAAGTTGCAGGAAGATGCTGGTGCTGGGCCTTGGGGTGGGAAACAGGTTGCAGCTGAGGAAGCAGTAGGAATTCTTTAGCCTGCATTAGTATTTGGATGGCAATGGGCTTTACATTGAATAAACAAAGGGAGACTCTGTTGGGGAACAGCTACCACAGACTAAGACTATCAGCTACAAAGACTCCCTGTGCCCTCCCAGGAGAGTTAACTTTACTTACACTGCAAATCATGCCCCAAGTTCTTGAGAGTTGGGAGATGCTATGTACACTGCAGCTGCTCTGGTTGCCCTTCAGTGCTCTAGAGGGACTGAGGATTTTGCCCTGTTCATCATTAAGTAATTCTGTGGAATTCAGAAAATTCAGCCCATAACCTGACCTGAGATGTTTTGGAAATGACCTTTCCTTCTTTTTTTATTTTCTGAAATCTGAAAATCCAGTTTCTTTATGACTCATATCTTCAAATGCTTATTGACATCCAGGCTAAAAAAGAAAAAGTTGCCAGCTTCCACATGCAGGGTGTGCCCAGGCAGGGGTCTGTGATGTGTGAAGAGAAAAATGCTCTTGATGTAAAACACAATGTGAGGAGGTAGGGAGGAACAAGTCCTTCACCGATGCCTGCCGCTAGAAGGCTGACCTGGAAGTTGGGGTCCATGCCTGAGTACCTTCAAACAGAAGAGGCTAACCAGCTGAAGAACTCAGCAGATCTCTCTGGGATGGTACTCAGTGCAATAACAGGCACAACAGATTGAGTTAACGTGGTATATGGTAGTGCTGGAATAGAGAGGGTCAGTGTTGTAGGATGTCAGATAAATGAATCAGTTTGATCCATGGAATGGGCTGAAGGTTGAGAGAGATTGATACCCTGAGAGAGGAGTCAGCCAAGGCCATATTCTTCTCGCCTCCATGTTGTCCCTGAAAAACAAAAAAAGAATGAGGGGCTGGAGCCCCATTCTGACTTTCCTCTCTCTAAGCAAGATGGCGCTCTTCATTATTCATGAAAAATACGATTTCCATAGAACTCTGTGTCCATTCCTATGTTATTCATTTTTTTTAAAGTGACTAAAATATTTTCTAATGCTCTTTGTGAAACTCTAATAACGAACTTTCAGTGAGTGATTCTCAGGTTACTCTCTCGTCAGTAGCCTTCAGCCAAGGACGGATGCCAAATTTTAGACCTGTGATTACCGGAGGTTATCATCTGATCTGATGACTTTAGAGACTCATCATTGCTCCTCAAATCAGTTGTGACACAAAGGCTTGGACCAGTGTCTCCTCATACAGGAAGGTGATGATGAACAAGTGCTGTGAGACTCTGCTCTCCTGCAGATACCCTGTGCTTTCTTAATAGTCCATTTCAAGGTCACTGAATCAGTGTTTGGGATTCTACCCCAGAGTCCTCTGTGAGTTTATGTGTGAGCGTTGGCAAGAAGCTTTCTGCCCAACTCTAACCTTTGCCCTGCTCAGTCTGTTCCACTAGAATGATAATGGGCAAATATTTCCTGAGACATTTCTTCTCATTGATTTAGTAAAATTCAAAGAATAACAGAAATGACAAAAGTCAATCTAAGCAGTTGGGTGGATCTAGGGTTCCCACATCTGACTTGTGTGTGTGTGTGTGTGTGTCTTTGTGTTTTTTTTTTCTGAAATAATGATAAAAAAAGAATTTTTCTAGAGGAAGCACAAAAACAGAAGGAGGTGTCCTACACTATACAGGGAAAATAAAATAGATAAAATGCTTCACAAAGTTGAGCTGGAGCTCATCCATGGGCATAAAGGGTCTTTAGGAGCTGGAAAGATTTCTCCTTTTTTTTTTCTTTTTTTGCATCACATTACTTCCTTTAGAACTGGGTACCAAACATGAATACTCTAGTCTACAGTTCCAGGCCAGCATCTCAGAGCTACGGGACAGTCTGCATGGGTGGTAGGTGGGAGGGCAGTAAAAGATGAAGTTACAGGACCCCCATTCTCCATTCATCCTAGCAGATCTCACCATCCATCCTGAGCCTATTACATTTCTACAGCTTTCTTTGGGCTTGCTGTTTTCTAAATTCAACCTTGCAGCATAGTGCATACATTGGTATACAGCTTAAGGTGAGGACTTTATGCACACACACACACACACACACACACACATACACACACACACATAAATATATATCTCGTACACACACACACACCACTACCTTAGTACAATTTTCTATACAGTTCACATATATTCAGATATTAGCTGGGCTGGTCTTTACGTCTGAAGTTCTTGACTTTCACCTCACCAGTTCAAGACCCTTGAAAGTCTTGAGTTTTCAAGGAATTTTTCTGATTTCCCAGGGCTTGACTCTCTCAGAATCTCCTCTATCCTCATCTCAAGCTTACTGGCATAATGTATTTTTGTTTTTGTTTTTATTTGGTTTTGAAGAGATGGGGTCTGTCTTGCTATGTTGCCCAGGCTGGCCTCGAACTCCTGGGCTCAAGCGATCCTCCTGCCTCAGCCTTCCTAGTAGCTGTGACTACAGGCACGTGGAACCATGCCCAACTTATAATGTGTTTTTAATGTGGCTTTTTTTTTTTTGGCATTAACCCAGACATAGAACTCAACTACCAGATTATTCTCAAGTTTACCCAAAATAATCTATTTTCACAAGGAAACCATTACTGATCAGTATAGCCCCTACATTAAAGGTTTTATAAGTGATACAAGCTGGAGAAAGGTGGGAGCACACCCCGTAGTAGACAATTTAAAAGCCATTCTTAGTAATTGTCCTCTATGTCCCTTTTGGGCTGCTTTGACCAGAGACCTCTCAAACCTCCCTTCTGTACTCATGTGGTGCCGCCACTAGGTTGATCCCTCTCTTCCATGACACCTCTAGCCCGTAAATATTTAACTTTTTTTTATTAGCTAGTCATACTGGGCAATTCAGGTCTTCCAAGTTCAGGCCCCAACTGCCTACAACTGAACTGGAAAGTGAGTGAGGTTATCTATTTAACAAAATTCTATGTATATATATATATATACACACACACACACATACACACACATATATATTTATTATACTTTAAGTTCTAGGGTACATGTGCACAACATGAGGTTTGTTACATATGTATGCATGTGCCATGTTGGTGTGCTGCACCCATTAACTTGTCATTTACATTAGGTATATCTCCTAATGCTATGCCTCCCCCCTCCCCCCACTCCACAACAGGCCCCAGTGTCTGATGTTCCCCTTCCTGTGTCCAAGTGTTCTCATTGTTCAGTTCCCACCTATGAGTGAGAACATGCGGTGTTTGGTTTTTTGTCCTTGTGATGGTTTGCTGAGAATGATGGTTTCCAGCTTCATCCATCTCCCTACAAAGGACATGAACTCATCCTTTTTTATGGCTGCATAGTATTCCATGGTGTATATGTCCCACATTTTCTTAATCCAGTCTATCATTGATGGACATTTGGGTTGGTTCCAAGTCTTTGCTATTGTGAATAGTGCCACAGTAAACATACGTGTGCATGTGTCTTTATAGCAGCATGATTTATATTCCTTTGGGTGTATACCCATTAATGGGATGGCTGGGTCAAATGGTATTTCTAGTTCTCGATCCTTGAGGAATCGCCACACTGTCTTCCACAATGGTTGAACTAGTTTACAGTCCCACCAACAGTGTAAAAGTGTTCCTATTTCTCCACATCCTCTCCAGCACCTGTTGTTTCCTGACTTTTTAATGATCTCCATTGTAACTGGTGGAATGGGATCTAATTAAACTAAAGAGCTTCTGCACAGCAAAAGAAACTACCATCAGAGTGAATAGGCAACCTGCAGAATGGGAGAAAATTTTTGCAATCTACTCATCTGACAAAGGGCTAATATTCAGAATCTACAAAGAACTCAAACAAATTTACAAGAAAAAAACAAACAACCCCATCAAAAAGTGGGCAAAGGATATGAACAGACACTTCGCAAAAGAAGACATTTATGCAAAATTCTACTTCTTGTGAGAGCAGTTGGAGTTATACAGAGCAATATTTTGATTTGTTTTGAGCTACACTCATGTTTACTTGCTCTGTGAATGGCTTACTGATTTTTCTCTTCTACTTTCTAACTTTACACCAAAACCACTATTAGCTCCCCACTATTTAAAAAAAATAAATAATGAGGTCAAACATTTGTTGTTGTCATGGGCGACATGGTGTGTACTGGTGTGGGTGTGAGAGTGTGTATGTGTGTTTTGCTGTGTGATCCAGGCATATAATAGACTTCTAATACAGCTTCACTATTAAGATGACAACTGCTGAAATTCAGTACTGCCTTTTGCCCTCTCTCTGATTTCCTTATTTCTCTCTTAGTGTATCAGCCATGGGAAGACCCAATCTTTCCCTTACTTATGATGCATCTTTACTGGAGTTGACAGCTCCTTTCTTTGCCCATATTCTCCTGCAACACAAGTTTGTCCATAGTTCCATCCCCTGAGAAAACTTAGACTTCAAGCTGTACCCCCTTATCTATTATCTCTTCAGTACAGAATTTCATTCTTTTTGGAAAATTCCCTCCACATATCCTAGCATCTATGGCATTGTCATTTGTGGACTGATCTGGCCCTGACTTGTCCTAAAGCCTCATTACTCTTCTATTAAAAAAATACCTTCTAACTTTGAAGGAGAAGGAAAAAAAAAAGCCACTCCTGATAGAGAACATCAGGGTGATAGAAGGGACTATAAAAATGGCTCATCAACTTTATTCTTCAAAAGTATCACTATAATGGAAGAAAAAAATGCTGGAAACTTTTACTGGTTAAAGGATACTGTAGTAAAGAGATGTGATAACTAAGTGCAGTATGTGGCCATAGACTGGATCTTGAAGTGGAAGATGTACAGTGTTGTAAGGCATATTACTGGGTGAATTAACAACACTGAAACACAGCCAGCAGATTAGATAACATTTCTGTACAAATATAATCATGCACCACATAATGATGTTTCTGTCAGTAATGCATCACATATGCATGACTATGGCCCCATAAGATTATAATGCATCACATATGCATGACTATGGCCCCATAAGATTATAATACTGTATTTTTACTGTATCTTTTCTACGTTTAAATTTGTTTAGATACACAAATAACATTGTGTTACAGTTGCCCACAGTATTTGGGACAGTCACATGCTATACAGGTTTGCAGCCTAGGAGCAATATGCTATCCCATCTAGCCTAGGTGTGTAGTAGGCTATATCATTTAGGTTTGTGTAAATACACTCTATAATATTCCCACAATGATAAAATTGCTTAATGATACATTTCTCAAAACACATCCTTGTGAAGTGATGTGTGACTCTTTTCAGTTCAATGAAGTTAGTAACTGTACTATGGGTACATAAAAAAATGTCCCTGTTTAGAGGAAATACTGAAATATCTAGATATAAGGTTCATCATCATGTTGTCTGTCTCAAATGTTCAGGGAAAATAATTATATGTATAATTATAGAAAGTGAATGGGGCCAGGCATGGTGGTTCATGCCTGTAATCCCAGGACTTTGGGAGGCTGAGGCAGGAGGATCACTTGAGCCCAGGAGTTTGAGACTAGCCTGGGCAACACAAAGAGATCCCATCTCTTAAAAAAAACAAATTAGCCAGGTGTGGTGGTGTGCTCCTGTAGTCCCAGCTCCTCAGGAAACTGAGGCCCAAAGATCACTTGAGCCTGAGAGGTTGAGGCTGGAGGAAACCATGATCGCGCCACTGCACTCCAGCCTGGGTGACAGAGTGAGACCCCATGTCAACAGAAAAGAAAGGAAAGAAATCAAATGGGATACAGTGTTATATTAATAATAAATTGTTATTGGTTGAATTGTGTCCTTCCAAAAAAGATATTTTGAAATCCTCACCACCCGTCCCTCAGAATATGACTTTATTTGTAAATAGGATTGTTGCATGCGTAATTAATTTACATAATGTCATACTGGAGTAGGGTGGGCCCCCAACCCAATATGATTGGCATCATTATAAGGAGAGGGCCACGCAAAGATTGACAGGCAGGCAAAATGCCATGTGAAAACAGAGGCAGATATTGGAGTTATGGAGCTGCAAGCCAAGGAATGCCAAAGTTTGTTAGCAAACCACCAGAAGCTATGAAGAAGTTTTCGTGACAAATTTTAGAGGGAGCATGGCCCTGCTCACACCTTGATTTCAGACTTCTAGCCTCTGGAACTGTGAGACAATAAACTCTGTTGTTTTAAGCCACCCAATTTGTAGTACTTGGTTGCTGCAGTCCTGGAAACTATATATATATATTTAGATTGTAGTCACCTTGCTGTGCGGTAGATCTCAAAACCTATTCTTCCTCCAGTCTATCTGAGACTTTATATCCTTTGATCCCCATTCCCTCCTTCCCTACACTTGCAGTCTCTGGGAGCTATCCTACTATCCTTATACTCTCTGCTTCTGTGAGTTCAACTTTTTTAGATTCCACGTGTAAGTGAGATCATACAGTATTTGTTATTCTATGCCGGGATCATTTCACTTAGCATGACATCCTCCAGATTTATCCATGTTGTCAGAAATGACAGGATTTCATTCTTTTTCATGTCTGAATAGTATTCCATTGTCTACATATTCCACATTTTCTTTATCTGTTCACCCATTGATGGATACTTAGCTTGATTACATATTGTAGCCATTGTGAAAAATGCTTCAATGAACACGGGAGTGAAGATGTTCCTTTGATGTATTGTTTCAGTTCCTTTGGATATATAACCAGCGGTGGTATATATTCCTGGATAATATGGCAGTTCTATTTTTAGTTTTTCAAGGAACCTCCATATTGTTTTCCTTAATATTTGGAAATAACTGCTATTCTGATGCAATATAGAATTTTGTAGCCTAAGATAAGACATATGGGAGGGAAATTAGCATGTGTTTCTAAGTTTGGTTACCTACACAGGAAGAGAAATATTCAACACCTTTACATGTTTGGCACTTGTTCTGATTCCAGAATATCGGTAAGCCCACCACTGACAAGTGTCACTCTGGGAATCACATGGCTATTCTATTCCTGGAGGTTTGCCATCAAAAACAAAGGAGCTTGGCTTCCTAATATTTTAAGAGAAAATATTCCGTGACACTTAGTTACCTAGTTTGGCTTGAAGCAGCCTAAAGCATCTTCTAAATGAACTTATTTCTGGAGATGGAATTACATTCTTGGCAGGAAATAAAAGAAGTCAACTTTCTCTGTGAATTTTCAGTAAGGATTGTGGCATTACCTTATATATTGTTAAGCTTTTGATAAATACTCACATGTTTGTCTGATCCATTTTTGAGTATAAACTTCTGGAAAAAATCTAGAGATGATATAGAAATAAATAAACTTCTGCAGGTCCTATAACCCATGGTATCTATGCTTAATGAAAATTCAGAAGACCCTAATTTATACAAAGCTGTTATGTCATCTCCTAATTATATTCTGTAAAGGGAACAGGCTGGAATTGATGTCTCTTTGCTGTTTTTCAGATACTCTGACTTTTTTGTGTTATTTGGAAAGGACTGATATGAGGTATGTGTGTGAAGTGCTGATTGTGGAGAGAATTTTCAAAAGTGGTGTGAGAGTGTTTGTTGACATGGCCAACTTTATATTTTTACTTTTCTGTGAACCCTACTGTGAATCCTGGCTTCTATCATGGACTTTAAAATCTTTTACTTAAAGTATAATCTGAGAACATATTTGTTCTTTTATTCATTGGTTGGTTGGTTCAATAGACTCTTTGTGCATTTGTTCAATCCTTCATTTTATCATTTCTTCATCACTTAATTATACGGCCAATACAGAAAGTATTTATTGAGCATCTACTATAGTGCTAGTCATGTAACCTCTGATTTATTTTCCACAATTTTTGTTGGTACCATTCATTCATCATTCAACAGTTACTAGTACGTACCCTATACCAAGCATAAAGAAATATAGACAAGGGATCTTGCTGGAAGGCCGTTGGCTTTGTTGACTGGGGTGTGTTATGTGTGAATCACTCCTATCTTGTTTATGCTCTAAGCAGTGATCCATTTCTATCCTATGAAAAAGAAATGCCTGGGCCGGGCACGGTGGCTCGCTCCTGTAATCCCAGCACTTTGGAAGGCCGAGGTGGGCAGATCTTATGAGGTCGGAAGTTCGAGACCAGCCTGACCAACATGGAGAAACCTCGTCTCTACTAAAAATACAAAATTAGCCAGGCATGGTGGTGCATGCCTGTAATCCCAGCTACTCAGGAAGGCTAAGGCAGGAGAATCGCTTGAACCCAGGAGGCAGAGGTTACGGTGAGCCGAGATCATGCCACTGCAGTCCAGCTTGGGCAACAAGAGCGAAACTCGGTCTCACCAGAAAAAAAAAAAAAAAAAAAAGAAGAAGAAGAAATGCCTGGACTCAGAACTATTTCATTAGCAAATCAAGGAAGAAACTTTCTTGAAGTTATAGCGACTATTAAGGAACCTTTACAATTTGGCATCACTTCCCTAGTTCTCTCTTCTCCATACTGGCCCTGGGCCTCTACTGCTCTTTCTAGCTTTCTGCGGATGCTCTGTTTACCTGGATTCATCCTGTGTATGTAGTGGAGGGTGATGGCACACTTTTAAACTGCAAAAGCTGTCATTTTCTTTTCATTCTTTCTTGATTTGCTAGCCGGAATTAATTGATATACATTTATGAAAGAAGAAGCAGGAAAGAATCCGTATGAATTATTCTGCATTTACAATTTATTGAGTACATATCATGTGCCAGGATCATAGTTCAGTGCCTTAATGCACTACATTTCTGGTAATCTGCAATATAATCCTGTGGGGATAGGAGTTGCTTTTTTCATTTTATAAATGGGAAGATGGAGACTCATAGGCTTTGTCAGTCTTCCATGTTAAAATATCTCATCAATGGTCAGATCTGGATTTGAATTTCATGTTTTCTGGCATAAATTTTCTGCTTTCAGCTGTATCCTAAATAAAAAATACCAGTCTTGTGAAAAAATGAGAGATGATGGATATAGATACATACTTTTTAAACTAGAGAATTCTGTCCAGGCACGGTGGCTCATGCCTGTAATAACAGCACTTTAGGAGGCTGAGGCAGTTGGATCACTTGAGGTCAGGAGTTCAAGACCAATCTGGCCAACAGGTGAAACCCCGTCTCTATTAAAAATACAAAAATTAGCCAGGAGTGGTGTTGCATGCCTGTAATCTCAGCTACTTGTGAGGCTGAGGCAGGAGAATCGCTTGAACCCAGGAGGCAGAGGTTGCAGTGGGCTGAGATCACACCACTGCACTCCCACCTGGGCAACAGAGGAACAGAGGCAACAGACACTCTCTCTGGAAAAAAAAAAAAAAGGAGAGAATTTTGGCAATGTAGAATTCTCTTGACGGGAACAGTATAGCAGATATTTCAGTTTCAGCACATGGGGTTCCTGATTAGTGACAAATTCATATTGAACCATAAATCTGTAATACTGTCATACAAGGAGTAAAATGTAGTTGTCTTCTTGCTAATGCTCCTTGGAAAGTTTCAGTCTTTTCCTATTAACTTGGTTGCTCTCAGTTTTATTACCATTTGAAATATATATCTTCTCATATCACAGCAAAAAATAATGACTTTGGATGATGAGTCGTTTTAATGTTTGAACAGAATTACACATAGAATTCAAACTGTTGTCAGCTTTCAAGTTTGTATTATGCTGTTTCCTAGCAGGTACATGCAGACTGAAAGTATTTGTATCATGATGATTTTTACTAACTTTACAGTAATTTTACTTATGACTTTACTTATGGTTGTGAAATCATACAGAGATATGTTATATCAGAATGTCAAAATGCTTGTTTTAATTAAGATCCCAGAAAATATTTATTTCCAAATATCCAAATTTATAAATAACTTTGGAGCTCTGAATTAGCATAAAATCAGTCAAGAAGAAAAAGAGAGTATAAAAAAATAAAATATATTTCCTCCTCTCCCTTCCCCATCATCAGGGACTTTCATAGAATATACTCGAGACTTAATCTGCTTCATTTTGAATTTCATTTTCAAAGCTATTTCTTTTTCAGGCTGCCCATTACACTTTATTTGAAAACCAGCTCTTATCATTTAGTCATTATTGTCACAGATCCCAAGTTCTTAAATTATGCTCATCACAAAAGATACTAGTTTTATGTTCTCATCCCATTCAGGGGCTATTCCAATATACCAGCCGAGGGCCACATTGGTGACATTCAGCACAGATGACAGCTTTTGTTCTGAGCAGGCACACAAAGAAATGACTGGGGAAGCCGAATCATCGTTTCACTAAGGCAAGGAAGAAGTGTCTTTCTGGGTCATGCAGCCCATGGCCAAGAGATGTCAGAATACCTACAGCAAACATATAAGCAGTATAATTAGCTCATTGTCTCTAGCTGGGAGGAATTCCCCCTCACTTGGCATTATTAATCCAGACCTCCTAAAGGCCAAAGTGTTGATAGCCTGCAGTTTGCTGAAATACATATTGAACTATGCATTCTTCAAAATGCAGCTTTAGCTAACCTCCTGCATGAAGGATTCTGTGACTCCACCCTCTACTTCCTTCTTCCCAGTTGTATTATGTTCCTACCACTATTCTGGCATTTCTCACGTGTACTTTTAAAGTGTGTGTGTGTCTCTGTGTGTGTGTGTGACTCTCTTTTTGATTGTGAGTTTTTCTACTGCAGAGATCCCTCCGTACCTTCTCTCCCCCTGTCCCTACCATATTTTTATTATAAATATTTTTATAGATTGATAGCTTTGAAATGATTGGATTTTAGCAGTATAATAGAATGAAACACCTGGATTCTGCTTCTGACTCCATGAGTACAGGGAGTCATTGAATAATGATTCGTTATTATTTAATGCTTTTATTTAACATGTGCTAATTGAGTGCCTCCTATGTGCCAAACTGTTCTGGTGCTGGGAATATAGTGATGAACAAAATAGTCAAAATATAGACAAGACACCGCTGTTCTCCTAGAGTGTGCATTTCTGTGAAGAAGACAGACAGTAAATAACATAGCATGTAAATAATCAAGACAAACACCCAATACATGGTATGCAGAGAATTAAAACAGGAAATGTGTAAGTTGTTACTTTAGGTTAGGTAGTTGGTGTAGCTGAGATCTGAAGAAACCACCAATGAAGGTTAAGGACGTTCTTAACAGAGGGAATAACTTGTGTAGAGACTCCAAAGTGGCAATGAACTTGTCATATTCTAAGCATATGAAGGTCATTGTGATGAGTATGTTGGATGAAGATGAGCTATCAGAGAAATAAAAAAGATGAGTGGTTTGGATTTTATTCTTGATGCAATGGGACAGCATTGGAGACTTTAAGCTGCACAAGGTTATGATTTAGTTTATTTTAAAAACATTACCCCTGCAGTATGTAAAGAATGGATTCACGAGGATAAAGAGATGGTAGGGATCCTCCGTAGGAAGTTATTACTGTAGCCCAAGCAAGAGATGATTCATTGTTCTATGTGGTGGTAGTAGAGATGGAGATGGGTGGATAGATTTTGAGATATGTTTGAGATAGAGTTAAAGATGTGCTGATGGTTTGGAGAAGTTAAGTAAGGGGAGAAATCAAAGTCTTAGTAAACTTTGGTAAGTCACTTAAATATTTCTAGTAACAGGCCCTTCATAAAATGGGGATTACAGATAAATCACTGGTTCCCAACTGAGAGCAACTTTGCTCCTCTCTGTTTCCTCCCGGGACATTTGGCAATTTCTGGAGGCATTTTTAGTTGTTTATGTGTGTTGAGGGGGAGGGGTTCTATTACTAACATTGGTAAGTACAACCCAGGGTCCAAAACATCTTACAATGTACAGGACCACCCCTTCAACAAAGAATGATCTAGCCCAAAGGTCAATAGTGCCAAGGTTGAGAAACCCTGAAATAGCACCTTACAAGGTGGTTGTGAGGACCAGCTAAATTAATATATTTTAAAGCAGGATGAAAGTTTTAAATGCTCTGCAGAGACAAAGTGTTATTGATGCCTCAATTTTACAGTGTCTGTTGGGGTAAAGATAATTCATTCTTGTAGTTCCAAAGAATCTCTTCTCTCCTGGTCCTGAATGAATGTGGTGCATTTTGAATGTGATACTTTGGGCCATAGCCCCCTTATGCTTCAGTAGAGAAGCAGAGAAGAATTGAAAATTTGGGCTTCAAGAATTTTTTTGACTCCACTACAGCCATAATTTAAAATTTTGTGGTAGAAAGTCTGGTTATAAAATTCACTAGAAATGAGTTTTAAAGTAAACTTATTTTTAAAAGGAAGTAGTGGGTGGGTGAATGTGAGACTTTAGGGGGATTGTGCCACCTTTTTTCCCTGAGAAATGCCAAGGGAACTAATTAAAGAAGCTGAAGGGAGAGCAAAGGCACGAATAGAGTAGCCTATTCTCCATTCCTTCTGTGTCAAACACCCCACGCTACACTCTACACTAAGCTCTTGTTAGTAACCTCCCACAGGACAGGGCATTTGCCCTCCAGAAAGTTGGACCTTAAAATGAGGGAAACAAGTAACTCTTACCTGTAATTAGCTTCAAGAATACTCCCTCAAATGAAAGAGAAGTTAAAAAAACTGCCTCAATGAGTTCTTAATTGGGTACAAGATAATGTTGGTAGAAGTTTAAAATATTTAACCAGCAGTAAATATTCAAGGCAGTCATTTGAAGTAATCAATAGCTAGGTGAATGCATACATTAGCTGGCAGAGAATCACTTAATCAACAGTTCAAATAAACAAGAGGAGAATTCAAAATGCAGATCTGAAAATACAGAGAATTAGCAAAGATGCTAATTACATCCAGGTACCTTCTTCCTCCAGTGACTACTTAAACATTTGCCAAAGTATTGCTAAAAATAACCAGTTCTGAAAAGATTCATTTCTTTTCAGAAGAGCTGCTTACTTAGAGAGTGATTGATGGCCAGGTCCAGCAGGCAGCTAGAAGTACCCAAAAATGAAGTGCTAGTAGGTGACCTCACAATAAAAAGCCTTGAGAATCCTTCAGCTGGCATGCGCTGCTGGCAAAAAAGGATATTTTTTTAAATTTTTATTTTTAGTCTTTACCACTTAAAATTTTCAGACTTTTCTCCCCGCTTCAGATATTATATGATAGATTTTATCAGATAGACAGTGAGCCATTTATGATAATATACAGAAACTGACATAATGCATGATTTGGTTCATTTAAAAAAATCTTACTTATCTTCTTTTCCCAATCCTTCTCAAACTCGTCTACACTTCCCACATATAAAATAAAATATATTAAAAAGGCTTAAATCTTACACAGGAGGCTATTTTTAGTATCTCCAACTAGAAGACTGAAGCTCTTAACTCATCTACTAGAGTCACTTGTTAGAAGGAGACTTTCCTACAGGCATTTTTATTTTGCTTTTTGAAGGAATTATGACACCCCCTCCCCACCACCAAAGAATTGCTGTTTCTACCTCTAGCTTCAGTAGCCATTAAGCAGTTCTTCATTTTGAAGGATACATATAGATCCAGAAACATTTTCTGGTTGGAGAAAAAGTGTGTATTTTCAAGGTTCCCTATCTTTAAGGTTCCTAGTTCTTATTAAAGTAGCAGGATAATCAGCTTAATGGGTGGTTGCTTACGCTTTCTGTGGGAAAACCATGGGGGTGGGAGTTACAAGTATTTGTTCTAATTTCAGCCTCATTACTAACTAGCTGTGTAGACTTGGGCAAGTCATTTACCTTGAATTTCAGCTTAGAGGCAGGATTGTTAAAATAGGATCAATTTGTAACTGGATTTGAAACCTGATCAGACTATTAGAACCCTACTCAAGACTTAATTACTGAGTCTAGGTGTTTCCAAAGTCTCAAGGTGATGGATTCTTTTACAGCCAGTGTTTGTGCATCACTGATAATTCATTCCCTTCACTTTGCAGCACTGATAATTCATTCCCTTCCATTTGCAGACTATAGAAATTTAAGTTTCAGAGAAGCTTAGTAATTTACTTAAGGTCACATAGCTAGATAATAATGAAACTTGAACTTTAAATGTAACTTACTGACCCCCAAGATATTGCTGTTTCCCTATTATTAGGTGCTTATTTAACCGGAGAATTGCCATGTGTTTTTTGTAACAATTACATTTTTTTTTTCTTTTTGAGATGGTGTCTTACTCTGTCACCCAGGCTGGAGTGCAGTGGCGTCATCTCAGCTCACTGCAACCTCCACCTCCCAAGTTCGAGATTCTCCTGGCTTAGCCTCCCAAGTAGCTGGGAGTACAGGTGCATGCCACCAAGCCTGGCTAATTATTTTTTTTTTTTTTGCATTTTTAGTGGAGATGGGGTTTCACCATGTTGGCCAGGCTGGTTTTGAACTCCTGACCTCAAGTTGTCTGCCCGCCTCAGCCTCCGAAAGTGCTGGGATTACAGGCGTGAGTCTCTCTGCCTGGCCACAATTACAATTTAATATTAAAATATATACATATGTGTATTTCTATACATGTGTGTTGACTTTTACACAGTATTTAACATTTTCAGGTGTGTAAAATGAAAGCATTAGGACTAAATGATCACATAGTGACTATTTGGCTCTTTTAGAGAGAATGTGAATCACTACCTACCATTTCACTGATGCACACTGTTTAAAAGATACTATGCTAGGTGTTACAGTTAGACCCTGAGAAATGGGGTGCTACTATGATGTTGTTATGATAGCCATGCATGTGAATAATATCCAGATTCTGCTTGGCCCAGATACCTCTCCTTCCTATCATATTTCTGGGAGAAATAGATGCTTAAAAAGGGAAAAGAAAGCAAAGTAGAGCATGTTATATATACCTGGGTCTTTGGCCAAGGTACAACAGTATAATGTCATGGGCCATGAGAAAGGCTCTATTTTCTCTAAGTTAATTAGAGAAAATGTACCTGCTCCAGTACGTTCCTGAATAGATGTATCCTTATACCTTTGTAGAGGGAGCAGGCACTAAGTCAGCTCACTACTCCAATTCATCATATTGGGAAAGAAAAAAGAGAAAAAGCTAGAACATATCCAGGTACATTGGCCTTCTGACCTCCTTGAAAGCACAACTCCTAAGAGGTGTGGCCCAACTAATGCTGTATGATTGTCCAAACCAGATCAATAACACTCCTTTTGGTAGAAGCCAGTAAACAGAATGTTGAGTATAACCTGTTTATACAGATGAGAAATCTGACACATAAGTTCAAATTACAGGCCTAAAGTTGCTTACTGCATATTTCTTCCCTTTTCTTTCATAGCTTCATATATGTGTATATATGAATATGAGTGGTATGAGTGTATTTCAAACATACATATATATTCCAAAGATTATCATGTAAATGTCATAAACAATTGTAACATTTAAATTCTTAAATTTAATAGTAAGATATGTTTTATAACATGTATCTGAGTTTTTATATTCATTCATTGTTATATTCCATCAGGAGTCATGTGAATACTTAAAAATGCAGAGCAGGTAACTTTTAAGATCTTTGATTATACACTTTAATAAATAGGTTCAGTAAAATTCACATTTCTTGACATATTCATTACTCAGCAAGAATTGCATACATCTTTTTAATTATTCCCAAACATTCAATACCTTCAACTCTTAACAATGAATTAATTCCTTTGAAGTTATTATACACATTTAATAAAATTATATGTAACTACGCAGAAAAATAATATAAGCTTCTCTTTTGATCCTAAAAGTAGCTAATTCAACTGTTTCTTTCTGCAGTTGTAGGAATTGTTCACAGATTCTTCTTGAAGTTTTGCACTTTTGTGTATCTCTACTTGTTTTATTGGTTAAGCAAAGTAAAACTTCTGAATGGCTTTTGAAACTGTACACAAAACTCATAAACACAACCTTTAAACAACTATTGTTAAAGTAAGAAAAAAACAATTAACTTATAAATCTTTTTCCTCTTTTCAGATGTAGGTCACAAAGGAGAAATGCTCCTCTGTTAATTTTTGTTTTTTTTTAAAAGAACTGTTGGTTTTAAACTTCTTTTTAGCCTACTCACTATTCTCAAAGGATGCAAGGCCCCCCCATGGGATAAAGTCAGCTTTGTCAGAGGAATATCAGCATGTCAGCTCCTGAAGAACCACTTGGAGTTTGAATAGTAACTTATTGAGTGGATAATTGAGAAAGCTGAGTTAGGACAGGATTTCTGGCCCTAATAACATATGAATGTCTCATAATTATCAGTACAGAATCCTATGAAATCTAATGCTTACTTTGAAACATATTTATTTAATTTATATGTAAGTATTTATTTATTTGTACTAGACAGATACAGGTTGGGAATTACTTAGGTTTTGCTTAATAAAATAGTTACTTTTTTCAAAAACATGAATTATCTTTTTTCTTTTTGGTGAGAAGAGGTCATGTAAACACCAATTGTCTAGCAAGATTTTTGTATTGCTTTTTATTAGGGACTGTTGGTTTTAAATTGCTTTTTAGCTTACTCATCATACTTTTAAATACATGGATAGTTTTCTGCCATATCCAAGATATTTTTAATAATAAAAAGTTTTTTTATTTCTAAATATCAATATTATTATGATTTTTTTCCACCAGTGAAAAAATACAGTGATAATGCAGGGAAGTATAATTACTAATTTATTTTGTAATATAATTATAAAATATATGTAATATAATTATAATATACTTAATATTTTGTAATGTAATTACAAAATTAAACCTAATTTTATACTTCTTTGAATATTTTGGGAGTCAGGTGGTTTTTCTCTAACTCAAACTTCTACCAGAGACTTGGGATCCCATGAACTGTAGGGACTTCTGTATTCCTGGAACTGGTTTGGGCCTCAAATAAAACCTGCTCAAGTTCTCACTCAATCGTAAGCTCCCAAAGGGCAGAGATGATGTCTCTCTGATTTTCAAGGGACTAACCCAGTGACAGGCACAGAATGGCCATTTAGTAATGAATGACAAGGGTGCTCATGCAATTTTAAAACATAGTCCCTCAGCTTTTCTGCCTTTGAGTCCAATAAGCATACTAGAAACCCAGAACGAAGCTAGTAATATTTGTTCCAGTAAAGTGACATGTATATGGTTTTCAAAAAAACAGCTGTTTGTTTTTTTTAGAAGCATAAGATTATTAAATAAACTTCTGTAATGAGTGGATAAAATGGTGTATCCTATGAAAACAACCAAAGAATCACTGAATCAGCAGTTCTGAAAGATAAAAGTCTCATTTTGAGGAAATGCAAAACAACTGAATGCATTTTATTACTTTGCATTTAAAGTAGGAAGGTGGCAAATACTCGGAAGGGTATTCCAGTTCTGTTTCTTTGTAGGCAGTTATTTTTACTGACAGGTGAGAGTGTTTCACCTTTATTTGTTTTATAGATACAAGCTCTTACAATGTTCTTTTTCCTTCCATGGACCTTCTCCTCTTCTATTTCTTACCAAGTAAATTATTGAAACAAGGCTATTTTGAGGTAAAACGAGGAAGAGAAGTAATACCTCACTGCAACCTCTTTCCAAACAATAGGGAAACATCAAAGTTAGGGTCAAAGCTAATACTGTCAACTTATAAAAGAGCTCACTCATCATGTCTAACTTTCTTTGACAGTATCTACAAAGGCTTCTGTATCTAGGGATGATTTTATTGTCAATATGCAATCAGGCAGGTCAATGTTCATTTCATTTGTGAAGAAAACTACATCAAGCAAATTTCATTATAAAACCTAAAATCAATATACATTTGTGTCAGTGTTCTCTAAATAATGAATGTGAATACTCCTTCACCCTGAAATAACATTTTTAAGGATTGGATTTTTCTGAAAAAAATAAGAAGACATATTTGGTTTTTCTTTGAACAATATTTGCACTTGATTCTAAGACAGTGATACCAGGAATGACTTTTGGAGTCGGTTTTGTTTTAAATATGTTTATTGATCAATTATGGCCCCTATACAAGTTGAGACTGACTCGAGTAATGAAATATTCAGACCTATCAACTGGTAATATTAGAATAGTGATAATAAGCATAGCTAGTATTTGCTTAGTATGCATTATTTATGGATACTGTGAAGGAATTTTCTTTCATTTTTCACATTTAGTCTTTGTAAACTGCCTTAATATAGAAATACAATACAGGG
Organism: Homo sapiens; assembly: GCF_000001405.40. Taxonomy (NCBI): domain Eukaryota; kingdom Metazoa; phylum Chordata; class Mammalia; order Primates; family Hominidae; genus Homo; species Homo sapiens. Next base: position 2,206,830 of record NC_000003.12, read on the forward strand.
ATACCTCATCCGATTGCAGTTTGCATTACTGCACTTCGCAGATACTGCTTTTTTTTTTTTTTTTAAAGAATTTTAAGGTTTGTGGCAACTCTGAGTTGAGCAAGGCTATTAGTGACATTTTTCCAACAGCATATGCTCACTTTGTGTCTCTTTGTAACATTTTGGTAATTCTCTCAATATTTCAGACTTTCTTCTTATTATTATATTGTTACAGTGATTTATGATCAGTGAGCTTTCATGTTACTATTGTAAATTTGGGGGGTGTCATGAACCAAACTCATAAAAGATGGTGAACTTAATTGATAAGTGTAGAGTGTGTTCTGACTACTGCAGCTACCAGCCGTTCCTAGTCTCTCTGTCTCTCTTAGGACCTCCCTATTCTCTGAGACACAATAATATTGAAATTAGGCCGATTAATAACCCTCCAATGGCCTTGAAGTGTTCAAGTGAAAGGAAGAGTCATACATCTCTCACTTTAAATCAAAAGCTAGAAATGATTAAGCTTAGTGAGGAAGGCATGTCGAAAGCTGAGAGTAGGCCAAAAAGGTAGGTCTCTGGCATCAAACAGCTAAGTCGTGAAAACAAGGGAAAAGTTCTTATTGAAAATTACAAGTGAACAGACAAATGATAAGAAAGTGAAATAGCCTTAGTGATGAGATGGAGAAAGTTTCAGTGGTCTGGATAGAAGGTCAAACCAACCACAACGTTCCCTTAAAGACCTAACCCTAATCCAGAGCCAGGAACGAAGTGTCTAAAATTATGTGAAGATAGAGAGGTAAGGAAACTGCAAAAAGAAACATTTGAAGCTAGCAGAGGTTGGTTCAGAAGTTTAAAGAAACCAGCAAGTGTGATGTAGAAGCTGCAGAAATTTATGCAGAAGCTCTAGTTAAGATCATTGAAGGTAGCTACACCAAAGAAGAGATTTTCAGTGTAGATGAAGCATCCTTCTATTGGAAGAAAATGCCATGTAGGGTTTTCATAGTTACAGAGGAGAAGTCATTGCCTGGATTCAGAGCCTCAAAGGACAGGCTGACTCTCTTGTTAGGAGCTAATGTAACTGGTGACTTTAAGTTGAGGCCAATGCTCATTGACCATTCTAAAAATCCTAGGAATTATTTTCAAAATATTACTGCTCATCCACAATGCACTTGGTCACCTAAGAGCTCTGATGGAGATAGACAAGATTGATATTATCTCCTTGCCTGTTAACATAATATCCTTTCTGCAGTTCATTGATCAAGGAGTAATTCTGACTTTCAGCTCTAATTATTTAAGATATATACTTCATAAGGCTATCAGTACCATAGATAGTGATTCCTCTGATGGATTTGGGCAAAGTAAATTTCAAACCTTCTGGGAAGAATTCACCATTTTCTATGCCATAAAGAACATTTTTGCGAATCAAAGGAGGAGCCCAAAACAGCAACATTACCAGAAGTTTGGAAGAAGTTTATTCTGACCGTCGTGGATGACTTACAGAGGTTCAAGATTTCAGTGCAGGAAGTTAACTGCTAATGTGGTTGAAAGAGCAAGAGAACTGGAATTAGAAACAGAGCCTGAAGATGGGACTGAAATTGTTGCAATCTCATGATAAAGTTGAAATGGATAAGGAGTTGGTTCTGATGGATGAGCAAACAAAGTGATTTTCTGAGATGAAATCTACTCCTGGTGAAGATACTGTGAACATTGTTGACATAACAACACAGGATTTAGAATATTATGTAACTAGGTGATAAAGGAGCAATAGAGTTTGAGAGAATTGACTGCATTTTGAATTGACTGCATTTCTGCTGTGGGTCAAATGCTTTCAAACAGCACCACATGCTACAGAGAAATCTTTCTCGAAAGGAAGGGTCTATCTATGCAGCAAACATTGTTGTCTTATTTTCAGAAATGGCCACAGTGACCCCAAACCTTTAGCAAACACCACCCTGATTAGTCAGCAGCCATAATACTGAGACAAGACCCTCTACCAGCAACAAAGATTACAACTCACTGAAGGCTCAGATGATTGTTAGCATTTTTTAGCAATAAAGTATGTTTAAATGAAATATGTACATTGTTTTTTAGACATACTGCTAAAAAACAATGCACACCAGATAGCCTACAGTGTAGTGTAAATGTGACTTATACACACGGGGAAACCAAAAACTTTGTGTGCCTCACTTTATTGTGATATTGTTCTGTTGATCTGGAATCAAATTCACAATAATTCTGAAGTGTATTCCTGTAGCCTGGGTAGGCTAAATGCTATAAGCAATAGCCCCCCAAATCTCAGTGTATTAACACAATAGATGTTTTAATATCGCCTAGCAGCTGAATACAAATGTATCCTTCTATTTGTGGCCCACTATTTTACAGAGCCTCTGAGTCCTCTGCTATGTTCCTGTCAATCTCACACAAGAGGAGAGAGAGAAGGTGAGGATAGCACAGATCTTTTACATGAGTGGGCACTGGGAGAGGCACCTATCTCTTCATCCACATTCCCTTTGGGAAAACCCATCATTTGGTTACATCTAACTGCTAAGGAGCTTGGGAAATATAATCAAGTTGGCTGATCAAGTAGCTATCCTCTCCCATAGGTAGTGTTATACCCCTTTATAGATGATGAAACTAAGACTTAAAGTTCAAACAGTATTCCATACCATCAGCATCATCTACGTGTATAATGGTAACACTGAGTCTCCCTAGTAACAAAAAAGGTCCCTGTTTTTTAAGCACTGTGGTCTCCTTCAACCCTGTGCTGGGTAGTTTGCCACTTACTATGATTTACCCTGGAAACAAATGGTATCTTCCCATTGAAAAGGCTAGCTGGGGAGATGCACAGCTGAGATTTTGACTTTATGTTTTATTCAGGGTCCAACGCTTGATTTTGTAGTAGCTCTATTGATAAAGCTAAAATTTAATAACAGAAGTAATAAGTACAACTTCTGGGGAAAATTTTAAGAATCAGTTGGCAATTCCTGTGCTCCTTCTTTCCTCCTATTATGAAACAGGCAGTGTTCTAAATAAAGCTATTCTGTCAAACTGGGTCCGTATTGACTTTGATAAGCAAGTGCTCTCTGTGGGCCCATATTGGATGTGTAATATGAGTAAAAAACTTTCCATAAGTCCCCGAGAGCTTTATTTTTATTTTATTTTGTACTGGTATTATTATCAAAGCATAGCCTAGCCTTTCCTGGCTGATACACACTTTAGCCTAGAATCTCTACTTTCAGTGTCTTACAAAACTATTTACCAAGGTGTGTAAGATATGTATGTCCCTGTATCTATTTGTCTATCCAATGTTGTTCACCAGAGTCTTGTTTAATAAGTTATGGTTGAGAGAATTATGCTTGTCCATACAATGGAATATGTGAAGCTGATTTTAAAAAATGATATGATAGATCTGTATTTACCTACATGAAAAGATGACCACAAGCCATGATTACATGGAAAATACATAAAAGTATATGCATGATATTTCACAGAGTAAATAAAAACTTATTATTATTGTAGGAGAATAGACTTCCCAGGACCCTGAGGAGCTGGAGGAGGTGACAGCACGCTGCACCATTCCCAATGTAGTCCAAGGTTCCGGCATACCATTGTCTGCCTAAATCACCAAGTTAGCTTCCTTAATGGTCTCCTTACCTTCAGTCTTGGCCCCCTCCAGTACATTTTCCACACAATGTAGCCAGTGTAATCTTTATAACAGATGATTCACCTATTAAAAAATTGGGGATTATCTCCATTGATAGCATGTAAAAATCCATGTCTTAGCCTTGGGTTCCTAAAAAACAGAGGCTAAGACAAAACTTAAATGTTAAACCTTTCCTGGGATTTACAGTCCAATGCAGCAAGAGTGAGAGTCTCAACTTTGCTTCACTCTTCTCTATGGTAAGACTCATCTGTCTCCTAGTTGCCCACTTTGTTTCACGGCTTTCTTGACATCTTTTGTCTTTTTGAATCTGCCCATTTCCTTCAATACATCAAAAGGTCTTTGGAAGCAAAGGCGTTTTGTTATTAACTGTTGTATCTTCAGAAATAAAATCATAGAAGAAAAACAAATCATGATGTTTTCAACTAATGTTTGTCAAACAATTATGTTTAGCCCATAAAACAATTTTCCTGATAATTGGGTTTTCAGAGAATTCTTGAATCACGCAGTGTGTATTAGGCCATTTTTGCATTGCTGTCAAGAAATACCTGAAACTGGGTAATTTGTAAGAAAAGAGGTTTAATTGGCTCACAGTTCTGCAAGCTGTACAGGTGGCATGGTACCAGCATCTGCTCCTGGAGAGGCCTCAGGAAGCTTTTACTTATGGCAGAGGGCAAAGTAGGAGCAGGCACATCATATGTCAAAAGCAGAAGCAAGAGAGAGTGTGGCGGGGGTTGGGCGCCACACACTTTTAAATGACCAGATCTCGTGAAAACTCACTATCACAAAGACAACAGCAAGCCATGAGGGATCCACCCCCATGATCCAAACACCCCACCAGGCCCCATCTCCAGCACTGGGGATTACAATTCAACATGAGATTTGGGTGAGGACAGAAATCTAAACTATATGGCAGCATCTGTTGCTTTAGTTCTGCCTTTTTCTGTAGGTTCAGAGCAAACTTTTCCTACCGTATGCGTTGTGTAGTTTTATGTCACTCTATGCCCCACATTGATTTTCTTCCCTTATCAATAGAAAACTATGTGTACGTTTTCCTACATGGATTATAATAAACCCCTTTTAAAAAATTTTCATATATAAGGCATTCTAAAACCTGTATGATAACACAGATTTGTCTGTACCAACTACTAATGAGGAATTTAAAGGAAAAATTTAGTGAATTCCTCACATTGAATTTAAATTTTTATTTTTTTTCTTGGTTGTTAGTTTAAAATTTTGAAATCTCAGTCTGTAGCATTCTTCCACATGGCCAGCCGTGACGTGACTCATGAGTCACCAACCCATTTAGTCAGTCAAATTATTTAACAAGCATTTACCAAGTATTCTGTATGAGCAGACTTATGGATAGGCTAAGGCCAACTCTCTGACATATACTGTATAGGGTATGTTTTTAAAATTTTCCCTACATTAATTTCTGTTGTCATTTTTGCATTTAGCTCAGTACAGATATTCTGATTCTGATGCTTTAAAACTGTTCCTTTCTCTTTCTTTTTTTCCTTTTGAGATGGGGTCTTGCTCTATTGCCCAGACGGGAGTGCAGTGGCACAATCACAGCTCACTGTAACCGCAAACTCCTGGGCTCAAGCAATCCTTCTACCTCAGTCCAGAATAGCTGGGATTACAGATGTGTGCCACCATACCTGGCTATTTTTTTTTGTATTTTTTGTAGAGATGGGGTCTCACTATGTTGACCAGGCTGATCTCAAACTCCTAACCTCAAGTAATCCTCCTGTCTCAGCCTCCCAAAGTGCTGTGATTACAGGCATGAGACACCACATCAGACCTCCTCATCATGTTGAAACTCTTCTTGAATGGACTTAAAATGCTTCTGTATTAGTCTGTTCTCTTGTTGCCAATAAAGACATACGCAAGACTGGGTAACTGACAAAGGAAAGAGGTTTGATTAACTCACAGTTCCACATGGCTGGAGAGACCTCACAATCGTGGCAGGAGGCAAATGAGGAGCAAAGTCATGTCTTACATGACACCGGGCAAGAGGGTTTGTGCAGGGGATCTCCTATTTATAAAACCATCAGATCTCATGAGACTTACTACCACAAAAACAGTATGAAGGAAACCAACCCCATGATGCAGTGATCTCTACCTGGCCCTGCCCTTGGCACATGAGGCTTATTACAATTCAAGGTGAGATTTGGATAGGGACACAGCCAAACCGTATCAGCTACCTACCAATTTTTAAATAAACTTTAATTTAGTTTAAAATAGTGTTTTTTCAATTGTTGCATATTTGAATTGACTGAGGACTTTAAAAAATGGCAGTGACATATCCCTGCTCTTAGAGATTCTGATTTAATTTATCTGAGATGAGAACCAAAGATATTTTCTAAATTCACCTTGTGCAATTCCCATATATAGCTTGGGTTGAGATTTTTGACTGAAAATAATATTTCCCAAAATGTGATCCACAGATCATTGGAGATTTTTATGAATCTTTGAGCTCATCAGAGCGCTCATGATATTAATGTGGATTTTTTTCCTGAAATGAAATAATGAATTTTTCATTTTTAAACCTCCTAAGTATCTTCTCAGAATGGGCATCAATCTCATAAATGCTGTGGTTTGTTTGGTGTTAGTTAGCAAGTTAGGAATCTGGTTCACTGAATGAAATTACTGTTTTAAAGTATCAGAAAGGACACACTGAGAATGTTGGAGTTGAGAGTTTTAGTCAAGCACATTTAATTTATGGATGAGGAAGTTGAGGCCAGAGAAATGAGATGTTTTGTCTAACTTCACATAGCTGGTCTGTTCAACACTACGGAGAATCTGGGGCTCGTAACTTTCAGTCCAATATTCTTTCTGCTTTATTTACCCCTTGCCTCCCTGGAGCCTTGTCATAGGCTTCAGGCTTCACTTGTTCCCTCTGAGCCATGTCCTAAAAATTCCACCATTTGTTATTTTAATCCCAATGCTAAATTCTAATTACCATTCAGTGAATTACTGTACAGTAAGCAGATGTGTGTTATTTTCTAGGGGAAATAAAAAGCTGGAATGTGATCTACACCTGTACCTTCAGCAGTGTTTCTCCACCAAGAAGTAGCAATCAGCATTAATATATAAACTCAAGTTGCCAGAGTCTCAAATGTAGCATATGCAGAGTGCAGGGTAAGGGTTTCTCTTGCCAACAGATAAAATGCACTCCAGGCTCCCATTGGTGTTCGCAAATGCCAGTCACCAAAAGTCAGCTTTCCCCCTGAAAAGCAAGTTTTGTTTTTGCACAATTAAATGGTACCTTGGTGAAATGAGATAGAGCCTTTCTCATAGGAAGTGATTTTTCTGGGAGCATAAAGTAACAAAATGAATCTGTTGTGGATGTGTTTTTGTTGTTGTTGTTTTCTTATATTGCACACAACTTTTTAAAATGACAGAAGTTGGAATGAGGTTGGCAACAAACCACGATGGGCTCATTGGCATGCTATAGCCCTTATTGTGTTCAGAAATTAGGATAGAAAATGCTTGGAGGCTTATTTCGTACTGTGATTCATTGCATCATGTCATCTAGTGGAGTATTATGTTTGTTTCATTCTAATTTCATGGTGATAAATTCTGTACTTTTCCCACCTGGGCTTAACCTAAGTGGTCTCCATGATTGGGAGGAGGGAATGATTTTTTAAATGTATATTTGCTCAAGATTTGCTCCTGGATCTCCTGAAGATAAGGTGAGTAATGTGGTGAAAGTACTTCCTCTCCTGAGTATGGAAATCTGGTTCAGTGGTAGCTTAAGGGGATACACACTTCAATTGAAGTCTGAAGCCTGCATATTTCTACATCCTCAAACAGGTTAGCACTTCGGAGCAGTGGGGGGTTTGTCTCTCAATTTAGACACCTGATGAGTAGATTATAGTGACCAGTTTCAAATATGTCTTCATGGTAGTCATCCATGATCAGACAAATGATCAGATTTCCGTGTATTTAATATTGAGTTTTTATAAATGTCTGTCATTTTCTTTTCTTGAAAGGGGTGATGTCCATGCCTCCATCTTTCTTTTACCTTTCAAAAATTAGTGATGGTAGCAAAACAGACAGTTTCTCAGATTGAAGGAGAGGAAAATTATGCATGACTGAATTTTGACATTATGAGTTGACATCACAGCATACATCCTCCTAAAGTACAATTTGACAACAAAAAAATCACAAGGTCAGAAAGAAAATCATAGAGCCCATCCACTCAATCTCTTGAAATCAATCATAATGATCAAGTGAAAACCATCAAACCCTTAGGTAGGATAGCATATCTGTGAGGAGAGTGTTAGGCTGCATCCCAGTAGGTACATTAAAAAAAATCTCAGTGAGTATACTCTTTAGCATTGTTAAATATAATCTGATATTCTTATTTAATAGTGATTCAGAATATTGGAGGTCACTCAAAAAGAGAAAGTTTTGCAAAGAAGAAAATACTCTTTCGGGATTTTAATTTTTAAAACTAAATTATAAATATTCAAAACATAATGTACAGAAGTTGATACCAATTCATATCCATGTATTCACAGCCTTTGAAAAAATGGGATTATCTTGCTTTAGGTTCAGTTTAGTTACAGACGCAATTGAATTCTTAAACTACAGATACAAACATATCCTTTCTCACCTCTATCTCTTCTTTTCTGCCTCTTCAGATGTATTAAATATTCCAAAGTGAATGTTTCCTTCTTATTCATGAGTTTATACTTTTGTTACAAATTCATTTATCAAAAAATGTATAGTATTTGGTGGTGTTAACATATATTTAAATGACATGCTATAATACAATATCCTTGGCTGCTGGCCTGCTTCCCCCTGTATTTGATATGATCAACATGGATTCTAGTTCATTTATTTTAAATGCAGTGTAACACTATTTTCTGACTGCACCATGATGTATTTACCTGTTCTTGTACTACTGGGCATTTAAGCTTCTTTTTGGGAAACCACAGCAGTGAGTTTTTCCTGGTATATACAGCCTCCTGATATAAACATTTCTCTAGGGCATATTCCCACAGATGTTGAATCACTGGGTTGTAGGGTACGTGTGTCAACTTTACTAGTATTGCCAAATTGTTTTCTGAAATGGTTGTTCTAATTTATATTCCTACCAACAGTGTTAAGAGTTCCCTTAGGCTGGGCGCAGTGGTTCACGCCTGTAATCCCAGCACTTTGGGAGGCCGAGGCACGTGGATCATGAGGTCAGGAGATCGAGACCATGCTGGCTAACAGGGTGAAACCCCGTCTCTACTAAAAATACAAAAAATTAGCCCAGGCGTGGTGGCATGCGCCTGTAGTCCCAGTTACTTGGGAGATTGAGGCAGGAGAATCACTTGAACCCAGGATTTAGAGGTTGCAGTGAGCCGAGACTGTGCCACTGCACTCCAGCCTGTGTGAACAGAGTGAGCCTCTGTCTCAAAAAAAAAAAAAAAAAAAAAAAAGAGTTCCCTTAAACTTCTACACTTTTGGTGGGAGTGTAAATTAGTTCAACCATTGTGAAAAGCAGTATGGCAATTCCTCAAAGAACTAAAAGCAGAACTACCATTTGATCCAGCAATCCCATTACTGAGTATATGCCCAAGGAATATAAATCATTCTACCATAAAGACACATGCACACGAATGTTCACTGCAGCACTCTTCACAATAGCAAAGACATGGAATCAGCCTAAATGCCCATCAATGATAGATTGGATAAAGAAAATGTGGAACATATACACCACGAAACACTATGCAGCCATAAAAAAGGATGAGATTATGTCTTTTGTGGCATCATGGATGGAGCTGGAGGCTATTATCATCAGCAAATGAACACTAGAACAGAAAACCAAATACCACATGTTTTCACTTATAAGTGGGAGCTAAATGATGAGAACTTATGAACACAGATGTGGAAACAACAGACACTTGAGGTCTACTTGAGGGTGGAGGGTGGGAGGAGGGAGAGCAGAAAAGATAACTATTAGGTACTGGGCTTAATTCCTGGGTGATGAAATAATCTCTACAACAAACTCCCGTGACATGAGTTTACCTATGTAACAAACCTTCACATGTACCCCGAACCTAAAATAAAAGTTAAACAAAAAAAGAATGCAAAACAAACATGAATCAACACCTAGAATGAGTAATTACATGAGCATGTTAACAATATTAATATTTTGTTAATGAAACTAAGGGTGGTGGATTTCAACCCCCAAATTTTCATAGTGTGTGTTACTTTTATAATGGAAAATGTCCCAATAAACTATTTTTAAACCTAAAAAAAGGAGTTCCCTTAATTTGCTTATAGTTGATGTTATGCCCTGGCTGGTTCCAGTCTGCATACCCCTCCTCACTCCATAGTTACGGCCTCTTGAAAAGTCTTGCGGTCTCAGTCTTATCAACTTTTCTTGAACAGATATTGCCCTTTCTTAGCAGGTTTGATGGAGCTGCAATCCACTACCCTTTAGCTCATTGGTGGGTTGTGCCTGCTGCAAGTTTGGGTTTTATTTTATGACTTCAAATAACTAGACTTCTCTTTTATATTAAAAGCTCTTGGCCCCACATTCTGAAAAGTAGATCTTTCTACTCTATCTCAGCTGTTGCTTTAGGATCCTACATGAAATGTAGGATGAGACTTTATCTGACTTAAAGTTTCTCTCCCAAGGATTGAAATTCAGCCTCTGAAATTCAGTCTGCTTCCCGGGACTTTGATTGATGCTCCTGGGCTTTTCTGTGACATGAGTCTTCCTCCTCATGCTTCAACAACCCTCTCTTGTCTGCTTTTGGACTTCTGTCTCTATTTCTAGAAGGTTGTCCTTTATTTGTTACCATACTTGCAAGCAGTGTGTTTTCTGACTGGGCTCCCTGTCTTGTCGCCTTTCTGACCTCGAGGGCTGGTCTAGTTCCAGGATGAGTTAATCTTGTTCCTCTATGGATTCTGCCATTGATGCCATTAAAGAACAAGATTTATTGCTGTCACCTCCAGAAGTGATTTCATGCTGTTTGAAACAATCTTGTGCAAAGTGTTGTCAATTAAAACAAAACCAAACAAAACTGTTTCCTTTTTGAGTAATCTTTGAAAATCATAATCACTTTCAGGAGTACAAGATATTCCAATGTCTTCTCCATAGATGTGACTAATATTCACATTCTGGTGGCCAAGCTGCAAATGACTGTCTTTGGCTCAAATATCCAGAGAATATCGCAAAACCAAAGGCCTGAGAAAAGCATTATAAAGAGAGAGAGAAAAAAATCTCTTTAACAAGGGATTTCTGAAGTAATATGTGTTCATTTTAGAAAATTTGGAAAAATACAGCAATGCAAAAAGAGAATCATAGATGACCTTAGAACAACTATTAACTTTTTGCACCAGTTGAGATATAAACATACCCACGAGTATATTAGTTTAATAAATGTCTGAGTGCCTACCTAGATGCTAGGAGTAAAAAGAGAGTGATAAATAAATCAAACGTAGATCTACCACTTAGGGAGTTTAAAGTCTATCAGAGGGAGTCAAGTAACAGATAAATAACGAAATTTGTGAAAAATTGGAAGGCTGGTATTTCTGACAAAAAATCATTTCCTCTGAGTTTCACAGGATGAGAAAAACAGGCACGTGAAGATCAAGGGGGAGAGTGCTTCAGGGAAAGGGAAATGCATGTGAAGAATGTATACAGGCATGAGAGAGGTTTTATTGCCTAAATTTAGGAAGAGACAATAACGGCTTTTTATGGTGGAGTCAAAGGGAGCTAAGAATGTATACACTGTTAAAATGTGCAATCTAATTTTAATGTACAAGTAGTAACAGATGAATTAAAAATTAAAAAGATGTACTTTAGAATAAAATAATAGGATATATTTTTATTTTTTATGAAATTGCAAACATGTATATACTATTTTACCACTTTCTTTTAAAGCATAAGTCTAGCTAGGCATGGTGGCATGTACCTGTAGTCCCAGCTACTCGGGAGGCTGAAGGAAGAGGATCCCTCGAGCCTGGGAGTTCAAGGATGTGGTGTGCTGTGAGCGCACCTGTGAATAGTCACCACATGCCATCCAACCTGGGCAATATAGTGAGAATCCATATATTAAAAAATAAAAAAAAGTTTTTTGACACATAGCCAAGTCTAAACATGTAGAAATTTACAGATTGGCTTAAATATTTGTGATAACTATAAAAATTCCACATCTCCAGCTGTCTATATGTTATTCTTACACACGTATGTAGTACTAAACCAAAGGGATCTTTTTCCCTGATACAAATGTGGAGTAAAAGTTTACATACAGCAAAGAAGGATTGATTCCAGCCTACAATTCTACTCCCTAGAATTTTTCTATCATGAATGAAGCCCTTCCATTTTTCATCACGATAGGAGTGGTTTATCAGATTTTCCTAGAGCAATTCCAATTTTGCTTATCAGTTAGGACTAAAATGTGTCATCTTCCTTTCTATATTTAGGAACTGTAGGAAGCTGTGCTATGGCATGTGAGATGTGAGGAGCATCTGTTAGAGAGAATGCCGGAGCTGAAGGTGTGAGAGGTTTCAAGAAACGATAAGCTTTGGGCTCAGCTTCCCCCTAGGATTACAAAGGGCTTGCACATATTAGAGAGCTAATTTTTAGCATATTTCCATGAAGGCAGATTTTATCTTCCATAAATGCTTAGATTCATAGAAATGGTGAGTTGGCTCAATGCTGATCCTTTTATGTCTAGCTTGATGTTTACAGTAACTCTGGAGGTAGAGGGTTAGTGATTTATATTTTAACCAGTTCCTTGTTTAACACAATCATCTTATCTTGGCTATTGCTTAACACTTTTTTTAGGGCTCCAAAGAAATACATACATATGTATAAAATTGTTTTGGATTTTTGTGTCCCAGTGTTACAGAAAATTTCTAGAAATATGCATGAACCAGTCAGATATTCTCTAAGTGAGTTTAATTTTATTTCTTTGACTTACATTTTATTTCTATTAGTATACCTTTCAGTGTTACAGAAAGGCAGATCTACCATTTGTGTTACGTTGGATTTTTCAGGCCATTGCATCCTTTTCCTGTTTATTATGTTGAGGCCCCCTCAGTTATCCACTGAACTGATTACCAAACAACCTCTCCTAGAGTTTTGGTGTTATCTCTACCTGTTTTTTCAACCACGTTCTCTTGAAAGAATCTTTAATTTAGGCTCATATCTACAATAAAATATAATAAAATAATGGCTTTATTTTTGTTTTAATTATGACAAGGTAATTTATGCCTGATTTGTTTATTTACTTAGAACTCATAATAGTTATTCACATTTCAGCCTGATTTAAGCATTATTTTTTATGGTTGTTTTGAGATGGATCTTAAACCATCAAATGTTCCCAGCAAAAGATGGCATTTTTTTCAGAAATATAGACATTAAACTTAATGAAACTTACTTTGCCAAATTCATACCATGCTTCTATTTATTTCCCTATGATAAATACCTTCTTACATCTCATTTGTTTCAGATTATCTTTCTACTTCCTATTACCCAAGAAAATATTGTTTTTTTGCTTGTTCAGGTCAAATGTTTAAATCAATTGATCAATATTTCAGTACTTGCTGTTAGACAAATACAATTACTCATTTCTTCTCTGCCATCACTCAGAGTGTTTTCTCCTTCTGGTATACTGTTCCTCTCTTGTCATGTTCTTTTACTTTCACTGAAACCCTTCCTCAGTTTTAAAGTGGAGCTCAAATCACACATTCCTGGTGTCAGTTTGTCCATTTTCTGGATTTCCCCAGATCTTCTCATTTGGAATTACACTCTCCCTTCAGTAATCATTCATCATACTGTGAACACTTATCACCACCTGCCTTGTGTTCTATGTAGGTGAGGATGTTTTTGTTTTCCCACTGTGGTAACAATTACTAATGGACAAATTCCCTACATTTTGTAACCCTCAGGGTACTTACCTTATTCATAATATGTTTCCAGGAATGTTGAGTACATTAAATGAGTAAGTTTCTTAGCCAAGGTATTGATTCCATTGAATTTACTGGTCTTCAAATATTTGTATCTGTCTACTTTGTCAAGATATGTAAGAAAGGCAATGAATGACATTAATATTTTCCATGGAAACTACCGACTTTCAGTTCTATGTTACCTCCTTTCAGTTCTGTTTTACGTCTGTTTTAGCCTTGCGTTATCAAATCAATTAACTTTTGAAGCCTCAGTTTGATCATCTGAAAAAAGGAAATAATGATATCTCCTCATTGTTGTGATAATTACATAGATAATAATTGCAAGGAGCTTGACACCATACTGTAGCATATAGAAAGTACTCAATAAATGCCAATTACCATCAACAGATAGTAATAACTGTTACTATTGTCTTCATTTTTAACTTTTTACTCAGGATACATCTTAGGTATCCAAGGAGACTGACTCTGGAAAAAACATGAATTAGAACTCAGATTTCCTGATAGTATCTTTATCAGAAAAAAGGTAGAGAAGTGAATATTTCTGTCCATTTTATGAAAGGACAATCTTGATGCACATTAATACTTCATCTCAAGCCAGAATGTAAGATTCGGACTGGGGCCATCAAATAATCCTGCTTGAGTGATTCTACCTTGTTTCTAAGTAGTCATTGCCTGCAGAGTTTTGATGAAACATCTAATAGAGAAATTGTGGAGAGGTATCATATGTAATTGACAGAATACAATTGGTTGTACTGAAATATCTTCCTTATGCTAAAAGAATGAAAACATTGATGCATCCCAGATTTGTGGGCCTTTCGTTGGAAGTTTGTGGAGATGGAAATTTAATGTAAAGGGAAACATTTGTTTTTCCTCTGAGGAAGTCTGAAAACTTCTGCATTTCAGATTTTAGGTTAAATTTTTCATTCACATTAACATTTCTGTCTTTTAGCTGATGTATAGCTCAAAATATCTCAGATCCCCTACCTCACACCATATACAAATACTAATTTAAAATTAATTACAAATCATCTAAATATAAGAGCCAAAACTCTGAGAAGAAAACATGGGAGAAAAATCTTTATGACGTTGGATTAGGCATTCTCTTGAGATAAGACAAAAAAAAAAAGACAAGTGACAAAAGGAAAAGATAGATTGCACTTTATCAAAATTAAAAAAAATTTCCTTCAAAGGCTGCCATTAAAGAAATAAAAGACATCCCAAGGAGGTGGAGAAAATACTTTTACATATATATCTGATATGGGACTTATAACTAGAATACATAAAATCTCTTAAAATTCAACAATAACAAGAATAATAACCAAGTTAAAACATGGCAAAGGATTTGAATAGACACAGCTTCAAAGAAGATATACTAGTAGCGAGCATGCATATGAAACAATGCTCAAAATGATTGGTCATCAGGTAAATGCAAATAAAAGTCACAATGAGATACCCTGTTACAATTACTAGGATGGTTAAAATAAAAAAGACAGTAATAACACTTTTTAAATAATAAGCAAAATGTGCAGAAATTGAAACCCTCATACACTGCTGGTAGAATTATAAAATAATGCAGCCAATTTGGTAGACATCTTAACAATTCCTCAAAATGCTAAAATAGAGTTAACATTTCACCCAGTAATGCCACTACTAGGTATATACCCAAGAGAAATGAAAACATAAATGAACACCAAAACCTGTGTATGAATGTTTATAACAGCATGATTCATAGTTGCCAAAAAGTGGAATCAACCCAGATGTTCATTAACTGATAAGTTAGTACACGAAATGTGTTTATATCCAAATAGTGGAATGCTGTTCAGCAATGAAGAGGAATACTGATGCTACAAAATGGATAAACCTTGGAAACATTCTGCTAAGTGAAAGAAAGTAGTCACAAGGGATCACATATTATATGATACTGTTTATATGACATGTCCACATTAGGCAAATCCATAGAGACAGAAACTAGATAAGTAGTTGCCAGGGGCTGGGAGGAGAGGAGAGTAGGCAGTGACTCCAAAGAAAACATGGGAGTAAATGTATGTGGGCTGATTTTTGTGAAGATGAAAATGTTCTGAAATTGGGTGGAAACTCTTGGAAAGTACTAAAAACCATTGAATCATATACTTTATTTTTAATTTTTTTAAATAGGCACAGAACCAATACATGAATTGTATACTTTGAAGGAGTGAATTTTATATTATATTAATAATATCTCAATAAAACTCTTGAGGGATATAAGAATTTATACGCACAACCCCCCACACCCCCAACACACACCCCAGGGTACCAAACAGAAAAATGAGTCAGATTCAGGCTCCCTAGTAAAACTTATCATTATAAATAAGCTATCGTTGGCCTTATCAAATGTGCTTCCTGAAAAGAATGCTGAGATATATGGAATTTGTAAGTCAGATTGTCATTCTGTCATCTTTCTCATCTTTCTCTAAACTAAACAAACACTGGAATTACCACCATTATGTTTGTCCACATTGTTTATTACCTTCCCCAACCCCTAAAAGCCACTACAGACTTCTAATCCATCATAAAAGAATCTGACAGAAGCCCACCACGATGACTTAAGTATATCACAGGGAAGTCACATTGCTTGTGCTACCATGTTTTATGCCCCATTTTGCATTCTTTGGATGCGAATTTTGGCTCCCACCTTAGCTGCAAAATCAGGTTGCATTCTGCTTAGGGCTTGTTTTCTGTGTTAGGGTTTACCAAATATTGAGAGTTAATAGCTTCTGAGAACCTTCACCAAAGGGGAATGGAGAGCCAGTAAGTAAAGGCACTCCTTTACTGTTCTAGGTGGACAACTTGGAAGGTAATTTTACACTGTTCCGTCCAGTTGCCCTGTGGGTGTCCGTGGTGGTAACCAGTTTAATAACCCTCCCTTGGATTACCTTTCTATCCCTGCTTTTCCCATGCTTCCTAGGCATCCCTCCATATATCCTTCCCCCTTCTGTTTCATGGTATCCCTTCTAAAACTAAACTTCTTGTATATAAGCCCTTAACTCAGTGTCTGTTTTTAGGAGATGTCAAGCTGACACACTGTCTGATTTTTAGAATATCAAGGACCCTAGGTGAACTACTTAATGTTTCTGTGTCTCAGTTGCTTCATCTATGTGGAATAATAATTATTATTGCCTCCTGTGCAGAAAAGAGTTGACAGAGTAGGCCTGATAATGCTATTCTTACAGAGGCCTGCTTATGAGAATGTCCCTTGGCTGGCATCTGGGATCGTGGCTGGTACAGATATAAAATTCTCCCTTACTGATTAGAGTGGATCACCATGCCTAGACTGTACAATGTGGTTTATGCTGCATGCCTGCATCCTTCTGGGAGTTTGGAATTGTGGTACATGGTAGTATAAGGGAGGGAAAATGGCTTCCCGCTTTGACACAAGGCTGGTTAACAGAGAAAAAAACCCTAATTACATATGTAAGTGCAGCCATCCCACAAAACGGGGTCCCACAACTTGAAGAAGGGTCAGATGATTGAAGCTTATGTAGCGTCCTGAGCTTACACAAAGGGATAGGAATTTGGGGCTTCTTGGGGGGCAGGTAGGTGTGGAGAGATAAGAGACAGGAGGGTGAGGTGAATACAGGATATCTTCTTATGCAGATAAATGTCTTTCAGGTAATAAAAGTTGTCTGGAGTAGCCCTCATATAGATATTTTTTACTAACGTAGATTTCTTTTATAGATTTAAGTTTCTTTTACAAAAGGACAGCTTTTCAGAGCTACTCCTGTGGCTGCAGTTTCTTAGAATTACCAGCCAAATGTATGCCAAAGAAATATATTTTAGGGTGGCACATTCTGGTCTTCTACAGTCATATTTTCGGGTGGTGTGTCCTGAGCCTCAACAATAGGCAGAGCATACCTATGTGACCAGCTTCTCCTTCCTCACCTGCTCCTCTCAAAAAATACCCACCTGGGCACTGAGTTCCTAATAGGCATCCCTGGACGGAAATAGTCCACATGTGTTGTTGCATTTTTGTTCCTGGGAAAGACGATAGTCTGTGAGACCACCTCATGGGAGAGAGAGAGCATAAGGAAGCTTGCACATGAGTTCCTCCAAATTCTACCTGGGTCCTTTCCCCTTATTATTCAACTGTGTACCATTACTGCACAGTTGTCATATATTTTTGCCATGAGTACAACTTAGATTCTGAGTCCTGTGAGTTCTAGTGAATCTCTGAGTAGAGGTCTGGTCTTGGGAATCCTTGACACACTTGCTATGGTTGTTGAGAAGATTAAATGAGGTAATATAGAAGACTTTAGCACAATGCTTCTAACATCCTAAATGTGCAGTAAATGTTAAGATTTACTAAAGTACATCCTGTCAGCTCAATATGGGGTATCAGTTGGCTCTGGGATTCCCGAGTTAATCAGGTTGACTCAATCTGTAAAAGTCATATTAGATACTCAAGAGCCATAAAATGATATTAGAAGTACTAAGGTTTGGGTCGGGCGCGGTGGCTCACGCCTGTAATCCCAGCATTTTGGGAGGCCGAGGCGGGTGGATCACGAGGTCAGGAGATGAAGACTATCCTGGCTAACTTGGTGAAACCCCGTCTCTACTAAAAAATACAAAAATTAGCCGGTTGCGGTGGCGGGCGCCTGTAGTCCCAGCTACTCGGGAGGCTGAGGCAGGAGAATGGCGTGAACCCGGGAGGTAGAGCTTGCAAGTGAGCCGAGATCGCACCACTGCACTCCAGCCTGGGCGACAGGGCGAGACTCTGTACCCACCACCCCCAAAAAAAAAGAAGTAATAAGGTTTGAATTTAGCTTAGTAATGCTCAGTGCAATTGCTTTAAAACCCAGGTCCTGCCAGGCGCATTGGCTCACACCTGCAATCCCAGCATTTTGGGAGGCCGAGGCGGGTGGATCACGAGGTCAGGAGTTCAAGACAAGCCTGGCCAAGATGGTGAAACCCCCTCTCTACTAAAAATACAAAAAAGTAGCCGGGTGTGGTGGTGGGCGCCTGTAATCCCAGCTACTTGGGAGGCTGAGGCAAAGAATTGCTTAAATCCGGGTGGCAGAGCTTGCAGTGAGCCGAGATCGTGCTGCTGCACTCCGGCCTGGACAACAGAGCTGAGACTCCATTTCAAAAAACAAACAAACAAAAAACAAAAACAAACAAACAAAAACCCAGGTCCTTTCCCTTCATCTTTGGTACAGCCAATAGAAAATGAACAATACTATCTCACGACTTTTCTATTCTCGTCAGCATGGGCCTCTTCCACAAGCACTCCATTTAAAGTCATTGATCTAAACTTATTCTTTACTGTGCTGCTCTTTTTACTGTTCACGTCTGCCTTGACACCATTCCCCATTTGGGGTGCCCTTCCTTTGCCATCAGCTAGCTCACATCTGACCCCACTCATCATGGACTGGCTCACATCTTCTGTCTAGGAAGTTGTCATGAAGGACTTGAATCTTATGGGTCTCTCCTTTTAGGGGATAGAGTGACCCTGCTGTAGTTTTAAAATCTTGGATTTGAGTACAAGGATCTGGATTCTGCACTATAGCTTTTCCTCTAACTTTAAGACCTTGAGCAAGTTACTTAGATTTTCTGAGGCCCTGTTTTGTAATCCGTAATGCCAAGATAATTTGTTTACCAGGGATTATTTGCCAGGCTACAGTGGGATGGGGGAATAAATGTGTTTAAATACTGGTAAAAGCATTGTGTAGATATAAGACATCAAAATACGGCACCCACGTTTTGCTTTTTTTTTACATATATAATTCTTACCTCCTTGCTGTATGGTTTTATGTTGCCATTACATTCTTACTTATGTTATTATGTTTTATTTCTTCAGGTAGATTATAATATCCTTGAAGGTTGGACTTGCCTCGTCTACATTTTGACACTCCCTATCGTAGTTAGCAAAGTAGTATGCTGCTATTTGGGCTCCGTAAGAATCTTATCATGTTTATTGATGAGGAATTGTGAGTTTGGAAACAATAGTTTAAGGGGATTTTTGGAAGAGGAAAAAGCACTGGATTGAGCATAACCACTTTACATACAGAGCAGGAGCTACTGAAGTGGCAGATTTTCAGGGTTACTATGGGGAAGTCAAATCTTCTACACTGCTGGTTAACAGCACCTTAATTATTAGCTGCTTTAGAAATAAGTGCCCTATTGCCCTGTAATTTCATTTCATTAATTATGCTCAGAGGTAGTGGTATCTGAGGCAAACAACCCTTAGATTTCCACTGCACCTTCATCATAGGCAAATATTTATCATGGATAGGGCTATTAAGTTCTTCATTAAGAACTTTATTAAGTTTATTAAAACTTTCTTTCTCACTGAGATTTAAAAAGAGCCATTTAGTAGTGACCTATGAAAATGCAAGTATTATAAAGCAGTAATATAGACTATATATTATTGAATAAGAATTTTAGCCTTTTTTTAACAAATGCAGATAATTATTATTATGTGCCAGACATTGTTACAAGAACTTTAAAAATATTAACTACTTTAATTTTTGTAACTCTTTGCAGTAGCTGTGATCATTATTTCCATTTTATAAATGAAGAAATTGAGGCACAGAGTGTTGTGTAAATTATCTGATGTCACACAGATATGTAAGTGACTGAGCTCACAAAAGCCAGTCAATTTTGCTGTATAGAATGTGATAGAATGTACCCTATTCTATGCTGCATTCTGTTACTACCTGCGTATTTATTTATTTGCAGATATGTGCATTCATTGTGATGTTTTTTAATTATTTGGGGACCAATGGCATGTCATATCAAAAAAAAGGAAAGAGACCTACTTTGTGGATTTGCAAACTTCTATTATTTATCTTTACATTCCTATATTTTCACTTTTCATTGTAAATACATTCAAGAAGATAAGTTGGTAGATGATAAAATATGGATAGATTAGGAATGCTAGGTAAATAGTTCCAAACTCTTTAATTTGATGCCAAGAGAGCAAGTAATATGAACCTCAACAGTCCATCCTTAGGTGCTTTTGTCAGCCAGCTTCATAGTCTCATCATAGCTGACTAATAGTTAGTGTCCTTTTTCATTTTGCACATAATCCAGCATTAAAAGCATAAGGTATGAAAGGATGAAAAGATTATGCCCCACTTTACTTATTCGACTAAATTATTATGCCTTGACCTTTTGACCAAATCAGATTCATCTTCTCTCTCTCTGCACTTCCACCCATTTTAATGCTGCGGCACAGATTGAATGGATTGGGAGTCTGTGGGTAAGTAATAAGAACACAGAGAAGAGTGGCCAGCATGATTAAGATTTTATTTGTAGTGTAATTCCATTATAATTAACATTATGTAACTGTAGAAATATGGTGTTTGCACCTCTTCCTGGCAGATGCTTTTAAGTCAGTGGCAGAGAGGAGATTAAATAGTAAATGAAGACCTATTTATTGAAAATTGTTTCTACATCCTGTATTGTTGGATTCATTTGTTTGTTTCACAAACCACAGTTAATTTAGTAAGGAAAATAAGCAATATGTTTAACAAACACTCAAAGTAAATTTGTTTGCAGTGCTTTGAAGTACCATAGTTGAACTTTTGATATTAGAAGTAAAGTATTACTGAAAGATCTGCAAATTAAGGGTGTTTAAATAGTGAAAACAAAATGTTTATTTTTTCCAAAGATTACTAACAGAATTTAAGTAAATGAAAATAATATGGTTTTGCATATGGTTTAAAGCATTTCTAGTTACAAGTGATTTTTTTTCAAAAATAAATTGGCCAAATAATTATGTATTTAATTTATATACATTTTGATCAGACTCCTCTAGCCAAGGAATTGGCAATCCATAGCCCACTGGCCAGATTTGTTTCTCTTCTTCTTTTTTGTGTTGCCCCCAACCTAAATGTGGTTTTTACATTTTTAGTAGTGGAAAAAATCAAAATAATAATAATATTTCATTCACAATAAAATTATATAGCATTTAAATTTCATTGTCCATAAATAAAACTTTATTGGGACACAGTCTCACTCATTTGTTTAAGTATTGGCTGTTTTTACACTACAACAGTAGAGGTAAGTAGCTCTGAGAGTCTGTATGGCCTGCAAGGCTGAAAGTATATATCATCTGGCCCTTTGTGAACAAGTTTGCAGATCTCTCTACCTTAGCAAATAAACAAAACATCATCATCAACAGTAATGATAAGACTGTGATAAGGGCTTTATATACATTATTTCTAATGTATCAAATGATGGTATTATAGACATATTATTATCTTCATTTATAGATCAGAAGACTGAGGGTCTAATGATTAACTAATTTCCTTACTGAGAGCTGAGTTTTAGTTGGAATATTTATAGCAACTTGTAATATATATGAATGACTATTAGAGTTTAGACTTATTTAAAAACAACATTGTGAGTATTTTGAGAGTGAGATTTTCTTCTATAACCCAATTAATATTTATTAAATAGGATTGGGTTGATTGATTTGATGGTGGTTATTCTAGAATATGGAAATTTGGACATCTCAGTTAATTTAGAGCTGCAAACTAAGAGAAAATCAGTGCTTCATTTTGATGATAGATGTCAGAACCACTTTTCTGCATCCATATGGATCTTGTTTGCTTCTGCTGTATATAAGAATGATTACAAATTGCTCCAACTTTTATTTTGAGGACGCTAATGCATTAGCCTTGTAGAATTGGCCTATAGGGACTTTCTCTGGAATTCCTTGCCATTCATTCATTTATTGTAGAAAAAATAAGTTGGCTAAGATGATGGTTGTTCATACTAAGAGTATATTGAACCAGGTCTGTGAAAGGAATTGAGAAGTTATCGATGTATTTCATCATTTATCTCATTGGACCACAGTAAATGATTATTGCATTAGGATGTGGTGATAATGGGTTTTGGGTATTATTAAAAAATAATTTCAAAGGAGGTCCAATATATAATATACTTAGCCTAGCTTTAAGAGTGGTAGCAGAGGGAACCACTGTTTCCACATCAGCTTCCTGAAGTCCAGTGTTAAAAGATTGATTAAATGAAATCTGTTAGGTAAAATGCATTTCAGTTCATAAAAGTCATGAGGCTTCTTGAATAGGCCCTTAGAAAAATCAAGACTCTAATTATGCAGTGCTAAACATTAGAATTACAGCCGAATATTCATATAGTTACGTAAGTATTTGAAAATATCTAATCTAAGACTTCCTTAGATATAGCTGAAAGATAATAGTCTAGATAATATCTTGAGGGCAGAGCCTCTGTCTTAAAGTATCTTCATGTTTATATAGTAAATAAATAAGAGTAAGTATTATTATTTTAACTAATATTTACTGAGAACTATGCACCAGAAATTGTGCTAATTTTTGTAATCAATGCCTCATTTAATTGTCCTAAAACCTGCTGAATAAGTACTAATAATTATTAATAATTTATTCCAATTTTACAGGGTTTACAGGCCCATATCAAACATTCAGATTAGTTGAGCTTAACAATCAAGTATCTCCAGCTCCAAAGCTTAACACCTTTTCCACTATGCTGTGTTGTGTAGCGTACTCCAAATGTTTGATGAGTGAATGCATGAGAATGTGAGGGAGTTATCAGGAAACCATCTTCATCATGGAATTTTAATCTGTTCTTAACCTAAAGTTTCTCTACTCTGAATGCTGCTACTGTGGTCATCATTATTAAGCTTTATTAGAGATCCCTACTCTATTTACTTGTTTTGAAAAGATACCATTTCTGAGCAATCCCAGCTGTGACTTAAGATTGAACAAATCAGCTGTCACCTGTCCTACACAGCAGCGCATTGACAGCACAGGTGTGGTATTTTTGCTCCAGTTTGGATGGGTTGCCAACGATCAGGTTTTCCAAATGTGATTTGTTTAGATAAAACTAAATATTAATACCACCTCAAGTGCCATAGTGTGTACAACCAGAAGAGCTCTCATATATACCTTGCGTGATTTTCCCAGCAATACGGTTGTTCAGATAGACAACAAGAAACTTGCAGATAAGAAGAGGGACTCAGAAGGTTTAGGTGATTTGTCCAAGTATACCAGCTGGAAACTCAAACTTTCTGATTTCAACACCGTGCTGGGCATTGCCTCAATTTGAGAGGGGAAAATTTGGACCCACATAATGGGATTGCACCAGCCTTCCCATGCCCAGTGAAGATAGGATTGTACCAATAATATGGGTTCTTTCCTTTTAGAAACTAACTTAATCACTGGAACCATCAAAGCACCCACGGGTACATACAAAAGAACACATGTCATATACCTGTGTCATGAATAATAATGTTATGTGTCTGCACTGTTTAATAGAAACATGATGTGAGGGATGGGTGCGGTGGCTCACATCTGTAATCCCAGCATTTTGGCAGGCTGAGGCAGATGGATTGCTTGAGCCCAGGAGTTCGAGACCAGCATGGGCAACATAGCAAAAACCCTGTCTTTATAAAAAAATACCAAAATTGGCTTGAGCATGGTGGTGCACGCCTCTAGTCCCAGTTACTCAGGAGACTGAGGTGACAGGATCACTTGAGCCCAGGGGGTTGAGGCTGCTATGAGCCATGATCATGCCACTGCACTCCAGCCTGGGCGACAAAGCGAGACTCTGTTTCAAAAAAACAAAACAAAACAAAAGAAATATGATGTGAATCAAAAATATAATTTAAACTTTTTTGGTATTCACACCAAAAAGTAAAATGAAACAGGTGAAATTTACTTTAATAAATCATTTTAGTTAACACAATATGTCAAAAAATATTATCATTCAACTGTACCAATATTAAAACAATTACCAATTAGATACTTTACACTCATTTTTTGCTCTAAATCTTCAATTCATACTAGCCACATTGCAAATACTCAATAGTCACATCTGGCTAGTGGTGGTTACCAAGTAGGACAGCTTGGCTCTGAATAGCATGATAGTACAGTTGCCATGCTTAGGCATGGAGATGCTCAGAGAAGAGGACTGGGAGGAAATTTCCCTAATCCATCCCCTTAACTCCCCCACATTTTGTCATTCAGATGATCTCCTTTTTGTTTAAATGTAAATGTCTTTTTATATTTTTAACCTAACTGGCTATTCATCTCACTGATATTCAATCATCTGATAAAGAGCTTCTATTCTCAAGAGTTCTCTGAGGAAGCAGTACATCTATGCAAGGAAATACATAAACATGACTCCAGTGATTGGAACAAAATTAGAAGATTTCTGAGGAAAAATTGCTGCTATAATTTAAGAAATGTACCTTAGCAACATCCAAGGCTCACGAGAATCAAATTGGTTATTTTGGGTTAAAGTCAAATAAAAGCACTTTTTCTTCACATATTTTTCTTTTTGTCATTTATCTAAAACGAATGGTTGATAATGATTAAAATGTAATTTTACTATAGAATGAGAAGAAAAAGCCAGAAAATATTTGAAGTACTCTTCAATTTATTTAATCAATTATGTCCTGATAAAAATATGCTAATTGCAATTCAGATTGCAAGGATTTTGGTATTTTTTCTTAGCCTTTTAGGTATTTATTAACACAATACAACACATTCCTATGAAATTAACATATAGGATTATACCTGAATTATATATTTCTATAAAGAATTTTCCCTAAATGACAAAGCTTACCAGAGAGCATTTAAATAACATGTTTTAGATATAGATATATATAGTGCACACATGTACTTTTCTTAAACCTTCGTGAATATGACTCTCTTCTGAGACCTGTCTGAAATTTTATATTTCCTAAAATGACTTGATCACATCATCATCGTCATCCAATAATAATAATAAAAACAATGACCTGAACCAGAAATTGTGCTTATTTTTACAGTCAATGCCTCATTTAAATGTCTAAAGCCTGCTAAATAATTAGTATAATTATTAATAATTGATTCCAATTTTACAGGGTTTACAGGGCCATGTAAAACATTCAGAGTAGTTGAACTTAACAGTCAAGTATCTCTAGCTGCAAAGCTTAAGATCTTTTCCACTATACTGTGTTGTATAGCATACTCCAAATGTTTGATGAGTGAATGCATGAGAACAACTGTTAAGATTTATCAATGCTTATTAATACTAGTACAATGCAAGTTTTTTTAATACTCTTTACATGCCTTATCTCATTTTATCTTTACAGCAACCCTATTTTGGTAGCTATTCTGACCAATAACAGGCTGTCTAAAAACTATATAGCTAAAAATTGGTATGCTGTTTTTAGTTTTTTATAAATATTGCTAAATAACTCCATAGAGTTTGTACTAATGAAGGCACTCACCAAAAATGTATGTGAATGTCTATTACCCCAGGCATTTATCAACAGTGTAACACTTTTGATCTTTGCCAACTCAATAGACGAAAACATTGAGTGAAAATATATTTGTTTTCATTTGCATTTTTTAATTATAATTGAGATCAAGTTTTTTTCTTAGCTCTTATCACTCTCTACCTCTACATAATGGCTTGATCAAGGGATTAACAAGCTCTAAATGAGATGACTTTATTATGAGTGGGAAGTCATAAGAAAGGTTGAGTGGAAAGAAGAGACAGAGGAGGTTTTTGACCCAGGAAGACAGATTCTACTTTTATGAATAGTCCCTATTCTCTTCTCTGAAATGAATCGAGCACTTCTGATAGAAATCTGAGTGCATGCAAAGAAATTGGTTAATGGGGCGCCTGTTAAGAGCAGTCAAACTATTCAAGCATGGCTAGCTGCTGTGGCTGCTATGATTATATTTTTAAACTAATGGGGGTCAGACTGAACTGTCTTGAGCTATGACAGTTATTAAACATATACCCACAGAAACCCCAAAGAGAAGCTAATAATTGATGGCCTTTTATTTTTACATACCAGATTCTTCACTGATCCCTGTCTGAAATCCACTGTTGACTCTTCACTCAATAAAATCATATGAATATTGAGTATTTTAATGTCAGTAGATGGCATTCTCCACTGGAAACACACTTCATAACTCCACCGTATGGCCTCTACATAACCTCTTAAGTGGTCGATCAAGAAGCCTTTGCCTGTTTTTGTTTTTCGCAGTCTTGTGATATATTCTGCATTCTCCGTTAGGGCTATATGCATTGATTAGCATATAGATGGCTATTCTGAACTAGGCCAATACTATTCAGCATGTACTACTTAATTTAGGAATAATAGTATTTATGTAAGGATTATTTCCAGTGAACCAGGATAGGCATAGATGGTTTGAGAAATCAAATCTGTTGAGAATCTTCAGACCGTTTTCTTGGTGCTAATTTCAGTGTCCACCCCCTCACCCCCAATTGAACCGTTTAACAAAGCAGCCGTATAATAGAATCATCCTAGATCATAGTTATTATCTGTTGCAGGGACATGAAGGTCATCTAGCTTACTCCTCTAATTTTGTGGATGAAGAAGTTCATTATAATAAGTAAAGACTTTTCTAAGAAAGTCAATGGAAAAGTCGGGACTCCCTAATTTGAGCCCAGTGAATTTTCCTTTCTCAGAATTATCCATGCCCTTTTAAAATACGAAGTGAAATACACAGCAAAAGGTAGAAGAAAATCAAACAAAAAAATCACCTGGAAAATCTACTTTATGCAATTAGTATTGGTAATGCTTCTTCACGATTCCAGCAATGCCATATAATTCCTTTCTCTGTTAGGTATCTAGTAATTTTTCCTTGTTTTCAGCTGATAATTTGTCTGGTAGATTCTGAAATGGCAACCTGCCATTTGACAAGAAAACCAGTAATGGATATGCATTTAAGAAATTTTCTTGGGAGGCCAAGGCGAGTGGATCACTTGAGGTCAGGAGTTCGAGAGTAGCCTGACCAATATGGTGAAACCCCGTCTCTACTAAAAACACAAAATTAGCTGGGCATGGTAACGCACACCTGTAATCCCAGCTACTTGGGAGGCTGAGGCAGGAGAATCACTTGAACCCAGGAGGAGGAGGTTGCAGTGAGAAAAGATCGCACCATTGCACTCCAGCCGGGGCAACAAGTCCATCTCAAAAAAAAAAAAAAAAAAAAAGAGGAAGTTTTCATTGCGTCTGGCTAAGACTTACAAACTTCATCAGCTTGTGGAGTTAGTCTCTGCTCATCTCATTTATATACAGAGCTACTTATCTGATTTGACTTTATTCCTGACACTGGACCAAGAAATTGTTGATGGGGATTTATGCTGCTGATTCTATTAAGAAAATTCATTAAATGCCCTTTTATGAAACTAGCAGGATTGGGTACAATACCTAACATTAGGAAAAAGTCAAATAATTTTCTTTAGCATGAGGCAGATGCATTGTTGATTGCCTTTGTCATAAAGAAATTTTATTTGAATCTTTATCAGCGACTCCAAAATAAGCTTGATCATTTTATGAGTGTGATCGTCACAAAGAGCATATTTCTCTTTTACTTTTTTCTCTTCTCTTTTTCTCTTGTTTAAGAAGTAGCACCAATTTCTTTGCCAGAGGAACATGTGATTGTATTTTCAGTATTTTCTCACTCACAAAAGATTCAAGTTTATGCTAACTGGAGACCAGAAACTTGTCTTTCTTGTTGCTTGAAGCTTTGACAAAATCTGTTTACTTGCTTTGAACAGTATTGCCCTGAGTTTATTTTTTTGGGGAAAAAAAGGCCATACTTGGAAAAATTGAGTTCTTATTTATCTTGGCTTATCTGTTGTATAGATAACATCTGCTGTCTCAGAGCTTACTCAGAACTAACAAAAGAACCAAGTGGCAGAGAACACCCGTAAGTTTATACATTTCAGAGACAAAAAGGATTTATTTTTGCCTGTTCTATTTGTCTTTTGACTACAGTTTGAAATGAGTGATTATTGTGAATAGTTTGAGATGTAATGATGCCAACATTATCAATTTGTACATTTATCAAGGTTATGCATACTAGGATTATGCATGCTATGATAACCTAAAAACTATTTAGGTTAAGCAGCTTATTAATATCCAAGTTAACTTTGATACAGTTACAAACACAGAACCTCAAATATCTATCCAGGAAAGGAATATCTTAGCCTGTTTTTCAACATGCTACAGTAAATATTTAATATTTAAAAATTTTGACATTTAACACATTCAGTATCTTTTTATTTTCCTCCCCTTTTTCTAATAATTCCTATAATTGTTTTTATAAATTTTTGAACTCTTCTCTCTGCTTAAAATAAAATTTCTCCCCAATGCAAATTGTGTTGTCTGTTAACTGTTTAGTAAGAGGAGCTTTGCTATCCTATATGATGAACACTTGATTATGTATTTTGATTAATGGTTACTATGCCAACTAGAGAACTAGATTTCAGTAAAATGATCCCACTAGATTGTAAATTTTGTTAATTTAGAAGTAACAAGAGCATCTAGTATTATGCTTATTCTTGGGCTAATTCATTTCTTTACTATCATTTATTTTATATTAACTCATTTATTTATTGTTACAATACATCCACTTAACACCCAGGTTTTCAATGGCCACTCTGAAAGAGGCATTGTTCTAAGTGCTGGAATACAAATACGAGGCATTATCTTGCTTCAGTACACATACAATGTAGTTGAAGGAAAGATTTCAGTAAACTAGTCAAAAAATTTAGTGCAAGTAGAAATGTTATTATAGGAGATACAGCAGTGGGCCATCTTAATTCAATGGAGAAGGGTTCAGGAAATTGAGGTTGGTCAAGTTGAGTTTTGAGGGATGTTAAGTAAGTGCTTCTTTAGATATAAGGTACTATAAGTTGTACACATTATTATGAAAGCACTGTGTAGCAGCAACATAATCATAATCATTATGAAGTTACAGGATAGTCTCATTGGGAGCAGTTGTTAAGTTTACATCCTCTAGGTCATTGCTAAAACTCGGTAATTTGGCAGGAAGTACGTAGGAGCTGAAGATAGGAGAATCCACTCTGCTGATTAGCAATGA
Source organism: Homo sapiens (assembly GCF_000001405.40). NCBI lineage: Eukaryota > Metazoa > Chordata > Mammalia > Primates > Hominidae > Homo > Homo sapiens. Next base: position 2,236,287 of record NC_000003.12, read on the forward strand.
AACCACAGGCCACCCACTGAACCTCTCTTACTTTACTTCCTTATCTGTGAACTGGGATAATACCATTAGGTGCTCATTTAATGTCATTTAATGCTTGATATAAAGTCTAAATGACGTCATGTGTGTGGAAGCATATTGTAAATTGAAAAGCCCTATAAAGTGAAACTGACTTTATTCTATACATATTTATTCACACCTGCTGTGTTCAATTCATTGAACTACATGTGAAGAGTAAATAGTTTTGTTTTGTTTTAGTCTTCAGGAAGCAGTGAGCATTTTTAAAAGGTCGTTATTGAACCCAGTACTTTTTGTTTGGAGGCTCAGGAATAATGTTAATTATTTCCCTTGGGAATGCAACACAAGCCATGTCTGTGTCCAAATGGGACATTAAAAAAGCATGTCCTCAAACTATCATTTTTATTTATTCACTTTAATTTCACTCACTAATACCTATTGGATGTCAGGCTCTGCACTAGACATCAGGATGCCACTCTCATTTGGTGGGCAGTTAAGGCTGCAGTCACAAATCACACATCATAAAAGAGAGGGAGATAGCAAGGGAGATCACATATCAAGTAGGGAGATAGAATGAGTAGGCAGAAGACGGTTAAGAGAGATCGTGCCAGAAGAAAGGGTATGAAATGGGAAGGAACATGGCACATTTTAAGAACTGAAACTTCTTCAGTGTAGCTGGACTGCAGAGAGCAAGATGGAGGATGGTAGAAGATGAGATGGTGGGAATATTTGGCAAAGACCAGACAGTGCAGGGATTTGTAGGCCAATTGAAGAATTTTGGCCTTTTCTCTATGAGTAATGGGAAGACAGTGAAGCATCTTAAGAGGGTTGAGGTAAGAGGGACGATCATACTAGCTACTAAAGTTTGTGGAGTCAGTAGTGGTAGGTTGTGGGGAGGTGGTGGTGAAGATGAAGAGATGTGAATGAAGTAAAATGGTCTTGACTTAGTGGTGGATTGGCTATATAGGAGGGATGAGAGGGAGGCAGAATATCACATTGAATTTAAATTTAGAAAGGTTTACTGTAAGCTGGGTGTGGTTACTCCTGTTTGTAGTCCCAGAAACTCCAGAGGCTGAAGCAGTAGGATCGCTTGAGGCCAAGAGTTGAAGCTGCAGTGAGCTATAACCCACCACTGCACTCCAGACTCAGCGACAGAGCAAGACACTGTCTCAAAAACAAAAACAAAAGGAAAAGCGAAAAGGGAGAAAGGTTTAGTGTAAAATCTTTGAGAGTAAAAAGAGAGAGGGATTTCTAAATCTTGGATTGTGCTTATGCCATTTAAAAGCTTTATAATTGTTGTGCACCTTCTCTAACTTATTTAATATAACCTTCTTGAAGGTTAGATTTCAGGTTTTAAAAAATATTTTATTTCTGGTCTAAAAATTTGGCAGGGATTTTAAAGAAATGGTAAGTGATAAGAAGGGAGTTGTTTTCATTTAGTTTGTAAGGAATGAATATTGGTATTTTTATGATCTGATGAAATTTATCCTTTAATTTCAAGTGAGACAGTTTGACTTTCATATGAAGATTAAATAATTAATTTTGCTTACTTCAGATATTCAGATTTAAATTAGCCTATAGGCCATTATTAAAATAGATTTACTGTGATAATTTTCTTGCTCATCAGGGTAACTTATTAAACAGATTATAAAATATCATAATAAAATCAGGTCCTCTGTAAATCCAGTGAAGAACGTTTTTTAACATGACTTGCCATTGAGACGTTTTTATAAAACCAGTGATACCCCTGGAAAGTAATTGACTAAAGAAAAAAAAAAGTCCAGGTTTATTCCTCATTGTAAAATTCACTTTTTAAATTTGCAGGCTATGAACAATTGAATTTGAGGAATAACGTATTTTGGGATATGTACCATTTTATTTAAATAAGTAAATAATTATATGGTGAAGGAATAATAAATATGTATTATCTTCTAGGAATTGTATAACAGTTTTGATTACTGATTTTGACGGGACTACTTTTCCTTATGAATTATGGAATATATAGCTAAATCTTATATAAACAATATATAATGCAACAGCAATATATTTTCTATTAAACTATAAAATAGTAGGTTAATTTTAACATCAGATTTAGTCCAAAATTTATTTGCCAATAAAATGAATAATAGAAAATTTTTAATCATAAAATTTCATTTGCTGATGTATAATAAAATTGTAGATTTTTCAAAATAAAAAAATCTTAGAAAATATCTTAAATTTGTTATCTGAATTGCTAAATACAATCTTCAATGTATTTAATGCTTTCCCTTCAGCTATTTATTTGGCTTTAAATATTTGGTGATTTTTAATAAAATGTATGTATTTTGCTATGTTAAAAATCCGAATGTTGCCAAACTGTGCGTTTTGGAACCTAACTTACTCCTGTAAAAATGATTTTATGTGTTGTCATTTTTAATTATCAGTTGGCTCTGTGTTTTTTTTTTGAGACGGAGTCTGGCCCTGTCGCCCAGGCTGGAGTGCGGTGGCGCCATCTCGGCTCACTGCAAGCTCCGCCTCCCGGGTTCCCGCCATTCTCCCGCCTCAGCCTCCCGAGTAGCTGGGACTACAGGCGCCGCCACCACGCCTGGCTAATTTTTGTATTTTTAGTAGAGACGGGGTTTCACCGTGTTAGCCAGGATGGTCTCGATCTCCTGACCTCGTGATCCGCCCGCCTCGGCCTCCCAAAGTGCTGGGATGACAGGCGTGAGCCACCGTGCCCGGCCTGGCTCTGTTTTTATTAGAAAAATTCTCAATCGTCGTCTTTTAAGTGAGTCAACCTAATACCTTTTAATTTTGTGCAAAGTTCTCTGTTTTAATAACTTTTAATTTAGTGCATATATCATATACTGGAGAATTATCAATTTATTTGATTCTTTTAGCAATTTATATTTTGGTAATTCTGTGTTAATAATGTGATTTGTATTTGGTTACGCAGTTGCCGATAATCCTGTGGCATTACAGAGTTTGATTTATGCGGACGATCCTTGGACTTAAAAAGGATTACTGACCATTTAAGAAAGATTAATTAATGAGTATAACATTGAGTCCTAACTCTGCTAATGCTTGTCTAAGCTACACACAGATACATGCACAGACACACATACCCTCAAATCTCATACCAAAAATGACCAAATTACAACAAAGGGGATAGTATCCTATCCTGCTAGGCCATCACATTATGGATCAGCAGTGTAGAGCAAGTCTTGTGGGGCCTGATCTTGCTCTTACAAGCTTTGGGATCTTGGGCAATTCAGTTTCCCTAAGCTCAGTTCCTTATTTATAGTCAGTGAGATGAATCCTATGGTCTCTTAGGTTCCTTTTATTTCGTAATTCAAAAAGTTGAAGTTAGAGGTTAATAATTTTGTATTGGTAAGACTGCAATAGCAGTCTTCTTCTTATAATTAATAAATTAAGAAGTTACAGGGACCAAGGGAGAAAGGTAAATTCATTTATAGGGATAAGACAATAAAAGGGTACAATTAATTTATTTGGTCACCAGTGTTCTTGTTTTCTTGCTGAATTTTATGGGATGGGAACAGATCTAGGAAGGAAGGCTCGTCTGTACCCTTTTGCCCTACCTGACGTAAAACTCAGGACTGACCCATCCTAAAATCATTCATTTAGAAAGAATCCCTCATAACCATGTTAGCTCAAGGTTATCTTGTATCTGATTTCTCTCTTCCTGCATAGGTTGCAGACTGAAGAGCATTAAAATATCTGTTTTCTTAGTGGTTTTCCTTTCTGGATTTGAATAATTCACTTGATTCTTCCAGGCTACTTAAATGAAAGAGTGTTATCTAAGAATGCTAATCTTAGTTCCTTTTGTTTGAGATTAGAGAAATCAATGCATTATATTTTTAGTCTAGATAGTAAGTCCTGAATGCCCTTTACTCTGGCCATTTAAAAAACTAAATTATTTTCAGTTGGCTTTCATATTGTGGGGTTAGATATTCATTTGAGATATGTTTTCTTTTTTCCTTTTCCGTTCCTTTAGTTAAAACGAAATCTTACCCTAAAGTGGGATAATAAGGGGAAAGATCCATTGAATTTGAGTATTGGGCTTAGTTTGCATTAAATGCTCCTTTTGTTCCTGTTTATGTATTATTTTAAGCTCGTTTTTCCAAATATACCAACAGCAGATATCAAATGACCATTACTTCATACTAGAAGGAATTTTTATAAACCAGGCCAAAGACTTCACTAGATTTCTCAAACTTTGTTTCTAACTCTGAAATCCTATGATTTTATGATTTTTAATATATTAGAGTAAACCTACAAAATTGTAATTTTGTAGGTGAACAATAGTTAGACAGTGTCGGTTTCATATGATTCAACCTACATATGGAAGCTTAGTCATTGCATTGTTTAGGAAAACTATGTAACTCATGTATGAAAATGGTAATGTCAAGCAACGAAGCTTATTAAGACACTAACATCATTTTTAAAATTTAGTTTTGAATACTAGATATTAAAAATTATATTTTAAACGTTTGTAAATCCAGTGAGAATAAAATGTTCTTTGCATATCTTATTTCTTTTCACAGGGAGTTTTTTCCTGTGTTTTATGAGAAAAATCACAGGCATTACAGTTTGAAATCAATTTCATTGTTTTCATTGCAATTGCTACATAGCTGTTGAATATTTGTAGTAAGGTTTAATGACTAATGAAGTGCATGCTTGATTATATGCCATTAGTAAAAATATATTTTTATGGCAAAGGGCGGTTTGCAGCATGGCATTGACAAAAGCAATATGTAAATGTGTTACTCCCCTTCAAAAGAATGCAAATCAGTATAAACAAATTTTAAGGAAAATATTTAAAAATAAACAATTAAAATAATGGATATTTATTGTTTGTTACTTATTGAGATGATATGAATATGTAAATAGAGCACTTAGGTCTACTTATTTTCAGAGGCCAGTGTACTACTAATTAGAAAAGTTGTAGATATCATAATTACTGTAGTAAATTAATTTGTCTTTATTGCTTACATTTTATTGCTTGGTATTCCAGGCATTGGATAGATAGTTACAATGCTGACATCAAGAGTGTTCCCACGATTATTTCTCCGCTTTTCTAATCATCAACTCATTATATGTCCCTTATCCTCCTGCTACTTATTATCACTTGCCATTTCACTCATTATTTGCTCCTATCTCTCTGTCTTTGCTCATTCAATTCTCTTTTCTAGGGATACCCCTTCCTTCCAGTTCTTACCTGCCAAAGCTGTGTTTGGCTTCTAATGTTTAGCTTAATGTCTGCATCTTCTGCAATGTCTTTCAGATGTCTGCAGTCAGAACTCTTTACTCAAGGTCACTACCGTCAGCTTGTCTTTCCACTGGAGCTCATCCAGAACACATTGCTTTGTGACCAAACACATTCTCTCTGTATCTGCCTCCCAATTAGACTGTGTACTTCTCTTCCCCATGTTCCCTCCTTTGACACAAGTCATGCTCTTCTAAGCAATCCAGGCTTGTTCAGTTGAATTATTTTCTAAAATTAAAACGGTATGCCAGACAAGGTAATACAAGTCTAGGCTTGATTTTTCCTGAGTGTTGTGTTTGCGGTGGGTGGGCCAATTATTTCTGTTCCTTTTCAAAGGATCTCACTTATCTTCTTGTTTTCTGCCCCATTGGATAAATCATCTCATGTCATCATTTATTTAACTTCAAACACAATTTCTAAATGTTGAGGAATACGAGAACAAAAAGAGCATGTCTGCATCTGCATACATGGTCTTAGGTATTGGGTGAAAGACCATCAAAAACTTATATTAGTACTAGGAAGAACACAATTATTTTAAAATACATTAAATGCATAATAACTTTTAAAATTAAGGGTCAGGAAGAAATCTCTAATAGAAATCACAAAACGATAGACATTTTCTTTGACCATTCTTGCTTTGCTTCTCTAATGTATATTTAATATTAATATAAATAACAGCAGTAATGACAACCATAATGGCCACTACCATGTCATAGAATGTACTATATGCATTCACGTGTTTCATCTGATTTGGTCCACATATCATAACATGAAGTTGGTGAGGCTGAGGCTATATATGTTATTCAGACTCAAGATAGAAAGGATTCATTAGGAAAGGGTTCATGAGAAAAATAAGCTTAAAGCACAATGTTTTCTTCCAACTTTCCATTTCAGGGGTACATATGCAGGATGTGCAGGTTTGTTACATAGGTAAATGTGAAGCAGAGACACTTTTTTAACATCAGTTCTCCAGTGAGTTCATAGCAGATTACAGGGTCAAAATATATATGCATACACCATAGTAAGCACCATTTAAACTTGTAGAAGTAAGAAAATTGTCCTTGAATAGTCAGTTCAATCTTCCTGTGCTCTATTGAGTGTATCTATCTGTGGATACAAAATGAATAAAGATGGATCTGGACATTTCACCCTTCCGCATATGGGAGTAAAACCTATAAGGAGACTAATAATATCATGCATCACAAATTACTTGCTGCAGTTAAAGAAGTTTTATTCAGATCCTCATGATCTCACAGGGATCCAGTATCTTGAGAGTTGACGAACTTTCCATAAAAACACTAATCACGTATAACAGTTCAGTCAAAATCTACTGATATAGATATTCCAAAGTATGGCAGGAATTTAGAACAAAAGATGGAAAATTTGAAGGCTCTGATCTGTAACATTTCTTCTTAAAATATTTCAGCTGACTTGCTTAGCCTGGTATGCAGAATCTGGTGCAAGCTGAGCACGGTCTAAGTTGCCTCATCATCTCAGCTCTCCATGCTTCTGTATTTGTATACTTCCATACTTAGCAAGTAACTGTTCTCCCTCCATGGAATGTATTATTATCCTCTGCCACTGTCCTCTTAAACCTGGCAAATGCATAACTTTCTTTTGAGACCTACCTTTGTTAAGACCTAGCTCTTTGAAGACTTCCCTGATTGTCCAAGGTAATGTTGACTTTACTTTGTAACTGTATGTATTTTTCTTATGTCAGCAACCACTGCTCTGGGTTATTACTATATTTTTCTCTCCCAAATAAGACAAGAGGTTCTGTTAGAAGTGGAACCTTAATATCCATTTTTATGTGATGAATTTCTAGGCCCATGTGTGGGCTGTATTAAAGGATTAAAGCAAGCTTGTTCAACCTGTGGCCCAGGACAGCTTTTATTGTGGCCTGAGACAAATTCGTAAACTTTCTTAAAACATTATGAGATTGTTTTGTGATTTTTTTTTAGCTCACCAGCTATCATTAGTGTATTTTATGTATGGCCCAAGACAACTCTTCTTCCCATGTGGCCCAGGGAAGCCAAAAGACTGGACACCCTTGGGTGAAAGCTTATTAGTAATGAGTAAATAAACAAAATGGAGTGGATGAATAGTGTAGTTCACTATGGACAAGTTAAATAATGCTTTTCTCAATGATAAGGGCAAAATGAAAATTCTGAGATTTCTACATGCATTATCCTTGAAACCTTTAGTATTTTACATGTAGAGAGGTCATTGTTCAGACTCGCATTTGATAGAGTAATCAGTGTTGAAGACATTCCCAATGGTGTAAGTTGCCATACTTCTGCAGTATAGGCTGGTTGCCCACAGGAAAATATTGGAGACAAAGCTGAAAGCAATGTAAAAACCTTGTGAAAAAGCAGAATGTATCTTTGAAGAACTGCACTTAATATGTTATTCAGCCTAATTTGTGCATTTTAAGTAACATGTTGATGAGTTGTACGGTAGTTTTCCTTTATCCATAGCCCATACCACAACTCCAAGTAGATGCCTGCAGATGGTACTGAACCCTTATATATACTATGTTTTTCCTGTGCATACATACCTATGATAAAGTTTAATTTATAAATTAGGCACAGTAAGAAATTAATAACTATTGATAAAATAGAACAGTTATAACATCATACTGTAATAAAAAAAATCTATGTAAATGTGGTTTCTCTCTCTGTGTGTCTCTCTGTCATCTCAAAATATCTTATTATACTGTACTCACCTATTTTTGGACTGTGGGTGACCACAGGTAACTGAAGCTGTGGAAAGCAAAACCATGAATAAGTGGGGACTGCTGTATGTGTTGTAGAGCTGTGCTGTCCAGTCTGTCAGCCACTACTTACATGTGGCTACTGGGAAATGGAAATGTGTGCCCAAAGTGATATGTGCTGTAAGTGAAAAATGAACATTAGGTTTCAGAAGATAAGTACAAAAAAAGGAATATGAACTATTTCACTATTGTTTCTCTGTTGAAATGATATTTTGAGTATATTAGGTTACATAAAATATATTATTAAACTTAATTTTATCCCTATCTCTTTACTTTTTAACTGTTACTGCTAGAAAATTTCAAACTGCATATGTGTCTTGCATTATATTTCCATTGGACAGTCCTGGAAAGGAAATTATGATTATCCAGAGAATAAAGTCATTAAATAAAAGGAAAGGTTAAATAAAGTATGACCCGTCAGGAGAGAGACAAACAAGGAGAGGGAACAGGGTAAGTCAGCCAAGCATGGAAACATGTGGCGATTGCTCAAGGGCTTGTGCTCTGAATCTGAAAATGCTGTAATGGTCTATGAAAATACTTTTAGAGCTAGTAAATGAAAATAAGTGCTTATATAACATATAAACTTAAAAAATTCATGATATTTAATGTTCAATAACTATGAGAAGGCTTAATCAACCTACTGTAATATTTTAATTAAAAATCATTCTAACGTCAAATAAACGGAGAAATACTGTCCGTCTTCCATAATAGATACAATGGATGGTTTAATGTTAAATACCCTGAGAAGTCTTACAGCTAAAAATTTATCACTGTTTCAAACAGAATTGTTCCCATATCTGGATGATAGAACTCACTCCTCCTATGTATTTAATAATCAGTATTCTATGAGATATATTTTGGGAGATACTTAGTAGAAGATAAAGTCACTGTATTTTATTAGGGATGAAACTGAGGCTAGGGAGATCCCTAATTCATTTGAGATCTAATATGTGGGCAAAATAGACAGATTGGTGCAATATCCAGCACAGTTTAACAAACACTTTCCGAGTAGCTACTTTGTGCCAGTTATTCATTCTGGCAATAAGACGAATAATACAGCCAGGTTGGTGAATATCACAATTCATAGATTCTCAGGTGATTGTTCTCATGTTTTCAGAAAAAGGCAATGACAGTGTGTACACTGACCCAGAGGGTGATTGTCCTGCTATACTTAATTTTCCAATAACTCCTATTGCATTGAAACTGTTGCAACTATTCTTCAGAAGTATAGACATTGAAATAAGTAAAATAAAATAGTAACGTACATTGAGTTTTAGAAATGTACCATGTACATGTTTTTAGAACTCTTAGCATTTTGATTTAAAATAATAAAAATTGGTGTACGTATTTTCTTTTGTAGACAAAAGATTGTAGGGTGAAAATTTGTAAATTTAACCTAATATTTTATTCTCATTGGTCACATGTTATGAAAAATTATATACCTTTCAGCTACCTGTAACTATGTCTTCTATGAGTAATCATGAACTGTCTAGCTCTGCTGAAGTTTTTATATTTTTCATGAATTCGTACTTAAATCCTAGCACTAGAGTTCCTTTTTTGAGAATTATTCCTTTTCTCTCAGCTCTTCTTTCAACTTTACCAGCAACAGGCACACAGAGAGATACATCTGTGTGCACACATGCGTGCTCTACCTTACACTCTCACATTCTCACACTGTCAGATGCTCTTAGATAAATACCTTTCTGGATGTTAGTTTTTCAGAATGTCAGTGGTCCCAATTATTTTCCTCAGGTACAGATTAAAATTTTAACCCTACATTCTCTGATAGGTTTCTGTTTAATAGCACTGATGTGTTTTTTTAAAAAAAATATCATACAATGCAATTGCATATTTTGGACATTCTCATCCTGCAACTACTTTCCCTCCCCAAAATGTTTAGATTCTGTGGCTGAGATACAGTAAAGTGCACAAAATCATGCAATCATTTACTTATTCATTCAGCAAATTGTCATCAAGGCAATGGGCTAGCAATTGTGGGGATAATAAGGAAAGCATTTTTAATACCCCTTATCCTGAAAGGAAACCTTTAATGGGAAGATATTTTTGCTATCATATTACATTTTTTTGAGTAATAAAATTGCTGTGTTTAACATTTGCCTTAAGTAACTTCCATAGATAGTTACTTTCATGCTGGCCCATAGCTGTGCTGGGGATAGTGGTAGGCACATCTTTAACTCGGGAATTAGTTTGAAGTTGCAGAATTGTTAGTAAATGTAGTATTTGTTGATTTATTACACATATTGGCAGCAATGCAATGTGTATATACTATTATAGGAAATACCAAGAAAAATAAAAATTAAAAGACAAACAGCTTATAATAATTACCCACAAAGGGCTTTTTACCATGAAAAGGAGAGAGGGGATGGTGGGTTCAAACAAATTGTTCTAATAGAAGATGAGTTCCTAAAAGAGGCATAGATGAAGTTTGATGGGGCATTCAGAGGTGGGGAAAAGTCCTCTCAGGGGGATTCAGGGAATGTTCGTGGAATGAGTTGGCAGTGGATTTGTTCAGTGTAATGTGGCTGCGATTTGGACATACAGACTTGGTGGAGATGTTCACTGCAAGTTGAGTAAGTAGTGCAAACATACACATAGAGACAAGAAAAGTCTTAGGGCGTGGATGTGAACAGCAACTGGAGGAGGTTGGTTAAGTACAAGCATAGAATGGGAAATGAATGTGAATGCCATGCACAAAGCACATATGCATTGTGTTCTACTATATATTTACACAGGTGCCTTTTCTTTCTCTGGAAGGGAGATTTGCATGGATGCCTTTCTAGGTGGATGTCATACCCAGCGAATTCTGTTGATAAGCTATTGCCGTTGCAGTGACTGCAATAATTCTTGAGCATGCCATCTTTACCAGCTCTGCTAGAGTGTTGAATGTTCAAAAGAAAAACCCAAGTACCTATTAAATCATCAGATGCCATAGTGTGTTTATAAAATCAGATGAAAGCCAATTTCTGTATTAGAGCAGATCTACTTTTCTGTGCTTGGTTGGTGTTGTAAGGAGAGATTATTCTGCTTCCCTAAGAAGGTTAAGCTGTCATCTAGTTAAATATGGACTTAAAATAATGCTGCCAAAGCAGTTGCCTCTTGTGATTGATGATGATGATGACAGATGATGATAGTTTTGAAATCAGTTTTACAGGGAAAATTGCTATTTTTCTACTTTGGCTGATGTTGTAGTTCTAGATTTGCGAATTTCTTGTCATATTCGGGAACATTTTTGATTAAAAGGAAAATTGCTAAGGACTGTATTCTTGATGATAAAATGGCTCTAAAACTGAGCTATGGGGCAAATGATTATAAGTTGACTTATACATATTATTTGAGCGACAGCAGTTATTCTTGGCTTTACAGTGTCATTATGAGTTATATTTTGGGGAACAAATAGCAACCCATGTCTAGTCAGCAAAAGTGGCAGAAAGTGTGGTACTTAGAAGTTATGATAATAATAGTGTCTTACTAAAGTCATCAAAGAACTTTCGTATGTATTACTATTAAATTTTCTCTACAATTCTCTCAGGACTTCATGCATGTGTTTCCTCTCCTTGAATTGTTTTTCCCCTCAGATACCTACATGGCTTGTTTTCTTTCTCTAGAAGAATAGCCGCACCCTCTCTGCAGTCTCTCATTCCTCCATGGCATTTATCACCACCTGACATGTGATATATGTATTTGTTTACTATCTCCTCATGCTAGGTTGTAAGCCGTGTGAATGCTGAGACTGGTTTCTTCAGTGCAATAAAGTAAGAACCTATAAAAGTTCCTGGCTCATAATAGGTACTCAGTTAGTAATTCTTGAATCATTAGCTCTATGAATAAATCTTTATTTTATACATAGACGACTGAATATTGTGGTCATGATATAAAAAGAAGCTAATGTTTGGTGCCAGAATCAAATTCAAGCTTTTCAGTTTATTTAACCAAATTGCTTTGGTTTGTGTCTATGTAAGTAACATAGACAACAAATAGCCCTGAAAAAAAGGAGTAATAGTGAAGACTTACTCTTAGGTGTGAACCATTTCTGTACCTCATCACATTCTAGAATCAATCAATCAATTTTGTTTATACAGAATTGCTGGTAATGGCTACTCTATACCACTGCATTGTGTGAGCCTGTGCAGACACTGGTCTGAAAAAGCCATTTTCAGGAAGGAAAAGAAAACAGAACATAAACCCCCCAAATATTTTTTAAAGGCCAATAACATTTGTATCCATTGGGTAAACACGATCAATCAAAGCTCTACAAGCCTTCTATGGGTTGCTTCCTTAACAAATATGTTTTTTGCCTTGGCCATTCATCATATCTGGAAGTTTGGGTGATGAGCTTGAGCACTCTCTTCCGTTAATACTGAAAATAGCCACTTAGTGGCTTTGTGAAAAGAAAAGCCTGTTAAAGCGACAGAACAAACATGCATTCTCCTGACGATATAAAACAGGATATTGTAGATTGTTTATATTCGTGTGGGCTTGGTGTAATGAAATTCAGCTGAATTTTAAGAAGAGGATTTGTTTTAATGGGAAATTAGGTTGTGAATGGAAAAGGCTACAATGCAGATACGAAAGGTATTCCCTCGTACCCTCCAAACGCATAAGGAGTTTTCTAATGAGACTGAGAGTAGTAGCTGCTAAAAGCAAAGTCATCTTATCTGTTGTCTGAGATGAATTACCTTAAAAAATTGTACCCTGACCTCATTACTATACATTACATATATTGAAACATCACTATGTATCTCCTGATATGCATAATTATTATTTGTCAATTAAAGAAAATAAAATAAATTATAAAAAAACATTGTAGATGGGCTTAAAAAGTGAAGAAATAGGTAGCTTCTGTCACCAGCACTATTTAGAGGGATTGATGAACTATTTTGAGAAGGTTGGGGCTGGGAGAGGAGTACTATGAAAAATGAAAAGTCACATCTCTGGAAGCAGGCATGTAGTATCACATCCAAAGGACACTGTACATACAAGGTCTACTGCAGTCAGAGAGATTAAAATAATCTTCCGACCTCTGAAATAGGATAATACACCAATTATAAGTGATCTCATGACTAGAAAGTGTACTTTTTTTCCAGGACAGTTAGTGTGTCTGAAAGTGAGCAGCTAGAAAGTTCAAGGAGGCAGACTCACTTATTTTTGGTTATAGAATGGGTAGGGTTTGGGCCAAATAATCTAGCTTGTAGAGTCAAGTTTAGTCATTTGTTGAGGTTTACAGGAAGCACAAAGAGAGAAGAGTAGTTGAAACAGCATAGGTTGGGCAAAGAATTAAATGGTGGGATAAAATGGGTCTTGGTAAAACATGTAAATGAGATTAAATGAGCTGGAAAGAAATCAACCAAACAAATTTCAAATGCTGAAGGTAATAGAGTGGGTAATGGTTGTCCCATTATGTGGTGGCTTTAGTTTTCAGTCCTAGTACCACAATGCCCCTTGCCATAGACCTTTTCTTTAAAACAAACAAGGAATATTCTTATGCCTTATTTTCTACATAATGAGTGTTTTTATTGATTTTAGATTTTTTTCAAGATCCCTATAGAGGGATTTTGAATACTTTTCATTTCCTGCTTTAACCAGGATGTCTGCCAGAAATGGATGTAAAGCAGTGCATGGATTTTAAAATAAGAAAGCTCTTAGAATTTCCTTATCCATTTCCAGTGCTTTGTGCATTGCTCCAAAATATTGCTGTTTTCAGTATGGGTTTTGGGTCTCATATAGAGAAGATGGCTCATTTGATCGAATAACATTTCATATAATTGCCCTTTATAATTTAACTTTTCTATGTAAAATCATATTCACTTCTGTGTGATCAATTACAAATATAAAGATTTAATTTCATGAGAATTACTGCTCCTTCAATTAATAGACTAGAGAAGAAGAGATTCTACATTTTCCCTTAAATGGCATAACTAATTAATAGCGAAATGTGACTAGAACCCAGATTTTCTGAATCATGGACTCAGTGTTGTTTCTCCTACGAAGAGCAGATAGAGTACTTGTAGTTAAACAAAATTAGATTAAAATTTCAGCTATCAACCCTATTAGCAAGTTATTTATGCTGTAAGCCTCTTATTTTTTAATCTATAAAATGAAGTTAATAATAGCATTTCTATAGCATTGTAGGATGACTGTAGTTGATAATATATAGCTAGAGGGAGGATATTGAATATTCCCAACACAATGAAATGATAAATGTTCAGGACGATGCATATGATAATTACCCTGATCTGATCACATTACATGTATGGAAACATCACTATGTGGGAAATAACCAAACTGTTTTGGAACCCTTGCTCATGAAGGAATTTGCATTTTGTCACACTATTTGCATGTTCATTTGGTTTTGGACTGCATTATGCATATTTAAAACATACTAAATGTTATCCCTCAAAGAATGTGTAATCTTAACAGTCCTGAGTGAAGACAAAAGTAGACAGTGATCGTGGAATCCAGAACATACTATCCAATGATCAATATAATACCTAGTAATTTAAAATAGAGCCTTTTACTGATTTTGCTCTAGTTCTAGTTAATGAAGAAAAGAAGAGATCATTTTAAAGGAATAATTAGTAAAGACACCTGCAAATTTTATGCATAAGTCTGAGTAAGAGAAATTCTGCTGATAATGCTAATATTATATTGTCACCTATATATATAGTGTCATATCTAAATATTTTAAAAATACCAAATAAGAATATCCTGCTTTTTACTATAGAAAAGAAGCTAATGGAAAACCGATCATCTGACCAATTATTAAAATGCATCCTCTCTCCTATAAGCTCTGTTGTTAATTTCGTGATACACCTTGAATATGCCACAAGCAATTGGTAATAGCATCAATTAACATTTGGGAAGTTCAGCATGGCCACCTAAGATATTAAATATTTGCTACAGGAATGCTAATGAAATCCACTGATGTTATATTCCCAAGGTATTGTTTACCAATAACAGCAAAGCTAAGGGTTACCAAATAAATGAAGGAAGATCTACTTAGAGCTGTTTTCTTCAATTATTCTAATTTTTGTGTTCTCATTTTGGTTCTGAGTTTTCTCACCTGCATTTGAGGTCAGAGTCTGGAAACAGGGCTTTCAGGGATGCATCACTAATGTCCTTTAGGAAATATGTCTTTGCATAATCAACGTCATTGAGGAGACTTTTATAAGAAAATGAAAAAAAGAATGAATTTGACTTTCCCTTCACTTTTTTTTTGTAGAGCCATTGCCGTTTCTGTATTTGGATAGGAGAGAAATGAAGCATTGTTATTTAATTTAGCCCTTATTATAACATATTATGTAGTCTCTTAGGGTGGCATGTTACCAAAAACAAGATGTTCTATTTTAAAAGTTGATTTAGTATTACTTCTTTTTTTTAATTCACAATACATTATGTAGGTAGGTTTTTTTTTCTGTACATTACACACCACAGACTGTATTAGAAAATAATGTTGGTGTAGTTTTATTGAAGCCACATCATGAAACATAAGTATTATAAAGAGAAGGCTGTTTTCCCATTTCAATCAGTTGTCTAGTTGATGTGTTTATTTTTCATCCAATTTATTTTATATACTAAAAAACAGCTCTTAGGAAAGTGAGTACATCAAACTCAGTTTCATTGATTTAATTTTATTTATTTTACTTTAGGCTAAGTTAATTCAAATCAATAGCGTGTATGTATTTCAGTGTAACCTGTGATGATTTCTGCTCAAACTCTACATTCACATTTATAGGAATCAGGATATTGCCAGATACGCACTGATTTAATGAATGAAGACATTGCAGATATTAGAAACAACAGTCTCTAATGAAATAATTGAATTTATTTTTCCCTCCAACATAGTTGAGTGGTGAAACTATACTCTTGATAAAGTTTTTTATTATAATGTATTAAGTACAGTGGTAAATAAAATGGACTTCATTTTCAAATGGATCTTCAGCAAAACATTAGGTTTTTAAATCACCTTTATTACATTTTTATGTATCTCTTTTTGGGATCTTATTGCTTTATTAGTATATAACGTTTTTGATATTTCTAAACATGTTTCCAAAAATCTGAATTTACACATTGATAAAAATAAAAACGACTTAGTCTTCTCTGTCACTGTGTTCTTTTTGCACTTCCATTGACTATGTTCCATTCATGAATAAGAAAAAGAAAAAAATTAGAAGAGATTTATTGGAAAGCAAAGGTAACTCTTACTACTATTTCATAGACCATCTCTTTGATTTTGCAGGTTAGTTTGTCCTGTCTGGGGGAGATAAAATGTAGATTTAATATGGCTAATGATTTAGAATCCTGTCTACTATGAAACTTAACTCACACACTAAGAAAGGTGATATAAATGCTGAATCCCTTTAAGTACATCTTGGCTTGATGATGATATTTGATGATCCACTGATTTGTCTTCCAAAACACTGTAACATTTGGTTCTTTCTGAAATCATCAATATTATTGTTGTCGAAAGACTTCAGAAAGCCAGATTGTCTCCCAAATTGTTTAATACTTCTTTGCTTTTTGGTACGTTTTCTTATTTAGTTATTAAATAAGTTCTTAGTCTTTAAAGCTGATTTTTAATTTTTTTGTCTTTTAGGGACTACTATATTCACAAAAGAATACCAGTAATACATGCACAGCACAATGAAAAAAACCAATATGAAGTAGTTGTTTGATTAGTTTCAGCAATATAAATGGCCACTGCAAGTAGTTTAGGAGCCAAAGAGCATTCCTGCAATCTAGAATTAGTAGTTTCATTTTTTTTTCAATTGAATTGAAATTGGTCAAGGTAACTAGATAATGCTAAATCCCCAGTCTACTTTGTGCCGTGTAGTTATTCTAATCGTATTGAAGAACGTTGTCCATTTGTCAGCATTTTACAAAGTGTGTTAATGACTTCTATTCCTGCTACCTTATTTTTCTGCCCATTAGAATAAACAGTGACTTTATGTCACATAAAAGTAGCCTTATAGCCTTTTTAAACGTTTATTTTTGACAGGAGTTGATGGTATGGTATTTATGAGAGCTGAGACCAGAATTAAAAAGTTGTAACACATTGTTTTAGTGAACGAAACAAAAGAACAAATATTCTGCCACACGATTTATACCATAATTCTAGAATTTACTTTATCCTTTTATAAATTCAACAGCTAAAAAGGTCTACTGACTAATTTTTCTTAATTAAATTATTTTCTTGAAACAGAATATAAGTTCCTGCTACTACTACTACTAATCTCATCTTTATTGGAATCAGTTAGGTCATATTGAGCCATGATTACTTTTTCATTTTTTTTTTTTTATTGAGACAGAGTCGCACTCTGTCACCCAGGCTGGAGGGCAGTGGTGCCATCTCGGCTCACTGCAGCCTTAACCTCCTGGACTCGATCTATCCTCCCGCCTCAGCCTTTGAAATTGCTGGTATTACTGGCATGAGCCACCACACCTGGTCAAGATTTCTTATTAATTTAACATTTTCAACTATTTCTGCATAGTTGATATGTGTCCTATTGCTTTCTGATTTTTTTTTAATTTGTTCTTTTTGGTTATTATACTTTAAGTTCTGGGATACATGTGCAGAACATGCAGGTTTGTTACATAGGTATACACGTGCCATGTTGGCGTGCTGCAGCCATCAACCCATAATCTACATTGGGTATTTCTCCTAATGCTATCCCTCCCCTAGCCCCCCACCCCCCTACAGGCCCCAGTATGTGATGTTCCCCTCCCTGTGTCCATGTGTTCTTATAGTTCAACTCCCACTTATGAGTGAGAACATGCGGTGTTGGGTTTTCTGTTCCTGTTTTAGTTTGCTGAGAATGATGGTTTCCAGCTTCATCCATGTCCCTGCAAAGGACATGAACTCATCCTTTTTTAATGGCTGCATAGTATTCCATGGTGTATATGTGCCACATATTCTTTATCCAGTCTGTCATTGATGGGCATACGGGTTGGTTCCAAGTCTTTGTTATTGTGAACAGTGCTGCAGTAAACATACATGCGCATGTGTCATTATAGTAGAATAATGTATAATCCTTTGGGTATATACCCAGTAATGGGATTATTGGGTCAAATGGTATTTCTGGTTATAGATCCTTGAGGAATTGCCACACTGTCTTCCACAGTGGTTGAACTAATTTACACTCCCACTAACAGTGTAAAAGCATTCCTATTTCTCCACATCCTCTCCGGCATTTGTTGTTTCCTGACTTTTTAATGATCTCCAATCTAACTGGCGTGAGATGGTATCTCATTGTGGTTTTGATTTGCATTCTCTAATGACCAGGGATGATGAGCGTTTTTTCATATGTTTCTTGGCTGCATAAATGTCTTCTTTTGAGAAGTGTCTGTTCATATCATTTGCCCACTTTTTGATGGGGTTGTTTTTTTCTTGTAAATTTCTTTAAATTCCTTGTATATTCTGGATATTAGCCCTTTGTCAGATGGTGGATTACAAAAATTTTCTCTCATTCTATAGGTTGCCTTTTCACTCTGATGATAGTTTCTTTTGCTGTGAGGAAGCTCTTTAGTTTAATTAGATCCCATTTGTCCATCTTGGCTTTTGTTGCCGTTGGTTTTGGTGTTTTAGTCATGAAGTCTTTGCCCATGCCTATGTCCTAAATGGTATTGCCTAGGCTTTCTTCTGTGGTTTTTATAGTTTTAGGTCTTAGGTTTAAGTGTTTAATCCAGCTTGAGTTAATTTTTGTATAAGGTGTAAGGAAGGGCTCCAGTTTCAGTTTTCTGCTTACGGCTAGCCAGTTTTCCCAACACCATTTATTAAGTAGGGAATCCTTTCTCCATTGCTTGTTTTTGTCAGGTTAGTCAAAGTTCAGCTGGGTGTAGATGTGTGGCATTATTTCTGAGGGCTCTGTCCTGTTCCATTGGTCTATATATCTGTTTTGGTACCAGTACCGTGCTGGATTTATAAAGCAAGTTCTTGGAGACCTACAAAGAGACTTAGACTCTTACACAGTAATAGTGTGAGACTTTAACACCCCACTGTCAATATTAGACAGATCAATGAGACAGAAAATTAACAAGGATATTTAGGACTTGAACTCAGCTCTGAACCATGTGGATCTAATAGACATCCACAGAACTCTCCACCCCAAATCCACAGAATATACATTTTTCTCAGCACCACATCGCACTTAATTATTGGAAGTAAACTCTAATAATTGGAAGTAAAACTCTACTCAGCAAATGCAAAAGAACAGAAATATGACAAACAGTCTCTCAGACCACAGTGCAATCAAATTAGAACTCAGGATTAAGAAACTCACTCAAAACCGCACAACTACATGGAAACTGAACAACCTGCTGCTGAATGACTACTGGGTAAATAACGAAATTAAGGCAGAAATAAATAAGTTCTTTGAAACCAAGGGGAACAAAGACACTTATGTACCAGAATTTCTGGGACGCATTTAAAGCAATGTTTAGAGGGAAATCTATAGCACTAAGTGCCTGCAAGAGAAAACAGGAAAGATCTAAAATTGACAGTCTAACATCACAGTTAAAAGAACCAGAGAAGCAAAAGCAAACAAATTCAAAAGCTAGCAGAATACAAGAAACAACTAAGATCAGAGCAGAACTGAAGGAGATAGAGACATGAAAAACCCTTAAAAAAAATCAATGAATCCAGGAGCTGGTTTTTTGAAAAGATTAGCAAAATAGATAGACTGCTAGCCAGACTAATAAAGAAGAAAAGAGAGAAGAATCAACTAGACAGAATAAAAAATGATAAAGGGGATATCACCACTGATCCCATAGAAATGCATACTACCATCAGAGAATCCTATAAACACCTCTATGCAAATAAACGAGAAAATCTGGAAGAAATGTATAAATTCCTGGACACATACACCCTCCCAAGACTAAACCAGGAAGAAGTCAAATCTCTGAATAGACCAATAACAAGTTCTGAAATTGAGGCACTAATTAATAGTCTACCAACCAAAAAAAGTCCAGGACCAGATGGATTTACAGCCGAATTCTACCAGAGGTACAAAGAGGAACTGGTATCATTCCTTCTGAAACTATTCCAAACAATAGAAAAAGAGGGAATCCTCCCTAACTCATTTTGTGAGGTCAGCATCATCCTGATACCAAAACCTGGCAGAGACACAACAAAAAAAGAAAATTTCAGGTCAGTATCCCTGATGAGCATCGTTGCAAAAATCATCAGTAAAATACTGGCAAACCGAATCCAGCAGCACATCAAAAATCTTATCCACCATGATCAAGTCATCTTCATCACTGGGATGCAAGGCTGGTTCAACATACACAAACCAATAGGCAGAGAGCCAAATCATGAGTGAACTCCCATTCACAATTGCTATGAAGAGAATAAAATACCTAGGAATACAACTTAAAAGGGATGTGAAGGACCTCTTCAAGGAGAACTACAAACCACTGCTCAAGGAAATAACAGAGGACACAAACAAATGGAAAAGCATTCTATGCTCATGGATAGGAAGAATCAATATCATGAAAATGGCCATAAGGTAAAAGTAATTTACAGATTCAATGCTATCCCCATCAAGCCACCATTGACTTTCTTCACATAAACAGAAAAAACTGCTTTAAATTTTGTATGGAACCAAAAAAGAGCCTGTATAGCCAAGACAATCATAAGCAAAAAGAACAAGGCTGGAGGCATCAGGCTACCTGACTTCAAACTATACGACAAGGCTACAGTAACCAAAAAAGCATGGTATTGGTACCAGAACAGATACATAGACCAATGGAATAGAACAGAGGCCTCAGAAATAATGCCTCACATCTACACCCATCTGATCTTTGACTAACCTGAGAAAGACAAGCAATGGGGAAAAAATTCCTTGTTTAATAAATGGTGTTGGGAAAACTGGCTAGCCATAGGCAGAAAACTGAAACTGGAACCCTTCCTTACACCTTATACAAAAATTAACTCAAGCTGGATTAAACACTTAAACCTAAGACCTAAAACCATAAAAACCACAGAAGAAAACCTAGGCAATACCATCTAGGACATAGGCATGGGCAAAGACTTCATGACTAAGACACCAAAAGCAAAGGCAACAAAAGCCAAGACTGACAAATGGGATCTAATTAACCTAAAGAGCTTCCTCACAGCAAAAGAAACTATCATCAGAGTGAACAGGCAACACAGTATAAGAGAAAATTTTTGCAATCTATCCATCTGAAAAAGGGCTAATACCCAGAATCTACAAAGAACTTAAAGAAATTTACAAGAAAAAAGCAACCCCATCAAAAAGTGGGCAAATGATATGAACAGACACTTCTCAAAAGAAGACATTTATGCAGCCAAGAAACATGAAAAAACACTTATCATCACTGGTCATTAGAGAAACGCAAATCAAAACCACAATGAGATACCATCTCTCATCAGTTAGAATGGTGATCATTAAAAAGTTAGGAAATAGGCCGTGCATGGTGGCTCATGCCTGTAATCTTAGCACCTTGGGAGGCCGAGGTGGGCCGATCACGAGGTCAGGAGTTGGATATCACCTGGGGCCTACATGGTCAAACCCTGTCTCTACTAAAAATACAAAAATTAGCCAGGCGTGGTGGTGCACGTCTGTAATCCCAGCTACACAAGAGGCTGAGGCAGGAGAATCACTTCAACCCGGGAGGTGGAAGTTGCAGTGAGCTGAGATCGCACCATTGCACTCCAGCCTGGGCAATAGAATGAGACTCCATCTCAAAATCAATCAATCAATCAATCAGGAAACAACAGATGCTGGAGAGGATGTGGAGAAATAGGAACGCTTTTACACTGTTGGTGGGAGTGTAAATTAGTTCAACTATTGCGGAAGACAGTGTGGCAATTCCTCAAGGATCTAGAACCAGAAACACCATTTAACCCAGCAATCCCATTACTGGCTATATACCCAAAGCATTATAAATCATTCTACTGTAAAGACACATGCACATGTATGTTTATTGCAGCACTGTTTGCAATAGCAAAAACTTGGAACCAACCCAAATGCCCATCAGTGATAGACTGGGCTTTCTGATCTTTTGATTTTGAGGTTTCATTGAATATTAGCACAGATTTTCTTATTTTTTTTTCTGTCTCAATATACATTTAGGAAATTACTTCCTAATAAGTAAGAAGTACATCTAGATAGTTGTTGGATGAAATATATTAACATTAGCTATTGCTTAAGAAAACAACTGGATAATGTTTTCCTACCTTTTTAATCATCTCATCCTGCTAGTGTACTGTGTTTGCTCATGTTTATGAACCTACCACACATAATATAATTGGCTCTGAACTTCCTGAATTGCAAATCCTGTATTCAATAATTTCATGCATGCAGCCTATTTCTCAATTTATTTCTGGGAACTCTAATCTTTTGCTTCACAGATACTTTGAACTGGCATCTCATGTCTTAGTCTGAGTTCCTAACCTTTTTATATTTTTTTATTATTTGTATTATTTATATATTGATTTCTTATTTCTCTCCCATTGAAATGTAAGATTTATGAGGGCAGAAAACTTTTCCATCTTGTCCACCAGTGTTTCTCAGGCACTTAGAGAACTGTGTGGCCTAAGAGGGATTGATTGTGTACTCTTACATTATTCTTTTTCATTTATTATTTCATTTGTTTCTTATAACCTTATAAGGCATAAGTGCTATTCTGTAGGTGAGGAGACGAAGACATACAGAGGTTAAATAATGTACCCAAAGCTATATTGCTCTAGTAGTTGGTTATTTAGTGATTTTTTTTTTTGGCTCTGTAAATTTGAGGCCATTTTTCTTCAGAACATTCCC
Organism: Homo sapiens; assembly: GCF_000001405.40. Classification (NCBI taxonomy): domain Eukaryota; kingdom Metazoa; phylum Chordata; class Mammalia; order Primates; family Hominidae; genus Homo; species Homo sapiens. Next base: position 2,259,139 of record NC_000003.12, read on the forward strand.
TTTTCCCCAGCATCTTTATGGTACCTGGCTATGCACTTGCTTTTGCTCATAAGCCTAGGTTTTGTCTGGTCAGTCAGTGAACATAAATAAGGAATCTGCTAACCAATCAACAAGGAGGAAGGGAGAAATCAGTGAAAATCGTCACTAATGTTGAAGATAATAAACATTTTGGACAATGACTGATGTTTTATGAAGAGCTTTTCATAGGAATTCTTATTTAGTTATTCTCATGTTACATGATGGGGAAACTAATCTCAGAGTTGCAAATGTTAAGTGCCAAAGGCAACACAGCCAAAAGTCTATAGCTGGTGCATTAGTCCGTTTTCACGCTGCTGATAAAGACATACCCGAGACTGGGTAATTTATAAAGAAAAAGCGGTTTAATGGACTCACAGTTCCACGTGTCTGGAGAGGCCTCATAATCATGGCAGAAGGCAAAAGGCACATCTTACATGGCTGCAGGCAAGAGAGAATGAGCGCCAAGCAAAAAGGGAATCCCTTATAAAACCATCAGATCTCATGAGATGTATTCACAACCACGAGAACAGTATGGGGCAAACCACCCGTATGATTCAGTTTTCTCCCACCAAGTCCCTCCCACAACATGTGGGAATTATGGGAGCTACAATTCAAGATGAGATTTGGGCGGGGGACGCAGCCAAATGATATCAGCTCGTGAGTGAGCATCAGACCTGGGGTTCACATCCTCGTATCTTTGCATTCTTTCCCATCCATTGTATTGTGGGAAGAGCAGATAGTTCTCCCCATTCCCACTCTTCTTTGTTGTGTGTGTGTCCACTGTTGATGAGAATGTCACTCTTTGTTATTTTCAAGTTTTTTTAGTCACTGAGCTTTCCCATGATTTTCATAGGTCATTGGAATTTTGTATTGTTTTATGAAATATACACTGAAATAAGATCCTTGGCTACAATTACAGTTTTGTATAATTTAGAGAGCACGTAGGCACCATTTTCTTGCCCAAGAATGGGGATAGCAATTCTTTTACTTTCTACCACATAATGTAGCTGTAGGATGAAATCCTGTAGCTGAAGTTTCTCAACTCCAGCCCATTGATATTTTGGGCCAGGTGATTGTTTGTTGCAGGAGGGTGTCCTGCGCATTATAGGAAGTTCAGCAGCTACCATGGCCTCTACCCTGTAGCACCACCCGAGTTGTGATAATCAAAAATGTTTTCAGGCATTATCATTTTTTTTTTGGCTTCCAGGGGATGTAAAATTGCCCATGGTTGAGAACCTCCGGATTAAATTAAGATAATAAATGTGAAAATGTACATTTTAAGACAATTTTCCAATTCAAGGTGTTATTAGGATGAGATTTAAGAACAATAGAAAAAATCATTGTGGCAGATGAGGTAAGCAGCAGAAGGGAAAACAGGGTATAGACATTAAGGACTAGAGTTGGCTGTCTCCTATTATAGTCTTGTGAAAGCTCACTCATACAGATTCCTGCTATAAATTTCTTGCTTTTGTATTTTTCCAAGCAAATATTTAATACAATGTTGCCTGCTAATAGAACTTCCCATTACAGATTTAAGTTTTCTTTTCTTTTCTTTTCTTTTTATTTTATTTATTTATTTTTTTTTTGAGACAAGAGTCTCGCTCTCTGTCATCCAGGCTGGAGTGCAGTGGTGTGATCTCGGCTCACTGTAACCTCTGCCTCCCAGTTCCCAGTGATTCTCCTGCATCAGCCTCCTGAGTAGCTGGGATTACAGGTGCCCACCGCCACGCTTGGCTAAATTTTTGCATTTTTTAAGTAGAGACGAGGTTTCACCATGTTGGCCAGGCTGGTCTCAAAGTCCTTGCCTCAAGTGATCTGCCTGCCTCGGCCTCCCAAAGTGCTGTGATTACAGGTGTGAGACACTGCAGCCGGCCTAAGTTTTCATTTCTTTATGAAATACTGTGTAGCATATTCACTACCATATGATGAATAATTAAAACTAAATTGCAATTGTCAAAATAAATGAACACATCACATTTGGAGGTAGAAAAATTCCTAATTTTTTTTTCCCACGTAGTTTATTGCATACTATTCTTATTTGTGGTATTTGGTGTTATGTAGTTACTCAAAGTTGTTACAGCATTTATACTATATTTGTTTTGTTGAATTGAAATCATAGAACCTGCCAATTAAATTTAAAACAATGTCATACACGTTGGTTTCTCTATTACTTACAGAGTAAAATTCTCAAAGCCCCATGAGGCATCCTTGTCTTAATGGCATGGATATGTTACTGCATGTGCTCTTATTGTCCAGCCAGCTGGTATTCATATATAAGATTTTATTAAATAACATCTTACACATTATTTATGTGATAGGCTTTGGTGATGGGGCTTTGAGAAAGCTGTCCAGAAGAGAGATGTGAGCATTCTCTATGTTAATAACTTTCTACTATTTTATTTTAATGTAACTTGCTACATTTGCCATCTGGGATAGAAGCTTCTGCATCAACCATTAACTATCAACACCAACTATTCCAGGCTGCAGAATTTCAGTTTGAAACGGTTCTAAAATTCTATGGAATAGTGAAGGCCCGCTTGCTTCATTGTGCTTTCCTTTAAGTGGAGTATTGCCCAGATGTGGAAGTTAGATGTGGAATTTTCAGACAGAACTGTTTACCTTGAGAATGGCTGGGCACCTTCCATTTGTACTACTTTTTATTATTGTCAGAACTGATCAAATAAATCTGCCCGAGTATCTGTGTGTGGGATGCATGTTGAAAGCGATTTTATTGTTGCCCAATAAGTCCCCAAATGCTGTCGTCTTTTGCTTTCCCTCTCCCATCTTAAGTGCCTTTTTGCAACTTGCCTCACAAATCACATTGTCTCTACTTATTACCCAGGCTTTTCTCCAGCTGGTAAAATGGATTTTTTTTTCCTCAGCCAGATTCAGAGTTTGCCCTGTTCTTATTCCCTGTATGTTTCCCTTCACTTTTAATGTGAAAATTGCAAATATATTTCTAAACCCTTCTGCACAACACTTTCCATTTATGGAAAACTCACACTATATAAAGTAACGAGAGGAGATATCTAAAATGTGTCTTCCATTTTCTGCTCTGTATCTCCAACTGGACCAATTTTTCCAGATAATTTCTCCTTTCTTTCCAACTTTATCTGCATCGTAGAATTCAGAGAACTGAAAGCATTTCTTCCTTTCTTTATTTTTTTTCATATTCTTTCTCTACTGCAGACTTCGCTAACTGATGAAACACTGCCAGAGCCCACTTGGACTGTTTCGCAACTTTACTTAAGGGAATAAAAGCTCTCATGCTGAGGTAAGGCAAACAGTCCATGTAGGTTCTCACTAAAAAGAAGAGTGGATTTTATAAGCTCGGGCCTGTCTTATAATCTCTCTGTGTCTTGTTCTTGTATGTACCTTGATAATTTACTATCTGTCCTTTTTCTGCCCAGTGGATTTTTGAGGTTCACAAATGTGAGATACACAAAGATGTGATATACACTTGCTGTTCCGTGTTTTTTTTTTTTTGCAAATATGCATTTTCCCTCCAGAACTGTTACTGGTAACTATCCTGAGACTCAAGATGACTTTAAATAACACTTTTTTAAATACTATACTTAGTTAGGGTTAGACTTGGCTGCAAGAAACAGAAAATTCATAAGATCAGGAGCTTAAATGAGATACAACTATATTTTTCTCTTTGAATTAAAACTTGAGATAGGCATTCCAAAGCTACTGTAGTGTTCCATGATGTCAGGGATCCAGGATTTGTCAGACATAGCTTTTGTCCTCATGATTGCAGATGGAGCATAAGGACAATGTGTTATAGTCACATTCCAAGCAGAATGTGAAAAGGTACAATTATTTCCTTGTAAGGAAAGTTCCCAGTAGTTGTGGTACAACTGTGCTGGTTAATTCTATGGATCGGTGCTTAGTCAGAGGGCCATGTGTGGCTGCAAAAAAGGCTGGAAGATACGATACAGTCCTTTTTCTTGTGGCCATGTGTCCAGCTAAAATTTATGTCCTCTAAGAAGAGAAAAATTAGCAGTATTTTGCTCTCAAACATTAATTTTAATATATCCTATATTTTAAAACACTGTTGCTGGGTAGATTGTGAACTACATGTGGGCAAGGACTGTGTATAATAAAAAATATTATGTTGTCAGCTCTTAACGGTGTCAGCAAAATAATGAATAAATATTCATTGAAAATGTACATGGAGAGATGGTATTTTTATCATGTGAAATATGACTCAAAATGAGACTGATTTTTTACATTTTAAAACAAATGCACCCAACCATTGTTTATTCATTCAGTAATCACTGAGCGTATATACCGATTCATTAAAGTATCATTTTTCTTTCTTTAATTAAAAATCTTAAATTGATATATAATAGTTTTACATATTCTTGGAGTGCATATGATATTTTGATATCTGTATTTAATGTAGTAATGATCAAATTAGAGTAACTGGGATACCTATTACCTCAAACATTTATTTTTTCTTTGTGTTGGGAATACTGCAAATCTTCTCTTCTAGCGATTTTCAAATAGACAATAAATTATTGTTAATTATAATTTCCCTATTGTAGAGTCAAATATTAGAACTTATTTCTTCTATCTGACTATATTTTTGTGCCCTTTAACCAACTTCTCTTCATCTGCCTCTCCCTTCCTTTCCAAGCCTCTGGTAACCATCATCCTACTCTCTATCTCCCTGAAATCTACTTTTTTAGTTTTTGTATATAAGTGAAAATATGTGTTGTCTTTTTGTGCCTGGCTTATTTTACTTAACATAATGACCTCCAGTTGAGCAAATGACAGAATTTCATTCTGTTTTATGGCCAAATAATATTCCATTGTGTGTAGCTATACCACATTTTATCTATCCATTCATTTCTTGATGGACACAAAGAGTAATTCCATATCTTGGCTATTATGAATAGTGCTGCAGTAAGCACGGCAGTGCAGATATCTCTTCCATATACTGATTTTCTTTCTTTTGGATATACACCTAGCAGTGACATTGCTGGATCATATGGTAATTCTATTTGTAGTTTTTTGAGGAAACTCCTTACTTTTTTCCATACTGGCTGTGCTACTTTTACATTTTCACAAACAGTGTATAAGCTTTCCCCTTTCTCTGCATTCTTGCCAGCATGTGTTATTTTTTGTCTTTTTGATAATAGCTGTTCTAAGTGGGGTGAGGTTATTTCTCACTGTGTTTTTTACTTGTACTTTTCTTGATGGTTAGTGATATTGAAAATTTTGTAATATACCCATTGGCCATTTGTTTGTCTTCTTTTAAAAAATGTCTATTTGGGTCCTTTGCCTATTTTTTAATGACATTATTGGTTTTTGCTATTGAGTTGTTTGGGTTTCTCATGTATTCTGGTGATTAATCTCTTTTCATATGGAAAGTTTGCAAATATTTTCTCCCATTTTGTAAGTTATCTCTTCACTTTGTTAATTGTTTGCAGTGCAGAAGCTTAAAAAGCTTAATGTAGCTTCATGCAATCCAATTTGTCTATTGTTATTTTTTTTGTTTTTGTTGCCTGTGCTTTTGAGGCCTTACCCCAAAAATCTTTTTTGAGACCAATGTTCTGTATCATTTCCTCTGGTAGTTTCATAGTTTCAGGTCTTACATTTAAGTGTTTAATCCATTTTGAGTTAATTTTTTATATGGTGAAAGATGAGAATCTAGTTTCATTCTCCTGTATATAGTTTTCCCAACACTATTTTTTAAATTTATTTTTCATTTCAATAGGTTTTGGGGGAACAGGTGGTATTTTGTTACATGAATAAGTTCTTTAGTGTTGATTTCTGAGATTTTGGTGCCCCCATCACCCAGGCAGTGTACAATATGTCCAATGTGTAATCTTTCATCCCTCACGCCACTCGTACTCTTTCCCCTGAGTCCCCAAAGTCCATTGTATCATTCTTATGCCTTTGCGCCCCCATAGCTTAGCTCTCACTTATGAGTGAGAACATACCATGTTTGGTTTTCCATTTCTGAGTTACTTCACATAGAATAATAGTCTCCATTTCCATCCAGATTGCTGTGAATGCAATTATTTCGTTCCTTTTTATGGTTAAGTAGTATCCCATGGTGTATGTAACATATTTTCTTTATCCACTTATTGATTGATAAGCATTTGGGCTGGTTCCATATTTTTGCAATTGGACATTGTATCAGCACCATTTTTAAATGAGACTACATGCTTTTGGAGCTTTTTCTAAAAATGAGTTGGCTGTAAGTACATGGATTTATTTCTCAGTTCTCTGTTTTGTTCCATTGGTCCATTTATCTGTTTTTATGCCAGTATCATGTGGTTTGTGTTACTATGACTTTGTAATATAATTTGAAATCACATAGTATGATGCCTCTGCCTCCAGCTTTATTCTTTTTGCTCAGAATTGCTTTAATTATTCAAGGTCTTTTGCGATTCTATAGAAATTTTAGGATTGTATTTTTCATTTTTGTAAAGGATGTCATTGGTATTTTGATGAGGATTGCAATCAGTCTATAGATTGCTTTGGATAGTATAAATATTTTAGCAATATTAATTCTTCTAATTCATGAACATGGGATATTTCTTCATTTTTAATGTTCTTTTCCATTTCCTTCATCAGTGTTTTATATATATATATTTTTTTTTGTGGAGATCTTCCATGTCTTTGGTTAAATGGATTCCTAGAATTTTTTTTGTAGCTATTGTAAATAGGATTGCTTTCTTGATTTCTTTTTCAGGTTGATCTCTGCTAGTGTACTGAAACACTACTGATTTTTGTATGTTGATTTTGTATTCTGCAACTTTATTGAATTTGTGTATCAGATTTAAGAGTTTTTCGTGGAGTCTTTAGATTTCCTAAAATAAAAAATCGTATCATCTGAAAACAAGAATAATTTCACTTGCTTTTCAATTTGTATGCCTTTTCTTTCTTTTTCTTTCCTAACAGCTCTGACTAGGATTGCCAGTACTATGGTGAATGGAAGTGGTGAATATGGGCATCTTTGTCTTGTTCTAGATCTTACTGGGAAGGCTTTCAATTTTACCCCATTCAGTATGATGTTAGCTGTGAGTTTGTCATATATGACCTTAATCACGTTGAGGAATGTTCCTTCTATACCCATTTTGTTGACAGTTTTCATCATGAGGGCTGTTGAATTTTATTTCATGCACAAGTGTTGTTTTTCTTATAGTGACTTCTTTAACCATTTATCAAGTCATGTTTTGGATTTCTCCTTAAAAATGAGTCTCAGACTTAAGGTTCAAAACACCTATGGAAATAATTCTCTTTACGACTAATTTTTCTCTTTAAGCCTACTTTTCTTCATTTCTCAGAGAAGTTATCTTGCTCTGATAACTTTTTAACTCTTCCTAAAAATCAAATCTCCCCCCAACAAGATGGAGATTTGGTCCTGCTGGGGGATTTTTAAGTAAGGGCTGTTAGCTGTGATTGAGGTGCCTGTATATATGAGACAAGGAGCCTTAAGGGACTAGGATCAAATTAATTAAAAGTCACATTTATTGAGCCCTGCCATTGAAGAATTTATAATGTCTTCTATGCAAACCAATTCATTGGTAAGGAACAGCATTGCTATTCTCAGCATTTTGGAAATACCACAATGTTGGAGTCGTCTCAGAAGGATCTCTGAAGAGTTCTGGGAAGGTGACAGTCAACAGCAGAATAGCAGCTGCCACCACAGTCAAGCAGTTGGTTTGCTTGGCTTGGAAGTTTTAGACATCAAAGGAGTATGGCTTCTTCAATACTAAAACCAGTGACAAAATTGCAAAAGTTATTTTTATTCCTCTTCAAATATGAGCAAACATTACTGTGATTCAGCTTATTTTTATATAATGTTACAGGGAATCAAATTAAGAATTAAATGCATTTTTTGGCATAGTTATGTCTTGTAAAGAAAGAAAGATGGTGCCAGGGGAATTTTCCTTTCAAATATGTAAAGAACTTCTAATGAGTGAACCTTTCCTGTGTCGGAAAGATAGCATTCACCTCCTTTCCTGGCTTCTGTGCCAACTTACGATTGTGGTGTGTAGAAATTTAGTGTCAGCCACTGAAAGAACTATTTCCTAAGATGATACTGCTTTTTACTCAAGGAATAAGTAGGTTCCCTTTGAATTGACCTGTGTGTGTTTGGAAAACAAGCTTAAATATCTCCTCTTCTCATAGGAAGAACACTATTTCAAAGAGCCATTTTCTTTCCTAACAAAGAAATTCATACTGCAGAAAAATCAGCAATTTCACAGCTGGTTTTTGAAATCCTGAAATGATGTATACAAATCAAAGCAGGAGAGATTCATTTGGAATGAAAGGAATATTTGAATTGCATCCCAGTTTCGAATAGGATATTGTTTCACGGTTCTACAGTATTATAAACATGTCATGTCTGTTATACATGACAATCATATCTCATCTGTGACTCATGAACTTTATAAGAAAGTGACAATTTGAAAGCATAGAATTGCAGGATTGGATGGAACGATATCTTCTAAGTTATTTCCACTCCTTTTCCCATTTTTGGTTGACCATGCTAATTCCCCTCTAAAACATTCTTCTGTAGCTACTTGAAAACACCCATTGCTTCTTAAAGTAACCTATTGTCAAAGAATATTGGATTTTCTTATGTACATTGAAAAAATGACACTTTATTGGTTTTGATTCTACCACCAAGAGTCACAGGGAACTTTCTATCTTTTCATCATATATATAACAGGCTTTTCATCTTATATGTAACAGTCCTTAAATATTTTCATATTGTAATAATTTCCTATGGAACCTGTTGACTTTTACGCTAGAGTTATAGTGATGGAGGTAATGAGAAGTGATCATATTCTGGATATATGGCAGCAGTAGACAGAAGGTGTGGTTCATAGGAATTGATCATGGAATGGATGTGGGCTGTGAGAAAGAGCAGTCAATGTTTTTGACCTGAAGATGTTTTACTAACATATGTTAAGCATTTACTATCTGCTCAATATACTTTGCTAGGCATTGTAGCACAATTAAATGTGCATTTGCATAGCTGTTCGATGATACAGGTAGGACTATTCTCTAAGACTAAGAGAACATTAGTCAGGCCTCTTATGGTGAGGGAGGGGTTCCCTTTCTTTCCATTCTCATGCTTTGACTTGAGAGAGCAAGCCTATATGTTATTATGGATCAGAATTGAGATTTCATGCTCAGTTTTAAGTCTAAAAATATGCTTTTCAATATCTAGTATTTACATGCGTGTGACTTCTCAGGAATTATAACGAGAGCCTGAAAAATTACCAGGGGCAACATTTTCAGTCCGGAGATGTTATACCCCAGTTACTGCCACTAAATTTTAAGCTCCTTGGGAGCAGGAATTTGATTCTTTTATTATATTAATAGTATCTGTTACATAATATTAACTCAGTAAATGCAGGGTATGCTATTGTAAAACTATAGTCTCAGTCTCTGTAAGTGGATTTTTTAGGATAGACTAGGTCCTAGTTAATGTGATATATCTCTATTTCTGTCTATCTATCTGTCTACCTACCTACCTATGTATCATCTATTTATCTGTCAATCAAGAGAAGAAAATAAAGAAGCACTCTTGGAGAATCAAAATTTTTTATAACATGGTATGCAACTCCCTTACGTTCTTTATCAGCCACCTGCATGCAAACAGCATTATGTCTGAAGTTAAAACATGTAAGATATATGAGAGTGGAATCCTTGGTGCATTTCACTCTTGAACTCTTGTCTATGGAGTAAGTAGCCTGGGGGTAGTTTCTCCTCCTTTTTATATATGTGGGGAGAAGGAATTAGGTGGCTGATTATCTTGTGCTAAATAGGTTTCTCTGCCGATCCACAAGGTGGCAGGGAGTCCTTAGTGCCACTATGACAGATTAACCAAATAGGCATCTGTCGAAATGTCTGATGCATTAGTTGCACTGCCTGTAAAAGAGATGGGCCTCCTTGAGAAATAAATCCACACTGAATTTCAAATGTGGTTGTGTCCCCAAAATTAGCAACGTTTTCAAAGGTGTACCCTTCAAAGGAGAGCAGAAATAAACTGTACCTTAAAAGAACTAGTGCTCAGAGGCCTTTGTTTAATCAATGGTTAGTTTGGTGGTGATTGCACAAATTCACTACATTAAATTTAATCAGGGATGTTTCTGGTATGTGGGTGGCATGCTTACTGATTAATTCATTTATATTCTTGAAATAACATATGTTCTCCTGGATGAATTTCCACAGTTTGGTAATTCCACAGCATGCATTTCAGCATCTCTAAATGGCTGTTTTGTTCACTGTCCCAGAGCCTAAGACATGCTGGGTGCTGGGTACTGATTAGTTTACCAGACTAAGAATGACAGACAGGAAATGGCACCATTTTAATCTCTCAGAAGAACATCAGAGGAATCATTTCGGTGGCTGTAAATACTTCAGGATTTTGATGTCACCTTTTCAAGTTGCTTTAAGAAATCACTTAGGAATGGTTTGGGAGACCATGATACAATGAGGTCCCGCAAAGAATTACACCTTTCTTTGTCAGGGTTCTGAAATTGATTAAGTATAACTATGTCCGTGATGTAATCGATTACATTAAAACTATCATTTTGGAGAAAAGAGACCTGATGGATTACAGAGTCTCTACCCTTATTTATAAAAAACGATGAAATGAAACTCAGTAGTTCATTGACTTTTGTAGATGGAAAGATAGTTTGTAGTAGAGCTTTGCATTCAGGACTAGTAGTTGCCACCACCCCCCGCCCATCCCCTATTATAGCCAGTTTGTTTGTTTGTTTGTTTATTTATTTATTTATTTATTTATTTATTTATTTATTTATTTTTTGAGACGGAGTCTCGCTCTGTCGCCCAGGCCGGACTGCGGACTGCAGTGGCGCAATCTCGGCTCACTGCAAGCTCCGCTTCCCGGGTTCACGCCATTCTCCTGCCTCAGCCTCCCCAGTAGCTGGGACTACAGGCGCCCGCCACCGCGCCCGGCTAATTTTTTGTATTTTTAGTAGAGACGGGGTTTCACCTTGTTAGCCAGGATGGTCTCGATCTCCTGACCTCATGATCCACCCGCCTCGGCCTCCCAAAGTGCTGGGATTACAGGCGTGAGCCACCGCGCCCGGCCTATTTATTTATTTACTTTAACTTTTATTTTAGGTTCAACGACATATATACAGGTTTGTTATATAGGTAAATTAGTGTCATGGGGGTTTGGTGTACAGATTATTTTGTCACCCAGGTACTAAGCCTAGTACCTGATAGCCAGTTTAAAGTGTGTACATTGGGGAAGGGGGGGAATGAGGTTGTTCTTAGACAGTTAGAGGCACAGAGGGTATATATATATATGGGATTGCCTTATGTTAATACATCACTTGGCTTTAAGTGTGGGAATGGACAGGAGTACTTGTTATGACCTGTGGGGCCCTACTTTCCTTCATTCTCAGAGAGATTTTGCAAATTGCCTAAAATATCTGTTAATATGCTCTGTGGCTACATGCTTACAGACATGATGACAAGGAGGGGGGAAAATATTGTTCATTGTTGTCATTTTCTAGCTGGAACCATGAGATTTGCTTAAGGAAGACTGAAGGCTAGTGTGACAGAAAATGGAGCTCAGGAGGACCCAGAATAAATTACATTCCTTTGGAGGGTCCTGAGAGGGGCAGGCCATGGCTTAGTTCCTTCTATTCCACTCATTTCTTACAGTTCAGCTGCCTCCCGATGTGCAGTTGTTTAGTATGCAAATCAATAATCATTACCTATGTGAAGTGTTAGTTCACAGGCGTGCAGGCTGTGGTCAGTTGGTACCTGTTCCCTCCTAAAGAACTATCTCTGAAGTTGAACATCTCTGTTTTTCTTTGTATAAATCTGAATATTAATTAGACCACTGCTTATTAACTTAGGGACCTCTCTGCTTTTGGTGACAGTAGCAGGCAGAATATAGATGGTAGAAAACGAAATATCATGCTGTTTCTGTAAACGGTTTGGTGTCTCCATATAATAAAACTCTTTAGAATTAACTGCCTCCAGAAACAGGGACAAATGTGATGTCCTTTCTCTGCCCCTTGAATTAAATAACAAAATGAACAGCAGATCATTTTGATGTTGCTACTCCATAAAGATCATTTTGTTATTGTTACTAGGAGAGAGTGGAGTGTAATGGAAAGAATACATGTTTACAGCTGGGCTGTAATCTTGGATCTTCTGAAAAGTAAGAATATGTTCTTGAAGGAACCTCAAATTTTGTGAATGTGCTTATTATTTTAAAGATAATTACATGGATTCAATTTCTGTCTCCGTAGTAACCTGCTGTATTATCTTTCTCTAGCTATATAATCTCTCTTTGCCTCCATTTCTTCATTTGTTAAATAGGGATAATAATAGCACCTATATCATAGGTTTATTATAAAAAATGAAATGGATTCACATTTTTAATGTTCTATGTAATTACTTATCATTGTTGTTTTAATAGGGAAAGTATTGGTTATATAAATAGCCAAGAAAACAGCCAACTGAGACTTTTCTTCCTAGATTACCTTGGTTATATCAGTGCTTCTGGGTGTGGTCACTGATATTCTACAGCAGAAACAGCTAGTGGGGTCCCCAACTAAAGAATGTATCTTATTGGAGGCTAAGAATTATGAGGCAACTATCTCTGACTTGAGAACCCTAACCTTATATTGACATCTGAGATTTATTCATCAATAAACACCTTTTTGTAATCCAGAATCATGTTATGTCATTACTTTCTATATCAGAATTTAAATGTTAAGGGACCAAGACATTATGCAATGAATACTAAAATGTTACTAAAATCATGTGTTGTGAAGAATATTTGGAAATATGGAAACATGTTCACAAGATGTTAAGTAAAAAAACAGGTTAGCAGGTTGTAAAACAGTATTTCAGTATGATTCTAAATTGCAATCATTAAATAATTTTATAATCATGAAAAATGTTATTAAAATATTATAATCCTGTGATAAATTCTAATGAGTACTTTCTTGATTTGGCTTTAACATTTTCCAAAATTAAAATTACAAGTTTTTTTTCTGATTATAACAGTAATACAGCTTACTACTGTAGCTATTACAAGCAAAATAGAAAATTAGGTAAAGATGATTAAAATCATCCACAATCCCAGTTTCTTAAAATGGCCTTACTAAGATTTTTAACAAAAATTTACTCCACATATTTATTTATGAATTTTTATATGCACCATTTCTCTAATTTTCCTAAATGGAGTTTATAATATCTACCTGTTTTCACTCAATAATATATTGAACTATATGTTGACCCTCATCATTGTCCCAAAGTTTAAAGTCATTGAATAGAGATACAGCAATCACTTACTGATGGAGATGTGTAGTTTGGTTGTCTTACAATTTGTACATTAAAGTTATACTATGATAAAGATCTTTGTGCATACCAATTTACCCTACCAAAAGATATGAGAATATTTCCAGTTGAATTTTAAAATGAAAACCTCATTATTCTTTTAACTTACTCTCATTTGATTATTGAGGTGGAGTATTTTTCCATAGGCGTCTTTGAGCCCCTCAACTTGACAATTGTATTGACAATTATTCACTGTATGATTATCGTGATTATTGCAATTAAGTGATTACTTATGGTTTCTCATTTATTGGAAGGAGCATTGTAAGGGTAGCAGAAACACTACAGAGCCTTTTTTTTTTTATTTAACCACTCTCTTGCCCTGGACATGAGGTGGTGATTGGACTCTCAGATGCTGCTTTTGTAATATCGCATGGTCAAATCAAGCCCTATCAAAGTGCCCTGTCATGTCCTTTCATATCTCCTTAGGGTTAAGTATGTCCCCAAAGCCCTGCGTCTTGAGGTAGGCATGGGAATTATCTTCAAAAATATCAACATAGGATATAACTTTCTCTCTTAGATTAGCTAAGCTTAGAAGAAAAATTTCTTTGTGGTCAAATGTTTCTGCCATATTAAAATCTACAAGTCAGGTGGTGACCAGATTTTGTGATGCCATCCAAAAGGTTTTAGTACAAATTTTTCTTAAAAATGCAGTAAGTAATTGTAAACTGTGATACTTTTAAATTATCTGCAAGATTATTCCATGACCATTTTTAAAATAGATGGTTTTTCTGTTGTGGTCTTAGTTGTCATTTTATAGTTGACCCCACGTGTAACTTTTCGAAGACTCTCAGGATTCCCTTCAGTCCTATTCTGTGTATCTATCTAGTCATTGTCCCAGTGAAATGATAAAAGGCCCAACTCAGCTTGTTTTGCAATGTGGGCAACAAACATCTCAATAGGATGTGTCTCTTCCAGTTGTTTTTCTTGTACTATTGATGTCTTATGGGGAGATATTTAACTTCACTTCTTGGTCTTATTCGTAGCAACTTCCATGACTGATGAGCCAGTTGAATTAGTCTTTGGGATAGTCACTAAGTAGATGGGAACAGGATTTTCTTGGTTGGAAGTCCATTTCTTGAATATTCAAGTTTGTTTGTCCTAGAAATTTAATTGACTGAGCCTGCCTAGTAAAGGAAATCTTTGTCATGCCAGTGTGAAGTTCTGCTTCCCACTTTACTATTTTCCTCTTAATGCAGTACTAATATATGTTGAACCAAAAACAAAAACCTGGGCTTATAGCATAACACACCTGGTATTAAATTGTGGTACCACCATTTGTTATCCTGGTTAGTTAACAACTTTCTGAAAATAAAATAAGGATAATAATATCTATCTTAATGTATCTTTTTTTCTTATGAGGTATCTAAGATAGAAGAATTTCTTTTTCTTTGCCTTCGCTTAATAGAGGTTAGCATTATTTTATTTTATATAAACATAGAAATAAACATCTGCTGGAAACTCATTTGAGAGAAAACAACCCATGTTGGATCTTAGGGAGGTAGATACACTTTTCCATTCTTTCTTCAATCTACAGAGGTTCATGTCATACCCACATCTTCATCTAAAAATCAAGGAATGAGGCTGGATACCGTGGCTCACGCTTGTAATCCCAGCACTTTGCGAGGCCGAGGCAGACAAATCACTTGAGCTCAGGAGCTCAAAACCAGCCTGTCCAACATGGTGAAAACCTGTCTCTACTAAAAATAAAAAAATTAGCCAGGTGTGGTGGTGGGTGCGTGTAATCTCAGCTACTCGGGAGACTGAGGCAGGAGAATCACTTGAACCCAGGAGGCGGAGGTTGCAGGGAGCCAAGATTGCACCACTGCACTCCAGCCTGGACGACAGAGAGAGACTCCATCAAAAACAAACAAACAAACAAACAAACAAACAACCCAGGAATCATTCTAGACATTATTTGTTTCTCAAATCTGTAATTGTTTTAGGATCTATGTTTGTTTTCTTTTCACCAAAACTAAAGAAACACTGTTCCTTATTTGCTTTTTTTTTCCTCAGTCTGGCTACTTACTTTTCTCCCTCATAGACAAATGCTAACAACCAATGAATCACCATATTTCTCCTTTATTAAAGCTGTCTCCAATGGCATTCTCAGCAAGTTAAAATGTCAAGTATATGGGCCTTTAAGAAAGGTTTCAAAAGATATCCCTGGGGAGGGAGGGAAGAGAAATTTGAGGAGGGAGGAGGGAAGCCATGTGACCTGAGAAGCAGGAATTCTGTACATAAATACTGAAGTTTACTGTCAAGCTTCCGAGTAAAAATGTTAAATATTTGCAGTGTCCACAACCCATGTCCCTGTGATAAGGCTGGTTAATTCCTAGAACATAATGCTAGGAATTCAAGAATGGGGATCATATCCTGAGTACTGATGATCCATCTTGATACTGTGTCAAAGGGCACAGGATGAGGAATGGAAGGGTTTGGAGAGTGAGAATAAATTACTGCAAATCCAAACATCTGACTGGATAAACTACTCCAAGTGGATATCATTTATTATTCACTCCATAGAAAGATTAGAATGTACACCCTAGGGAGATTAAGGTAAGAGTAAGAGAGATGTCTAAACATTTTATGTGTCCATCATCTACGTTGCCTGTTTATCAGAGTCTGTCACTATAATGTTTACTGCTGTAAGTGGTTAATTATGAATATATCAGCTGAATGCTTTCATGTCAGTTGAGCTGTGCAGTTGCCACAGTGAGCACTCTTTTCATGTGGACTTTTGGATAAACCAGCGTTTAGAGATTGTGTTTTATAAATTATATGACCAAATTCCAATACCACATGGAGAATACGTGATTTATGTGCTAATTGGATCATGTCCATTAGACATCCTCATAACTATCTTTTATCGGCACTACAGTTTTTATTTACTAAAACATAGTCACATGAAAGTTTCCTATAATAGTATTCTACACTTTCTATTCTCTGACTCTTAGGAATCACTACTCCTTCTGAACTCCTTTAGCAATGAATTTCACAATTATATATTATTAATGTGAAATTCACAATTATATATTATATACATTTAAGTATATGCAGTGAGTTTCACAATTACATGTTCTTTCATGTGTTTATTTTTCTCATCAAAAAATTAAATCTTGGCCAGGCGCGGTGGGTAACACCTGTAATCCCAGCACTTTGGCAGGCTGAGGCGGGCGGATCATGAGGTCAGGCATTTGAGACCAGCCTGGCCAACATGATGAAACCCCGTTTCTACTGAAAATACAAAAATTAGCCGGGCGTGGTGGTGTGTGCCTGTAATCCCAGCTACTCAGGAAGCTGAGTCAGGAGAATCACGTGAACCTGGGAGGTATAGGTTGCAGTGAGCCGAGATTGTGCCACTGCACTCCAGTCTAGGTGACAGAGCCAGACTCTGTCTCAAAAAAAAAAAAAAAAAACAAAAAAAAATATTAAATCTTGATTTGAAAGATTTGAAATATCAGGTGAGTATAAAATCATTGGTAATTCTAACAACTGAAATTAATAATTTCAAAAATATTGCTTTTTGTATGTCTATAAACTTTTATATATTGAAAAAACGTATATATGCAAATATGTTGAATTCATGTCATATCTTTTTAACATTATCTGCATTATAATTTTGAATATCTTTTTGCTTAATTAATTAATTTATTTTTATTATTTTTTTTTGAGACAGAGTCTCACTCTGCTGCCCAGGCTGGAGTACAGTGGCACCATCTTGGCTCACTGCAACCTCTGCCTCTCAGGTTCAAGTGATTCTCCTGCCTCAGCCTCCCGAGTAGGTAGGATTACAGGTGCAAGCCACTGTGCTCAGCTATTTTTTTGTATTTTTAGCAGAGAGAGGGTTTCACCACGTTGGCCAGGCTGGTCTTGAACTCCTGGCCTCAAGTGATCCACCTGCCTCTGCCTCCCAAAGTGCTGGGATTACAGGCGTGAGCCACTGCGGCAGGCTTCTTTGCTTGATTTATGATCTTTTAAAAAATTTGTCATGCTGGGTCAATTAAGTGGTAGGTATTTAGAAAGTAAGACTCTTCTATTTTTTAGGATCTCTGTGGCATAGTGCATTGCAAGTAGTTCTCAATAAATAGCTTTTGTTGTAAACTAACACACTGGTTACTTTCTAAAGTCATTTGCTCTTTTAAAATCCCTTTGGTATACTAATCTATACTATATCACTATACTTGTAGACCAAGGGATTTGTCTGGCCAACATGGTGAAACCCCGTCTCTACTAAAAATACAAAAATTAGATGGGCGTGGTGGCGCGTGCTTGTGATCCCAGCTACTCAGGAGGCTGAGGCAAGATAATCGCTTGAACCTGGGAGGCAAAGGTTGCAGTGAGCCGAGATCGCTCCACTGCACTCCAGCCTGGGCGAGCTACTGCACTCCAGCCAAGGGTTTGGTCTACAAATATAGTGATATAGTATAGATTAATTCAGTTGCTTTAAAAAAATCCATATGCCACAGGATGGCTCAGGATATCAATCTATATCTTAGAAAAATTATTATACAAATAAATAGGCAACAAGATTGAGAAAAACTGGTATATTTGGTAAAAATACACCAAAAAAGCAAGAGAGGAGGAGGGAGATATGTGTTTTAGAACCCACACATTTTCACCAGGTGAATTTTAAAGGCTATAAGAGTTCATAAAATCTTAGCATCCTGAGTCATTTGAGAGTCTGATAAACATCATTTAAATACGTAATTTAATTGTTTCTCTTTTCTTGTTAGAGAAAGGTGGTGCAAACTTATTCCTGGAAGACGGTCAGCCATATTAATAATGAGCAAAATGCCTATTGAGTTGGTTTTTTAAATACTAAGAAAATGACTTTTGAAGTTAAAACACATGCTAACTGTTGCTTAGTTTTAAATATATATATATGGAGTGGAACAAAAGTTCCCACTCAACAGCTTACTGAAAAATACAAAAAGGAATGCAGTTTTCAGCAGGTTCTATTTGCCATAAAACATTTTCTTTTCTTACCATTGTTTTATTTTTTTCTTTCTGGTCTCCCCCTCTTGCCAACGTTCACAGCTGGACATCTTTGTCCATCTTTCAGGTACTTTGTGTTGCATATCCGTACGTGAAACACATATATGCATAACTATTCAGGTTTCCCTCCTGTCTCCATTGTTGGCAGAATTCTCATTCAAGTTAACATTAATATACTTTTTTGCTCTTCTCTTCCTCCTGGTTTGTCCTTTTGTCACTTGGAAAATATTGATTTCCCTCCATTGTAGGTGAGATGCACCTACATGGCTCATTTGTGCTTACTTCCTTCTTGTTTGGAGACTCAGCAAGTTCAGCACAATGCTATTTATTGAATTTATCTGTCAATTTCTTCTTCCTTGCATGGCTGACTAATTCAGTGGAATCAGCACAATACCAGAAGCACAGAGGATAATGGCTTAAATTTTTTTTTTCGCAGAAAATTGTAAATCAAAAGTAGAGACTAAATTTGAGGACCAATCCCTTCAGAAGGTTGCAACTTGTAAAGTGTGTGCAGGACTGTCTAGGTGAACATGGCAACAGATATGATTTTCTAATGGGGCACTTCTCAGCTTTTCATTAAATGTCTAAGAAATACACAGAAAGACATGAATTGGCAGCAGGATTGTGAAATAAAAATGAGAGGAGCCTCTAACATAGGCAAAAACTTTCCTCCAAACAGACAAACAAAAGCGTATAATCAATGAAGAAATAAAAATCAGAATAACCTCATTTTCTTCACAGTACAAAATACTAAAAAATCAACAGAGTTATTTTCATGAATGGCTTAGTCTTTGGAATTGGCTTTGGACATGCATTCCTACTTCACACATCCCAGTGAACCTCAGCACATTAGCTGGTTACTGAGAAGGTAGGAAAGTAAACTGACCTTTACCTTTTGTGAACTGGGTGCTACTTACTAGGATCTTACTGGTCTCTTTCTGCCAAGGTCAGCTCCTCTTGTGTTACAACAGAGAAACGACTAATCTCAGAATGTAACATGTTTTAGATAAGTGGTATGGAGAAGCAGTCATGCTTAGTTGTTGAAAGAGAAGTATACAGTATGCACAAGTGTATACTTTTGTAAGTTTTTATGCTGTTCAAAGAAGAACTTTAAGATACTATTACAGCATAGTCATTAAGAGAAAAGATGTTAAATAGACAAGATGCTTTTGAATTGCAAGACCCCTGTGCCTAATCCTGAAAAAGTTTTCTAACTTCTTTGTGCCTTAGTTTCCTCATTTGTAAAATGGCCATTAAACACTTCATAATATTACTGTGAGGATTAAAAAAGTAAGAACTAAGTCCAGTGTTTGGTAACTGTAGTAAGCCCTAGATGGATGATTGTCACTACTGTTATTTACCCTAAATAAATTCAATATTTATCTTTAGTTATTATTATACCACACTGTTACTAAGTTAGGCTTAGAAGGAAATGACTCCCTGTTAGCTTTGAAGGTTGAGCTACAAGATCATGCCCATCAAGTTAAAATTAAGGTTTTGACCTGACAATTGAAGGTGCAAGCCTAGAGAGATTACCTTCCACATAAGCTTAATACCTGGCCTAAGTGGCTTGCTCACGTTATCTAAGTAGAAACAAACTGAAACAAACAAAACTAATAATCAAAACTAATAAAAACATCCAAATAAATAAAATTATTGATTCAGGCAAGGAATAAGGATTAATAAATTTGATAATGAGGGGCTGGATAATTGTATAATGTCAAGGTGGAATCACACGTGTAACTTTCTAATCAAAGAAAAAAAACACACACTGGAGAGATCCTACTATTTCCATCCTATTCCAGTAGTCAGTCAGTTGTTATATGCCCTGGGATATAATGCAAGATATAATGAGCAACTTTCACAATGTAGTCTAGTCAAAAAAGTTTTACCAACATCAGATCATTAGGAGATACAGGAGATAGAAGAACAAGGGAGACATCATCACATGGATGCAATCAGACAAATGACACGTGCGAGACATTCTGTGAAACAGCAGACCTGGTCTCTTCAACAAGTCACTGTCTGGAAAAAGGACTGAACTATATTAAGAATGACTGAAGAAACAGAATCAGATGCAATGATTGGTCTTGAATTAGATACTTATTTTGTCAAACCAGATGAAAAGGCATTTTTGACAGGATTGCCTGTTTTTGTAACCCAAAATATGCATTGAAAAAAATAAGCAAGACTTTTGTTAAAATATCTTTAGACAGAATTTTGGTATATATATATGATATATATGTGATTATATCTACATATATCTATATATATATTCTGTCTAAAAATTCTCACAATTCTGTGTAAAGATATTTTAGACAGAATTAGGAGATATCTGTATCTAGCTCTAGATATAGCTAAATATATATTCCTTTATATATCTATAAATCTATATATCTAGCTATATATATTTAGATATATCTTGCTCTAGATATATATCTAGCTCTTATATATAGAGAGAGAGATAGATATAGAGCTAGGTATAGATATATAAAGGAATATATATCTATATAGTATGTTTATGACCTACAAGTATTCTTTTTTGATCAGGTTTTCTTGAACATCAGATATATGTATATACCAGACCATTCAACATGCATTTATTTTTTTATTTTTATCTTTAAATAGAGACAGGGTTTTCTCATGTTGCCCAGGCTGGTCTCAAACTCGTGGGCTCAAGTGATTCACCTGCCTCAGCCTCCCAAAGTGCTGGGATTACAGGCGTGAGCCACTGCACCCAGTATCAACAGGCATTTATAAGCATAGGTATAATCTAGTGCTCTTGATTGATTAAAAGTATATTTTGAGAATTGTTTATTGTGATTGCTTGAAAGGTGATTATTATAAAAATGAGTAAAATAATGAATCACTACTCCCTTTTTTGTTTCTTATTTTGTTTGTTTCTTCCTTTTGTACTCAAGTAACAAAAATCTTAATTTAGCTCTGAGGATACAAATGAAGAGTAATGTTTCTTGCCCCTGGTCCCACAGTTAGTGACAGACAGTCACTAAAAATTGAAATGCAGACAGTCCAATTTCAGAAACCATGCTCTTGACCAATACATTGAAGGGTCTTTAGCTATTAGCTGCCTATAAAATATGTGGTCATAACCGTAGAGAACACAGCAAAATACCACAATAAAAAAGGATAAATGAAACTTCACTATTTTTCATGGAAAAACCCAACTTGTATTGCCTGCTTCCTTTGTCAGCTTTGAGAACTTCAGTATGAAGTTTTGTACCTATAGCTCCAGCTCCTGAAAAAATTGTTCCAAAAGCCTCAACACCAGTTAAATTAAGTTCCTGACAGAAGTTGGAAACATTATGAGAATGACACACATGGTTTTTGTTCAGATCATCTGGGGAATGCACGTCACACTGGCATCAACCTCCAACAGAGCCTTGGGATGACAGAAGCAGCCGTTCGGAGGAGGCCTCTCCTTGCTCTGTTAGTGAAAAGTTGAGATTTGGATGGTATTTTTCACACTCTTGACAGTTTATGACACGCTGATGGGATGAAACAGAGAGACTGCATACTAAAAGTTGGCTGTGACCTAACAAGCAAAGTTACACAAGTCATCCCTGGTCACATAAGAGGTTTCACCTCCTCATTTCTAAAAGCTAATTATTACTAGCTTTTTGTGATTACCAGATATACCTCTTCCATTTTTTATACCTCCTACTCTCTTAACATGGACAGCATTGTTGAACTCAGGATCTGAAGTCAGACAGCATTGTCTTCTTTGAGCCTCAATCTGCTTGTCAATGAAGTAGGGATGATGACAATTCTTTCCATATAGTGTAGTTGTGAGCATGATAAAATGCCTAGTACAGGGACTGTCTAGTAACTCCTAACCACAACTATTATGCTTGTTAGTCCCCATGGCCTATTTATTTTAAGCCCAAAGCATCTTCTGGAGCTAAGCACTGTAATGCCCTTGAAGTGTTTTTTAATCTCTTCAGTTCTGTCTACTGCACGTTGTGGTCTTACACTGCTCCTGGCCACTGTTGAGTTATTCCTAAAGGAATACAGCAATTTCAGAGGCCTTCTGAAGCTCCCTGTCATGCCTGGCAATGTCATTATATACCAACTGATACGTTTTTACTTTTCCCAATTCTTGACAACCTTCTATAGTAGTATTTCACATATCTGCTTGGAAAAAATATTTGGGTAACAGCTTTTGGTATTGCTAGGTGTTTTCGGTTTTCTTCTTACCTTTTTGTTTATCGTAGTATAATTATAGGAATTAATTAATTTGTCGAATTGTGTTATTTCTCTGCTCGTCTAGCATCATCTTGCTGTATGGAGATAAAGAGCAGTTAATTTTGAGTAATATACTAGAAGTTTGGTATTCGTGACTCTCATTTTTGGTGAACCACTCTACTGACTCAAAAACAAAGATTTTTATGTGCTTTGAAATTTTAATAATCAGGTAATGTCTAACATTTCACATTTTCTCCAATAGCCACTCTTTTTTGCTTTTATTTTTGCATATAATCCTGCTCCATTTCTAAAATTGCCCTTTGAAATTTTCTTATTTTCCTACACATTCCAGTTTATTACTATGTGGAAGCTGATAATATTTATACTTTGTTTTCTAGGAGGTCATTGATATAAAATTTTATTTTATGGTTGATTTTCTTGTGAATGGGTGTTTTACACAATTTTCAAGTAATTGGCGTGGATTTTATGAGGCCAGTCAAATGTAGCAAACATTATAAAATTACTGAAAATGTATCAGTGATGACAAATATTTAATGATTGGTTTATTTTGATTGGTCGTAGTTCCATTTTTCTCTAAGGCATCTTCCTTAAAATAAGCATATATAAATGACCTTTAATGTATACAGCATGCATTTTTTCATTCTCTAGCAATGAGAGCAAGCACATAATGTTGTGATCACTGTTAGCCCATCTGTGTTTTAACATGCTCTCCTTAGTTTTATTCTCCTGTGTTGTTCATTTAGTATATGGCCTCATTCTTCCACTTTTTTTTCTGTTTTGATGAATAGTTTGGATAATAATGACTGACCCAAGGTGTGCAAATGATTTAAGCAAACAAAGCAAAACTATTCCACTGTCTTTTGAAATGTAGGCTTCAGGGTATCTTGAATTGCATTCAAAAAGATAAAACTCTTCATCAGAATTAAAAACATACGTTTACACAAAATCATGTACACAAGTTCATAGCAGCATTATTTGTAATAGCCCCAAAGTAGAAACAACTCAAATGTTCATCAACTGATAATTCGATTAAACAAAATCTGGCATAACCATAAATGGAATATTATTCAGGCATAAAAAGGAATGAAGTTCTAATACGTGTTACAAGTTGGATGAACTTTGAAAATATGCTAAGTGAAAGAAGTCATATACAAAAGACTTGCAAGGTTCTATGCCTTCATGTATATGAAATACCCAGAATAGGCAAATCCATAGAAACGGAAAGTAGATTAGAGGTTCCTAGGAGCCAGGTACAGAGGGGAATGGAGAGTTATTGCTTAATGGGTATGGAGTTTCTTTAGAGGAAAAAATTCTGGAGTGGTGGTGGCTACACAATTTTGTGAAATATACTAAAAACCATTGAAGTGTATGCTTTAAAAAGGTTAAATGGTAAATGTTACATTACGTGAATTTTATCTCTAAAAGCATTTTAAGAGAAGACATTATAATAAACAGAGAGTACAAAGATCAGAAGACAAAAGAAATTGGTGGAAATTATTTGACATTATGAAGAGCATTGTAAGTCTCAATTTCAGGGAGAATTGACCATAATTGACAAAATATTG
This sequence comes from Homo sapiens, assembly GCF_000001405.40. Classification (NCBI taxonomy): domain Eukaryota; kingdom Metazoa; phylum Chordata; class Mammalia; order Primates; family Hominidae; genus Homo; species Homo sapiens. The sequence continues at coordinate 2,283,306 of NC_000003.12, forward strand.
CATAAATAATATCAGGGATGCATTTGGATAAGAAACACATATTACAATCCTTTATAATGTTAACTTAGTATGTATTCCAGTTTCCACAAATGCACTCCATCTCCCCCAAAGTATAGGCAAGTAGTCCTTGAAAGTTGGAATGGAAAGATTAAGCAACATTTTCATAAATATGTCACTGAAACAGGCTCACAAAGCAGTACATGCCATATAATGGGAACTGGGGTATAGAAGAGAGGTTAATCAATGCTGTATAGCTAAACTGGAAGTAAAGAGGGATTTCATAAGAGAGGTTCCCTTTAAACTTGTTTTGGAAGGATACATAGGAGTTCTCCATAGTGTGGATAATGAGGGAACAATATGAGCAGTAAGAACTTTCATCTAACCTTTAACTTCTTTCTTCTATCCAGAAAGGGTTAGTCAATTTTGCATTGAGCACCATCACCCATTCCCTAAATACAATTCAAACGGCTTACAATCCTTGTTTTTTTGGTTTGGTATGTAAGGTTTAGTTTTCCTCCAACTTCTGCATTTCTCTTCAAGGGAGGCCATTAAACCCTGTTTTTATTTCTAATCTACAAAAGCTAAAAAAGCATATTTCCCTTTATGAATTTTTCATATGCTCATCTGATGCTTGTGTGCTCTCTGCCCCTTTGCCTGGCCTGAAATCTGCTTCTTACTTATCTAGTTCATCTCTTGCTATTTGCCAATGCAAATGTGGGCTAAAACCAGCTGAAACAGTAAGGGCATGTTAGCAGAGGGAAAAAGGAAAGGAAAAAGAGGCAAATAGAGTAAGTACCCAAAGAAGGAAAAAGAGCAGAGATCATAGATGGCTATATGAGGTTCAGGCAGAGGAATTAAAGAAAGTGAAGAAATGGTTGGGAAGAAATTAGAATGATGCCTGTAGACTGGAAGCAGTGAAGGAAACAACATCAGAAATTGGGGCAAAAGTTAAGAATAGGAAATAAGCTTTTACTTTTTAACTGTGCTGCAAGGATGCAAAACCAATTAAATTATTTGAAAATGTGCTTTATTTTAGGCCAATCTATAGTATACATATCAAAACTTAGCTTGCTCTGGTGTTCAAGGTGGCTTTATACTGTTTGGCTATCCTGTGTTTATTATGCCATTAATCCTTTTAACTGGTCTGGAAGGCAATTTAGTTTTAAGTCAGTTACTTTTTTGAAATGAATCTTATTTATACCAAACTTCTCATGTTTGCTTGAATTTAATCAAATTTTTATATAAAGTGTAATTTCAAGGAATTTATAATGGAGCATCAAGGGAGGAGTTGGTTATGTAATCATACTTTTGTAATTTTCTATTGTGGAGAAATTTATCTGCTTAGTTATTGAAATCAAATTCCTGCAATAGAGCTATTAAAATGGGCTAGCATCATCTTTGAGAATGTTCCTTCTTAAAGGTAATATAAATTATATCCAACAGGAGAGAAAAAGTTAACTTATGAGGTGAGTAGACTAAGAGTCATTAAAAAAATCTTGAGGAAGATTTTTAATAATATGTAAAATATTTCTGATGTGGTAGCATAAATATATATTATAGGACATTATTAATAGTAAAGTGATCCAAAACATATACCACAGGGAGATGACTTGAAAAAAATGCATTAATGCTTCATCAGTTGTTATCTTAGGGTAGTGGGTAATAGGATAGTTTTTATTCTCTCTATATATATTTTTGCCAGATTATCTAATAAGATACGTTTTTATTAATAATAAAAAGAGAGACAAATGATACAAATTTTAGAATGAGGACTGCTCAGTCTGCATAAAAATTATTTTCTTGCAACAAAGATGCACTATGGAATTCAAAAATGGTGGTAACTATTGTCAAACATGTAGAGATTGGAGTTCCTAACTGTTGCAGGAAGATCTAAGATAAAGTACTACAAGATGAGTAACAAATACATCCTTAAAAGCCCATTTAAGGAGTTCTTAATCGCAAAAAATTTGAATAGGATTTAATTTGATGAATGGTCTAGTTAACCAAAATAGTTTATCTGGTTCAGTTACTGTTGATAAATATATTTAACGACATTGCAATTGCATATTATTCAGCCACAACATAATTTCATTAATGACTCATTAAAATTATTGTGAAAAGGAAACACTTAAGATTGCATTGGAGCATTGGGATACCTCACAGTTTGATTTTTTCTTCTTCCTCTCCCTGCACATTTTTTACTTCTTATATTTAAGTATTCTGCTATGATTTTAAAAACTAGCTACAAAGGGGAGATAACAAAATGAGAGCCTTCTCATATTAAAAAATATCGTTTCTTCTCCTACCCCTTATTTTTCAGTGTATGTTCACATTAAGAAACTAGAAAAATCTAGATAAGCAGAGCCAAGGTAATTAGTTTTCTGTAATTCTTACACGAAGAGATCATCACTAATGTCATTTTGGTATTATTTACTGAGATTTGTTTTTTCTACACTTAAATAGGCACATAAATACATGATTATGTATTTCTCACACTGTTTTATGGCCTGTATTTCACACTTGGTTTTATAATATGAACATCTTCCATGTCAGAAAATATTATTCTTCATTATACTAATGGCCAAATATTATTCCATTTGTAGATGTATGTACTTATTTAACTAATTTTCTGTCTCTTGAAGATGAATTCCTGCAGTGGAATTGCTGAATCAAATATGTATATATTTTGATGCTTTACGGCATTAATACATTTTCCCTTAAGAAAGTTGTATCAATTTATACATCTATCATCCTCAGTTAGGTACATCCTTGCTGACTTTGGGTGGCTTTTTTATTCTGTTTCCCATTTTTATAAGCAAAAATGGTATTATATCTTCTTTAATTCTACTGGTAGGTTGAACTTTTAAACATTTAACTATACTGTATTTCTCGGATCTCCTGCCGTGTGTGTGTGTGTGCATACACCCCCTGCCCCCCCCACAACATACACATACAAATACATATTTGGACTTTAAAAAACACTATGAACTTGAATTTTTTGGTTGTGTATACACCAGTTTCTAATTGATTAGAAAAATGAGAAATTCTCTTTTTTTTAAGTATATAGGAACTAAATCAAAATATTGTGAAACCTGAAAAGAAAATACCACAACCCCAAGCAGAAAGGGCTTAGTTAGCTTTAAAAAAACTACATGGTTGTTAAACAAGGCTTGTCAAGCTATTAAAAACAAGAGTAACATAAAACTTACAATTTCTAAATAGGACCACTGTTTCTAAATATGTTAAGTGGTGTTTAAGTCAGTTAAATCTTACAGCCAAAATGTTGTATTAATGCATGAGTGAGATGCATTATAGATGACTTGATAATAAAGTTATGTATGTTTACAACAGAGCATTTTGTTCTTAGAACATAGTGGGAGCCTGAAGTCTTGGGATTATCCATGATCATAATTGAACATATGTTTAGTTTACTCTGGGCACCATATTTTCAAAGGGACATAAATGAACTAGAGAATGCTTAAAATGTTGGGACATGGTTAATCATAGTGTCACATGAGAAACGTTTGAAGAAACCAGGGATAAAAAAAGCCGGAATGAGTTAAGATTCAAGCATGGCATCATTATATACAAATGCTAGATGAGCTATCAATGCAGATTTCAGGTTTTGATTGTACCCCTGAGATGGATTAAGCGTTTGTAGGTAGAAGTATGAAGAATCTAAACAGTTTTGTGGAGATATTCGTAGTTAGATCAAACATTCCCCTAAAAATGTTCAGGGCACATTGTCTCACTGGAACTCTTTGTTCAGAAACTGAACATTTACTTAGCAAGGCTTGTTGTAGAGATGATTTTATCATTTGATGGTAGTTGAACTAGCTAAGTTTTACACTCATTTTCAGCCCTGAAATTAAAACAAACTTGAACAACTGGAGGAATTTATGCCATTATACACATTGTAACTCTAGCATACAATGCGTGAAAAATATGCTAGTTTTTTTCATAGCACATTTTAAAACTGAACATTTGAAATGGGCTGTGTATAAAGATAAATGAGGCTGGGCACAGTGGTGCACGCCTGTTATCCTAACACTTTGGGAGGCCGAGGTGGGCAGAATGCTTGAGCTCAGAAGTTCCAGACCAGCCTAGGCAACTTAGTGAGACCTCATCTCTACAAAAATCACCAAAATTAGCAGGGCATGGTGGTGCACACCTGTAGTCCCAGCTACTTGAGTGGGCTGAGGTAGGAAGGTCACTGGTGCCCGGGAGATCAAGGCTGCAGTGAGCTGTGATTGTGCCACTGCACTTTAGCCTGGATGACAGAGTGAGACCCTGTCTAAAGAAAAGAAGGAGAAGGAGAAGGAGAAGGAGAAGAAGAAGAAGAAGAAGAAGAAGAAGAAGAAGAAGAAGAAGAAGAAGAAGAAGAAGAGGAAGAAGAAGAAGAAGAGGAAGAAGAAGAAGAAGAAGAAGAAGAAGAAGAAGAAGAAGAAGAAGAAGAAGAAGAAGAAGAAGAAGGAGAAGAAGAGGAGGAAGGGGAAGGTGAGGAGGAAGAGGAAGAAGAAGAAGGCTGATCTGATTGACTTTGTGAACTATTTATATTCATCTATTGTTGCTTGTATTACATTGCAAGAATACAAAACTAATAAAAATGTATGAACTTATTGTAAACTTGGTAAATTGAGAATAAAGATCTCATTTTTTTTGTGTTAACTTTATAAGAATCTGTGAGAGCCAGAATGATTTCAGACACTGATGACAATTTTAACAGAAACATAGGCGTTTCACAATGCAGTGGGAAAATTAATAGCAGAATTAGAAAATAAATTAGAATAGATATTAGTTGAAATAATCTGAAATGCATTTGAAAGGAAAATAAGGAACAGAGATTTCTTAGTCCATTTGTGTTGCTATAAAGGAATGCCTGAGACTAGGTAATTTACAAGAAAAGAAGTTTATTTGGTTTACAGTTCTGCAGGTTGTACAAGAATTATGGTGCTGGCACCTGCTTCTGGTGAGGGCCTCAGGCTGCTTCCACTCATTGTGGAAGGTGAAGGGGAGCCAGTGTGTACAGAGATCACAGGGCCAGAAGGAAGGAAGAGAGATAGAGGGGAGGTGGCAGGCTCTTTTTAACAACCATCTCTTGCAGGAACTAAAAGAGGTAGAACTCACTCACTACCATGAAAATGGCACTAAGCCATTTTTGAGGTATCTATCTCCCTGACCCAAATACTTCCCATTAGGCCCCTCCTTGCAACATTGAGGATCGGATTCAACATGAGATTTTGAGGAGACAGACATCCAAACTATAGCAAGAGGAAGTTGCTATAAAAACAGATCAAAGAAATTGGGAAAGATTGCAACACACTGAGATCCTTAAACAGTTTCCATTTCAAATGGAATAGATAAAGCCATACTAAGTATAAAACAAAATATAATGAAAATGTATGTTATCAAATAAGTGGAAGGATTGTAAGAAGAATATGAATCTGGAAATCAGAATGAAAGAAAACAATACAAGTTTTGTTTTGTTGGTAGGAAAATGTTGGCTGGAAAATGTTAAATAAAGATATAAATTAGAGAAAAGAGGGATGTTTGTCTTGAATGTTCATTCAGTGACATAGGGAAGGTGGTGAAAAGCAAGAAATTCCAAGGAATAGAGTTAAATGAAGGCATTTTATATGAGTATTAAAGATAGGTAGCGAAATTCAAGGTACACAGAACCATCTTAAGGTCTGAAAGGCCTTAAAAATAATCCAATCCCATACCCAGTGAATGGAGCTTGGCCCTATATTCTTGAGAAGTGCTTGCTTAGTATAGACTCAAAAGTACATTTCTTATAAGGCTATACATTTATAGTTTTAAACAGCTTCCCAATGCCTATCATACATTCGCTTTAGAAATATTTTAGAAATATTATTTTAAAAAGAAATATTTTAGATGATTTCTAACATGAATGATGGAGTGATAGGTACAGGGAAGGATGAGAGACCAGGTCCCCTAAAACCCAGAGAGACTAAATGTCATTTGGGACTTTTGCACAGAAAGAGGAGCATGGATTTGACCTATGTTTCTCATTGCATAGAGATATCCTAGGAAGATTTCAAAACTTTTGTATGTTTAGTTTTCTCATCTGTGAAATGGCGATAATAATAGTATCTATAAGACAGAGTTTCTATAAGGATTAAATGGATAGTATATGTGAAGACCATATCATGGTGCATGGCACATTTATGATGTTCATTAAACGTTGCTGTTAATATATGAGAAGGGCTGAAGACATCTGCTTTAAGTCAGCATTTATTGAACACAGTTCAGGGGAGGAAGATTGGATTACATAAGATGGTCTTCCTGTCCCTTCAAATCAACTTGGGATTTTTTTTTACTTTGGGCAGCTACCTTTCAACCTTCAGTGCTTCCCGCTTCCCCGTATAAATATAAGAGAAAATAAGATAATGAAGAATGAACTATAAAACAATTTAGAGGCTTCTTGCAACTATATCTGGTTTTGATCTCTTTCTAATTTTATTCCACTTACTGCATTTCTAAGAATAGTCATTGATGTGTAAGTTATTACGATAGTGGCTGAATAACATTAAAAATATTTTATCATGAAGTAGTTCTTTCTAGACATTTGATGATTGAAAATTTCATACTACCTCTCGGAAACTTGGAGGCATAGTTTTCAGGGTTACAGAATGTTCATTATTAGTATTTAGTATTTTTTAGATTAAAATTCCCATCTTAGGGTGTACCTTCTCTGAGCCAGTCATTTTCTTAGATTTTGAAACTTTTCTACACCTAACACGATGGAGTAACAGGGACTGGATTTATCTTTCTGCCCAAAATAACAACAAAAATGTGGGAAAAAATGAAACAACAGTTTCTAGACAGTAAACAATAACAAGCAGCACAGAGCATTGATCCCAGAAACAGGGGCAATGAAAGAGACAAGCGTTAGAATTGTCCTGGCTTACATTTCAAAGAGAGCTTCCGGGCCATAATGCAGGAAGGGGGAAGCCAGGTGGATCCTGGAAATATCCAGAGTGATTATGAGAAACTGATCAGGCTTGTCTTGGTATGTTATGACTTGAATAACACTGCACTAATTGTGTTTTATGGAATTGACATTGGAACATTCATATCTTTACATTTATACGTACAACACCTGTTAATGAAGTACTTAGTAAGGTCTGTGGTTGCAGTTACAGGGGAAAATCATTAACGATGATGGTGAAGCAAGAAAGGCTGGATAAAAAGAGAGAAAGACGATACGTGAGACCTAAATAAGTGAAAAAATGAGGGGTCCATTCAAGAGAATGAAAAAGTTCAGTTTGAATGAAATCACAATTGTCAAATCAGAGACATGATGAAAGAACTACAGGTAAGCCAGGCTACACAGGGTCTTAGAGCATCTTAAAGATTTGTGTATTGTTGCGAGGGAACAGGAAGCCATTGAAGAGTTTAAGCAGAGTGTGAGATCATTGAGTATATACTGCTGGGGTCTTTGGATGCTAACTAGAGATAACCATTAAAATTTTCTGACTTAAATCTGATGAGAGGAAAAAACTTATTTCCCTTTCAACAGAAACTTCGGGTCTGAACTTTGTAGAGTTTATTGTGGCTAAAATGACCACGTTTTTCAAAGAAAAATCGACACTATAGGATTTTTTAAAATGACATGTGAAAGCCTTACATTATAAATTAAATCACCATCTCATATTCAGCTGCATTTTTTAAAAGAATCCAACTATATATATTGAGTGTCTTGGTCACTTTGGTCCTGACTTATACTGTAGCTGTACTTTTGAATAACTGCATCTGTCCATGGCCACTGAGAATCTAGACCCCATCACTGCAGATGTGATGATATTTTTGTTATTCTTATTTCTTTGCTTGGATTTATGTAAATTTTTTTACCCTTCCAGCCTACCTAACTACATTATAATTTTTTTGGTATCAGGGAGTATATAAAGGCTGTGTTCGTCCCCAGTGCTAAGTACAGACCCTAGGCATTCAATACATTCTTGTTCAAATGAATCTTATGGAGAATTCCAACCCATATAGGAGAATTCTCACTATTCAAGAATTTATCTCCAAATTTTCAGCATCATTTAAAAATGACAAATAAATTTTGACATGCAATTAGACTAGCAGAGTCACCCTAGTTACAACTGGTTCCTATCCTCTCCCCCTTTAGATATTTGAAGAAAATAAAGTATGTTAAAAGAACTCAAAATAAATTTTTAATTATGATATTATGATTGATGATTATTGAATGCATGCTAGCTTTTTTCCCTACTGTTTATTCTATATTTCACCATAGGATAATGCTAATATAAAATTATTAAAGGATTAATTCACTGAAGTCCTTATGATAAAGTATTTGGGGATCCCTAAAATTCTTCTGAGTTTTAAGTGGCTTATTTGTGTTGATTTGTTTTGAACTATAATATTTTATTTTATTTTATTTTATTTATTAACTTTTTTTGAGATAGAGTCTCGCTCTGTTGTGCAGGCTAGAGGGCGATGGCAGGATCTTGGCTCACTGCAACCTCCGCCTCCCAGGTTGAAGAGATTTTCCTGCCTCTGCCTCCCGAGTAGCTGGGATTACAGGCATTCGCTACCATGCATGACTAATTTTTTTGTGTTATTAGTGGAGATGGGGTTTCACCATATTGGTCAGGCTGGTCTCGAACTCCTGACCTCAGGTGATCCACCCGCCTCAGCCTCCCAAAGTGCTGGGATTACAGGCGTGAGCCACCGCGCCTGGCGAACTATAATATTTTAATGCCATTTTTTACAGTAAGTAAAATATTAATCCATCACATAATTAACCGTTAAAATGTCTCATGCCCATTCCCTGTCTCATTTGTAAAAAGTGGTACTTGTATTGTCACTTCTACGGCACTTATCTGTCCCACACATTTTGGCAACAGATTATTTTTCTTCTGGATTCTTCTCTAATAGTGTTATATTTATAAGCTTGTCTCTTGCACAACAGAATGAACTTCACAAGGGCATTGGCTTTTCTTCTATCTCTTAGTGAATAATTGTCACTTAGGATTTATTGAAACACAGTACCAAACATGTATTAGGTACCCCACTGATATTTGTTAACTTGAATAAGTTGAATATGACAACTTTGTTTTGCTTTGTTTTATTGAATTTTTCAGGATTATTTGTATGCAATAAAATGCTCATATCTGAAGTGTACAATGTGTTAACTTTTTGACAGCCATTAACTACTACTCAGATAAAGATATAGTATATCTTCATAATTTTCCAAAGTTCTTTTATGTCCCTTTTAGGTAGTAGTCTCCACTGTACCCCAGGTTACCACTTTTCTGACTTTTTATCCCTTAGAGTATTTTTACTTGGTCTAGAATTTCTTATAAATAGAAGCATATAGTATATACTCTTCTTTGCCTTCTTTTGCTCAACATTTTAATATTCATACATATTATTCTATCTATCAGTAGTGTGATCTTTTTCAATTCCAGATAGTATTCTACAGATGAATATATCACAATTTATTCCATTCTTTTGTTGATGGACATTTTGGATGTTCCCAGTTTGGGACTACTATAAATAAAACAGTTATGAATATCTGCTGCAAGTCTTGTTGTGGACATATGCACTCATTTCTATAGGAGTAAAACTGCTGAATGATAGGTTAAGTATATGCACATATTCATTAGAAACTGCCAAGCTCTTCTTCAAAGTGATTGTCACATTTACACTGTTACCAACAATGCATGGAGGTTTCATTTGTGTCCACATTCCCACTAACATGCGTATTGTTATTCTTTTGACCTTCACGATTCTTGTGGGTGTATAGTGCTATTGCACTGTGGTTTAACAAGAGTTCTTGAGGACTGTTGATTGCAGATACCTAATTTTAAGAGAAGTATGTGTAAATTGTGCATTTTTCAAACATATTTTTGTACAAAAAGCAGCAATTACTTTGTCTCCCTGTGCCTTTGCTATTCATGGAAAAACGGGAATATTAGTAGTACTATCTTATACTGTGACCCTGAAGAGTAAATGAGATAAATTTAGCACAGTGCCAGACACATAGTAATCACTTTATATAAAATGTTAACTATTATTGTGAGTAAAGGCAATATATTGTTTTTTCATCATTGTTAGTATTATTGAGAGGCAGAATGGCATAGTATTTATTGCCTGTGTTCAAATCCTGGCTTTACCACTTACTAACTAATGACTTTAGGCAAGTTACTTAATTTCCCTGTGTCTCAGTTTCCTCATCTATACAATGGGAATAATGCAGCACCTGTTTCATAAGATTTTGTGATACTAAATGAGTCAATAGGTTTCTTGGCACATAATAAACAAGATAAATGTGTTGGCTGTTATTATTACTAACAGGGTGCTGTTATTACTTTATATCTTTCTTACGAGTATATCTCTTTAAAGTAGCAATTTATTTAAATGTTTTCATTTTAGCATATTGATAGAATATTAATTTTAATCCAGCAATCCAGTTTACCTAAATATTCTCCAAAATAAAAGTTGAAACTTTTTTTTTAAGTGTAGGCAGTTCTCTTGGTATTGGGTTTGTGTCAATTATCTCTTGCTGTGTCACAAACCCCAAAACTCAGTGGCCTAAATCATTGGCCACTAATTTAGTGTACAATTCTGGAGGTCAGCAGTTTTGACTGGGCTCTGCTGATGTTTACCCTGGTCTTGAATGCATGGATGGTCAGCTCTGTTTCTAGCAGTTGAGTTGCTTCAGTTAGTGGAAGCATTTGAACCATACATCTTATCAGCCAGCCAGCTTTCCCTAGCTTGTTCCCATGGTGGTGAGGCAGGCCAAACTGTAAAGAGCAAAGAGCAGAAGCAAGGTCTCTGGAGGCCCAGCCTTAGCTCTTGTGCAGTGTTGCTTCCACCATGTTTTATTCCTAGTGTAAATCATAAGATTTAGGGACCTGAGAAACAGACAAAACCTATTGATGTCAGGAGCTGCCAAGTTACATTGCAAAGGAAAGGCAGAAGAGTTGTGACTTTTTTTTTTTTTTTACTGAATACCTCACTCAAGAGCTTGTTAAGAATAGGCTGTCTCTGGGGTAGGTGCGGTGGCTCACGCCTGTAATCCCAGCACTCTGGGAGGCCAAAGCTGGTGGATCACTCGAGCTGTGAAGTTTGAGTCCAGCCTGGACAACATGGCGAAACCCAGTCTCTGCAAAAGCATACAAAAATTGCTGGGCATGGTGGCAGACACCTGTAATCCAAGCTACTCGACAGGCTGAGATGGGAGGATCGCTTGAGCCTGGGAGGCAGATGTTGCAGTGAGCCGAGATCGTGCCACTGCACCACAGCCTGGGTGACAGTGAGACCTGTTTCAAAAACAACAACAACAACAAAAAAGAATAGGCTGTCTCTAATTCTTTCTTTTTTTAATTATTAATATACTTTAAGTTTTAGGGTACATGTGCACAACGTGCAGGTTTGTTACCTATGTATACATGTGCCATGTTGGTGTGCTGCACCCATTAACTCGTCATTTAGCATTAGGTATATCTCCTAATGCTATCCCTCCCCTCTCCCCCAACCCCACAACAGTCCCCGGTGTGTGATGTTCCCCTTCCTGTGTCCACGTGTTCTCATTGTTCAATTCCCACCTGTGAGTGAGAACATGCGGTGTTCAGTTTTTTGTCCTTGTGATAGTTTGCTGAGAATGATGGTTTCCAATTTCATCCATGTCCCTACAAAGGACATGAACTCATCATTTTTTATGGCTGCATAGTATTCCATGGTGTATATGTGCCACATTTTCTTAATCCAGTCTATCATTGATGGACATTTGGTTTGGTTCCAAGTCTTTGCTATTGTGAATAGTGCTGCAATAAACATACATGGGCTTGTGTCTTTATAGCAGCATGATTTGTAATCCTTTGGGTATATACCCAGTAATGGGATGGCTGGGTGAAATGGTATTTCTAGTTCTAGATCCCTGAGGAATCGCCACACTGACTTCCACAATGGTTGAACTAGTTTACAGTCCCACCAACAGTGTAAAAGTGTTCCTATTTCTCCACATCCTCTCCAGCACCTGTTGTTTCCTGACTTTTGAATGATCGCCATTGTAACTGGTGTGAGATGGTATCTCATTGTGGTTTTGATTTGCATTTCTCTGATATCCAGTGGTGATGAGCATTTTTTCATGTGTTTTTTGGCTGCATGAATGTCTTCTTTTGAGAAATGTCTGTTCATATCCTTCGCCCACTTTTTGATGGGGTTGTTTGTTTTTTTCTTGTAAATTTGTTTTAGTTTATTCTAGATTCTGGATATTAGTCCTTTGTCAGATGAGTAGGTTGCGAAAATTTTCTCCCATTCTATAGGTTGCCTGTTCACTCTGATGGTGGTTTCTTTTACTGTGCAGAGGTCTTTAGTTTAATTAGATCCCATTTGTCAGTTTTGTCTTTTGTTGCCATTGCTTTTGGTGTTTTAGACATGAAGTCCTTGCCCATGCCTATGTCCTGAATCGTATTGCCTAGGTTTTTTTCTAGGGTTTTTATGTTTTTAGGTCTAACATGTGAGTCTTTAATCCATCTTGAATTAATTTTTGAATAAGGTGTAAGGAAGGGATCCAGTTTCAGCTTTCTACATATGACTAGCCAGTTTTCCCAGCACCATTTATTAAATAGGGAATCCTTTCCGCATTTCTTGTTTTTATCAGGTTTGTCAAAGATCAGATAGTTGTAGATATGCAGCATTATTTCTGAGGGCTCTGTTCTGTTCCATTGATCTATATCTCTGTTTTGGTACCAGTACCATGCTGTTCTGGTTACTGTAGCCTTGTAGTATAGTTTGAAGTCAGGTAGCGTGATGCCTCCAACTTTGTTCTTTTGGCTTAGGATTGACTTGGCGATGCGGGCTCTTTTTTGGTTCCATATGAACTTTAAAGTAGTTTTTTCCAGTTCTGTGAAGAAAGTCATTGGTAGCTTGATGGGGATGGCGTTGAATCTATAAATTACCTTGGGCAGTATGGCCATTTTCATGATATTGATTCTTCCTACCCATGAGCATGGAATGTTCTTCCATTTGTTTGTATCTCTTTTATTTCATTGAGCAGTGGTTTGTAGTTCTCCTTGAAGAGGTCCTTTACATCCCTTGTAAGTTGGATTCCTAGGTATTTTATTCTCTTTGAAGCAATTTAATTATTTCAGTGGAAGTTACTAAAGAACATTGAAGTTTGTTAGAAAAAAAGAGGATGTCACTGTAATATACCATAATTGACAAGTAATAACTATTTGAGTACTAACTGGAGGAGACCAAGCTTAAATGGTTATTCCTGGGAAGAATGATTTGTCTCAGGGTGCGTAGATACAAATGTTACCAACCCACCATGACAAAGTTTAGGCAAATACAAAGAGCAACACTAACTTTGATATTGTATAGAACAAAAGGGCACAAGAAGAATAAAATGGTCCACAGATATTGCAGGTGACATGTACTATATGCAACAGGTGTTTGTTTAGGTTATGTTATCACCCTTTGCTCTGAAAAAAAAAAACAACAAAAAACTATAATTCCAATGAGGTAGAAAATTGGATTGTAACAGAAAACTCACCTTTCAGATGTTCTTGAAAGATCTTCAATGTAGTATTCTAAAAGTTCTATTGAATTATTTTAAACCATGTTATTTCTATTTTCTTCTGAAAAGAACTAGGTGACATTAAAGAAGTCTGGATAGAGGAATGGAAACAATTTCAAAAAGTCTTTCTTCAGGCCTTTGATCATAGGCATTATTTTCAATTTGGATGAACTGGGGTATTCTGACTACCTAAGAAGTCTATTGTCAAAATCTGAATTTATTCTGCAATATAAATTCAGTTTGGGTACTTTAAATGTCAACCGTAATGTCTTTCAATCAGTTTATTACTGAGATTTTTCCAGATTTGATGTGTGGTATCAAATAACTTACATTATTTGCAACTATGAGAATGCACAGAAAGCTTCGTAATTTACATCTAAAAGGAATGCAGGACAGATTTGGTTTTAGTTTTATTTTAAAATTTTCATCAGAAGGAAATCATCTGTATACATCATACTGTTGAATATTTCCAAATGATGTTAAACATTCTGATGCTTTAACAATTACATTAAAAATTACAGAATTGATTTAAGATTGTGTTAAGAGGTTATGTTGTTGCTTTTGAAAACAGTGAGATAAGATAAATCAGATTCCATCTCCTCAGTGCTGCCTATGCTGACCTGCCTATATAAAATAGCAAATCCCATACATCGTCTGTCTGATTTCACCCTGCCCATTTAATCCCCACGCATTTTAGACTTATAAAATACTGTATATTTTTCTTACTTGTTATTTTTATTTTCCGTCTACCTACAAATAAATTTGAGCTTCATGCGACCAGAGGTTTTTGATTGTTATGTGTTTTGGTTTGCTTGTTTTTGTGTGTTTTGTTTGTTTGTTTTGTTTTGTTTTCTTTTGTTTTGTCTGAGACAGAGTCTCACTCTGTCACCCAAGCTGGAGTGCAGTGGCACAATCACAGCTCACTGCAGCCTCCACCTCCTTGGGCTCAAGCAGTCCTCCCATCTCAGCCTCCTGAGTAGCTGGGACCAGAGGCACATGCCACCACACCTGGCTAATTCTTATAGGTTTTGCTAGAGACAGGGTTTCACTATGTTGCCCAGGCTAGTGTCGAACTCCTGAGCTCTAGCATCCTGCCTGCCTTGGCCTCCCAAAGGGTTGGGTTTTCAGGTGTGAGCCAGCGTGCCTGGTCATCTGTTATGTTAAGTGAAGAATACTTAGCAGCTGGAAGAGTGCTTGGCACAAAGTGAACACTAGGTAGATGTTGGTTGAATGAACAATTAGGTTGATAAATGAAGGCATTTAATTAAGAATGTAATTAGTAGCAAATCACCTTTAAAAATATATCTCATTTTATGTTTAAAAATAATTACAAATGTATAATTTTAACCTCCTCCTTTAAGGTTCTTGTCGTCTTGTCAGTCGAATTAAAATCTAGCCTTAACTTTTTTCTTGAAATTTAACAGGCTTATTTTCACACCTGGCTTTTGTTCTTGTAGTTGTAATTAGTCAGAATTAGTATATTAATTTTTAAACACACACTACCTCATCTTTTGCTCTACTTATCAAATTATCTAATTAAACCTTGAATTTTCAGAAAATAGTTTCCCAATTGCATTCTGTGTATATCAAAATGCCCTTGAAAAAAATGGAATTTGAAAATTTCTTTCTTCTGTCCCCCGACTCTTGCCTCTTTCTTAGTCTCTCCGTCCATATATCTCTCCTTTTCTCTCATACAATTTAATAGAGAATGAATTTCCATCTTTGGTACATTCATATTAAAAATCTAATGCCACATATGTGGAGGAAAAATCATATAGCTACATTTCAACCAAAAAAGTATTGTGTATGAAATATATATTCTATAGTTTACTTAGTGAATGTTATTCCTGAAGACTACAAGTGGCAGCAAAGAAATTACGTGGCATATATGTGTAGATTAAGCATGGAATGAGTATTGTTTTAAAATTAACCTATTACCTGTATGGCCATGATAGTTTTTGTGAGGAGTAAATTAATGCATATATGGGAGAAGGCTTTGTAACATGTGAAACACTTGGTATATGAGAATTTGTATTGAAATGATTAGACATTAAAGCATCTTGTTCATAAAATTTTGATAATCTTCTTTTAGCCATTTCTTCAAAGTCACTTCTATTTTTGTCAAATTTCACCTGTCGGGGGGTTTTTAGCTTCTGACCTCAGTATTGTTTCAGTGGCTGAGATTAAACAGCATTCTGACTTGTACACAGACAAGTAACTGTGCTAATATCCAGTGAAATTGAAAATGGACAGGAAATCTTTATACAGCTAAGGAACAAATAAATGATAAGAGAATTAATCCAGCATTATTGTTCAGAAAATTAAACACTTGAGCAGATTAACAAAACACATTATAAAATTTGGATTATTTGTGAAGAGTTGCAACATTTGGGGAATGTTTTTATTAAATGAATCTTTTATTTTACTGGATGCTAATGAAAACAAACTCATTATTTTTTATTTGGGGTACGAGTGTTTTTTGGTGACATGGATGAATTATATAGTTGTGAATTTTGAGATTGTAGTGGACCCGTCACCCGAGTAGTGTACGTTGTACCTAATATGTAATTTTCTATCCCATACCCCCACCCTCTTTCTTCTGAATCTTCAAAGTCCATTATATCACACTGTCTGCCTCTCAAGCTCATATTATTGAAGACTTTTCCCTATAATTTTATATTATTTTTATGCCATAATCTGATGCTTAATTTCTATTTTATTTATTAAGTATGTTTATTTTAGGGTTAACATTCATAATGATCATAAAAATCAGGTAAGCTACAGTAGATGTAGAAATTTAACGTGTGTACACAACAGAATATTTCATGAAATTTGTGTTTAAAAACTTGATTTACATGATTAAATCATTTATGTAGTTTTGAAATCAGTGTTATATTCTCCTCAAAATAAATTGCATGGAAGTTTTAATAGGAATCTCCCACATACAGTATAATTATTTATCTAAAACATAATAGTAAATATGTTTATAAATTTTACTCAAGTTTAAATATAAATAGCGTTTACCGCATTAAAATATGAATTTATCTTATTTTATTACATCAAATTGTTTGTCAGGGTCATATTTTATTTAGCGTTCCACTAATGACTACTTGAAATAAATCAGAGAAGGTAAGTCCCATAACAGCTTATGATCTAGGTCAGTCTCTTCAGATGAAGATAATGAAGTGATTTGAAAAACTGACTCTATTACTGAATAGTGGTATGCTTACTTGAGATAGATTATTTATAGCCCCTGCAAACAAGAGCAGAGTTATTTTATATTACTGAGACATTTTGAACAAGAATGTTAGACAGAGTGAATTGAATAACTTTTCTTAGGATTTAGCTCATTTTCTATCATTTCACATGTGTTGACTTTTAAAAATCTATTTTTAATTATTTCAACTGGCAATTTAATAAATACATTTGCATAATGTCCTGAAAGTTCAGGGTAGATTTGTATGTGTAACGTTCTCAAAATAGAGGGGAGAATTGTTGGGAAAGCTTTGCATGTTTTATCTTAAGCAATACTTTTTCCTTAAAACCAAAGACATTGAAAATTACAGCCACAGGTGGATGTTTGTTTTGAGCTAAAATAGTTAACAGTCTCATTTATGAGTCCTTGCTCTTTCCATTTAGCCCCATCAAAAGGGATGAGTTTATTTACACAGTGACCGTCTTTTTTTTTTTTTTTTTTTTTTTTTTTTTTGAGATGGAGTCTTGCTCTGTCTCCAGGCTGGAGTGCAGTGGCACAGTCTCGGCTCACTGCAACCTCTGCCTCCCGGGTTCAAGCGATTTCCCTGCCTCAGCCTCTCGAGTAGCTGGGATCACAGGCGCGCGCCACCATGCCATCTAATTTTTTGTATTTTCGTAGAGATGGGGTTTCACCATGTTGGCCAGGATGGTCTCCATCAACAGACCTTGTGATCCACCCACCTCGGCCTCCCAAAGTGCTGGGATTACAGGTGTGAGCCACCGTGCCTGGCCGATCCTTCTTTATTTTTAATAAAATCTTTAATCAGAGAAACCTGGAAAATAGCATGAAGGCGTGTCCATTTGGTGGCTTCCAGATAGGAACTTGATTTACCTGCAGGAAGTGACAGCTTAGTAAATGATCCTTTTGAAAATATTGCTGTTATTACTCTTTAAATCCGGATTTGTATTAAGCCATCCTTGCTATGTCCTTGATCCTTCTTTGAATCCATTGCAGACTGAAATATCTCAATCCGCCAGATGTTCTGGTACTGAACAATAGCTGTACAATAATAATGATACAATCTCAAACACATCACAGATGCACTGTTAGTATCCATTACTGTAGAAGAAAAAACTTTGTTAGCACACGCTAATTACTTCTGTGATGGGGAGGAAAACAAAAATCCATATTAATTTATATCTTTATGGTCTGCATTATATTTCTTCATGAATAATCTATCTTAACCATTTATTAAACTATGAATACATTTTTATAAATCTGGTTGACATTTAGGTATTTTATTAAACACAATAAATGCCAGAGGAAATTGAATTAAGAAAGCTTGTAATACGCTTTACTACTAGTTAAAAAAAATTTGTAGCTGTAAATGGTTCTGCTCTATATCAAGAATAAATCTGTTCCCAGACCACAGAATTCTTGTTCTTTTTCATACCAGAGGCCCTGATCTTTTTTGTTGATAGCTGGTTTTTAACAGCTTCACCATATGTTTTATTCCTTTTGATTTGTAAGAAATTTGATTATCAGCCTTGAACAGAAATCATAATCACAGCAAAAGGAGGCAAGTAACTTGGGGAATAATACAGAGTCATTTGAACAGCAGTGTGAAGTCTGAGTTTAACTGACTCAGATGCCCACTCTAGTAGAGCACTCATCAGACTTCAGACCGAATCCACTTCGGACAGAGAAGTCTCCATAAGGTATTCAGACTGGCTTCCCCTGTCTTTAAAACAAATAAATAAACTCTACTTAATATAATAATAACTGAATTTAAGTATTTCCACAGATTAGCAATTTACGTGAGAGAAATCAGCAATAACATCAAGCATATAGCCTGAAAGTCTGAAATTGATGAGAGGGATACAATTGGAGCCACTAGTTATTAATCATACGTGTGTATGTGCATGTGCACGTGTGTGTGTGTTTGTGTACAATTCTGTCTAAATTGGAACTGATCTTAAACCCATTTATATTTTTTTGTGGCAGAAATTTTATGAGGTAGGCAGGGTGAAGGAAGGCACTATTAACTTTGACTTTATAAAACTTAGAATTGGGCTGGGCACAGTGGCTCATGCCTGTAATCCCAGCACTAAGGGAGGCTGAGGCGGGTGGTTCATGAGGTCAGGAATTTGAGACCAGCCTGGCCAACATGGGGAAACCATGTCTCCACTAAAAATACAAAACTTAGCCGGCATGGTGGTGCACACCTGTAATCTCAGCTACTGAGGAGGCTGAGGCAGGAGAATCACTTGAACCCAGGAGGTGGAGTTTACAGTGAGCTGAGATCGTGCCACTGCACTCCAGCCTGGGTGACAGAGCGAGACTCCATCTCAAAAAACAAACAAACAGACATCTTAGAATTGTTTGGCTCTACGTTGGTTATGTAATTTGAAACAAATATATGTTGTGGGATAATCTTAACGTGAGCTAACTGGTATATATTAACTAAAGTCGTTGAAATATTTAATTTTGAAATGCAATAATATTTTCTCAAATTAATGCTCCCGCCTGAAAATCTGTGAGCCAGATAGTAATAATTAACTTCTACCTCTACCTAGGATTCCTCCACCTCCAACTATTTTATCATTGGAAATGCATGAAGGACAAACAACTCACCATTTCTGCCCACTTTAGATGCTAAGGTGATATTGATCACTTTGTCCCATGTGGAAGAACATCTAATGATATGTTGGGATGTCTCATCCATAAGTTTATTAGTCAATCTTATGTTTTATTTGTACCTAGCAATGCCAAGCACACTGTATGTGCTTCATTAATACTTGTGAATAAATATGTGAATGAAATTTCAAAAACCATGAGGTGCCCTTTTGTGGATTCAATATGTTTTGTATAATGGTGGAGCCACCCTGGAAGAAGCTGCTTTGTTTACCCATAACAGCTTATATTTATTGTGTGAGACATTGTCCTTCACAGTTTACATATATAATGATGATATAGTCTTCAAGAGTATGAAGTATAGATACTGTTAACATCTGTTTTCAGATAAGGTGCTGGCACTTAGAAAAGTTAGGTAACTTTTCAATCATTCCAGATTTCCTAAGACATAGAGCCATGGCGTAAATCTGTGCACTTGTTTTAAAATAATACAGCTTTATTGAGATGAAATTTATATACCATATAGTTTACTTTTTTAAAGTGTACAATTTAGTATATTCAGAGTGAATAATAATTATAATACTAATTCATCATTACAATCAATTTTAGAATGTTTTTATCACCCCTGCCCCCCAAAATTGCTTCCACTCGTTTCCCCTATTCACTCCCCAACCCAGCTCTGGACAACCACTAATCCACTTTCTGTCCCGACATTTCATTAAATGGAAGCAGGCGATATGTGGTTCTTTATGACTGACTTATTTCACTTAGTCTATTGGTTTTTAAGGTTCACCAGGTTATAGCATGTATCAATTTCTTTTTATTGCAGAAAAATATTACATTGTATGGATATACCACATTTTATTTATTTATTCATTAGATGATGGATATTAATCAATGCTCATTTGACCACAGCTGTCTGTTATCTGTCTTTCTCATGACTTTGGATTAAATTACTACTATAGCAGGTCTCTCATACCTTGCAATTTCAGCAGCTCCGTTGTTCAGCGCTGCTAGTTCTCTTTCAGCACTACCGCAGAGGACAGCTCCAAGTTTATGGTTTCTGAGTCCCACAGGCGCCTCTGATTCTGCCTAGCTGAGATCCTCAGAGAGGTATAATAAAGCAAGCAAATCTGGGTAGGAGCACAGCGACTTTCCCTCTGTCTGCAGGTATTTAGAGCTGATTGTATCCTCAGAATACTGTGTAAACGGTATATTTTGTGTCACAATAGATTATCACCTTTGGATTTTTCATTTTCAATAGGAATTAGATTATGGCATCTTTGGTTGAGTGTTATTTAGATTTCCTGTAAATCTAGGTTACATATAAGTAGGTAAGATGCACAGTGAAATTCAGTCCATCTATCTTTTGATGGGTTATTCGAAGTAGTAGTATTAAGGATCATTTGGTGAAATTACTTGTTCATTACATTGTAATGGGAAGTTAGAAGCCAATATGTAAGTAGATAATTTCTTTTACAATATATTTTCTTTTCAAGTTTAGATTTATATGCTTATTAACTTTATCCTTCATATCAAATTAAATTTGTTATTGAATGCCTTATGTAATAATCATGTAGCTTAGTTACAATGCTCAATCTTCTGTCATAAGGTATATTTGTATACTTAAGAATGAAATTAATTACACGTTATAAACATCACAGTGGAAAATATTAGTTGGATTATTAATCTACACCATTTACATTCTATGAAACATATTTAGGGCCAGATTCTATTAGTACTTTTAAAAATTTTACATGATCCTTGACATTGATTATGATTAAAGACAGACCAAAGGGAGGAAAGGGGTGTTATATCACTTATGAGGAAGACACTTAACATCTTTTCGCTTGAGTTCACAACATAATTTAGATGAAACACTGTTGGCCTTGGTAATTAGGAAAATAATAAAGGCGAGGAGTTGGCTTTATCACATTGTGTGAACTGACCCAACAATAATGTGTCAGAAATACAGCATATTCCCAGTTTGTTTGCTCAACAGAAGCAGATAAACAGAAGGAGCTTTCTCTAAGCCACATACATTACAATGGAGACATAAATTACAATGGAGCTTTTTCCATTGTAATTTATGTCTCCATTGTAATGTATGTGGCTTGGGACCATTGTCTTTGTAATAATCTGGTAAGATTGTATCTTTTGAAAACATCAAATGTGTTATTTTTTCAAAGTGATTTGGCCAACGGGGAAATTATGCAGTTATTTATTTATTTATTCATAAGCCACTAATAAGGGCAAAACTGAGATTCTAAAATGATTAGAATAATAATAAGGGTGTTAAAAAGTGATTTTTCACTTCCTATGGCAAGCAGAATTCACTTATAGGTCCATTTCCCTGGTGCTGCTATGACCTTTATATTCATTTTATGCTCAGAGCTATCAATTGTTTTCAAATGTTGACACTTGAAAAATCGCTGTATGAATGATCATGTAGTTCCCACAGTTATTGGTGCTAGAAATTTCTGATTCTACTCTGGCCTGGGCAGCTGTCAGCCTAGCATGGCAGTAAGTAGCTTTCTTACCTATTAGAGAATGCCCTCAGTTCAAAGAAAGGAGACATATGTGACAACTGAGAGGGTTAATTGTTCCTATAAATGAATTCATTGAAAAGTATTTCACAGCACACTTGTTTCAGGCAAGTCTCTGAGAATTATTTTATTTATTGTTTTTTTGGTTGATCATGACCTTTTATTGTGTTTATTTGCTTAATATTCTGAATCAACCTATTGCTGAATTTCTAAGTAATGTACTTTATTAGTTGCTAAATTTAACTTATCCTTTCTTATATACCAATGATATAGTTTCCAAATCTTAGATTCTTCTTGAATAGTACTTTCTCTTTATGTTGACCAATTCATATACTATACTTTGATGAAATTATTTTTGTGAATCTTCTTTTTTTCTAAATGAGATATTCATGTATGATAAACATAACCTTTTTAAAGTACGCAAGTCAGTGGTTTGTAGTATATTCTCAGATTGTGCAGCCATTATCATTATTAAATTCCATAATATTTTCAAAACCAAAGGAAACCCAGGACCCATTAGCAGCCACTCCATATTTACCTGTCCATCAACTCCTAACAACCACCAATGTACAATCTGCCTGTATAGATTTGCCTGTTCAAGAAGTGTAACACAAATAGAGTAACATTATATGTAGAGTTTTGTGTCTGACTTCTTTCAGTTAGCATGACGTTTTAAAATTAATCCATGTTATAGCATGTATCAGTACTTCACTTATTTTTATGGCTGAGTTATATTTGATTCTATGGATATACAACATTTTGTTTATTCATTCATCATTTGATGGACTTTGGGGTTGTTTTTATTTTTTGTAATTATAAATAATGTTGCTTTGAATATTGTGTACAAGGTTTTGTGTGGAATATGCTTTTATTTTGCTTAGATGTCCTAGGAGTGGAATTGCTGGGTCATATGGTAAAGCTATGATGAACTTTTTGAAGAGTGATAAATGAAACTGTTTACCAAAGTGTTTGCATCATTTTACATTCTCAGCAACAATGCATGAGGGTTTTTATTTCTTCCCATTCTTGTCAGCTCTATATGTTGCTAGATTTGTGGTTGCTTGTTTTTTAACTATAGTCATCTAAGTGAATGGAAAGTGTTTCTCATTGTGGATTTGATTTGCATGTCTCTAATTGCTAATGATTTGAGCATCTTTCATGTACTTGTTGGACAGTTGTGTATCATCTTTGGATAAATGTCTGTTCAAATTTTTGTCTATTTTTTAACTGGGTCTTTTTTCAATATTTAATTATAAGAGTTCTTGATATATTCTGGATATATTTTGGCTATGTAGTCTAAGTCGTCAGACATTGTTTTTTTTCAGGATGTTTCAGTTACTTGGAGCGTCTTGAATTTCCATATGAATATAAGGACCATCTTTATAATTTCTGCAATACAACAACCTTAAACTTTTACAAGGATTACATAGAATCTGTAAATCAATTTGGAGGTATTGCAATCTTAACACTAGTAAATATTCCATTCCATGAACACGGGATGTCTTCCCATTTATTTAGGTCTTTTTAAAATTTCTTTCAATGATGTTGTCTAGTTTTCAGTGTACACATCTTTAATATACTGATTTTATTAAATTTGTTCCTAAGTATTTTATTATTTTTGATATTTTAAATGAAATTTTTTTATTTCATGTTTGAATTGCTCATTGCTAGTGTATAGAAATAAAACTTATATTTATATATTGAACTTGTATCCTAGAATTTTGCTTGAACTTGTTTATTAAATCTAAAATTTTCTGTGGATTCCATAGGATTTTCTATGTAGAAGAAATTGAGATAGTTTTGTTCATTCCTTCCAATCTAGGCACATTTTATTTTATTTTATTTTTCCTAATTGTCCTAGTTAGGACCTCCACTACAATTGAATTGAAATAGCAAGGCCGGGCGCAGTGGCTCACGCCTGTAATCCCAGCACTTTGGGAGGCTGAGGCGGGCAGACCACAAGGTCAGGAGATGAAGACCATCCTGGCTAACACGGTGAAACCCCGTCTCTACTAAAAATACAAAAATGTAGCCGGGCGTGGTGGCGGGCGCCTGTAGTCCCAGCTACTGGGGAGGCTGGGGCAGGAGAATGGCGTGAACCCGGGAGGCGGAGCTTGCAGTGGGCCGAGATTGTGCCACTGCACTCTAGCCTGGGCGACAGAGCAAGACTCCATCTCAAAAAAAAAAAAAAAAATAGCAAGACAACCATTCTTGTCTTCTTTTTGATCTCACGGGAAAAGCTTTCATCTTTTACTGATAAGTATGATGTTAGCTGTGAGATGCCCATTTCTGCAGGTGCCCTTTTTTAGGTTTAGGATCTTCCTTCCAAGGATTTTCCTTTCTAGTTCCTTGAGTGTTTTTTTATCATGGAAGAGTGTTGCATTTTTTAAATACTTTTTATGCATGTATCAAATGATCATGTGGCTTTTGTTCTTTATTGTATTAATATGGTGTGCTACATTGATTGATTTTTATATGTTGAATTAATCTTGCTTTACTTGAATAATCTGGTCTATATCATTGCTTTACTTGAATAATCTGTTGTGGTCATAATTCTTTTTATCTGTTGCTAGATTTGGTTTCTTGAAAATTTTTGTGTCTATCTTCATAAGGAGTATTAATTTGTAGCTTTCTTATGATGTTCTTGTCTGGTTTGGGTATCATGGTAATAATGGGCTTATGTAATGAGCCTGGAAGTGTTTCTTTGTCTTCTAGTTTTTGAAGAATTTCAATAAACATTTTGTGGAATGTACCGGTGAAGCCTTCTGCTCATGGACTTTTTTATGAGAAGTTTCTTGATTACTAATTTATTTACTTTCCTTGACACAGGGTTATTCAGATTTTCTGTTTCTTCTTGAATAAATTTCAGTAGTTTTTGTCTTTCTAGGAATTTTTCTATTTTTGTCTAAATTATCTAATTTGTTGATAACGTAGTGGTTTATAGTAATTGCCTTATAATCCTTTTTATTAAAATATCTGTAAATTCTGTTGTTATCCCCCCTTTTATTCTCAATTTTAGGATTTTGAATTTTCTCAATTGTTTTGTCAGTCTAGCTAAAGTTGTGTCAATTTTATTTACATTTTCTAAGACCCAATTTTTGTTCCATTGATTTTTTTCTGTTGTTTTTTGTTTGCAATTCCCTTTATATTTTACTCCAGTCTTTATTATTTTCTCCCTTCTGTTGCTCTTCTTTTCCAGGGTTTCAAGGTGGAAAGTTAAGTTATTGATTTTAAATTTTTATTCTTTTTAAATATACGCATTCAAAGCTTTACATTTTCTTTGAAGCACAGCTTTAGCTTCATCTTTTAAGTTTTGGCATATTCTGTTATCATTTTCATGCATCTCAAAGTCTGAAAGTAATTTCCCTTTTGATTTTTTTCTTGACCCCTTGGTTATTTATGGATAAGTTATTTATTTTCCACATATTTACAAATTTCCCAAATTTGCTTTTAGTTTTGATTGCTAATTTAATTTTATTGTGGTCAGAGAACGTTTTATGATTTTATTCCTTTTAAACTCATTGAAGTTTGTTGTATCATTTTTTATATTATTTATAAAACCGTTAATATTTCAATATCTCTAAAATGTAGGAAAAATGTATATAAAATATAGTCTGTAGATCTTTTACAGTCTAAGTTGAAAAATGTTTTCAATGCACTTAAGAAGAATGTGTATTCTACTGTTTGGAGTGGAGTGTTCTATACCTGTTTGCTGGTCTAGTTTGTTTATGGTGTTAAATCTTCTGGATCCTTTTTGATCTTCTGTCTGATTTTCTTTCCACTATTTAAAGAAGGATTTTGAAGCTTTTCAACTATTATTGTTGAATTTTCTATTTCTTCTTTCATTTCTATCAGTTTCCCTTCCTCTATTTTGAGTCTTTGTTTTTTAGGTGCGTGTAAGTTTATAGGTATTATTTTTTACTGGCAGATTGACCCTTTTCTCATTATAAAATCTGTTCATCTGTACTAAAATTTTTGGCTTAAAGTATTGAAGTGTGATATTAGTAATGCTGTTCCAGCTCTTTTTTTGGTTACTGTTTGCATATGTCCTTTTCTGTCTTTTAACTTTCAGCCTGTTTTTGTCTTTGAACCTAAAATATTTCAGTTGTAGACAATATATAGTTAGATCATGTGTTTTTTAAAAGCCAGTGTATAAATATCTACCTTTTAATTACAGCGCTTAATATATTTATATTTGCTATAATTACAAAGTAATATTGATGCCTGTGTTTCCTACTTGTTTTTTATATGACTTATTTCTTTTTGTTTGCGACTCTTGTTTCTTCCCCATTTCCATCAACATCCCTGCAGTCCAGGCCTTCACATGGCAGGGAAATGACAGATGTATTATACCCTGTTTAGGTAATTGTTGCCATTTCAGAATGGAGTCCCAGTGATGCTTGGTCTTTTAATATATGAGTGGAAATCAGAATTTTTAAGTTTTTGGAACACTTCAATATTTTAATGTTGACAACTAATAGAGTTTTTAAAAAATACATTAGACATAGTTTGTGGAACAAGCAAGTTATGTCTAATGAGCACATGGAATCAAAGAGAAACCATTTGCCACCTCTGTTTTCCACATGTGGAAAGTCTCAGGACCAGCTCAATTCTGGCATGCTTGCTTTCATATATGTTGTTTACTGATACTTACATAAATATTTCCTATCTGTAAAATAGTGGGAAATAGAAATAGTAAAAGCTTACTTGTATTAAATACTTTATGGTATGCTGGTGATGTTTATGTCCCTACCTCTTTTTATATCAACTTATTTTAGTTTTCAGGTGGAATATGTTCAAATTTTATCAGACTCCAATCAAATACTGCAGTAGTTTCTAAGTCTTAGAGCTGTTGGTACCAGATGGATGGATGGATGAATTTGTGTTCTCATGATTGAGACATTACGATAAGGGGAAAGAGTATTACAGCAACAGACAAATGACTTGGCTTTAGCCCTCAACTAATTTATTGGGTGCTTTTCAAGTTTCCTACTCTTATAAACTTCAGTTTTCTCTTCTATAAAATGAAAAGATTAGCCTTGATCATTTTTAAAGTCCCCCAGGCTAACATTGGCTATGACTGACACTGTGGAGCTATGGGATCTGCATGAGAAATTTTTCTCAGTCAGTACAGCATGCACAAGGGAGAATGGCTTTATTTTATGTCACAATGCAGAATGTCTGTTGTTTGCTATCCCTAAAAGTGATGTCCTCTATGATTTACAAAGCCTATGGAGACATTTGCAGCATAAGGGACCGCCTTCCCACTTTTTCACCTCAGCACATGCTACCTCATCACACTTTCTCCTTATTTTTAGTTTTATGCCATCATCTGCAGGTAATGTTTGACCTAAAACCTACACCATTACTTGTTCCCTTTTAAAAATGGCTTCACTTGTACCCCAATGGCATATCGAGCACCTGTGAGACTTCAGGTGTTGTTTGATAGTTTAACTAAAATTACCATGATTATCTGTGTATATGAAAGGCTTTTAACCCTCCACTACCTAAAACTCACTCGTTCTGTGCTCTCACTTGTTTTCTATTATAATACAGAAATAAAAGGATTGCATTTGAATACTGAAAAATTGTCTTACTGCCAGTGCTTGAGTGCACAAATCCGGTTAACTCTCAAATGATAGCTATTCAACCTGTCTTTCAAAGCAGTAGATGTGTTTTGAAAATTTCACATTTGATTTATAAACAAAAAGACTCCCTTGACTTTATCCTCCTGTTTTCCAGACTTTTTTATTTTTTAAGAATGAAAAATAACAGCTAAGGAATGTGGCCTGGAATGAAAATATCCGAATCAGAAGCAAACAGAATAAAAACACACCTACCTTTCCCCCTGAAATAACATTAATGTCTTATTGGATCTGACAAAATTCAATGAATTTCTAATTAAAGACTGTTTCCCCACTCCTGATTCAACCTGTCCTGCCTAGCAGTAGTAGCAAGAATGAGTCATAGTCTCTTCAGAAAGTAAAGCATTGCAGATTGAGTTAATGATGAATTTTTCCCCCTTGATTTGAAATACTCTTGCCTCTGTCTTTCCGTCAACCCTAGAATAGTACCTTGATTTGTAATTTTATATTGATTTTAATTTGCTTCATTATTTTTCTTGTAGCCATTAAAAATATATCAAACAGAATCATACTTGACAAGAAGCATAAAGAAACCTTCCACTGATACTGGAACTGTTGGGTTTTCTTTCTACTGAAGCTTTTAATGATTCTTTGCCAATCTACTTTTTAATCATCTGAAGTAAAAGTAGTATAAAGCGTGTTACTTGAAGCATTCTTGACAGAGAATGCAGCTGTGCACCTGTGAGAACAAATAACTGATGTTCCTTTTGGTCACTCAGCAGGAATAGCATTTTAATAGGTTTCTTCACTGATCCGGCATGCTAAGAGTAGTTTGTAGTGTGCATTTAATCTACTGTCTGTATAGGTAGCTCATTATGTCAAGGAAAGGCTTATGCACATTTATAATACTTTGTAAACTGTATGATTAGATCATTATTTAGAAAATTGCTTGTATGGGAAATGGTTGAATAGAAACATGTTTTCCAAGCAATTACGTTTCCTTCTTAAAACTCTTTGTCCTTCATTTAAAGATAAACAGAACTTCTTAGGTAACCCTTAGATATTTTCCTGAGTTATAGAGTTTTGGAGGATTCTTAAGGATGTGTATCTGACATATTGTAAGCACGTAATAAATATTTATTAAATGGATGAATGAAACTAATTAAGAAAAAAGTGAGAGTTTTTTTTTGATACGATAAAACTTTTTTTTAAGATAAAAATGG
Organism: Homo sapiens; assembly: GCF_000001405.40. Classification (NCBI taxonomy): domain Eukaryota; kingdom Metazoa; phylum Chordata; class Mammalia; order Primates; family Hominidae; genus Homo; species Homo sapiens. Next base: position 2,312,066 of record NC_000003.12, read on the forward strand.
CACTTTGGGAGGTTAAGGCGGCAGGATCACTGAGCCCAGGAGTTCAAGATCAGCCTGAGTAACATAGTGGGACCTTGTCTCTACAAAAAATAAATTAGCCAGGTATAGTGGTGCACACCTCGTGAGGCCAAACATATTGCTATGACCAGTGGAATACCAGTGGAAAGAACATGAATCACAACAGGATGGCAGGTTTTAAAACCAGTTGCTAGGTCTCCTTTTATTAATGTTGTGGAGATTTCAGAAATGTTTATTAATATTAAATAGTTTTCATCCTCCTGAATAATTAGGGCAATCAAACACTGCCAACCAACATTTGACATACAGCATAAAAGTCAAGTAAATTGCATTTATTTTTGCTGTTAATATTGGACTATCACTAAGCAAATCTTGCTGGTGTAAACTTCTTAGTCATTGGCCAGTTTGTTACAAAGATCTATGAAAAATTCTTATCCCAGTGAGCCAGGAGAAACTTCTCCCAGGAGATCCTGAAATCTAAAGTAGGAACACATGCCTCTCTATGTGACATCCATTGTGACACAGATGGTTTGGTCCTTTCCAATAATAAAAAAAATGGTGCGTTTTGGAATACTTGTGCTTTTTGAAACTATAAATCACATTATGAGTATAAAGAACACAGCTTTTGAAAAAAATAAACTTTTTTTTCCAAATGTTGGAGAAACCAGTGTTTCCAGTTGATTGACCTAAGATGGGTGTTTTAGGCCCTTTTGGATTTTTAAACTGTTTTTACGTGTATGTTTCTGTGTGTTTGTGTGGTGGCTTGTATTTATGGATGTGTGCTGTTCGTTGCTATGATAGGAAATAACATTGAAAACTGGAGTTATATGTTATTAAGAACATAACAAAAATAAAAACACTGTGTGAAAATCTGTGAGTTAGGATCAAAAATTTTATCTTCAGGCAAATATATATAGCCTTAAAAAAGTTATCACATGACATATTGTAAATAAAATGAAGTAATGTTCAACTTGAAAAGTTAGAAAAGACAATAAAACTATTGGAGTAAGTAAAATAATTAAAAGATGATTAAATAATGATCAAGAAATAGAAACAAAAAATAGAAAACAACAGAAAATAGATTAGATAGATCCAAGAACTATTACTTAAAAGCAAGACGTACATAAACTGTTTAAACGTCTTGTACAGAAAAACAAAAATATAGTCATTATAAGAAGGGGTTATATCAATACTGAAGGGATTAAAAATATTAAGGAAAATGGATAATATTTTTATCAATGCAAATTATATAAATTAACTCATGTTTAAAAACATTAATAAACAAGATAACCTAGGAAAAGAAACCCTGAAAAGTTGTCATTTTTACCTCCAAAAAAATGCAGTGTGCTGTCATCTTAATGGATAAACCACTTTAAATTATTAACAGATAAGCAATTTTATGGTAAAAAAATTGATTCAGAAATAGAGGAAAAACTGAAAAGTGTCCTTTACCAAGCAGCATAATTTTAAACACCTGAAACAGAATCTGACGCTCAGAATAAATATCAGGGCCGGAGGTGGGGTGGTGATTCTGAAACCCCTGTTAGCCATTAGCCATGCTCATACAGTCACTCCCAACTATATGTTTGATATACTTTCTTAACCATTCCTGACTGAAAAACACTATAGAGTAACAAAAATAATTAGTAGTGTAGTAATAGATTGATACTTTATATGACGCAAACCTAAGACAATATAGTACTTAAGGAGAAAGCATTTCAGGCATACCCACCAAATACCCCCCAAAATAAAGGATGCTTCCCTTATACTTTGTTTAACTTAGTGATTCTTAAAGTTTTTCTGTCTAGTAAGAGATGAAAAAGGAATAACTGTAAAATTGGAAAAGCATATAAAGTTATTTCTGCCTATAAGAAATATGATTATGCCCTTATTTATACCTATGAATCTGAAAACTTTAAACTAAAAATACATGTTTTATAACACCTTTTAAAATGTACTGTTTTTATTTAATTTCAGTTTTCTTGTCAAAAACAAACAAGAGTGTACAATTAAAATTGATAACAACAAAGTATAAAATTCATATGAATTGACTTAACAAGAGATGTCCAATTCTTATGTGACAGAAGCCATAATAATTTGCCAAAGAACATGAAGTTTCAATAAAATGGGAAGGTTAAATATGATACAGAATTTAGTTTCATGCACACACATACATATGTATATATATTAGAATTCTAAAATTATCCTGAAGTACAACTGGAGGAATAATATTCAAGGGTAGCCAAGGGAGTTTCGAAAATAACTAAAAAAATTTTTTAATGAAATGTTTATATAATATTAGATGGATTAGACAAATGAAAAGGTCAAGAAACTGACCTACATACATATTAGAAGTGAATTTCTGTTGAGGTTGGCATTTCGGTGAAGCTGTATAAATGTGGATTATATGAGCATGATGTGATAATAGGTGAAAGGGTAGGGCAAATCATTATCTCCCTGTATATCAGATGAAACTCAGATTTATTAAGGAATAAATGTTAAATATATAATTACAACAGAATCCAAACAAACAAGGTAACTATATGATTTGGGGATAAGGTGAGCCTTTCTTTAAAAAAAAGGATAAAATGAGATATCTATCGATTTAATACTGTAGTAATTTGATACAAATGTAAAAGAAATACAATTACAATTATTAACAAAATGAGAAAAAATTTGCAAATCTTAAACGGAAAAAAATTGCGATATCTCTAAATCTAATAAGCAAATGACATATCAATTAAGCAGCAAAATATGAACAATCAATTTTGAAGAATAAGAAATACAGAGAGCTTCTTAACAGCTTCAGTGTTAATCAATGAACTGTTCATTTAAGTTATTATATCATGTTTCAGGTATCAAATTGGTAAACAGGAAAAAGAAAAATTAATGCCCACTGTTTCAGAGGTTTTCAATAAACATGTTATTTTATATTTCCTAAGAGTTTTTAATTTAAATAATAAAATCCACTGAAATGTACATCAAAAAGAAACATGCATACAAAAACAAAAGGAGCTTTATTGGAAATGTATAGGACAGTTCACAGAATTAAAAGAATTAGCTATGAACAGCTATGTAGAAGGAATTTGAAAGTTAGTCAATATCATTGAGCATAAATCAGCTCCATTTTTTTTTTGCACGCTATAATAAGTAACTTCTCTTGAAATGAGAATTTCTAGTAGAGAAAGTGACCAATTGATTTAACTTAGGTAATTTTTGCCACTTGTATGAATTAAGGTGAAAACTTTAGACGGGCTGTCTTGTTGACACTCATCCAACATGTATTCATCAGTTTCCCAAACGAGAAGTGGGATGCTGTTATCTGAAGTAAAGAGAGGCACTTGGTAGGCGAAAACAGTGGATATCCAGCTTGGTTATTAATAAGGATGTTAACAGTATTATTTTTTTTAATGGTGGGCTTACGAGATTTCTATTTTTCTATTTATGCTTTTTGCTTTTTTCTATTTTTTTCCTCAGAAATAAGACTGTTATAATCAGAAGTAAAAAGGTTACTGAAATATGTAACTGGAGAATATGTTGAGACACCCTGAACTGGCCCATTTTTAGCCAATTCATTTTTTTAATGTGCTAGATAAATTTATGCGTCCTAGAATCAGAAGGCTTTGAATCAATCAAGTTCTGGTTTTACCAGTAATGAACATTAGTAAGACATTTAACTAGTGTTGAGTCTTGGAGCTATTAACTAGAAATTATGAATTATGTTACTATCTATATAAAACTTTTAAAAATTTGGCTTAAAAAATTACATCCACATGTTTAATATATTTATAAGGCAGAATTCCTTGAACATATATATGACCTTTGATGAATGTTTGTTGAATATTTTCAGAGTTTCTTAATGCCAATCCCAAATATCACTTAGTCAAAAACTTATTTATCTTGAGACTTCTAACTTCTGGTATTATTTGGTTATATTGTTACCGTTTCTTCACTGAAAAAAATGTCACCTCCCAAATGTCTCATCCTTGTGTTTTATTTGATTTTGAAGATGTGGGTCATCTTTTATGATGAACACAGGTTCTATTTTTATATCATAATCTCATGATGATTATGGTGAAATGAACAAATTAATAAATGGAAATAACAGTAGAATATTTGGTGGATTGTTAATAGATATTAAGTACTCTAGCAGATAGAGTCTTTTATTTTATTTGATCTCTATATATTAATTCATCTGTCTGACAATAAAATGTGTTTTTAAAGACATGCTTTATCAAGATGTATTTGAGGCATTTCCCCCCACTGATCTATTGTACTTAAAAATTTTTGAAAGCTCAAATTACACTAAATGACTGCAGAAAAAGTCCCAAATAGTAAGTTGCCAATTTGAAACTTTTATTAGTCTCAATTAGTTAATTTATTGAACTAATTTAAATAGATCAATAAATTAAGGTTTATAAAGAATATTCGGGCAGTCTTTTTCTTAAGAGAATCCTGCAAGACTGAGGCATAAGATACAGTCTGTTGATGTTTTTATCCCTTTCATTTATCCAAACAGTGTAAAACATTGCTTATCACATTGGTATGACTTACAGGATTCAACAGAACACTTAGTCTTTTGTCTTCATTTTCCCCATTGCTTTGTATTTCTTTAGATTTAAGTTATAATTAACTTGAATATTAATCTTAGATGGCATGATTTGATATGTTAAAACGAAGAGTTTAAGACGCCGAGCTCTGTGGTTCTCGCCTTAGTAATGTACACATTACAGTTGCCAGTTGACAGGTTTCATTTATCCATGGTTTTCTTTAAAATGCCTATTGATGCAAACCTTTTTAATAAGTAACTCAAAAGGAAAAACACACACCAATTAAGTTGACAGTGATCCCATATATTTCTTCCTCTAATTTCCCTTTTGTGACTTCATTTTCCTTCCCCCATGCCTTCCTTTCTTTCTACATACATGCACACTATCACCATTCTAGTGGCCCCTGCCTTTAGGCACCATGTTTAAGCTCTCAGACCTCTCTTAAATACTTGTAACACTATCAATACTACCTATTTTGTTAGCATAATTGTATGGACTACATGGCAAATATTTCTGAAGCACACTGTAAATGTCTGTATAAATGCAAGGATTAGCGTTGCCCGCTGAATCTAGACCTGATGGATTATCATAAAGAAGACAAGTTTGCATATCTGAATTCAATTAACAGTGGTACTTGTTTGTGATGGAGTTGGGGTTTCATTTAACTCAATCTCATTAATTTATGCAAGGACCAAATTTGTTTAGTGTAGTTTATTTGTTAGAAGAAGCTAGCGGGCAGAGGATTCATCAAAATAATAACCAAAACACTCAGAAAAATCAATAGCTACTTTTCAACTCCTGATCTTTGTCCTCACCCAGAGTGAGTTCTAAGCAAAATTGTGCAGGTTATCATTCCTGGATTTCGCGCTCCCTCTCACACACAAATCCTGAAGAGCATTATCATACCCATTGGTTCGTTGTGCAGTGGATCACCGAGGCATTTCTTTATGTGTACTCTTTGGCCTACCATTCCGTTCTAATGGACAGTCATAGTTCATAGTGAGTTTGAAGTCTTTCTTCTAGTTAATCTGTCAATTTTTCTCACACAGTGCAGCTGCTGTGAAAGAAATTGGAGCTGTTACACTTTGTGCTTTGGTACAGTTTGTAAAATGCTAGGTAGGAGACAGGAAACCAAACACAGCATGCTACTAATTTCTTTAAAACGACTGATGTGCTAGAACTCAGAGTCTGTGTCCCAGAGAGCTGGCATCCCTTTTTTTCTGAGAAGACTAACGTCGTTTGAAAGTGTTATCTTACTTTTGCATCAACGATATAGATGCCTTTGGTATGACTTACAGGATTCAACAGAACACTTAGTCTTTTGTCTGCATTTTCCCCATTGCTTTGTATTTCTTTAGATTTAAGTTATAATTAACTTGAATATTAATCTTAGATGGCATGATTTGATATGTTAAAACGAAGAGTTTAAGACGCCGAGCTCTGTGGTTCTCGCCTGTAGTTCCAGCTACTTGGAAGGCTGAGGCAGCAGGACTGCTTGGGCCCATGATATTGAGGCCACAGTGTGTGATGATTGCAACTGTGAATAACTTCTCTAGCCTGGGCAGGGTAACGAGAACTTGTCCCTAAAAAAAAAAAAAAAAAGAGTATGTGTATATTGATATGTAATCATGTGACTAGACCCTTCACTGTATACTATATAGGAAAAGATATATAATATGCTAGAAAAACACACTATAAGAACTGTTCTTACCAGAAAGTAAGCTTATTCCAGAAGAGGTTGGCCCTGTCTCCATCAGGAATTGTCAGAATTACAGGGATATAGCAAAGTGTTCTTTTTGACACATCAGGATTCCTTTCTCTTGAATGAAATGACTATATTCTTCTTCATTGAAGCATTTGTATAATTAATCAAGATGTTTGTATATTACTCTCCTCCTAACATGTGAGAGCTGCAGGTATTTTAAATGAGAATGCTTCAGGATGTGTAGTACTGTCTCTGTGTGCAGATTTACTTTTTATTTTATACGTCTGGTTTTTTTGTGTGTATGCATGTGTGTTGTGTTGTGTGTTTTCAGACAGGGTCTCCCACTGTCACCCAGGCCAGAGTGCAGTGGAGCTCACTCCACCCTCCACCTCCTGGGCTCAAGGGATCCTCCTGCCTCCTCCTCCCAAGTATCTGGGACTGCATGTGCATGCCACTATGCCTGGCTATTATTATTATTTTTTAATGTAGAGATAAAGTCTTGCTATGTTGCCAAGGTTTGTCTTGAATGTCTAAGCTCAAGCAGTCCTCCCCACTTGGCCGCCCAAGTTGGGGATAACCCCACTTGGGATAATCCCCAAAACGCCCAAGGTTTTGGGATTATAGATGTGAGTCACTGCACCTAGCTGTTTATTTTACGGAGGGGCCAGTTAACTAATTCCCTCTTCTAATAAAATTGTTTTGTAAATCCAAATTTGTTCTTGCCTGTTACTACTATTTAGAATTTTGCAATTTTATTATACCTAGTCAAAAGAAGGAAGGACGATTCAAAAGGAAGAGGAAAGAAAATTAATATTAATCAATATATATCAAATGCATACTAGGCTTTTAGCATCATCTCAAATATTTTATATATATTATTTAACATTCACAAGTACCACATAAGATAAATATTACAGTTATGATTTTACACATCTGTAATATCCAGAGATATTCAAGAATCATAGCCAGTAAGTTGGATGAACATTGCCTAAAAAACACATTTTTAAAATCTGAAAGCCAGAACACTTAACCCTTGAACAACGTTAGCTGCATGAATCCACTAATACCCACATTTTTTAAAATAAAAGTTACACCAAGGGTGCCTGCCTTTCCTGCCTCGCCTTCCATCTCTTTCACCTCTGTCACCCCAGAGACAGCAGAACTAATCCCTCCTCTTCCTCATCCTCTTCAGCCTACTCAACTTGAAGATGATGAGGGTGAAGACCTTTGTGATGATCCACTTCCACCTAATGAAAAGTAAATGTTTCCTCTTTCTTATGATTTTCTTAATAACATTTCTTTAGCTTACTTTACTGTAAGAATAATGCATATAAGATACAAAATATGTGTTGACTGTTTATGTTATCGGTAAGACTTTTGGTGAATAGTTGGCTATTAAAGTTTTGGAACAGTCAAAATTAAACACCGATTTTTGACTTCATGGGGGTTGGTACCCCTACCCTCCTCGTTGTTCAAGGGGCAACTGTATATTCTTTTTGGTGTATATAGAGACCCTGTAAAAGAGAATTAAACTTTTTCAAGTCCCTCATTTGTAATAGTAATACATGTATAGCCTTTAACAATTTTAAAGCGTGCTCTTAAAGAACATTTTCTTTGCCCATCATAATAAATGCTTATATTAGGCATTATTACCTCCGTTTTACTTGTTAAAAATCCTGGACTTCTACAATCTGTCAGAGTTGGAGAATCAAAGGAGAAAGTGCCTTAGCAAAGAGAATATAGCTGAAACAAGAATCAATCAGGCTGTTGGGGATATAATTCTGGAATGAAAATTAGACTGAATTTGTTCTTAAGCATCTTTGTTGTTTGAGCTCTTTGTTTTCTCATGTTTAGAATGAGAAGTGGGGGGATTTAATTACGTTTAGTGACCTTTCAAGCTCTAAAATGTTTTGCTACTTGAAAGTGTACTTAGATGTGTTAATGTTATATACAGAAAGAAACTGACTGAAGCTACTTAATAAAAAGTAATCAAGATGAATTATAACAGAAATAGTAATATAAGATAGGAAATCCTGAACTAATATTAGGTTATGTGCCTAAATTTGTGATTTTTATTTAAACCTGGCCTTAATATTTGGCTTCATTTACCTTTCCCTTTTAACCTCAGCGTCCCACCTTAACATAGAATCAATCTATGCTATTTGCTATGTATCCCAGGTGGATAACTGTTCTTGTAGTTGACCTTCATAATGTAACTTTATTGGTATAGTTAAGGTTAATGGCACATTAATTTTCTATAAGACATCAGTCAGTATCCCATTTTAATTTACCATTTTCATGATGACTGCTGTTCTAAGTTGTTTGTGTCATTTTTGGCTGCCATAAATTATCCCGAAGCAAATATCAATGTGAACTCAGAACCATGCATGCTGATGACTTCTGAAATTATTAATGCCAGTACATAGGAAAAAGAAATACATGAGTGCACATTTGGTTGATAATTTCTTTATAGATTACCATTAACCTCTTTCTTTAAGGGAACAGCATAAGTACATCTGTGTTTATTTGCTCTAAGGGAAACAACAGTTATAATTAGGAATAATTATAACAGCAGCAGTGAAACTCTAAAAAATATCCTGGAATTACTATCATTCCTAAAATATTTTTATTTCAGTGGAAACAGCCACCATTAGGATCTCATGGGAGAGTTCAAAGAGAAATGATAGATTATTTCAGATAGACCCTTGTTGGGTGGCTGAATTCTCAGAGTGGAAATAGCAGATAATTTGGGCTCTGTTCAAAGCAGTCTGAAGAAGCTCTGTCCTATAGCTCTGAAGGGACCCATTTTAATTCACAGAGCACATTAATTGTTATCCCCCTTATAAACATGTCTTTGTTTGAAGCATTATCTCAATTGTGAAATGTGGCTTAGAACAATTCTAGATAGTATAGTGGTAAAAAACTTCAACTCAGGAGTCACATAGATATGGGTTCAAATCTCATCTCCACCATTTATTAGCCATGTACCCCCATGAAAATTATTTTAAACTTTTAGTTTCCTTAGCTTTAAATGGAAATAATAAGGCTGTCCCCACAGAACTGTCCTGAGGGTTAAAGAATCTTTCCAGAGTGACCTGTACTTAGTAAATAGCTCCCAAAATTGTGGAATTCTGTAGCTGTTTAAATGAGAAGAGATTTTTATTAAGAGGTTTCCAAATTTGTCCTCTTTAGCATGCCATTATTGTCACTTTCAATCACTTGGGTTTTCAGTACTATTATTTTATTATTTTTTCTTCATATCAGCTTTAAATTTATTCTCTTTTCATACTTAGTCTTGTCAAAGCCAGATTGTCTCGGAGGTCTTGATGTTAGACGACCTAGTATCTCAGGTTTCTCTTTGTAAAACAATTGAATTAATACATGGATGTGGTTAGGAAAGTCATTTGTGGTCACATAAACTTCAGAATCCTTTATGTCCAGTTCTTCTCTGTCACTTGGGTATTCCTGTTATAAGAGAGAAAGGAGTCATATTTAGTGACATGATTTGACCTTCATTTTTACTTAACCTTTGGTAAGTAACAGTGAGCTGCTTCAAAATATAGTAGTATTTGTGTATTAAAAACCCACATTCATGATCCTTAATATAAACCAGGCACTGTGGGAAACCACAAACAGAGGAAAGAACATTACCAACACCTGTAGTTATTTATTTTATGTGCTTTGGAAAATAAGTTAAATGCCCTCAGGAGCAGTGTTCATACATGAAAAAATTCTCTACTTATGCCACAAGGTCACATAGGATTGTCTGTATGATAAAGTATACATTAGATTACTCTATCTATTTTGTAACACTTTATAGCTGTAAGGTTGTATTTTTAAACGAGCAAAAATGAATCAAAATTTAATTTGAAAGCAGGGACTCAAACAGATACTTCTGTATCAATGTTCACAGCAGCATTACTTAAAATAGCCAAAAGGTAGAAACAACCCACATGTCCATCAATGTGTGAATGGATAAACAAAACATGGTGTAAACATAGGACGGAATTTTATTCAGCCTTAAAGAGGAATGAAATTCTGATACTTGCTACAACATGGACGCACCTTGAAAACACTAACTGACTGAAATAAGCAAGACACAAAAGGATGAATAACTATATCAAATATCACATGTAAGGCACCCAGAGTAGTTAAATTCAGCAAGACAGAAGGCATAATAGTGGTTAGCAGGGGCTGGGGAGTTATTTTTTTAATGGGTACAGATTTTCTATTGGGGATCATGTAAAAGTGTTGGAAATGGATAATGGCAATGGTGACACAATCTTGTGAATGTACTTAATGCCACTGAATTGTACACTTAAAAGTGGCTAAAATGCAGACTTTACATTATGTTAGCTCTCCACAATAAAATGTATACTGAATTTTAAAAAGTGAACAGAAACTTAGAAACTAAAATACTAAGCATCTAATTATCTGAAATATGCTGTTAAGTGTCTTTTTCTTTTATTGAGCAACTAGCTGTGTGTATTTAATATTCTAAGATCTTTAAAATAGAGGAAAAGTTGCTCTTTTCCTATTTAACATTCTAAGATCTTTAAAATAGAGGAAAAGTTGCTGTCTCAGATTGGTGGATTTCACATTGATGGAATACTGGAGGATTACCGAAGTTCACTTTCCTGGGGGCTCTAGTTCATGTCTGACTCCTGTCATATAGGCCCAAAATTGCCATCTCAGCTACACAGAGCCTCAGCTTGATAAGCAAAGGTATTTTTCTTGCAAGAGCTCTCTTGCCTCTGGAGAGACTGATCTGGAATGACTGTCAATAACAACAACCATATACCTGAAGAATCGGTCTCTTCCATTTTAATTTCATAGACATGCACCGCTGGAACTATGATTATTACAGGATGAAGTCTCCTATAGGAAAGCCGGCTGAGCTAACAAAATCAAGCCCCATTAGTCTGTCCCTGGAGCACAAACTCTAAATGGCCAGGGGAGGGAAAGTCACACAGGAGAGGGCAAGTGATTGGAAATTGTAGAAAATGGGAGAACGTTGTTGCGTGCCATGGTCTCATGGAGATTCATGGAACCTGGTAAATTAAAGTGCACATCCGTCCCTTAAATTGTCATGCTGCTTCAAGTTTACTTAACTTTTGTACAGACTTTTACAGACTTTTAGAAGTATTTGTACAGACTTTTAGAAGTCTCTCCTTCTTCCATTGCTTGTAGCTCTTAGATTTAAATGATCACCTGTTCTTTTTTGTAGTCAAGTTGGGATGTGCCCCCAAACACGTAACATGTTTTGAAACTAAACAAATATCCACCATTAAATTAAGTTTCTTTGATGCTTTCTTTTTTCCTGGCAGAATTTGGTCAAAGCAACTATTTCATTGCAACCCTGACTTGAATAAACAAGTACATGCATGCTCATATAGCTGTGTATACTCATGTGGGCTGCTTTAGTGCCTTGACTCAAATTTACATTACTTTCAAGTATAAACAATACAATACTAATACAAACAATTTTGGGAGACAGTAAAGTTTAGTACTGGGCTCTATAATATGCTTGTGTGTTTTTGGAAATCTGTACCGTGCATTGGCAATCCAGAGAGTGCTGGTGGAGACAGGACTAACACAATGGTTCCCAACTAAGGTTATTCCTAGAGAAGGGCTTCTCAACTTCAACACTGTTCACATTTTGGGCTAGATAAATCTTGGTTATGGGGAGCTCTCCTGTTCATTATAGGATATTTATCAGCACTCCTGGCCTCTACTATTAGATGCCAGTAACATCTGTTCTCCTCTAGCCATGGCAATTAAAAATGTCTCCAGATATTGTCTAGTGTCCTCTGGCGGGGAGGGGGCAAGAAGAGCAGTTTAGAGCATGGCATGAAATCCCAGGGGCAGGGTGTTGGGCTAATTCAAAGAGGCTTAGGGTTTTGAAGCAGTGAGTGGTGAGAGGAGAAGAATGATAGAAGAAATAACTGGATGTGTCTGCAGCATTTTCTTCCCATGGCATTGCTTCTTGTAAGATACACACGCACACTCACACTCATACTTTTGTTCTACATAACATATATATTGTGTAGTATGAAGTTTATGAGTTATAACACTGTCGTCAGAGTTATACCTTTATCCTATATCCAGAAGCATAAGACGGTAACTTAAAATCTGACTGTTTTATCTAAAAATGTGCTTTCTTTTGGGTATTGTCAGGACTCTTGGTTTCAGTTTTAATTTCTATAAATCCAGAGATTTGAACAATTCCCCTGCTAGCTTCTGTTTCTCTTTGTGTCCCAGATCTGTTTCCCTCCATCTATAGCCAGGACAGGAGTAACTTGATTCTGAGAACCCTGAGCCTACCCCAAAAGGTAAAGGAATCACCTTTCCCTATGTCCACAGATTAAAATGAGAAAAACATTTTTGGGTTTGCTTGAGTCTTAAGTGTTCTTCTGACCTAGGCACTTCTCCAGGGGGCTGGACAAGCCTGGCTCATCTAATTTCTACCCTCCCCTAGCCCCCAACTTTCCAACCTCGCAAACAATCATAAGGAGTGCTCCCCCCACCTCAAAAGCAGAGATGCTTTATTTAGTACTCTGAAGACAAAATGAAGCTGCAATTTCTTTTTGAAAATCTTCCCCCCAGTTTTTCATTCCCTTATTTTCAGTGAGATATTCATCCTCTACTTTAAATGTACATTCTCTTATAGTAGTTCTCAAAGTCTGGTCGAGGAAACCTGAAGGGGTAGTGAAAACTTTCAAATGGATGTCAGATCAAAGCTATTTTTGTAATAATACTAAGAAGGTATTTGCCTTTGTCACTCTCAGTCTCTCACAAGCATACAGTGGAGTTTTCCAGAGGCTGCGTGACATTTGATGTCACATAAGAGCGAATGCAGAAGCAAATAGGAGGATCCATTTGTCTATGATTAAGCCAGACATTAAAGAGAGATTTACAAAAATGTAGAACATGCTATCCTCCTCATTATTTTTTGCTTTATATAATATTTTCCCATTGAACATGCTATTTATGTTAATATGTAATAGACTTACTGTTATTTTATGAATTGAAAAGTATTTTAGAAGTTTCCATTTTAATTTCTAATGTAGTAAATATCAATAAACCTAATCCATTAATTAAAACTCTTTAGCATTCTCCCTAATTTTAAGAACGCCTTTTGTTTTTATGGTCTTACTTGAATACCTGAGTCTTCATCAAGTTCTTGCCACGATGGCTTTTAGAACTCCAACATTTCCAGCCCGGTGAAAGCCACAGAATCTTTTCAGCTCAAGCCCTCCAGTGGATGTTCACAATTAAAAATTTCCCATTTTTTCCTGTATTTAGATGTCTCTTTGCTGTACAACAAGGAACTTACCAGCGGTCACTACACATACTGGATTATAGGCAAGATAGCCATTTAAGGGTAGCGAAAAATGTAAGAATTTTTATTTATATATTTTATGTGATTTGAAACGATTGTGATTTATATTTCATTATGTATATAACATCAGTAATAGAGTACATATGTGTACTTTAGAAATAAAAATACCTAATTAGAGGTGTATGCTTTATTTTCTAATAGAAATATGCTATCAACAAAAGTGATACTTATCCTATAATATTTGAGCCTGTTTTGGGGAAAATTATAACTTGATACAGAGTGAAAAGAATAAATATTTCTTTTAGAGGATGTGATGGTTAATTTTATGGTTCAGTTTGACTGGGCCACAGAGTGCCCAAATATTTGATCACATTATTAGTCTGGGTATTTCTGTGAGGATGTTTCTGGATGAAATTAACATTTGAATTAGTAGATGGAATAAAGCAGGTTGCTTTCCCAAATGTGGGTGGGCCTTATGCAATCAGCTGAAGGCCTGAATAGAACAAAATAGTGACCTTCCCCTAGGAAGAGAGAATTTCCCTGTCCCTACTACCTTTGAACTGGGACATTGGCTTTTTTCCTGCATTCAGATTGAAACTGAAACATTGGCTCATCCTAGGTCTCACACCTGTCAGCCTTCAGACTGGAAATACAGCATCTCACGTCTACTGGGCCTCAGGCCTTTGAACTTGGACTGGAAATAGACTGTCAGCTCTCCTGGGCCTCTAACTTGCTGACTCACCCTGCAGATTTTGGGACTTGTCAGCCTCCTTAATTGTGTGAGCCAATTCCTTCTAATAAATTTACACACACACACACACACACACACACACACACACACACACACAATCTTACTGATTCTGTTTCTCTGGAGAACTCTGCTACAGGAGATTACACAAACTGTAAAGGAAATATACTATCGCATAAATTAAGCAATGATCTCTATAACTTCTTCAGTCTGAGAACTCATTCCTTCTGGTCACTGGATGCCTTACAAGGACAGAATAGGGAAATAGGTTTTACTTGAAGCAAGAATAGGAATGGCTGTAACTGTTTTTGAATTAGTACTGTCTGTGAGCCCCTGGGCAATGAAGGTATTATTGTCTCCATTTTACAAACGCAGAAATCAAAGCTAAGAAAGAATACTTTGCCCAGGGTCCTACAGAAGTAAATAAAGTAGCTAGAATTTGAGCCAGCCTTTTTCTAACTCCGAGGCCTATCCTCTTACTAGTTGACTATCCATAAATCAATTTTCTACCTATAAAGCTTCCTTGGACTTGAGTATCCATAAAACAACTTCCCACCTACAAAGATGTAGGTAGGAAAGATAATTTTCAAAGTGTTTTAAATGTAGCATTGCCTACCCTGGAGTTCAGTTAAGCCACAACTGATCTGTGGTAATTTGGGGAAATTTCATCAAGTTGGTCTAGAATTACAGACTCCTGGGAATAGATGTGTGTGTGTGTGTGTGTTTGTGTGTGTGTGTGTCTATAAAGTGCCAAGCTTATTTTCCAAAAGGATAAAGGTATTTCCCAGTGAGTAGGAAATGTTTGCATTCTTCATGTATTTGTGCATGGATTTCCAAATTGATGGATTTTGCTTCAAAATTAGTCAAGAAATCAATCCTGGAAGTTATTGTGTGTGTAGCTCAATTCAGTAAAGTGGCAAAATATTATTTATTTCATCCTCCTTATGCTATTTAGTTTCCATCTCATTCCTCATGGTAATGGAGAAATAGTCTATGATATTGTAAACACATATGGATCTTTAAGATTTATTTTATATTTGTTTTAGCGTTCAGGAGGCACTTGGCTTTTGCATCTCTCCCTCTTTAGGAAAGAAAACCAGGTCATGCCTTATATTTTATATATGTTTTACATGTATTTCCTTTCAAAAATGTGTCATGGTATACTTAGTCCTTCCCTTTAAAGAAAACCATAATGCAGATCTCATTAAGGAACATAAATAGTGATACATATATATGGAAAAGGACACACATTCTTTAGTGCAGTGGTGGGAACTAGTGATCTTCCTCCAAATGCCAGAATAAATAGATGTTCCTAGCAAAAAGCAGGGACTATATTTGGAACCTCCCCTATTCTGGAGTTCCAGATCTGATTACTCATGTAGAATCTCCTGTTTCATATATAGGTGACAGTGTTCAGGACTCATTACCCCAAAACATGGCATCTTAGCATTTGAGGAAACAGCCAAAGCAGACCATACAAACTAGAAAGAATTCCCCTCACCCCTTCCCCACTGAAGTAGGTCATAAGACCCTCATCTGGAGGAGTCCTGACTTATACCCAGAGGAAAGCAATATCACACATGGTTGCCAAGAAGAATTTGAACAAACAGAATTTGCTAAGTTCTTCCTGGTTTATTACTGTTATATTATACCCTTTTGTCTTCCAATCATACTTCTGCACGGCTGTCCATTAAAAATACACAGTTTTGGCCGGGCGTGGTAATCCCAGCACTTTGGGAGGCCGAGGCGGGCGGATCACGGGGTCAGGAGATCGAGACCATCCTGGCTAACACGGTGAAACCCCGTCTCTACTAAAAATACAAAAAAATTAGCCGGGCGTGGTGGCGGGCGCCTGTAGTCCCAGCTACTCGGGAGGCTGAGGCAGGAGAATGGCGGGAACCCGGGAGGCGGAGCTTGCGGTGAGCCAAGATGGCGCCACCGCCCTCCAGCCTGGGCGACAGAGCGAGACTCCGTCTCAAAAAATAAAAAAATAAAAAACACAGTTTTCCCCAGGTCTTTAATTATGCATTTCTGAATAATCTCGCATCATGTAAAACTTACGTTAAATTAATTGTATGCATTTCTCTTATTAATCTATCTTTTGTTGTAGGGGCTTTAGCCATGAACATTGATAGGAGTTAGAAATATTTTCTTCCTTACACGTATACAGTTGGCCCTCCATATCCTTGGGTTCCACATCTGCGGATTCAACCAACTGCGGATCAATAATGTTTGGAAAAAAAAAACAATAAAAAATAACAAAAATGTTAAAATACAGTATAAAATCTATTTACATAGCATTTTCATTGTATTAGGTGTTATAAGTAATCTAGAGATGATTTAAAATATACTGGAGGGTGTGCAGGAGTCACATGTAAATACGACATCACTTTATATAAGGGACCCCAGCATCTGCAGGGGGTTCTGGAACCAATCCCATGTGGATACCAAGGGACGACTGCATTCTCCAAATCCTGGGCATGGGCATACCATATTTCTTAACATAGCTGCTTACCATCTCTAATGTTGTCTATTTACCATTTTCTATAAATCTACTGGGTTTTAAACTAATTTTTGATATGAAGAAAGTTTATATCAATATAAATAGAAGTAAAATTTTTCACAAATGGAAAATAATAAAATAAAAATTTTCACAAATGGAAAATTAACATAAAAATAAATTTGCAAATATTTACAAGCGTAACATAAATACACATCAACTTAAACTCAAATGTTTACAAAATAAAAATAATACTGTCTACCAGCAGAAGTGCAATGACCATATTTTTTAAACTATGATTTCTCCTATATGTCTATATTTCATGGCTGAAATTGTAGTTCAGAGCTCTCACCATCGTTTCTACTACATACAAATCACTTATGTCAGTGGAAATGTTTTCTGCCAAGAAGTGCCAAATTGTGAGCCTCTCAGGCCTCCAGACCATGTTTCCTTCACTTCTAAACGCCATTATGTCACCCACTGCATAGTTATCTAGTGCATATAGGATAAACGCTCAACGAAGAAAGCCAGGTCATGCTTTACACCTTACATTTTGTTTTAGACATATTCCTTTTCAAAAATATATCCCTGTGTAATTAACCCTTCTGTCTTTAAAGCAAAGGAGTTAAGCACTCAAATGGCAATCACCAGGAATGAGGCCCACTACAGTCTAGGAGCACCAGGGCAGTGCAGTACAAAAAACTCAAGTAGAGAAACCAGTGATAACTGGGGAAAGTTACTTTGACTCACAGAACTTTAGTTATCACATCTATAAAATGAGATAATACACTCTGCCTTATTGAGGCATTTTTTTTTATTAAAAACAGCCTTTGCTTTGTACCAGGAAAAATTAAAAGCACTTAATAAGCATTAATTTATGTAGTCCTCCTAACAGCCCTTATGAGGCTGTAAAGGAACAAACAAACGTTTCTCTCTACTTACACTAAACATGCCACACTTTTTGACCAGATGTGTGGGTTTTGATTTCTGACACATCCATTTTCAGGTACATAGTTATGATTCCATTTAATTCCGATGCTGTCTACCTGGAGTTACAGTCAGAACCCACATGTTAAGAGCTCGGTCCCACGTGAATGCCCCCTACTTCAGATGCCAGTCCTAAATCGGGCTCCCCAGAACTTCTGGCCAATTGATATAAATTAGAGATTCCCATGACCGCCTCCTTGGGTTCAGCCATTTGCTAGAGTGGCTCACAGAACCCAGGAAAGTGCTTTACTTATATTTACTGGTTTATAATAAAGGATATTATAAAGAATACAGATGAACAGCCAGATGGAAGAAATGCATAGGAAAAGGTATGTGCGAAGGAGCACAGATCTTCCATCCCCAAGCACCTCCACATGTTGGGCAACATGGAAGCTCTCCAGTTGCAGTCCTTTTTGGTTTTTATGGCGACTTCACTATAGAGGCATGATTGATTAAACCATTGGCCAGTGGTGGTTGAGTCAACCTTCAGCCCCTCTTCCCTCCTGAGGCTATTTAGGAGTCTTGGGCCACCAGTCATTACCCTTCTAAAAGACTTATCACTTTGGAGATTCCAGGGATTTTAGGAGTTCTGTGTCAAGAAATGAAGAAGAAAGAAATGAAGACCAAATATATATTTCTTATTCTAAAGCACAATATCACAGAGGAAAAGAGGGTCAGTATCTTAATTTTATAAGGGAGGCATTTATAAGACACAGAGAATCTAAGTAATTTGTGGAAGGTCACTCAGCTAGAAAGTGAAGAGCTGGGTTTTGAAAACCCAGATTCTGGACTCAATCATTACTCTATGCTGTATTTCTTCTTAGAGTATATGAAATTATCCCTGTGAAAATAGTTAGACTCTGGCATTCTATAGCTGTTTTCTGTGACCTGTGCTCTATATTGTTTTTCTTTGCTTCACAGAAACGTAGGTACTGTTTTCCCCTAAGTTGTTAATTAATACTCAGATAAGGGGCAAGCACCTCTAGGAAAAATCAAATTATAAATGTCCAGTACACTTTTATATCACATCACATAATGTGACACATTAAACAGTTGTGGAATGTCAAAAATTGGCATAATAGATGACTTGGGAATGTAGAGTGACAAGTTTTCATACAATTGTGCCTTTTTTTGTGATAATGGTAAACTCTGGAAAATTTCATTTTCTGGTTCTGCAGATTGCCAGCACATTGACATTTCCTGTATGGTTTCCCAATGGGAAGGACAGAATTGTATTTAGCCAAATCTGATAATTTTCCTTAGTTGAAATTGAAGGGGCTAAAATGCCTACCTACACTTGGATATGGGCTTCAATTTTTTTTGAAGATACTTATTTTCCTTCTTTGTTTCTAGGATATAGAGGCAGTTCAGGTAGTTTTTCAGGATACTGCATTGTAGAAGTAGGCCCTTAGTGAATCAAGCCATTCATATACAAGTTGAGTAAGTGCTCAGAGTAGGTGTCTATATTAAGGACAGGGTCCTGTACATTGTGGGGTGCTTAGCAGTTTTGCCATCATCTGCCCATGAGATGACAGTAACAAACCCCATCTTCCCTATGATTATGACAACCAAAAATGTCTTCAGACTTTGCCAACAAATTACCTTTAGATGTAATCACTGATTTAGAGCAATAGAATTTTTGGCTCTGTAGGGTAAATGAAGTGCACCTGATAGCAATAAATGACGCATACCCTGAGAATGACCCTGTATGGCAGATGCACCTGAATGTGTGTTCCAAGCTAAGGAACTCGGGAATGGCCAACAGGGAGATTCATTCCTTGTCTATGAGGAACATCTGAACCTCCAGCCTGTCTATTGGAACTCAGGCCACACAGGGGCTCAAGACCCCGAGTTTTGGGTTGAATGAAGGTTGCCAGGTGGAGACTGTTTGGGAAAGGGTGCTGAGTGAAAATGCTATATAAACTGCATGCCCTTTGCAAATGATTGTAGTTTTCCTGCCCAGTCCCCTGCCGCTGGGCTGCGGAGTTATCTTGTCTAGCCCACTGCTACTGGGCTGTTTGTAAGGCGATTCTCCTGTCCAGCCCAACACCACTGGCCTTTCTCCGTGGTAAGTAAAGCTCCAGTAAAATCCCATGTCTTGTTTGCTGGCCCTGGGTCTCTTTTTCAGTCTCTTGAACCTGGTGCCATCCCCTTTAGAGTCGATAGGGGTTCAGCGTGACAGGCTCTTTGTTGTAAATATTTGAGATTGATGATATCTTTGCACATATTGGAAAACTTTAGATTTCAGGATAGTAACTTATGGGCCACAATGCCAACTACAGCTCCGGTAATGTTACAGTATGATGGTTTTTAATGTGTTCCCTGGACTAGCATTATCTTTTACAAATAAAATCAAATCACATCACTGGCTGAATGTTTGAGATGTATTCTCTTCTCATTTTAAGGTTTACGTAAGTAATCTCTCCAAATAAGTATAATATTAATAGCTGACAGATAAAGAGTCTTTTATATTTACAGGATGCTTTCAACTTAGTCTTTTCTTTAATTTCCCCAGTAACTCTGAGAAGAGTTTTTATTCACCCATTTGATTAGAAACAGAGACTTAAGAAGAGTAACTTCTGTCTATTCTGAGTTAGGGAGATCAGAAAATACCACTGTTCTGAGTAGTATTAGGTGAGAAGAGTTTTCTTGCTGATTAAAATCCTCAAGTAAAGCTCTTACATATAAGACTTTTATATATAAGAACAAAAAACCAAACACCGCATATTGTCACTCATAGGTGGGAATTGAACAATGAGAACACATGGACACAGGAAGGGTAACATCACACTCTGGGGACTGTTGTGGGGTGGGGGGAGTGGGGAGGGGGGAGGGATAGCTTTAGGAGATATACCTAATGCTAAATGAGGACTTGATGGGTGCAGCACACCAGCATGGCACATGTATACATATGTAACTAACCTGCACATTGTGCACATGTACCCTAAAACTTAAAGTATAATAATAAAATAAAATTAAAAAAAAATAAGACTTTTTCCTATCCTCGAGAGCAGTGTCAAAGGCTCATGACTGTTTTTCTCCTGATCTCCAAATTCTAAACCATGTGCTGCAGTTTCCTATGTTGATGTCACTGGTTGTTCACCCTGGGATGTCCTATAGACTGGAGCATCTGTCTCTATCCTCTCCAATGAGCTGTCCTAATTATGTTACATCAAGACAACTTGTGAAGCTCAGAATCTCAAGTTTCTGGCCTTACAACTGATGAGCAGCATAAGCCATTCCCACTGCTGTTCTCAATCCCCTCCCTGTCTTAGATTCATAGATCCCTAGGCTCTTAAGTGTCTTCCAGAACTGTTTATCTTGTAGTCAAGACCCAGAAATTAGACTTCCAGAAACATAGCTCTTCAAGGCAGGTTCTTCAAGGTGATGATGCCTGTGTCACCTTGATAGGAAACCTCCTACACTGTGTAATACTGTCATCTCAGGGAGAGCCACTGTTCATTAGCTTAAATTGTCAGCTTTATGGTTCAGTGAAATAAATACACATTTTCCCTAAGGTAATGACTTTTTTCTCACTTCGTGAGAGCTGTAGGGACCCTTGTTATCAAGAGATAATCATATTCTAGTGGTGCTACTTATTGTACCCAATGAAAGTCCCAAGGATGTGATTATCTCTTAATAACTCTAAAGCCTGTTATGTATCATCTTGTATTTTGTTTACTTTGAGTGTGTGGTGGGGAACCCATTAGTGATCTCTGTGGTTGATAGTATTCGTTGTGAAATGATAAAAGAATCAAATGACCATTTGTTTGCTTGGAGCTAGACAGCACGATTAGAAATGCATCCCAATTCTGACTGAAAAATGCATTTAAATGTAATCTGTTGCTTAGTATTAGTTTAATAACCCTGATGTTAATACTAAATTATATCAAGCAAAGCTAATGGAAATTCTGAAAATAAACATGGATAATTTAGTATCTACATGACCTTTACCTCCCACAGAAAATTCAGGTTGGGTTTTAACTACCTGTGAAGGAAGTAGATACCCATGAGAAATAACCTGCTGATTCTGTGATGGAAAATGCCATCAATAAGTTAAGCAAAACAGGAGAAATATAAGGAAAAGCCTGTTAAATACAATGGCCTTTAAGAATACGGACAGTTGTTAAATGGTAACTCTTACCTCTCACTTTAGGCTATCCTTTGATATTCAAATAATGTTAATAATAACAAGTATCATTAATTGAATACCTGCTATAGACTGGTTTGGCTTGTCTCATTTTATCTATTATTGTTATTGAGATGGAGTCTCGCTCTGTCACCCAGGGTGGAGTACAGTGGCAGGATCTTGGCTCATTGCAACCTCTGCCTCCCAGGTTCAAGCGATTCTCCTGCCTCAGCCTCCCAAGTAGCTGGGATTGCAGGTGTGCGCTACCACATCTAGCTAATTTTTTGTATTTTTAGTAGAGATGGGGTTTCATCATGTTGGCCAGGCTGGTCTTGAACTTCTTACCTCAAGTGATCTGCCCCCTTCGGCCTTCCAAATTGCTGGGATTACAGATAGGAGCCACGGCACCTGGCCCATTTTATCTTTTGAAGAACCTTTCAAGGTAGATAATTTTGGCCCTGTCTTACAGATGATAACAACAAACTACAAGAGGTTATATAACTTGGTTGAGTTCATGCAGCAAATAACGTGGTAAAGCTTAGACTCAAATATGACTTTAGAACCTATATTTTGTCCACTGATTATTTAAAGGCATAATGTACAGAGTGACTAAGCGCAATTATAGGAGACTTGTAATCAATGGTGATCACATACACATTTGTTGTTAGACAAATCCAGGTCTGACTCTAACAGGCAAAGTAAAGAGACCACTCTTTGGTCCCTCCTAATGTTATATGCTATGTCTGTGAGAATTGAAAGCTTTAGAGATGCCGCATCTGGGTTTTTGAACATGTTCGTTAGAATTATTTTCATGCTCTTACCTGTCACTTGGGAAGGGTTGTTTTTGTTCTTAATAAATAACCGACACACCTTTTGGTTTTGAGGTATTTGGAAAGGGTCTAGATCAGGACTGTTTGTTCCCTAGGGTAAAATCATCCTTTTTGACCTAGACCTTGCCAGCTGCTGCATCTAACTATTTGCTATTAGCTGAGAAGCTCTGCAGTCATTCATGGATTTCTGGTTCCTTTGTTGTAAAATTGCGAGTACATTTATGTTGACAGCAGCTGATTTGTTCAAAGATTGGACCCAATCTTTCTGGGCAGAGGGAGAGTCGTCTATTTATTCACCTGGTTGTGTATTAATTTCCTGCCTATTTTCACATGTGATTTTATTTAGTTTATAATAAAAACTTTAACTTAGGATAGCGGGTACAAGTTATGGATTGAACATGGAAAGTTTAGTGAATTTTTCATGATTAAAAAAATGATTATAATGATAGCATTTATTTTCTGCATAGTATGAACTGGGCAGTGTTCTCATGGATTACCTCAGTCTAGCCTCAAAACAACAGCTAAAGGTAGGAGTACATTAGGCTCATTTTATTCGAAAGGAAGCTGAGCTTAAAGAAGGTGGGTAAAATGAAAGGTCTTGCCTTGTGTTCGCCTCTAGGGAGAGACTATTAGCCAATCAAGTGCAATAGATTCAGTTTCTTTCCCCCTGTAAAGCAGCACAAAAGCGGCCCAGAAAAAAATTCTGTGGGTTTTTTTTTTTTTTTTTTAACCTTCTTTCAAGGTATGAAATTGGGTATCTACCTACTTGAATCATCTCTGTTCATGCTGGCTAACCTAAGATGGGAAGTTTTAACTATGTCTACTTTTTCCCCTAACAAGAATACAGCAACTGAACATTTTCCCAGTGAGGTGTGAATAAATAATTCCTGCTTATATAATCAGCAACTTCTCAACATCAACTGAGGTATCATTAGATATTTTCTTTTAAGATCAGTTATGAAAATCCACTGTGGAAGTGGAACTTATTTTGGCGTAACCCTTAGTTTATAATAACTAAGACTATACGTTGGATCCATTCAATCATTGAGCATACATTTAAGGAGCACCTGTTTTAGACCAGGTTGTACTAGACTGTACACCTTCAGACTGAAGAATAAGACAACACAGGTACATACTTTCCCACAGTAAAAGGTATGTGTGTTTTGGGGTAAGCCGAACAGTGATAAATATTTTGTGATGAGTGGTATGCTAAAGACATGTGCTGAGTGTAACTGGAGCACAAGATCCATTACGGTCCTGAGAGGTTATGGTTTTGTTAAAAGGATTATTTCAAAAGTAATATTCTCTTACTGTTTTAGATACATTTTGATGATGTTTGTTGTTTATTTGGGGGGGGGAGGTGGCAGAGTAGAGTAGTAATTTTATTTTGACAGCAAATCCCAGGAGGTCAGGAATCTTGGTCTGTTTCTTTTCTCCTAGTAAATACTTTTTGAATAAAAAAAATTAATGTCAATGTAAAAGCTATTGGTCTATGATAGTAAAGGAACAGTTGATTATGATTCATATTCATGAGCCAGGAATTTTTATATATGGAATTTCCTTACAAATTTGTAGGTTGTTAGCATTGTGACTTATTTGTATTCATTGCTCACTTATTTGTCTGCCTCATTTCTACAGGCACAAAGCCAGGACTTTGTATTACTCACAGAAAACTTAGCTTCAGTGGGCTTATGATTTCTTAACTAGTAACCATTTAGTTGTAATATACAGAAACTTAAACTAGCTCACATAATAAGGGTTGTTGAAACCATATGCCAGGCAAAATGATAGTCTTCTAAGCATAAAAAAATTATAGCTAAAACCTAACCTCATGGGGACTTGACTTAGGAAGTCAGGAAATGTGGCTGCCCCTCACCTTTTACCCTATTTTCAGTTCTTCATTTCTCATGTGGATCAGGAGTAAGGATGTATGTAATCCTAACTCTGGTTTTCTCTAAAGTCTTATTTTTCTGGTTCTCTCAAGACTGGCTTCTTTAACAATAATTCCAACTTTACATGCCTCAAACTCTCAAGTGTTGCAATTCAAAATCTCTGAGAGAGAATCTTGTTGACTTAATGTGGGTCAAGTATTAATTGATGGTTCAATAGCTGTAGCCTATTAGGTTGAATCACGTAGAACATAGGGCTGGTCTTTTCAGGAGCAACAGGTGGGATGCATTCTTTACAAAGGAGATATTGTTTCAGAGGCCTTCTTGGGGTCAGTCCCATATATTCCCCCTCACTCTTCTTACCTTTCCATCCTGCTTTCTATTCTCTTTGGCATTGCTCTTTGCTCCGTGGTAGCTAACTGACCTGATAAATGCATTCATGATATGTTAGTTCACCCAACAGATAAGTTCTTTTGGCCAGGATTCCCTCTGGATGCAATTACAAAAATCAAAGGAGTGAATTTAATAATGTTTTCTATAATGGGCAAGTATTTGGGAACATATGTTTTCTTGTGGTGCTGATACTGCTTTTTGTGTGTACAGTCACCATGCATGAAACTATCCATAATGTATGAGAATCTCTTGCCAATGTTACTGCTACTAGTGGATACTATAACTAGTGGCTAAACTGAATAGCTAGTCTGCATTATGTAATTTAATTATTAATTTGAGGATTGAAATAATCCTTTGAGGATGAATACTGTTATTGTCCCCACTTTAAAAATAGAATTGAGGATTATATCAATTAAAGAATTGTTCAAGATCACATGATTAGTAATAAATTGAACCAATATCCCATCCCAAGAAATTTATCCCGGAGCTTATGTTCTCAAACAAGAACAACATAATTATTTTAATGAATAAAATTAAGTTTTCATTTCAAGTATTATTCCACTGGATAGGGTAAATGTAATCTCTACCTTCTTTCTGTGAAGAAGAAAAAATATATATGACAAATTTTTAGTAATATTTGAAAAAACAAAAAACTTTGACCGATGTCTGTAGGATTATTATAATTTTAATTGTTATTGATAGGTAGGCTGGAGTTGCAAATGGTGCCAATAGCTGTAAATAGAGCTTTAGTTTTACATCAGTTGCTGTCCTTAATGTAAGAAAGATAGGTGTTTAGATACATACTAAACTTTTGTAGCTGACTAATGTATATACAGCTGGTAACTGACCATATTAAAACCAAACAGATGGTGATGTATTTGTGATTCAGAATTAATGTGAATATATAATTTTTCATAATCCATAGGAAACATTTTCTTACACATGTCATCATTTATGAAATTGTATTTGTTTTAGGGGTATATGAGAAAGGTCAGGGATTATTTTACATTTCTGAATATATTAGCAATATGAAGAATACCTGTTTAGTCTCTACCTTCTGGTTGTTATCGATATTATCCTGAGAGTAAAGGTAGTTAGGTATTTAATATAGAGATGAATTATTTTGCAATTCAGCCAGAGAAGGCATACACTTAAGAAAAGATCATGTTTTTATGGCTAATCAAGAAACTATAACATTTTTATCCAATCAATTATGTTATATTTAAGAATAAGCCAGAGTAGAATAGTATGATTAAAGATATTTCTGATTAGCTAATCTATATTATATATATCTACATAAAATTTTATTTTCAGTTATTAAAACTATAAGACAGTTATTTTACAAAGAAGTGATCTATAGCAGAAACTTGGTTAGAGGATACACATATGAATAAACATGAAAACATAAATATATACCTTTATTCTACGTAAAATTAAGTGTGTGTGTATTTATATATATATTTATAGGGAAAATAAATTTAGTTCTTCAGGGAAAAATATTGTGAGGCAAAAATTATTTCACAATTAAAGTTTAAGTCGGTAGCTTTAAGAGAATGTACAATTTATGTGAAGAGTGTTTGTTTTTGTTAGGTACCCTCATTTTATGTATTCATATACCTAACAAAAACGATGACGTCTCCATTTATTGCTCAATTTTTATTATTTTAAAATCCTTTTAATGTACCCTCTTAAGAAATTGTCTCTTTTATTGAATCTGAATGCCATAAAATATTGCAGGCTCCTAGAGCCATCATACTAACAAGGGAAAGATAGAGTGGTGATGACCTTCTCAAAAGTCACTCAGCTCATGGGAGGCAAGGCGGAGAATGGATCCTGGATCCTAATCTACACAATTCTATTAAGCTGGAAATCTATACCAAATGTATTTAATTTTTACTTTGTCCTAATCCAATCTGATTTAATTTTAGACCGGGAAGATTACAGGTAAGCATCACCTACCCATAAGCCTATCTATGCTTGAAAAAATGTATTTATTTGTGTATTTTTTCTTTTTATTCTAGGAATCATTGACATAGAGTAACTCCACAGCATGTGTCTTCAAGAGCTTCCCTAAAAGGTAAGCTTCCCACAAGGGAAGATTTTCCTTATGTGTAGTTCACCTTGATTAGCATCCTTAGTTTCTATGGAAACATTGAAAACCTTCCCTTACAGAGTGATAGCATGAGATTGTTTTTGATGTTTTTATGAATGTTGAAATTAATGAAAGTAGTGAAGTTACATAAATTAAAGCCTGAAACTAAGAAATAGGGACTATTT
The DNA here is from genome assembly GCF_000001405.40 of Homo sapiens. Classification (NCBI taxonomy): domain Eukaryota; kingdom Metazoa; phylum Chordata; class Mammalia; order Primates; family Hominidae; genus Homo; species Homo sapiens. The sequence continues at coordinate 2,339,434 of NC_000003.12, forward strand.
ACATTTCTCTCTGGAGAAGATACTTAAGGTAGGTTTTCTGTAGTTTAGATTAATTTGATAATCCAAAAATTTTAGAATTTGTAATCATAGAAAGTGTATATTGGGAATAAAGTTGTTGTACTTTTGCCAAATGGTTTCATAGGAGAGGATGTTTTAGCAGTCAAACCAACACAAATATTAAGTTAACGCAGTCCTATAAATACTCAGATCTTAAAAGTTGAAGCTTTTGAAGGGATAAAACATGAGAAATGTAACTCACTGTCTACAATGTATGCAAATTTTTTCCTTAATAAAATATATAGATGTAAAACAGTAAAATGGTTATGTTTTACTTTCCTGATGCTGATCCAATAAAGTAACTGGTGGCTTAAAACAATGGAAACTTATTCTCTCACATTTGTGGAATCTACAAGTTTGAAATGAAACTCTCAGCAGGAACATGCTCTCTCTTTGAAGGCTCTTAAGGAGGAATCTCTTTGCTTCCTCTAGCTTCTGGTGGTTGCTGGCAATGTTTGGTGTTCCTTGGCTTCAGATGCATCAGTCAAATCTCTGCCTCTATCTTCAGTTCACGTGGCTGTCTCCCCTATGTGTGTCCAAATATTCTTCTTCTTAGGAAGATAGCAGTCATTGAATTAGGGCCCATGCTAATCTAATATGATCACATCTTAACTTGATTTTTATCTGTAAAGATCCTTTTTAAAAAGTCACATTCACAGATTTTGGAGATTAGGATTTCAACAGATCTTTTAGGGACATCTAATTCACTCATAACAGTATGCCTAAAAAGAGAGTCTAGTGAAATTAAAGTTAATTATTGTTAACAATGTATTTATGGGAAAATAATCATAACATGGAGTGGAGGAAGGTCTCATTCCATTGGTATACATAAAATGCTGTTTATTTTAATGATATAATAATTATCTCTTGATGGCCAGCTTTTCTCCCAAGCAAGATAAAAATTATTCGGTACAGGGTTTGATAACATTGGGTAAAATATTAGTATATAATTCTGATTCTCAGATTTTTAACACCCTCAGTTAAAAAAAATAATAATCCTGGACATCAGTGAGACCCTGTCTCTATGAAAAACAGGAAAATTTAGCCGGATATGGTGGTGCATGCCTGTAGTCCCACTACTGGGAAAGCTGAAGCGAAAGGATCACTTGGGCCTGGGAGGTCAAGGCTGCAACGAGTTGTTATTGCACCACTGCACTGTAGCCTGGGTGACAGAGCAAGACCTTGTCATAAATTTTATATATATATATATATATATATATAGAGAGAGAGAGAGAGAGAGAGAGAGAGAGTCAGAAATTTATTTCACTTGATTCTTCAGGTATTTTTCATGAGCTAAGGTTGAGTAAGGTGTTTTTTAACCAACTGGCTATTGTTCTGTAACAAACCACCCCAAAACTCAGTGGCTAAAAACAGTAACTTTATTATTTCCTATGAGTCTTTGGGATCAGCTGCTTGGGTCTTCTGATCTGGAACAGACTCTGCAGTATTGACTGGGTATGCTCCTTGGTCTGAGCGCAGCTCACAGGTCAGTGCAAGCTGCTCCACAAGGTCCCTCTCCTCCAGCAGGAACCATCTTTCTTAAGGCAGCAACATTATTCCAAGATACTCTGAGTGTCCTCAAGCTTGTTTAGATGTGCTGTGTTTTCCCTTGCTTTTACTTACTCTGTTCCTTCTCCTTGGAATATTCTTTCTTTCCATCTTTTTATTCCACTTGAAAATGTATTTCCTTTATGAATACTGCTCTGGTTTCTTTGATCCTATTCATTCATATATCTTTGTGTAGCTGAAGATACTGAACTCATATCCCTGTTAGGGTGAGGCTTCCCTCTTGTGCCAACATCAGTGTAAACAATATGATATTCACATTGTCTTGTAATTGCTAGCTTAATTATCTTACCCTCCCACTGTGAACTTCTGAAGCCAGTGATTGCATCTTCTTGTTCTTCATGGTATTCCAAGAACCTAGCAGTGCATGCACAGATGATGTCTTCCATAACTATCCATGGACAGAATGAAAGATTTAATGACATCTTCCCTATTCTAATTCCTCTCTTAAAATTTAAGTTGTTGAAACTTTCCAGAATTTGGACTGAAAGGCAGGAGGTAGGTTTCCTCTCATTTTGATGATGCCCCTTGGACTCTACTCAAAGAGGGCCCAGGCACCCTGTGGTGCCACCCTGGCCTTTCTTCCTCTACCACAGATTGTAAAAGTTGTAGTCTGTGGGACAGAATATCCCCAAAACAGTTAATTTGATTTACATAATAGCTCTTTTTAACATAGTAATTTCAAAAATAAAAATAAAGTTTAACTTGTTGCCAGCACTTAAAAATTTGGAGATTTTACATAAAATGATTTTTTAAATTCTCCTAAAAGAAATCATAATAACTTTCTATCCTGGACAATGCATTTCCAGATGACAAAGAGGGCTTAGCTGAACAATAGCAGCCTTCCAGTGCCCTCTCCAGTTCGTCACACCATGCCATTTGCTATCTTCTAGCCCCAGTAGACACTTGAGTTTAATATCCTTAGCTACCCAAAGATACATGGATTGATACAGTGTGGAGGCTTAGCTTTGCTTCTAAATGTCTGAACAAAGAAGTGTCAGTGGTTGAATGGGCCATTTAGATGTTCTTATTATATATCCATCAACTAAGTAAAAATAATTTTGGCTTTGTTTTCAAAGCTCTGTACTTGAATTCCTGCATGTAATATTTGAACAGATAATCTCTCTGACCTCTTTTTTTTACACATCTGTAAAATGGAGACTGTGATATTCTTCATAGGCTTGGGTCATGTTAGGTTACTTTATTAATGCTAGACAATTTAGTCTAAACTGCACTCATAGGGAAAATAGAAGAAGACAGTTACATTCTTCTTTTTCTGGATTGGTACAAAAATTTTCATCTTTTGTTAGGGTACATTAGCAATATGAAGTACTGATACATGCAACAACTGGGATAAACCTTGAAAATATTATAAATAAAACAAGCCTGACACCAAAGGTCATATATTATATGATTCCATGTTGATATGGTTTGGCTGTGTCCCCACCCAAATCTCATCTTGTAGTTCCCATAATCCCCACCTGTCGTGGGAGGGAGCCGGTGGGAGGTAAATGAATCAAGGGGGCAGTGATCCTCATGCTGTTCGTGTAACAGTGAGTGAGTTCTCATGAGATCTGATAGTATTAGAAGGGTCTTTCCCCTCACTTCACTCTCACTATTCTTCCTGCTGCCATGTGAAGAAGGACTTTGTTGGCTTCTCCTTCCACCATGATTTTAAGTTTCCTGAGGCCTCCCCAGTCATGCTGAAGTGTGAGTCAATTAAACCTCTTTCCTTTATAAATTACTCAGTCTCAGGTATGTCTATTTTAGCAGCATGAGAATGGACTAATATACATGTATAAGAAATACCTAGAATAGGCAAAACTATAGAGACAGAAAGTAGATTAATAGTTTCCAGAAACTAAGGAGAGATGCAAGCGGGCAGTGACTGACTGCTACGATTTCTTTTTGGAGGTGATGAAAATGTTTTGGAATTAGAGAGTAGTGATGGCTGTAAAGCCTTGTGAATACACTAAAAACCACTAAATTGTGCAGTGAGTGGTGAATTTTATGGTATGTGAATTACATCTCAATAAAGTAATAAGGAAATATATGTTTTAGGAAGACAAAATTTCATCTTCAGCTGAGGCAGGAGAATAGGGTCTGGAGGCAGGGTAAACCTAAGGGCAATTTGCACTGACTTCCTACAACTGAATCAAAAGGAAAACCCCACCTCCCCACAACCAATTAACAAAGGGATTAGAGGCTACTCCCTTTGTACTGCATTGCCGATGAAAAATGGAAAGTACCTCTGATTGGTTCTCTCCTGCAACCAGTCACACTGGTCACGGGCCAAGTCTTCATGTGTAACTTTGTAACTTCACTTCAGCCTCTAATTTGCCCCCTCCTGCAACCAATCAGACGTTTGCATAGGGTGTAACTTTGTAACTTCACTTCAGTCTCTTATTGGTCACTCTCTGCAACCAGTGAGACTGGTCGCGGGTCACTCCTTCATTTACATAGTGTAACTAAGTAACCAGTGGGAAACCTCTAGAGGGTAAACCCCAGAAAATTCTGTAACCAGTGCTCTTGAGCCACTTGCTCAAGATTGCTCTCACTATGTGGAGTACACTTTCATTTCAATAAACCTGTGCTTTCATTACTTCATTCTTTTGTTGCTTTGTGTGTTTTGTCCTATTCTTTGTTCAAAATGCCAAGAACCTGGACAACTCATAGTCAAGACCCTCCACTGGCAACATAGCTATGGTGACATTCTCAGTCTTTTTTGCATTGCTGAAAAGGAATACTTGAGGCTGGGTTATTTACAAGGAAAGAGGTTTACTTGGCTCATGGTTCTTCCAGCTGTACAAGAAGCATGGCACCAGCATCTGTGTGTGGTGACAGCCTCAGGAAACTTACAATTATGACAGAGGGCAAAGGGGCAGCAGGCATGCCACAAGGTCAGAGAGGGAGCAAGAGAGAGGCGAATCTCTTTTAAAAACAAACAGCTCTTGCATGAACTAATACAGCAGGAATTTACTCATTACCCAAGGAATGGCACCAAGTCATTCATGAACAGTCTTCCCCCCATGGCCCAAACACCTCGCACTAGGCCCCACCTCCCATCTAGGGGTCAGATTTCGACACGACATTTGGAGTGGACAAACATCCAAACTATATCAGTGATATAACAAAATAAGCAGATTGTCATTCAAATCCACACACACTGCCTTCCTGAGAGTCCTGTCTGACCTGACTGCCAAGGCCAAAGGCCAGGTCAAATTTTTTTTTTTTTTTTAGATGGCATCTAGCTCTGTTGCCCAGGCTGGAGTGCAGTGGTGTGATCTCGGCTCACTGCAACCTCTACCTCCTTCCTGGGTTCAAGCAGTTCTCCTGCCCCAGCCTCGTGAATAGCTGGGATTACAGGCGTCTGCCACCGCACCCAGCTAATTTTTGTATTTTTAGTAGAGATGGGGTTTCACTATGTTGGCCAGGCTACTCTCAAACTCCTGACCTCATGATCCACCCGCTTCAGCCTCCCAAAGTGCTGGGATTACAAGCGTGAGCCACGGTGCCTGGCCCAGGAAAAAAATTTAAACATCAGGATTCATGGTTTCATACTGAGATTCTGAATGATGGGGTCAGACAGGAATGAATTTCTATTCTAAATATTTTACTGACTACCTCTCTCATATTTCTCAAAATGTAAAATAAGGGTACTGATTAGCTCTTTTGTTAGCTTAGGAAAAATAAATATCATGAACCTACTGTGGTTCCAGTTAGGAAATAGACCCTCCATAACTGATACTTTTATAATTAGTATTATTTGGTTGTAAATATTAGGCTATCACATTAGATTTTTGGCAGTTCAACTGTTCCAGGGTTGGCTTTTCTCTTCCTGGCATCTTAGCCAGAAAGAAAAGAATGCCTAGAATTTCTGTTAGCACTTAATGAATTTAATCAGCCCCCGAGGGACTTTTGATGTCAGGGAAATAGTTGACAGAGAAACATGATTTTTATTCTTTCTGTGTTTCTCTTGGTAGTTGACAGAGCTTTCCCTGGCAGAGGTAACATTACCTGTGCTGAGAGAGGAGTATTAACATGCTGTAAGTGAGATGTTAGAACTAAGAGAACACATCCCTGTGGCCTTACATTAAAATGTTCCATGCATATGCTTCTGAATACAATTTAAGCTGCTGCCAATAAGAAAATAAGCCATTGCCTGAAAATGTGTGATTCAATTGTCTATCATTTTTATGATTTTTTTTTACCCTTTCAGACACATTTTAGAGATTCTTTTTTAAAAAGTTTGTTTTTGGAAATTGAAATGAAAATTATCATCTGGAAATATAAGGGATAATTGTGTTATTCTGTGAAGTATTTTATAAGCTGTAATGTTAAGCAGAAATTTTTAATCTTAAGTATGGAAAAATATGTATATGAATTGCTCCATTTGATCCAAGTGATGTTTTATGCTTTTCCTTATGGTTAATGGAAAGGATTATGCTATGTTGAATGGCCGGAATATCAGGAGCATGGGTGTCATTTGTTCTCCCAACAACTATTTTTGGGAAGCTAAGTACATGCCAGAACATGTATTAGGACCAGGTGATATGGTGCCAAATAATATATGTATATCTTCTGGAATTTTGAGTTTGCTGTCTAATAGGGGGACTGATAACATACAAGTAGAAAAAATACATATTGTGCTAAGTACTGTAAAGGAAAGGAAGAGAATATTATGATCGAGAAGCAGAGCTTATAGTTCCGCACCACAACTAATTTATTGTGTGACCCTCTGATAGGCTACTGATGATGAGTGGGCACCGAGCTTCTATAAATTTGACGAATTAATCCTTTGACCATTATGGCGTGATCCTCTTTTTATTCCTGATGATGCTTGTTGACAAAATATTACTTCATTTAAATTAAATTTGCCTGAGATTTCCTTTCTAATTTGTTTTCAACCTTTATGTTTAGTTTAGGTGTATCTCCTTTCAGCAGCGTGTAGTTGGATTTTTTCAGTGTGAATTTTCCCCCCTTCTTTTTTACTAAGGGAATTGAATTTTTTTGCACTTATTTTGATTCCTGAAATATTTTTAACATTCTTTCCATCACCTTACTTTGTGTCAGGATTTTTGTTTCTAAATGCTTTTCCACCTTCTTCTAAATTAACTGGTTTTCTTAATTCCATTAATTTCTTATTATTTCGGACGTTTCACTGTTTTCATTTTTAGTGTGCTCTGCCAAATTTTAACCTTAGCAAAGTCAAATTTAATGTTCCCAAATAAAACCTAAAATTCTTTAACTCAAATTGTATCACTCAAAGTTCCAAGTTATTTTCTATGCATATTATTTTAGCTCAACTTTTTCTTCCTCTTAGTAATTATTATTATATTTAATACATTCAGGTTTTAACTTACATAGATTTTCTTATATACTGACCAGTTTATTTCTTATCATTGCTTCCAGCATCCCACTTCCTTTTGCTCAAAAGTTCCTATTAAATTTTTAGTAGCTTCTTTTAATGGTAAACTCTCTAATTTTTTTGTATCACTAAATATTTTTCTTTTGCTGTTATTTTTGAATAATGTTAAGCTAGGATTGGAATTCTTAGTTAATGGTATTTTCCCCTCAATACCATGAAGATATTGTTGTATTGTTTTCTATCCTTTATTACTACAGATAATGAAATCTGCTGTTAGTCAAATTGATATGCTTATGTATGTGATCTGTCTTTTTCTTTCCTGCTCACTTTTAAGATATTTCTTACATTTGGAGTTCTGCAGTTTCACAATGATAAGTCCAAGTATGCATTTTTGTTGAGTTTTTCTCTTACGCTATTCTGTTTTCCAACCTCAGGACACACTTTTTTCCAGTTGTAGAAAATTCTCATTTATTATTTATGTGAATATTGGTATTTCTAAAATTACTTTTGTTGTCTCTTTTCTGCATTCTTAAACATATTTGGACCATTTATTTCTCCTATCCATAACTCCTAGCTAGCCTTTCACTTTTTTCTTTATGTCTTCATTTTGCATTATAAGAAAATTCCTCTGGAGTCCTTCAGTTTTTAAATTTGTTGTTCATCAGTGTCTATTCTGCTACTTAACTTTTGTATCATCAGGATGGCTAGTTCATGCTGCATTATTAGCAAACAGCCCCAAGTGTCATGGATTAAAACAAGAAAAGTTTATTTCTCTCTCATGCAACATTCTCAATGAAAGTTAACAGGGGAGCTCTGTCTTGGTGGAGGCACCATCTGGGAATGTGAAGGCAAAATAAAGAAAACCTGTGGAATCATAAACTGGCTCAGAAAGCTTCCTCCCGGAATTGACACACGTCATTTTTCCTCATATTCCACTAGCAAAAGAAGCCAATGGATGACTCCAAAGGCTATAAGGAAATACAATCTTTTTTTTTTTTTTTTTTGGAGACATAATCTCGCTGTCGCCCAGTCTGGAGTGCAGTGGCACCATCTCGGCTGACTGCAACCTCCACCTCCCGAGTTCAAGTGATTCTCCTGCCTCAGCCTCCCTAGTAACTGGGATTACAGGTGCCCATCATCACACCCAGCTAATTTTTGTATTTCTAGTAGAGACAGGGTTTCACCATGTTGGCCAGGCTGGTCTCAAACTCCTGACTTCAGGTGATCCACCCACCTCGGCCTCCCAAAGTGCTGGAATTACAAGCGTGAGCCACCATGCCTGGCCAGGAAATACAATCTTAATATGCACCTGGAAACAAAGGAGAACTGTAGTATTTATGAAAAGCACTGCACGGCTACTCCAAATGTTCATTTTTTTTTTTAATTTCAATTTCTTGTTTTAATTTTTAGAAGCTCTTTTTGGTTTATCTTTTTTTTAAGTCATGTTTTCTTGCTTTATCATGGATTCAGTTCCTTTTTATTTGTAATTCCTTTACATACTCTTAATTTCTCCTCATGTTCATTAATCTTTTATTATTTTTATTGTTTATACTGTATGTTTCTTTTACTGTGCCAACTGAATTTTTTCATGGTAGTTTTTATTTCCACATATAGTTCGTAATTTTATAGTTTGAGCCCACCTTAGTGAACTACTTCCTTTCTTTGGGAATGTTGTGAACTCTGTGTTGTGACAGCATTCCCCAAGAGTGGTTCTGCTTTTGCTTTTATTGAGTCTTTAGGATATAAAAGGTCACATATCAGTTTTTGTTAACTTCTTGCATTTTATAAGTAGAGTAAATTAGATCATATACTTAACGCTTGGCCCAGCCGTGAGGTTTTTATTTCTTATAGGGGTCATATTGAGTCCAAAGACAACAGAATTCCTCACTTCTTGTTCAGGCCATTTGCATCATTTTTCTACCTTCTTTTCATGGATTTAGGGAATCTGTGTTTTATATAGGGACTTTAGATATATCTCCCTGTGCTTGGAAGACTATGTCTCCTGTCCCTCCTTAGACATCAAAACCCTGGCTCACCAGCCCTCAGGCCTATAGCGAGAACCACCCTGTCCCTGAACCACCACCACATTAACTGAAACTTATTGCAGAGTCTTCAGTTCCTCTGTTCCTTTATCAGACCTTCAGCATTCCATTTCCTTTCCTTAAACTTGATAGATTTTTTTAAATTGTTTTACTTATATTTTATTCATTATTTTTCTGTGCCTTTAGGTGGTCATTGATCTATATTAGCTGGGTTCATTATGTTTTCAAAACTGGAAGTTTCTAACATCAGCTTCCTAGCCTATAAAAAATTATTCAAGTTGCATTATCCACAATGCTCTTTTAACCCTATGACTCATATCTTAATATGAACTAATACGAAGAAAAACAAGAATTAATACCAGGTCTCTTGTCTTCTTTCCATTTTGATATTAATCAATTGTGTCATGTTAGACAAGTCATTAAACTTTCTTGGGCTCAAGCTTCCCCATCTATAAAATCAGCAGTTGAAACTATATGCCTTAGATAAATGCATTCTCTTCTCCAAGCTAAGCAAGTTTAAATCTGATGAGCTTTTAGGAAAGATACAACTTTGTCCTCAGTACTATAATATTTGATTCTTTAATTATTTCCAGCTGAAGTCTTTTAAAATTTACATTATTGCAATAAATGTTTTACCCGAACTGGTTTGGTAAATATTTTATATGCATCTGTATATAAAGAACCATCATATCTTATTATACCTAGAAATGAATGCAATTATGTTTGCCATTTTAAGGGTCTCAAGAGTTAATATTAACAAAGTGCTTGTTGACGTATTTTTTTTTTCACATGACCTTCTGAAGCCAGCCTGCACTACTGCCTTTTACATAAGTAAATTAGGGTACATTTTTAACCTTTTCATGTTTAAACTAAGACACATAGTAGCTCTTCAAAATTGCAAAACAGTCTTTAGAACATTTAGTACACAATAACCCTTCTAATTGCACGTGAAATGAAGGACTGTAAACTTCATAAGTCACCCAGAAGAACACAATGTAATTCCCTTTAGAGTATCCTCTTTAAAAGTGGTCTCAGAATCAGACTCCATGATTTCAGCAACACAGTCAAAGATGTACTAACAGATATTACCTAGGTTGCCAATGAATTGCTGTCAGTTCATGTTTTATCCATGAAAATTTTAAGGAAAATGTAAAAATGATACATTTGTTTGAACTTGTAGAGAAAATTATGAAAAATCCAAGCTTGTAGGGAATGATGGACTATCTGCAGAATATTAGCATAGCTCTGATTTTGCAAACACGTGGACTCAGATAATCTTACCCAGTGGAGACATACCAATGCAAAGTGAACTAAGATCTTGGAGTACTAATGGACCTATATAACACATTGAGAATGTTGAAACAACCCGAAACAAGCTAGAGAAATTGGAGAAGCTTAAACCTGAGGATTGGTGCCCTGAAATGGAAGAGAAACAACAGTCAACTTTATATGAACAGGATGAAATAGCATACAACAGGATGATATTAACATATCTCTGAGCCTGTGAGGGACAGGGAACAGACTTAGAGCAATCCACCCTTGCCGTTAAGATCTATTTTGAAGTGAGACAGGCGCTTGTCTCAAAGGTCAGGGACTAAATGTGTCTTAGAGAAGTCATCGTGGTTGTTTTACCTTTTCATCCACCTTTGAAATAAAAGATTAGAGATAAGATGAAATCTAACTAGATCCTTGCTAGGAGAATGAAGTTTTAAAAGGAGAGCCATAGTCACAGCTGTCTTCAGAGTAGGTAGATGCCAAGTCTTAGGGAAGTACAGGATTAACCATGTTGGTAATGACAGAACCTAAGGTATCCCCAGCAGTGTTCTTTAAGAGTGTAAAAAACAAGGATTAGGAGAGCAGGTGATTGGACGCAGCTGCTGAATAATCTTCTTAACCTCATCTTTACTCCACAGGGAGAAAAATAACAGGAAAATAAAAGCTTCCACCAAGTGGTTGGTGGCAGTGAAACAAAAGGAGCATCAAAAAGTACACAAGGACAGATTTGTCCTGATGCTAATAATTCTGAACAAAAGGGCCAGGAAATTGCTGTAAAGTGCTCTGTACTAGTGTAAGATAAATACATAATTAGTATACTTAAATAAAGAAAAAAATAGAGTAGAATTCTAGGAGTGGTTCTTTTTTCTAGGCACTTCTAAAGCTGTTATTCACTGAGGGCCTAAATACCTTGTAATGTCTCTTCATTAAGTTTTTGTTCATGAAGTAGCGAGAAATGAATAGCTCTCAGTCAATATTTAATTGATGCTTATACATTGAATTTAATCAGGAACTATCTAAATGACTCACTAACCAACGAAAATTTAAGCAAGGCAAATGTAACAAAGGAAAATGGGGAGCAAAGCAGGCAAATGGTACCAGATTATGCATGAGTAAGAAATATGCATGAGAGAAAACTTTCATGTTTGAAGCCATTTGCTACATTCCTGGATTACTCTAGCACAGCCTAAATAATTCTGATTAATGCAGCCTCCCAACGCATGATATAGTCTGCAATGAAAATGGCCCAAAATATATACCTTAATTTCTGTACAATGTACTGGTTCCTTGTTTTAGTGATTCTGTATTTGTAAAAGTTCCTATATTGAGTTTGCTTCAACCGTATTGACTGCTGAAGCTCAAGTTCTGTTTATAGCAAAGGTCAGGGTCTAAATATGTCTTAGAGAAGTCATAGTTATAGTTCTCCATAATTGGAGAACTATATCGTACAACTTCTGCCATGAATGTGAGACCATCTAATAGTCAAACTAGAAAGAGTGAACTCATAGAACACCATAAGTAAAATGTACCCCAGATAACATCCAGACCAAATCTCATTTTATAGTGCAGGAAACTTAGGCGCAGAAATGTTTGGTTAAAAGTGGCACAGATTCACACAAAACCAAAGTCTTGATGTTCAGCATGCAGAAGGAGAGAACGTAGTTTTCCACAATTTTTTTTTCTTCCTCAAAGATGGGACAAGGGTGACCTTACTCGCATTAAAGAAGTGGATGATACTTAGTTGTATTTGAAAGAAAAAGAGAACAGAGTTCTCATGCTTTGAAAACAGAAAGTAAATATGTATGATCTCACTTATCCCCCTTTATCTGAGGTAGATACATTCCCCGTGGAGTAGGACAGAGCGTGATTTCTTCACGCTACTCGGAATGGTGTAGAATTTAAAACTTATGAATTCTTTATTTCTGGAATTTCCCATTTAATATTTTTGGAATGTGGTTGACTGCATCAACAAACTCCAGAAAGCAAACCATAGATAAGAGGGGACTACTGTTTATGAAATCTAAAAAAACTGAACTCACAGAAGTAGTAAAATGATGGTTACTGAGGTTGGGGGTTGAGAGGGGGAGGGAATGGGGGATTGTTGGTCAAAAGGTACAAAGTTTCATGTATAGACAAGAGGAATAGGTTTTGAGATCTACTGCATAGCAAGGTGACTATAATCAATAATAATGTATATTTACCTAAGAGTAAATTTCAAATGTCTCACCACAAAATAGAGGTGAGGTGATAGATATGTTAATTAGCTCAGTTTAATCATTTTTGATTTTTACATATATCAAAACATCACATTTTACTCATAAGTGTATACAATTATGATTTATCAATTCATACTAATAAAAACAAACAGGTCTGGTGCGGTTGCTCATGCCTGTAATCCCAGCACTTTGGGAGGCCCAGGTGGGTGGATCATGAGGTCAGGAGATTGAGACCATCCTGGCTAACACCGTGAAACGCCGTTGAGAGGTGACAATGTGCTAGCAGCCCTCGCTCACTGTGGGCACCTCCTCAGGCCAAGGCGTCCACTCTGGCCGCACTTGAGGAACACTTCAGCCTGCCGCTGCACTGTGGGAGCCCCTCTCTGGGCTGGCCGAGGCCGGAACCGGCTCCCTCTGCTTGTGGGGAGGTGTGGAGGGAAAGGCTCGGGTGGGAACCAGGGCTGCGCAGCGCTCGCAGGCCAGCTGGAGTTCCGGGTAGGTGCAGGCTCCACGGGCCCCACACTCAGAGTGGCAGGCCGGCACAGCCAGCCCCTGGCAGCGAGAGGCTTAGCACCTGGGCCAACGGGCGGAGGGGATGCCAGGTTCCCCAGCAGTGCCAGCCCGCCAGTGCTGTGCTCAAATTCTCACCGGGCCTCTGCTGCCTCCCCTTGGTGCAGGGCTCAGGACCTGCAGCCCGCCAAGCCCGAGCTCCCCCACGGTGGGCTCCGGCATGGCTGGAGCCTCTCCGACAGGTGCCACCCCCTGCTCTGTGGCACCCAGTCCCATCAACCGCCCAAGGGCTGAGGAGTGCAGGTGCACGGTGCGGGACTGGTGGGCAGCAGGGGATCTACTAGGCGAAGCCAGCTGGGCTGCTGAGTTTTTGATGGGGACTTGGAGAACTTTTATGTCTAGCTGGAGGATTGTATATGCACCAGTCAGCACTCTGTGTCTAGCTGAAGGTTTGTAAATGCACCAATCAGTGCTCTGTGTCTAGCTAATCTAGTGGAGACTTGGAGAACTTTTGTGTCTAGCTAAAGGATTGTGAATGCACCAATCAGCACTCTGTCTAGCTCAAGGTTTGTAAACGTGCCAATCAGTGCTCTGTGTCTAGCTAATCTATGGGGACTGGGAGAACTTTTATGTCTAGCCGGAGGATTGTATATGTACCAATCAGCACTGTGTCTAGCTCGGGTTTTGTGGATGCACCAATCAGCACTGTGTATCTAGGATATCTGGTGGGGACTGGGAGAACTTTTATGTCTAGCTAGAGGACTGTAAATGCACCAATCAGCACTCTGTGTCTAGCTCAGGGATTGTAAACACACCAATCAGCACCCTATCAAAACAGACCAATCAACTCTCTATAAAATGGACCAATCATCAGGATGTGGGTGGGGTCAGATAAGGGAATAAAAGCAGGCTGCCCGATCCCTGCAGTGGCAACCGGGTCTGGTCCCCTTCCACATTGTGGAAGCTTTGTTCTTTTGCTCTTTGCAATAAATCTTGCCGCTGCTCACTCTTTGGGTCTGCACTGCCCTTAAGAGCTATGTCCTTAAGAGCTGTAACAGTCACCGGGAAGGTCTGCAGTTTCACTCCTGAGGCCAGCGAGACCACGAACCCACCGGGAGGAATGAGCAACTCTGGACGGGAGGAATGAACAACTCCGGACACACCATCTTTTAAGAACTGTAACACTCACCGTGAGGGTCTGCAGCTTCATTCTTGAAGTCAGCGAGACCAAGAACCCACCAATTCTGGACACACCGTCTCTACTAAAAACACAAAAACAAAATTAGCCGGGTGTGGTGGCGGGCGCCTGTGGTCCCAGCTACTCGGGAGGCTGAGGCAGGAGAATGGCGGGAACCCGGGAGGCGGAGCTTGCAGTGAGCCAAGATGGCGCCACCGCACTCCAGCCTGGGCGACAGAGCGAGACTCCGTCTCAAAAAAAACAAAAACAAAACAAACAAACAAAAAAAACATAAAGGAGTCCTCACTTGATGACAATGATGACAGCTTATATATTTAGAGCACATATGAAATACTAGGTACTTTCCTAATCCTTATAAACACATTTTCTTATGACGTAACCTAAAGTAGGTTCCAACATCTCATAACATCTCTTCATCTTGTTGATTAAAAACACGTAAGTTCAGAGTGGTTACATAAGCTTCCCAATATCTCAGTGTAAATCTGTAGCAGAGATGGGATTCCCATTCAGTTCTATCTTGACTCCAGGGTCAGAATTCATAATCACTTCCATATTGCTACAGTTGAATAAGAACTGTATTTTGGGCTGGGCATGGTGGCTCATGCCTGTAATCCCAGCACTTTGGGAGGCCGAGGCAGGCGGATCACCTGAGGTCAGGAGTTCAATACCAGGCTGGCCAATGTGGCGAAACCCCATCTCTACTAAAAGTGGAAAAATTAGCCAGGTGTGGTGGCAGGTGCCTGTAATCCCAGCTACTCAGGAGGCTGAGGCAGGAGAATCACTTGAACCCGGGAGGCGGAGGTTACCGTGAGCCCAGATCGCACCACTGCACTGCAGCCTGGGTGGCAAGAGCGAGACTCCATCAGAAAAGAAAAACCTGAATATTTTGAACCTTAAGTGAAAGGAGTTACATAAGTAGGCTTCAAGAAATGCACCCACCAGAGTGATACCAGAGCAACTATTTGCAGTGAAGTACTAATAGGGACTTTGTGTATGAGAGTCTGATATTAGCAGCAGGCAGTTGTGCTGTAGTGCTTTCAGCTGGTATTGCAGAAAAAAAAAATCACACTTGGCTGTAAGTAAGCTGTTGATTGCTTACACGGGTTTCTGTGGCATGCCAGCTCTCCCTGCCACCTACTCTTCCTTATCAAACAGCCAGGAGTTCTAAGTGAGGTGAGAATCCCACTTGACAAGCAGGCATAAACCATTTGAGGAAAATACAAATTAAAAGGCTCCAAGACAGAAATAGGAGCATTAGCAGCAGGAAGTGTCTTGGGGATACATTGTGTCAGATTACATCCAGGAGTTGGGAGAATAAGTGAGTCATAGCCTCCCAGTGGATAAGCCCTGTTGTGTCAGTAGCTGGGCAGCCTCAGAAGCTGTATTAGCTATTTAAAGTTGCCAGAACTGCTGTGAATGCCCCCAAGCTAGCATCTGCTTAGTAACATCCTTGAATTATGCGCAGTATGCCTATTTCTCAAGTAGCTTCAGCATTTCTCCTAACTTCTGACCTGTGTCAAAGCATAGTGATAGAATTTTGTTCGTGTTTAAGGACAGTAATACAGAATAGTAAAGAACTAGAGATATTTTGCTCAAGATCACCTAGCGAGTCAATCAATGAGCTAAAATTACAATGTTGATCTCAAGGAACTTTTGGTCTGTGTAAAAATATGGAGCATAAATATAATGTCATTGCACACATTTGATCAATGTCTTGGCCAAGAAATCTCAGTTGTCAGAAACAGAAACCCTCTTAATTTAGTCCAAACAAGAATTTAGTTTACCTGAAGGATACAGGGAATCTCATAGAACTTACAGCTACGAAGTACAGCTTTGTTCAGGTCAGGAGCAAAGGTTACCTTTCTGTATTTCTGGGACCTATTTCAGGGACCCTGTGGCACTTAGCATTCTCTCTTCTTCCCCAATCCCCTCCTGCGCCCTCCTCCAACCCCTGAAGGTATTTTCTTTCATCTTTGCAGTTTCTTCTTTCTACCTTAGTATGTATTCAGTCGATACTGGCCATCCTAGCTCTAGACTAACATGACCCACTGGATTGGGTCTCTGTATCCTAACCAGAGATTCCACAGTGAGAAAAATCTCCTGCTCCAAACAGTTTTTAGTACAAGGAAAAACCAGGACCTCCTAAGATAAAGAGTTGCATTCTTGGCAGAGAACCCAAAGATTTTTAAAATACATTCAGAAAATTGCCATCAATGCTCAATTGTAATCTAATTCAAATTGTAGCAGGGGCAGGGTTTATCCCTGGTTAGTATATAACAACACCGGGAAGCCACTTCCTTCCTGCCTTCCAGACCTCCCCTCAGTTGTTGCCTGGGTGCTTTTTACCTTGATTGGCTCAGTGTTTCCTGACTGCTAATCTTGTATCAAAGAGAATCCAATACAGGTATTGGTGTTTCCACTTCCTGTTGCTTACGTCATTTCTAGCTATTGGTGGGGAGAACAGTTGTTACTGGAAAGGGGTCCCAATCAAGACCCTAAGAGAGAGTTCTTGGATCTCACATAAGAATGAATTCGAGAAGAGTCCATAAAGTGAAAGCAATTTTATTAAGAAAGTAAAGGAATAAGAGAATGGCTACTCCATAGGCAGAGCAGTGGCATGTGTAGCTGGGTTCCCATTTTTATGGTTATTTCTTGATTATATTTTAAACAAGGGGTGGATTATTCATGAGTTTTCCAGTAAAGGGATGGGCAATTCCTGGAACTGAGAGTTCCTCCCCTTTTTAGACCGTATAGGGTAACTTCCTGATGCCATGGCATCTGTAAACTGTCATGGCGCTGGTGGGAGTGTCTTTTAGTATGTTAATGGTTTATAATTAGCGTATAATGAGCAGTGAGGACAACCAGAGGTCACTCTCTTCACTATCTTGGTTTTGGTGGATTTCAGCCAGCTTCTTTACTTCAACCTGTTTTATCAGCAAAGTCTTTCTGACCTGTATCTTATGCCAACCTCCTATCTCATCCTGTGACTAAGAATGCCCAACCTCCTGGGAATGCAGCCCAGTAGATCTTAGCCTTATTTTACCCAGCCCCTATTCAAGATGGAGTTGCTCTTGTTCAAACACCTCTGACACAGTTGCTGTCTTTTTTCAGCTCTGGTCAGGAACTTATTACAGGCAAAGTGCTTTACAGCTTAAAAAAGGAGGGATAAGGGAATAGATGCTGTCTTTGGCTTTGGCCTTCTTTGGAATATCTAGCTTCTTAACTAAGAATAAATTTTTATAAGAGACATTTAGATACTGTTAAAGACTAGCACTAGACATTTTTACTAGAAATTCCAGGATTGTCAACACAATAAGATTTATGCAGATTAGATGGTATGGTGTTGTTTATTATTACAACTTGATAACTAGACCAGTACTTCTCAAACTTAAAAGCGCTTACAGACCACTTAGGAATCCTGTTACAAATGCAGATTCTGCCCTAGGAAGCCTGTATGGTACCTGAGATTTTGCATTTCTAACCAAGACCTAGGTGATCCTGATGCTGGTGACCCACAAACCGTACTTAAGTAGCAATGACGTTAAGATACTGTTTTCATATCCAGAATCACTGTACTTTTCAGAATAGAAATTAATAGTCTACCTTCTTATTTCAGACCTGAACAAAATGAACTTCAGTTTAGGTGGGTTACTTGCTTAAGGACAATATAGTTTGTAACAGTGTTGGAATTAAAAGCTAGATTCTGGTGATTCTGTTATACCAACTTAAGGGACTAATATTTATTATGTCGATTCCATGCTGTTTTGTTCACTTTACTGAAAATCACTGCATACGTAGCCTTAATTCACTATCGCTGTCTAGTTTTCAGCTCTAGTAGGTATTGTAAACATAAACATACACAGAAACAGATTTATCTATTTTCCAGCCAAGCTTTTGCAAAGCAAAATCCAGGCTGCAGAGAGATTGTTGATTGATACTAAAATTTTGACAGCTGAGAGTATATTTTCAGCAACAAGATGAGTAACTTGGGCTAAAGGAGACTGATGAGAATAAAACTTAGATTTATTAAGGACCTTTCCAGTGAGCAGTCTGTGTCATTTCTCAATGCAAAAATAAGTAGTGTCCAATTCCAATTATATGATCCTGCAACACGTAATTTAGCTTTGATTAATTGCTATAAATTGCTATCATCTTCTTAATCCTGTATGTATTTGGTATCAGGCTTTAATGCCTGTAAATTTAAATACTGGGGTACTCAATGAATTTCCAAAATAATACTCTACAGAATACATCCT
Source organism: Homo sapiens (assembly GCF_000001405.40). Classification (NCBI taxonomy): domain Eukaryota; kingdom Metazoa; phylum Chordata; class Mammalia; order Primates; family Hominidae; genus Homo; species Homo sapiens. Next base: position 2,357,922 of record NC_000003.12, read on the forward strand.
ATTTCATTTAGAAGTTTTTAAAATAACTCCAGCTACTGTCTTTTATGTAATATGTGAATTCTACACTTATCGTTTCGTTTTATAAACCGTATGTAGCAGCATCAGTGGATTGGGAACACCTGTGTACCCCATGTGACATTTTACTTAGTGTGGACGAGGGGAAGTCAACTGCAGCAAAATCATTTCTTTTGATTTCTAACAATTTCTTCTAGCCTTATCTGTAGGATACTTGACAAAAAAAGGATACAATATTTCTATCTATTTAAGATGTATATCACAGTCCACTTAACAGTTTGAGGAATGTTTTGGTAGTTTCTGTGACCTTGAGTAAGCTTTCCATTTCGAGCCTCCGTTTTTGCAACTACAACATGCAGACAGTAACACCTACCTCGCAGGATAATATGGATGAAATGACAGCATATTTAAAAGCACTTAACCAGTGCTTGGCATAGGAAGCACTCAGCAAATATTCTTTTCTTATTTCCTGAAGCATTTAATATATTTAGGATTAAGCGATAGCAAAATGATAATTCTCTTTACTTACCTCTGGCATCTAGAATGCTCTTGGTGACTGGAATAAGTTTTAATTGTAATCAAAACTGAACGATTAATAGTGTAAACTTGCTGAGGGAGAAATAAGGAGGACATGCTTTCCAGAACCAATTAAAAATGATTTTAGATGATCTGCTATTTCATATTCCCCACACCATTGCTTTTCCTATTAGCAGGTATAAGTGAGAATTAATGGCAAATAATGGCAACACAAATCAGTACTAAAGTGCATAGTCATTTTTCATCATGCAGCTAAAACGGTATTATTAATGTCAATTTATTGGTTATATATAATGAACTACTATGCTGGAGTTTTGTAGAAATTATTTTTTATTCCAATATAGTTACTTGATCAAGGAGACTAAGTTCCTTTTATAAAATACCAGAGGATGTCATGAATGAAGAAATATGGCTAGTCCGGTGCAGGCTGTGTATGCAGGAGAATGAGGTTTTCTCTCTCACAATTACGTGAGCCTCTGCAGAGTGTACTTTTTCCTGGCCTCCAGTTGTGGTTAGGTGCTACTGGTAGATTTATAAATATGTCATAGTTATATCAAATATTTTAATCATTCTGAGCCTTTTCGCCTCATCCAAGTAAAACAATTGTCTTCTCCAAATGAAGTATTGTAAATATTTATTTGCAGATTTTAATCAACCTGTGACAGCCCTCTCATATGATAAAATGGTAACTTTGTAAGATTCGATGCCCCAAAGATACATCTGCACCATTTAATTAGCTGGATGTGAGTCTACAGTAGAGTCAACTTAGTTTTTACAGATGGGCTTATTTTCTGATTGGAGAGAACCGCATACAGCTATGTAATTATTACAACGTATAATGTACAACATACATTATATATATAGTGTATAATACTCCAGTGTTCACTTAGGAGTTCCTATCTGGAATTGGTCTTGTATCTGTTATAAACAATTGTAGTTTCTGATAGAAGTTACATAAACATGGAGGGATTTTTATTGGTATGATTTCAAACAAATCATTTTCTACCTTAAGACTGAGTCAAATCCAAACTAGCATGTGCTTAACTGAAATCATGTATATATGATTTTGTTTTGTTTTGTTTTTGAGACAGAATCTCGCTCTGTCGCCCAGGCTGGAGTGCAGTGGCAGGATCTAGGCTCACTGCAAGCCCCGCCTCCCGAATTCACGCCATTCTCCTGACTCAGCCTCCAGAGTAGTTGGGACTACAGGCGCCCACCACCACGCCCTGCTAATTTTTTGTATTTTTAGTAGAGACAGGGTTTCATCGTCTTAGCCAGGAAGGTCTCTATCTCCTGACCTCGTGATCCACCCGCCTCGGCCTCCCAAAGTGCTGGGATTAGGGTCGAGAGCCACGGCACCTGGCCGTATATATGATTGTTTATTCACTAATTCCTTCACTTGCTGAACAGATATTTTGGAGTTTCTACCAAATTCTAAGTATTGTGCAGTATACTGTTAAGCACAACCTTGTTTCAAAGGAAGTAGTAGTCAAAGCAGAGTGAAAACCAGATGAACAGATTATTCGTCTTAATCTACAGACTTAGAAGGAAAAAACTACCAGGCATTATCTGCCAGATCTTCTCATAAGCACTTTCACATATTTTCTGTCATATGAACAGATTATGACTATTTATTGTGATTAGACCTGTGTTATTTTGAAGCATGAAGTAAATGGAAAATGTCACAGGAGAGGTGACATTGGAACAGGATGGTAAAGAGTAGGAGATTGCAAGAGAAATCTATTCTGTTTGAGAACTTCTAAACAGAAGGTCAGTTTGAGCATAAATTAATGATTAATTTTTATTCCCTTATTTTTAGCAGTAAAAAAAAATATTTTACTGTTCAGTTTAAAAATGTTTCTGGAATCCTTAGGGTTTTCCTTTTGCTCCCCCCACCCCTTAAACAATTCTATTTCATCTTTCAGTGAACTGGAAATACTGAAAAAATATAATTTTGTCCGTATTTCAGTCTTCTATAATATGTTTGCCCAATGAAATATGAACACAATATTGCATAATACTGAAAACTGGCTGTATTAGTCCATTTTCATGCTGCTATAAAGAACTTCCCGAGACTGGGTAATTTATAAAGGAAAGAGGCTTAATTAACTCACAGTTCAACATGGCTGGGGAGGCCTCAGGAAACTTAAAATCATGCAGGTAGGCTAAGGGGAAGCAAGGAACCTTCTTCACAGGGAAGCAGGAAGGAGAATTCCCAAGTAAAGGGGGAAGAGCCCCTTATAAAACCATTAGATCTCGTGAGAACTCTCTCACTATCCGGAGAACAGCATGGGGAAAACCACCCCCATGATTCAGCTACCTTCACCTGGTCTCTCCCATGACACATGGGGATTATGGGGATTACAATTCAAGATGAGATTTAGGTGGGGACACAAATCCTTACCATATCACTGGGATTTAAAAAATTTGTAAATGCTCATCATTTACCTGTCTGAAAGAGTGGTGTGGGGTTCAGGATTTCCTCTAGCGTAATGAGTCAGAATACTGATTGTTATAAATGTTCACTGTGGCTCTTTTGTGGGTATTGCACAATGTATTGTTGCTTTTCTTAAGCAGTTCATAAAGTAAGTAAGGAAGTGACTTGTATCATGGTCATGATATAAATTGTATTAGACAATACATGATGAGATGCTCAATTCTTAAAGGAGGAGAGATTCTTCTTTAATCTTAATAGCATTTTCTCTGTATCTCCTTCCTAGAACATAAGTTAACGTGTGTACCTGTATTAACCTCACCCACCTTGGTTTGCAACTCACTGAGCACAAGGAATATTTGTATTAATACAGTTGTTCTAACTCAGTGCTTTTCAACCAGGGGCAATTTTGTCCCTCAGGAGATACTTGGTAGTGTCTGGAGACATTTTTAGTTGTCAACACTGGAGGATAGGTGCTATTTTGTAACCAGTGGGTAGCTGCCAGGTATCCTGCTAAGCATCCCACAATGCAGAAGATGGCCTGTACAAGAAAGAATCATCTGGCCAAAGATGTCAAGTGTCAAGGTTGAGAAACCCTGCTCTGTACTATACCCTGGGGTCATTCTGTGACTTTGGCATTGTTAGCTCATACATTCAGCCCACACTAAAAAGGAGAAATTGATCACCTAATGTGTTTATCCAACTGTATTGGAATAAGAGCTGAGTTATTAGGCTGGAAATTACATGTTCTGCTGCTATAAAAAAATTTTACTTTTATAAAATAAAAATATTTTCTACCTAAAAAAGCTGAAGAAATAACTTCTCTTGTACTATTGTGTGGCCGTAGCATTAGTGACTTCATTCAGTGTGTAGACATTGAGCAGTGAGCTTATTGATAGGCCCTGCGAATCTGTGAGGGAGCAGGATAGACACATTGTTCTCATTAGCTCTCTAATTCCACAGGATCTGAGACAGATGTGAAACAAATAATTACTTAAATACATATTAAAATTTTAATATAGATACATGATTTATGGTCAGCAGAAACACAGAAACTATAGAAAGACCTGAGTTGGAGGGGTCTAGGAAAAGTTCCATTTAAGTAGAAAAAAGGAGGTGTAAGAGTTGACCAGGTTGATTAAGCATTCCAGGGAGTGGGACCAGCATAGGCATGAACTTGGTGCATTCAAAAAACTGTAAGGAACCAAGTATGACTAAGTGCAGCAGTTAAGGAGAGTGGCTTGAGCATGAGGCAGGGCCCAGATCTATCAGGGGTCCCTATATTCCATGTAAAGGATTTCTAACTTTATTCTAACAACAAGAGAAGGAGTTTATCCCAGCTCTGGCAAGATGGTGGTGGCCGTGGTGCTGGCAGCTGGGTTGTGCCCTCTGCAGAGCCATGGCGGCCCCAGGGCTGCGCGGCACACATCTGAGGAGCTGTAGGTGTGACTGGTGGGAATGAAATGACCAAGGCCCAGCGGGCAATTCCTGGGGGTGTAGCCCCAACCATCTTCTGTGGGATCCTGGACCATCGCCTCCCAGCCTACATCCTATATGAGGACTAGCAGTGTCTTGTGTTCCCTGAGGTGGCTCCATAGGCTCCTGTGCACTTTCTGGTCATTCCTAAGAAGCCCATTCCTCGGATTAACCAGGCTGAAGAAGAAGACAGCAGCTTCTTGGACACCTACTCCTTGTGTGTAAGAAGATAGCAAGGGCTGAGGGCCTAGGAGATGGATACCAACTTGAGATCAATGATGAGAAGCTGGGTGAACAATCCGTAAATGACCTGCACATTCACTTACTTGGGAGCTGACAGCTCCAGTGGCCTCCAGCTTTAACCTCTGAACTGACCAAGGACCCTAGACCTGGGTGCTTGGATGGGAAAGAGAAAAAGGGAAGCTGTGATGTTAATAAAACTGCTCTCTCCCAAAAAACAATCAATCAGTCAATACATACATAAATAATGAAAACAGGGGAAGACTTTTAGGGAGAACAACTATTATAAGATTCTCACATAAAGCCTAAATAAAGCAATTGAAGAACATTACAGACTGTTTTTTTTCCTTTTTCTTTATATTTTCTTATTTTTCATGTATCTGCTGAGACAATGTTCCAGGTTTCTACAGGAGGATCTTATGATCCATTAATTGGATTGAATTATTGTAGGTATCTATATCTGAACCAGTCAAAGCCTGGCTGATTCTCTTATGTGGTAAAATGTCAAAGTATCTTCATACTGCACCTCTCCATTAGTAAGCCATGTTTTTAGCACCTTGTGGTAAAATATTTTTCAGTGTTACTAAAGAAAATAAACTAGTATTTTTCAAATGTCTCCTATGTAATGGGAGGGAAGTAACATTCATTGGTTGTTTACCAAGTGCTAGGACTAGGCTAAGCCTGTCACCTCTCTTCTTCCTCTAAAGCAGGTGTTTTGTTTTTCATAAAGATTAGAAAACCAGGTCTCAGAAGTTCTAAAATGCCCTAGTAGGTTAAGACTACAATTAGTAATTGGTAAACATGCTGTTAGAACTAATCTTTCTGACTCCCAAGACTGCAACTTTTCTCTCTGCAACATGGAGGAGCTAGGTCATTTATATGTCTCATTTTTAAGCTATATAACAACCATGTGAGGTAGACATTATTATTCACATATTTTATATGTGTAGAATCTCTATCTAGGGTGTCTCAGTTAGTAATTCCTGGGAGCTGCAGTTTAGATCCAGATTTACCTGACTCTGGAAACTCTTTTCTTTTCACTGCACTCTGATACTGTCTACAAAAATTACCAAAGTCTAACATCTTTCCTCCTTTTATAGACTTTCACGAAGATAGAGAATAACTGGTCAGCATCCTCTTCAAAGTGGCTTTCTGTATAATTTAAAGTAATCTTCAAGGTGGTATTGATAGCAAGCTTCATAAAGCATGGACTGTAGTAATTCTGCCAAAGACTGAAACAATAAATAGTAAGGTAACATATAATCTATAGCTTTAATGTAGGTGATTTCCTACAAATAGAAAATAAATAATGCCTATTGCATATTTCCAGTTATATGATCTCTTCTTAACAATCATTGGAGAATAGAATATTTATAACAGACTAGGCAACTTTATGTTTCACCCATCTGAGAGCTAGAGCTTTGCCTGGATATAGTGCTATAATATTTCAATATGACTCCTTAACCTTGTCTAGTTGGGGGCTTGGTTTGGGGGTGGGCAACGTGGTATATTTCAATTAAATTAACTTTGGAAATCATACAGTGCTAGATTTGAACTCTACTGCTGAAACCAGCTGGCAGTACAACTTTAACCCTCTGATTCGCTGAGACATTTTTTATTAAATGGAAATAATATTTATCTCAGAGTTGTTGTCTCGATATTTATAAGGTGCCTAGCAGAGTATTAGATAGAAATTCATTAAATTGGAAAGTTCCAACATAGTCATCATCATAGTTGCTGCCCTTGCTGTTTTTATTCTATTTTGTTGTTAATCTTTCTATTTCCAAGGACCCCTAAGGGTTGGCACAGCAGGGAGAAAGGGGTCCTACTGGAATCTTTGGAAGTGTTGACAATAGAATTTCCTTTAAAAAACCTCTCAAATGTTAGCTGAGGTTAGATCATTTCAAAAGAACCTTCTGGCATTTGTTGACAATAGAGCCATTCTAGATCTCTTTTAATCTAGTTGAGTCCCCGGAGAACAGTTAAATAGTTATAGTGCAGGCCTTGCGCATGAAGCAAATAAAGTCAATGGATACTTTATTGCACTGAGTTGGGAAATTACAAGTAAAAGGAAAAAAATTATATCAAATGTGGCCCAATGAATCTAGTTTCCTGGTAATTGAAAGCACTTGTTAGTGATTCCAACAAAGTTAAGGGAAAACATTCTATTGTTAAAAAGAGACACCTCTCTATGGTGAATCTAGGCCATTGCCATGACAATATCAAGTCTTGTCATTTCTTTATTTTACTTTTTGTTCTCTCTGAAATATGCTGTTTTCATAGTCCACAAGATAATATTAATAATAGTGCGATTTGGCTTTGTATTGGAGACATTTTTCAAAGCATTTATTTATCCGTTGGGGATAAGGAAGTTACAATACAATACTTGATATTTCGTGTGTATTTCACCTGGTAACTTAAGTACGTTTCTAAATTTTCAATTTTGGAAACTCCTATGGTTGTTCTTTGGTTTAATTTTTTTTTTATGATGACAGAAAAGACTGTAATGTGATTTGAAGCCCTTGTAACGAGTACAGGTAATAATGTATCCAGGATCTCTTTTCTTCTCCTCAATGCCAAGTTACCTTACTTGGTTCAGCCTGACAGTTTCTTTCATCTGCACTCCCTGCGTAGTTCCTACGTTTAACCTGCCTGAAACACAGCTCCTCTTGGTCCCTCATGTGGGCAAAAGTCAGCCCCATTCTCTGGAGTAATGAGTTTGATCTTGACATTCAGCATGCTTCATGATTTGTCCTCAACTTGACTTTCTAATTTCTGAATGAACATGTTTCCCATTACTTTCCAGGCCCAGTCAAATTAATCTTAATGATGTTGAATTACATTGAACACAAATTTATCTTTTCAAACTCTGTTCTACACAGTTAATAATAAAGGAACAAGGAATTGGGGGAAATGCAAAGAGAGAAAAAGTGGGAGAAAGAGACAATAGAATGTACATATATTTCTATCTTACGTTCTGCTGGTGATGCTTCTTGCCAAAGTGAGGCTGAGATGAGATGTGAGATTCCCTTCTCCAAGTTGCCATCTGCCTCTTTTGTGTGAATATCTTGCAATTCTCAGTGTGATTCTTGAGTTTAAATAAAAAAATATATATATACCATGTTGTCCCTAAATACAGGTCAAAAGTCATCCACATATAGTGCTGAGTTTAAAAACAGTGACCTATTTCAATGCTAGGAAAAAACAAAACGTAAACACAAAACACAGAAGTCTGTCTATGTTGGGTTTGATGAAAAGAGGGTAAAATGTTTTATTTTTGTTTTCGGTTCTGCCTCAAATACGGTTTTCCTAGTCTACAAAATTATATTAACAGTGGAGCAATTTAACTTTGCATTGTAGACATTTTTCAAAGCATTTATTTATCCTTTGGGGGTGAGGAAGTTACAATACAATATTTTATCCATACCCAACATGGCAACTCCATAATGAATTTGGGTAATTTTATTACATGATATTTTCAGCTTGTTCTTTGAACCTTAGCTCTCAATTATACTACTTTCTCTACTGGCAGCCTATCAATGTTTGGAAAGCCTCTTCATTTCTTGGTTATTTCAGTTTCCAAAAAGTGAATTTATACAGGTAGAAAAAAGTACATTTTCACGTTTTAATTAACTGAGAATCCAGGAAACTAAATTCATCAAATAATGTTGTCAATTTCATATAAGTAAAGTCTTTTTATAAGTCATCCACAAAATTTTAAACATCAGGACCTAAATTCTGGGATTCTGATTAAAAACTTATGCCCATTTCATTCATGATAATACTTTTCTAATTACAATTTTCCTCTTTGTTAAAAAATAAGGCTGGACGCAGTGGCTCACACCTGTAATCCCAGCACTTTGGGAGGCCGAGGTGGGCGGATCATGAGGTCAGGAGATCGAGACCATCCTGGCTAACATGGTGAAACCCTGTCTCCACTAAAAATACAAAAAATTAGCCAGGCATGGTGGCGGGCGCCTGTAGTCCCAGCTACTCGGGAAACTGAGGCAGGAGAATCACTTGAACCCGGGAGGCGGAGCTTGCAGTGAGCCGAGATTGCACCACTGCGCTCCAGCCTGGGTGACAAAGCGAGACTCTGTCTCAAAAAAAAAAAAATAATAATAGTAATAATAATAATAAATAAATAAATAAAAGGGAGTGGAAAAAAATCTACCAAACCTTGGATTCAAAGTCCATTTCTTTCAGAGATTTTATTGTAAGCATTATCTTATTGACTATGTTCACATAACTTTTAAGAGCTAAAAGAATACCACGTTTAATATGTTGCACTCTAACAATTTTAACTAAAAATATTCATGCTTAGTTACAGTGTGTAGAAACCCAAAATATTAAGGATATATGTACTTTGTGGGATGATCCTCTGATTTAATATATGTGGTCTCTTGAATCTCCCTATATTGAACCTTCATTTTCTAATATTTATTGTGCAGTTCTCTCTCTGTGGTGTGTGTATGTGTGTGTATGAGTACAGAAATGGTATATAATAAAAAGCAGTTTCTAGCATAAACAACAAAATGAATAAACTACACAAAATTACAGAAAAAACACTAATCTACAGAAGAAAAAAATGCTGGACCTCTAAAAGTGAACTATTTATTATTCTTGAGAAAAGCTTATCAAATGAGACTTGCAATATATATAAGTTGCTTTTCCAGATTTTATTTTAAAAATACAAAGGCAAATTACTAGTGCTGTATTTGTAAGATTAAACTGCCCACTCCCCAATCAGATTTTTGGATTATTTACATGAAACGAAAAACACAAACCACCCTTGAAAATACGAAAATCTTAATTATAGTTACGGTGTACAGTGGATAAGTGAAGTTAGAATATCTTTCTACTGATGGAAAAATGTCACTTGGCTTTGAGATGAGTCTTTTTTTTATTTTTATTTTTTGAGACAGAGTTTTGCTCTTGTTGCCCAGGCTAGAGTGCAATGGCACAATCTCAGCTCACTGCAACCTCCTCCTCCTGGATTCAAGGTACATACCACCACACCCGGCTAATTTTTGTAATTTTAGTAGAGACAGGGGTTTCACCATGTTGACCAGGCTGGTCTCGAACTCCTGACCTCAGGCAATCCACCTGCCTGGGCCTCCCAAAGTGCTGGGATTACAGGCGTGAGCCATTGCACCTAGCATCTTTTTAACACAGGGAGAGAATCCATTGAAACTTTTTTTTCTCTGTAACCCCTAACAACGTTCGGACTATTTCAGCCTTTAACCATTTGGCCCTACTGAGTGTCATTAGATTGGCCTCAGGATCCGTAAGTACTATTATTTTTCTCTTGAGCTTACCTCTACATTTATTTAAGCATGAACCTTCTCAGTGGTTCACTATAGCTTTACAATTCAGCACTTTATCCAAATACAGCTAGAAAACTTCTTTTTTTTTTTTTTTTTTTTTGAGGTGGAGTGTCGCTCTGTCGCCCAGGCTGGAGTGCAGTGGCGCGATCTCGGCTCACTGCAAGCTCTGCCTCCTGGGTTCATGCCATTCTCCTGCCTCAGCCTCCCGAGTAGCTGGGACTACAGGGCCCGCCACCACGCCCAGCTAATTTTTTTGTATTTTTAATAGAGACGGGGTTTCACCATGTTAGCCAGGATGGTCTCGATCTCCTGACCTCATGATCCGCCCGCCTCGGCCTCCCAAAGTGCTGGGATTACAGGCGTGAGCCACAGAGCCTGGCCTCTTTTTTTGTTTTAACCTCTCATTTCGAGGCTTCTGTTTGATCTGTGTTTTAGTTAGTCTGAGTTTATATGTGGCTGTGTCTAGCCATTTACGTAGGTCAATTGGACTCAAAACCCATCTTTCACTTGAACCTGCCTTTCTTTACCTATCCTATGTGCAAGTTCTCTTGCTATTTATTTTGACACCCCACAAATTTATCGAGGTTAATAGACTACTAATTCCAAAGCATTTCTAAATCAGATTGAGTCTATTCTCTCAGATCTGTGAATACCTATTAGGGATGGTATTTGAGATAAAAATATGAATAAACCGTACCCTTCACATTTTCTTAAATAATAAAAAAAAACTGAACAGAAGTGCAAGACTATAAAATCTCTGACTGCATTAGGAGATCATTATTGCAGTGTTCAAGTGTATGGTTATGACTACAAAGCAAGAAAATAAGTTTTCTTCTCTGGTTAACTTACAGCCACATCTCAAGCATTATAAAGAAGTGAAGAGGGAAATGATAACGTAAAATTGGATGGTGAATTAAACTTTCATTGTGTGTTGAGCTCATCCTAAGACTAAAGCACAGAAACATGTCCATAAAAATTGTGATTGTTTTTTTGAGATGGAGTCTCACTCTGTTGCCCAGGTTGGAGTGCAGTGGCAAGATCTCGGCTCCCTGCAACCTCCGCCTCCCAGGTTCAAGTGATTCTCCTGCCTCAGCTCCCGAGTAGCTGGGATTACAGGCACCTGCCACCATGCCCGGCTATTTTTTTCTATTTTTAGTAGAGACACAGTTTAACCATGTTGGCCAGGCTGGTCTCGAACTCCTGACCTCGTGATCTGCTCACCTCAACCTCCCAAAGTGCTGGGATTACAGGCGTGAGCCACCACACCTGGCCCCAAAATTGTGATTTTTATTGGTTATAAGACCTAGGCATTGTCCCTGTTTTTGAGTTTTGGAAAGCTAACATTTTAAACTCCTGTTCACAAAACAGGTGAGAGTAGGACTTTCCCCTCTCACTGTGCTAATCATATTACTATCGTTGGTCTTGTATCAATTTTTAAAACATCATAGCCATTATTATTTTGCAGTCTGTATTATTTCTTCTAAGTATTAAATGACAGATATTGATATGAAGAGCAAGAGGCTCTCCAAGGAAGCCTCATCTGTACAAAGATTAGCAAGAGGTTGCAGCAATTATGAAAGTTGCCAGAAATCACAAATGTTCCTAATTTTAGGGAGAATAGGATGCCCCCCATCACACATAATGGCTTTATCATCAGGATTTGAGCCCATGCAGCAGAATATCCAGGTTCTCTTAGAAACCAGATGCTTCCTTCCTCCTGCTTGGAAATTGGAAATATATTTACATCTTCAAGAATGCGCGAGGTTCTTCTCTGAAGCAGAGCCCTGCATTGCATCTAATTGTAGAAATTACAAAACTTGTCAGAAAGTTAAAAAAAATAAAAGAAATAGTAACAGTTGCATTGATTTAGAACCAGCTGCCTTTCTTTTATCCACCCTGATAGAGTAGTGCTTTAATTATTTCTCCTAACTAAAATGATACTTCCCTCTTGAGAATGTCTGGGCCTGTTTATACTGTCACCATCGTTTTGATACACAATTGTCCATATTGATACTCTGTTTTTACCATTAATTTTCCAAAGAGCCTCTGAACTCATTGATAGTGCCGGAACACAGCCTTGCCAACACAGTGCCCAGCCCTGGTAAACTGAGTCCCGACACCACTTTTAGTTCCAAAATTTGGGGAAAAAATATTATTTTGCTTTCACATTCTCTCTGCTCTCTTTAATACACACAACTGAATTCACAGCCTGAGGCCAGCAGAGAGCTTAGTTATCCACATCTAAAGGCCCCATGTCACAAAATTTATCTCTGATATTTAATATCTTTGAAAGCACTTAATACAAGCCCAGTGTTAGCTATTCTGTAGTATGCCTGAATCCATTAAAATGAAAAAAACCTCAGTAATGATATTATGTTGAAGAGAAATGTTTTATAACTGTCATACTTTGGTTTTCCTGAAATCATAAAATGGTCATGAAAATGATTTACAAAAAAACTGGGTTAGAGTGTACCAGAGTACCATAGTCAAGTATAATGACATCCAAAAGAATGAAATGAGCATGGATAGAGGAGGGAGAGGTGACAGAGTAATGAATTGCCCCCTACTGATTTTGTTCCTGTTTGATCTGACAACATTGGAATGACAGCTGCTGAATGAGACAATTTGATTCAAATGATTTGCATATTTTTCACCAGAAAAAGTGGTTTGTAGTTTATGGAATGAGTCCCTTATTCTAAATATGGTGCTAATTTCAAGTACAGGTATCCTCTGATATTTTGTGTAAGTGAATGTGTTACTTATTGTTAACCAGTATTGATGAATTTTTATTATAGATCCAAAAAATGATATAATTTTAGAGATTTATCCCAATTTCTATCAACCAGAAGGTGAATATATACCAGTTTTCCAAATTACATGGTGCATCCCCCCACCTCCCTCTTTTGGTGGAAGATTAGGCATGCAGTTTTTAAGACCCAATCAATCTATTGATAGTGTTAAGTTTCACTATCCTCCACCTGAAAAGCGTGATTTAAAAGCACCAAACTAAGTATAGCAAAGTTCTTGCATTGCTTGGCAATTTCATAATTTCAGGTTTATATCGAGTGAGAATTACAATGTGAAGGTCTTTACTTGTTTTGGGCTATAATTTGAGATGGAAGTGGGAGAATGTGTAGAATGGTTGCTGATCATATATCCCAGATGCTGCATTTGTGGGAGAATGGATTGATACCCAGAGGTTCCTTCTAACATAGTTCATCAAGCCAGCCAGAAATTTAAGTTAACCTTGATATCCCCTGAGGTTAGGTTCCCACTGCACTTGGAGTAAAGACTAGCATTCTTTTTGTGGCTCATACATGCCACTGTGCCATTCAACTCTTTCTTTTGTAGCACTTATTCAAGGTACTTACTGCCTTTTTAAAGTTTGCTCATCTGTCACCTTTCAATACAATTTACCTTTAACACCCTATTTAAAATTACAAACCCCAACCCCAATGCTCTGGCTAACTTTTGCCCTTCACTTTTTCCTTTTTTCCTCTAGCATTTATCCTTGCATCTGTCTGTCTCAGCATCTTGGAATATGATCTCAAAGAGCACCCGATTTTGTCCGTATCGTTCAAAGATGTAACTCAAATGTTTATAATAGTGCTTTGTACATAGTAGGTTCTCAGTATAACATTTGTTGAATGAGTGGTTGTTTTTGTATTTCTTTTATTATTTAATTTTTGTTCCTCCGCTAGATTCGTGTTCAGGATTATATCCCCAGTGCCTTTCACTTATTTTTCATGTAACATATATTTTTGAATGAATGAATGAATCAAGAAAAAGGTTCTGGAATAATTTTAATATTTACCTGTCTGTTAAAATATTCTCACTAGACCTGTTAGAAACTCAAAGCTAAATTGAAGCTGATGTGATTTCTATTCACTAATTTCCTCTGGCAGGCAGTGATTGGGAAACATGGTAAATAATCAGCGCATGTAGTTGTGCTGTTTAAAATACAGCAGTTGGCCAAGTTCTGTAAGTATACAAATATATTTTCAGTAGATGAGTTAAAACCAGCATCTGATTACTTTGTGCTGTTTGGCTTAAATAGAAACAATTTCATCTCATTTAAATAAACAATCATCATATTTTTCATATAAATGATGATATAAGCTCTGGTAATAAGGGCTTATGTTATTGCTTAGAATAGGAAAGTTGCATAAATGTGATCACTCTCAAAATAATCTTTTGTTACATCCTGGGGAGGGGGTAATGACAAGCACTTGCAGTAGCTCTATTTATTTATTTATTCATTTTTATTGAGGACATATGCTTCAGAGGCTTAAAACTTAAAAGATTGAAGCAGTATTATAAAGGAGACATAAATGGCTTTTAATGCTTGCTGAAAGCAGATAAACTTAAAGACTTATGAACATCGTGGCTAGGAATATGTGATAGAATGTAGAATCCAAAGGGCAATAAAATATAAATATGTTTCTAATTTGTGTATTCTTCCTTGTTTACCATAGGATGTGACACATTCAGTGCTACAAGCTGACTGTCTATGTCCATATGGGAAGTATACACATTGTTCTAAAACTATAAATCAGGGACATAGTTGAAATTTGACACCAGGTTCCAATCCCTAATGTCCTCTGAAAAATGTGAGTTTATAAAGGAAAGCAATGTTTCCAAGTAAATTCATTGTCTTTTGGGGCTGGCTAGCTGGCTTTTAGAGCCTGACAGGAATGTTTTTATTTCTTCAGCTCTAGAAAAGGAAAAGAGGAAGGAGGCAGTAGAAAAACCAATTGAGTGAGAGTCAGAAGATGTGGGATCTAGTGGTAGGTGGGCTGTAATAAATTGTTTGACTTAGGCCAGGTGTGGTGGCTCACACCTATAATTTCGGCACTTTGGGAGGCTGAGGTGGGCGGATCACTGGAGGCCAGTTTGAGACCAGCCTGGCCAACATGGTGAAATCCCATCTCTACTAAAAATACAAAAATTAGCCAGGCATGGTGGCGTGCACCTGTAGTCCCGTTACTTGGGAGGCTGAGGCACAAGAATCACTTGAACCTGGGAGGCTGAGGTTGCAATGAGCCAAGATCTCACCACTGCACCCCATCCTGGGCAACACAGTAAGACTCTGTCTCAAAAATCATAATAAAATAAGATAAATAGATTGACCTGAAAAGGGCTTTGTTTCTAATCCCCCTGGGGTTCCCAAAACTTTTTAAGGTAGGGAAGAAAACTGGGGTTAGACCAATTAATCTCAAAGTTTCATCCAGTAATTACAGATTCAGTGATGACTGTTGTTCTTTAGTTAACCTCAGAAAATCTGTGAGGTAGGCCCCACGTGGGTTAAGCACAGTTGCACTCCTTGGGCAGGAGGAGGTAGTGGCTGTTTAAAGACCTAGAGATTAATGAAATAATTACTCTGCCTGCACCTCTTTTCTCATCCCTAAAAGGGAGGACTGCTTTTCTGTACTTCCCAGGAATGCCGTGAATCGAGTACGTACAACTGTGTTGTTTTTGAACGCTGAAAGCCAAGGTAATAATTAGAAAGTGTGGATGTCACACTTATTTTATAAACACTCTTTAAATGGATACATGAGTTAGTGTTTGCTTGATGTTGCGAAGCAAGCTGCAGTTTTTGTCTACTCTTCACCCCACCTAAGAATCTAGTTTTCAGCATTAGGCAAATGCTTCTGGTACAAGCATGTATTAAAATTTAAAATCTGTTAATGGGTTTTAAGTAGGATCTTGATGTTTGGCAGAAGTATCAATAACATCGGCGCCTAAAATAAATATTAAGTTGTAATTTTAAAGCTTCTATTGTCATATTTGGACAGATAGATACTGTGCAGATACAGTATGTGGAAGCATTTTAAGGAATTTCAGTTCTAGAAAGGCTCTTTAAAGGTCAACCTAATTAAAGCAATGTTTTTGAGCCAGTACAAAGTAGATGCAATTATTGGAAATTCATTGCAACAGCACGGAATGGCATTTCACTTACAGTTTAAACTTTTTATGGTTAATTTAGAAAGCAAAAATCATCTTTTTTGGGGGGTTCCTGATCTCTGACTTAAATGACATTTTAATCAATAATAATGATTTCTTTGTTAGGATTAGGAGAACTTTTGTTCTCCGGGATACATGGCAGGAATATTTAGCAGCTCTATTTTAGAACCCCTAAAGAAGATGGTTCTTTTGTAATGCAAGTGCTGATCTAACTCAGTAAAGGAAATGGGCTTCTCACGTAGAAGGTGATATGCATGGACATTTATTTACCATTGTCTGTCCATAGATTGTGGAATGAATTGGCTTGTGTGGAAAATACAGAATGACCTATCCCTGGATCCCAGACAGAGTTTTGGATACTACAGGTTGTCTCTGCAAGGAAGGTTACCCAGCTCCCTTAAAATCATTCTATAGGAAGTTCCCCTCCATGCTTCTTCATGCAGTTTAACTCTAATACCTAAAAAGAAGAGTTGTTCTTTCCCCTTGATGTCACATCCTCTGTGTATATTAAGAGTTTAACTTAAAAATGTTACCCATTTCATTAGATTGCTTGAGTATGATCTGTAACTACCCCGTATACTTCACAGACTAGGTCCTCAGAAGTCCTCTGCATTTTCACATAAACTAAAAACCTCCAGTGGTGGTGTTCACTTGTCTATGTGTGAAGTAGGGACATCATGCATTCCTGATGGACCTCACTAATGTGGCAAGGCTTGTTTGAAAAAAAGAAGAAAAAAAGGCCATGCTTCTAATGAGAAATAATTATTGGAAGCAATAAAATATTTATATTCCATTCATTAAACACACTGACCACGAGGAAATTAAAAAGTATTGAATTCCAAAACTATCACAAATACAGAAAATATACATGAATGTTTAAATTTTCATTTAATGATGAAATGAAGATCACATTCTTCACCCTTAGCAATGCTAATCACGTGTCACTGGTTGAAATAGTGATCAAATAAATGAGAAAAAGATGAATGACTTTCCCAAAATGTTAGACCTATATTTAGATATAATTTACCATTTTGTACCATAACCTATTACTTATTTTAGCAAAGTCCCAATCCACTGATTATTGTCGCATTGTGTCATACTCTTCAAAAAAATGAAAAGTCCATCTGACAATATGATATCTTAGAAAGTCATTGTAAAAATCTGCTTCAGTCAAAAAAGGTTTTATGATTGCATATTAACTTTGAAATTAATCAACAAGTTGACAGTAGACAGTCTCTAGTGTCTCTAAATATATGGCATGTCTTTGCCATAAAATAGAAATTGCTACCTACAGATATTATCTGAGGCATTATTTTGCCTTGCGGAGGGTATCTGTTATGTTAGAGAAGTGATTTCTAAACAAACTTTGGCTTTGCCAAAGTGTCATGCTGTTTGTATTTTCTTTGGTATGTCACAAGTCATCCCAACATTTCCCTCTCATTTCTTTCTTTTTCTTTCTTCTTTTTCTCCCTAAAACTGAAGGAGATGGGTCATTTTGAAGATAGAAAAGATATTACGGTGGCCCTATTTTCTAAGGGACTTTCAATACTCCATAATATGACAGCCTAAGCTTCTCTAGCAGAAAAGGCCGCCTGGGTGCATCAGTTAAGTTACAGATCCTACTCTGCTTTCTCTGGCAATGGAGGAGGCAGGTGATTGCCTAAACACAAAGCTCCTGCCAATTTCTGAAAGGCACAGTGGCTGGAGCAAAAAGCAACTCATCTTCCCAGGGGCCTGCCCTATTCTGAACATCTCTAAACTAAAATGATTCTTCTTTTCTTTTTTCTTGATCAGTCTTCAGTCACTATTTTTATATCATGAAGTGTTACCGGGTTTATGTGCCTGTCCACATTTCATAAAGTTAGAGGACATATGGTAAAAATCTAAGAATAACATCATAAATCATCCATGCCTCTGAATTGCTTGAAAATGTTAAATGCCTTGGTTTTGGTCCAGATGTTCAACTTGCCCCTTTTATACCAGCCTGACATACATCAGTTGAAAGAAGAAAAAAAAAAAGAGAAAACCCTCTGCTGTTCTCTTTCAGCTTAATGGTTGATATATTTTTCTTTCTTCTCTGACTTTGCCATTTATTGAAGCATAGACGGGTGCCCTACCCTACATGAAAGCTATTTCCTACTGCTTGTGAAAGAAAAAAAATATGAAATAAACACTTACTATTCTGTTACAAGGTAACAATAGAGTGCTAATTGCTGAGTAAAGTCATGTAGCCCCAGGATTATGTTGAGGGACTCCACTATAAATTTGAAGACACCCATAATCCATGTATCAGGCAGAAAATGATTTGCTGTGCTGCACTTCTCCTTTAACAGTTTCTATCGAACTATTTAATTAAATGGAATAATAATTATTATTCCCTGATCCAAATTAGAACACTTTCTTGTTTAACGTTCCTAGTAAGTGCACAATAAATATTAATGTTAATGGTGATGATGATGGTGTTGATGTGTTTTATGGTAAGAACCAAGAATTATGGGAGCACAGAAGGTGGATGACTTTTCCCTTTTGGGCAGGAGCAGTCAGGAAAGAATTCACAGAGGCGGTAATATTTGAAGTGGTCTTTGAAGTATCAGTATTTCTATATCACTAGGTGATTCTTGAGATGAAGATAAGTGTTTTTGATGCATTAAGCACAGTCCACAGTTGCAGTTGTCACTGTTTTTAGGTCTTTCTACCTTGAGGATTTCCCAGTTCTCAATTTTCATGTTCTGTTTGTTTCTGTATAATTTTGTGGAGTTGGGCACTTGTATGTTAAAAAAAAAAAAAAAAAGGTCAGGTTAACATATAATATGCTCTGCTATTTCCACTTTTGATATTTGCTTTCTTCTCTCATGTTGGTTGTGTGCTGACCATGCACTGACTCATTATCTGTCAATGCTCAGTTCTTATACAGTGTTAAGGCACCAGCTGAATTAACACAAAAAGAAAATGACAGAGCTCAGCAGGGCGCGGTGGCTCACGCCTGTAATCCCAGCACTTTGGGAGACTGAGGCGGGTGGATCACGAAGTCAAAAGATCGAGACCATCCTGGCCAACATGGTGAAACTCCGTCTCTACTAAAAATACAAAAATTAGCCAGGCATAGTGGAGCACACCTGTAGTCCCAGCTACTTGGGAGGCTGAGGCAGGAGAATCACTTGAACCCGGGAGGCAGAGGTTGCAGTGAGCCGAGATTGCGCCACTGCACTGCAGCCTGGCGATAGAGCGAGATTCCATCTCAAGGAAAAAAAAAAAAAAAAGAAAATGACAGAGCTCTTTTCATTCCAAGTTTTTAGATACCATATCCAGTTGTTGTTGAACATGATGGCATTATTAGTGTTTTCAGTAGCTCCTCTCCCTAATAGGAAGGAAGCAAATGGGTTGCATTGAACTCTCTTTAATATGAGTGCTATCTTCAGCAGTGCTTCATTATACAAAGTATTAATAGAATGACTGGCCATGCCTGCAATCCTCAGTCATTTTCTCTAGCTTCCTCACCCACACACAGGTTGTTAAGTCACCAAGAGATGTGTTACTTCTGTGCTGTGCCCTGTGAAAGCTTTCCTCTCTAGAGATCTGGTATCTTCACAGGAAAGGTCAAATAGGTTTCATTGTCTTTGCACAGTATCACACTAATTTAAGATTTGAGTTTCTTTTAAAAAACACAGCTGTGAGAGAGAGAGAGCTCCTCTGAAGCTGAGACAGTAAAACTGAAGATACCCGGAATATTTATAACATATGTTTGCATAAAGCAAGCTTGTCCAACCTGTGACCTGTGGACCGCATGTGGCCAAGGATAGCTTTGAATGCAGCCCAGTATAAATTTGTAAACTTTCTTAAAACATGATTTTTTTGTGATTATTTTTTTTTAACCTCATCAGTTATTGTTAGTGTTAGTGTATTTTATGTGTGGCGCCAGACAATTCCTCTTCGTCCAGTGCGACCCAGGGAAGCCAAAAGATTGGACACTCCTGGATGAGGCATTTTTAAAAAGCAGATAAAATACCAATGTAAAGATTTATTTTTCCAAAAGAGTGGATTAAAAGAAAGACAAGTGCTAACAACTGTTGTTGTCACCTCATGGTTTTTTCAGTTGTCTGTATGAGATGGCATCGTTACTGACTCTTGCAATATTTGGAATAATATAAACTAAGTACCACAGTGTAGTTTGAGGCTTGAGTTCTATAAATACCCATTTCATTAATTTGGGGAGGAGAAATAGATGCGACAAATGGGCCCAACATACATTGGCTCAACAAAATAGAATTTATTTCTCAAGTTCATAAAAATCCTGGGTGGTTTCATGTGCGGGGGAAGGAGAGAGTCCTCTGATCCACAGTTATTCGGGGATGCAGGCACTGCTGTTTCAGTATGGGCCTTCCCAAATTCTGGACATCACCATTCCATTCCTCAGGATGGGGGAAAGAACCCATAGCAGCTTGTGAGAGGACAGTCCTGGCTGTGCTATACCTTATTTCCACTCACACTGGTTAGAAGTCAGTCCCATTGCGTTTTTTGGCCATGCACAGGGGACTGGGGAATATAGTCCAGCTTAGTGCCCTGGAAAACGGGAGAAAGTGGACCTTAATGGACAGGTAGCAATCTCTGCTACTCTCATTCATTTATTTTTTATTCAACATGTTTTGGAACAACCTATTTGTTAGAGACTGTGCTAGGTGCTTGGTTTATCATTTCATTAGCCCACTGGCCTCCCCGTAGTACTTCAGGGAAACAGCTAATTAATTTGTGTCTCTCATGAGATAAATGAGACTCCAGATCTAACTAAAACACATAGGAAACTTGACATTTCAAGCTTAGCTCCTTTTTTTTTTTGAAGAAGGATTACAAATAATCTGGTGGTAGCATTATTTTTTTTTCTCCCTTGTGAATCAGCCATAGGAAGAGGAGAATTTGTGTTGTCATTCTTATTTGTATTCTGTAAGAATGCTTCCCTTTACTACTGGTATTAGAGGAATGTAATACCAATACCAATATCACTATCAATTAGAGGATTATACCATAGTTTCATAATCTTTTCAATGTAAGGTAGTTTAATCAGTCACCATCCACACTTCAACAATTTTCCTTTTCATTGCCATGTAGGTTAAATGAAGTCAAATACAATGCTCGTGTCTCTTGTATTGCCCATTCATTGCCTAGCATGTTTACCTATACAATAGGCATATGATAGTCTTTTAAATATGGAATAACAACACAAGCAGCATAAAAGATTGAGACAGTTTTCTAATAATCACAACATATATCCCATTTTTTCTTTTATTTCACTTTTCTTTTTTTCTTTTCCTTTCCTTTTTTTGAATTTCTTTTTCCTGCCTACCTTTTTCCGTTTCCTTTTTTTTTCTTCTGTTTTTAAGCTTTACCCTGCAGATGGTTACCAATATGATTAAAATTCTTCAAGAAGCATGCAGATCTGCCTATTATAGAAGGGAAAACTATAAGGTTACAGATTCTGGGTACTGATCCCACTCTGGCCACTAACTTCTGATAGTACCTTGGATAGATAACTTTATTAATTGAGGTGGTTGACCTCAATATCCTAATGTAAAAGATGAAGATATTGCATCCGGAGTACCACAGGCCTCTTTTGTCTTTTTTATATAACTGCTATGTTAGTATAAATTGTTATTTATGAGCATTAGATGAGTATTTATAAAATATGTCAGGGATAGGAGATATCATTTGTTGTTAAAATCTTATTTTTGAAATTAGACTGCAAGAATTTGAATCTGTTGTCATGACTTTTTCAGGCTATTTGATCTTGGGAACATTATATAACCTCTCAAAGTGACAGTTTCCTCATTTGCTTAAACTACTGTGGGTTATAAGAATATCATCATGGCCGGGCGCGGTGGCTCACGCCTGTAATCCTAGCACTTTTGGAGGCCGAGGTGGGCGGATTATCTGAGGTGGGGAGTTCGAGACCAACCTGACAAACATGGAGAAACCCCATCTCTAGGAAAAATACAAAAAAATTAGCTGGGCATGGTGGCACATGCATGTAATCCCAGCTACTCGGGAGGCTGAGACCGGAGAATCGCTTGAACCCAGGAGATGGAGGTTGCGGTGAGCTGAGATCGCACCATTGCATTCCAGCTTGGTCAACAAGAGTGAAACTCCATCTCAAAAAAAAAAAAAAAAAATCATAGGGTTTTGGTGATAATTTAATTAGATACTGTGTCTCTTGGTATAAGCTCTCAATAACTTTGATCATCTGAAATAAAAATGTCATTCTCTTTCCTCTATCCATTGTGTTTTCACAGAAGTTAGGGAAAATGGGATGAGAATTTTCCAAAGCAGCCCTTCCTTTTTATGTAAAATTTAGATATTGGCAGCGTATCTCAGCCTCAATGGTAACATTAGGGTTTGCATCTCTGTTGTTAGTCCAGGAATCTGTTTTTCTCTTTTGATTCTTTAAGTCATTTGGATAAAATATTAAAGAGCACTAAGATCTGATGTTGTAGATTGGAAAGAGGAAATAGTTGAAGAACATGAAATGTGTCTATTTTACCTTTATATAGCTATGCAGAACAGGTGAGATTTGGTATGAATTTGAATAGTAACGATGCTTACCACTCTTGAAGGATATTTTGCAAATTTTAATTGGTTTATCTGAACACCACTTTTAGGGGCTAAGTAAATATTCCCACTTTACACTGAGTAGATCTAACAAAATGATCAGTTTACCCAGGTCATTTACTACATTGACTATTGCCAAATTCAGTATATCCAGATTGGACTTGCTGATCATGCATGCTTAGTGGGTTTCTTTTTTTTTTTTTCCATTCTTATCCTATTTTACATAAGAACGAATAACTTATTCTCTCTAGAGTTTGTAGCTTCATTTGCAAAAGGGGATGCCTAAGAGAGGAAAGAGCAAACTAGGTGTCTTTCTAGCTTCAAAGATTGTTATTTTGTGATTTCTGTATTAGTTGGTTTATAATTGACCAGATCAATTTGAATCATATGTGTTTTTCTATTTTCTGAATTCAACACTGTTATTTTCTATTGTCTTGAGTACTGATGTTTCCAAATTTTTAAACCTTTCCCTTCTTTTGTTTTGTTTTGTTTTTTTCTTCCTTTTTTTTTTGGAGACAGAGTCTTGGTCAGTCGCCCAGGCTGGAGTGCAGTGGCACAATCTCGGCTCACTGCAACCTCTGCCTTCTGGGTTCCCGCCATTCTCCTGCCTCAGCCTCCTGAGTAGCTGGGACTACAGGCGCCCGCCACCACACCCGGCTAATTTTTTTGTATTTTTAGTAGAGATGGGGTTTCACCATGTTAGCCAGGATGGTCTCGATCTCCTGACCTCGTGATCCACCCGCCTCGGCCTCCCAAAGTGCTGGGATTACAGGCGTGAGCCACTGCGCCTGGCCTTGTTTTGTTTTTTCTAGAGAGAAATGGGCCCCAATATTTGCCTTATAATACTTTGTACCTTGTCCTACATTTCCCCCTTAGAACAATGTACAGAACAGTCAACATGACAATCAGATCAAGTTTCACCTTCTGCACTTAGGTCTCTTACTTAGCTATCACTAGTCTGGAGGTGTTGGGAACATAACTTAAACTCTTTGAACTATAGTGTTCTGTAATGTGGCATTAATAAATCTGAAGTCAAAAGATATAAAATATGTAAAAGCGCTTAGGAGAATATCTGGCACATAATGCATGGTAGTTTTTCCCTTCTAAGTCTGTAGGTTAAGATGAATATTTGAAGACTTTCAAACTGATTTTCTTCCAATTAAAATATTTGTAAATGATGTATAAAAAGTCTCCATTCTTTAACAAAGGCTGTTAAAGGCTCTGGTACTGTTTTGATTATATAAATTAAAAAATTATGTATTTCTTATAAAATATTGCATATTTTAAAAATGTTTTTAGCTCATTGAAAATATTCAGAAAACATATATTTTAATATCTTAGCCAAGAATTTGAAATTTTTCTATGAAGGTGCAAGGTTCTAAGACCAAATTGTCTCTGTAGAGCTGTGTAAAATTAAAAAAATAAAATTTCGAACTGGCAAGAAAATGTATTGTTCTTCCCAAATCTTGAGACAAAGGCACAAACCCTGTTTCATTCACACACAAAAAATAATTTTGATTTGCTTAGGGACATAAGATTTATGGCTCTGTGATGTCTGCTAGAGATATGTTTAAAGTGGACCACTCTATACAGCTTTATATAAAAAACATGGTATACACCTTACTGAACATTCTTTTCTTACATTTTCTTCCTATCGTGATTTTTTTTTTTTTTTTGAGATGGAGTCTTGCTCTGTCACCCAGGCTGGAGTGCAGTGGCGCGATCTCAGCTCACTGCAACCTCTGCCCCCCGGGTTCAAGCGATTCTCCTGCCTCAGCCTCCCGAGTAGCTGGGATTACAGGCGCGCTGTAATTTTTGTACTTTTAGTAGAGACTGGGTTTCACCATCTTGGCCAGGCTGGTCTTGAACTCCTGACCTCATGATCCACCCGCCTCGGCCTCCCAAAGTGCTGGGATTGCAGGCATGAGCCACTGCGTCCGGCCCTATTGTGATTTGTTAGTCTGAGTTTAGATTACTTACACCAGGAGGCATTTTTTAGCCTAAATCTGTAATCAGTTAAACAGGAACACTTTCTAAAAAATTCTAGTTCCTAAAAGGCTTGACTTCTACTTTTATTCTGCTCATTTATGTGACTGGCTATTTGAGTTTGAATTACTGGTACATTAGGAACGAAAATAAGGAATGCTTCCTTTTGCTTCCAGATTAGACAATATACCCTGTTAGGTATGCCAGTGCTGTGAGTTAAACTGAGCTGTAAAGTACAGGAAGGGTAGCATTGTCTGACAGAACTGGAAAATGATGGATTAAAAGTAAGATAAAGGCCAGGCCTGGTGGCTCATGCCTGTAACCCCAGCACTTCGGGAGGCCGAGGCGGGCGGATCACCTGAGGTCAGGAGTTCGAGACCAGCCTGGCCAACATGGTGAAACCCCCATCTCTACTAAAAATACAAAAATTAGCTGGGCATGGTGGCAGGCGCCTGTAATTCCAGCTACTGGGGAGGCTGAGGCAGGAGAATTGCTTGAACTCGGGAGGCGGAGGTTGCAGTGAGCCGAGATTGTGCCACTGCACTCCAGCCTGGGTGACAACAGCGAAAATCCATCTCAAAAAAAAAAAAAAGTAAGATAAATAGCTTCATTGACAATTGAGGACCTTAATATGTCTGACATTAATTTTAAAAGTCCAAGGAGGCAATATATTATGTAGTATTTCCCAGACTTATATGAGCATATAACTTAACTCACAGAATAATGATAATCTTATCCAATTACCTATCCAGCATGTGAATCCTTTTTATAATACGCTTGCCTTATATTTATCCAACCTCTGTTTAAATATCTACAGTAATGAGTAACCATTTATAGTGATGATGATGATGATGAAAGTGAGAATGATAATGGCTAAGTAGTGCTTTCTTCCTTTATACTTTCTATGCACAGTTTTAACTGCCTTAATCTTCCCACAACCCTTTGAAGTACGTACTATTTATTTTTTCCATTTCACGGTTGAGAAAATTGAGGCCTGGAGGGATTAGGTAAATTGTCCCAGGTAACACAGCACAAATGGGTCTGGGTCCTAGGGAATCTTGTCAAGAATCCATAAATGTAACGACAGCACTATTTTCTCTCTCTCTCCTTCTGCTCCCTCTCCCTCTCTCCCCCTCTCCCTCTCCGCCACTCTCTCTTCCCCCATTTCCCTTTGCCTCCCTTCCTCTCCCTATCCTTCCCTTTCTTTCCCTCCCTCTCCTTCTTCTGTCTCTCCCTCTTCTCTCTTCTCCCTCTCCTCTCTTCTCCCTCTCCTCTCCCTTCCCTCTCCCTTTCTTTCCTCTCTTCTCCCTCTGTCTCCCTCTCCTCTCTCCCTATCTCACTCCATATATATATAAATTCTGTATACAGTTACTCCTTGACTTGTGTTCTAATAAACCCATTGTAAAGCCACAAAATTATAAGTCAAACCATTAAGTTGGAGACCTTCTGTGTATGTATATATCACAACCATTTGATACCTATGACTGACTGTAATAACTATAATTAAAAATGTATTCACATCTCTAATTCACCCTTGAAAAAATTATATTCTCTGAAGTTGGCTTTTCTGCTGGGAGAATAAGATTAGGGCCTACTTTATACGGTTGTTGGGTGAATCAAATAAGCTAATGAATTGAGCTTACAGCATGTAGCCGTGTGCATCATAAGGACTCAGTAACCTTTAATTGCTATCATTATTATTAACATCATTAATATGTTGTTGTACAGGAACAAGCCTAAACGTAGGCCCTGGTGTACTGATGGACCTGCTTAAGTTCACTACTTCTGAGCACCTGGAGGGCAAATGCTATGAATCCTGGCTTAAGTTGCTTTAGTCTAGCCGTGGCATGCTTCCACCAAAGTTCTCATCTTACCATCTTACCTCTTCCAAAGTCGCCTAATTACTCGCAGCACATAAATCCGCCTGTTAGATTAAATTGTGGGGAAAAAGCAAGGGAAACTGCTTAGATTTAATGTTAGAGAATGCCAAGAAGAGACATATTTATTATGCTTATTTTAATGGTTTTCTAACACAATAGATTGGGAAATCATGAGTTTGTCAAAAACAAATCTTAAGTCATGGTGAATTGCAAATGCCCAGCTAAATCAGGACTTAAAATTACTCCCTTTGTGGAAATCTCTTTTTCTTCTATGACACCTGAATAGGACTCTCACATCTCCCATGCTCTTAGCCCAGCTATTCAGGCAGCTCTCACATGTAAATTTGTCCCTGGCTCCTACACCAGTAACAACTCAATGTGTGCGTGTGTGTGTGTGTGTGTGTGTGTGTGTTCATGTTACCTCTACATTATATCCTTGGTTTCTAAGTAGAAGGACTAATTTTTACCTATCTTTTTTTAACCTATTTTTGCAGATTTTTCTTTTTTGTTAGTGCACTGCCTTAAGCAATATTCTTTTTTAAAACATTGGTTTCATATAGCCCCTTCTACAGTGGTTGACGTTCAAACTCATTTGGCTTGAAAGTCATTGTTGGTTTTACTGCCTCCATTCAGATCCTCCTTTTCTCTCTTGCTTCGCCTCTTACTCTTCCTTCCTAACTGGTCTATTCTGGTATTACCCAGAACAAATAAATTACATTGCTGATATCAGAGTGACCTGTTAAAAGTATAAACATATCATTTTCTACTTTAAACCATAATCCATAACTCATATCAACAAGGTTAATCCCAAACTCTTTTTAAAAATAATCTGTCTACTACTCAACTTTCTACTCAGTTTTTTATTTTTTATTTTTATTTCTACACTTTTTATTTCTACAGTAATATCAAATCACTTAAAACTCTCCCAACAAACAATACCTGTTTATAGTTTTGTTTATATTACTCTTGTTGCACTGAATAACCTATTAGCATACTTAAGGCAGAGTCTTTGTCCTTTTCTCCACTATTACCTGAGCAATATTCCTGGTGTCTTGTTCATAGCAGATGCTTGTATTAGTTTCTTAGGACTGCCACAGCAAAGTACCATACACAGGGTGACTTAAAATGACAGAAG
Source organism: Homo sapiens (assembly GCF_000001405.40). Lineage (NCBI taxonomy): Eukaryota > Metazoa > Chordata > Mammalia > Primates > Hominidae > Homo > Homo sapiens. The sequence continues at coordinate 2,385,513 of NC_000003.12, forward strand.
TTTATTCTCTCACACTTCTAGAGGCCAGAAGTCCAAAATCAGGTGTTGGTAGGGCTGTGCTCCGTCTGTAACCTCTAGGGGAGGGTCGCATCTCTCAGCTTCTGTTAGCCCCAGTTGTTCTGCAGCTTGTGGGAGCATAACTCCAAGCTCATCTCTCATCCTCCATCTTCACATGCTGCATTCCCTGTATGCCTGTGTGTTCAAATTTTTTCCTCTTCTCATAAGGACATAAGTCTTATTGGATATGACCTATCCTAATGAACTCATCTTAACTTGGTTACATTTGCAAAGACCCTGCTTCCAAATAAGGTCACATTCACACGTACCAGGGGTCAAGACTTCAACACATCTTTTTAGCGACACAATTCAACCCATAACAATGTTCCATCAATATTTGATAAATGAATGAATACATGCATTCTCACTCAGCAGTCGCTCCCGAGAATCCTTCTTTTTATGTTCAGAAGAGAGGTTATCACCCCACCTTCATTTTATAGGAATTACGTCTTACTATACCTTGCACACACTACTTATTAATTTTCATGTCACAGTATATTTGTTCATATATCTATGACATTGGTTAGATTAGGAATTCCTCAAGTAAGGGCCTATATATTATTTATCTTCATATCTCATTGCCTTACATGGTTCCCAGAAGGGAAAAATGAGTGCTTATTGAACTCAAACATTCTCTGAATTCAAACTCTGAATTCAAACATTTGCTTGAATTCTGACTGGATTATTTTCCTTCCCCACCTCAAAATTGCATTGCTGTCTGCTTGACCTTTGTGTGACAGTAGAATGGCCAGGTGGTAAAGTTGCAGTATTGAGACATACAACCCATAGTTTTTCTGTCTGGGCCTGTTTTACTGTAATCACTTCAGACAACAAAGAATGCTTTCCCCATCTGGGGCCAGTTCCCCTAACTAGCAAAATCCTAGAATGCCAATAGCTGGGTTTCTTGGAATTAGTTTAAATCATTGTTTGCAATATGTGTTTACATTGCATTGAAAATATTTGTTGGAAAAGATGTTTTCATTTTTAGCAGTCATTTTTGGAGACGTTTATGTAAGAGAAGCAAATATCACATGTTTGAAGCTAGAAAATTTCTAAGGAGTACATGAAAATTGCAAAGCAATTTCTGTTTGTAGCTTTTAGATTTAAAAAGTGATGGCTAAGGGCACATTTTCCTCTTTAGAAACGAAAGGGAAACATTTCAACGAATTATTAAGTATTACATAAGTCTTTTAAAATTATTTGAGATGAGTTATAACTGAAACATATACATAGGGTAGTTAGTGATAAATTGAGAAATGCAAAAATTTAATTGAGCATTGGAGATAATTATTGCAGATATTTGAGATAAGATGTAGCTGCAACTAAGCGCATTCAATTTAGAGATTATAGAAATCATGCATGTGGCAAACCCGTGAACCTCTGTTTCTCTCCATCTGTTGGCTTTGCATCTTTACTTCAGGAAGACTACCTAAAGGGAAGAAATAGAAGTTAGAGTTTTGAACTTGCTAACCATAAGTCGTGTGACTTCCAATATCAGTTATAGTCTACTATAGTAATAAATAAATATTCATTTTGTGTGTCATCTGGAATTACTCAAATTTATAAAACTTATCTGATAGTAAATATACAATAATTTAAATGAATGAAATATTGAAAAATATCTAAAGTTACTTAGATGTGACACAGTCTATTTTGCTGTATATCTCTTAAAAATGCTTTTGGTAATGCAAGGGTTCTTTACAAAGTATTGTCTTTGTGAAGCAGTTGGCAAATCACTTATTAAATATTTAACCTGATGAGTTAGTTTTATTATTCTTAAGGCAAATCTTTATTAAGAGTAAAAAGAACATTTAAAAAATAAGTGTACAGCACTTGCTACTACTGTGAATTTATTTTTTATCAAAAGAAGTATGATTTTGTATTATTTTGTTTTGACTATGATGTTACATAATAATGGCATCCTTCTTCATTTATGCAGTTGGCTTTTTTATTGTTTAAGAAATTTGTTTATATTACTATTTGGTTACTTAATACATAGAAGAATATTTAATAATAGAGACATTTGAAAAATATAAAAATTATAAGGAATATAATGATCATAAACCTAAAGATAGCTGGATGAAATTCACTTTGATTTTCATTTCTAAGCTCTTTTCCAAAAAGCCAATTTTCAAAGCAGGTTTTCTTGTTTTATTTTGCTGTTTTTCCTGCAAGAGTTGAGACACTGGTTTTAAGGGATACACTTCCATTATTCTTCATTATTTCTTATGTTCCACCCATTATACGTGAACTATGTGTATCATTAGAAGACAGAAAACAAAGAGCTGGTCTTCCCAAGAATAAAGTGTGAATCAAATTGATTTTAAAATTGCTCTGTGCCATGCAAGCTGTGAAGTTCTAGAAGAGTACAGTCAGCGTCTTGGAAAAGCCTGTGTAAAATAATATTTTGGATCCATTGTTTTGGTTTTCACACAGTGACTTAAGTGTGGCATTATAATTTAAGTGGAAGGCTTTTATTGGAAATTTAGCTTAGTAGAGCTAGATTAACAATATATGAAATTAAAAAATTTATGTTTTGGCAGCAATTTTTGTGTTTTGTCTGCAGAAGGTCCTTCAAGTGGGGAAGTTTCATGCTGAAAGAGCCAGTACAAACTATTTCTGATGAGCTGTAGATACATTTGCTAAAAAATTTTCAGTTATTATTGCTCTAATATGCTAAATACATGTTAAATCTGTTTCTCATAATTTAAATGTTCTGGATACAAAAATGCTTAAGAAGTAAGTATATCAGAACTGTTTTCTTCTGGGATCAATGCATTGCCATTCTCAGTGGATGAAGAGCTGAGATTTGGGATACCATGTTGCAAATAGAGGAGCCCACACTGGCCTCCCTTCCTCTACTCTGGCCACACCTTGCTATTAATTACTCGAGGATAAGCTAAATTATTTCATTCCTTTGCTTTCTCTCAGAATAAAATCCACACTCCTTGCTATGGCCTGCATAGTCTTATTTAGAAATCTACCTAACCAATGGCTGGGCACAGAGGCTTACGCCTGTAATCACAGCAATTTGGGAGGCCGAGGCAGGCAGATCACTGGAGGTCAGGAGTTTAAGACCAACCGGGCCAATGTGACAAAACTCTGTCTCTGCTAAAAATATAGAAATTAGCCTGGGATGGTGGCATGCATCTGCAATCCCAGCTACTTGGGAGGCTGAGGCAGGAGAATCGCTTCAACCTGGGAGGTAGAGGTTGCAGTGAACCGAGATCTCACCACTGCACTCCAGCATGGGCAACAGAGCTAGATTCTGTCTCAAACAAAAAACAAACAAACAAACGAAAACCAGGCCAGGCGCAGTGTCTCACGCCTGTAATCCCAGCACTTTGGGAGGCCGGGGTGGGTAGATCACCTAAGGTCAGGAGTTCGAGACCAGCCTGGCCAACATGGTGAAACCCTGTCTCTGCTAAAAATACAAAAAAAATTAGCCAGGCGTGGTGGTGTGTGCCTGTAATCCCAGCTACTCCGGAGGCTGAGGCAGGAGAATCTCTTGAACCTGGGAGGGGGAGGTTGCAGTGAGCTGAGATCGCACCACTGCACTCCAGCCTGGGCGACAGAGTGAGACTCCATCTCAAAAAAAAAAGCCACCTAAGCAACCTAATTTTAACTCTTGCCACTCATTCCTGCATGTTGTGCCTCCAAAGAATACCCTTTTCACCGTGATCTATCTTCACGTGGCTGCAGCCTTCTCATTATGTTGTTCTCGGAGAAACCTTCCCCGTGATGTATCTTCACATGGCTGCAGCCTTCTCATTATGTTGTTCTCGGAGAAACCTTCCCCGTGATGTATCTTCACATGGCTGCAGCCTTCTCATTATGTTGTTCTCGAAGAAAGGTGTAACTCTTCAGAGAGGCCTTGCTTTCAACTATCTTTCATAAATGATCCCAGTTCTACTACTGATCGCCTTATTTTATTTTTCTAATAGCTCTTACCACTACTGCAGTTTATCACTTGTTTGTTCTTTCTGTTCCTCCTTCATTCCTCTTTCCTTTTTTCTTCCTTTTCTTTCCTTTTACTATGGTCTATCTCCCTTGAGAAAATGAATATTCCATGAGAAAATGGATCTTATCTATCTCCTTCATTGATGTATCCCCATTGCCTAGAAAGGGAAGAACAGGAACTTTACAGTGAAGAAAAGGAACCTGGCAGATACCAACTGAATCAAGTGATCAAAGGTAGCATGACAGTAATGGGACAGATCATTATTATGAGCTTGTTGATGGGTTGCACTAAGAAAAAAAATTTCACGGAAGTATCTAATTATGAGGAAACATCACACAAAGCTAAACTTTACAAAATAATTGTCCTGTAATATTGAAAATTGTCAAGAACATAAAAGATAAAGCTTGAGGAACTGTTCAAGATTAAAGGAGATTAAAGGGACATGTCAAGTGTATATGAACTATCTCAGATTTGCTTTGGTTTTAAAGGACATTACTGGGACAACTGGAAAAATATGAATAGGGTGTTTACATAATAATACTATATACATGTTTATTTTCAGATGACAGTTTTACTGTGGTTATTGAAGAAAATTTCCTTGATTTTAGGAAATATACAATAAATTATTTAGGGTTAAATAAATGTCATGTCTGAAACTTACTGTCAATGGGTTTAGGAAAAAAGAGTGTGTGTGTGTGTGTGTGTGTGTGTGTGTGTGTGTACAGAGGGCATAGAAATTATAGAGGAAATGTAGTAAAATGTTAAATTTTGATAATCTTGGCGAATTGAAGCATATAGTAATTATACTATTATTGCAACTTTCTGTAAGTCTGAAATGATCATAAAAGTTAAGAAAGATGCACCTAGTTAAAGTTTCTATCCATTAATATATAATCAGAGGGCAAAATAGCCACACAGAAGCAGCTTCAAATACTGGTGTACATTCAATGTGCTTACTAAAACACATGATATAGCATTAATGTTTTACTTGTTTACAAGTTGAATTGATATGAATACCGAAGACTTGTATTTTTCCTGTTGAAATAATTGTAGGTAAGCTAGTAGAGCTTATGGGTTCCACTTTTAGAATAACATACAGGTTAAATATTTTCTATACAGCTACTGGTTGATTAATAACCTCAATAGGATTTTTTTCCCCACCTAACTTCCTTTGACGTAAAACAATGTTTGCAGAATTAAAGCAGTTTTACAAAAGAAATAATGTTGACCATATAACCGAGACTTCATCAAGCCACTTTAATTTCTAAATAATGATGTTTTATTTGTTTCTTGCACTTGGAAATTTTGCTCAGTGAATTGCCCGACCCAAACCTTCAATTGAATGTCTTTTAAATAGTTTGTACTCAAAAATGGCATTTTCTTCTTTCAGAAAATATTTTGTTCTTCAAGTATGTTTTTGAGGTTATAAAATAAGAGATGCAAAGCAGAATTCATAATGGTTATTATCTGGCATAAAATTGTAATAACAGGTGTTCCTTGCAGATTCCAAATAGCTGGACTGTAATGGGGAACCAGATTTAGTTTGTAATGGGCTCAGTACTGACCTTCCCTGCTGCACTACCTGTGGGCATCTTGCTAACATGATAAAATGGCCAGAATCCGAGAAGCACCTTTGTTTATGGGGTTGGATACTTGCCATATCTTCAAATATAATAACCAGCATCCAATCAAAAATGACTGAAGCATAAGAGTGAAACAGAGTGCATAATAAGAGTGTGTTAGAGTCATTTGGTGTGTGCTGATTTTAAACTCATTTGACATCCTGTTCTCTGATTAAATCCACGCAAGCCCCTTTTATGACTATTTTTACAACTGTACTATCTCAGCTCTACATGGCTGAGTCATTATCAAACAATATATGAAGCCATGAGAAACCCAGAGAAAGATGGAAAAGCTTTGGTATTATATGAAGAATACAATGAAGTAGCTGTCCACAGCAATAAAGTCACAGATGAAAACCAGATATACCAGTCTAGTTTATTAACTCATGTTCTTCTAACATATCCCCCACACAATATGAGTGAACTGAGCCTTGTTTTTTTGTTGGGAAGTATAATAAATAAAGGATGAAACAGACGTGATGTTTATATGTAATGCCAAGTTAGTTAGCTCAAAATTTAGATTGAGAAAAAGAACTGACTACAAAAGCTTTGCATTGGAAATTTACATGACGCAGCAAGAATTCTGAGCTCAGAGCTGCTTCTCCCATAAACTTTTGAGAATCAAAGACTGCCCTTGATCACAAAAACTTACCGTAGCTAGCTTTTTGATTTTGACCCAGGAAAGCTCATTGAATGCATTCTAATGTCCCATCAGTTTTGGAAAAGTGGTAGTGAAGCTTCTTCGAATAGGGGCTTCCAGTCTACTCTTTAAATGGGGCAAATATGGACAGCAGCATAAAGCACTGAGGGTGAGTTTTTATTCAACTCATTTCATTCAATATGTTAGAATTATTGTAGCTGCTTCTTATGCATCTCAGATTAGAACTGAACCATCTCCAAATTGCACCCTGCTAAGCAGCGCCGAGCCAAGTAAAATGTTGCTACATGACCCCAGATCAGAAATGCTAAATCAGATCCTGCCACACTGTCTCTCAGCCTTCCCAAATCCACTTGGCTATCTTCTGTAAGGAAAAGTTAGTGTCAAGAAAGCAAAAACAACTTTCACGTCATCCCCTGTGAGGCTGTCTCTTCAGGAAGTCTATAATCAGCTGTCCTCTGGTGTAGATTTGGTGATTTTATGTATAAAGTCACTTAGCTTGTTTTCTCCTGGCTTTAGAACCTCCAACATTTCCTTTGCAATCTCTGTTCTCCACCTTCATATCCATCAAATTCTGGTCATTAAATGTCTCTGGTTGGCTTCCTACTCATTATGCCTTGTTACCAGATGAAAAATATGCACACAGTCTTCATGTTCAAGGAGAACCTCTGTAGCCTCTCAATTTCTTTTTTTTCATTTTATTCTATTTTAAATTACACATAATTGTATATATGGGGTACAGTGTGATCTTTTGATACATGTGTACATTCTGAAGTGATTAAATCAGGATAATTAGCATATCCACCTCCTCAGATATTTATTTGCAGTGATAAAATTTTAAGTCCTCTTTTAGCTATCTTGAAATATACAATGCATTATTATTAACTATCGTCAGCATGTTGTGCAATAGAACACAAAAGCTCATTCCTCTTATTTAACTAAAGCTTTGTACACTTACCTGTTTCTAGAACTCTTGACTTACCCATTCTATTAGTTTCCTAGGACTCTTGTAACAAAGTACCACAAACTGGGTGGCTTCAACAATAACAATAGAACACCAAAACTCATTCCTCCTATTTAACTAAAACTTCGTACGTTTACCTCTTTCTGGAACTCTTGACTTCCCATTATATTAGTTTCTTAGGGCTCTTGTAACAAAGTACCACAAACTGAGTGGCTTAAACAACAGAAATTTATCGTCTTACATTTCTGGATGTTAGAAGGCCAAAATCCAAGTTGGCAGGTTGATTACTTCTGAGAGCTGTGAGCCACTGTTCCATCCTATTCTTCTACCTTCTTGTGGTTTGCCTGCGATCTTTGGAATTTCCTTGGGTTACAGCTTGTTGCCTTCATTTTCACATGGTGTTCTGCCTGAGTGAGTACATGTGTCTGTCTCCGCATTTCCTATTTTTATGAGAATACCAGTCATAATGGATTAGGGCACACCCTATGACCATATCTTAATTTAACTAGTTATACCTGTAATGACCCTATTTTTAAATAGGTCACATTCTGAGCTGCTGAAGATTTAGGATTTCATCATTTGAATTATGAGAGACACAATTTAATGCGTGACACTCATCTTGCCACAGTGTCTTGAGGCCTTCCACCTTTTAATAGCATATGGCAGATAGTAATCAGTCATTCCTTTTTAGTACATTTCTGTTTTTTACAGATGTATATATTTCTGTCTATTCTACTATACTTAGAGAAATATTATGTATCTTTATTCTAGGGAGATATGCACTTAACAAAAATATTAATATGTGTGTACGGGCCTAACAATGTGTGAGATTATATAAAGTATAATAATGAACATTTCAAATCATATTACCTTCTTTTTTAAATTATCATCCTTACATAAATCTTATGATGTTTTCAAGTATTTCTGTCTTCATCATTGAAGCTATGAGAAGATAAGTTATATACCTAAAGAGATCAAGGAAAGATAGGAAAGAATCATTGTAAGTCCACTATGCTCTTCAAATAATATAATGACCAGTATGAACTGAGATAACCTTTAGACAGGGTAGTAGGAATCACTATTGCTACTACCCCCATCATTGTCACTGCTCTTGGTGGGTCTAGATATGTTTTATATCAATTATCTGTTTTAATCCTCCTAACCCTAAGAGACAGCTATTAGTTGGGTGCAAAAGTAATTGTGGTTTTTACTATTACTTTTAATATTATTCTCATCTTACAAATAAGAAAAGTAAGACTCCAATGTTGGTCAGGGTTATCCACGTAAAATCAAACACCAGTCTATTTTAATCCAAAGCTCATCAATGAAAGCTAAATTTTAGGCATATTAATGAACATGAATTTGCAGAGTGTGTCGTTTAAAAAGGAAGTTGTTTTTTTTTTAATATTGAGAATGAAAAAAAGGCATAATAGCATCAATCCAGAGTAAAGGAAGCCCCTAGAGGCTGAGTAGGCAGATTCTAGGGTTTCCATGTTAACAGGAACAGTATCTGATCAGAGGGACAGGGCTAGACCTAACTGGGTGAGAAGATGGAATTTCATAGATGCACTGGTTCAAAGATAATTGAGACTTATGTGGAAAATCTCCTTTTGATCTACTGCTAACCCAAAGTCTCCTTTATTAACAGTTAATGAAAACTGAGCCCTATACCACATACCAATGTACACATGAAAAAAGTGCTCACATCTTTAGTTACAAGAGAAATGAAGATTGAAACCATATGGAATGCCAATATATATCCACTGAAATGGCTGATATGAAAGAGGCTGACAGTAACAAATACTGGCAAGGATGTGGAGCAACTAGAACTCTCATGTGTTATAAGTCAGGGTATAAATTGGTGCAATTACTTTGGAAAAGGGTTTGACAGGTTTATAAAAGGCTTAAACACATCTATGCTATGACTCAGCCATTATGTTTATTATGTTTGTACACAAAGGAGTTTTTCCAAGAGAATTGAAAACATGTCTACAACAAACCTTATATTAGTTTTTTTTTTTTTTTTTTTTTTGAGACAATCTCGCTCTGTCACCCAGACTGGAGTACAGTGGCGCAATCTCGACTGACTGCAACCTCTGCCTCCTGGGTTCAAGTGATTCTCCTGCCTCAGCCTCCCAAGTAGCTTAGGTTACAGACCCCCACCACCACACCCAGCTAACTTTTGTATTTTCGGTAGACACGGGATTTTACCATGTTGGCCAGGCTGGTCTTGAAGTGCTGGCCTCAAGTCATCTGCCTGCCTTGGCCTCCCAAAGTGCTGGGATTACAGGCATGAGCCACTGCACCCAGCCAGAATGTTAATAGCTTTATTCAAAGTAGCAAAAATGGAAAGAGCCTAGGTGTTCATCAGTAGGAGAATACATAAACTGTTGTTTATTCATACAGTAGAATATGATGCAGTGGTTAAAAATAGCAACATGAATGAATCTTAATACATGGTGAGTACAGGAAGCCATACACAAGGAAATGCATACTGTTTGTATTCACATACAACACCAGGATAGGGGAACATAATCTATAGTGTAATAAATGAGGTAAGCCATTCTTTTGGGGGCAGGATTTTACAAGGAAAGAATATAAGGAAACTTTCTAGAGTGATAAAAGTATTTTATATATTAATAGGATTATGGATTGAACTATATACTTTCCTTTTAAATTTCAACTTTTAGGATCACATGGTACACTGTGCAGGTTTGTCACATGGGAATATTTCGTGATGCTGAGGTTTGTGTTATGATCGATCTCATCACCCACGCAGTGAGCATAGTACTGAATAGGCAGTTTTTCAGTCCTTGCCCCACTCTTTTCCTCTCCTCTCTAGTAGTTCCAGTGTCCATTGTTCCCGTCTTTATGTCCATGTGCACCCAGCGTCTAGCTCCCAGTTATAAGTGAGTACATGTGGTATTTGGTTTTTCTGTTCCTGAGTTAATTTGCTTAGAGTAATGGCCTCCAACTGTATCCATGAATGACATGATGTCATTCCTTTTTATGGCTGTATAGTATTCTATAGCAGAACTATACCCTTTAGATTGTTGCGGTTTACCATATGTGAAGTATTGTTCAATAAAAATAATCTTTAAGATTATCAAGCTGTATGGCTTATAGGTAGCTCTTGTGTTGAAGAAACTACTACATGTGAATTCTTGTGCTTACCCACATGCTCGTGTAGGAATGAGCGCAAACACACAGGAACACCATATAACACATGCATGGGAACATATTCCTTATGGGGCTGTTTGTTGTTGTTATTTTTTTTTTTTTTAGACAAAGCCTCAGTGTCGTACAATGACATGATCATGGCTCACTGCAGCCTTGACTTCCCGAGCTCAGGTGCTTCTCCCACCTCAGCCTTCTAATTAGCTGGGACCACAAGCATGCACCATCATGCCCTGCTAATTTTTTGTATTTTTGTAGAGATTAAGTTTTGTAACGTGGCCCAGGCTTGTCTCAAACTCCTGGGCTCGAGCCATCTGCCCTCCTTGGCCTTCCAAAGTGCTGGGATTACAGGCATGAGCCAAAGCGCCCAGCCTAGCCTGTTTTTAAGTATGAAGGATAATGAGACATAAGGTAGATTGGACCTATAATGTCTTCTCAGAAATCATGTTAAAGACCCACCGTATGAAAACAGTTGGGGGAATCTGCCCTTTTTTGCCCAAAGCAGTCCTCACATTGGCTTTACTACCCCCTCCCCAGCCTCCCACATTTTGTACTTTGCTCTGGACATCCTCACGAGCCAGATCCTCATTGAAAATGAGCCCCTTTGAATTAGCTGCTTAAAAAGATGGAGCTACCATGATGCCACAAGAAACCCAGCTTGTGCAAAGGCAGCACTAATTTTAAAACTCAAGTGTTATGTCTGGGTTTTTTTTTTTTTTATTAACCTCTCCTAGAACTCTTCTGTGCTGTCATACATAAATCAGAAGATTATGAAAGAACTAGTCAAAGTGGCTGTTTCCTTCTAAGGCTGTAATTTGGTTCCATGAATTATTAATTATTAGACTGATATGGCATCAGCTCCTCAGAACCCAATATAAATGCAAAAGCCTCACCTTATCAGTTATAATCTAAGGAGCTGCAGTAATGTCATTCTTCCCATTTAGTGGTGTGTTATGGGGTTTAGGATATTCAACCCAACAAACTTCTGAAATAAAATACAAAGTAAAGGATATTTTTGTGTGTGACGAGATTTGAAATTCAGTATAAGGAAGCAGATGTGGATTGCTTCAAGGGTTTTGATTGTTTTGAAGGATGGAGTTGTTTCATAGATGCTAAAGCAAATAACAGGGCATGTAAAAGACTGTGGTTGAAGAAAACTGCCTGAAAGTAAAGCTTTGGAACATCTTGCATCTCTGCTGCTGTTAGGGAGGAAATAAATAATGCACCATGGATTGAAGTTGTGCTAAAGATACATTCAGTATATGTTGAAAGCAAACATCTGATATAGTAAGTATATTTTTCTTATGCGAATTACAGCTCTTATATTCTTTGAAGCAAGAACTAAAAACGTATTAATTTTTTGTTTGTTTGTTTTGCTGGAGTACTTAGCTTTAATACTTGATGATGCCTCCCAGTTTTCTTTGGTTCTGTCTTTAATATGTAATGTCATGTTATTTTAAAATGTTCTGAAGAAAAAAATTTATAAGCTTAAATTCTGTTCCGTTTTGTGAGCACAAGATTAGTCTCCTTTTAGGTGCAAGTTTTTTTTTTTAGCAGTTTCTGGATATTTTAGAAGTGTGCTCCTCACATATACATACATCTGATTGTATCAAATACAGACTACAGTATGCAGCTAATGTTGCAAACGCCACACTGCTCAGCATTGCAGTATAAAGAAGGAAGTAACACCTAAGCTGTAATGTAGCCAATGGATTGGGGGTTCTATGAATGGAAATTCTAACCAAGTAGAAATATATGTTGGAGTTAGCTATGCTAAAGTAAATGTGTTCTGTTTCACTAACTTAGCCATTCTAAGAGATTATTTAGAAATAATTAGTTTGCTAAATCTCTGCAAACTTTCATATTATTCATAGAAATTTCAGTAGCTTTGTTACTCTGAGCACACTACAGCAACCCCAGTGCTCTTTGACTTAAATAGATTACATTTTTTAACAAATTATTTTATGGGGTTGAATTTGGTCTAAGAAAATGAAGAGTGTATTCATTCTATTAAAAAATGGCTAAATATGAAAATGGCTTGAGTGATAAAAGTACCTTGACTATGCTCTACTGTTTCTATATAGTCAGTTTTAAGAAACTGACAAATTAAAAATTTTCTCGAACTCTCTGTAAAGTTAAAATATTAAAAGTCGAGACAGTTTTCTTCATTAGGCCTGAGAGGCAAAGGTGTGATATATTAGCATTTGAAAAATAAATAACAGTGCATCAAAAATTATGAAAACTTTTAAGTATGCTTAAAGAATAGGATTTATATCCAAAAAGTTTCCTGAAATAAATAGATTGTGCCACATAATTTATGACTCATTAAAACAAAAACAAAAGATGATATTTCTTCTTTAGTGTGAAATAACTCATTTTCTATTTTAAATTAATTGCTTTCTATAGGCAAATTAGGGGCAAATATTCATCAGAATGGCAATTACTTGAAATTTTTTCATGTTTAATATGGTACTGTTTTCAGTTCATTAATACTATTGACCAACAGCTACTATAAAAAATTAATACTTTTCCAAATTTACTTTCTGTATGAGAGATTGATTCATTATATTGCCATTGAGGGGAAAAAGCTATGTAGAAGTAAGTTTACTATGGACAGGTTTAGTCAATACTGTGTTGAGTAGACTGTGCATGAGATATAGGGTAGATTTAGACCTGAATTAACAGTGCATCAGACTATGAAATTTTGTTCAGTATTAAAACAAAATTATCTTGATAAGCATCTCCAAAATCACATTTCTGGCCCATCATTGTTGGGGTGTATACCACGGAACTGAGAGTTCCCTGAAACACTTGGAAATGATCACTGATCTGGACTTGATCCCAAATGATGGGGCTCATTCTCCTTTCAATTTTGCTAACTTATTTTGATCTCCTGCCTTCAGTTTTACCAGAGATTTGAATTATGTATTTGGATTTGCAATAAACTATAGAATATGGAGGCTCAGGCGTTTCCATATATTGATTTATTACATACATCTTAAGTTTTAAATTGGCCAAATCAAAGGTAGTAGGTTTAAAACCCATATGGTAACTTAGGAATCAGACAGCATTTGGGGAGAAGCAACATACAGAAAATATCCTTTGGTCCAACCCAGTCATTAAAACAAGAAAGAGCTATTGAACTGGGGAAAAAAAGAAAGAAAAGAGAAAAAAATAATATCCTTTAGGTTAGAGTGCTGGCTTTCCCCACCCAATATCTGTGTCAGTTTCTCTGGGGTCCCTTTCTGTTCTGGTTTGCCCTTACTCTGGGTTAGTTTAGATTCCTTATCACCAGCCATGGTAAGCCATAGTAAGCATGTTCAGCTTCCTCACTTCTGTACCCTATCTAGTGTCTTATGTTATTTTTGCCCCTGTAAGTTTGAGCCATTGTAACTTCTGTGGCCATAGTTTCAAGACTATGCTTATGATGTGGATGAAGGTGTTTTTGTTTTTGTTGTTGTTTGTTTCTTTTTCTGTGGGATACCTTAGGATTCATTCATTTGTGATTTCAGAATGGAGTGAGAGAGAGCTGTTTTTGAAAATAAGTTATGCTAACTTACTAGCTGTTACTAGTTACATAAGTTCTCTGAGTCTCTGTTTTTTTCTCTATTTGTAAATGAAAATGTTAATATTAACTATCTTATTTGATTATTGTGAGAATTGAATGAGATAACACATGTAAGATACTTGGAATTCACCCTCCATATACTAAATGCTCAATAAATCTACTATGTTCGAGTATGATATGAGGAAGGTTTATGCTTCTCTAAAAATCACTGCAATTAATTCTAGTTTGGGTTAATAATGGATTTGGTCTGTTATATGGATTCTAAGTGGAATAACTATGAATGTTATTTAAATGTATATTTATATCAATGAAGAGTGAAAATCAAATGGTTTCATCATTACCAGCTTACCACATAATCATGCTGTGGTGGAAATCTACTTGTAAAGAGTAACCTCTGCATTTTTCTTCAGATACAATCAATAAATGTGAGTGATTTCATTACTTATGAAATAATTCAGGAAGAAATATAATTGTGTGCATCATGTAATATAATTGAATGTGGACAGACAAACCAAGACTAATTACGGGCTTGGGTTTTCCCAGGAAATATTTATGTAAGTAACTTCTATAGGTGGATATCAGTCCTGTAAGGATTTTGACATTCTTCTGCCTTCAGTAATGCAGCACTTTCTCATCTTCAAGAGCTAGCTCATTTGTGAAGCTTTCCTGTGTAACCCTACCACGAAATAATATTTTTCTACTTTAAACAATTCTAGTATCACAAAACCAGAAGCTTGTTTCTGTGCTATTTTGAAATTTTCTCCATTTTTCCATAATATATATGTACACACACAAACATACACACACATATGTAAAAGAAATATATATATATATGTGGGTGGGTGTATGTGTGTGTATATGTGTGTGGTGTGTGTATGTGTGTGAATATATATATATATATATATATACATATATATATATATATATATATCTCTTTTTTTCCTTCTTCTTAAATTTTATTACAAGATATTGGAATCACATGCTTACCATCCACCCTTCCTCCTGCCACTTGGTGGATATTTGTATTTCTGTAGATACTTAAGTAAACAATATAGCTCAGCTTCAAAAGTCTTAGTTCAACAAATCAAATAAAAAGATGCAAAATGTAGGTTTAGTAACAAGTTAATGTTCTCATGTATGAGTAATGGTGCAAAAGCCATGACTATTATAATTTTTTAAATATTTGAAGTGTTGTACCTATAAGCAAAGAAACTAACTTTGTGGTGGCTTTTATTTCAAGTTTTCCAATCCTTACTTTAAAGACATTTGGATTATGCTGTGCATAATAGGAGAAATACTGCCCTATGTTCCAACTTTCAATTTCTAAATTTATTTATATATTACTATATATAAGTATATTATTCAAACCCCATCACAGGTTTGAAATTAACCCTCTTGGGGAACATCATAATAGTTTTCTTCTTAGACTTCTTATAGGATAGGTGTGTATTGGGAAATTAGCACATTACTTATTTTTACACATAAATAATCACTTCATTTTAATTTTCTGCTCTGATTTCCACCTTTCAGGTATGTATACCAGATACTGAAATGGCTGATCCCACTTTGATCACCTGTATTACAGAATTAGGTTATTTTCCAAATTTGACAAAATTGCAATTAAGAATTGCTTCTTAGTAGACTTTGCAGAGTATCTGAGTTACGTTCTTTGGATCTCATGATTTTAGAAATGTTTAGAGAACATTTTGTTCATTCCACTAATGGGAAGATAGACCCCAAGAGGTTTCTCAAGGTCAGAGAGCCTGCTAGGGAAGGAGTCAGACCCAGAAATCAGGTCTCCTGACTTCTTGTATAATGTCCTTTTTAGTGTACCATATTTCCTCAGTCAGATCGATCTACTCGTCCCTGCTGACATTCAGAAATCTCCCAGGTATTTGTAGATAATGTAGCTAGTGGCTATTTTGGAGCATCAGTCTAGAAGTTAAGATAATAAAATAGAGTTTTCACTTTATTATGTTTTTGTGTGTAAATTATTTCACAACTTAAAGCTTTATTTTTTTCTGTAAAATAATCATAGGTTTCTAATATTTTGGCTTTTCTAGTTTTCTCAAATGACTTGATTGAAGACAATCTGAGTAATTCAAGACTAGAGAGGCAAACAAGAAAGAAGGAAGAATTATTTCATTCTTATTAGGAGTGAACAGTGCACATGGTTTGAAGTTTTCATCAGGGATTCCGAATCTGTTGTTTCTATAGCTAATAATAGATTGCTCTTCAGATAGGCTGCTAAACTTTGTAGAGGTTAAAACTTTCACCACACGAGTGTGGCTGTTTGTTCACCGCAGTGCATTGCCAGGTAAACTTTAACCGAAAGCTCAAGAGATTTGATATTTTAATCCTACAAAAGCAATTTTGTTTGCCAGCAAAGTAATACCTGGATTTTTAGTTTCTCAGAGGAGCTAGGCATAGAATTTAAAATGTATTAGAGCTGCCCTTGGGGCTAAGAACATCTGCTGGACTGTAGTCTAATAAAACAGAATCTGACAAAGATGAGGTCTATGACATGTACTCTGCTACAACCATACTTGAGTAGATCAAACGGGTTGGTTTGACAAACTGATCAAGACAACAGGCTTATGGAAACTGCCTCACTAGGACAGCTATCCTCTTCCTTCAGGGTTCTGCCCCAAATCTCCCTTGCAGCTGAATTTAATGGGATTTTATCATATCCCCAACATGCAGTCTAAGAGCTGAACTCCCACCTCTTTTCTGTTTGACAGAATCTCTCTTATGAGCTTAGGGATAAATATTGGGAC
This sequence comes from Homo sapiens, assembly GCF_000001405.40. Taxonomy (NCBI): domain Eukaryota; kingdom Metazoa; phylum Chordata; class Mammalia; order Primates; family Hominidae; genus Homo; species Homo sapiens. Next base: position 2,402,297 of record NC_000003.12, read on the forward strand.
TTAGACCAAACAAAAATTGGTGAAATTTTTGGAAAGGAGATGTAGATTTAAACTTAGAATTGTCAGGTTCAAGTCTTTTCCTCCTCCATCTCTGATTTTTTATTTTAGATTTTTAAGTATTATGAATTCATAGTAGTCGTACATATTAAAGGGGTACATGGGATATTTTGAAACAAACATACAATGTGTAATTATTAAATCAGGGTAATTGGGATATTCATCACCTCAATTTCCTGTCCCTCCATTTATCTGTATTAGGAACATTTGAATTCCACTCTTTCAGTTATTTTGAAATATACAATAAATTATTGTTAACTAGTGACCCTACTTGTGCTACTGAACACTAGATCTTTTTCCTTCTATCTGTATTTTCGTACTCGTTTGCCATCCCTCTTTATCCCAACTCTGATTTTATCTAAGCCTCTCAATGTGTCTTATATCTACTAGTTTCTTATAAAATATAGTAATAGCAATTCCCACCTTCTTTATGGTACAATGTTTTTCTAGGGAATTTAATATACCTAAAGTATATGAAAGTTCTTTAAGCAGGTTATACCTTACGCAGTACAAATTGCTGTGATTGCAATAGTTCCTTGTGTATCTCATCTTTTGAAGAGAGGAGTGTATTAACTTCCTGGAGCTGCCACAAACTGGGTGGCTTAAATAACATAAATTTATTGTCTTATCGTTCTGGAGGCTAGAAGTCAGAGATCAAGGTGTCGGCAGGGTTCGTTTCTTTTGAGGTCTGTGAGAATCTGTCCCATGCCTTTCTTCTAGCTTTGGGTGGTTTGATAGCAATCCTTGGCCTTCTTTGTCTTGTATCACGCCGAGCTCTGCTTAAACCTTCTCTCTATATACTAGTCTATGTCCAAATTTCCTCCTTCTAAAGGATGCCAGCCATATTTGATTAGGGGCCTGCTCTACTCCAGTATGACCTCATCCCTTACACTAGATATAACCTCAGAATTATATCTGCAGTGACCCTATTTCCAAAAAAGGTCACATCCTAAGGTACTGAGAGTTAGGACTTCAATATATTAATGTGAAGGGGGACACAGTTCAACACATAACAAGGAACATAACATTTTTTTTGTCTCACTGTTCTTAACTTACTGCTGCTTTTACTCAAAAAATTTGGGATGACCATGATGTTTCTGGATCTTCCCGTCCCTCTGTCCCTGCTCTTCCTGTAAATCTCAACCTACTTTCTAATATATTTCTTGTATAATCTCAAAGTACAAGAATATGCATACCATAAGATAAGCACTGAATAATTGTAAATCACTCTTAGTAAATTAGTAGTCTAGGCTAATCTGATTGTCAGCTGTTAATTTTGTGGTTTCTGAGAATCATCAAATAATGTACTCAAACCTGCTGATTGTTTATATTTTTTTGAACTACAAAGAACTTTCATTTACAGTATTACATCTAAACCAACATAGTTAATATTTATATTCTTATCAAAGATGTCAAACTTCAGGTGTAGAGGTGATGAAATGCCAAAAGTCACCTGGCTAGTAATTAATACAGCCTGAATTAGATTTTAAGAGTTTTTAATTTCAAACCTAGAATTCTTTCTGCTCTATCATTATGCTGCTCTTTAGAAAATGGGTATAGTAAGGTTTGTGACCTCTGTTTGAAACCCATGGAACTACATAGTGGACCCTATGAGTACAGATTGTCCATATAATACTTTCTCAATTTCTTCACATCAGACATTTGTGATTTCTATTATCTATCCACAGTGGTTATTGTGCATGAGGCTCTATAGTTGACATAAATAGTGAAAAGAATTGTTTCATTTCTCTGAATTGTTGTTCTGCAGAAACCTCATGTATTTGTTTTCTAGTGCTGCTCTAATGAATTACCACAAATTTAGTGGCTTAAAACAACACCCATTTATTAGCTTACAATATTTATGGATCAGAAGTGTAAACACAGCATGGATCTCTGCTTAGGGTCTCACAAGGCCTACAGCAAGGTCGTGACAGGCCTTTCCCCTTCCTGGAGCTGGAGGAGAAAATTTGTTTTCAGTCTCATTCAAGCTGTTGGCAGAATCCAGCAGGATGTGATTGTATGATTGAGGCCCTCATATTTTGCTGGTTTTTGGCTGGAGGTCATTCTCAGCTCCTAGCATCTGCTCGCATACCCTGGCTGCTGGCCCTCTTCAAAGCCAGAAATGATGGTAGAGTTCTTCTCACATTCTCTCTGCTCTCCCTTTCTACCTCATCTGTCCTGCCTCACCTTCTCCTCCACATATTTCTGAAGGAGGCTCTTCTGTCTTCCCCTTCTGCTTTTAAGGACTCATATGATTACATTGGGCCAACTGATTATCTAGGGTAATCTCCCTGTTGTAAAGTCAGCTAATTAATCACCTTAATTCCATCTGCAAAGTCCCTTCACAGTAATACTTAGATCGGTATTTGATAGAATAATCAGTAAATGGGAACCTTTGAGGGACAGCTCTAGAATTCGGCCTATAACATCTCAGTATTTTTTTTCTTTTTGCATTAAGCATTTTCAAATCAGTTCTTTACCCCCAAAATCATGTTGTTTAGAATGTACTAGGTGCTTTCAACTTATGTTATTCTTATGGCATCTGAATGGGATGGAGACAGTCATCCCCATTTCTTCGATAAGAAAGTAAAGGCAACAAGTTTAAAAGGTTTTATCAGATACACAGGGAGTATAATTTAAAGTATATCAGAGTTCTTCTCAGTGTAAAGTACGTCTGCTAGTTTTTAACATAATAAAAGATAACAAGCCCTTATTTTATTCTTTCTGTTTTAATCATTTATGTAATTGACTTGTTCTTTCCATATTTCTTCCCAATGTATGAATCCTATGAGATTATCATCCAGTTTCAGAGCAGGGGCAGGAATTGTTTGGGGGAGTAAAAATACATGGATTAAATGCCTAGCTCTTGGTCAGTATGGTACATATATTTCCAAGCTTTGTTTGGTGAGAGAGCTTGAAATTAATGACAACCCAGTAGCAATGAGCACACCTAGGACTCATATCTTGGTATTTAAATATCAGTTCTTCAAATGCTCTTTGAAGTAGCTGATTTCAAATCTGGGGTAGCTATAGTACAAGATGAGCCTGGAGCAACTTTGGCACTAAAAAGTTAGAAAGTCCTCAAAAAGTAAGAGTGCATGTCAAAGGACATAGGCACTGACATGAAAGAACCCCCAATGACCAAAGCTGCAAAATTGGAGCAACCCAATTAATAACTATAGTTATTTATTTAACCCATAGAATAAAATAGATATATGCGAACCCATACTGTTATAGATAGGTAGATAGATAGATAGATAGATAGATAGATAGATAGATAGATAGGAGTCAAGGATCAGCTCTTCCTTCCAGAAGAATTATAATTAATAAATGAATTATAGAAGGAATAAAAGAAATTGAACACCATCATCAAAACACTATGTTAATGGCTGGGCATGGTGGCACATGCCTCTAATCCCAGTACTTTGAGAGGCTGAGGTGGGTGAATCACTCGAGCTTGAGAGATCAAGACCAGCCTGGGCAACATGGCAAAATCTCATCTCTACCTACAAGAAATACACAAATTATCTGGGTGTGGTGGTGCATGCCTGTAGTCCTAGCTACTCAGGAGGCTGAGGTGGGAGGACTGCTAGAGTCCGGGAGGTCAAGGTTGTAGTGAGTGGAGATCACGTCACTGAACTCCAGCCTAGATGACAGAGTAAGAGCTTATCTTAAAAAAAAGAAAAAAAACAGGGAAAGAGAAAAAAAAAACTATGGTAATAATTGTTGCAGATGAGATACACTGGCATGCTAAATCTTGTGGATGAAAGTTCAAAAAAAACATTTCTTACTCTCAAAGTATATCCTCCCAAAATTTATTAATTATAAAGGGGAAATGTTAAATTTCACATTGGAAAAACCCAGCAGATACCACCTTAATCAAGTGATCATGTTTAATATCAATGGTAAGACATTTTGACATCATGTACCCCTGACATGACACAGTGAGAAGGGCACATCAGTTCTGTGGTTTCTTGTGAAAAATATATAACTTCAATCTCATCATGAGGCTGCACCAGGCAAACCTAACATGAAGGACACTCTATAAATTAACTTAGCATCATTCTTCATCGTATCTTCATATCACAATACAAGAAGAGGATGTTAGTGAAACCATTGGTAAAATCCAAGTAAAGTTTATAGTTTGTTCCCTGTTTTGATAATTGCACTGTGGTTATGTAAGGTATGAACCTTGGAGAAGCTGGGTGAAGAGTGTATGGGAATTCTCTGTACTATTTTTGTAATTTTTTAAAATATAAAGTAATTTTTTTTAAGTCTGGCTCTCTCATTAAATAGCTTTGTAATATTGTACAACATACCTCTTTTGAGTCTCACATTGTCCATCTGTAAAGTTTGCCTAACAATACAGAGCCTGTTACAAAGTATGTGAAATCTAACAGAGAGACAATGTAGCCTCATAGTTAAAAGCAATTGCTTTGAAGTGATATAAGTGTGGTTTTACCAGTTAAAACTGTGGAGGAATGCAAAACTTACCTAACTTTATTAAGCCTCAGTTTCCCCATTTTTAGTACTCAGATGCACTTACTGTGAATCTTAAATATGATATAGCAGGTAAACATTTAACCCTTCTTAGTAGGAGATGAACTGAGAATGAGGAACTACAAATTTGAATCCAAAGTCTTAAATTCCAGTTGCACTTATTAGGATTTTTTTACATGAAGCAGATATTAAAATTAAGCATGCAAGATATCTTTCTTCGTCTAACTCACATATTGAAGTGAACAACTTTTATTTAGGGAGTTTTTATACAACAGCGGACAAGGGAAAATTTAGCTCGTGTTATTTTGAAAGTGGCAGGAATAAATGTTTGATTAATAAGATTACAGGCATATTTGCATCTGGAGAGAAGGTTCATAAAAGAGTTATTTTTACTTGTAATTTATTTAGCTTGAAACAGAGGGAAAAAATTGAGATTAATCAGTTGTCAAATACCTTCTGAGAAACCCAAATATACTTAAAGAATCATGCTGAGATCTGACATACTTCTAGGTTTTTAAAGGAATTTTTTTTTTCTTTTTGTTTTTGTTTTGGCTAATCAGTTTATGAACCACTTTGTCTATGGGTAAACCAAGATCTGATAACTCTCAGAACAGAACTTTCATAAATCTGTCTGTGGAAAAATGCCTCAAAACATATAAAAATCATAAAATAAAGGGAACAAATATAAAGAACACTGGAGAGGGATTTGGGTGTTGTGTCTGTATTTTTGCAGTCTTAGCTTCATGTGCTGCCTGACCACATACTTCGTACTTGCTTCCTCCTCTGTCATTTGAGATGTTATTTGGTTGTGAGAAGGTGGAAATAGCACTGTATGTTAAAATTGATTCCCAAATGCGTCAAAATGTCGTATCTGTGGTCTGATGGACAACAAACAAATGCAATCATGAAAAGTTATTCCCATCCTGACAAGACTTTAAGAAAATCCACTATTTTGAGAATGGGTAAGTTAAAAAATTACTACATAAAATAAATCTTCCCTTCATGTAATATTCCCTATGTGATGAGTCTAAATTGTTGGCAGCCATACTCCTAATAATACACGTATGTACATATCTGTGTGTGTCTATGCACATTTTAAATACTTGTGACATATTTATTTAAAGTTTATTTATGAGCAGTATGGTAGTTTAAAAGGATTATGAAGGTCATTCTGTGTGTCAAACGTTGTTTTAAGAAGAAAGTATCTGAAATAAAGTAGCACTTATTTGTTGCTTTGTTTTTATTCTGATTGCAGACAACTGTGTCATACAGTATATGACCAAGTAGATATTTTTCTGTACATCCTAAGAGAGGGCTTGGACTAGGCCATTTCTGTATTGATATCCTGAGACCTACATATCCCTGGAGACCAATTACAAAGGTTCACAAGGTTGTTTTTATTTTGTTTTCTCTTGATTCCTTTTTAATGAGGTCTCCCAGTAAACAGCAAGCATGATGCTTTCCTGTTGGAGGCCTGTCTGCCGCCTTCAACCATTTATTACTAATTCATCTGGGAAATGATTTATAAATTAAATATTAGGAAAATGTACTTGAGGAAAAAAGTGGTAAGAGGTACAATTTATAATTCTCATTTAGGAGAAAGTCATGCCAGCAGTTTGCTAATGGAAGGATGCTGAGAGTCACTCATAGAAATACAGTTGTGGTTTATGTAATAAATAGAGATGTACATGAAGAGAATCTTCAATGTATATTTTTGGGCATGTGATTCATTTTAATAAATTGTGAAGACAGAAGTTCCCAATTTTTCTCTTCAAGTGAACCCTTGGAAAATTGGGAAATAATAAAGAGCAGAAGTGACCTATCAATATGTGCTATCTCATAACTCCTCCTCATGACAAAAATATAGTATTTATCAATACTAGGTGAAAATAGCTTCATCATAGAATAAAATGTGGTGTTAGTAGATGTCAGTGTCATCATAGATTTGTGCAAGAAGGGATTCCAGATGCTATTTTAGAACAATCTTCTCATTGTACAGATGATGAAACTGAGGTCATCCCTGTTTATGACTTACCTAAGGTCTCATAACTTTTAAGATATTAAATTTTTGAGATTATTTATAAAGCTTCAAGATTTATTTTTGCACTTGTAGGCAGTTTTTGTATGAAAGAAATCTGCTTTTCAGCTAATCAGTCAGATTAGGATTGTGTCTTATGAGAATATCTTTTACATTTGCGTTGTTGAAGGAAGATGAACAATAGCTGTGTCTCTACACCCAGAATTAAAGAGGAACAAAATTATAGCTTTGGAATCATCTTCTAAAATTTTATTAATTCCAGGGAATTAAAGCACACTCATCTTGCAGGTTTTATTTAATAAAAACGTTTGTTACTTTTTTTAAAGTTCTGAGTAATTTCTAGGTATCTTTTCTTTTCTTTTTTTTTTTTTTTTGAGATAGTGTCTCGCTCTGTCGCCCAGGCTGGAGTGCAGTGGCATGATCTTGACTCACTGCAAGCTCCGCCTCCCGGGTTCAGGCCATTCTCCTGCCTCAGCCTCACGAGTAGCTGGGACTACAGGCGCCCGCCACCACGGCTGGCTAGTTTTTTGTATTTTTAGTAGAGAGAAGGTTTCACTGTGTTAGCCAGGAGGGTCTCGAATTCCTGACCTTGTGATCTGCACGCCTCAGCCTCCCAAAGTGCTGAGATTACAGGCGTGAGCCACTGTGCTCGGCCTCTAGATATCTTTTCAATACTGCTATAGTGGTTGCATTATAGCAATCATTAATCTCAAAGATATAAGCAGTGAATTCATAACTGTGAAATCATAACTTTGTGGTTAATATTTTTTTCTGATCCCATTTTAATCTTTTTAAAATTTCATTTCTGTTTGAATATTTAGACTGTACTTGAATATAAATTTCAAACATAATTAAGCACATGTTATCTTTATTTAAAAGATGAGGCATATGTATATTATCTATGTATACACTATTTAAATATGTCCATGTATACATAAAATTATATGTTATATGTAATTTTCTAAATTATATATATATACTGAAACAGACAGATACAGTTTATGGCTGATATTTTCTGGTGAAAATAATTTACCAGTATGGGTTTGTTGGTGTCTGGCTGTCACCACTAAGAAAAGATTCTACTGGGTCATTATAAAAATTTCAGTTTGGGGGAATGTTAATAGAAATTAGCCATATTATAGTTTGGACAGCACCTATATGCAGTTTCATTTACCGATATTAACTTAGCACATGCTGGTTTATGAGGGGAAACAGAATTCAGTGGTGCACATTTAATCATTTTTCTTTATCTAATTTAAATCATATTCTTCTTGATAAAGTGTTATCTTGGCCAATGTAAGAAGATGGAGGACCCTCCCATGAACTTTGTGGGACAGACACTGAAAATCTGTGTTGACAGCATGTCTCTAACTCATCCTTCTCACAACATTTGCTGTTGGAATAGAACAGAGAATTCTGTAAGAGTCATAGTTTTTAGATAAAGATTGTTACAGAGGCATAATAATTCCAGAAGATTTCCATCTTCTAACAATCTCTTGAAATCAATAATAAAGACAATGGCTTTCTATTCGTCCACTTTACCACATCAGGCAGTGGAAATAGAAAATGATATAAAATTAATCCCTTCTCTTGACAATTGTAAAATGGTAATCCTCCATTTTATCCTCTCAGAGGATATTTGAAGATAACTTTTTTATTATCCTATTTTCATATTCTGTCTCATAACCTCATATATTGTATAGCCCATTTCATTGCTGGTGGTCAAATAAGACTGCGGTAGAAAGCCACAGGTAGGTTACTAGGGTTCTGAAGAATGTATCAGCACAGAAAACCAATTTCAGATATATTTTCAATGTTATTGCTTTAGAATACATCTCCTTTACTGAGACATCAAAAATCAAAGACTAGATGAGCTCATTCATGTGAATAAGCTTGGGGATAAATTACCTCTTTCTAGTTTCATATTAAAAGAGCAGTAGCATAGTCAGCCTGACTGTGGGATCTTGGTCAAGCAAAGCTAAATGTTCTTTTCCTAATTTTTCATATTATTTAAGTGTAGTGTCAGAACTATTCCTTAGTGTCTTTGTTAGTTTTGCTCTTAACTGTAGTCTCATGTGTTCAGAATGAGCACCAGCCAACAAATACAGACAAATGCAATATTTCAACTGTACTTTACATATAAAAAGATGGTGTTAATACACTCTCTTCTGTGGTTATTATGTAGTTTACTTACAAACTGACATGCATTTTTCTCACTTATAAGTGGGAGCACGTATGAGAACACACAGACACAGGGCAACACACACTAGGGCCTATCGGGGTCAGGGGCAGGATGAGGGAGCACATCAGGATAAATAGCTAATGCATGCAGGGCTTAATACTTAGGTGATGGATTGATAGGTGCAGCAAACCACCATGATACACATTTACTTATGTAACAAACCTGCACACCCTGCACATGTATCCCAGAACTTAATAGAAATTAAGCTAAAAAGAAGAAAAACTGATATGCATGATGCATGCTTATTTCTTCAGAAATATTGAGATGTTTATTTAATAGATGCCATAAAGCTACCTGAAATCTAACTAAGAGAATCCTAGTTTACTGCATTTGTTGGCAAAAAAGTAGACTATTGATATAAAATATTTTGAAGTTGCAGCCTTACATGATTGCCCTGTTTAGTTTTTTGGAATGTCTTTTCATAAGGAAGTTTGATTCTTTAAACTTGGAATTCCAAAATTCCCAGTACTTTCAATCAATGGACTAATCGCTTCCCTGCCTGCTGCCTGCCTGCCTGCCTTCCTCCCTCCTGCTCTTTCTTTCTTCCTTTCCTTTATAATAAAAAATCAAGTTATTGGAAAAAGTATTGAGTCACTTTATTCTTTGTGTCTTACTATGTAAGTTTCAAATTTTTGTGCCTTTTTGCTTTTATTCTGTCGTTGCTGTATTTCGAAGCATCGTTTTCCCCTTTTCCATTGAGATGTAGTATACATAATGTAAAAAACCCCTTAAATATTACGTTTCATCTATTGCTCCATATATGTACTCATGTAACCACTACCTTGATCAAGATAGAGAATATTTCCATTAACTTTAAAAGTTCTCTTTTACTCCTTGTCTGTCAATACCTCTTCTATCCTGAGGTAATTTGTCTTCTGACTTCTATCACCGTAGATTAATTTTGCTTGTTCTTGGACTTCATATAGGTGGAATCCAAAAGTACGTACTGTTTTATGTCTGGCTTATTTTGCTCAACATACTATTTTTTGAGATTCTTTTGTATTCCATGTATCAGGAGTGTGTTCTTTTCATTGCTGTATATTATGTCATTATATGAATATATCGCAATCTCTTCATCCTCCTCCTAGTGATGAATATAACTGAAGCAAATTTACAAATACTTTTTTTTTTTTTGGAGGCGGAGTTTCACTCTTGTTGCCCAGGCTGGAGTGCAGTGGCGCTATCTCGGCTCACTGCAGCCTCCTCCTCCCGGGTTCAAGTGATTCTCCTGCTTCAGCCTCCCGAGTAGCTGGGATTACAGGTCCCCACCACCATGCCCAGCTGATTTTTTGTATTGTTATTGGAGACGGGGTTTCACTATGTCGGTCAGGCTGGTCTCAAACTCCTGACCTCAGGTGATTTGCCCTCCTCAGCCTCCCAAAGTGCTGGGATTACAGGCATGAGCCACCACACCCGGCCCAGTCAACAGTTCTCGTGTCAGATGGGTGTACCCACGTGGGGTTGTGGTTTGCTCTTCTAATTCTTATGCAATAGTAATGAGTCTTTAAAACAAAATCCTGTGTTTGAATGTTCTTGAAATCTCAGAAATTATCTAGCAAATAACAGGGCTTTTTTTTTTCACTGCATGTGTGCATCATACGTATATACCTTTGTAACTGAAAACAAAAGGTAGAATCGTATAGTAGTTAGGATAGAAAGCTGTAGAATCAGATTGCCTGAATTTGAATTACAGATATTCTACTTGATATTGTGTGAGTTGAGGCAATTTATTTATATTAGCTGTATCTTGCTTTTTAAAAAATAAAAAAGGATATTAGAACCTTCCTCATAGAATTGTTTTGGTGATTAAGTTAGACTTTACCTTCAGAGTAGACAGTAAGCACTCAATAAATGTTAACTGTTATTGTTCCAAGTATGTACATTATTTTTATTCAAAAATGTGTGCAGGATTCCATATGATTCTACAGGATTCCATATGATTCTACATACATATGCATCGTTAAAATGTACTATGTAGATTAGGTTGATCTAATGACTGTCTTCTCTAACCAAAATTGTCAGAGGGCTAACTCTTCTCACTCATTTTGGCTCTTGTATCTCTACTTTAGTGGAACCAAAGTGAATGATAACAACCAGAGAGAGATTGCTTCTTGACTACAAATAATGAGATACTCCAGTTTAAATTAGTTCAACAATGTTCTTGATCAAATCATTCTCAATCACTTATTTTCAGAATCCAGATATTACTGCTGTGAATAACAAAAGAAAACTCAAATTTCTGTTCTTGAAGCATTAAGCCTCTTGATATTGGGAAAATGGTGTTAAGTGTGAAAGAAAGACAGCCATCTAATTTGTTGGACATCTAGGTGTGTCATGCTAAATTCTTTAGATTTGAAAAATAAATTTTTCATAGTATTTTTCTATTCTGAAAATATTTTTATATAAACCATGATTTCTTTTTTTTTTTGAGACGGAGTCTCCCTTTGTTGCCCAGGCTGAAGGGCAGTGGCGTGATCTCGGCTCACTACAACCTCCACCTCTCAGGTTCAAGTGATTCTCCTGCCTCAGCCTCCCAAGTAGCTGGGATTACAGGCACACACCACAACACACAGCTAATTTTTGTATTTTTAGTAGAGACGGGGTTTCACCATGTTGGCCAGGCTTTGGAACTCCTGACCTCAAGTGATCCACCTGCCTCGGCCTCCCAAAGTGCTGGGATTACAGGCATGAGCCACTGCGCCCGGCCCATGATTTTTAAAATAACAAATTTAAATTATTTTTCTGACTACCTACCATTTATAGCTGTAAGTGTGGATTCTTTCAGTTAAATATTTAACGTGTTTGGTGCCAACAACTCAGTATTTAGCCTAATCCCTATTTCAGAATCCAGAGTCTATATTGGTGCCATTCGTTGAATACCGAGGATGGCACAGAGCTAAACCTCCATCACCCCATAGACAGTGGGGACAGTGCCTCCAGCATACGAATGATATAGGTAGAGATATGGCTGCAAAATGGTAGATGTGACTTTCTGACTTGAGGGATTTCAGGGTTTTCTAACAATGTAGGATGGTGGGTAGATACCAAAGGTCCATGGCTTTCATAGACCAGTGATGATACTTGAATTATTTATGTAAGTGTTTCATCCCTCCTATTAAACTGCACCTTCTTTGGGAGTAAATTTTAGGTATTAATTTGTTTCTTCTACACCATTTAGCATATTGCGTGCGCTTAGTAGATCCCACATAAAAATTTCTCATTAAATGAAGTAAGCATATAAGCCTAAAAAGTACAGTGAAATTTTTTAAAAATGCCATTTTAAAAGAATATGACAACAAAAATGGCATATGTATGCATTAAATAAATATGTAAAATGACTCTCAATAAAATGTTAATTGTGTAGTTATTTTTGGCTGGGAATTCAAGTGATTAAAACTTCTCTTTTTTGTAATTATATCACTTGTTAATAGTAATTGATATTATTTATATTATCAGAAACAAATGAATATGATCATAGTAGATTATAAAGGAAAACATAAACAAACCATTAACTGTAGAAAAATCAAAATTTTCAAAGCTACTTTTCCCAAAATTATCATACCTAGACATTCAAGGAGTTGATTTTGTTTTGTATTTAAATTTTTCTATAGTATGGAGAAAGAAGGAATATTCAAAATTATTTTTATAAAGCCACCATTACATTAATACAAAGATCTGCCAAACACAGCCCAAAAGAATATTTCAGATCAATTATACTTAAGAATATATGTTCAAGAATCCTAATTTAATTCATCAGATTATTTGTACATTAAAGGAAAAGCACATAGAAAGAAAATAAACATTGAGTGAGCCTCGTTGCAAAACTCTTCTGATATTTCAAAATTGGGAAGCAGTTTCCTTTCCATGTAAATCATTATTTCCAATATATTAAGTATAATACAAGTGTAGGTTTAATCAATTTCTATTTTGGTAACTCATTTAAGAGCATCACTATTTTTTATACTGTGGATGAGGTATTCTGACTTCTCAGTTGCCTTAAAAGAGTGCCAGGGAGTCATACTGCAGTGTTAAATGTGCTCTTCTGCCTTGCATTCATGCTAAGAAAACCAGTGTCTATTATGTGGCTCCTCGCTTTAGCCTTCTCAGCATGAATGACCATTCAAGGAGCAACAGTATTTTATAAAAGTATTGATTGTGTTGGTTTGTAAAGGGCCCCATAATGTTCTTCCCACATCAAACCTGTGCTCTCTGTGTAAGAGAACCATAATAGCTACAGCCTCCTGGTAATGTATATGAATTGTACAGAATTTCAGTTTATGGATCAGCTTTGTAATAGTGCAGAGTTTCACTTGGCTTAACCAGGTGTGGGCAATTGTTGGGTGCCTTTAAAAAGTCATAACATTTCCAGGGACAGGGATGTAATGGGTCATTTTATAAGAAAGAAGAAAATGTATTAAACGTACCACATTATTTTTAGTTCAATGGTAGGTGTAAGACAGAAAGTACGTTTGCTTGGTATACATTTCTGTGGGACCCAGTGTTTGGCTTTGGTCTGCTAATTTCCTTTGCCTTTTCCTATTTAAGTTTTTTTCTTTTATTCTTCTATTAATAATATGATTTCTATAAGTTTCAGAAACTTTCTAAACAATAAAGTACTCCATTTCTGCACTATTGAGGTTGATGTTGGCCTTATTTATTCTCACCTTTTTTTTAAATTTGGTTTTTGATTTGGGATTTGGGGTGGCGCTGGCTTATTAGCGTTCTTGGTTGCAGCACATTTTCCTCCTTCAGTAACAACTCTAGAAGCTTAATAACCAAAGTTATAACCTACATTTGTTTTACTGTGCTCTAATACTCTTAACTACCGGGCAGATTTCAGTATAAGGTGAATTGGCATGAGAATTGTTTAGTCAATCAATAGCCATTTAATAAGCATTTGGTTACATGTTTTGGAATTTTTAAGAGACATATAAGATACTAGTGTGCCATGTTCTCACAGAGTGAACAATCTAGGGAAGCAAGAAATATATATATATATATGACAATGGTTTTAGGTAATAAAATAGAACTTTTAAAATAAGTTATAAGCTTATTTCCTCATAGTGATCATTCCATATCACAGGCCACCTGCATCCTCCATAAAAGAATAGGATTCTTAAATTTGATGTTTAATAGATTGTGTCACTTTACATTAGCCCTAATTAACTTTTTCCTAGTAATTTTGTGACCTTCAAAATTTACTTAATTTATCAATGCCATTAGTTTTTCATTTTTAAATTGGAGATAGTAGGAATATCTGCGTTATATAACATATGTAAAATGTAATTTAAATATACAGAAATGAAAATTGGGAGGTAATCTAACCATCTTGTGTTACATATGAGGAAATCAACACACTGAAGTAGGAGGCTTCCCCAAAATGGAATATTGAGCTTCATTAGTGGATATTACATTTGTTGACTCTTCATGTTTCCTCATTGGAGTTTCCAGATGCCACTCTTGCTTCTGAAAATCGTGTATGACTTGTGATGTAACAAAAATCAGAGGGCTTTCCAGTGTCGCAACTTTCTTTTTTTTAGGACGGAGTCTCTGTCTGTCGCCCAGGCTGGAGTGCAGTGGTGTGATCTCAGCTCACTGCAAGCTCTGCCTCTCGGGTTCCCGCCATTCTCCTGCCTCAGCCTCCCGAGTAGCTGGGACTACAGGCGCCTGCAACCTCGCCCGGCTAATTTTTTTGTATTTTTAGTAGAGACGGGGTTTCACCATGTTAGCCAGGATGGCCTCGAGCTCCTGACCTTGTGATCCACCTGCCTCAGCCTCCCAAAGTGCTGGGATTACACGCGTGAGCCACCGCGCCCGGCCCAGTGTCGCAACTTTCTATGGTATAAGAGTTACTTTGTTTAGCAGAAGTCTCACAGTTTGAGAATTAACCTTCTCAGTGGAGAGCTGGCAGACTGGTTATAAATAAGGGCTTCAGCTCCCTTAGTGTGGGACATGCTGCCCGCTCCCTTCAGGTACTTATCTGTCCTGGACCAGACAGAAGCACATCTGCTTTTCATTTAGCTTACTTCCATTTCTCCACTTCCTCTCTTTTGTCAGTGTTAAAGCTTAAAATGATGAAACAATCCAGCAGTTATCCAACTACAGATAAATAACTGCTGGACTGTATCATCGTAGACAGTTGGTGAAAAATTCTAGACCAGAATCCAGTCCCTTCAGTCTTGTATTCTTTCTAATGTATTGAGAACAAGACAGGAACATTGATTACCTATTTTTAGCTGGTTTCAAAAACAGTAACCTCAATTCCACAATCAAGATTTGGATTCAGAAATACTGAGTTTGCACTGAGCTCTTTCCTGCTTCACTTTGGGGTCATGAGAAAGGCTGTGAATTTCTGCTTCATTCCGATTCCCTCATTTTAATAACCTGCCAGGAGACCTCTAGGGGAGTGATTGTAATAAACTAGCTAATAAAATGAGATTAGAACCTTCAAAACTAAACATCCTCTTATGATACAATCCAGCAATCACACTCCTTGAGATTTACCCGAAGGAGGTGAAAACTTATGTTTACATAAAGACCTGCACACTGATGTTTCTAGCAGCTTTATTCACAATTGCCAAAACTTGGAAGCAACCAAGATGTCCTTCAGTAGATGAATGGTTAAGTAAACTGTGGTACACCTAGAGAATGGAATAATATTTGGCACTAAAAAGAAATGAGCTATCAAGCCATGAAAAGACATAGAAGAAACTTAAATGTGTATTACTAAGTGAAAAAGCCAATCTGGGAAAAAAGCTATATACTTTATTATTCCAACTATATGACATTCTGGAAAAGGTAGAATGACTATGGGAAGAGTAAAAAGATCCGTGGTTGCCAGGGATTTGGGGTGATGGAGAGATTAATAGAGCACAGAGGATTTTTACGGCAGTGAAACTAATCTATATGATACTATAATGATAGATACAGATACATGTTATTACAAATTTTTCCAAAACCATAGAGTGTAAAACATAAGAGTAAACCCTAATGTAAACTCCGGACTCTGGGTGATAATGATATGTCAATGTGGGTTCACTGATGATAATAAATATACCGCTGGTGAGGTATATTGATAGTTCAGAGAGGCTGTGTGTATAGGAGGGCAGGCATATATGGAAAATCTCTGCACCTTCCCCTCAATTTTGCTGTGAACCTAAAGCTGCCTAGAAAAAATAAAGTCTGTTAAAAAATCACCACAGAGGCAAAATGTGAGATTAGAACAACCTCTTCAAAATAATACACAGAAAGTATTTACAAATGCTAACTAAGACATAGGGTTCAAAACGTAAAACTGCTCACAGCCCAGGTACTAAAATTAGATCAATCTAATCATTAGATACTCAATCATTAGATACAATAGAATTTGCCCCAGTAGCAAATGTTTACTTTTGATTCTGTTATACACTACTTAACATGGTCCAGTGTCAGCATAAGGCTGTAATTTGGCGATTGCATTTCTTTATTTAATAACTGCTGATAAAGCTGAAATAAAGAATCAGTAAAAAGGTTTCACTTTTGTAAAGCACATCCAGGGTTTATAGGAAAGGAAATATTTCAGCATTTCTGATATATAAAAGAACAAAGGTGTTATATTAAGAAAAAATAATACATAAAACAATATCAGGGACATTGAATTGATGAAAGTAATCAGTAACATTTTAAATCCATGTTGGCTTGCATTGTGAAAGAAGGGAATAATTTACAGTTCATGATATTTGTATTTAGATGTTTGTATTTTTATTGTGTTTAGAGAATCCCAGGAAAGGAAAGAATCCTACAACCCGTAGGATGAAAAAAGCTTTGGATCTCATGCCAGGACAAGGGCACTGATGCCCAAAAAGATAAAGGCCTTCCTCAGAATCTTATGGGAAAAGTCAAATTATTTAAAATTAGCTCCAGGGTTCATGAGTAAGATTAATTGGTAGAAGTTAAATGGCTATATGGTTCACGTTTAAAAATAATTTCTAAAAATTGGATACCCCTTATGAGAGAAAATATAAGTGGCTTTGAGTAATAGTTTATATTCCAATTATTGCAAGTAATCAATCATATACCAGGTAATTTCCTGACATGAGTTACATACCAAAAATTATATTGGATGAAAAGCTCGAATGAATATAGGTAACATTCCACTCTAATGTAGCTTTCTGTATCTTAGAACATTCAACTTTATTAAGACTTTATAGTTTTTAGGAATAGAGTTAATAAAGAACTTGGAATCTTCTATCAAGAAATAAAGAGGTGGGAGTGGGGAGATCTACCTCTGGAGATTCTCATGTGTTCAGGATATATTCAACGTTTATTTGTTCCTAGGCAGGGTACAGAATAAACTGATACCCGTAAGTCCATTCTAGCCCAATGTTTCAAAAAATGCTGGCATTTTAGTGAAATGTAATATGGATAACATAAGGTAACATTGCGAATAGTGAAGTCTGCAACTAAAAGATAAAGCATTTAAATGTCAAATAGCATTGTGTAAATAAATCTAAAATGAAATTTTCAACCAGTTTTTAAAACTTACTTCCACTAACAAACATAACATAGTGTCATGCAGAAGATGATGAGGAAGCAAAGAATATGTTAAGGAAACCTGTAGAAAACCAAATGCCTTCTTGTATTAAATGAGTTTACCATGTCTTTCAAGGAATAATCATGTTTATACAAATGTGTGTGGTTTCCAGGACCCATTTTTCTTTTCCTTCCCTATACATGCAAACATATACAAATATATCAGCTCACATACTTATTTCCCTGTGGTTTCAGACTATTAAATGTTTATAATTACTCTGCTTGATGACTGTAATTTTTAGTTACAGATCGAATTGTCCCAGGTGTGGATGCTGCCAAAAGCCACGGTCATTGGCAACATGACATCTGGAAGACAGTCTGGCATGTAGAGTCAGGGAATTTGCTAGAAGTTGTTCCTCATACAGTGCAATAGTACAAGCAAGCATTGTGACTCCCTGCAGCTGGTGCTGTCAGTGCCCTATCCATATGCCTCAGACCTTTAATTGTGTTTCTGAGGAATGCTTCTAACTCCTAGTATCTGCAGGTTTGTTCCTCAGCACTTTTTCCAAAAACTGTGGGAAATTGCACTGCTTATATGCACAAGTGAGCTTCATATAAGGAGAAAGAAAACCCTCTAGGAATAGTTCTTAATTAATGACTCTCAAGAGGTGCTGTATAAATACCAACTTCTCTCACCTCTCTGGTGGGATAACTCTGTGAGGTGTGCTTTATGTCATGTCAGAGTTTCTCTGCAGGATTGCCTGCTATATTCACTGCTTGAATAGAAAATTCTTTTTTTTTTTTCCTTTGAGACAGAGTCTCACTCTGTCCCCCAGGCTGGAGTCCAGTGGCACAATCTCGGGTCACTGCAACCTCTGCCTCCCAGGTTCAAGCAATTCTTGGGCCTCAGTCTACCGAGTAGCTGGGACTACAGACATGCACTACCATGCCCACCTATTTTTTGTATTTTTAGTAGAGACACGGATTCACCATGTTGGCCAGACTGGTCTTGAACTCCTGGCCTCAAGTAATCTGCCTGCCTCTGCCTCCCAAAGTGCATTGCAGCTGTGGGCCACCGCGCCTGGCCAAATGTTCTTTACTGGACGCCTTCAATCCCCTTGTCATTTCCTCATTTTCTTTCTGGCCTGCACTTCTTAAACTAGTTACACTGTAATACTTGTTTTAGAGTCTGCTTCTGTGATTAACGTTTCTGATCAGTAAAATGGCATAGCACTGCTTACCTCAAGAGATGGCCGTATTTTGTCAGAGAAAGAATGTACTTCACGTTTTGCCTAATAAAGTAAACGTTCAGGACCCAGCAGTTGCATTTTAAATGATCCCAGTGTTTGCCCTGTTTTTGAAGTACACATGTGCTTCTGGGAAAACTCAAACTAAGACACACCCCACACCCAACTGGCAAACACATGCCCTGTTGAAAGAGTCTGCAGAAGAGTCCTTGCTTCAGGTACATTTTTCACATTCCAGTCCCAGTTTAGCCCTCCCCCATCACCTTAATGACCACCATTGCATAACAAGCAATGCCTTCTTGTGAGGCATTAGAGGTGACTAGGAGTGAGCTTTAGGGTGGGTACCCTTCAGGGGGTTTCTTTTTTTTTTTTTTTCCTTGACTAGGAGTCTGGCTCTGTTGCCCAGGCTGGAGTGCAGTGGCGTGATCTCAGCTCAGTGCAACCTCTACTCACGGGTTCAAGCAATTTTCCTGCCTCAGCCTCCCGAGTAGCTGGGATTATAGGCACTTGCCACCATGCCCAGCTAATTTTTGTATTTTTAGTAGAGACATGGTTTCACCATGTTGGCCAGGCTGATCTCAAACTCCTGACTTCAAGTGATCTGCCCACCTTGGTCTTCCAAAGAGCTGGGATTACAGATGTTAGCCACCGCTCCCAGCCCCAGCCTTCATATTGTTTATCTTGATTTCTTTTTTCTTCTCTGTTGTAGTGGATAGCACCAGACAATCAGTAGTTGAAGCCCTTTTCACATCTTCACTGGGCATTCTATTAAATGACATATGTGTTCTCCCCAAACTCTAACATCTGTTCATTGAAAATAGGGCAAACACCAAGACCATTTGTAATACAATTGCTGACTATTGAATATTTACTTTGTTAGAAAAAATGCTAAGTACTTTACAATATTTCTCTGCAATAAAACTCATCTTTTGAGCTAACAATGCTATTCTCATTCTACTAAGGAGAAACTTTAGTCACAGAGAGATTAAATAATTTGCTCAACAACACACAAGGAAGTAAGAGTCTGGGAGAGAATTTGTACTTTTCCCTTCCTTTTAGATGTCATTCATAAAAAAAAAAAATTAGTGTACCTGATTTTGTACTCCTAGCCACTATTTAATCCTGCCTCTGTAATTAGCTTTTATGGATAAGTTTATCTTTCCGTACTCAGAAAATAAAATAGTAAAATAAAAAGGCAGCACAAGGTGTCACTAAGTGGCTTTCACCAGAGGTGAAGTTGTACAGAATTAGAGAGGGGTTTTAACCACATCTAGAGCACTGCCCATAGAGGAATGCAGACCAATTTCTGAAGTCAATTTGTGTTATCCCCTGCTCCTTAACCTGGGTTCCAATACCAGTTACATTTAAGGAACTCTCCTTCCCCCTCTTTCCAGACATTTCCATGGTAGAAACACAGTAGTAGTTCAGGAGTTAGGAGACCTGGGCTTTAGAGCTTTTTATAAAATGGGATGTCTGAATTTGATAGTGTGCAATGTTCCTTCCAACTCCAAACAGATGTTGTCATTTTCACAGCCTCTAGAAGCCACAGGTACCTTCTCAATTAGAAGTTCTAAATGATTTGTAATAGTGAGCACTATTTGGATTCCTGACAGCCTATATCAGGAAAATAAGCAAAGTTTTGGATCAAGTGCTTATATCTAAAGCCATTGCTTTATAAGCTGGTCTTCACTGCCAATTCCTTCTTCCCTATAGATTGTTGGTATTTCTGGTCTGGATGGGTTACAAGAATTTATTTTATTGATTTCCTGAATCTCTGTACATCCTTAAAATAATTCAGAATTGGAAAGAAATACATTTAGCTCTTTGTCACATAGTGTAGAGATCTTTTGACATAAAGAGAGAGCTGCTGATATTCTGTTTCCCCTAATGCCTGAGTGTGGCATGGTTTCAAAGGGTTGCTTTATCACATGTAGACATGGAGGGACCATCAGGTAATGAGATATAACATTTCCTGGAAATTAATTAGTGGTGTGTTGTCCAGGAACTAAATTTCTTTTACTCCTGTTTGCCACCTGTCCTGGATGTCTAGTGCCGAATTTGAATTTCCATGCCAAACTGAAAAAGCAGCATTGGCTTTAGTTGCCCTCTTTTTCACATTAACTTAGGGTTTTAGCATGTAAAGCGACTGCGTTGTTTTAGTGGAATGAACTTAGAATGAACTTCAACAGTGATGAACTGATAACCAATTAAATAAATAATTGATTCATCTGAGAACAGTCTGACTCCTAGAAGTGGTGTTCCTAAGAAGCTTTTGTGTAACTGCCCTCTGGAAAGCCTCACAAGTTGTTGCCTTTCTTTCTTTATTTTTTCCAAATGGACAATTTTTGACAAACAAACTTCTAAGAGCAGTCAAGTGTCAAATACAAAGTTATGGCTGGTGCAGCTGCCTTTGGGATCACACGCTCCATTTATTCATTATAGAAAGCTCAGATGCACAAACATGTGGTGCCATTTTGTGTACCTGTCAGTTTAGTGCGTTTAATGAACATTGATCATGCTCATCCAGACACACTTCTCGATGCTGCAAGCAGGAAGTCAGTGGTTTCTGAAAGACAGGGTGAAAACTTGTTTTTTTTTTTTTTTTCAAATGTGCCTCTGTGGAATCCTTTTTGCCCAAAATAGATGCATTAATAAACATGACTAAAATGTACCTTAAATTCACTACAAAAGAGAAAAGATGTTGATGAAAAATTTGCTCTGGTTTTGCTAATATTAAGTCCAGTATTTGTCTACTTAAAGTAGAAGTTTTGATGACTTGGATAATCATTAGATTGCTATCTAGCTATTTGTAGTTTTGTAGCATCATCTGTTCCAAAACTGATTTTTTGCTCTCTTTTAATACCCTGTTAATTACAAAACCTCCTACTGGGTAGTTTTACCATACATAAATTCTGTCAAGTACTGCTGAATTAATTGGTGCCGAACATCGTTCCGGTCTATGGTGGGAGTAATAGTTCTTATTTTCTTGCCTTTTAATGTTTGGACACAGGAAAAGGAATATCACACACCAGGGCCTGCTGTGGGGTGGAGGGAGGGGGTTTTTTTTGATTAGGCAACATACCTAATGTAAATGACGAGTTAATGGGTGTAGCACACCAACATGGCTGTCAAAATTCCTTTCAAAATTCTCATAAAAGAGGTAGTTTAGCTTCTTTTTTTAAATTGTATTATACTTTGAGTTCTAGGGTACATGTGCACAACGTGCAGGGTTGTTACATACGTATACATCTGCCATGTTGGTGTGCTACACCCATTAACTCGTCATTTACATTAGGTATGTTTCCTAATGCTATCCCTCCCCCCTCCCTCCACCCTACAGCAGGCCCTGGTGTGTGATGTTCCTTTTCCTGTGTCCAACTGTTCTCACTGTTCAATTCCCACCTATGAGTGAGAACATGTGATGTTTGTTTTTTTGTCCTTGTGATAGTTTGCTGACAATGATGGTTTCCAGCTTCATCCATGTTCCTACAAAGGACATGAACTCATCCTTTTTTATGGCCGCATAGTATTCCATGGTATATATGTGCCACATTTTCTTAAGCCAGTCTATCATTGATGGAGATTTGGGTTGGTTCCAAGTCTTTGCTATTGTGAACAGTGCCGCACTAAACATATGTGTGCATGTATCTTTATAGCAGCATGATTTATAATCCTTTGGGTATATACCCAGTAATGGGATGACTGGATCAAATGGTATTTCTAGTTCTAGATCCTTGAGGAATGGCCACACTGTCTTCCACAATGGTTGAGCTAGTTTACAGTCCCACCAACAGTGTAAAAGTGTTCCTATTTCTCCACATCCTCTCCAGTACCTGTTGTTTCCTGACTCTTTAATGATCGCCATTCTAACTGGTGTGAGATGGCGTCTCATTGCGGTTTTGATTTGCATTTCTCTGATGGCCAGTGATGGTGAGCATTTTTTCATGTGTCTGTTGGCTGCATAAATGTCTTTCTTCTTTTGAGAAGTGTCTGTTCATATCCTTTGCCCACTTGTTGATGGGGTTGTTTGACTTATTCTTGTAAATTTGTTAGAGTTCTTTGTAGATTCTGGATATTACCCATTTGTCAGATGGGTAGATTGCAAAAATTTTCTCCCATTCTGTAGGTTGCCTGTTCACTCTGATGGTAGTTTCTTTTGCTGTGCAGAAGCTCTTTGGTTTAATTAGATCTCATTTGTCCATTTTGGCTTTTGTTGCCATTTCTTTTGGTATTTTAGACATGAAGTGCTTGCCCATTCCTATGTCCTGAATCGTATTGCCTAGGTTTTCTTCTAGGGTTCTTATGGTTTTAGATCTAACATTTAAGTCTTTAATCCATCTTGAATTAATTTTTGTATAAGGTGTAAGGAAGGGATCCAGTTTCAGCTTTCAACATATGGCTAGCCAGTTTTCCCAGCACCATTTATTAAATAGGGAATCCTTTCCCTATTTCTTGTTTTTGTCAGGTTTGTCAAAGATCAGATGGTTGTAGATGTGTGGTGTTATTTCTGAGGGCTCTGTTCTGTTCCATTGGTCTTCATCTCTGTTTTGGTACCAGTACCATGCTGTTTTGGTTACTGTAGCCTTGTAGTATAGTTTGAAGTCAGGTAGCGTGATGCCTCCAGCTTTGTTCTTTTGGTTTAGGATTGTCTTGGCAATGTGGGCTCTTTTTTGGTTCCATATGAACTTTAAAGTAGTTTTTTCCAAGTCTGTGAAGAAAGTCATTGGTAGCTTGATGGGGATGGCATTGAATCTATAAATTACCTTGGGCAGTATGGCCATTTTCACGATATTGACTCTTCCTATCCATGAGCATGGAATGTTCTTCCATTTCTGTCCTCTTTTATTTCATTGAGCAGTGCTTTGTAGTTCTCCTTGAAGAGCTCCTTCACAACCCTTGTGAGTTGGATTCCTAGGTATTTTATTCTCTTTGAAGCAATTGTGAATGGGAGTTCACTCATGATTTGGCTCTCTGTTTGTCTCTTATTGGTGTATAAGAATGCTAGTGATTTTTGCACATTGATTTTGTATCCTGAGACTTTGCTGAAGTTGCTTATCAGCTTAGGGAGATTTTGGGCTGAGACAATGGGATTTTCTAAATATACAATCATGTCTTCTGCAAGCAGGGGCAATTTGACTTCCTCTTTTCCTAATTGAATGCCCTTTATTTCCTTCTCCTGCCTGATTGCCCTGGCCAGAACTTCCAACACTATGTTGAATAGGAGTGGTGAGAGAGGGCATCCCTGTCTTGTGCCAGTTTGCAAACGAAATGGTTCCAGTTTTTGCCCATTCAGTATGATGTTAGCTGTGGGTTTGTCATAAATAGCTCTTATTATTTTGAGATACGTCCCATCAATACCTAATTTGTTGAGAGTTTTTAGCATGAACGGCTGTTGAATTTTGTTGAAGTCCTTTTCTGCATCTATTGAGATAATCATGTGGTTTTTGTCCTTGTTTCTTTTTATGTGATGGATTACGTTTATTGATTTTCGTTATGTTGAAGCAGCCTTGCATCCCAGGGATGAAACCCACTTGATCATGGTGGATAAGCTTTTTGATGTGCTGCTGGATTCGGTTTGCCAGTATTTTAATGAGTATTTTTGCATCGATGTTTATCATGGATATTGGTCTGAAATTCTCTTTTTTTTGTTGTGTCTCTGCCAAGCTTTGGTATCAGGATGATGCTGGCCTCATAAAATGAGTTAGGGAGGATTCCTTCTTTTTCTATTGATTGGAATAGTTTCAGAAGGAATGGTACCAGCCCCTCTTTGTACCTCTGGTAGAATTCAGCTGTGAATCTGTCTGGTCCTGGACTTTTTTTGGTTGGTAGGCTCTTAATTATTGCCTCAATTTCAGTGGCTGTTATTGGTCTATTCAGGGATTCAACTTCTTCCTGGTTTAGTCTTCGGAGGGTGTATGTGTCCAGAAATTTATCCATTTCTTCTAGATTTTCTAGTTTATTTGAATAGAAGTGTTTGTAGTATTCTCTGATGGTAGTTAATATTTCTGTGGGATCATTAATGATATCCCCTTTATCTTTTTTTATTACGTCTATTTGATTCTTCTCTCTTTTCTTCTTTATTAGTCTTGCTAGCGGTCTATCACTTCTGTTGATCTTTTCAAAAAACCAGCTCCTGGATTCATTGATTTTTTTGAAGGGTTTTTTGTGTCTCTATCTCCTTCAGTTCTACTCTGATCTTAGTTATTTCTTGCCTTCTGCTAGCTTTTGAATGTGTTTTCTCTTGCTTCTCTAGTTCTTTTAATTGTGATGTTAGGGTGTCAATTTTAGATCTTTCCTGCTTTCTCTTGTGGGCATTTAGTGCTATAAATTTCCCTCTACACACTGCTTTAAATGGGTGCCAGAGATTCTGGTATGTTGTGTCTTTGTTCTCATTGGTTTCAAAGAACATCTTTATTTCTGCCTTCATTTCGTTATGTACCCAGTAGTCATTCAGGAGCAGGTTGCTCAGTTTCCATGTAGTTGAGCAGTTTTGAGTGAGTTTCTTAATCCTGAGTTCTAGTTTGATTGCACTGTGGTCTGAGAGACAGTTTGTTATACTTCCTGTTCTTTTACATTTGCTGAGGAGTTCTTTACTTCCAACTTTGTGGTCAATTTTGGAATAAGTGTGATGTGGTGCTGAGAAGAATGTATATTCTGTTGATTTGGGGTGGAGAGTTCTGTAGATGTCTATTAGGTCCGCTTGGTGCAGAGCCGAGTTCAATTCCTGGATATCCTTGTTAATTTTCTGCCTCATGGATCTGTCTAATATTGACAGTGGGGTGTTAAAGTCTCCCATTATTATTGTGTGGATGTCTAAGTCTCTTTGTAGGTCTTTAAGGACTTGCTTTATGAATCTGGGTGCTCCTGTATTGGGTGCACATATATTTAGGATAGTTAGCTCTTCTTGTTGAATTGATCCCTTTACCATATGTAATGGCCTTCTTTGTCGCTTCTGATCTTTGTTGGTTTAAAGTCTGTTTTATCAGAGACTAAGATTGCAACCCCTGCCTTTTTTTGTTTTCCATTTGCTTGGCAGATCTTCCTCCATCCCTTTATTTTGAGCCTATGTGTGTCTCTTCACGTGAGATGGGTGTCCTAAATACAGCACACTGACAGGTCTTGACTCTTTATCCAATTTGCCAGTCTGTGTCTTTTAATTGGAGCATTTAGCCCATTTACATTTAAGGTTAATATTGTTATGTGTGAATTTGATCCTGTCATTATGATGTTAGCTGGTTATTTTGCTGAGTAGTTGATGCAGTTTCTTCCTAGCCTCGATGGTCTTTACAATTTGGCATGTTTTTGCAGTGGCTGGTACCGGTTGTTGCTTTCCATGTTTAGTGCTTTCTTCAGGAGCTCTTGTAAGGCAGGCCTGGTGGTGAGAAAATCTCTCAGCATTTGCTTGTCTGTAAAGGATTTTATTTCTCCTTCACTTATGAAGCTTAGTTTGGCTGGATATGAAATTCTGGATTGAAAATTCTTTGCTTTAAGAATGTTGAATATTGGCCCCCAACTCTCTTCTGGCTTGTAGAGTTTCTGCCGAGAGATCAGCTGTTAGTCTGATGGGCTTCTCTTAGCGGGTAACCCAACCTTTCTCTCTGGCTGCCCTTAACATTTTTTCCTTCATTTCAACTTTGGTGAATCTGACAATTATGAGTCTTGGAGTTGCTCTTCTCGAGGAGTATCTTTGTTGCATTCTCTGTATTTCCTGAATTTGAATGTTGGCTTGCCTTGCTAGTTGGGGAAGTTCTCCCAGATAATATCCTGCAGAGTGGTTTTCCAACTTGGTTCCATTCTCCCCGTCACTTTCAGGTACACCAATCAGACGTGGATTTGGTCTTTTCACATAGT
Source organism: Homo sapiens (assembly GCF_000001405.40). Taxonomy (NCBI): domain Eukaryota; kingdom Metazoa; phylum Chordata; class Mammalia; order Primates; family Hominidae; genus Homo; species Homo sapiens. The sequence goes on from NC_000003.12 coordinate 2,428,743, forward strand.
CCCATATTCCTTGGAGGCTTTGTTCGTTTCTTTTTACTCTTTTTTCTCTAAACTTCTCTTCTTGCTTCATTTCATTCATCTGATCTTCAGTTACTGATACCCTGTCTTCCAGTTGATCGAATCGGCTACTGAAGCTTATGCATGCATCAGGTAGTACTCGTGCCATGGTTTTCAGCTCCATCAGGTCATTTAAGGACTTCTCTGCGCTGTTGATTCTAGTTAGCCATTCATCTAATCTTTTTTCAAGGTTTTTAGCTTCTTTGTGATGGGTTCGGACATCCTTCTTTTGCTCAGAGAGGTTTGTTATTACCGATCGTCTGAAGCCTTCTTCTCTCAACTTGTCAAAGTAATTCTCCATCCAGGTTTGTTCCATTGCTGGCGAGGAGCTGCATTCCTTTGAAGGCAAAGAGGCCCTCTGATTTTTAGAATTTTCAGGTTTTCTGCTCTGCTTTCTCCCCATCTTTGTGGTTTTATCTACCTTTGGTCTTTGATGATGGTGACCTACAGATGGGATTTTGTTGTGGATGTCCTTTCTGTTTGTTAGTTTTCCTTCAAACAGTCAGGACCCTCAGCTGCAGGTCTGTTGGAGTTTGCTGGAGGTCCACTCCAGACCCTGTTTGCCTGAGTGTCAGCAGCAGAGGCTGCGGAACAGCAAATACTGCAGAACAGCAAATGTTGCTGCCTGATCGTTCCTCTGGAAGCTTCGTCTCAGATGGGCACCCGGCCATATGAGGTGTCAGTCGGCCCCTACTGGGAGGTGCCTCCCAGTTAGGCTACTTGGAGGTCAGGGACCCACTTGAGGCGGCAGTCTGTCCGTTCTCAGATCTCAAACTCCGTGCTGGGAGAACCACTACTCTCTTCAAAGCTGTCAGACAGGGACGTTTAAGTCTGCAGTAGTTTCTGCTGCCTTTTGTTCAGCTGTGCCATGCCCCGAAGAGTTGGAGTCTACAGAGGCAGGCAGGCCTCCTTGAGCTGCAGTGGGCTCCACCCAGTTTGAGCTTCCTTGCTGCTTTGTTTACCTACTCAAGCCTCAGCAATGGTGGGTGCCCCTCCCCCAGCCTTGCTGCCACCTTGCAGTTCCATCTCAGACTGCTGTGCTAACAATAAGTGAGGCTCCGTGGGCATGGGACCCTCCAAGCCACGCGCGGGATATAATTTTGCTAAAACCATTGGAAAAGTGCAGTATTAGGATGGGAGTCACCCAATTTTCCAGGTGCCATCTGTCACGGCTTCCCTTGGTGAGGAAAGGGAATTCCCGGACCCCTTGCGCTTCCCGGGTGAGGTGATGCCTCGCTCTGCTTCAGCTCATGGTCCATGGGCTGCACCTACTGTCCTGTACCCGCTGTCCGACAATCCCCAGTGAGATGAACCTGGTACCTCAGTTAGAAATGCAGAAATTGGCCGGGCTCAGTGGCTCACACCTGTAATCCCAGCACTTTGGGAGGCCGAGGCGGGTGGATCACGAGGTCAGGAGATTGAGACCATCCTGGCTAACACGGTGAAACCCCATCACCCTAAAAATACAAAAAATTAGCCGGGCGTGGTGGCGGGCGCCTGTAGTCCCAGCTACTTGGGAGGCTGAGGCAGGAGAATGGCATGAACCTGGGAGGCGGAGCTTGCAGTGAGCCAAGATTGGGCCACTGCACTCCAGCCTGGGTGACAGAGCAAGACTCTTGTCTCAAAAAAAAAAAAAAAAAAAGGAAATGCAGAAATCACCTGTCTTCTGCATTGCTTACACTGGGAGCTGTAGGCTGGAGCTGTTCCTAGTCGGCCATCTTAGAACCTCCCCTAGTTTAGCTTATTATAATTAGAAGGTGCCATTTTTTAATAAATTTTTTGTTTGCTGTGTCAGTTTTTATTGGGAGCAAATTACCAAAAAAAAAAAAAAAAAAAAATTCTGTGTTCAATTAGTTTACCCCAGCTAGAGGTGCATTATATTTAGCAATGATTTACTTATAACTGTTGTGTGGGAGAATATCCTAATCAGTTTTTGGAAAAGGCTAAGTATACCTATATTATTCTACATGTGTTGTTATTTTAGCATTTATATTTCTTTTGATTGAGATTTTGTTTCATCACCCTGGGGCACAAGATAGCTCAAGAAGACAGATGTGCTCAAATTATGCAACAGACTTATCTAAACAGCTCATGGGTCTTCCAAGTTCCTGATGAAAATTAGAATTGAATCATAATGCTAAGTGTCTCACATATCCACCCTTTAGACTTGATCATCTTGTGAAATAAATGGAGCATTGCATCCAGTATGTGGTACACTTCAAGAAAAAAAAATATTCACCTAGCCTTTTTGTGGTCTAAGACTCTATCATTTAAAAACTTTAAACAAGTATATAATGAAGTGTATTCAGAGATATTCATTGTAGCTTTGTTTGTAATATGAAAAAATCATGAATAATCTAATATTCTATCAGTAGAGGAAAGGTTCTAAAAGGTATGGGCCGCACCTGTACTAGAATATTATAACCCCATTAAAAATAAGATAGGCCAGTATATTCTGTTATGAAGAGATGTGTGTGTCCGTGAGAAAAGCAGCATATAGAACAATATGCATATTGTGATTATTTTCATTTCATAAATGCATTGAAAAAATGTACTTCTTTTTTATATGTACGTGTATGTAGGTAAATGCAAAGAATAAGTTTTGAAGCAAAATTATCTTCCTTTATGGAGGAGAATGGGATAGGGCACATTGAAAAGGTGCTTTTGATACAAACATCTCCACTTTTCAGTTTTGCAAAAGTGATGCATTAGACTGAATTTTGTCTAATTGTGTGTAATTGACTTTTTTTAAAGAAGAAATTCCGTGGAATAGATAAGAGGAACCATAATTAATCCAATCAACTCAGAGGGACTGAACACGTGTTATGTGTCAGTCACTATGCTTGCCGCTGAGGACACAGTAGAGAGCAAAGAAACATGCTGGCCCTGACCTCAGGGATATAGAAACTATAGGAAATTGTATAAGTGTGCAAATTTATTATTATGTAGGAAAAGTACAGGAAATTAGAAAATCTTACAGTTTTCTGGTCAGTGAAGTTTTCCTGAGGAAGGAATTTTTGCACCAACAACTGGAGCCTGAATCAAGGTTAACTATACAAGGAGGTTATTTATGAAGTCAAAACAATTGAAACACTAAAGAGAGAGTTGGGTGAATAAACATATAGAGTATACCTGAGTTAAGTGGAAATTTTAAGAAATAGGCCAGATTATCTCATCTATCTTATTGAATTCAACTAATCTGTAATGCCCTGCAAATCGCAAACCATCCAAAAAGATGGGTCACTGTAACTCTCACTGCACAAACAATGAGCCAGGTAATATTGAAGCCAGAATATTTTTGTTTCTTCATTTTTGATTTACTTACGTAGAAGTGGCCCAAGTGAGTTTCAACTCACCATCACCCACATTATTTGAGTAACTAAACATCTGCCATTGCCCAAGCCATACCCAAATATCACCTGAACTAACTCTCCCTTTCTCCCTTCCATCACTGTGCTTATGCATTCATGTGTCCAATAAAATATTTATGGAACGTTTTGTATATGCTAGATGTTGGGGAAAGCAAACATGGTCCTTACTCTATAAATGTGTATTCTGTTGGAAGAAACAGACAAAAATTAATAGTCACAAAAAGTGATTAATGTTATGAATTAAATGATTGAGGTGCCAAGATAGAGAATAAAGAAGAGGGCTTATTTTAGTTGTTTTTTTCAGTGAAGGTCTCTGAGGAAGTAGCACTGAGCTGAGACTTCAGCATTAGAAAGAGCCAGATATGACAGCATTTCTCCCCCTTTTTAAAGCCAAATAGTATTCCACCCTGTGTGTGTGTGTATGTGTGTGTGTGCGTGTGTGTATGTGTGTATATATATGTGTGTGTATGTATGTGTATATATATGTGTGTGTATATATATGTGTGTGTATGTATATATATACCACATTTTCTTTATCCATTTATGTGATAATGGACACCAAGATTGCTTTCATATTTTAGCTCTTGTGAATAATGCTGCTGCAGTGAACGTGGTAGTGCAGATATGTCTGGCACACTAACTGCTTTTTTTTTTTTTTGATACGGTCTCACTCTGTCACCTAGGCTGGAGTGCAGTGGTGAGCTCTTGGTTCACTGCAGCATCCACAGCTCAGGCTTGAGTGATCTCACCTCAGCTTCCCAAGTAGCTGGATTACAGGTGCACACCACCACACCCAGCTCATTTGTTTTTTTGTTTGTTTGTTTGTTTGTTTAGTTAAGATGGGGTTTTGCCGTGTTGCTCAAGTTGGTCTGGAACTCCTGGGCTCAAGCAATCCACCCACCTCAGCCACATAAAGTGCTGGATTATAGGCATGAGCCACAGTGCCCAGCAAAACACACTAATTTCAATTACTTTGGACATATACCCAGAAGTGAAATTATTAGAATCATATAGTAATTCTATTTTTAGTTTTCTAAGGAACTGCCATACTGTTTTCTGTATTGGCTTACTAATCTACATTCCCATGAATAGTGCACAATGGTTTCCCTTTCTCCACACCTTTGCCAACACTTCCTTTGTCTCTTCCATAATTGTTCTAACAGATATCAGGTGATAGCTCATTGTGGTTTTAATTTGTGTTTCCCTGATTATCGGTGATGATGAGCATGTTTGCATAAACCTATTGGCCATTTGTATGTCTACTTTAGAGAAGTGTCTATTTAGGTGGCTCATTTTTTTATTAGGTTATTTGTGGGTTTTTTTGCTGTTGAGTTTCATATATATTTTGGATATTAGCCCTTTATTAGATGTATGGCTTACAAATATTTTCCCCCAATCTGTGGTTGTCTCTTTATTAGTTGTTTCTTTGGCTGTACAGAAGCTTTTTAGTTTGATGCAGTCCCATTTCTTTATTTTTGGTTTTGTTGCCTGCGCTTTTGGGGTCATATCTAAGAAATCTTTGCCCAGACCAATGTTGCGGAGCATTTCCTGTATGTTTTCTTCTAGTAGTTTTGTAGTTTTCGGTGTTATATTCAAGTCTTTAATCCATTTTGAGTTGATCTAGGTTTACGATGTGAGGTAAGTTTCCAATTTCATTCTACTTGCGAGTGTCTTGCCAGTTGCCACAACATGGATGAACTTGGAGGACATTATGCCAATTGAAATAAGCCAGGCGCAGAAGGACAAATACCATATGATTTGACTTGCATGTGGAATTTTACAAAGTTGAACTCATAGAAGTAGAGAGTGATGGTTACCAGAGGCTGGGGGAGGGATTGGATAGGGAAAGGGGAAATGTTGATCAAAGGGTGCAAAGTTTAATTTAGACAGGAGGAATAAGCTTTGGTGATCTATTGCACAAAGTGATGACTATAATAAATAATAATGCATTACATACTTCAAAATTGCTGAGTAAATTTTAAATGTTTTGCCATAAAAAATTAAAAGTATGTGAAGTGATGAATTTGTTCATTAGCCTGATTTAATCATTTCATATTGTAAACATATTTGATAACTTCACATTGTACCCCACAAACATGTATAATTATTAGTTGTCAGTTACAAATAAAATTTAAAAGAATTGAACAAATAAAATGTAAAAATATATCTGTTTAAAAACAAAAAAGAAAGAAAGACTCTACAAGAAGAGTAAAGGGAAGGGCATGTGCAAAAGTCTTGAGCTAGGAAAGAATTTGGGACATTCAGCCACTGAAACAAGGAGAATGTAAATGGAGAAGCATAGCTTCAGTTGAACAAAGATTGTAGTCCCAGATTGGTGCAGCATCTGAGGGGAAAACAATGAAGGCACAGCCCTTATTGAGACAGTGAAAGATTAGAGTTTGTTTTGTAATTTCCGGGGCTGGCACTGTTTTTCTTGGAATCATTGAATCTTAGGTGTGGAAGACTCTAAAAGGTGATGTAATTAGGTCATTTTCTCTGTTGCAGGCACTTTATATTGGAGGTGTGAGTAGCTAAAGTTCTCTATGACTACAATTTTTTTCCACACCTTGGAGCCGTTTTTGTGACAGACTCAAAGACCTATCATCCATTTCTTCCACGAAGGCAATATTGAATATATTTGGAGCATCACTCCTGCCTCTTCCTATATGCTGTTAATTCATGTCGCCAGCGTCCTAAATGAAAGTCTTCTTCATATCCAAAGAATCTTGGCAATAGGAAGCATTTAAAGTCGTCATTATTTTAAGTGAAGCTCTCTTAAACTCTGAGACAGAGGAGAATAATTCTCTTATACCACAAGAAGGGCTTTTTCAAATGGTCCCCCATGAAATCTATTTCTGTGTCTTTCCAAAATATGTGAAGCAGAGAGTTGAGCCAATTATCTAAATCATTTAAGTCAAAGAGCTTAATACTAAAGTGAATATCCTGAATTATTCCCATGATTGTGTGTATTATTAAACACCATTAATTCTACCAATTAATTACCAATTCATAAACTTCTAAAAAACTTAAATATAAATACAGTCATCCCTCAGTGTCTGCGAGGAATTGCTTCCAGGACCTCCCTTATATACCAACATCCATGGATGCTCAAGTCCCTTATATAAAATGGCATAGTATTTGGACATAACCAATGCACATTCTCCTGTATACCTTAAATCACCTCTGGATTACTTATAATACCTAATACAGTGTAATTCTATGTAAATAGTTGTTGTACCATTTAGGGAATAATGATGAGGGGGAAATGTCTGTACATGTTCAGTACAGACACAACCATCCAACTTTTTCCAAATATTTTTGATCTGCAGTTGGTTATTAGGGAGAGGCCAACTGTATAAGCTGTATACAATCTGTAATAGTGACCCTGGCAGCCTGTTTCAGCAAGGCTTCTCAGTTGACCTGCAGAACACAGGAAATTATTTTAGTTACTCATCTTCTTAGTTCTCCCAAAAAATGCTAATGCTGTTCTGTTAGTATTTTAGGTGCATAAGAGAAGCAGATAATCTATTACATACAAGGGATGTTCCTCTATTTAGAAAGCCCACTTAAGAAAGGCTGGTAGGTTATTTAAAAATAAAACCTAGACATAAATACATGCCTACATGCAATCTGTACAAATTCTACAGAAATCATTTTATATCTATTTACTCTTATTTTCTTCCCACAGAACGTGGAGCACTACTATGATTTCTATTCCCTTGTAATTAATTTCTGGTTGTCGACTTAAACTGTGCCTTTATTGGCAAAGTAAAGTGTTAAGGCAATTGAAGAGACAATGCAGGTCAAAAAACTGTTTATATCTCTATTAGAGGCAAAAGCTAGACCCTTAGTAAATGTCTGTTGAGTGAAGTTGAATTGAATTAGTTTGAGTTGAATTGAATTGAATTGCTTTGAGAGAGCAGTAGCTGGAGCCAATTATGACTTTATCCTTTGGCCAGTATTTTCAGCTGAATGTTTCAACAATTATTCATTCAACCAACATTTTTATTGAGTGCATACCTATTATGAGCCAGGCAAAAATGTGGTTCAGGGTTGTAGATTCAAAGATTAAATAAACAAGGTCCCTAGCTTATTATTACTCAAGATGTACAAAGGAAGATAATGCCATCCATGTGTAAAAGTAAAGAGTTGTAGGCATCTCTCACAAGCATAAGTAAATGAGACAGGAAAGGCAGTGAGTGCTATAGGAGAAGGCATTCTGAAGGACTCAGCAACTGATTAGAGTCTCAAGGTATGACCTTCCTAATCAGATGAGGAAGGACGTATAATTGCCATTTAGTAGGCAAGAGATAATGTTAGTATTTTCTCTTAGGTGTTTTTTAAGCTTTTAATTATTTTATTGAATCTTTCTGGAATCACTCTCTTTTGGCCTTTGGTGTTGTGGATGTGGAAATAGGGTGTTAGAAAGGAATCCTTTGTGATTTTAATGTTTGGTTGGGATGTTAACTGCAAATTATGCCATCAACTCTGACAGCTATTTTATATATATTCATTCTCACTACAGTTTTTAATCTCTGATCTGCAGTTTAATGTCTCTTATATCTTTTATTTTAAGCAACTTCATATATTTCCTTCAAATATATATGAAATATATGTATATATTTTCTTCAAATATATATGAAATATATGTATATATTTTCTTCAAATATATATGAAATATATGTATATATTTTATAAATAGATATGGAGGTAAATTGGTAGATTGAAAATAAAATATATGTATTAAGTTGAGAATATACCTTAGAACTATACTTTCCTTCTTTTGGGAATTGGCTAGTTGATTTTTCTGATCGGTTTTTTTCTTTAGAGTATAGAATGGTGGACTTGGAGTTTATAGGTCCTTAGATAAAATGTTTACTTTGTGTATAGATTGCTTGAGACAGATTGTGTTAAGTGTTTCTTCATCTTGAACTTTTTTTCTGCTTTCTACCCATTTTTATGCCAGTGGATCCTGTTCATTGCCAAAGTGCTCAGACACATTTAAGAACTGTATATTCCTCAGTCTCAATTCTAGCGAGTAAAGGGAAGACTCTAATAATTAAGTCTGTTTAGTTGACACTTTCATAGGTTTTTCCCTCTCTTGGAATGCTTTAGAAGAAAAGTTTTTATAAAGAAACCTACTCCATTAGTGTCCCTTAAAATACTGTATAATAAAATAATATCTATTAAGAGACTCAGTTATCTTAATTTTCTTCTTGCCATGTGATGAATGACAGATTTTTACTGCCGTAAATGTGCATTTTATGTAAAGCCCTTTATATTGTGAAATTTAAAACATATAATTTCAAATAATCAAACCCCATATTTCTAAATTCCTATATTTTATTCCAGAAAACTAGCTACTTAAAAGCAATTGAAAAAAGAAAAACCCTAGCATAAGTTCTAAAAATTTTAACATGCAAAAGTATCCTTTCTATATTGATTAAAAGATAGATATACAAACTCACTCTCAACCATTCTGATGGAAAAACCCTGGCCTGGGCTCTGAAGCCATTTTTTAAATGGAAATCATGAATGATTATGATTCAGGTGGCTTCTAGTACACACTTTGAAAAACTCTGAAGCGTGAAGCGTAATCGCCAATATCTTTGAAGATTCATGACATTTATATTGGCAAGGAGGAAAGGGGCACATGGTGAGCTGAGGGAGAGTTCGTGTAGATGTCTGGGGGTAATGGCTTGCCTACTTTACCAGTTAAGGCATACATCTTGAAAATAAATCAGCATTCAATGGGGTCTTTGCAGTCTTTGATGTCTCAGTATTAATAGATCCATTCCCAGCATCAAAATTGGTACTGCATTATATTTTAAGCCTATGAGGGGATGCCCTGCCTCCAGCCAGAGTGGTTTTGCCTACCTTACCTTCTAATTTTTTAATTCCACTTCTTTTCACTTATGTTTCTATTGACCTCCGCAAGGTCATAGACTTTCTACTCTTTCTTAACAGTTTGTTCCCTTTCGCCCTTTATTTCTTTCACCAGTTCTTTAAAAGCGTTCAGCATTGTAGAATTTTCAGGATATTCCTTTATTTTAAAACTGTGTTATTTGGCTGGGCACGGTTGCTCACGCTAGTAATCCCAGCCCTTTGGGAGGCCGAGGCAGGCGGATCACCTGAGGTGTCAGGAGATGAAGACCAGGCTGGCCAACGTGGTGAAACCCCATCTCTACTGAAAATACAAAAATTAGCCAGGCATGGCGGTGCGTGCCTGTAATCCCAGCTACTTGGGTGGCTGAGGCAGAAGAATTGCTTGAACCCGGGAAGTGGAGGTTGCAGTGAGCCAGGATCAAGCCACTTTACTCCAGCCCAGGTGAAAGAGTGAGACTCTGTCTCAAAACAACCCCCCCAAAAAAAACCTGTTTTGTTTATTCATTTACTTATTTGTTTGTTTACTTTGTAGCAGGCCCAAACAATGTCTTTTACTCACACTTCCTATTCAGAATTGTTTGCCAAGATAAGAAATAACAGGCAGAAAGTCATGACTCAGTACAGTTAATGATATTCCAAAAGATGCTCAGCTCACATATGGTGGTGGATCTCCCACTGGCTTGGCAGGTGCGGTAATAGCAGGCTAAAGAATGTGGACCACGGTCTGGAGTCTGGTTCTCAAGTGGGCAATGAGTTTTAAACAGGATATGAAGCCATTTCTGATTGACTGATCTGATTAACATCTGCAGCAGTGTTTCTCCAGGTATGATTCACAGAGACGATAAAGATATACTGTATCTTCAATTCTACTTTTTAGAGAGAAAGGGGCCACTAGCTGGATGAACACTGGGACAGCAAGTGCAAACTAGGATAGTCCAGGCTAGACTGTGGCCATGGTCACCCTGCTTCTCAACTACCATACCTAGAATCATGGGAAATGTTTGTTAAAATTGGAGATCCTTAAGGATTACTTTAAGATGTCTGAAATTCAAATGGGAATCTGCAGTGCTTCCTGTTTCTGGGAAATTAAAACAAAGATAACTTTTATATTAGAGCATTAGGACATTAGATGTTTCAAAGTGTGGGCTCCTGACCAACAAATCCACACCACCTGATAACTTGTAAGAAATGCAGATCCCTAGGCCTCACCCCAGACCTACTGAACTAGAAGCTGGGATGGGGCCAGGATATCTGTTTTAAGACTTTCCAATTTATTATTTTGATGCATACTGAAGTTTGAGAACCATTGTTCTGTTGGATCTGGCAAACCAGTGTCTTTTTACTTTATTTTATTTTTTTTTACTTGGTATCATAATAATATGATTTTTAAAAATCTGGATGTTCTTCCCACTAGCATTTCCTCATGTCAGTGATGATCGAATTTTAACCATCATTGAAAGAACTATAGAGAGATAGCTATAAGGAGATATGAAGATATGAATGTTCCACCTTAGCTTGAATTGTGGTCATCTGAAGTATCTGTGTTCCTCTCTCTTTCTGTCTCTGTATGTGTGTGTGTGCGCGCGTGCTTGTGTGTGTGTCTGTATCTGATTCTAAAATGGAGGAAGAAGACAAGTCTAGTGGCTTGGATAGCTAAGGGAAAGGAGTGAAAGGAATTATGGAGAAGAGAAGAGCAATAAAACAGAGACAAACATTGAAGCAGTTGTCTTCTTAGAGGGCCTGGTTGTGATCCTCCATTTCCAGTGCCCGAGGCATTCAGCTCTGCAGTGAACACCAAGATGGTCAAGTTCACCAGATCTTTAGCTCAACACTCTGACCATTTTAAAAGCAGTGCCTTTTGAAAAAAAATCTTTGGGAGTAAATTTTTTAGTTTTAGCCTTAGGAGTGTCAAAACTAGTGCTAGCAAAAGCCTCTGGCAATAAGTAAATGAGATTAACAAAGCCAAGGGAACTGCACAGAAGTGTTACAAACCTGAAGAGCAGTTTTCTTTTTCTTCCATAAATATTATATTTGTAAAGATATGCTTGGCATTCAGTCATTTGTCCACTGTCCAGATCACTTTTTTTAAAAAATTATTATTATACTTTAAGTTTTAGGGTACATGTGCACAACGTGCAGGTTAGTTACATATGTATACCATGAAACTGGAAATCATCATTCTCAGTAAACTATCGCAAGGACAAAAAAACCAGATCACTTTTTAGTTTCATACCGGCAAAGGTACGAGCTGATGGATTAAGTCACACTGACCTCAGATCCATTAACTGACACAACTTGAAAATCCCTCATATGTCTTTAAATTCCAAATGTATGAATGAAATTTTGTGTTGTCATTTGTCATTGTGTGTCTTTGTTTAGATATGACCTTAATACATATTGTGAGCAGATAATTTGTGAATTGCTCATAATTCTCAAGAGTTCCAGTTCCTCTCTTCACTTTTAATATGTGCGTGTTGTGCTAAAGCTTCCAACTGATGTCGTGTGAGTGTATTTGAGAATAGAGACATGTGTTTGTCTTTGAATGATGGGGTATCTATACGTTGCAAAGCTAAACATTCTGAATTTTTTAATTTACTCATCCATTCAACAGATGTATATATTCACACATATACGTATATATATGTATATACACACGTATGTATATACACACATATTTGTGTATGAATGAATATATGTGTGAATATATATACACACATATTTGTACATATATATTCATACATATATAACAAATATATTCATACATATATAACTATATATATTTTATATATACATATATACATATATCTAACATATATGTATATATGTATATATATATACATGTATATAACAAAAATATATACATATATAAAAAGATTATATATGTGTTTATATTTTCACACACATATATATTTCTATATACATATGTGTGTATATGTATATGTGTGTATATATATATAAAGGTTAAATGAGTATTCCATGGCCCTGTATTTGATTAATGGTTAATTCAGGATTGGAATTGATGCATTATGGTGAGGTATATCTACTGTACATTTTGGGCACCATTCACTTATATGGTCATCAGTTCATTTATAAAGTGTCACTAAAGACAAAATGAGTTGCTGCATTTTACCTTCAGTAATTACAAAATAAAAGAAGTGAAAACATTTGGAAAAATCCGAGGGAGCTCCTAAGAACTCCATTATTGGGATGAGTGGACTATGATATGCAGTAATAAGCACATGTATTAATATGTGATTCAAAAGTAACATTTTCTATGAAGGACAGGTATCTTATTTAAGCCTCCTGCCTGTATGATCTGATTGAATCAGCATTGCTTACCATAGGACCCAAGAGAAATAAAACTATATTTCCCAATATTATCTGTCCCCGAAAGAGACTCTTGTTCATGGAGAAATATTCTAACAAAGCTGAAGATAAAGTATAACCTTTGGGGGCCTCTTCTTCAACATATTCTATTCTGCAGAGTAGCAGGTAATAAATAAGGTATTAGGGTAGCTTTTCAGTTCAAATTTAATTTTGATTCCTGCAGTGGATTCGACTGTGGCATTCAAACATAGATTTGCAGGTGCAGAGAGAGAGTGTTACTTAGCCCTGCAGTGTGACTAATTGCTGGTAATTGTCTATAGGAAGGGCGTTAGAAAGGCCTGTCTCCAGATTTTCATCATATTTTACCCAAGGACACTGGCAACGTGAGGAGGCAGTCTGGAGCACTGTAGCCATTAAGCTGTTGGCAGTGTGCAGTATACAAAATGTTGGATCTAAGTTTAAAGACAAGCCTGTGTAAAATGAATTTTTATATAAATAGAAAACTGTGAAAATGTAATCATTGAAAAAATGCTGTATTTTCATTTCTGATTAACCTTCATTTGAAATTGGCTCTTAGCAACATATACTTCCTTCTCATGTCTTGCTTTTTTCCTCTTTCCAGTAACTAATATTCTATAACTAGTATTTAATATGCTGGTTAGAAAACCACCAGGGGATTTAACTGGATATGAAACAAAATTGATTTATAATGAAAATATGTGTTGAAGTAAGCTTTATAAAATGGGAATTTAGTATATCCTTAAGTCAGATATTTCTGTAACCTTGTGAAAAAGCACAGTTCCTATGTCATTTTGGTCACATTGTTTTTCTTTCCTTTCCCTCCTGTTTCTATTATGCTTTTGTTAAATCGAGGAAGGAATTCAAGTAATTAGCATTTTACAATTGTCTGGAACTGCCAAAAAAATACCTAACAAAAAATACACATTATTATGGGAACTGTAAAGATTTAAGCAGATATAACTCAAGAGATAAAATGAGTTATTCCAAAGTGTGAAATGAAGAAAGTCCAGATCTTGGCAAATGAGAAAATTATCTTGCTATCTGCAAAGCATTCTACTAAATTTTAAGATTTTTTTTTAATAGAATCAGAACTGCAAGGCTTGTTTGTCTTTATTTATTTTATCCTATGTTCCTTAAATATTGAACTATTGTAATCTTGTCGTTAACCCCCATCCCTAACACACACACATTTTTTTTTTAATTGGGAGTTTTGTGGATTTGTCTAAAAAAGGAAACACTGTGATTTAGGATTTTGGTAATATTCAGCATAATGATTAGTTTTATTCTATTATGTGGACCTTAAGCTACTTGGGTAGTTTAAATAGTGATAGATCCACTAGTACTATTTCTTTGACAGATAAGATCCAGAGGCTTACTTCTAAATGTGAATCCTAAATTACCAAACATTTTTGAAATGGTTAATGAGAGTGCATCTGTTTCTTTATTCCAAGTTTAATTTTCAACTGGATATCTGCACTTTGTCTCTGAAGAAGTATTTCCTAGAGGAGGAAAAAGCCTTTTGATCCTTTTTAATAATTTACTTATGAGAAGTAATTTACATAAAATAGTAGCTTATTTATGAAAAATAGGGAGGGTGTAAGGAGGGAGAGGAGAAGAAAAGGTAACTATTGGTTACTGGGCTTAATATCTGGGTTATGAAGTAATGTATACAACAAACGCCCATGACGTGTGTTTACCTGTGTAACAAACCTTCACATGTACCTCGAAACCTCAAATAAAAGTTAAAAAAAAAAAAAAAGAAGAAAAGTAACTTAGAATTCAGAGGGATAAGTTTTAAAGGAAGCCCTGTGGAAGCCTTGCAGGAAAAAGTTTTCTTTGACAAACCTGTCCTTTCAACATAATTGATGAGTTGGTTCCAGCCTGGTTCCTTGTGACCCATCCAGCACTGAGTAGGAAATGACACAGAAAATGAATGTTGTGGTCTCATTTGTCAGCCAGGGCCACTAGTTTCTTGCAGGATACCTGAATTTTCTTCTGTGCTTTTCTCACATGTGCCCATCCCTCCTTTTCTTTCAGTGCCTTTCTCTCCCTTTAACCACCAGGGCGACTGCCCTTTTATTAGTTTCTTAGCGTTAGTTCTAAAGAGTCTGATGGCCTCTTGTAACGTACATATTGAGCTTCCATAGCAAAGAATACAAATCATCACAAATCACAATAGTCCAATAAGAAAGAATATTGATCTTTCCAAAGTAATTTCAGTCATATATGACTGAGCTCAATTTTAAATATGTATTTCAGTGTCGACTTACCCAACACACTGAACCTGCTTCTCTGATCTGGTATTAGACTTGTACTCTGCCTACAGACCAGTGCCTAGGTTAGTTCATCCATAAAGGGACCAAAAGCAGTGACCACTCCTCCTGGGGTGAAGTTCAGTGTTTCTTTTTTTCCCATTTACTTAGTTAAGCAGTCAGTTTTAACTTTACTATCCAGCTGATTTTGTGTATAAATGGATTCATTTGTAGTTTATCTTGTTTTTGCTAGGCTGTGGGCTAGGAAGGACCAAATGGATTTACGTAGTTTATCGGATAAACCAATTTTGAGTATCATTTTGTCAGGAAACCCTTTTTAACCTCTTCCTGGATAGCCCCAGCCACCTTAATTTACACTCCTCTGGGAGCATTTATCTTTCCTTCATGGCAATGTAATTTTGTATATATTTACATGTTCTTTTTAAGGCTTTTCATTCAGTCTTTTTTGAACAACTACTTTATACCAAGTCCCGTTACTTCAATGAATATAAATGGATAAAAATCTCTGCCTTATGAAGCTTGTATTCTAGTAAAAAAAAAAAAAAAAAGCAGAAGTTAATAACATGTAATAGAACATCAGGTAATGAAAAGTGCTATGAAGATAAAACGAGGCAGAGTAGAAATAGAGAATCACCTAGGAGAAGAGGCAGTGGCGACATTAGGTATGCTGTTCCGGAGAGTCCTCTCTGAGGAAGGGATGCAGAGCCAGGAACTAAATACAAGGAGATGCTTGTCCTGGGAAGATGGGCGAGAACTCTTCAGGCAGAAGGGGCAGCCTTCTTGGAAGCTCATTTACCGTATTCGAGAAAGAGAAAGGCAACCAGTGACGCTAAGAGTGGTGAATGAGGGAAAGTGGCAGAAATGGCGAGTGTAGAGGCTGACAGGGATCAGATCACATAGAGCCTTGTTGGGTGACATAAGAAATTCATATTTTTTTCTAATTTAAGTGGAAGATCAAAGTAGGATTTTAAATTGTAGCTCACCTGTTAGACCATGCCTGCCATATGAGGACAGAGTCTGCCATTACCACTGCAGCCTAGTACTGAATAAATATTGGCTGGCTGGCTGGCTGGCTGGCTGGCTGGTCAGACAGATGAACTAATGTCCTTCCAACCCTGTTGCTTTTACTTATGTGGTTTTATTAAAAACAAAGCATTTTGTTGGTTTGCTTTGTTGCTATCAGAGTTACACATATTGTTATTGGTATTGCATTTGTACCCCTTGACAAAAGGAAGTTTACTATTTATTATCACTAGATAATTAGAATTTCCTACCTCACATGCCTGAAATGCCGCATCCCCCCACCCCACTTCTTACTATGTAAAAAAAAAAAAAATCTATCTCTCTATCTATCTATCTATCTATCTGATTGGCTCGACAGCTTGAACGTGATTGAGTGTCCATTTAAGCCTACTTGTATTTTCATCTGATTACTAATCCTGAAGGATAATGTTAAGCCAGATTCTGCAGCACAGAGGTCAGAGGATCAGACATCAGCTCTCCTAAAATGATGGGATGGGATAGAAAGAATGATGATAACCCGATTAATCTCCCTTTAGGGGGACTCTGGAGTCAGGAGATGTGTTTGTGGCCTTGGTAACAGCCTTCCTGCTGGTTAGAGGAGGACCTGCATATTCTTGGGATTCCTCTCTCATAATGGGTCACACCACATCCAGGTATTACCACCTGGGAGAAGAAAGGTGACAGCTATTTTTAATTCTTTGATAAATCTCGAAGATAGAGGTGGAACCAAGGATGTCATGGAACATCATGCAAGTGTTAACTAAGTAGTCCTCTTTGAAAATATTTAGATCTATAGACTATCTTGCCGCTTGAAAAACATTTTATATTGCTAAGTAGGAACTGTCTTCTTAATTTTCTTATAATTCTCTTTGCTTGAATTATCCCTAAAAATTAACCATAGATTTTCAAATAAGCTCAAAGAAAACATGGATGTTAATGCTAGATTCATCATGTAATAATTATTATTATATTAATAGTAATTCACCTTTGCATTTTTTCATGTCTTAGTATTTAACTTCTGTTTCATGATCCTGTTCATCCTAAAGTTAGCACCTTTTTCTTGCCATGTATTTGCCAGGCGACATATTTGATCGGAGCTTCCAGAACCCATCTCTCTCCACCACATCCTCTTTTACTGACACTCCGGGATGCTGCTAATATCAATTTGAGGTTTTGCAGAGATGGGGGAAGCCTACATTGTCTGCATGTTCTGCCCTTGTCTAGGTTGTATGATTCTTGAGGGTAGTGACTACATCCTATTCTTTTTTCTGTTTCCTGTAGCACCTAGCAGAAACTCTACTGTATAGAAGGTATTCAGCTAGCTGTTCAATGACTAGATGGACAGATGAATGAGTGAATATTTTATTTCCTGTTCTGATTTTGGTAGGATTCTTAAGTCCATAATTCCCTAATCTGCCCACTTTGCTCAGAGATACAAATTTCAAAATTCCCCTTAACCTTGGAGAGACCCTAGGGAAGGGCAGCATTAGCTTAAGCAGTGGGAGACATTTTTTCAGTGTAGGATCTTTTTTCCTGTGTGTTTTAACCTCTTAGAGAGAACGTGGGTTCTTTATTCCTGCTGTGGCACGGTCCTGTTTTTATTAGCGTACCCAACTAGACTGCAGCACATATGTTACAATGAGCCATGCCACATGCAAAGATAAACAAATGT
Source organism: Homo sapiens (assembly GCF_000001405.40). NCBI lineage: Eukaryota > Metazoa > Chordata > Mammalia > Primates > Hominidae > Homo > Homo sapiens. The sequence continues at coordinate 2,446,373 of NC_000003.12, forward strand.
GATGTTAATGAGATTTGAGTGTAGAATCTGTTTTTCTCTTCTATAGCCTCCAGAGTTTTAGAGAATTTTGTCACTGTCCCATTTAACTGGCATCTTTCTTAAAGGGCTGGCTTTATTCATACCAATTATTTTCTCATTCTCTCCCTGATTCCTTTCACTCAAATTCAGTAAACTCTCATCTTCCAGTACATTATCCTGCAGCTCATTTATACCTTCACCCTCACTCCTTGAAATGAATTCAGAATCTGATTTGGAGCTTGTCTCTCTAAGTGTAAAACACCTCCTGCTATAAATAAACACACTCGGTTTACTTAGGTTTGATACTTAGATGAGTTGCATCAGCATATGTTCTACTTCACGTTATCAGCGTCTTCTGAGTTGAATTCTCATCATTTTTTTGCCTTAAAAATGACAGTGCTAAATATGTCCTGAGGGACTAAGGCAGGTTGAGAAAACCTCTCTGCAGTATTGGAGAAAGCCAAGTTAAATCCAGCCTGCTAGCCTAATGTAAACAATATAATCGTTCTTCCCTTATTTACTTTATTTGTGAGGATCATATACTAGTAAACTGGGGTAGAGTAGATGAGCAAAAAATAACTAGGGGAAGAACAACATGAACGGCAAAGTTGCTTATGCAACAAAAGACATGTCATATTTTATCTTTCAATTTAAGAAAAAATTATGGGAGTTTCATATGCTTGACACTATCATTATTCCTCTACTAACTGCCTTCTATTATAATGAGTCTTCTTTTTTTCTCCCAGTCAACACATTACATATACCTCTATTTAACATTTATTTCTTGATTAGTTGTTCATAGGTGTATCTTTTCCCAGTACCCCACCTCCCTCCATACAAGGAGCCTAAGCATATTGCCATGAATGTAACAGATTCCAAGTACATGCCTGTTGTGTTGAAACATTGCTCACCAATCACAAATTTTGGCACATTCTAATTATCTAATGTCTTTAAGAGTTAGTGTTGTAATAAAGACTTAATAATTATTTGTCTATCAATCATTAAGTTGATATCAGTGTACCAGGAATAGTAACTCCTCAAAAAAAGCCAGTGTTTATGATTAACTTCTAACATTTAAATATGCTATGTCTATATTTATAATATATTTTATGTGCTTGTTTATTCTCTGTATCCACTATTATAATGTTCATAAGAGCAATTTCTTTTTCTACGTAGCAAGACCTGTAAGAATATAGGAGAGATACTGTATTTATATATGTATGTATATATTCAATAAATTTATTCAAAAATATGTGTTGAGTACAGATATATGTACATATTCTGAATGAATATATTAAAAATGTATATACCTTATATGTTCATATACTCAGTATGAATATTCAATACATTATACATATCTATACTCAATACATATTTTTGAGTGAATTAATTGAGTACTTCTTATGTGTTGGGTTCTGTTAATAAGTACTTCAAATGCATTATCTCTTTCAATCCCTCAAGATTCCAGTTAAGTGTAGATACTATTATTATCCTAATTTTAAGGATGAGGAAATGTAGGTTTGGCATTGGTAAGTGGTTTTCTGAAAGATATTCAATTCATAAAAAAGATAGAATCAAGCCTTAGGTCCAGGCCTGTCTAACACAAAAGCAAATGCCCTTAGCTACTGTGATATACTTCTCCTACAGTAATTAACTGAGAGAAAATTTTGTGTGAAAATATGGAAATAATTGTGCCTGGTGGGATCATGGACACTAACAGGATAAGATCATCAAATAGTCCTGTGGTCCCCTATGATGAGGTGAGCGTAGCCAAGCCCAGAGCAGGCAGCGAAGCCTGGTGGGGGAAAAGCTGTGGGGCACGCAAGAGAAAGAGGTCACAAGCCTGGGGCAGAGAATGTAGTGTCCAGTTGGAAGCATCATGAATCAGAATCTGGGTGATCTGTGATTCTGGAACTAGAGTGTTGCCTTAAAAGCAAGTATATTCACCTCTCAAGAAGAAAAAAGCAAATGAGAATAAAGATGGAATGGAAGATCTATCAAGTCATTGGGACACTATTCTCGACTGTTGGAGTGATAGGGAGTTGTGTGCAGTGATTGGGCTTCTCAAATGCAAGTGGTGAAAACTCAACTCAAATGAACTTGAGAATTGTCCTCTTTCTCCCCAGGATCTAAATTGAACACTCGAAAGCTATCGGAAGGTTGGTCGAGGGCATGAAGTAGTACTCTGCCAAGGCTTTTTTATTAACAGCTCCCTTTTCTGCATATTCCCATGGAGCCAGAGGAAGTGATTCTCTGAATGGATATATTCTGCTAGTAACATATCGTGGCAGCTGTATCCGTTATCCATTTAACAATTATTACTGAGTACAGGACAATATAGAGAATATGTTACTTCCTCTGTTAACTCTGCCCTGGTTGTCCAGCAGCCCAGGTGTCCTCACCTGTTAACTGAGAGTGAGCAAGTCTAATTTGTGTTTGGTAGGCAGATTAAGTAAAAATGTATAGGAAAGCATCGTGTGAATGATGAGGTACCATATCAATATGAGGTACTATTTTATCATCAGTACCAAGCCATGTAAGGCTACCTTTCTATCTCCAGAGGCTTTTACTTTAAATCTCCAACCTAGCCCATGTAACTTTTTTTTATTATTACACTAATTTCCACTTCCATAAAAAAGGTCACAGTTTTCAGAGAGTGCATATTACTTATATAACTGTTTAATCAAAGGATCATGCTAAGATATAAGGAAAACCTAGAATCTTTATACATTTTCCCAAGCTAGGGTGATGTTTGGAGCATGTTGGATTTAAAAGACAGAAAAATAATAGAGAAAAGCTTTGCTATTTTCGAGATCATTATTTGAAAGATAGTTTCATCAACCACTGATAGGTAAGTCATCTATTAATGGGCATTTGGGTTGTTTTCAGCTATTGACTATTGTGAATAATACTGCAATAAACTTAAGAATGCAGACAGATAGGGCTGGGCGTGGTGACTCACACCTGTAATCCCAGCACTTTGGGAGGCTGAGGTGGGTGCGTCACCTGAAGTCAGGAGTTCGATACCAGCCTGGCCAACATGGCAAAACCCCGTCTCTACTAAAAATACAAAAATTAGCCGGGCGTGGTGATGCACCCCTGTTATCCCAGCTACTAGGGAGGTTGAGGCAAGTGAACTGCTTGAACCCAGGAGGCGGAGGTTGCAGTGATCTGAGATCATGCCACTGCACTCCAGCCTGGGTGACAGAGCAAGACTCCATCTCAAAAAAAAAAAAAAAAAAAATGCAGACTGCTAGCTCTTTGAGATCCTGATTTCAATTCTTTTGGACATATATCCAGAAGTGGTATTGCTGGATCAAATGGTAGCTTTTAAAAATGTGGTATATTTATGCAATGGAATATCGTTCTGTCTTAAAAAATAATGAAATCTTGCTATTTATGACAACATGGATGAACTTGGAGGACATTATGCTAAGTAAAATAAGCCAGACACAGGAGTCCAAATACTATATGATTTCACTTATTTGTGTTATCTAAAATAGTTACACTCACAGAAGCAGGGAATGGGATGCAGTTGCTAGAGAATGGAGGGAGGAGGAAATGGGAATTGTTGTTCAATGGGTATAGACTGTCAGTCAGGCAAGATGAAAAAATTCCACAGATCTGTTGTACAACATAGTGCTTATAGTTAACAGTACTGTATTGTCACTTTATTTTTTGTTAAGAGGGTAGAAGCTGGGTGTGGTGGCTTACACCTATAATCCCAGCACTTTGGAAGGCCAAGATGGGTGGATCACTTGAGCCCAGGAATTTGAGACCCTCCTGGCAATATGACAAAAATCCAATCTCTACAAAAAATACAGAAATTAGCTGGTCATGCTGGCACATACCTGTAGTCCCAGCTACTTGGGAGGCTGAGGCAGGAGGATCACTTGAGCCTGGGAGGTCAAGGCTGCAGTGAGCTGAGATCACACCACTGCACTCCAGCCTGGGTGAAGGAGTGAGACTCTGTCTCAAAATAAATAAATAAATAAATAAATAAATAAAATAAAAAAGATGCCAGTCAGGTGTGTGTATAGGAGCTAGGAGATAGAAGAGATGTGTTTGTATGTTTTCTTGTTTAAAGATTTTTGAAGGCTATGATGATTCTCAATATTGCACTTTGCAATGGTAGTTTGGTGACAGGTTTAGCATAGCTATTTGGCAGTGGGATTCCTTGGAGGTGTAAAGGTTTTATCAGTGTCACTTTGTCTCCTGTCCAGGTTTTTACCGGTTAAAAAAAAAGAACTAAGGAGCCAAATGCCACTCAAGGTTTTATTAATAGAGACTGAATAACTCCCAATACAGGCTCCTTGCTAAAATGCAACTAGTGAATTTGGCTTGGACCAAAGCCCCCACTTTGAATTAAGATAACTTGTCCCCAAGAAGAGTCAACCTGACTCAACCAAACAAGTTACAGGCAAATAAATTGGAATAAAGAAAGAAAATACCTGGCTGGGCCTGAAAAGGCAGACCCTGTCCTCTCTGCTTACCATAGGCAGGCAAGAACCAAGCTGAGCTCACCACTCACATTGTTAAAGGAAAAGATCACAGCAGATATTACAGAGACCTTCCTTTCCCTAGGGAACAAGTGAGGAAGGGTGAAGGGGGGCCAAGAGTGGTATTAACTTTGCCCCCTGAGGTGGGAAGACTACTCAATTACTTTTCTATGACCTAAAAGAAGAATGTAGAGATAGAAGGGAAGGTATTTGGTTTTCTCCTTCATGATTAATCAATTTTATTTATGAGAATAGAGAAGAAATATTCCTAAGTAAGGAAGTAAGAGTGACCTTGAAACTAGGTATATTATTATCCAGATATGGTTATAGTCTGAATTTAATTTTTATTAATGTAATAATAGCTTACATGGGCCTTATGGCGACATTACTAGCACTCTAAAATTTAATTAGATTTTTAGAGCTTCTATTAATGTCTTTTGTAGGATTATACAATCTGGGGCATCACCAGCAAGCTTCATACATTTTATTTTCATTATGATTTGAAATGAGAGGAATATGGTATTTTGTGAATTAAAATAGTTTAGACTGGGGAGGTCTTAAAAAAAAAAAAAGAAAAGACAACCCCAGAGGGTTGAAATCAGTTTTTTTTGTACTAAACTGGTTATATGTATTTTTATATAGATCTTAAATATATTTATTCACCAATATTAAGGAATTACCAGTTTTTTATTTTTATCAAATTTTTAATAAATATTAGTTGACTGTAACCATATAAATGTAGTTATCCTCACGATAGTTTAAAAATAATCATTTTCATGCAACATATTTTCTTTAGTGTGTATATTTCTTGAGTTTTTTGCGCTGATGAAGTAAGTATTCCATTTTCATGGTCCCTTCATTATTGTATCCTGATTATATATGTAATATGCCTTCCCAGGTTCAGTAAATCCTTTAAATTAATAGAAAAATCTGTTCAGCCTTGTTGAGAGTCACTGCATCAATGTACTGGTTACTTTTGTAAATTTTAACCCATTTATCTCTTTCCCTCACATTCCAAAAACAAGAACTCAGGGCACACATTAAATCTCTATTTTACATAAAGCGTGCTCTTGAAAAGGAGATAGATACTATAGATTCTTAGTGACATTCTTTGAGTTTTCACCATTCAAACTCTTAATTTAGAGTAGCCTGCAAATCAGGTACATGCCTAGGTGACATTCACAGAGAATGGAAAAGAATAACCCTATCCAGAATTGACATAAAGTGTTAGCATTGTATACAGAGCAGGAAAAATGGGAACAGGAATCAGAAGCTCATTTATAGACTCTGCTATCTACTGCTATTTGATCCAGAAAAGTCATTTTACTTGCCCTGGCCTGAGTTTTCTTCTCTGCAAAATTAGGCCGTTGGGAAGGAAGGTCTCTGCATCCCATCTGAGCCCCAGCAATATATAAAGTTGATTACTGCAGGAGCACCAAGTGTTAGTTGCTTTGTGCATGCATCATGCGAATTCACCGAGGCTTTGTGCAGCCATGCTCTGCTGCAGTAGTTCTGTCCTTACATGCCTTCTGGTGGCTTTAGAGAGAGATTCTATTTGGGAAGGGACTTAGTCTGGCATGATTAGAGCCTAGTAATTACAAAAGTGCCAAGTGATCCTCATCTATAATTACAGTGCTAGTTTGTTACTCATTGTCCCCGAGGCCATAACATTAGGTGGAGGAGGGCATGCGCACGGTTCCTGAAACTTAAATGCATCCATACTTTTAGTGCTGTATTTTTTGCTGAATTGGTATTTATCTTTAATGAATGCCAGGCTTCTACCCTTTCGGAATCAATCACTTCTGTTTATGAGTTGGAAAAAGACAGGGACCAGAGCATGTAGGAGTATATGAGAGACAGTGTCTTATTACTCAGCTTATTTCCTAATCCTCGTATGAAGATAAGATCATAAAAAATACAAAACAATGTCAGGGAAAGGGAATATCAAAGCCCAGCTTGTTAAAGAGTCATGACCCCAGAGAAGCCTAGACCCCTCTTCTCCATGAACTCTAAAAAATCACCTTTTTTTGTGTTTTTGTTGTAATACTGGCCTTCATTATTGCAAATCTTCCTGGTTGTACTTTACAATGATTTTAATTTTGTTTCCTGATTAGATCTTTGCAATTATTCGTAATGTTCATCTGAGTGAAATAAAATGATATACACTGAAGCAGTGTTAACAGATTGTAAGATTTGATATGTTTTGAAAAGAAATGGTAATGATAAATGACAGTGACCTAATTTGTGGAACAATCTTCTTGTACAAAATAATCTAGTGGTTGGTAATTATGTGATTAACTCACCAAGAAAAAAAAAAGTCAATCAAGTCAGAATCATCAAGTTATAGAATCAAAAAAAATGTCTGGAATGTTCCCAGTTAATTCATTACCTACAGTGAACTTTTCATGTGAATGCCAAAACATAAATACTATTTTAAAAACATTTAGGGGAAAGATGTACATTTATTAACCCTAAAACTCAAAAGACAATCAAGAAGGAAAAACAGCGAAAATCTCGAAAAGCAGTAATGATAGCTGCTTGTTGTTAGTACTTATGAGGCACTTTCACCAACATAAAACCTCATCTCAAAATAAATGAGTGAAGGAGTAAGGCACAATATAACCAAGTCCATTTTCAACATGAGGAACTTGAGGCTCAGTGGGATTCAATGCCGTGTTCATGATCATGTAGCTTTTCAGAGGCACGGCTTCAAAATTTGTTACCTACTTCATGCTCTTTTAACTATGTGCTGTTAAGAAAATAAAAGTGAAATATCTATGGGATATCAATTCTGAAAAAATATTAGCACATTTGATTAGGAACTGCATCATTGAGAATTCAGTTAAGACTTTATTTATAATGCACAAAAGCAATAGATATGTATAACTTGAAGGTCAGTGTTATAAACATAGCCCAAACTACAAGTCAACAGAGTGAATTATAGTTTGGTTAATATGCAAAATCATTAAGATGGTTTGACTTGAAACCAGCAAATCATATGAAACTGTATTTATAAAACTACAATTACAATTTAGAAGTTATTTTGAAAAGAAAATCACACTTTCATGATGGGAATATGAAAAATATTGAAGTGATTTCTGTGCTTGTTGCATGGATATCCTCAGAATTCTATAGCATTCTGACAGGGTAGATATAATCAGCCCCATATTATAAGCAAAGAACCTGAGGCTCGAAGAAGCTAACTTGCCTGTTGTTACATGGCAAGAGTATGGCCAGAATTCAAGTCTAGGTTGTTTAAGTTCCAAAGTCTACGTGCTTGTTTCCTACTCCATTAGTGATCTTACCTCTCCTCTAGGATACCTTTCATATTAATTTGATACTCAGTAAGTATTTCATGATTGAAGTGATTTCTGTGCTTGTTGCATGGATATCCTCAGAATTCTATAGCATTCTGACAGGGTAGATATAATCAGCCCCATATTATAAGCAAAGAACCTGAGGCTCGAAGAAGCTAACTTGCCTGTTGTTACATGGCAAGAGTATGGCCAGAATTCAAGTCTAGGTTGTTTAAGTTCCAAAGTCTACGTGCTTGTTTCCTACTCCATTAGTGATCTTACCTCTCCTCTAGGATACCTTTCATATTAATTTGATACTCAGTAAGTATTTCATGATTGAAGTGATTTCTGTGCTTGTTGCATGGATATCCTCAGAATTCTATAGCATTCTGACAGGGTAGATATAATCAGCCCCATATTATAAGCAAAGAACCTGAGGCTCGAAGAAGCTAACTTGCCTGTTGTTACATGGCAAGAGTATGGCCAGAATTCAAGTCTAGGTTGTTTAAGTTCCAAAGTCTACGTGCTTGTTTCCTACTCCATTAGTGATCTTACCTCTCCTCTAGGATACCTTTCATATTAATTTGATACTCAGTAAGTATTTCATGATTGAACGGCTGAATACCTGAATGTGTGAATATTTTTAAAAACTTTTTCGATCACATTTATCCTGGAGTGAGATGAAAATATAGCTGTTGCATTTAAGAATGTAAGTAGTGGGTGAGTAATTTAGAGATATCATAATAAGCGTTTTGGAAGTAGAGCTAAAAGATAAAAGAGTCTTTGATTATAAATAACTAAAAGGAGCAGCCAAATCACTAAATACCAGGCATACTTCATCTGTTAGTGGCCTTAGGGACAAAAATAAAACCAGTAAATATGGTGTGGAAGCAACTAATCATCGCTGGATTGCTCAAGAGAGGATATGTGTGAGACCCACATAAAGGTAGGGATGGACTTATGAGTTCTTCCAGTAAAGGGCTGCCATTGAACACAGCAAGGGCTGTGGCAGACAGATATGCAGGAAGCAATAGGCAAATTTAATATCAGTAAGGAAGAATCATCAAGCTGTGTTTGGCTTAATAATAACCATTATTCTTCATTTGGGGTTATTGATTGTTCTGAAGGCTACGACAAGTGTAATGAACTGTTACCACCACTTTGGGTGAATGTTGGCCCTCAAATGATCATTATCCAGAGAGGACAATATAAATAAAGTGCTGAAAGTACAGCAAAAAGAAGAGAGTTAGAAAAGGGAGAAAGTGGGTCTTGCTTCCTTCCCTAGTCTTTTTTCTTTTTTTTAAGGGGAGACACCTTTGCTTCTATACTTTACTTCCCATTACCGGAAATCTCTTCAGCGATCCGTTTTAACTGCCCTGGTAGTGGATCAGAAGAAGGAGGACATTTTTACTGTTAAGGTTTTACTGTTTTGTCAGTGATGGAGGAAGGGCGCCTCCAAAAAATATGCAAAGTTAAATTCAGTGTTTCAATAAATTGTTTGTTTAGCCAGACGTGTCTGAGTTTCTTGCCTCTTCGGGTAGTCATTCCTGAAGTGTGTCTTATTGAGCAGAGATAACATTATTGTGTAGTCCCTGAAAGAGAATTGGAACCAAGTTTTGGGGGAAAGCTTTTGTGCACAGGTCAGCAAAGTTAACTGTTGTATTAGTGGAGACTAAACCTGGACACTAGATATTCAAAACTTGCCTCTCTTCTCTCTGTCAGTTCTCTCAAAATCAGGGTTAATATTCAAATATATTAAATTCAAATTGAATTTGTTCCTAGTAAGCACTTACTATGTGGGAATATTTTGCTAGGCACAGTAGATTATTTAATCCATACTGTAGACAGGTCACATAGGCATTTATAATCTCTGTTGTACTATCATGAATTGAGGTGAAGAGAGATTGGGTCACCTGCTATCTGCACAGCTAAGAGCAGGTAGAGCTGGGAACTGAGTTCAAGCCTTCCTGAATCTGAATCTCATGATCTTTTACCATACAAACTTGCCTGAATGTGAATTGACTGGCCTTATGAGGGAGTAATTTCCCCATCACTGTGATAAGAGTAGCAGTCTTCCTCCTCCTCTCCCTTCTTTTCCTACTCCTAATAAAGCAACACCTGCCTCTATTATTATGAATGTTATCTCAAATTGTATATATTTATTTCTATTGAGTTGAAATTCACATAACATAGAACTAGCCATTTTAAAATAAACAATTCAGTGGCATTTAGTACGCTTACACCGATGTGCAGCCATCATCTCTATTAGTCCTAAAATATTTTCATCACCTTCAAATAAAACCCCATTCCCGTTAAGGAGTTACTCAGCATTCCTCTTCCTCACTCCACTTCCAACCCTAGCAAACACCAATCTGCTTTCCGTCTCTTTGGATTTACCTATTCTGGATATTTCGTATAAATAGAACCATACAATATGTAACCTTCTGTGTCTAGCTTTTTTCATTTAGCATGATATGTCTGAGACTCATCCACATCGTAGCACCTGTCAGTATTTCCTTCTTTTTTATGTACAAATAATATTCCACTGTGTATATATACCGCATTTTGTTTATCCATTCGTCTATCTATGGACGCTTGAGTTGTTTCCACCTTTTGGCTATTGTGAAAAGTGCTGCTGTGAACATTCATACACAAGTATTTGCTTGAGGAACTGTTTTCCATTCTTTGGGAGCTACATCTGTTTTTGGCATTTACTTTGTGCTAGTCAATGAACTGAGTGCTTTGTACCAGGAACTCTTTAGATTCTCAGAACCCTATGAGGTGAATACTATTATTATCTCTGTTTTACGAATGAGGAAATGGATTCACAGAGAGGTTAAAGTACCTCATATTGGGTCACGCTGAGATTAAACCCAATGAGCCAGGTTCCTGAGTCTGTACTCTATACTCTTTCTTTCTTTTGTTGCGTCAGCTTCAGACTTGACACCTAGAGCTGCTTCTGCTGTTCCCTCCCCAATACCAAGCTTGCCTGCTTTTCCCGGGCATACTTTCAATTGTTGTGTTTCCTCTTAAAATTCAGAATCCAATGTTGCATACAATATTCCAAAAGTAATTTTTATAATTATTACCATCATTGCCATTGTTGATATTTTGATAACATTTGAAAGGCACTTTGATGTTTTTCAAAACAATATGTATTAGTTTTCTTCCTTAATAATGAAAATTATATAACAAACAACAAAAAACAAGCCCCAAGCTTCATAGCACAGAGTATGCCTGTTGGCATTAAAAAATAAAGTCACGGTATATATACAGGGTTAAAAATCCAAACAGTAAAGAAATATGTAAAATGTTTATTAGGATTTTTTTCTGGAAAAGTAAATTATGAATATTCCCAAATGCTTGTTCCAGATGTGTTCTGACAATGGTTGGGCGCAGATTCCCATTTATGTCCTCAATCAGCTCATTTTAAGCTCATTCAGCAGGTGTATAACAAACCAGGGGAGACTAAAACTCCCAGGTCCTTTTCTCGTGATCTGCTACTGAGTCATAGCCCCTGTCTGCCATATTGGGCTTATGCAGTTGATTTTCTCAACCTAAATGCAGAAATTTCCATGTCCCTGTGTAATTCATTAAGCATGTTTTAGCCCAATGCCCTTCTCAAGGTACGTTTACATCCCAAGTGTGAGATCCTGTCTGTTAACTGTCTTTCTCAGTTGAGAAAGCACAGATAACTCTGCCACTTGGCCATGCTGAGGGCTCATGAATTACATTATTAGTAGAAATGAGATTTTGACCACCTCAGGATTCACTTAGAAGCGTGTTGGAAAGATTCCTGCTCAGACCAAACATCTCCCACCTTCCATTTTCAGAGTAATGTGTTCCGTCTGTGGAACCACAGCTTCATTTGCATGGAAGTGATAGGGAGCCATTCTCTACAGCATTGCAAACTATGGAGACTGTATACAAGTCTCAGTTGCAGTACTGAATTGCACACTCTCCTGCTCAGTATAATTTATTAGCTGGAGATGTGCCTACATTAATAGTATTTGACCACATTTTAATTTAACTGTGCTACAATGAATTAAACCAAATAGTAAAGTTACAATGTATGAGTCCATTTTTATACCATTAGAAGTTAATATTAACCTATAAAGTGAATTGTGTTTAAAAAATGAACGATGTTTTATCTAACCCTGACATACATATCTTTCTTGTGTATAACAGTCCTATAGGGTAAGTTGAGCTAAGCTTTTACTTGTATCTTTTTAAATAAACTATCTTTGTTAGAATGGAAATCTCTAATGATCAGATATGTATAATTGAGTTTTCATATCTTCATTAAGTTTAAAGATATTAATTAAGCATTATCTATCTATTTATTCCCTCTTATGAGATGTTGATAGAGATCATTTGGGAGCGGACAATACTTGTTAAAACTATGTGCAGTTTTCTAATGAGCCTTTCAAGAATGTGCGATTTTTTTTTCCCCACGAAGTTAGTACCCATGAATTTTGTGATTTCTTTTCTTAAGGATAAAGACAAGCCAAATGGTTGTCTTGCTTTTTTAAGGTTGTTTTATATAACTAGAGATTCTTCTTGGCTTCCTTTTTAAATGGATTTTTTGATAGGAAGAAAATGCAAATGAAGTAACAGTGGAGCTCATAAATTTCTAGCCTGGTGACTATAATGCAGGGTATTGGCTTTGCTATCAAACTTCCCCAAGCACATTTGCTTTGTATTAGTGACTTATGCAATATTGGATCTTTCGTCTGTACATTAGACTGTACAATTCTTCCTTTCCGCCTAGCATGCTTTGCATTCCACTCTTTAGACAGATGTGTGTGAATGTAGCATTCTTTCTCAGCTGAAGCTAACAAGTGTCAGCATCAGATTTCCCCTATATATTCCAAATCTGATAAAAGGATACCCTGTGGTTATGAAAATTATAGACACTTAATACCTAAGGCAAGTGGCTTGCAGTCTCAGCAGATTCCTAAATGATGATCTGCCCCATGGTGATGCAAAAGTGATGTTAACACTTTCCTAGGAAGATCTTCAATGGGGAATGTTCCTTTGGCAATTTGAATGCATCACTATACTTTTCCAGCCTTTTTTCTTCACCTCACCTAATTTTATGAGTTGTATGCATATCTAAAATAAAATGTGCATTTAGAATTGGCCACATGTGGACACATGCCATGATATCTCAGAAGACAGTAAAAACGAACTTGAAAACCAGAAAAATGCACAGGTCATATAGGGATCACTTATAATTGCCCCTGCTTTTCCCATGGCATTTTCAGTCCCATCATTATTCCATCTACAGCGCATCTCCAAAGCAAAATATATTATGAAAAAGTCATGTATGGTATTTCAAATTAAACAATAACATTTTCTAGGTGCAGAGCAACTCTCGTGATATGGCCAGTTAGACTTTTCATCTTGGTCTTGCCCTTTAGATATACTTTGTGATGCTGGTGGCCAGGTGGCAAGCAGAGAAGGAGGGGCATTCTAGAGGCGGTACTAAAGACAGCTCAAAGCTCTAGAAAGTGTTTAAGTCTTTTATTAGACCACTATGGCTGCAACAAAAGGCTAACCTGGTTCCTGTCCTTTCTAGCTAAATAAGCCCAACCAATGTGTCCACAGGGCAACCAGTGATATAAGAGGATGATCTGATTTTTATGGTATTACTTCCATTTCTGAGCCAAGCATAGCAAATATATAGTTTAACTGTTGTCAGTCTTCTTCCCTTGTATTTATGGAAGTTATCATTAATTTTATATTGTAGTCTTTTCTGCTAAACCCAGGCATTGCTTCATAATCTTTCACAAGATAGCGCATGAGAGAGCTATTGCTGCTGGGTCAGAGTTGTTACATGAGTTGCATCTTATCTGGCCATCTATCTCTGGGCTGAGTTACGGTCACATTTCCCTCTGATAGATCTCTAATATAGCAGGTGTAGAGTTAAAGGTCTTTCACTTTTTCTGGGAGGTCACCCTGACAATAGAAGAACCTGGATTTCTTATCCTATGTATAGTTTATCACCACGGTTGCTCGGCATGCTCTTTTCTGGTATCCCTAGCTCAACCCTAACTTTGGTCATCATTGTTTTTCAGGTTTTCAATCACCTTAAAGTTGCCACTGTTCCAAAAGTCATTTGGTGAGCCATTCTGACTGTTTCCACTTTGAGAATCTCGTGCCAGGTCACTAGAGATAAATATGCTTATTCTGGAACTCCCAGACATTAATCTCAGGGTCAATTCATGGTTCTGTGAATGCTTGATACCACCATCAGCACTGTGAGGCCTGGAACTTTGCCATGACTGCTACCTCCTTTGGGCTCAAATATTAAGGAGATAGGGGCAGATACTGGGCCTTTGATTAATATTTCTCCTCTGACGTACATGACCCCTTTATCCTCTTCACTTCCTTGATGTTCCTGGGTGTTGACATAGATGAAGATGATGGTTTTCCCTATCTTAAGTGAAAAACAATTCATGTTTCGCTTTGGGTAGACTGAATGGCCTTTAAGGATTACAGTTGAAGATAGTTTTATCCAAAAGGTCTCAACGCAAATCTTTTCTTATAGATTAGTCTATTAAATGTGAGGGGCATCTCTACCAGAGATTCTGGCAGGGATGGCAACTTTGGTTTTAAATTTGTTAGTCAATAAATATTTGAGTAACTACTGTGTGTGTGGTGCCATGATAATCACTGGAAATAGTAGCAGTAGCTGAAAGAGTGAGAGTTCTCATGTAGCTTCCAGTTATGGAAGACGATAAGCTAAGCTGAGAATTCTGCTCCTTTATGGCCCCTTACTAGGAAATAAATTCGTGTGATCTAGGAAGCCCCTGTCCTTCTGGGTGATGAGTGGAATTCATCTACACAGTCTTACCAGTCTTACAAATGTCTGTCCTAAAAGACTAGTAACCCACCTTACCCATATTCCAAGGAACCTTGAGGCCCATATTTATTATACATGGCCATTATTTGTATCCATGATTATATAAACACAGATGAATTGGTCATTTCCCCTGTCTGTGTTCTCTACTCTTAAATAACTTAGTTCTCCTCCCTTGTACAGATATGTGTATTTTTAAATCTAGAAATGTTAGTAGTTATAGAAAAAGCTACTAACTGTTTTCACTCTTCTTCCCTTTTATTTATGGAAGTTATCATTAATTATTAATTATTAATTAATTAGTTAACATTAATTAATGAGATAATCTACATTATCTCAGTGAATTTTCACACTAACCCTGTGGAGTTATGGTTTTAATATCCAGGTATTATGGTTTCAGAAAACAAAGTTATGCAAGCTCAGTGATCTCTCCCAGGCTGGCCAGCTACTAAGCGGTAGATCCAGGGCTCCCACCCACGTGGTCTGATTCTAGAACCTGAGCTCTTAACCGCTGTACCGACTTGTATCACTAGCCAACATCTGGGCTGCTCTCTGCTTTATCAATGAGTAAACTGAAGCCCAGGCTCTTAAGTGACTTGTCAAGTTAACAGACTATTCAGCAACAGATTTGAATTTTCGTATTAATATAGTGTAAATAACAACAGTTAAATCATTTATAGTGCTTATTATATGCCAGCCACTCTTCTAAGTGCTTTTTATATTGGCTCATTTACTTAATAACTACTGGTTATTGTCCCCATTTCACTTAGAGGCAAACTGATGCTTTCTGAGACCAAGTTGCTTAGGGTCACACAGCTGCCAAGCTAAGCAGCTAAGATTCTAACTCAGCCTGTCTAGTGCCAGACTTTGTGTTCGGATTTGGTGATTCTCAAAGAGAAGAAGCTTTCTTCTCCCACTCCAGGAGCATGTGCAATGCCTGGAGACATTTTTGGTTATCACAACTTTGGGGGAGGGGAGACCTTTATATAATCTAGTGGACAGAGGCCAGGTATGCTGCTGACCATCCTCAAGTACACAAGATAGACCCTTACAATAAATAATTATTTGTCCTCAAGTGTCAACAGTGTTATAACCACCTTTCTATGGTTATAACACACCATCAGTGGCATCCAGCAAAAGATTTCCAAATCAGGAAAGCAGAGAGTAGCCTCCAGTGTCCATGCTTAGTTTAGTGTGTCTTTTATCATGACTGCAATTCTGGGCTGGAATGTTACTGTTTAGTATGTACCTCATAAGGATAAAGACTAGCATTGTGCCCAGCAAGAGCCAATGGGGGCTCATTAATTATTACAATGGAAGCACAAATTGGTGTGTTTAGATATAGGATGAAAGAATGGGAACTCAGTTGGAGAAAATCATAAAAGTAGCACTCTGATGACTAGTGGTGATGATTTTGGCTTCAGTAAAGAGAAGTGGCCACATTGTTATTCAAAAACATGATATTTTGGATAGGAAGAAAGCTGATGTTTCAGGCGTTTTCTTTTTGTTTAAACAAACCTATTTTGCAGATTTTGTATGCCTTTTATCAGTCATGCAGCTCAATTACAGTCTGGGCAGCAAGTTTGGACAAAAATAAAAAGAGGAATAAAAATATTTTTATACCTACATTGTATATTTCTCACAAGAGTTTCCAAGTATAATTATCCATGAATTTCATCCAAAAATCTTCAACTGTGTGAATCTTACATTTGGTTACTTACTGGCTAATCAGGATTGGGCCTAAATCCAGTGTATACATTACATAAAGAGGTGAGGACAGATAATCCAAGCAAAAGAAATTTCCTTATAAAATTCCTAAAATAGTATCATTTCAGTATGGGACCGATATAAAAATTATTAATGGGATATTTTACATTTTTTCTTTGCTGTCTTTGAACTTGGTATGTATTTCACACTTCCAGCACATCTCATTTTGGAAAAGCTATAACAATGTTTCTGAGACTTACCATATTTGAGAACCATTTCCTTAGTCTGTGCTTTTAAGGAATGAAGTTGTTGGACGCGGTGTCTTTTTACCTTTATTTGTTGTCATAGATGATGATGACTAAAAGTGTCTTGTCCAAATACAAATGTGAAAAGGCTGAAGACCAAGATATAAATGAAATAGAAGGCTGTTATCTACTAAATGGGCTTTTTAAAAAAAAAAAACACTTGACTTTAAGACTACTAATAAAACTGTAAAATAAGAGCATACTTTTGAAATAAGAACACATCAAACAAAGTAAAACTAAAGTTTAGCTCCTTTGTGTCCCAGGCTGAAATAAAAGCATGTGGGAGGACCTACCAATTTATATTATCAAAGTTAAATGGACACAGGTCATCTTTAGCATACAGGATAAGGTTTTAGCATGAGGAACACTTTATATAAAAATATACTGTTTTTTGGTTCATGTGAAAGATATTATTGGCCAGGTGCGGTGGCCCACGCCTGTAATCCCAGCACTTTGGGAGGCTGAGGCGGATGGATCACCTGAGGTCAGGAGTTCGAGACCAGCCTGGGCAACATGGTGAAACCCCATCTCTACTAAAATACAAAAATCAGCTGGGTGTGGTGGCGAGCACCTATAATCCCAGCTACTTGGGAAGCTGAGGCAGGAGAATTGGTTGAACCTTGGGGATGAAGGTTGCAGTGAGCCAAGATCGTGCGAATTCACTCCAGCCTGTGCAACAGAGCAAAACTCCGTCTCAAAAAAAATAAATAAAATAAAAATAAGGAAACGTATTATTAAAATAGGAATGACTTACTTTTTGTCTCACCCTGCTTCTTTGTGTCTGGTACTACGGTATGATATGTCATGCATCTTACTAGAGGAAGATGCTGCCTTTATATGTGAAGTGGATTCTTATGACCTAGAACCAGAACAAGTGTGTTAGGCTTCATTTTCCAAGCCTCATAATGAAATGCCTTGAAGTATTCATTTTCCTGTCCAATCTTCTTTAAAAACAATATTTGCACCCCTAACCGTAGGCAGTAATTTTGTACTTCTCAGACCATTGCACCAAGTTTGATTTCTACATGAAGTTTACTATTGTTTGTGTATATGGAATGGCTTATGACAACTTCATTTGTCCTCTGCTCTATCTATCCTAGGTACTAGAATACCTAGGGTCCTAGCAGTCCAATATGCCTGGATTATGCCAAACATAACACACTACTGGAGATATGTATTTGATGAACATTCCGTATTCTTTTTTGGCCAGCTTGGCAAGCAGGAGAATCCGCAGTTAGCTCTTCCTTTGACCAGTTATTTCTAAGTGTTGTTGCAGGAAGTGGCGCATTAGGAACTAGTCTTTTTGGTTTGTTGTGCAACTAGCACTTGTGTAACTCCCTCTACCTGAACCATTGCCTCTCCCATCAGCCAGGGTAGCTTAAAGGAATGTTGAGGAAATAAAAAGTAGGCATAAAGGTATTGTGCATAGTAGTGGGGATATAGATGGGGAAACAGAGGGAGGAAGAGGAGTGACTAAAGAGAAAGCTACATGTAGTCAAGTGTTGTTTATCAGACTCTGGTGTGGATCACAATCGCCTGGGGACGAATTAAAATGATACATTATTGGGATTTTACATTCTTCCCAAAGAGGCTTTGATTTACTGGGTTTCAGGTTGGAACAAAATGCATTTTATCAAGGACTACAGTTGAGACACTCTGCTGTAGAGGAAAGGCAAACTCTGCCCTAGAGGAAAATGAGGTATCCTAAATTCCATTTTCTGGTTCTTCTTCAAGGCAGAAGGCCAGGACTGAGGTTATTTTGTGGCAACCACATTTATTGAATCTCCTTCCCTGGCATGTAGCTCATCTGGAAATGACTTTCCTGTGGAGGCTTTGATAACCTTATAGGCTCTTAATTTGGATTCTGGAACAGGTTGGGATAAGAAGAAAAATTTCTTTCTTGTGTTTCTAGAAATGTATAAACTATATACTAAGCACAGAGTTTCTGTTGGGAATGATGAAAAAGGTCTGAAGATGGATGGTGGTGATGGTTGCACAGCAGTGTGAATGTACTTATGCCACTGTATTGTACATTTGAAAAGTAAATGGTATTTATGTATATTTTACTGCTATATTATATATTCTATGTATACTACAATAATAACTTTATTAACTCACTACAACTTTTGAGATTATTTTAGTAATCTGTGGGCATGATTCCTGATGAGGACTTCAGTGAGGCAGACAACCATGAAGACTAACTAACTGTTCATCAATTTAGAAAAAATAAGTTTTTGCAGTTGATTTCTCTCTTTTAAAACTTTTAAATTTCAGCAAAGATCTGAAAAATGTGAGTGATGCCTTCTTCGGTCTCTTAAAAAATAAAAATAATGTCCGGGCGTGGTGGCTCACGCCTGTAATCCCAGCACTTTGGGAGGCCGAGATAGACGGATTGCCTGAGCTCAGGAGTTCGTGACCAGCCTGGGCAACACGGTGAAACCCCGTCTCTCCTAAAATATAAAAAATTAACCGGGTGTGGCAGCGTGCGCCTGTAGTCCCAGCTACTCAGGAGGCTGAGGCAGGAGAATTGCTTGAACCCGGGAGGCAGAGGTTGCAGTGAGCCGAGATTGCGCCACTTCACTCCAGCCTAGGCGACACAGCGAGACTCCATCTCAAAAAAATAAAAAATTCAAATAAAAAAATAAAATAAAAATAATTAGGATAGCAAAGCAGGTGTTCAACTTGAAACCTCTCTGTGTTTTCTTGAAGCTTGAAACCTCTCAGTTTCTGCCTTGGATCAGATGATATCTTTGTTGGTCCTTTTCTGACATGAGGTGCTATAGGTCTACAGTTTACTGAGATAATTTACATAACATTTTGATATGGAATATTTTACCTAAAATGGAGTGTGCAATTCATAATTGGAAGGTATAGGGAGGAGTGTTTAATTGACTTGATGCATTCATGTGTCATGCTCAAGGTCAAAAGCCTCAAGTATGTGAGTACTTTGTAACTGGCTGTCTGTCAAAGATACCAGGGAATTCAATCTATTACATGCACTTCACTGCACTAAACCAACACTACATGAAGCCATCAGAACATAGGATGGCCTCACTAATCTCGCTGCAATAATTACTGCAGGTGTCTCCTGATCATTTAAAACAGGCATTTATATTAGGATGCATTATTCTGTTCAAATATTAGGGCCATTAGAATTTTAAGAGAATTTCACTTTGAATATTTGATACAAAAGATGAAATGCTTGTCAAACTAATATATCCTGCACGTTCTCAGCCCCTAAACCTAAGACTGTTTTCTTGGTACGAAAGTATGCATATGTGAAACAAAACGTAAGTGTTTGTCGCTGCTCTTAACTTGTATCTTTCACCAACATCTACAGGAGTTGTGTAGAATAATAAGATTAGAACCCTTCAAAGCTTTAAAAACCAAATCTGGGATTTCAAAATAAAAGAAATTTTCATGGGAGAGAGGGGAGGGCAGTAATTTTGTAAAGTACATTTTTAAAAGGACTGGAATGATTCATTCTTTCAGCGTGTGATTGTGAGTTTGCTGGTGTGGCAGAAAGACTCTTGTTGCTATGGTATCCCTGGACAATGTTTTGGGCATTGGCTGTCATAGCTGTAACTGGTCATTTTAAGGGGGTGTCATACATGCATTTTGACTATTGTTTTCATGATGAAGCTGGATTGTTTTGATATATATTCTATTTCAAATTAAATTATTTAATACAAAACCCTCTTAAAAATGAGCATAATAAGTGAACAAAATAGCTCTTTTATGGTAATGGTAATTTTTTAATAACAGGAAGTGTTAACTATTTTCATTCCAACTGTTATTTAATCATTGTAGAAAGTAGAGAAAGTAGAGGGTCCTTTGTTCTTTTAGCAAGACCTTAATCTTCATTTCTTCGTTAAATTAGTTTTTTTCTTTCTTTCTTTCTTTCTTTCTTTTTTTTTTTTTTTTTGCATTTCCAGCTGCCAAAGTGCTGTCACTGATCTAATTTTAGTATTCACACATATGGAGTAGATGCCAGTCTTGCCTTATTTAAAAAAAGTCTTCCAGTATCGCTAATACATATTTTTCCCATTGGATGATATGCAAAATTATGGGTTTTTTTTTTTTTTTTTGAGAAGAGAAATCCTGGTCAGGACCTGGCTTCCCAAAATACCCAAGGGTATGAATATTGATGAGATTCCTAAATTGGTGCACTTTTGCTAATACATTTACTTTCTGAATTCTAAATTTAGTTTCTAGCTAGAGTCCCCATTAGTCCTTTCTATAGTTTGGCCTCTCAGTGCAAGGACTGGGAAACTGTAAATGTTAATTATATTTGCCCTTGGACAGTTATTAACTCTACTTCCCAACTATCTTCAACATATTTTTTGGTAAGTCACAGCAAAATTGAGTTACATGTGTGAAATGCATCTTAACATAATAGCAAGAGAATGGTTTTCATTGTAGAATAGACATGAGCCTGTATCTCAGCCTTTCTCCTTATGTTTGTATGACAATTGGGAATTTATTTAATGTCTCTGAGCCACTGTTCCCTCAAATGCGAATAGTAATATCTGCCTTGTGATGATTACATAAAACAATATATGTAAAGGTCCAGGTAGAATGCCCTATAAACAGTAGTTATGCACTAATTAATAACTTATTATTATCAGTAATTAATTAATTAAAAATCTCTTAGATATAGGTGTAAATTACAACAGAAGATAATAATCTTTTAAAATCAAGACCAAATGTGACAGAGACAGACCTGAACTTGGCCTTGCAGTGTCCTGGTCCCTCCTGAGTGCAGAGACTATTCCTGCTAATGCGAATTCCACCTTTCTTTTGCCATTCATGCAGCATTCACACATCACCTCATACTTTTCAAAAGAGTTTGATGAAGTGGGTATCTTTATCTATATTTTATAGCCGACAAACCTGAAGCCCAAAGAGAACTTCGTCATTCTATAAGTGGGGACAAAGTTATACCCAGACCCAGGCTCTCCTGATTCCTAGTTTAGTGATATTTTACTCGACCATGCTGCTCCTAGTGAATTGAGTCCCTTCTTTGTTAAGAAACCAGAGCACAAAGAGTCCTATTCATAAGACTGAATTTGACATTTAAATTTTTGGACATTTTTGGCATTTTAATTTTCTTATTAAATGTAATTAACCAAAATAGAAAAACTAAGAATAAAGAAATAACAAACAATTTTAATGCAAGATGGTCCCCTCTGAAGACCATATAGGGTGTTCATGGAGGATTTTCAGGAATTTCCTCGAGACCCATGAAATTGCGTGTTCCATGTTGTATGCTACCAGTGTATTTCTAGGGCAGTGGGCATATCAGATTTTGGGTCTGTGACTGCTTCTCTAAACATATAACAAGAAAAGATACCATCAAGCATATGAGATAAGCAGATTGTTAGAACAAGATACTAAGTTGTCATTTTAAGGGTATCATATATTATTACATTTCAGAAATGCAGAGTCTTACGGTAGGCTGTTGTGTCTGGGATCTACAGAGAAGACTACATCAGTCAGAATGTGTTAGGCTGCAGAATACCTACCTTAAATAATATTTTATGCTATATTACTATTACAGTTTTTAATTGGAGGCCTGTAGATTAGGTAGTTCTAGGACTATCTCAGAGGTTCATTCATGTCAGCAGTGACCTAGGTTAATTTTTTTTTTCTTTCTTCTCTATGCTTCTAAGTATCTTCGCCTTTAGTTCTCATGCATCTCAAGGTATGGTCTCAAAATGCCATCATTCTATCAGAATCACATCAGGGTTGAAAGTAAGGAAAAATGGGGGAAAGGGATGCACCATTAGGCTTCTCTTATTCCTGACACTTTTATAAAGAAGGGAAAGTTTTCCCAGAAATCCTCTTCCATGTAAGACTTTCCTTGTAGCTCATTGGTCATTCCTAGCTTTAAGGTGTCAAAGTACATAAGCATCTGGCAAGGAGAAATAAGATTGCTATAATTGGCCTAGTCCAGTCAAAATCCGTCACTGTGGTCGAGCTCATTGCTACTTAGATGAGAAGTGGTGTTCTGTTGTCTCAGAAAAAGGAGAAACTGGTAGTTAGCTAACCACTATCTCTCTTTACTGTGATAATTTTGCACAAACCAAGATGAATTGACTAAGTTTCGCTCTTTACTAGATTGAGAAATACGTTTCATTCCTAAAATATCCAAATGTACTAAGACATAACCATTTACTTAATTCTTTGCCTCTTAAGTATGGCAATTATTTCTAATATTCTACTTTTAAAGTTGAAGCTATTCAGACTAAGAAAACAGTGAGAGATTCATTAAGTAAGTAACAAAGTTAAACCTGCAACTGATCATTTGATTTTCTAGCAGGTGCTCATTCTGTCCCATGTTAATTCTAACAGAGGTCATAGCTGAACATGATGCCTTATTTCTTCTTTAATCTATATACAGTTTTATGGACTTTGAGTCTTTTATAGCCCTAAATTTTTAGAATAACTCTTAAAAGGAAAAATGCGCCAGATTTTCAGATGTAGGTTTCTCATACAATTAGAGGAATATTCTAACACTGGGTCAACTTAAAGCCTCATTTTGGGATTTATCAGAATATGCAATCTGCTGTTTGGAGGGAATGGCCATTTTGCAACCAGTTTTTCACCTAGTTTATAGAAGCTAGAGGTACATTGTGTCAGTACAAAAACAGGCCTTCCATTCTCTTGATCCATTGTTTCATATATATGGGTGATGGGCTCAGTATAAAAATCTAATGTTTGAATTTCTGACATGTGTTATTAGAATCTACTCCCTAAGGTCTTAGTGAAAAACGTAAATAACTTTTCACTGTCTAATTTAACTCATCTGAAGTCTGCTTATGAATTTTGCAGGAGGAGGCACAAGACTGTATTAGTGTTTATATGTGAGATAAAATTGTTGACTAAAAATCTTTTAAAGAAATGGTTTTTTACATTAATTTGCTAATATAAGTATATACCATGGGACTGACATTGCTTTTCAAGGTTCTATAACATTTCTTTGATGACTAGGTATATGTTGCTTTCTTTTTTTTTTTTGGAGACAGGGTCTCGCTCTCTCGCCCAGGCTGGAGTGCAGTGGCAGAATCTCAGCTCACTGCAACCTCTGCCTCCCAGGTTCAAGCGAGGTTCAAGCAATTCTTCTGCCTCAGCATCCTGAGTAGCTGAGATTACAGGCACATGCCACCACGCCTGGCTAATTTTTTGTATTTTTAGTAGAGACGGGGTTTCACCGTGTTAGCCCAGTGGTCTCGATCTCCTGACCTCATGATTCACCCATGTTGGCCTCCCAAAGTGCTGGGATTACGGGTGTGAGCCACCGCGCCTGGCCATGTTGCTTATTTTTATAAAACAGGGTTATTGGATAGTTTTACGCTTCTCAACAGTGTAATTTTTCTATTGATAAAATTGTACAACTTACTCTTTTTTTGCTTCCTTATCGCATCTTGAGACTCTTGTGCATTCTGGAGCAAGGTTGTAGATGTATCTCTTAACTTCACATATAGTCTCATTTCTGCTCCTGTCTTAATATTGTGACCTTTTTCCCACAGTCTTGTCTGCCACCATGAGAGGCCAACAGACACTTACACCCCCACAATGTATTTCTCTCTCATATTCTTTTGAAAGACTCTAATAGTCTCTAACCCATAAGAACGAATGTTACTTCTTACCCACTTGAGATAGTGATAAAATTAGACCTGGCCTGCCTCTCGTTTTAGGAATATAGCATACTTAGAGTTATGCCTGTTTGCACAGCCTCTGAAGCTGAACTGAGGAAAGTTTAATAAATCCAATGGTCAATCAATAGACAACTATGTTTGAGACGTCTGGTATATGTAAGGTTTGGGACTGGATGCTTCGAGAGATGAAAAAAGGACAAAATACAGCCTTTACCCTTAAGATGCTGTCACATTTCCAAGGGAAAAGATGGCACATGTTCATGAAAAATTAACTGTTACATAAGACTCTGTATACATTATTGGTTGAATTAATTTTGTTGAATGAATACAGCTCCAGTAAGAACACCTATAGGAATTCATAGGAGGGACCAATCATTGTGAGTCAAAGAAACTAAAAAAATCACAGCACATTTGATTTGGAAGAGGTTATCGAGTTCCCCATCACCCAGATATGTAAAGAGACTTCTCAAACTAAGTCCCAGAGAGTGACTGTGATTTTCAAAGAGCTACAAGCTTTTATTGACAGAACCAGTATTTATTTGGAGAGACTGATAGACTTGATTTATTCAGGAAGGAATGGAGAAAAATCCTAGGTGGAAAAGAATATGTTTATTTGACAGATGTATTTGGAAAAAAATAAGCATTTATCTATGGAAAGGAGAGAGTTAAAAAATATGGTTAAGGGCTAGCCTTCTGCTTCTTGCCTTTTATTTTCCCTAAAATGATAGCATGTTCTAGAACTAATGGAATAATTTTTTTTCCTTAGAAGTGAGTGGCATCTGTGTTTTCTCTTTTTAATGGGGAAAAATTATTATTTCCCTTCCGAAATAGTTAATTCAAGGA
Source organism: Homo sapiens (assembly GCF_000001405.40). Classification (NCBI taxonomy): domain Eukaryota; kingdom Metazoa; phylum Chordata; class Mammalia; order Primates; family Hominidae; genus Homo; species Homo sapiens. Next base: position 2,471,567 of record NC_000003.12, read on the forward strand.
ATAGTGCCCTTTTAATCTTATGATTGTCCTCCATAAATGTTAAACTTGTAAATCATCTGGCTTTGTTGAATTGGAGGCCATCTGTCCCTCCAGAGGTGCATTGGTTCACAGTATTCCAAAATGAGGTGATCATGGCATGTGCCAACGGGAAATTAAAAAAGCTCTCCTCTAAATGTTCTAAGCATCAGGTTATGGTGTCAAAATCATTTGCCAATGAACTTTTCATTAACCTTGCCTGAATCTTGTATTAGAATCATGGGTCTTAGCTTCTGAGCACATTTATAAATGCCTTATTTTCGTCAAAGCTGTATACAATACACATTGTAAAACCTAGATAAAATGCTCAGATGTGGCACAAAATGTGATCTGAGTAATTTTGACATCAAGAATCCCATAGATGTGAAGTATTTCTCAAGCTACCTAGAATTGTAAACAAGAGAAGGACTCTTGAGTTTAAAAATGTTCTCCCCGAAACCCCATCTCTACTAAAAATACAAAATTAGCCGGGGGTGGTGGTGCACGCCTGTAATCCCAGCTACTCAGAAGGCTGAGGCAGGAGAATTGCAACAAGAGCGAAATTCCATCTCAAAAAAAAAAAAAAAAAAGTTCTCCCCAGCTCTCCACCTGATAAATCAAAGACAAGTGCTTTTCTTTTGTTGTTGTTGTTGTTGTTTGTTCATTCATTTGTTTTTGAGACAGAGTCTTGTTCTGCCACCCAGGCTGTAGTGCAATGGCCCCATCTTGGCTCACTGCAACTTCCACCTCCCGGGTTCAAGCGATTGTCCTCCTTCAGCTTCCCGAGTAACTGGATTACATGCATGCATCACTGCACCCAGCTAAGTTTTGTATTTTTAGTAGATATGGGTTTTGTCAAGTTGGCCAGGCTGGTCTCAAATTTCTGGCCTCATGTGATCCACCTGCCTCGGCGTCCCAAAGTGCTGGGATTACTGGCATGAGTCACTGCACCTGGCCTCAAGGACAAATTTTACTTACATGGTAAGCAAGATTATTTTGGAAATGATAGAATGCAATAAAGGTGATAGATAACCTTAGAGAAAAAGTTGAAAAAGGAAAGAGGCAGAGGCAATGTAGGGCCTTGACAATAGAAGCAATAAATAAACTAGAAATGAATCCTTAAGCAGGCTCCATTGCAGAAGAAATGCAAGATTTCTCCCAGAAAAACATTTGACATTAGATTCCTCTAATTCCAACATAAGGAAGAAGTTGTAGAGAGAACCATAGAATTTTATAGGTGAACTAAAAGTATAAGATTGTCTATTTTTATTCTTTCAGCTTCTCCTGATTTTTCTTGTAATGTGTGCATGAGGGGTAGGAGTGTGGTGAGTCAATAAGTGATTAAATTGAATTGAAAGACTAGCATAGTCGGCAGGGCGTGGTGGCTCATGCCTGTAATCCCAGTACTTTGGGAGGCCGAAGCAGGTGGATCACCTGAGGTCAGGAGTTTGAGACCAGCCTGGCCAACCTGGTGAAATTCCATCTCTACTAAACAAAAAATTAGCTGGGCGTGGTGGTGGACACCTGTAATCCCAGGTACTCAGGAGGCTGAGGCAGGAGAATCGCTTGAACCCAAAAGGTGGAGGTTGCAGTGAGCCAAAATCGTGCCACTGTGCTCCAGCCTGGGCAACAAGAGCAAAACTCCATCTCAAAAAAAAAAAAAAAAAAAAACACCTGCCAGCATTACTCTCCTGCTGTACTACGATAGCATCTTCACTAGTCTCCCTGTCTCTAACTGGCTTCCTCAATTCCACCTGGACTCTACCTCACTCCTTGCCACTTTCCTTCTTCTCTACTATTCCATACCTTTTATACTAGCCATTGTAAAGTTAATTTATTTGCCCCAAAGCAGTGTACTCCAATAATGTAGCTGCTAGCCACCTGTGTCTGTTTACATTTAAATTAATTAAAATCAGATAAAATTAAAATTTCAGTTCGTAAATTATACTACCCTTATTTCAGATTCTCAATGGCCACTTGTAGCTGATGGTTAACATATTGAATTGCACCAATTTTAGAACATACCTATCAACATGCCTGTCATTGCAGAAAGTTCAGCTGGGCAGTGATGCTTCAAAGATTAGTGGTCTCCCTTGCATTCTTCTCATAAGCCAGAAAGTTACTGGGGTAACAGTATACAACATTTGCCGGCCAGGCGCGGTGGCTCATGACTGTAATCCCAGCACTTTGGGAGGCCGAGGTGGGCGGATCACTTGAGGTCTGGAGTTCCAGAGCAGCCTGACCAATACGGAGAAACCCTGTCTCTACTAAAAATACAAAATTAGCCAGGTGTGGTGGTGCATGCCTGTAATCTCAGCTACTCGGGAGGCTGAGGCAGGAGAATCACTTGAACTCGGGGGAGGCGAAGGTTGTGGTGAGCCAAGATCACGCCACTGCACTCCAGCCTGGGCGACAAAAGCAAAACTCGGTCTCAAAAAAAAAAAAAATATTGCCAAGTCTTCCTCATTTCCCTTCTGGTTTCATATGCTAAGGTTCCTTCTGGGACTGTCTGCCGGGGTGTCATCTCCTTTTTCTTGCCACCTCACTAGCCTGCCTTAACTTTGTTTAGATACCCTTTCTATGCTGTTCTTTTTACATAGGGCTTCCCTTAGCACAGCATTTCATCACATATATCGTAATTGTTTGGTTTTTAGTCTCTACCCTCCACCAAACTCTAAAGCAGTATTTCTTGCTCTTGCTCTTGCTCACGTTCATGCTTGGGGCATGCAGCTTAATGCCTAGCACTTCTTGAACACTCAATAAACTTTTGATTAATTAGTGAATTACTTAAAATGTTTATTCAGAATAAACAGGCACACCTAATAGAATTAATGCATTTATAATTTATATGAACTTAAGCCTTTTAAAACATTTCGCTTTCATTATAAAACTAGAAATTAATTTCTTCAGACATTGCCCTTAAGAAAATTACTCTAAGGAATGTGTAAGTTATGTAAAATATATTTAACCCTAAACCACACAATGATGATGAAGGTGGTGGTTGTAGTAGTAATAATGATAATAGGAAATGTAAGGAAAAATAAGGCAGTCTCACACCCTATTAAGAAGGAAACAACATTTAGAATAAGCCTACTTTGTGTCAAGCCATGTTAGAAACCCATTATTTAATATAATTAGTACAAATCAACTGTTTTCTTTTTTCTATGTTGCCTCCAACCCTTGAGTACATGAATGCATAATTTTCCACTTGAATCCATATCTCAGGTAGTTTATATTTGTAGTTTTAGAATTAATATTTCATTGTAGGTATCCAACATAGTATAATTATTTTTAATGACTGCATGATATTCTTTCTGTGAAGACAGTATCATTTACTTAGAAACTCTCTGATTACCTTTTAGACAGCTAAATTGTTTTTAATCTTTCATATTTTAAATAGCAATGCATTCAATATTTTCATGTAAACAGTTTTTCTTAATGAGAAGGAGGTATTTTACCTTAAGCTGAATTGCTTTGGTTTAAAAATATGTGAGTTTATTGAAACATTTTGCCAAATATTTCTTCATACTGTTGTAGGCATTGTCATCATTTTAAATTCTTTGTTAATTTGACAGGTACGAAATGGACAAAAAGGATTTTAAAGTTGTATCTGGGGTGGGAAATATGTCTCAAAACACTTGGAGATAACTGCTATCATGTTGAGGAAGAAGTCCGTTCAAAGAAGAAAAGGATGCCATTTGTTTTACTTAGTTCTTTAAACTAAAGCACTAACCTCTTTTACACCAAAGTTAATATCCCCTTTATAAACTCTGAGTTCTTAGGTGTTCTTACTCAAGAGGGTAAGGATATGACATTAGTGTCACATCACTCTATGTGGAGTAGGATCCAGTGAGCTTAGGAACCCAGAAGAAACATGTATTCACAGCTTGGCTTTGATAGAAGCAATAGACTGATTTTCATTTGCTCTAAGGGTGTTTTACAATATGTTTCATTTCAAAATGTAACAAATGATAGTGCACAGATGTTTAAATCTTCCTGTATACATTCCCTTCTGCCAATCTCCCATGTCAGTTCCTTTTTATTGATGCTTATTTTTGTTTGACTGTTTAATTGCCATGATTTAAGCTATTGGTGGTTCAGGATGCACTTGCCTGCCCTATATTAACAACAGTAATGCAAAAATAACAACAATAATAATAATGCCTGTTTATTGAGTTTTCTCAAAGATGAGAAAACTGAGTCACAGATGAAGTAACTTGTCCAAAATTGCACTGCTATTCAAACATAGGCAGTCTAGTCTGAATTTCCAGCTCTTAACTCATATGCTCTACACAGTGGATCAGGGTTCTTTTGTTTAGTATTTCAGGTAGTTATAGGTGAAATTCTGAAATACTGTCTGCAAAATGTATAAAAGGTGTTCTTGAGGACTGGTTTGTAGTTGTAGTTTGGGAATACTTGCCAAATGCTCACAAAATCTGGGTTTGAAAAGCATATGGTCTGAGAAGCAGTCTAAATTCACTCCAAATAAGTCACAAAAAATTAATATCCCTTTTTGTTCATGACTGGTGGGCCAGAGGACTCCTTTAGGGTGGGACTGCTGGCCTTCAGCAAGATATGCAGCAGCAACTTTAATGGTATCCTTGTGGAAATTGTGGATGACAATGAGTAGTTCAGGTGATTTTGTGGGCTTGCACTTTCTGATGAAACCAGAGGCAGAGTAGGTTAAGTACATGGAAGTGGAGTGAGCCAATGTCAGTTAAGATTTTGGCGTTTCCACTGCAGGATCTTGAGTACATTTTTGTTTCTCTAAAAGTTTCACATTCTTCCTCTCTGCTCTAGGGATGCTAATGTGCAGCATTCACCACCTGATAGCTGTAAACATAAAAATGGGGTCATGTATGTACTATGTTTGCATGGCACATCCATACAATGTTATACTGTTCAGCAATAAAAGGAACAAAGCACTGCTACCTCTTACGGCAAGAGTGAACTCAGAAACATTTTGCTAAGTCAATGAAACCAGATGCGTTGTATGATTCCATTTATATATGTCCAGGAAAGGCCAATATAGAGAGACAGGAAGTAGAATAGTAGTTGCCTGGGACTATAGATGTGCGTGGAGGATTGACTGCAGAGGGTCCTGAGGGATCTCCTTGGGGTAATAGAAATATTCTAAAATTGGATTGTGATTATGATTGTGCTATTCTTTAAATATTCTAAAAACTCCTTGAATTATACACTTATAACAGGTGAATTTTTATACTCTGTAAAGTATACCTTAGCAAACATAAAAAAAGTAGTCAATAATTGTTGGTATCATTTTATTTTTTATTATTAGTCTTTATTGTTCATATAACTGAGAGATTCTGGGGATGTGCTATAGGACCCTGTATTTGAACTTCATCAGGATTTTAGCTACTTTTTGGATGACAACATGCTTTCACATTTGAGAATGACACAGCTGGAAGGGATAACTAATGGCTTAGAACCCCTAACCAAGATTGGAATTGTTTTGACAGCCTAAAAAGCTGGTTGAAGCCCATAAGATGAAATTGAACAAAAATAAATGTAAAATCTGGCACAGGCTGGGTTCCTCAGGCAAGCAAAAGAGGTTTAAGCAGCTGGCTTCTAAAGTAGCTCTTGTTCTTATAAGAAATGTTTGTGCCTCTCAGAAAGGGAGTGGCAGAAAACCTGGGACAGGATTCAGGCCAAAACTGAAGGCTCCAACTATAAATGACATCTGAGGTTTTTGTTAGATGCTGGAAGAGTTACTTAGTTGGACATTCCATGTTTTATGTTCATATACTAATAATAGTAATTATTATTATATTTATAATGATAAAACTCCATGCTTCCCATGACATAAGCTCTGTGGTAAATGCTTTATATACATTATCTCATTCAACAATTATAACAACCTTACAAACAGAATATTTTTATCCTATTTACATATGCAGAACTGAGTCTTAGTGAGCCTTTAGTCAAACAGCTAGTGAATGGCAGCCCAGTTAGAAAGCACCTAGTCAGGATTGAGGGCCCATATTTTCAACTCTTAAGCTCTATCTTCTACCCTTAGAATTTCTTATTCACAGAATATAGTTCTTGAAATCTAGCAAAGTGAAAATTCAAAAGCAAAGAAGTACATAGTCTATGCATTTTGCGGGGAGAACACAGATGATTTTACCAATACCAAGATTGGTTTATTTTCGCTCTAATCCTTTGGGAGGGACTAATTTCCATCACTGAGTTCTAAACTGCTACGTCTAATGAGCTGTGCGAAAATGCTGAGGTATTGCAGGCTGTGGCCATTCAAGCAAGAAGGCAGTAAGCTCAGTAGGAACAGCTGCTTAATAAAAGGCTATTAGTAGGCCAGAAAACAAACAGGAGATTTTGCTGAAACATATAATCTATTTTTAAATTACTTTGAAATAGTCACTTGGGCATTGATACAGAGGAGGATTATCAACAGTCGGATGGTTTATAGAAAATACCTTGAAATAGACTTTTAGATATTTCCTATTTTATCTTCAATAATCTAAGGAGGGGGAAAGGGCAGTCACCATGTATTTATGAAAAATAAAATAGATGATGCGTTGACTTGAAACCTTTTCATTTTAAAGAAGGAAAATGCATTCTACAAAGTCAGAAAAGTACATTTTTGATGTTTTCTTATTTCAGAGTGTCGCATAATGCATATCTTTGTCTGAGATGTGCTATAGATCCAAGGATCGAGGGCTAGAAGTCTACCTTCTGGCTCTTTTATAGTGTGTATGAATACCATAGAAATGCTCTTTAATTACTTTTTAAAATAATAAATGAAATATGTGAGTTCCGTGATACATAGTTGTCTTTTCTTTATCTGTTTGTTTTTTTTTTTTATTTCCAACTTTTATTTTAAGTTCAGAGGTACATGTGTGGGATGTGTAGGTTTGTTACATAGGTAAACATGTGCCATGATGGTTTACTGCACAGATCATCTCATTACCCAGATACTAAGCCCGGCATCAGTTAGCTATTCTTCCTGATCCTCTCCCTCCGCCCACACCCGTCCCTCTGACAGGCTCCAGTTTGTGTTGTTCCCCACCATGTGTCCCTTTGTTCTCATCATTTAGCTCCCACTTATAAGTGAGAACATGCACTATTTGGTTTTCTGTTCCTGCGTTAGTTTGCTAAGGATAATGGTCTCCAGCTCCATCCATGTCCCTGCAAAGGACATGATCTCATTCTTTTTTATGGCTGAATAGTATTCCATGGTGTATATATACCACATTTTCTTTCTCTAGTCTGTCACTGATGGACATTTAGGTTGATTCCATGTCCTTGCTATTGTGAATAGTGCTGCAATGAACATATTTAGCCCTAATTATATTATATTTATACTTTAATTTTTACTATATAATATCTTGATCACAGCTTTGGCAAAAGGCTTTTTTTCCTTTTCACACCAATGAGAGAAGCTTATCTTAACTGCATATTCTCTTATTTAAGCTTTTTCCTTTTCCCAGCAGGACTTTCATCTTTGCTCATTCTTTCCATCTTTCTGTCACTTTGGCACAGTCTATGACTAGAAAGCATCAACCATTTCAATAATATTTGTTTTGTTTCTCCCTTTAAATATCAAAAAACCTATATAGGTTTGCTTTTTTAAGAGAAAAAAATAATAACTTTATCTGTTGTTACCATTTCTATAGCCTTTTATCTTTTTGACCCAGGAAACAAGTTACTTGTAAACCTTTTTTCACTTAACTAAACAAATGAACATTTTTAAAATTTAAATTTAGCTCCTACTGTGAGAAAACCTTTTAAATGGCTTATTTTCAAGGCATAAGTCTAAGCCCTGGCAGCCAGCCTGCGAATGTAACAAACCACACAACTCATGCGCCTTGAAGGTCACCATAAGTGAACAGAATGTAGAGGAAGGGTCAGCCCATAAAAGGGAAGAAAGTTTCGTTATTGGGAAATTGAAACTTAAGCGGGGAAGGGAACCAGGGTATAACCTTATAAGGGGGATAATGAAACTTACGCGATGCCCGGGAAGATTGTAACCCCATAGTACTCAACCAGTGAGGAACTGGGGGAGGGACTTGCATGCTAGGAGATAAATTACCTGCTGTAGCTTCCCTGGGTGTGCCTGTCTATCAGACACCAGATCTTGCAATACTGCCATTAAAAGTCTTGCTTCCGCTGTTCTTCATGGCTCTGAGTCCATTCTTTGGATTTGGACGGGTGAGCGTGTTTCTCACACTACCAAAATTAGACAAACACATTACAAGAAAATAAAACTACAAACAGAAATTTCTCATGAATGTAGAAGCAAAATCCTCTACAAAATCTTAGCAAATTGAATCAATAATGTATAAAAATAATTATACACCACCACCACCAAGTGGGATTCACATCAGGTATCCAAGGGTGGTTCAACATTCAAATATCAATTAATGTAATTCATCACATCAGTAGGCTAAAGAAGAAAAATTAGACAGTTATATCACTAGATGCAGAAAAGCATTTGACAGATTCAACACTCATTCATGATAAGAACTCTCTGCAAACTAAGAATAGAGAAGCGCTTCCTCAACTTTGATAAAGAATATCTAAAAAAAACCCTACAGTTAACATCATACTTAATGGTGAGAATCTCAAAGTTTTCCTACCAGGATCAGAAACAAAGCAAGGATAACTTCTACCACTGCTTTTCAGCATCATACTAGATGTTTTTAGCTAATGCAACAAGACAAGAAAAAGTAAAAGTATACAGATTGGAAAGGAAGAAATTAAACTGCCTTTTCTTGTAGATGACATGACTACCTATGTAGAAAATTCCAGAAAATCAACATAAAATCTCCTGGATGTAATAAATAATTGTAACCGAGATGCAGGATATCATTGTTAACATAGACCAGTAAATGACTGACTTTCCTGTATATCAACAATGACCAACTGGAACTTGAAAATAAAAACATAATACCATTTATGTTAGCACGCCAAAAATGATATACTTTGATATAAATTTCACAAAATATGTACGAGGTCTATGTGAAGAAAACTAGAAAACTCTGATAAAAGAACTAAATAAGTGGAAATATATTTCATGTTTATACATAGGAAGACTCCATATTGTGAGGAGGTCAGTTTTTCCCAACTTGATCTATAGATTCGATGCAGTCCCAATCAAAATCCCAGAAAGGTATTTTGTGGATATGTACTTATTGAGTCTAAAGTTTATATGATCCAAAATAGCCAATTCAGTATGGAAGGAGAAGAACAAAGTAGTCAATTGAATGACTCTACTCAACTTCAAGAAATGCTGTATAGCTACAGAAATCAAGACAGTGTGGTATTGTTGAAAGAACAGACAAATAGATCAGAACAGAGAGCCCAGAAATATATCCACATCAATATAGTTAGCTAATCTTTGACAAAGGAGTAAAGGCAATAAAATGAAGAAAAGATAGTTTTTTTAATTCTTTCTTTCTTTCTTTTCTTTTTCTTTTCTTTCTTTCTTTCTTTCTTTCTTTCTCTCTTTCTCTCTTTCTCTCTTTCTCTCTTTCTTTCTTTCTTTCTCTCTTTCTCTCTTTCTCCCTCTTTCTTTCTCTCTTTCTTTCTTTGTTTTTTTGAAACAGAGTCTCGCTCTGTCACCCAGGCTGGAGTGCAGTGGGGCGATCTTGGCTCACTGCAACCTCCACCTCCCAGGTTCAAATGATTTTCCTACCTCAGCCTCCTGAGCAGCTAGGATTACAGGTGCACGCCACCATGTCCAGCTAATTTTTGTATTTTTAGTAGAGATGTGGTTTCACCATGTTTGCCAGACTGATCTCAAACTTCTGACCTCAAGTGATCCACCCGCCTCGACCTCCCAAAGTGCTGGGATTACAGGTGTGAGCCACTGTGCCCAGCCAAGATAGTCTTTTCAATAAATGGTCCTGGAACAACTGAACATCAACATGTAAGACAAAAACAAATCAAAAAAAGAATCTAGTCACTGACTTAAACCCCGCGCAAAAAAATTAACCCAAAATGGATCAAAGACCGACATGTAAAATTTAAAACTGTAAAACCTCTTGAAGATAACAAGGAGAAAATCTATGATATGGTTTGGCTGTATCCCTACCCAAATCTCATCTTGAATTGTAATCACATAATCCCTATGTGTTGTGGGGGGGACCTTGTGGGAGGTAATTAAATCATGGGGGTGGTTCTCCTATGCTGTTCTCATGTTAGTGAGTTCTCAAAAGATCTGATGGTTTTATAAGCAACTGGCATTTCCCCTAGAGAGAATGCTAGCACTCATTCTCTCTCCTGCCGCCCTGTGAAGAGGGGCCTCCATGCCTCATGCCATGATTGTAAGTTTCATGAGATCTCCCCTGCCATGTGGAACTGTGAGTCAATTAAACTTCTTTTCTTTATAAAATACTCAGTCTCTGCATAGCAGTGTGAGAACAGACTAATACAGTAAATTGGTACTGCAGAGAGTGGGGTGCTGCTATAAAGATAGACGAAAATGTGAAAGCGATTTTGTAAGTGGGTAACAGAGGTTGAAACAGTTTGGAGGGCTCAGAAGACAGGAAGATACGAGAAAATTTGGAACTTCCTAGAGACTTGTTGAATGGTTTTGACCAAAATGCTGATAGTGATATGGACAATGAAGTCCAGTCTGAGGTCATCTCAGATGGAGATGAAGAACTTCTTGGGAACTGGAGCAGAGGTGACTTGCTATGATTTAGCAAAGAGACTGGCAGCATTTTGCCCCTGCCCTAGAGATCTGTGGAACTTTGAACTTTAGAGAGCTGATTTAGGGTACCTGACAGAAGCAATTTCTAAGTAACAAAGGGTTCAAGAGAAAGCAGATCATAAAAGTTTGGAAAATTTGCAGCCTGATGATGTGATAGAAAAAAAAAAACCATTTTCTGGGGAGAAATTCAAGCCAGCTGCAGAAAATTCCATAAGTAATAAGGAGCTGAATATATCACCATGACAATGGGGAAACTGTCCCCAGGGTATGTCACAGACCTTCAGGACAGGCCCTCCCATGACAGGCCCAGAGGCCTAGAAGGGAAATATGGTTTCCTTGAATGGGCCCAGGGAACCCCTGCTTTATGCAGCTTAGGGACATGGTGCCCTGCATCCCAGCCACTCCGGCCGTGGCTAAAAGGGGCCAAGGTACACACAGGGCATGGCTTCAGAGGGTGCAAGCCTCAAGCCTAGGCAGCTTCCACATGGTGTTGGTCCTCTGTATACACAGAAGTCAAGAATTGAGGTTTGAGAACCTCCACTTAGATTTCAGAGGGTATATGGAAATGCCTGGATGTTCAGGCAAAAGTTTGCTGCAGGGACAAAGCCCTCATGGAGAACCTTTGCTAGGGTAGTGTGAAAGGGAAATGTGGGGTTGGAGGCCCCACACTGAGTCCCCACTGTGGCACTGCCTAGTGGAGCTATGAGAAGAAGGCCACCATCCTCCAGACCCCAGAATGGTAGATCCACCTACAGCTTGTACTGTGCACCTGGAAAAGCCACAGACACTCAATGCCAGCCTGTGAAAGCAGCCAGGAGGGGTGCTATACCCTGCAAAGCCATAGGGGTAGAGCTGCCCAAGGCTGTGGGAGCCCACCTGTTGCATCAGTTTGACCTGGATGTGAGACATGGGAGTTAAAGGAGATCATTTTGGAGCTTTAAGGTTTACTGACTGTCCTATTACATTTTAGACTTGCCTGGGGCCTGCAGCCGCTTTGTTTTGGCCAATGTCTTCCATTTGGAATGGGCGTATTTACCCAATATCTGTACCCCCATTGTATCTAGGAAGTAACTAACTTGCTTTCGATTTTACCACCTCATAGGCAGAAGGGACTTGTCTTCTCTCAGATGACATTTTGGACTTGGATTTTTGGGTTAATGCTGGAATGAGCTAAGACTAGGGGCTATTGGAAAGGTATGATTGTGTTTTGAAACAAGATTTGGGAGGGGTCAGGGGCAGAATGATATGGTTTTGCTGTGTTTCCACCCAAACTTCATCTTGAGTTGTAATCCCATAATTCCCATGTGTTGTGGAAGGGACCCCTTGGGAGGTAATTGATTCATGGGGGCCATTTCCCCAATGCTGTTCTCATGATAGTGAGTGAGTTCTCATGAGATCTGATGGTTTTATAAGTGGCATTTCCCCTGCTGGCATGCATTTTCTCTCCTGCCACCCTGTGAAGAGGTGCCTTCTACCATGATTGTAAGTTTCCTGAGGCCTCCCCAACCATGTGGAACTGTAAGTCAATTAAACTTTTTTTCTTTATAAAATACCCAGTCTCAGGTATTTCTTCATAGCAGCGTGAGAACAGACTAATACTGTCTAGATGACTTTGGATTTGGCTATGATATTTTGGATATGACATCAAAGGCAAGATCTATGAAAGAAAGAATTGATAGGCTGGACATTATTAAAATTAAAAATATTTTATCTGCAAAAAGATACTGTCAAGAGAATGAAAAGAACAACCACAAACTGGGAGAAAACATTGGCAAAGACATACCTGATAAAGGACTGTTAGCAAAATCTACAAAGAACTTTCTTAAAACTCAACAATCAGGAAACAAACAACAAATTTTAAAAATCTGTTACATTAACAGATATTTTATTGAAAAAAATACACAGACAGCAAATAATTATATGAAAAGATGCTACACACCATATGTCATCAGAGAAATGAAAATAACTATGAGATACTACTACATGCTTATTAGAACAATAAGCCAATCTTGGAACACAGACAACCTGCTAACCTGATAAGACAGTAAGTCCAATTCTATTGCTAGACAACATTGCTCAATGTAAAAATAACTCATGGTTTGTTAATTGCATCGGCATGAAGAGGAACTGCAAATGGCCTATGAATACTAGATTGTGATGTGATGCTTTGGGCTTCCCTGGCATGCAGTGACTCTTATAACTGTGTATTCCATGTGAGGACCCTGGAAGCAATTTATATGGAATTGCTAAAGGAAATACTGGCTCCTATAGGGGATGAGGCTTGTAAACCAGGGTGACTTCAGCACAGGACCAATGTGACTCTTGTCTCCTTGTATCTGAACTGTCACCCAGAAGGCTGTGTCAACGGCTACAAGGACATCCACAGTGAGGAACTGCTGCTATCCTGCTGACATGCTGTGCTCTTGAACTGTATTTTTCTGTGTATCCTGAGCCTATTGAGAGGTGACAGCGTGCTGGCAGCCCTCACAGCCCTTGCTCGCTCTCCGCACCTCCTCAGCCTCTGCGCCCACTCTGGCCATGCTCGAGGAGCCCTTCAGCCTGCCACTGTGCTGTGGGGGCCCCTCTCTGGGCTGGCCGAGGCTGAGCCAGCTCCCTCTGCTTGCGGGAAGGTGTGCGAGAGGCACGGGCGGGAGCCAGGGCTGCACCCTGCGCTCACCGGCCAGCGCGAGTTCCAGGTGGCCGTGGGCTCGGCGGCCCGCACTCAGAGCAGCGGGCTGGTGCCACTGGCCCCGGGCAGTGAGTGGCTTAGCACCCTGGCCAGCAGCTGCAGAGGGTGCGCCGGGTCCCCCAGCAGTGCCGGCCGGCCAGTGCTGCGCTCGAATTCCCGCCAGGCCTCAGCTGCCTCCCCGTGGGGCAGGGCTTGGGACCTGCAGCCTGCCATGCAGAGCCTCTCCCCCTGTGGCTGTGGGCTCCAGCGCGGCCGGAGCCTCCGCAGACAGCACCTCCCCCTGCTCCGCGGTGCCCGGTCCCATCGACTGCCCAAGGGCTGAGGAGGGCGGGCACGCGGTGGCACGGGACTGGTGGCCAACTCCGCCTGTGGCCCCAGTGCAGGATCCACTAGGTGAAGCCAGCTGGGCTCCTGAGTCTAGTGGGGACTTGGAGAACCTTTATGTCTAGCTAAGGGATTGTAAATACACCAAGCAGCACTCTGTGTCTAGCTCAAGGTTTGTAAATGCACCAATTAGCATTCTGTATCTAGCTGATCTGGTGGGGACTTGGAGAATCTTTTTGTCTAGCTTAGGGATTGTAAATACACCCATCGGCACTCTGTGTCTAGTTCAAGGTTTGTAAATGCACCAATCAGCACTCTGTATCTAGGTAATCTGGGGGGGACTTGGAGAATCTTTGTCTAGCTAAGGGATTGTAAATACACCAATCAGCACTCTCTGTCTAGCTCAAGGTTTGTAAACACACCAATCAGCATCCTGTGTGTAGCTCAAGGTTTGTAAATGCACCAATCAGTGCTCTGTGTCTAGCTAATCTAGTGGGTACTTGGAGAACTTTTGTGTCTAGCTCAGGGATTATAAACGCACCAGTCAGCACCCTGTCAAAACGGATCGATCAGCTCTCTGTAAAATGGACCAATCAGCAGGAAGTGGGTGGGGCCAGATAAGGGAATAAAAGCAGGCTGCCTGAGCCAGCAGTGGCAACCCGCGCAGGTGCCCTTCCACACTGTGGAAGCTTTGTTCTTTCGCTCTTTGCAATAAATCTTGCTGCTGCTCACTCTTTGGGTCCACACTGCCTTTGAGCTGTAACATTCATCTCGAAGGTCTGCAGCTTCTCTCCTGAGGCCAGCCAGACCACGAACCCACTGGGAGGAACAACAACTCCAGACACCCTACCTTAAGAGCTGTAACACTCACTGCGAAGGTCTGCAGTTTCACTCCTGAAGCCCGCGAGATCAGGAACCCACCAGAAGGAAGAAACTCGGAACACAGCTGAACATCAGGAGGGACAAACCCTGGACACACCAGCTTTAAGAACTGTAACACTCACCCACCGTAAGGGTCCGCGGCTTCATTCTGGAAGTCAGTGAGACCAAGAACCCACCAATTCCAGATACACTATGATAGTCTTATGTTTAGCTGAATCAAGAGGAACTTCTAGAAGGTAGTAAACATCTGACTAGAACATTATGATCAAAATAGTGAAATGTTTGGATTTTTGAATGATTTTAATATGATAGTGAAAAACAGTTGTTCACTAAAGACCAGATAATTTAACTTGATTCTTATAGAAAAATATAATATTTATTGAAGTCTACTGTGTTACCCCCCGGATTCATAGCTGGATACATTTTTAAAAAAATTATAAGACACTAAAAACCCAACTTAAAAATGAAAATTTATACCTGACAAGTATTTGTTTTGTCAGAATACCAGCTTGGCTGAGTATTTTTGTTACTGTCTCCATAAATTTTATATATTTTCTGAATAACATTTATTTGGGTACAACTGTAAAGGAATGGATTAGCCTTCATGTTTGATAATTGGAGAATATTGGGTAGATTGGTCATGTTACCAGAATGGGCAAAAATGGACCATTTAGAGTGTTGAATTTAAAGTTAGGGTCCTAGTTTTCTCCAAACTGTTTTTTATTAACTTCAAGATTATATAAAACAACATATTTATGTTATCTTATGTATTTGTGTTCTTTTTTAAAAAAAATAAGTTAGGCGATCCTTTCTTTATATAAATCACATAGAAATTTATAGCCTAGTTGAAATGGGCCACCAAATTCCTGCTACCTTCTCCCCACTTTTTTTCTCATCTAGCAGCTTTTGAGGCATCACTAGGGATCCACAAAGGGCAGTTTGTAAGAACACTGCTAAACATAATTATTGTGGTTTCACACGGTGTATTTTGCCATTGGTAGCCAATTTGTTGGTAAAATTACTAATGTAAAAATAATTTTTAGTGTATATAAACATATCATTTCTGACCTTGATTCTTTTCTCTGCTTATGTATAAGCATGCTTATCTTTACTGCAATATATTTGCTCTTACAACTATTACCAATTCGTAGTATGGAGGGTTATTGTTTAAACTTAATTTAAGAAAGTAACAAGAAGGAAAGCCACCTTTTGTCCAGCAACCAAACTTCCCTTCCCTCCCTTTCTACCATCCAACCAATTTACCAGCCAAGCATTTATCCTTCCATCCACCCCACAACAATTATTTGTTGCCAGGGGATTTAGAGATAAATACATAATCGTTGCCTTCAAAAAGCCCTAGTCAATTATATTCCTTAGGATACTACCAGCATTTCCAAATACTCTTTAGCACAGATTATTTCCTTCAAATTAAAATAAAATGTGTGCATGACTCTTTTTTTGTTTGTTTTGTTTTGTTTTGTATGAGAGATTGTGACTTCAAGAAAGTTTAAAAGCCTTTGGCTAGATACTACATTGATATTGATCTCTTTCTTCTTATACCTTTGTAATTTTTGAAATACATGAGAAACTGTCGTTTACGCTTTCCTTTCATTTTCCAATCTCCTATTGTATTTGGCACATAGAGTTGAAAGGAAACAATATTAGCATTTAGTAGCAAATTAATTTTCGCAGTAACAAATGACATGTACCAATAAGTTATATTTGTTCATGAAAATACATTTAGAGAGTTATATTATGACTTGGTGAATTTTAAGACCGAAAATAAAGAGCCAACTTAGCAAACCTGTGGCTGATCAACACAGATTAAGACACTTCTAGTTTCTCCCTCTTTCCATTGGTGTGTACCTTACCAATCAACACCCTCAAAGCAATTAAACTATATATAGTTATCCCTAATACACATTTACTTCCTTGGGCATTAGCCAGAATGCACATTTTATGATCACTTATCCTTCAAATACAACTACTGGTAATTATCTAAGATGTTTAGATGCAGAGGTTTGACAATTAGCAATCAAAGTTCATGTTTGCTAGGAAAATGTACAGCAAGTCCTCAAATAACATCCTTTTGCTCAATGTCATTTCCTTATAAGTTTGAGGGGAAAAAATCCATTCCTAGCTGGAGCCATTGTCTGTATGGAGTTCACACATTCTCCCCATGTCTTGGGTTGTCTCTGGGTACTCCAGTTTCCTCCCACATCCCAAATATGTGTATGTTTGGTAAATTGGTGTGTCTACATTGTTCCAGTGTGAGTGAGTGTTGGGGGGTGTGTGTGCCCTGTGTGAGATGTCCTCCTCTCCAGGGTTGGTTCCTGCTGGTGCCCTGAGCTACTGGGATAGGCTCCAGCCACCTGTGACCCTGAACTGGAGGAACTGGGTAAATCATTTGTTTTGATTAATCTTTCTTAAATGTAAGTATAGCTTACATTCATCTCAATGTTTAATATTAAATCTTGTTTATATAAATTAGCCTATGATAAAATTGGTTTTTATATGTCATTTCACTTAAAGTCAGTTTCCAAGGACCTATCAACAACATGAAAAGAGGACTTACTGTGAACACATCTGAACTTTCAAAGCTTGTGTAGTAGCATTCAACGGAAATGCATAAACTTCTCTATGCATTAGTACATTAACATTCCCTTTAATTGAAATGAATGCTTACAAGTGTGAAAAGCAACTAATGTAGTGTTATTTAAATTGAATGTAGGCTCCATTTTTAATAATAGATAGTCTAGAATCATAGATAAAAAGGAATGATAAATAATACAATAGAGTCCAAATCATTCATCTCTGCATCACTCTACAGAAACATGCTGCTTTCCATCAGATATTTTTTCTGGCATCAAACCTCTGTTTTTGCAAATTACTTTTTTTTCTGTGAGTTTTTAATGTTGAAATATTTTCCACATTAGCATGTATTGACTCAGTTTACTTTTTGGTGCACTATTGAAATCACTCAATTGAACGGGAACTTATGCCAGTCCTGAGAGGATAAGAAACTTGTTGAAAATTATTTTTGCCCTCTCAACAAAAGACATTAGATTTTTAAGTATCCTAGAATTATCATGTTATGTCTAATAGCAGTCATCATAGTGATTAAGGCTTCCCAGGCCTCACCAAGATTTGGGTAACAAATGAAGCAATGTAGTAGCTTCGTTCACCCATTTTACTTATTTGAATGAAACTGGAGAAAGGCTGGGCTAAAGGAAAGAAGCCCTCACTCCCACACTTACCCTCTTTTTTCTCATTCCCTTATGCTATATTTGTCTTCTTTGCCATATTAAACCAGAAGCCTCAGCCAAAATGAAGAGAAACACAGAAGGTATTTCTTAGTTTCCAAAGTACAATGTTCTGAGGAATTAAGAGAGTTTGAAGAGTAACTTCCTATGTTCAATTTGGGGAGAGTTATGTAGTAATTTTATAACCTCCCCACTCCAAAATAATGCTAGTCATACCAGTATCTGTCACTCATAGAAATGCCTTTTCTGCATGTTAAGTTTAAAAAATGTTTCTATAGGGTGTGATGCTTCTGCTTAGAATAAGCCACATATTTAGCTGTGTGAAAAGATGATGGAATTTAGTCTTTTTCTTCTTCCCTTCCTTTCTTTCTACTTTCCTCCCTTCCAACATTCTCTGTTTTATTCAATTTCTCTAAAGAATGCTGGGGAGAGCCCAGCCTATCTTGCCTATTTGACCTTTACTCTGAAAAGGATGTATGTATGTCTCGTATAAAACATACAGTCTATTCTGCCATTTTATATTTTTCTACAACCACTAATAACCAAATTGTAAATAGGGGAATGTGAAAGTCATATGAAGTCATATATTATCCTATACAGAGGTTTCTGAAATAGCAGGATTAGAATTATTATCTCTACCAGGAAAGGAAAAAAAAAAAAACCTCTCAAGTAACAGCCATATAGACAAGAGAATTTTCAAGTCTGCTTACAAAAAGGAAAAAAGAAAACAAGCAAACAAGCAAACGTGAACATCTGCACCAGGGGCTTTTCCCCTTGAAAGGCACACGCTCATCTGAGCATGGCTTTCTGCCGGTGTAGGCTGCACTTTCTCAAAGCCTACTGCTTTCTGCAAGAAACTGTCACGCCCACTCTCATGGTTTTGTGTACTTTGAAGTACCACCTAGTTAGTCTCCAACTATGCTCAGCTGCCTACCTAGGTTATCCAAGATAATTTCTTAGGGGGCACTAATAATTGTCTTTGGTAATGTTCTTGTTATGGAGCTGTAAGAGTTTTTAGTGGCCTACCAAAAATTTGTTTTTCCTCATAAGCCATATTTTGGGGATATAATTTTACAAAGAGTAAAGTTGTTCAAAAATGCATGTCTCCGGGTATGGTGGAAATGCCTATTTTATCCTCCTTTATGCTAATGCAGAACTCTTTTACAGTTTTATATTTGTGCACTAAGCAACATTTTGCAAACATGGAAAATAGCTTGAACACTGGAATATATGTTGCATTATAAGTAATTTTGTCTACTTTGTATGTATTATTAAATTTATCTTATAGGAAAAATCTCACCCTGAAATATGGTCATGAATTAAAGGCAATCAACTTTCAAATCACGCCCACCCTTTATTTTCTCATTCCCGTATGCTATACTTCTCTTCCTTGCTGGATGAAATGAGAAACTTCAGCTGAAATGAAAAGAAACACAGAAATTATTTCTTAGTTTCCAAAGTACTATGTTTAGCGACCAAGATGCTGTTATTCAGGCCTCCCAGTTGACAGAATGACCTAGATCTAGAGATCAAGATACCACCTTCTTTAGTGTATACAAATTTCCAAATAAAGAAAGAATAGGGGGGAAAAATCAGTCTTTCCAGGAGGGTAGAATCTTCTACATGAAAGCAACAAATATACTTCTTCAGAGCCTAAATCAATCTGGAAAACCAATAGAACAAGACATTTAAAAGTGTATATTGTGCCTAATATATCTCTTTTCTCCTCCATATCACCCAGCACATAGTACGTACTCAGAAATGTCTGTAGGAAACAGCTTATTGTGAACAAATTCACCCCCAAATGTATGAATTTATGATTATCAATAGAAATAAAGATAGTTGTAAGAATTGAAGAACTGAATTACACAAGAGTAATAGATTGAAAATTTTTATATGAGCACAGTCTCCTTACCAGATGCCTTACGCTCTAATGGGTCAACAATTGACATGAAAAGAAAAAATACACGTGTATAGATAGATATATGTGTATGATAAAATGTCAACTGCTATTGAATCTAAATTTTGGGTGTATTGGTGATTATTATACTTAAAAAATATTTTTCTGAACGTGTAAGCACTTTCACAAGAAACTAGGAGAAGAAGTATTGTTGCATAATAAGAGATGTCTAATAAAAGAGATATTACTGTGAAATCTTTTATAGGCCCTCACAGGCTGCAAAAATCATTTTCAAACTTGTATTATTTAGTTTCAACTATCCTATCCAACCTGTATTTTCGTGTGTAGTTCAAATCTCTTTAATTATAGTTTTCATATTTATGGCCTTTGATATTCAGTATGGTAGAAATGCCCTTAAAGACATATATAGTCTCCTAATTTAAATCCTTCAGTAAAACTAGAAATCGACATTTTCTCGAATCTTCCGTCAAGGAGCAGACTGCCTGCCGTGGTTTTATTGCAGTCTGGTGCTTTACACCACTTTCTTCTCTGTGATTATTTGTGAGTCATTTTGTAAGTTTTTACTTTGTTTCATAAATCTATACTGTAAACTTTTTAGGCAATGATTATCTTAAGTCTTTGTTTTTTTTTAGTTACCTGTGAATCAGAAAATGAGGGAATTTAGACTATATCACATTGTTTTGATTTTGATTTATTTAAAAAAAATCTATGCACCTTTCTGCATTTATTCAATAATAACTCGAAATAATAATAATAACTTGAAATCTCCCTGAAGGCAGGAAATGTTGCCTCCTGCGTTTCTAGCACAGTGGCTTTTATACAATGGCTGCTTAGTAAATACTGTTGAATTTTGATGTAAAAGGTGGCACATGTACCTTGCAGATATTTTGTACTCTTTTATTATAGCGCCTGTTTTATAGCATTTGTGAGCCCTTCCTTCTAAACGTGTCCCAAATTTCAGAGAGATTGGAGTTTGCGATAGTGGGTCAGATTTTTGGGCTTAGTCCTGCAGGCTTATCATGGATCTGGGGCAGTAATCTAAAGACATTGGAACTGAGATGTCATACCCGGTTGACAACTGGGGCTCTAATTCAGGTCTGCGAGGCCTCATTCTCTCATTGACAGAACGAGAGAGCAGATTCTACTTTTAGGTATATTGTTTTGGAGATCCAAGAGCTGGGAGCAGCCATTTCTTCTCATCTTCCTTTTCCATATTTACAGATACGTAGGTGACCATGTTATCTGTAATAGATATTTTTTACTCTTTGTTGAAATAATTGGGAAGAAAATTCTTAGTTGTTTGGCTTATTATCAAATTTTCTTAGTTTTTTATTTAATCTATTTTTATGACACTTTGGATCCTTCTGTTTAAGAGACTGCAATAAATGAAGGAGAGGAATGAAGCAAATAAACTTGGATTAGCTGTCTTTGTTGATATCGTTTAGGAAGAACCGCATGCCAGTACCCTAATTAACAAATACATGGTGTGATAGTTTATAGTTCAAACAGTATTGTCTAAAGTCGTTTTAATCTATCAGGTTTTTATAGGAAGATACCACAAAGACTTGATGGTACAGTTACACAGATTTAATTCTATGAACATAAAAAAATTGATTTTCCTGGGGGCATTAAGAACTGTTTTTATTGATTGAATATTTTACTTGCATAAATGGTAGTTCTTAAAAACAGCTGCACATTTTACTGTTAGTATCTGAAAGTTCTTAAATTGTAGGCGTAAATGTTTCATTTTAATTGTGCATTTCCATCCTTCAACCCAAGTAACAAGAAGATAATATAGAGAGTGTGTCATACTTTTTCTGGGTACAAAGATGATAAAGTTGCTGTCCATACTCTCAAAATAACTTCTTTCTTATTCCTTTTGTTTCTACCTGCTCTAAGATAATTGACTCAATGGGACTACCCTAATACTCTTGCAGAATCTAAACTAGATTATACTGGACATTGGAAGAGTTTACGTATCAGAAAATGCCATTCCTCCGGACATAAGGTAGTGAGATAATATTTTAGCTTCTTCAGGAAAACTTTCCTGAAACCTCAAAGCTGAAGGATGTCTTGGAAGCATTCGCATTTCTGGCCTCCCTCATTTTACAGGGCTGGAGATGCAAACCACACACGGATCTAGTTGGTGTCTTCTCATGAACTAGAAATCTTATTTTTAGAATATTCTTCCAGTGATTTCTGCCACTATAGTTTTATTGTTGGTTTGAGCAGTTAGTATTGAGGATTCATTTTGGAAGGAACTGCTAGCTGCCAACCAATATCCTTTATTTCTTTGTACTTTAATAATAGAACACCAATTTTATTTTGGGCAACCATGTGCCCAGATAAAATACTGTAATTGCTAACACATTCACAACTAATACGGTCATGTGGCTAAATTTTGTCCACTAACCAGAACTATTATGGGGAGACTTCAGAGATGTTTCTGGGGAAATGATTCGGCTGGGAATTGTGCTGTCATCCTCTTGTTCCTTCTTTTTGCTGCCTGGAATACAGACTTGATGACTGGAGCTTTAGTGGCTATCTTGGACCAAGTGATGATCTTGAAGATGAAAATGCTATTCTAGAATAGTGGCAGAGTGAGATAGAAGAAGCCTAAATCTTTAATTGATGACTATAGAACTGTTATACCAGTCCTGGATTGTTTATTAGGATTTTTTTTTTTTCCTGTAGTCAGAAATGAACTTCTCTTTTATTTGAGCTATTATTATTTTCCTCTTACATGTTATTGAACCAATTATTGATGAAAGAGAGTCAAACTCTGTAAAATATTGGAAAGGATTTATGTTTAGCCAAATATAAGTGACCAAGGCCTAAGGCACAGTCTCAAGAGTTCCGGAGAACACATGCCCAAGGTGGTTGGGTTACAGACCAATTTTATACATTTTAGGGGACAGAAGTTACAGGCAGACATCAATCAATACATGTAAGGTATACTTTGGTTTTGTCCAGAAAGGTGGTAGAACCTGAAGCATGTGGCAGGGGGCTTACAGGTAATGGGTAGATTTAAAGATTTGCTGATTGGCAGTCCTTTGACAGGGTTAAGCTCTGACTGAAGAGATGAGGTCAGCAGAAGGAAATATTTGTAGTTAAGATAAGGGGCCTTGTTGAAGCCAAGGTTCTTGTTATGTAGATGAAGCTTCCAGGTAGCAAGCTGCAGACAGAATAGCTGGTAAATGTCTCTTATCAGACCTTAAGAGGTACCAGACTCTTAGTTAAATCTCTCCTGGATCAGGGAAAGTCCTGGCAGGGGAAGGAGATTCACTACAGAATGTAGCTTTTCCCCACAAGAAACAGCTTTTCGGGGTCATTTCAAAATATGTCAAAGAAATATATTTCAGGGTAAAATACTTTGATTTCTTTCAGAGCCTGCTGTCTGTTGTGTGATGCTATACCAGAGTCTGGTTGTAATAGTCTGTGTGGTCAGTCTTAAGATCTCTGTGTTAATGCTGGCCAGTTGTGCCTGAATTCCAAAGGGAGGAGAGTAAAAAATACTGTATGTATGTACAATATGTTTTCCATTAATAATAGTCCTTGTTCTATATCAGGGTTTCTCAACCCAAAGTTCATGAATTTCTTGAGGTATTATGAAAAACTATACTTGTATATACATTTTTTTTCCTACAAAGGTAGTCCATTAAGTCCTCGAGAGATCTGGATATCAGAGACAGTGCTCAAAATAGGAAGATGATATTTATCTAGAGAAGGGCTTCATCTATTGCAGAGCAGCTAAAGTAGAAGATTATTTGAAATGCCGCCTTCAACATCATAATCAATATTTAATAGCAATCTCTGAATGTCTAAAATGACAGGCCTTCAAGTTCTTATTTCAAATACCTCTTCCTCTCCAAAATATTTTTCAAATTGCCAAGTAGGAAATAATATTTCCCTTTTCTAATTTCCCATAATACTTTAATACATACTCTCTTAAAATACTTACCTGTGTGTTTTGAACTTCTTCAAGTTCCTTGAAAGCCAATATCACATCTAGACCACCATTAAATCCCCAGCCATTTACAAATATGACTTATTCAATAAATCCTTGTTGGATGAATAAATTCCTGAATCCATTGGCTTATTTTGGTGGACACACTACACTTTTAATATGGCTCTTGTTTGGTCCCCAATCCCCAGGCCATGGACAGGTTACCTGTCTGTGGCCTGTTAGGAACCTGGCTGCACAGCAGGAGATGAGCAGCAGGCGAGCGAGCATTACCTCCTGAGCTCTGCCTCCTATCAGGTCAGTGGCAGCATTAGATTCTCATGGGAGTGCGAACCCTATTGTGAACTGCATACGAGGGATCTAGGTTGCACCCTCCTTATGAGAATCTTACTAATGCCTGATGACCTGAGGGGGAACAGTTTCATCTTGAAGCCATACTCCCCTTGCCTGGTCCGTGGAAAAATTGTCTTCCATGAAACCAGTCCCTGCTGCCAAAAAGGTTGGGGACCACTGGTTGAAAACATAGGAAACTTCAGCCTCAAAAGTAATTTAATAGGAAGGCTCCAAATTGGATCCAGGTTTCAGCCACTAGAACATAGCACAGAGAAGGCACAGATGGCAGTCCACAGCACCTGGCTGAAACACAGATTGGCCTCTTGTCTTCTGTCCCTAACCATCCAGATGATAGATTTATGCACAAGCGGGCTCAGAAAAATTAGACTTAAGAAGATATAAACCATTTTCTACCTGGGAGATATCAGTTGTCAGCATTCTATTTTCTGTGTAGTAGTTATAAAACAAAAGAAAGTTAATCAAATGTTTCCTCTGGATACAAATTCTGATTTGTCATGTCATTCCAAAATGTAGTGGCACTGTAAAATTCTACCAGTAGGAAAGCCATTTACTCTTGATGACGTCCGATGTGCTTACAGTCGATATTGATTTAATTCTGCTTGGTTGTTGTTTATTAGCTCATTTCATTTTTACTGGGGTATTGGACATTTTTAGATATGTCAGGAAAATATTGTTTTAGGATTTTAGGGAGCTTAAAAACAATGCCTCTCTTTCTCCACAAAGTTCAGAAGCAATGGGGAAACATATGTAACAGTCTGATACAAATAAAAATATAACATTTATTATCGATGAAGTGAAAAATATGACATAGATTTGTTGACCAGTAGAGTGCTAATAATTCACCCCTGAATTAAGTGGATTTACCTACCCAGTTACTTTCACGCTTGGACAATTTCAGTCTCCTGGAGATAGGCTCTGTGATGGGTGGTTGGAAAGCAGAACAGAAGGCACCATTTTTGAAGGTAAGGGTTTCAGAAAAAAGAATAGAAGAAGAGCTGAGATGCCTATGTTCAGTTCCCTTTTCCAAAGTCACTAAGGAAGGTCCAGGAATGTTGTCCTACCATTGTTTTTCCAAATGGAAATATGTGATATGGGTAATAAGTGTTCCCTTGTGTTAAGGCTCTCCAGAGAAACAGACCCAATATATTAAGAGGTCATTTATTGTGGGAATTGGCTCTCACAATTATGGAGACTGAAGGCCTAAGAACTGGGGACTTCTCATAGAAGTCCTGGAGTCTGAAGGCTTGAGAATCTGGAGCTCTGATATCTAAAGGCAGACAAAGATGGATGTCCCAGCTCCAGAAGAGAGCAAAATTGCCCTTCTTCAGCCTTTTTGTTCTGTCTGGGCTATCAAGGACCCAGGTGATGCCTGCCCACATTGATGAGGGCAGATTATCTGTACTTTGGAAACAACGTCACAGAGACACCCAAAAATGTTTTACTAGCTATGTAGGAATTCCTTAACCCACTTCAGTTGACATATTAATTTAACTATCACTTCCTTCTTCTTTCATATGTATTTCACTGTGTTCCTCTGACACTGTTTGAAATTTTAAGTGATGTCATCATTTTCTTCTCACTACAACCTTTAATGGACACTCTTCCCCTATTGAATCACATATAAAGTCCTTGGCACCTAAGATTACTGTGAACTGGCCCCCAGTATCTAAAATCAATACCTGTAGTTCACATCCCTATAGCATTTTCACCCTCAAATGACTTAGCTCATTATGTAGTTTTTGGAAAATCCAGAATGTGGTACATTTTCACACCTACTGTTAGTAGTTCTCACCTTGACTTGTATAATGAACCATTTAATGTCCTGTGCTCATGAGTGGCAACCTAGGGAGACCTAAGCGATCTTCAGTAAGAAGAGGTTTGAGGATTTAGGGGTGGGAGTTAAGTCTCATAAGATCCAGGTGAAGTTATATAAGCATTGTGGCATATGAAATTTCATATATTTTGTATTAATATTGCTGATTGGTGATGTGAACTTATTTAATGTCATTTTCCTGTTCTTGCCTACCCGATTGAATACTAAAGAGCTAAAATTTTTATTCTCTCTTATGACTTTTGAATCCCTTATAGAGCACTTAACAGAATCTATAACTATTGAATTTACTTATCAATTACTTATCTGTTATCTTTCTCCCTCCACGGGATATAAACCTCATAATTGTCATGTTTGTCTAGCTCTTCAATATGATCGGCACCACATAGACCATAAATATGAGTTGAGTGAATCCTCTCAGTTATTTACTTGCTCACTTCTACTCTTTTTCTCTACCTTTCCACCCACCCATAATCAACTATTACTAAAATTAGAAACAAATGAAGTAATTTCAAATGCCTTATAGAAATATAGTAAGTCAATGGTAGTAAAAAGTTGTTTATATCATGATATAATATATGGCCAATTCATTGAATATTACTACTTAATTTCATCTTTATGTATTTTTGCAAATATATATGAATACTTATGGAGTTTGAATATATATGAGGAATATATATGGAGTATGAATATATATGGATTTTGAATATATATGAATACTTATGGAGTAAATACTGATTGCATTTATGGCAACATATTCATTAATAACTGAAACCTAACATGAGCACTGCTGCTAGGTTGTGTGGTAATTACAGTTCAGTTATTTTAGAAATTGCTGAAATGTTTTCCAGAGTGTCTCTATCATTTTACATTCCTCCTAGCAATGTATGAGTGATGCAGTTTCTCCACATCTTCCCTAGCAAGCAATATTTTCGCTAATTTTTGTTTGTTTGTTTTAGCCATTCTTTTTGTTGTTGTCGTTGTTGTTGTTGGAGACAGGATCTCGCTTTGTCACCCAGGCTGGAGTGCATGCAGTGGCATGATCATGGCTCACTGCAGCCTTGGCCTCCCAGGCTCAAATGACCCTCCCACCTCAGCCTCCAGAGGAGCTGGAACTACAAGCGCATGCCACCACGCCCAGCTAATTTTTGTATTTTTTTGTAGACACGGGGTCTTACCATGTTTCTCAGGCTGATACTGAACTCTTGGACTCAAGAGATCCACCTGCCTTGGCCTCCCAAAGGGCTGGTATTACATGTGTGAGCCACTGCAATTTTTCCTCTTATTGATGGTGCTTTTTTTTTTGAGATGAAGTCTTGCTCTGTTGCCCAGGTAGGAGTGCAGTGGTGTGATCTCGGCTCACTGCAACCTCCACCTCCCAGGTTCAAGTGATTCTCCTGCCTCAGCTTCCCAAGTAGCTGGGACTACAGGCGTGCACCACCACACCAGGCTAATTTTTGTATTTTTAGTAGAGATAGGGTTTCAACATGTTGGCCAGGCTGATCTCGAACTCCTGACCTCAAGTGTTTGCCCGCCTCAGCTTCCCAAAGTGCTGGGATTACAGGCGTAAGCCACTACACCTGGCTTGATGGTGCTTTTGGTATCAAGTCTGAGAACTCGTTGCCTAACCCTAGATCTTGAAGATTTTCTCTTGCATCCTCTAAAATAGTTTTATATTTTATATTTAAGTCCATGATCTATTTTGAATTAATGCTTGTAGTGTGAGATTTAGGTTGATATTCATTTGTCTCTGGATATCCAGTTGCTCCAACACCATTTGCTGAAAAGCCTATCCTTCTGCTATTATATTGCTTTTGTACCTTTCTCAAAAATTAGTTTGACTACTAATGGATATAGAGTTTATTTTGGAGGATATGAAAATATTCCTGATTAAATAATAATGATGGTTGTACAACTCCATTAACATACTAAACAGAATCTATAATTATTGAATTTACTAAATTGTATATCTAAAGAGGTGAAAATTATGGGGTGTGAATTACATACCAATAAAACTGTTATTTTTTTAAAACTTGGGTGGATTTGTATTGGGTCTATTTCTGGGTTCCCTACTTGTATTCATTGATCTATGTGTCTGTCTCTCTGCCAGTATCACACTGTCATGATTAAGGTAGCTATATGTTTAAGCCTTATTACTGGGTAAATTGATTTCTCTCATATTCTTCTTTTTTATCTAGATTGCTTTATTCTAGGGTGCTTATCTTTCTATATAAATTTTAAAGTAAGTTTTAAAATGTCTACTAAAACCTTACAGGGAGTTTGATAAGAATTTTATTAAGCCCATATATTTCTTTGGGGAAAATTGACATCTTTTTTACATTGACCCTTCCAGTTCATGAACCTGGTATGTCTCTCTGTTTACTTAGTTCTTCTTTTATTTCTTCCATTGTCATTTAGTTATTTTCAATATGCAGATCCCATGCAAGTTTTGTGAATTTTGTACTGAAGTATTTCATTTCCTTTGGAATGATTTTAAATGGTATTATGTTTTTAATTTTGCCTTTTAATATCCATTTTTAATGTATACAAATACAATAGATTCTTGTGTGTTTATCTTATGTCAACATCCTACAGTATCTTGCAATATTGCTGAACTCAACCTTTAAATTTTTAAGGTTTATGAATATTGGACTTTAAAAGTTTTATATTAATTAGTATTTTTATCTTCCCCTGAATAATACCAGGAGTTTAAAATGCTAACTTGAATCACCTTCTTTCTGAGGCCCATTAATTGCAGCCTAGTATTTTAGATTTGCCTTCTTTTCACCCTTAAAAATCCTTATTATAAGTGTTCTTTTTGTTGCTTTTTTAGTCAGTAATTGTGTAGATTTCTCAAAGTGTTATTTTAGCTTCTAAGATCATCATTCTTTAATTAACGTTTACCCAGATAAAAGTATAAAATTATATTTTGACACTTATTTTTTCTTAAGTGTTTGAAAATAGTATTATTCCATTGTGTTCTTGCCCCTCCTTTCTAATGAGAATTCTGCATACAATCTAATTGTTATTTCTTTGTAAATACTTGCTTTTTGTTTCTGGTTGCTTTTTAAGATTTTTCTCTCCATCTTGGGTATCCACTGGTACACTAATATGATTGGTTACTTTAGGCTTTGTTTTTATTAAACCTTTTCAATGTTCAGTATGTTTCTTTTTTTTCTGAAGACAACTTTTGATATAATTCATTCTTAAACAGAATCTATTTGATATTTAATTGTCCTTTGAGTTTTTTTCTTAATTTTTTCTATTGAAGTATAAATTCCACATACTGAAATACATAGTCATTAAGTGTGCAGGCTAATGAGTCTTTGCAAATGAACATTTACCTGTGCAAGCATCGTATTTGTCAAGATAAGGAACATTTTCTTCCCTGCAGAAAGTTCCTCATGTCCCACTTTTTCAAGTCCTCTTTTTTCCCCCCCGCACAATGTATAGATTGTTAAAATTGTACTCTCTGCTCTTAGATTTTTATAATGAATTTAAATATGTATTTTATATCTTTCAGGTTCTTCCATTATTTTTAGGTTTTTGCATGCCAGTTAATACTTGAAACTTCTGTTTGCTCCTGATGATGGTTGTCATTGCATGGTGTATTTTTAGCAGATTTTTTTGTTAACTGTGGGAGACCCATATGCTCAGGAGGATAGACATGTCCCTATATAGAAAGTCCATTCATTTTTGTGAGGTTTCAAATGGATTTGTAGGAGTTTGTCTAGTTTTTGTGTTAACATTTCAATTCCGGATTACTAGACCACCACTAGGAAGTGTAAATTTGGGCTTTATATCTGTTCAGATTGAAGTTACATTTGTTAACAGATTTTACCCTCTGTATCCATTTTCTATTGCTGTTGTAACAAATTATTAATATCACAAATTTCATGGCTTAAAACAATACAAAGTTGTTCTCTGACTATTCTGCAGGCCAGAAGTCTAAAGTGAGCCTATAGGGCTGAGTTCCTTCAGGAGGTTCTAGGGGAAAATTGTTTTCTTACCTTTATCAACTTCTAGAGGCCACCTGCATTCCACAGCTTGTGGCCTGTTCATATAAAAAGCTAGCAGTGTACCATCTTCAAATGTCACTCCCCACCCTCACTTCCGTTGTCATATTACCTTCTGTACCTGTGTATTTGATCCTCTCATATCCCTCTCATAAGGACCCCTGTGATTATATTGGGCCCACCCATATAATCTAGGATAACATCCCATGTTAAGATCTTTCAGTTAAATCAATCTTTAAAGTCCCTTTCACTGTGTAAAGTACAGGCGGAGCATTCCCAAATCCTCCCAAATCTGAAACTTTTTGAGCCTCGACATAACACCTAGATTCCACCATTTAAGCAACCACGCATTGTCCACATGGGTGCATGAGATCCTGACACCTTTGCTTTCTGATGGTTCAGTGTACACAAACTTCATTTCATGCAGAAAATTATTTAAAATATTGCATGGAATTACCTTCAGACTTTGTGTATAAAGTACATATAAAACAAAAATTAATTTCCTATTTATACGTGGATCCAATCTCTAAGATATCCCATTATGTATATGCAAATATTCCAAAATCCAAAAATTTTTGAAATTTGAAACACCTCTGGCCCCAAGCATTTTGGATAACAGATACTCAATGTATAATATATTCATAGATTCTGGGGATTAGGACTTGAACATTTAGTGGGGAGCATTATTTAGCCTCCAAGGCCTCCTTTCTCCAAATTTTAGAGATACTCCACTTCTTTAACACTTCATGTGCTAAGGGTGGAGTTTTACTATCCACGTGTCTCATGGTGCATTCCTCTAGTATCCCAGTTTTAAACCAGGGTTTTAAAGTTTTTGCTTCATGTCTCATCTGTCTCTGCAGTATATTCAAATTCACTTGCAGCCCCCAGAGGTACTTTCTTGCACAATTCCAGGAAGTACATTTACATTAGATAGTACATGAATGGCACCTCCTACAGTTGTGTAGCCTGACACTAGAGCCAGCAATCAGGGCTCCTGTCTCTATGCCTTCCATCCACCATCAGTGGATGGAACCTTACTACTCTGGCTTAGCACTTTTGTTTTTCAAGCTCAGCTGTAAACATGTGAACAGGTGTTCACACATAATTTTGTTATTTTTCTTTCCTTTTGTTTAACCAGCATTTTCGTGGCTGTAAAGAGAGAAGGCTTAGTCCACCATATTGTTGGAACTTTACCTTCATTTTACAGAGGAAGAAAGGGCTTTCCATATGAGTGAACTGACTTATCTGAGGACACGACTAATAAATTACCGAATCACAGCTAGAACTTTGGTGTCCTGACTCTGACACAAAAGTTCTTTTATAAATCTTAGTAACAGTGCTTTTATTATGATTATTCCTGTTATCACTGATACTCATTACTAACTTCCCAAATTACACAAGAACCTGATGAAAACTATACTGTTGTATGTCCTTGTGAACCGCAACACATATACAATAAAAATTCATTTATTACTGAAACATTTTTGGAGATATATCATTAAGCTAGGTGATAGGTATACAAAACTGAATGAGACATGATATCTGCCATCAGGGTGTCATAGTCTAATAGAAGAAATAGGTGCATAAACAGATAGTTACAATGCATTGTGCCCAAGTATCATTTGAACTCAAGATATAGTTAAGCTGTTGGGGAAAGTGGGATTGATTAGATGGGGAGGAGAGAGAATGGGTTCAGGATGTTTAATCTTCAAATAGTTATTACCAGATAGATGGCTGGATAGGATTGAGGGATGCATAGATGGATAGTTATATGACAAAGCAGGCATAGTAAGATATTAGTTGTAGAATCTAGAAAGGAGATACACAGTTGCTCACTGTATCAGTCTTTCAACGTTTGTCTATGTTCGAAAATTTTATAATAAATGGTTGGGGAAGTATCGTCTTCATCTTTATTATAGCTATCATTCATTGAGTGCTTAGTGTGCCAGGCGTCTTTAAGAGCTTTACATGATTTAGCTCATTTAATTCCCATATCATCTGCAAGATAAGTACTATCATTATCCCCATTTTACAGAAAGTTGGGCATAGAGAAGTTAAGTAACTTGTTCAGGCTCACACAGTTAGTAAGTGGACAACCCATGATACCAGGCTGTCTGACTCTAGAATTTTCACTCTTAACTTTGACAGAGCTATCTCTAAAAGATTGAGAGGATTTTTTTTTAATAAAGTGGGTAGGGATGAGGAAGCATTACAGGCAAAGGAGAGAATATATTTACATAGATAGGAAAAATAGCATGGATTTTTCAAGGCAAACATAATCCTGGGTGGTGAATGGAATATAAAGCATAAATCATTGAGCAAAGGAGGTTACTGGGGGGTTGGGAGGACTCTGTAAGAACTGGCCATATTTGGCTTTACCAGGTAGCTGAGAGGGATCCACTGAAGGATTTTTAATAGGAGGACTGTGTGTTTAGATCTCTATTTTGAAATGGGAGCTCTGATGTCAGTGTGGAGAATGGATTTCAACTAAAGCTTTTCTTTTTTTTTTTATTTCCAGGTGAAAAATGCTAGAACAAAATAGAACAGTTTAGAGATCAATAAATGGTACAAGTAAAGTGTCTGGAAGGAGCTCTCTGCTTCCTTAATAGAGAGTGCATTCTGCAGAAGTTGAAAGTGACCCTAATCTGAGAAGTGTAGTATTTTTAGCACTAGTAGATATGAAGAGGGATGTCTCGTTTTCAGTTTAAGGCATTATTAAGAAGAAGACTGATTTCCAGGTTTATCCTGACAATTTCCCTCTTCCTTTCAAGAAGAAGTGAAGTTCACATTTTTCTACCATCTTCATGTTTTCTGGATCATATAGCTTTTGTGAATAGGTTGATTAGTTGATATCGGCTTCTGTTTCTGAGAAAACTTCAGAAGCCTAGTATTTCCTCAATGGCATCTGTTGCCACCACTTCTCATTTTGTGTGAGAGGGTTGAGTGAGTGGGTGGGACCCTTTAAGAAAATAAATTGAGAGATGAGTTAATTATACAGATTATCAATATACGGGTATTTTCTAACCATTCTTATAACAAATGACTCAATCCGCATTCCTCAATGTATGCTAAAACTACTGAGTGAAATGCTATTGGAGAAAACTATATGTAATCTCAAAGTTGCTTCCAAATATTATTGACAAGTTACAAAAGTAAAATAATACCTTTACATTTAAATAACAGAGAAATATTGTGATCAAACAACAACAGGACAAATTGACCATACCTTCCTCCTCTATGTAGTATTCTTCAAAACATTTGAATTAATCACAAAAAAGCAACCAGAAAAATTCAAATTGAATTACATTCTGTAAAATAATGGGGATAGGCTCTTTAAAAATGTCAATGTAATAAGAGACAATAAAAGGTTGGGGGACTGTTCTCTATAAAAGGAAGGTATGACCACAAAAAGCACTGTGTGATCCTTGATTAGATCTTGGGTCACAGAAACAGGAAACAAACAAAAAGAAGAACCCACCCAGCTATAAAGGATGTTATTGGATCGATTTGGAAAATTTGAGTATAGACCATGTGGTAAATAGTAGTTTTGTGGCATTGCTGCATTTCTTGAATTGGTTCATTGTATTGTGGTTGTGGAGATGAATGTTGTGGTCTTTCTGGAGAAGCTTTATTTGGTGTATTCTTAGGAGAATTATTTACTGACAAAGTGTCATGATGTCTGCTATTTTCACTCAAATGACTTTCTAAAAATGAGTATGACAGAGAGAGAAGGAAGGAGGGAAGATCGGAGGCAGAGAGTAAAAACAGAAAGCAGACATCAGAATGTTTATATTGGTTCTAGGTCAAAGGCATATGTGTATTCATTGTGCCATCTTTTCAACTTTTGTGTAAGTTTGAAATTTTTAAAAAAATATTGAGGGGAAATGGGAATTCAGATGATCAAGTTCAAATGGAATGTTCTATAGTCCTATCCAAACTTAATTACATTTTATGTGTTATTTTAGACCAATCCTGCCCAACAGTTTCAAAGTTTATACATTTGCTTTATTTTTATACCAGCCTGTTGTGAATTTGCAAACTGTTTAAAAATTGCAAAGACCTACATAAATATATCCCTTAGCATAAGGGTGGCCATGCACTTTAAAATTACATATGATTATGTGGCTGTGTCACCAAGATTACATTAATTTCATATTCTCAGAATTAAAGGTTGATTTCCCTATATTTGACATTTGCTTGCAATGTTACTACATCATATAGATAAAAGAAGGTAGAAAGGTGTGAATTTAGGCAGAGGTTTCCCTGAAAAGAGCTTTTAAAATATCTACTTAAAGAGAAACTTGAACTCTGCTTTACGCTCTGATTTACGTGTGTTCTAAAATTAAGCCTTTCCTCTGTATCTGGGAATCAGTTGGGGAGAAAACATTAAACCATTTTCTGAAAGCATGGAGGAAGAAAAGCAGGCATCTTATTCCTCTTTTCACTCCATAAAATATATATAAGGACAGGTTTTGCCCATTTTAAACAGACACTCGCTTTTTTTTTTCTAATGTAACACTATGGTAATCTTAACAAATATAGAACATTTTAGATTTAGCTTTGTTTCTGCCGGTTTTCCTCATGTGGACGCCTTCCTTCTCATTTTGTTCCATCTGCACCGGATCTAAGGAGAGACACTTTCCCTTTAAGAAACAAAGGTTAGCTGTGACTCCTGTCATGTAAAAGCCTAAAGAAGGCTTTTCATAGTTGATGGAAGTGATGCCAAAGAATAAAATGAAAAGCCTCTGCTATCTACCTAGCGCCTACACGCCCTGGAGCCGACAAAAGAGCTCAGTACCAGAGCCGAAGAGTCCGTGGAGCACCACGTTAGTGAAAAAGCCGATTATAAATAATAATGACCTTAGTGGATGCTGAGAACTGCACTAAAGTTTTTCTGAGCCAGACAGAATGATGTAGGGGATACCATATAAATGCATAGAAGTCTATAAGGGAAGAAGATGCTGAGAGATTCAATTTCTTCCTCCAATAATTTAAATTGATGGTGAGTTAGTAGGTGCTCAATAAATATTTGTTGAATGAGTAAACAAAAGCAGTCTAA
Source organism: Homo sapiens (assembly GCF_000001405.40). Lineage (NCBI taxonomy): Eukaryota > Metazoa > Chordata > Mammalia > Primates > Hominidae > Homo > Homo sapiens. Next base: position 2,506,578 of record NC_000003.12, read on the forward strand.
CAACGGATTTCCTAATGAAAGTTCATGAATTGAAGCATGTTTGCATTGCATCCCAACTCTGTATTAAAACTGTATCTATTTCAGGAGTAAGATCAGAATCCTGATAGAGGAACATGCAAAATGTTGCCCATCTATTTAGGGACAATCATAGAGATAGAAAGAAAAAAGATATTTGGAAGTACATGGAGCTCACTTTGCCTATGAGTTGTGTGCATTTCGAGGTGGGAGACGGGAGAGGGAGTGCAAGAGAGGCTGGAATGAGATTTTTTTTTGTAGTGATACTTGGTTTTCTGAGGCATAATCTAGTGAGGAGAGAGGGCCTTGACGTTTTTATTTAGCGATCATGCCTCCAGTCATGTGTTCTGAGGCTCATGTTCGGTTTTGCATTGATAGACTTGGAATTATAGGACATTCTTGGCTTTTGAACTAGCTCATTGTGCTGAATGTGGTAATTTTTGTGAAAGCATACTGAAACGTCTAAAATAACTTCCAAGGCAAAACAGTTTAGTACAGCTACTGCAGCTATATGTAGAGCACCAACATTTATACTTAGTCGGGTTTTAATCTCAGCACTCAGTTCTTCGGTATTCCAACTATAAGAACCCCATCATGCTTCCCTTGGGCCAGGGTATCTTAAACATATTGAGGTTAACATATTGAGCCAGATAATTCGTTGCTGTGGGGGGCTGTCCTGTGCTTGGTAGGATGATAACAGCCAGTAGCACCCCTACCCCAAGTGGTAACAACCAAAAATCAGGGTTTTTTTTAAACTGTCTTTGTTGGAAGGAAAATCAGAATCTTCTGAGGAAAAGGATTTTTGTTCTCTTCTTGGATGTTAAGAAAATTGGCTTGTGTTGGCTGGGTGCGGTGGCTCATGACTGTAATCCCAGCACTCTGGTAGGCCCGATCACTCTGGGAGGTGATCTTGTGGGCAGATCACAAGATCAGGAGTTCAAGACCAACCTGGCCAACATAGTGAAACCCCGTCTCTACTAAAAATACAAAAAATTAGCCAGGCATAGTGGCAGGCGCCTGTAATCCCAGCTACTCGGGAGGCTGAGGCAGGAGAATCACTTGAACCCAGGAGGCGGAGGTTGCAGTGAGCCGAGATTGCACCACTGCACTCCAGTCTGGGCCACAGTGAGAGACTTTGTCTCAAAAAAAAAAAAAAAAGAAAGAAAGAAAAAAGAAAATTGGCTTTTTTTTTTTAGCCATTAAAATAAGGATAAGTCAGTTCTCCCCCAAAAATTAAATGAGAAGTAACACTCATAAAACAATTTGTTCTCTCTCTCTTTTCTTCTCCCTCTCCACACACACACCCCCTCAAATTTTTTGCTAATAGTGACTACAAATTTCTGAGCAGTTAGTGGTAGATGAATATCAAGGCATATTGCACCCTTTTATCTAGCTCATAGGTCAATTTGATGTCACATTGACATAATTATTTAAATGGGCTATTTTCTCCACAGACTGTTTTAATTTCATGACCCTGGTCTCTGGGTCATTGTTATTAGAATCTGATTATCTCATGGAAAATTAATATGGCCACATATTTTCTTATGTGCGTCCATACTTTTGGCTTACTTCTTGAATATTTTATTACTGGCTCCATTGCTTTTGGTTGGAAAAGAAGGTTCAATCATTGCTGCATAGATTATCATTCCAGTAGGTGCCCTGGGCAGCAATTTCTGAACCATCCCTTTTGAAATTTTGTTCCCAGCTGGAGAAATGTCACAGTTGTCTCAGCTTTTGACTCTGACTTTTAGTGAGAGATGCAAGGAATAGGAAAACACTTTCAAGAAGAAGCAATGAGCAGTTGTATGCACATCTGGTGACTTATTGCTGAAGATTCTAAAGCATTTAAAAATATTGATTAAGCCTCAAACTGTTGGGAAATTGTTCCCATAACTTTCATTCTGCCCCTAGATTTGCTGAGGTTTTGAGCTGTATTTAGCTTGGTGAATCTTGTGTAATGGCCAGAAAGAGACCTCAGGAGCCCCATCCCCCAGGTTCTTATTAGCCTTGACAAGAGTGTTGTTAAAATTGCAGACTCTTCACAGTTCCAAAGAGATGCCGTTTCTTGCTGTTTCAATACCAAGTCTAAAACAATCTCTGTATACATTTTGGCTTCTAAAATATATTCTGAGGTAAAATAGCAGGTTCTACTGTCTTTGAGAAGACCATTTCTTTTGTTTGTGGTAACTAGTCATGTTGGTCTCTTTTTTCCTTCTCTTTGTTATATTTATTTGGACTTTAATGTTGGCTATGCCCTTTAATGAAAAAAAATCAGGCATTTCCCAGATTTAGATTTTTATTATAAACACTTCATATTTTAAGTGGTATATCTCTAGGGAGAAATGTATGAAGAATTGATGGAAGTTGGAAATTTTTTAGTTAGTAATTAACACCTACCATTAAAAACAAGTGCAAATCACATGATGGCAAAGTGAATCTATTACATATCATAATCAAAGATTAATCAAAGTAATTACCAGGCAAACAGGGATTGAATAGAACTTAAAACCAATTAAACTATTTCGGCTGTACCACTGAATAAACACTTTGGTATTTTAATTTCTCCTCTCTTCATTTGCTTCAGCAATATGTTTGCTAATATGACTGAGGTGCACAATTGCTATTTAATTAACCTATTTTTGTCAGAACCTCACACGAGCTGCGTGGAGTAGATCTGCTAAAGTCTCAATAATAATGAGCCTGATAAAAAATAACCAACATGAAATTCGTGCCAGTCATTTTACAAGTTATGCCAAATGTAATAATATCTGAAGAAAAAAAGAAACTGGTTACCTTACAGAAATTGGATTGAAAGTACTTAAAAAACATGTTGAACCAACACAAAATTACTCAAAAGTTTAGTAAAATTTCAAAAATGTATAATTGCCTTGTTTCTTTGTACCCCACTTTGCATATCATTACCATTAACTATTGGTAATAAATCTATTCGAGGGCATGGATCTGTTTTGGGGATACTTGAGTTGATAATGGGCACAGAAGGGTTTGGTAGTGGACATCTTTTACCCAATCATGTATCCTTTGGGAGAGAATACTTTTCTAGCTATTGAGTAAGGCATCACGAAAGTGTTGATCCATTTTGCTTTTATTCCCTAAGACAATCAAAACGCTAACACAGTTTGGGTGGTCTTGGCCTCAATGATACACATTTTTTCACAAAAGATAACATAACTAACCATGTGAAGAAAGCCTCACCTTTCTCTACCTTTGGATAGTAGGGATGAAAGAAAGTAAGATGGAGAAATCCACATTAAATATAAAGACTCTTTCCCCACAAAATCCCAGAGCTCTTCTGATTGGCACCATGAAGACAAAACATTCTGATTGGATTTTTGGTTCTTCACCCAGGTGTTTTACTATCAGGTAGACACAGTTTGTGTACAACTAAAT